>NC_000015.10:75776874-77026874 GCF_000001405.40 Homo sapiens | reverse complement strand
CTGGCCACAGGAGGGCCCAAAATAGCAGGGCCGGGGTCCCTCCTTCCTGGCAGGTTCTCTGCAGGCTCTGCGGGCACGTCCCAGCTCAGAGAGGGTGCCTGCTCCGGCACCTCAAGCCTGGGCTGGCTTCTGGGGACCCCCTGTCTGCTCAGAACCCCACATTTAGAATCCTGAAAGCCCAGCTGGCAGATGGGCAGGTGGCACGGGCAGCCACGCTACATTTCTGCCAGCAGAGCTGCTAACCAGAGCTGGAGCCCTGTCTGTGGAGACTGAGGGGCGCATGGCTTGGGCTGAGCTCCCAGCACTTGGGAGGTAGACATATGTGTCCCATCCTGTGAGAGGGAAACTGAGGCACAGAGATGGGAAGTGGTATGGCCAGGACACCCAGGCCTAGCCTGGCCCCAGCCTCAGGTACAGCTTCTTCCCCTTCAAGGCTCAGTTGTGACTTTTCATTTTCAATTCTTTGGCCACTTCACAACGATCCTTCCTCCCCAGGCAAGAAGCGGATCTGTGTGCTGCCCTGCCACCCTGTGCAGGGCACCACCCTCATCACTAAGGCCCTGAGAGGCTCAGCCCCCATCCTCACAGGCCCAAGCCCAGCCTCCAGGCCAGTCTGCGTCCTGCCTGCCCTCCAGGGAACCTATATCCAACTTCAGCCCTGCAGCCTCCCTGACAAGCATCTGCCAGCCTCTGCTTACACACCTCCCATGATGGGGACTTCACTTCCATGCAGTCACTCTGTCTCGGGACAGCCATGCCCTACATATGGGTGAGAAGTACCTTTGGATGCTAAGCAATGCCATACAACTCTCCCACCCCAGTCTGTGTCTGACCCCTCAGCCTTGGGCAGTCCTGTGGGGTGACTGGCTGCAAGTCTGCCTTTTTCCAGGACAATCAGCCCTGATCCTTGGACTCAAGACCAGTTTCCAGTGACCCCCACAACTCAGACTGCCTCCTCTGGACACTGCCAAGTTGCCACAGACCCTCTAGAGTCTGCTGTAGTAGGATCCTCCTAGGCGTGAGGCAGCTCGACAGGAAGGACCTTCCATGGGGCTCTGGGACTAAGAGTTGGCCTTAGTGCCAGCGGCCAGGCCTCTGCCCTCCCTACCCACTTCAGATCACCCTCAAGCCCCAAAGCCTGGAGTGCTGTCCCACCACCACCCCTGCCGCCCTCCACTGGCTCTACCAGGAAGGTCAGCCCCCTACCCCCACAGCAACTGAGAGGCTGGCAATGGGGGAGCAGCTCCCCCGCCCCCTGCACCTGCCTCACCTTCTTCCTCTGCTCCTTCTGCCTCTCACGAAACTCCTCGAGACTCCGCAGCTCCTCACGCAGGGTCAGGGCCAGCTGGATGTGTGAGCTGCCCACATTCTCCATTTCTGGGGGCAGAGCATGGATACTGGTCCCCAGTGTCAGATCTGATGGGCCTCAGCCACCCACAACTCACCCGTGTGGGCCAGCCCAGCCCCAGCCCCAACACCTCATCTTCTGTCCCCCCAAACCCTCCACCAGCCTCGCAGTCCCAAAAGATCCCATTGCCCCAGGGTAGGGGACTTACGCTGCTTCAAGGAGTCAAAGGAGGCCCTCAGGGAGCTGCAAAACAGATGGGTCCAGGTCAGGAGGAGGAGAGCACAGCGGGAACCTACAGTCCAGGCTGCCTCCCGGCGGGGTGGGCAGTGGGGAGGACTTTTATTTTGGTGGGAAGACCCTGGGTCACTCTAGAACCAAGGGACCCTTTAGCCAGATGGTGACCATCCACTGGGGCCCCAGACTGATTTCTGGAAGACAAAGCTCTCTGCAAATTAAAGCAATCAACCCTCTGCAATGTGGCAGAAGGAGGAGGTACCGAAGGCCCCCACCATCTGTGCTCCTAGCTGCATTCTTAGAGAAGAGGGGATTGTCTTCAGGACCCTCCCTCCCTCCCCTGAACTCCTCTCCCACATTCACAGCCCTCTCTCCTCGGCAGGTACCAAATGGCCCCAGGGTGAGGCTACAGGGGAGGGGACAGTGTTCAGATGGGCTCTCAGCAGGTGGCCCGGGGGATGTTTGGAGGAGGTTGGATGGCCGTGGGAGAGGCTAGCAGGGCAGGGCGCAGGAGTTGAGAGGTGGGCACTGTCTGCCAGGGAGGGAGGGAGGGAGGGAGGGAGGGAAGGGCCCAGCACTGCGCATAGGAGGCAGGGAATGATGGGCGGGGGCTGCCAGAATGAACACATAAAAACAGGACACCCAGTGCAATGTGAATCTCAGATGAACGAGCACTTTTTGAGTATAGTATGCCCCTTGTAGTATTTAAAACGGACTTTTATTTTTAAAGTATTTGTTGTTTATCTGAAATTCACGTTCACCTGGGCATCCAGTATTTTATCTGGCTCTCCCTGCAGCCTCTCTGTGGAGCAGCTCGGCTGCCCCCTGGCGGCCATATGGCCTCATGACGCCCACCGGACAGCCCTGGGTGGAGGGGGCAGCGCACCAGGCAGGCTTCTCAGGGGGCTTCTCCTCTCAGTAGACACCTGGGGAAGCAGAGGCCAAGGAGGAGCAGTAGCCTGGCAGGAGCCTGGGGATCCAGGCCTGGGGGAGATCGGTGGGGGCCAGGCCCCTCGCCCTAAACTCGTGGATCCCAAAGTGAGGTCCACAGACCAGCGGCATCAGCATCCGCGGAGCCTGTTAGAAATACAGATTCTCAGGCTCCTCCCCGACCTCCTGAGGCTGAGGCTTCGGGGTGGGGCCCGGCCCCAAGCGCTGCTGATGCCCATCCAGACGTCAGAACTGCTCACAACTCTGCCAGCACAGGTGCCTTTATTATCCCATTTCACAGATGAGAAGCCAAGGGTCAGAGGAGTGAAGGAGCTGCGCCCGTGGCCACCCTGCGGTAAGAGGCGGAACCAGGGAGAGGAAGAAGGAGAGGGGTGGCTGTGTGGTGACCCCACCTTCCCTTGTGGGGCTCAGGACTCTTCTCTGACTCCTCACCAGCAGTGGCACCTCCAATCCCTCTGCTTCCTGTCAGTTCACCCCTCAGCTCAGTCCCACTCATTCAGTTAGAGGCCTCCAGGCACAGCGTGGTCCCCGCACCCCCAACCCAGCCCTTACGCACACCACCCTCCAGCCCCGCCTCCTTCATGACCACAGCATACCCAGACCCCTCCCAGAGCTCAGGGCCTGCACATCCACTTCCCCGCCCTCACCTTTTGGGTCTCATATCTGACAGATACCTCAAATTCAGCGTGTCCAAAACCGGACTCAGCACCTGCCCTGCAAACCTCTCCTCTTCCAGGGCTCCCCTCTTGGCAAAGACACCACTGTCCACCAGCTATACACACCAGAAACCCAGGAGTCACACCAGGCTCTGTCCTCTCCCTTCCTTGCCGCCACCTTCTATTTTATCTCCTAAATCTCGTGACTGTCCTACGCTAGCTGCCACCACCGCTGCAGCCCCTGCCGCACCACCTCCACCTCCCACCTGTCAGCCCTGCTCTCTGCCCCTCCGCCCGTTGCTTCCAGGTGCCAGGCTCCATCTTGCCTCAGGGCCTTTGCACGTGCCCATCTCCATTGCTGCATCTTTGCCTGGCATCCTCTTTTGTCCTTTCTGAGCACTGATGTCACTTTGGGCTGGCCCAGCGGATGTCTGTCACGCAGCTGAACCATGAGCCCTTGAGGACAGGGGCAATGCCTGGCTCTCCTCCTCATTGTCCCCAGGCTCATAATCTAAATTTTCTCAACCCCAAACCCACCTGTGGGCCACCCCGGTTCATGGTCTCAGGCTGAGGGGTGCTGTAAGGAATCGCAGGTTCTGGGAGCTGCTGGCCCTTTTCCCAGCCCCCACCTGAAAGCTGGGAGCCTGCCTGAACGTACAGCACTGCCAGGTGGACATTCAGCCTCTGTCCCACCCCTGGGACAGTCTTGACAGTGATGGTCTGTGCTCACCTTGAACTCCCATTTGTCCCCATGACCTGGCTAGGCCTTGGGTACTGCATAGATACTGGTGCTACCTCTGTCTGGGGTACCTGGGCAGGCAGGCTTTGGCCCCTCCAGGCCCCTCTTCCTGTCCCCTGGGCTGCAGGCCTTCCTGCCCCAGGTCCCCTGTCCCCGTTGCTGGAACCATCAGGCCACCCTAGTTCAGCTCACACAACAAGGCCCAGAACACTCCTCCCTTTCTTGGCCCCAGATGAAATTTCAAGGAGGCAGCCTCAGCTCTGTGGATGAGAGGAGGAGCCCAGCTTTGCCCCAGAACCCCCAAAGTGAACAGCCTTGAGCTCTGATCTTGGGGAGGATCTGGGGGCCACATAAAGTCATTCTCTGCCCCATGAAATTCCTGCTTCCTCCCACCGTCTGTGCAGGGAAACTGTCAAGATCTCCCTGAGCACCTCTACTGTGTCTCCATCGCATGTTGAAGACAGGGTCCTGCACAGGCCTCTGCCTACTGCCATCTGTCACCAGTGCCTTCATGTGTAACTCATCCCATTGCCCTTTTTGACTCGGCTCTCAGGAAGCTCAGTCTGAAATTCTGTGCTCAAATACAGTCCAGATTTCCAGTGTGTTTCCTGCTCTGACCCCACTGTGTCCCTGCTGCCTGCCCACCAGCTGACAGGAGTAGCCCTCTCGGCTCCCTGTGCTGAGGCTGTGCCCACGATGAGCCAGCGTCAGGGGACATCTGACAGGAACAGGGCCTGGCTCTCTCCCGCCAATATCCTCAGCAATGTCGTCATTCTCTCTGAGTTCAGAGGAAGAGAGACCATGAAAAAAATTTTAAAAATCTCTCTGACAGGAAAACCACAGCATTTTTGGTTTGTGACAACTGGGGGTGAGGCAGGGACGTGAGGATTCAAACTTGCACCCCTTGGGGGCTGTACCTGCCCACTGGTAACCACAGAGGGGCTACAGGAAGCTGGCCTTGCCTTGGTTTTCCTTTGTTTCCCAAACCCCTGCCCTGTGCAGCTTCTGGGGGCATGCAGCACCCCCAGCACCTTACCTGACGCAGGATGAGCAATAGGGGAGTGGAGGTGACAGCTTTCTGAGGGAGGTGACATTTCAGGCAGGCCTTGAGGGATGGGTGGGACTGGGCAGGGGAGCAACAGGGCAACAGCAGGAGCAAAGGCCCAGAGGCTGGAAAGGAGAGTCAGGCAAAGTCTCTGCAGGGCTGGACATGTGATGTCAGCAATGTTGGTAAGCCCCCTGCAAATACTAACACTATCTTTTTTTTTAAGATGGAGTCTCGCTCTGCAGCCCAGGCTGGAGTGCAGTGGTGCAATCTGGGCTCACTGCAACCTCCGTCTCCCAGGTTCAAGTGATTCTCCTGCTTCAGCCTCCTGAGTAGCTGGGACTGCAGGCTCGCGTCACCATGCCCAACTAATTTTTATATTGTTGATAGAGACGGGGTTTCACCATGTTGGCCAGGCTGGTCTCGAACTCCTGACCTCAGGTCAGCCTCCCAAAGTGATGGGATTATAGGCGTGAGGCACGGCGCCTGGCCCTAATGCTGTCTTTAAAATGCACTGAAAGCGCTGGTGGGGATCCCTGGAGTTTGGGGACTGGGTCTTACTTGTCCATCCTCCATTGCCACTGCCCCACGGATGTTTGCTGAGTTAACATGTGAAGGAGGTACATGTCAAAAATCACTTAAGATGTAACCTCCTGTTAATTTCAGTGGCCCGAGCCTCCAGGCCTGAGGGTGGCTCCCGGCTGGTTTGAGGTCAGGGGACTGCAGAAATGCAGTACCTTCAGGCAGCAGTTCTGCCCTCAGGGCTCACTAGGCTATTTATAGGGTCACTTAACCACCTGGCTTTTGTCCTCGTTCTGCACCCTGTTCCTAGCCTTCCCATCCCCCAGTCCCCTGCCCGTTCTGCAAGGGGCAGGGAATGAGCATCCCATAGACCTGGGGGGCAGCTGTGGGCCTCAGGGAGGCCAGGGGCTTCCCCTACTCAGGGATGGGCCCTGGAGGGTGGGCCACCAGCCCCGATGTTGAAGAGCCGGGTCACCTTTCCTGAGGGCCAACACACACACCCCCCCCCCCCACAGGAGTCTAAGATGAGGAAACAGGTCCACGGCCACTGCTCACACTTCCCCACCAAAAGCCCTTCAGGTTGGCATGGGGAGGGGTAATTGGGTCTAAGCCAAGACTCTGACAGTAAGGCAAGGCAAGGTGTCTGGGAGGGCTTCCTGGAGGAGGTGGCGCATAAATGGGCCCTAATGCAAAGGACTAGGAAGGAGAAGGAAGTCACCCTCACTGTGCTGGACTCTGGCTAAGGAATGGCAAAGCCCTTTATTTTATTTTAAATTAGTGAATCCTCCTGACCCATCCAGGGCATGGCACATAGTAGGTCCTCAATTAAATGGTGACTAAATGGATGGAGGATGGATGCTTGGCCTACACCGAAAGGAACAGCTGCATGGCCTCATCAACAGTACTTCATGCCACATGGGTCAAGAGCAACACTATGGAGCCCCACTGTGTGCAGTGAACCCCTGTGGCTTGGCACTCTCTGCTTGTCCTTGTGACTGCCCAGAACACCTCTCCAAGTGACCATCCCCTTCCATAGGTACAGACCCTGGACTCAGAGACAGGGAGGACCATCCAGGGCCACACAAAGGATAAGTCAGGGCAGACCCTGCCCCACCTGGCCTTGAATAACCATGGCGCAATCAGGGCCGCCCAGAGCCTCCACCTGGCCCCTTCCTAGTTCTACAAATGGAGCAAGATGTTGCGTACCTCCTGCTTCCTGAGGCCCACCCTGCTCCCCACCCCCATTGTATTTTCTGTGGGTAGCTTCTCTTTCCCTGCTGTAAATCCCCTGTGACTCACAATCCCCTGAGCCTGCATCACACAGACCCACTCCAGCCTGGCTCCCATTGTGCCCTGCTGGGGCCACCCTCTCCACCTCTCCTGAGTCTCTGAGTTCTCCCCATGAGGTACCCTCTCTTTCTGGGAAAGTTCTCTTCCAGCTGGCCTGGAGGCTGGGAGGCCAGGAGACCAGGAGGGGCTCCCCTGGTCATGCTGCCAGGCCCCCACAGCTGCTCCTCCCCTGGCTGAGAGCTCTGGGCACTGCTTCCTGCAGAAAACACCTCCCTGCATACGTCCATTCACTCCTCACCATGTCCTGAGCCCTCCTCTGTGCCCAGCCTGCACCCGGCCCTCAGCCCTTCCCTTGGGAGGCCCTCAGACCATGTTCTTGTTGATTTGCACGGCAGCTCGCTGGAGTGGGAGGTGAGAAACAAACTTGGAGAGGCTAGGCGACTGGCCCACAGTCCCACAGCTCAGATTGGCCGAGCCGGGACCAGAGCTCCAAGGGCTCCTCAGAGCCCTCCGTCCTCCCAGGGCTGTGTGCAACTTTCTGGCCTCACACACGGCTCATGCCACATCTAAGCCTTCCTGTGATCTCTGGCTCCTGGTTGGAAGCAGGAGCCGCCAGGGTGCCTGGTGTCTTTGGGGGACCTTCAGAGTATGGCACATTCAGTTCCTCTCTCGGGGGAGAAGGCAGGAAGGGAAGGGGTTCCACAGCAGCTGCAGGGTCAGGCTCAGGGCCCCTCGGCAGGAGGACTCTGCAGAGCCCTTTCAAGAAGTTGGAGGCCGGTGGTCTGTCTGCCCCTTGGCCTGGCTCTGTCCTCACCCAGGGGGACAGTCTGGGCCTTCCCAGAGCAGCCCCTCCACTCCACTGTTAGGGTGGCTGTGTCCTGAACTCACCTTCATCTCCTCACCTGGCCTCCCACCCCAGCAGTCTGCGTGCAGAGACCTGTGGGGCTGGAGACTCCCGCTTCATCAGAGCCACTTCCCTGACGGCCTGCCCTCTAACCAGGCCTCAGCTAAGCCCATGGGCCCACTTCTTCCTTTGAGGAGGGCTGCGTTACTTTCCCATCACTGATGAGGAAACGGAGCCACAGAGTGTGTCAGCAGCCAGCCCATGGTCAGACAGCTGGGGGGTGAGGAGCTGACACCGGAACCCAGGTGTGTCCCCTCCTGGACCCCTGTCTCTGGCTACATCTCCATCCTTGAAGCCCATGCTGAGCCAGTGCTGCAGGGGACTTGAGCCACCAGTGGAGACGCCTGTCACCTGCCCCTCAGGACTTCAGTGGAGGCCACCCAGGCTGGTGCAGACTGCGCTGCAAATGACTGAGGATGGATGGCCTCCTGTCTCCCCTGCCCAGACCCTTTCCAGAACTCAGACCCTCGGGCTTCCTCCCTCACAGAACCTGGCCTCACCCTGAATGCCCAATAACCAGGCACCAAGGAGCAATCCAGACCTACCCTGGTTCTGCCCAGCCTCCCCCATGCCAGGAAGACCTAAACCTCATCTAAAGGCCCAGAAACTGCCAGCAGAGGAGAGGAGTGAGCCCCAGGGCCCGGGAGATCTTACTTGATCTCCGTCTGGCCACCTGCCTTCCGTGCGATCTGCACCAGCTCCTTCCCGTACCGCTCCTCCGCCTGGGCCCTGCAAAAAAAAGGGCATTTGAAAGATCATCAGTGACTTGCCACCTCTGGGGGAGGCCCAGGTTTGAGGGAACACAGAAGAGTTTTTTAAAGCAGGGCGTGTTCTGACAGAGTTTGGCTGGGATGGGGGCCTCGTCCACTGTCCCAGGAGCCGAGCGGAAGCCACCTGCTTCCTGCCTGCGCTCCCCATGGCCTGCCCAGCAGCTCACCTCTGCCTCAGTAGCTCCTCCATGTCTTTGCACATCTTCCTGCCATCCAGAAGCCGCTGCAGCAGCACCTCGTAGCCCGTGTGGGCTGTGAAGTCCCTGCACTGTGACACAGGACAGAAGGACACATGAGGGCCACGACCAGGCGACACTGAGCACAGCCCTGTGGGGACCCTCCCACCATCTCTGGGAACAGCCTCCCTCCTGCCTCCATCTCCCCTGCTCAGGGCAAGCTCTTGGGACTCCAGACCTGGCTTTACACAGGCACACAGGAGGTCCCCTCACATCTGCAGAGGTGACAGGTACATAAGTGAGCCCCACCCAGCTGACAGGGCCGGGGGTGCCGGGCCTGGCATCTGGAGAGCTCACAGGACAGGACACACATCAGCATGAGATAGCAGATGGGAAGAGCCACCCTTAAGTCCCCCTGATGACAGCCAGGCCTGAAATTCACTCACTCACAGTGCCACCCTTCCAATATCCCTATCTCAGCTAAGTGGGGAAACCGAGGTGTAGGAGGGTGACATGTGATCGTATCCAGAGCGGCCCAGCTGGAAAGTGGCTGGCCTGGCCTTGAACCCCAGGCTGTCTGGCTGGGGTCCCTGCCCTTCACCTCAGCACTGTGCAGTCTCCATGACCATCACAGCAATTGCGGTTTCTTGGGCACCAGCCATGTGCCAGATGCTGCGCTGGGCTCTCTGTGGGCTCAGGAAACCCCCCCTCACGGAGATCCAGGGAGGTGGGCATGGAGGGTGACTTCAGTCCAGGTCAGAGCATGCGCAAGCACACCCTACATTCACCTCTGGACTGGGGTGGGGTGGGGAGCCTCAGAGAACTCTCCAGGGACAGCTACCCTCTGCTGCCTGGCACTTGCCCTGCTTGCCCTGGCTGTTGTTCCTGGCCAACCCAATTCTCCTTTCTCACTGTGCAGTGGATTCCAGGTGTGTGTCTGAGCTGCTGGTGTGGGAAGCTGGGTGTGAGAAGTTGGGGGAGGGAGGTAGTCTTTAAGGACTATGAAGGAACAGAGGTCTCCCAGGACATTCCCAGGCTTGGGGAGTGGGTCCCGGGGCCAGGATCCCCGCCACAACCCCCTGAGCTCTCCCAGGCACTGCACGCAGGCTTACTCCAGGGGAGCTTGAGAGGTGCTGGGGAGACAGGATTTTTGTCACCAACTGCACCAAGGCAGGCCTGACATTCCGCACCTAGTCTGTCTTCCTTTCTATCCCTGAGGACCCCTAAAGCCTCAGAGACTGGAGGAAGAAGTCCCAGCTCCCCTGACCACACACATTACAGTCTCCAAGGTCACGCACACTCCAGGGTCGCACACACATGACTCAGGTAAAGCCTGGTACTCCTTCCCCTGACCCATGTCTCCCCTCAAATGCCACCTTAGGGGTGTGAGGGGAACAGGGATGGAGTCGAAATCCAGGAGAGCTCTCTGCAGGAAGAGGCATTTGAGTCAGGTGCTGGAAGGAGAAGGTATTCTCCAAGGTCTAAGAAGAATCTGAAGTAGGGGTAGCAATGGCATAAATTGCCCCAACAGTGCCCCCCCTCCCCACAAACTCCAGCCCACCCTCAGCAGGTGGACTCTCCTGGCCTGTAGGACACTTAGGACCCCAAGCTCCTACCCCCTCCATAAGCATCCCTAGAAATTCCTGAGGAGGGCCTGGTCCAGGCTCAGCTGTCCACAGAGCAACAAGCAGCGTGTCTAGCCTGGAAGGCCAGAAGCTGTCCCCCCAGCCTCAGAGGCAGGCGCCCACCCCCATGTCCAGGTTGACATCACTGGGTTAGCTTGGACCAGGCTTCCATTTCTGTGGTTTTGGTGGGCAGCTGCTTGCAGCCAGCAGCCCTCCCCTTCCCACCCCTCAGCCTCTGCCCTCACTCCAGACCCTCAGGTCAGAGCTCCTGGCGGCTGGGAAGAAAAACAAATCTGGGGCCTCAGCCTCCTGCACCTGCCCGGAGGGACACCAGCATTCATGTCAGAATGCCACAGACCCCCCCGCCCTGAGAACTGGGAACCACCTTGTGCGGCTTCCCTCACTCCTCAGGAAACTGAGGCCAGAGAAGGAAATGGCTTGCTTGACGCTGCAGAGTCAGGACAAGAATCCGGACTCTCAGGGGACCTGTCATTCCTTCCTGATACCTCTGGAGAGGCCACCTGGAGCCCAGCCCCACACCCAGCCCTGACGCCAAGGGAACCCTTCTCCTGTCCTTATGGAGGCCCCCAGAGTGGAAAGAGAAGCAAACCGAACCTACGCTGGCCATTCGGGAGGAGTCAGAAAGCAGCGAGAGGCCCTGCAGGCTGTGACCGCCGTGCTCAAGTCCCCAGAGGCTGCAGGCTCCAGGATCCCGCCCAGTCCCCCGCTCAGAGCTTTGGGCTGCTGGCAGGGGCTGTGGCCGAGTGAGCTACTGTCACAAGGACTGGGATGTTCCGAGGAAGTGCCTGACTCTCCAGGGGCTGCTCACGATGCCTCCCAGCCCTGCACCCCTTCCCCCAGCCCGCGCCCTCCTCCTTCACCCCCACCCCTGCCACTTCCTCGAGGGCATGGGTCTGACTCCGTGCTCTGAGCTGGGACAGTCAGGCTCAGGATGTGTTTAGGAAATGAATGAACCAATCATCCTGTAACTTAATCAGTCATGTGGGTCTGCCACCCAAGACCCAGCATCAGCATCACCCCCAGGGGACCTACCCTAGTTGTCCCCCACTCCTCTTACCTCCATCTCCCCTCATCCTGTCCAACCTCTGTCATCCGAATGCTGCCTGTGGCCCTGCCCTTTGTGAAATCTCTATTTATCAAGTCTACCTGGCACACACTGCACCAAGGGTATCATAGCGTTATCTTCCTGACCACAACACAGATCTCGGGAGGCGAAGATGGGGACAGGAGGCCCAAACAGGGAAAGAGACTGCCCAAAGCCACTCAATGGGTAAAGGGCAGAGTTTGGGATCTGAATGCAGGTCAACCTGTCCCCAAAGCCATATACCTACATCAGCCATTTAGTAGACAGCCCAGGAACCATTTTCTATTTTGGAACATCCAAACATGATTTGAAAAAATAACTCTTGAAAATGATTACTCAAATTATCTCCACCTCAAATCAAAGCTGTATTTTGGGCTATAATTCAGTTACTGTGGATTCACAGAGGCTAGCCTGGGGCCCAGGCTGGGTCAGAGGAGTGCGGCTCTGGGTAACCCATGAACAGCCAGTGGTCACGGCCCAGCCATGTGGCACCCAGGATAACCCGTCCTGGATTAGGGGTGCCAGGTGGGGAGCGGGCACAGTCTCTTCCTCTGGGAGGCTCACTTGAGCCAGATGTGGGACCCAGCCCTCGCCGTCCATGGTGTGTGGCCATCGGCCTCAGGCGGCATCCCAGAACTCCAGGAGGAGGCTCTTGGGAGGAAACATATTCCTGCCTCTGCCTTGAGGCAGTGTGGCCAAGGCCTGGGTGCCCTGTTCTGTCAGGGACAGCCTACTGGCTTCATTCTCTGGTGGGTGTTGGTGTGAGCCACGGCCCAGGCCTGTGAGCCGGCCAGGGCCCTCCACACCCCCACGGCTTGAGTGGAGAAGCACCCTCTGTAACTACCGCCACTTCCCCCTTTTCACGCCCATAACTCTTGGTGGCTGCAGGGGCGAGACCACAGACACCAGGGCCTGAAGCAAGCCACTTTACTTCTCAGGACCTGGTTTCCTCATTGGGAAAGTGGGGGCAGGAGGCTAACCCCCTTTCGGGCCCTGACAGCCCGCCCCTCTAGGGCACAGTCCTGTTAGTGTAGGCCACAGGTCAGAGAGGGTACTCGGGCCTGTTTGAGAGGCTGGGAAGGGTCTGACTGACTAGATGTGGGTTCACACCTCCCGTGACCCTGGCCCTTCTCAGCCTGTTTCCTTCCCTGTGAAAATGGGCCTAATAGTTCTCACCGCCTAGAGGTGACCCGAGAAGCAAGTGAAATCGTGCGCATAGGTGAGAACAGTGGACTCAAGATCAGGGCTCACCACAAGGCAGATACTGGGCTAGGGGTGATGACTACCATTTTATGGATGAGGAAAAGGTAACCCAGAGAGGTTACCCAATCTGCCCAGGGACCTGCCGGGTGCAGCTGGGATATAACCCAGATATCCCAAGCCACGATCTTGGCTGTTAACTTCCCATTACTTTGCCTCTCTGCAAAGCCCCACACTCAGGGCCTGTCACCCAGGGGCAGTTCAGCAAGCAGCAGCTCCCCGAGCCCTCCCCGCCTGCCTGCCACCTCCCCGACCAGAAACACCTTCCCTCAGCTGGGGCCAGGCTGGAAGAAATGAGTCACCTCATCACCTCCCCTCTCGCCCTACACACCTTCCTCCACCAGAGGTTCCATTTAAAGGGGAGCAGAGCCTTTTTCAAATGCTCCCTTGCCTGGCACTCCAGAATACAGCATCTATCAGAGGACAGCTAAGCCTCCAACCTTGGAGGGGGACACCTGGGTTTTGGTCCGAGTTCCTACCTGCTATGTCCAAGAACTGGCACCAAAATCTTCCCTGGGAACCAAGTGGGGGCCGTGGAAGGTAGCCAGGAAGAGCTGCCTGGTAATTCTGTCCATGAGAATAGCCTGACAGGGAGAGAGGAGCCCCTAGGAGAAGCTGAGTGGAGCAGACTATTGGGTGCAACGGGAGAGGTTGGAAGTGGAAGGCTGTAGGGAACGGAGTGGTCAGGGACTCCAGGGGGGCAGGGTCACCAAAAAACCTGCCCAGGTGCCAGGGAGAGAAAGGGCTGACCTGTGTGCATTCACTGTCACCAGTTACAACAGTACCAGGGCAATGAGATGTTTCTCCCCTTTACAGTCACGGCCTGTGCCCCACCACCCCCCCATGGAGACCCCAGAGGCAGCTGGCAGTGCAGTGTGGGTACCCCATGGCAAGGGAGGAAACTGACCCTGTTCTCTTTTCCCCATCAGAGGCTTCCAGTGAAAGTCGGGGAACTGGGGAGCTTTAAATTGAATGAGAGTGAAATTGTGATACTAGCTTGGACTGGATTGGGTTACACCTGAAGATGACTGGGAAAGCTCCAGCATGGGCCACAGGTGGGGAAGCAAGACGTAGCAGCAGCTTTGGAAGGTAGCTGCACGGAGCTGCATGGTGCTGGGGTGCTCTCCTCCCTCACACCAGCAGTGACATCTGCAGCCAGTGTGGCTGACACTGTGGGTTTGCTAGCACCTAGTTTCCTGTTGCTTGTCTTCTGTGGACTGAAAACCTGAGGTAGGAAGGGCTGAGCTCCATGGAGGCAGAGGGGGGTCTTTCAGGTTCCCCACTGGATCCCGGCACCTGGTGCCTACACACAGCTCTGCTCACAGACATGCTGAGTGATGGGCTGGAGAAGCGCCTCAGTGAGGCCTTCAAGAGGACAAGGCCTTATGACGGCTGCTTCCTGAGGTGCCCCATGGAGGGGACCAGATCATTTGCTTGCAGATTCAATGACCCATTACCCAGCACCTTTAAAGAAGCCAGTCACACTGGTCCCCTCTACTTCTTACAACAGTCCTCTGAGACAGGAATTATCATCCCCATTGTATAGATACGGAAACAGAGGCACAGGGATGCTAAGTCAATGGGTAGCAACCAGGCTCCTTCCACCGCCCTACAGTCAGTACCCCACAGTGGGACTCCTCTCCACCATTACTGGTTGGCAAAGTGAGGCAGGCAAAGGACCAAACACTCAGGTACAACTTGATGGATGGATGGATGGATGAATGGATGGATGGAAGGATGGATGGATGGGTGGGTGGATGGATGGGTGGATGGGTAGATGGGTGGGTGGATGGATGGGTGGATGGGTAGATGGGTGGGTGGATGGATGGGTGGATGGGTAGATGGGTGGGTGGGTGGATGGATGGATGGGTGGATAGGTGGGTGGGTGGATGGGTGGACTGGTGGACAGGTGGACAAATGGAGGGATGGGTGAGTGGGTGGATGCATGGATGGGTAGATGGGTGGGTGGATGGGTGGATGAGTGGATGGGTAGGTAGATGGATGAGTGGGTGGATGGATGGATGGACAGATGGGTGGACGGATGGATGGATGGACAGGTGGATGGGTGAATGGGTGGGTGGGTGGGTGGGTGGATGGATGGATGGATGGATGGATGGATGGATGGATGGATGGATGGCCAGAGCCCTCAGTAAACAAGGCGGTTGCTTACCCAGAGTATTTGGGAGGAGGTGATAGGGAGGGAAGGGAGAGTTCCAAGCCAAAGCTGTGAGGGAATGGCCTAGGAAAAGTCTCACCTGGAGATCTCTGTGGGGCCATCAGAAGCAGAGGGAGCACTAGTGGCTGGCATTTCCCAGCCCAAGCCAGGACTCATGGGGGCAGAGACAGGGAGGCCAACTCCAGGACAATGCAAGGAAAGGCTTCCCAGGAGCCTGAATGGCTGTAGGTATGGAAAGAGGGTGGGGGGCTTTGACAGGTGAGGAGCGCCCATCACTACAGTCTGTAAGCAGGTCTGGTTCCACAGAGAGGACTCAAGCCTCAGATGGCCTGTTAAACTAGGGACTTGGTGTCTAGGGGTCCCCTGACTCAAGTACTGCTGCGATCCATGTATAAGCAAATAAATATGGGATGAAGATGACTTACAGCTGTCTGAGATGGCCCAGGGTAAGTGTTGAAGACAGAGGGCCAAGAAGGCAAAGACAGACTTTTAGTTTTTAGAGAACAAATGTGCATTAATGTCAGATGAGCGACTCTTTGTTCACCTGGGCTGACAGGACCTTGAGATTAGAAATGAGTTTCCAGAGTGCCACAGTTCTCCTCCGAGTCCCAGTCTGATGGCCTCTGCCGGGCCTTACAGGGCCCCTCACCTGAGCAGCCCAGCTGGCCGAGTCCCAGAGATGCCTGGGCTGGGCTCCACTGTGCTGGGAGGCCCACAGGCCCGTGGCTGACAGGGACCCCATCAGAGCCCTGTGAGCTTCCAGGGACTCCCAGGGGTCCCACTGAAGGGACAACACAGGCACTGGACAAGGACACACTGTGCATGAGTGTGGTACCTGCCCTCAGCAATACTGACCACGAGGCAGCTACTGTCTGTCATGAAGATGAGGAAGGTGAAGACAAGAGAGGTGACTCTCTCTAATGTTGTGGGGCGTCTGGCTTTTGACCAAGGTCTGTCTGGCTTGAAAGCTTTGTTCTTTTAAATAGGCCTTCTCAATGATGAGGCAGGAAAGCACCCCACTGCCTGAGTTCCCCGCCTGCTTCCCCTCCTTCACTCTCATGGGGCCAGCCCAATCCCCACTTCTTTCTCCTGTGTCATGAAACCAAAACATGCAGAAAAGAGAGAGAGGGCTGGACGTGGTGGCTCACAACTGAAATCCCAGCACTTTGGGAGGCTGAGAGGGGTGGATCACTTGAGCTCAGGAGTTTGAGACCAGCCTGGCCAACATGGTGAAACCCTGTCTCTACTAAAAATACAAAATTAGCTGGGCGTAGTGGCGGGCACATGTAATCCCCGCTACTCGGAGGGTGAGGCAGGAGAATCACTTTAACCTGGGAGGCAGAGGCTGCAGTGAGCCGAGATTGAGCCATTGCACTCCAGCCTGGGTGACAGAGTAAGACCCTGTCTCAAAAGAAAAAGAAATAGAAAAGAGAAGAAAAGTGAGAGAGGAGGCAAGGAGCAAACACAAGGCGGCCAGAGGTAGATGGAGACACGCCCCTCAGACTCAGCTGCCTGGAAGTCCAGTGCTAGTGCTGTTCCTGTGCAACCTGCTTCAAGGCAGCAGAGACAGGTGCAGGGAGATGGAGCAGGTGTCTGTAAGGTGGCCTGAGGCCAGACTGAGGAGAGCCAAGTCACACACAGCAAAGGGCAGGACCTTCCCAGGAGGTCATAGGAACCAGGACCAGGTTCCAGGTTCAGGGGAAGGGATTGAGTGTGCGGTGCCTGGTGGGGCTCTCACGCATGATCCCCTCCAGTCCTCAGGGAACCCCGTCAAGTTAGTACTGTGCTGTTACTGTTCCATCTTACAGGCAGACAAGGAAGTGAGGATAACAGTGACTTGTCCAGGTTACACAGCTCTGTACCGCCCCTGCCAAGCTGATTTGGCAGTTGGAGGCTCACTAGGATCCAGCAGTGGGCGAGGAAGGAGGCCGACAGTGAGGGCAAGTGAGGAAGGGAGGCCGTGGGCCCTTGGGGGTGACTGATGCAGGGGAGGATGGAGCTGAGCCACCCCAGACCCCAAGCCCT
The DNA here is from genome assembly GCF_000001405.40 of Homo sapiens. NCBI lineage: Eukaryota > Metazoa > Chordata > Mammalia > Primates > Hominidae > Homo > Homo sapiens. The sequence continues at coordinate 77,010,048 of NC_000015.10, read as the reverse complement.
GGAGGAGGCACTGACCCTGTAGCCAGCCAGGAGGGGTCCAGGCGTCTTCACAGGAAGAGCACGGCTCCTTGCCGAATGGACTCCCGCCTGTGAGTGACCAGCCAGGGGCACCAGTGGTCCAGGCACTGTCATTGCACATCCCCGTCCCCAGGCATTGCCCTCCCACACCACCTACGCCTGCCAGGGATGTCCCAGGGGAGGACAGGCCCACAGCGAGTCCAGGCAGTGGGGCGTGACAGGGCTCAGGCACTGGGTTCTGGTTCTGGCCAGTTCCACACAGTCTGCATGAGTCACAAACCTCCTGAGCCCAGATTCCTCCTCTGTGAGATCGGGATGAGAGCATCACCCACTTCCAGGGGCTCTGAGGACTGAATGGACAACACCTGCAGGAGCCTCATGCAGGGCATTTGACGCTCACCGGGCTCCTGGAAGGGCAGCCGAGGGGATTCATGCATGTTAACTGAGAGGAGCCCAGGGAAGGGGCGTTTACAAGGAGAACTGGGTTTGATCCTAGCTGGGACACTTCTCTAGACTAGTGGCTCCCACTCTCTGGCCTCAATTTTTTCATCTGTAAATTGGGGAGAATACGTGGACTCCTAAGCCCTTATAGGGCTGATATGAGGTGCCTGCTTTGCGGCTGTGATTTGCTGTAGGTGTGAGGGCTGGCAGGCTCCCCTGGGCTTGGGACTTGCTCAAGAGACAGAGATGGGCCCCTAGAGCTTCAGAGGAGCTCCACTCCTATGCCCGTGCCCTTCCTTGAAGGCAGGGACCCCTGCAGCCTCTGGAGGCCCTTTGGCTCTCTCTGCCATCCTCAGCAGGTTCAGGGCCTCGGAGCTGAGCCTGAGGCCTTCCGTGCCTGGGGGGCTAGTTGGACTCCACACCTGCAGGGGATGGCACGTGGGGCTCCTTATCCTTGCTTGGCCATTAACCTGCATGTCTCCACTCTCAATCCTCTAACCACCAAAGTTAGTTTACTACTACAATATTTACAAACAAGGAACCAAGGCTCAGAGAGTTGAGGGGCTCCCCAGGACCACCCATGAGTGTAGTAGGATCGAAGCGGGCCACTGGGCTCCAAGGTCAGAGTGAGAGACAAAGATGGCGCCTGCCAAGTAAAGGCTTCTATGTTGGAGTCTGGGAAATCGCCCTGCTCTGCCCAACACAGCCAGTGTACATGTTACACACAGCCGCATGGTGGAGAAACACGACTCTACTTAGAGTCAGATGCTCCCCCTACCCCAGGCCTGGGGGCTGTGTGAGGAGCCTAGTGCTCTCTGGGACCACTCACTATTTAACGTTTTACTCTCAGCCTACACAGAGGTAGGACTCAGATCAAGAATGCTGGGCGCAGTGGCTCACGCCTGTAATCCCAGCACTTTGGAAAGCCGAGGCGGGTGGATTACCTGAGGTCAGGAGTGCGAGACAAGCCTGGTCAACATGATGAAACCCCATCTCTACTAAAAATACAAAAATTAGCCGGGTGTGGTGGCGGGCACCTGTAATCCCAGCTACTCGGGAGGCTGAGGCAGGATAATTGCTTGAGCCCAGGAGACGGAGGTTGCAGTGAGCCGACACGGTGCCACTGCACTCCAGCCTGGTCAACAGAGTGGGACTCTGTCTCAAAAAACAAACAAAACAAAAAGACTGCCAGACCCTGAGTGCAAGCTCCTTCCCTTGAGGACTGGGAGTTATCTGAGGACGGGGATGAAATTTCTGCAGCTTCAGAGCGGCTCCTGCTCTGACCCTAGACCCAGGCTCAGCTGCTGGTCTTCCCTTGGTCCTGGCACCAGCCACACCTGTTTCTTTGGTTTCAGGGTCAGTGAGAATCCTCACAGATATCCCCAAACACCCCACCCACACCCTGTGCTTCCCTGTGCTGTGCAGACCTCACACCTGGCTGCGTTTAGTATTCACTGCAGCTCCAGGGACACTGATCCAGACTTCTGTGCTGATCTCCCGCCCTCCACCCCCAGCTCTGCTTGCCTGAACCATCCTCAGCTGTTCTGGGTCTTCCTACCACCTGTAGTCTGATGTCCTGATGCCTAGGAGAGTGGGCTCAGAGCTGGTCCAGGTCAATGGGCAATTGTTCAGGAGGTGACCAAGAAGGGAATCCCTTCTGCTTCAGTGACTGCAGTCCTCAAAGTGTTCTATTGCCAGTCGGGCGCGGTGGCTCACACTTGTAATCCCAGCACTTTGGGAGGCCTAGACGGGCAGATCACGAGGTCAGGAGATCGAGACCATCCTGGCTAACCAGTGAAACCCCGTCTCTACTAAAAATACAAAAAAATTAGCTGGGCATGGTGGTGGGTGCCTGTAGTCCCAGCTACTCGGGAGGCTGAGGCAGGAGAATGGCGTGAACCCAGGAGGCGGAGCTTGCAGTGAGCTGAGATTGTGCCACTGCACTCCAGCTTGGGCAGCAGAGCGAGAGTCCATCTCAAAAAAAAAAAAAAAGTGTTCTGTTGCCCAGGCTGGAGTGCAGTGGCATGATTACAGCTCACTGCAACCTCGACCTCCTGGGCTCAAGTGATCCTCCCACCTCAGCCCCCCAGGTAGCTGGGACCACAGGTGTGCACCACCACGCCCCAGCTAATTTTTGTATTTTTTGTAGAGATTGGGTTTTGCCATGCTTCCTAGGCTAGTCTTGAACTCCTGGGCTCGAGCAATCCACCTGCCTCAGCTTTCCAGAGTGCTGGAATTACAGGCATGAGCCACTGCACAGGGCCAGAAGTCTGATTTTTATCCAGGCAAGCTGAGGCCGGGACAGACATTAATTCCTTGCAGGGTCTTATCTTGATCCACTGAGGAAGTTGGTGACCCAGCCTCCAGGCCTTCCCTCCAGACCCTCCTTGAAGAAGAGTGAGAGCAGGTGGGGCCTCAAGGAAGCCGAGATGTCATAGATGGACCTTCTTGGGGAGCTGTAAGGCAGAGCAATCGCAGGGAGGAGCCCACAACCCAGGGGCCCTCTAAAGCAAGTGTCTCCCTACACATGCCCAGGGTGAGAGTATGATGAGGAGTTTGTCACGGACTCGTGGCCAGTCCAGGCTGGGCAAACTCAGGAGGGTCCAGGCCTCAGTCTCCTCACCTATAAAAAGGGAACAACAAAAGCAGCTCTACTCGGGCCCCCAAAGAGCCAAAACAATCTTGAAAAAGAAGAATAAGTTTGGAGGACTCACACTTCTTGATTTCAAAGCTTACTACAAAGCTACAGTAATTGAAGTAGTGCGGTAGTGTCATAAGGACAGACATATAACCAATAGAATGGAAATAGTGAGCTCAGAAATAAGCCCTAACATATATGGTCAATTGATTTTTGACAAGGGTGCCAAGACCATTCTATGAGAAAAGGACAGACTTCAACAAATGGCGCTGGGAAAACTGGATATCCACATGCAAAAGAATTAAGCTGGACCCTTACTTTATACCATATGCAAAAATTAACTCAAGATGAAGTGAACACCTAGATGTAAGACCTAAAGCTACAAAATTTTAAAAGGAAAACATAGGGAAAGCTTCATGATATTTAATTTGGCAATTATTTCTCTGATATGATATTAAAATCATAGGCAACAAAACAAAGAGTAGACACATTGAATTCATCAAAATGAAAAACTTTTGTATATCAAAACAGTGAAAAGACACTCCAGAGTGGGAGAAAATATTTACAAATCATATATCTGATAAAGGATGAGTATCTAGAAAATATAAAGAACTCCTTCAACTCAACAATAAAAAGACAACCAATTCAAAAGTGGGCAAAGGTCTTAAATAGACTTTCTCCAAAGAAGGTACACAAATGGCCAATAAACACATGAAAAGATGCTCAACATCATTAATTATTAGAGAAATGCAAATCAAAACTACGATGAGATATTACTTCATGCCTCCTAAGGTGGCTATGATTTAAAAAAAAAACAGAAATTAACAAGAGTTGGCAAAGATATGGAGCAATTGGATCCCTTTTGCATTGCTGATGGGAATGTAAAACTGTTTGGCGGTTACTCAAAAAGTTAAACATAGGATTACCATATGATCCAGCAATTCCACTCCTAGGTATAATCTAAAAGAATTGAAAGCAGGGTTTCAAACAGGTACTTGTACACCAATGTTCATGGCAGCATTATTCACAGTAGCTCAAAGAAACAGCCCAGTGGTCATCAATGGATCAATGGATATACAAAATAAAGTATATACGTAGAATGGAATAGTATTTTGTCATAAAGAGGAAGAAAATTCTGACATATGCTATGACATGGATGAGCCTTGAAGACATTATGCTAACTGAAATAAGCCAGACACAAAAGGACAAATATTATCTGATTCTACTTACAGGAGATGCCTAGAATAGGCAAATCCATAGAGCTAGAAAGTAGAATCGAGGTAGAACAAGGTATGCGGTGAAGGGGTGGGGAGTTATTGTTTGATGGGTACAATTTCTGTTCAGGATGATGAAGCAGTTCAGGAAATAGTGAATGTTCTTAATGCCTCTGAATCATATACTTAAAAATTGTTAAAATGGTCAATTTTATGTTACATATAATTACCACCACCCCCAAAACTTCTAACCTCTGCTCACTCAGGTGAGTCAAATGAGGTCAGGAAAATGGTAAAAACCAGATGTATGCCTATTGTCAGCAATGGTAATTTTTGTTTTGTTTTGTTTTGATATTGAGTGTTTGCTCTTGTTGCCCAGGCTGGAGTGCAGTGGCACAATCTTGGCTCACTGCAACCTCTGCCTCCCAGGTTCAAGCAATTCTCCTGCCTCTGCCTCTCAAGTAGCTGGGATTACAGGCATGCACCACCATACCTGGCTACATTTTTTGTATTTTTAGTAGAGACAGGGTTTCACCATGTTGGCCAGGCTGGTCTTGAACTCCCGACCTCAGGTGATCTGCCCACCTTGGCCTCCCAAACTGCTGGGATTATAGGCATGAGCCACCATGCTTGGCCAGCAATGGTAATTAATTACCACAATTATCTATGTTGATGCCTCTCAAGCTAAAGTTCCACATGGAGGCACTGGGGAACTTTGAAAAATACTGATGTCCAGGTCCTACCCTCAGAAATCGGGGTGTAATTGACCTGGGGTGTGGCCTGGGCATTGGGATTTTTTAGAATGACAGTCCTACAAGATCTGGCTCTCTGCTTCTCTTTTCTTTCTTTGTTTTTTTTGTTTGTTTGTTTGTTTGTTTTGAGACAGTCTTGCTCTGTTGCCCAGGCTGGAGTGCAGTGGTGCGATCATACAGTCACTACAGTTTCCAACTCCTGGGCTCAAGTGACCCTTCCACTCCAGCTTCCCAAGTAGCTGAGACTACAGGTGTGCACCACCAGGTACAGCTAATTTTTGTACTTTTTTTTTTTTTTAAGAAGTGGTTTCACCATGTTGCCCAGACTGGTCTTGAACTCCTGGGTTCAAGTGATCTTCCCACCTCAGCCTCCCAAAGTGCTGGGATTACAGGTGTGAGCCACCACGCCTGGCCACTGTTCTATTTCTTACCTTATCTCCAACTACTCTCCACCTTGGTCACTCTCTCTAGCCACGCAGGCATGCTCTTGCCTCAGCCCATCACCCCCTGACTTCCTCCCCAGTGTGGCTGTTTCCCGTTCCTGTTTCCACAGCTGGGAAGCCCTGAGTTCCATCTGGCCACCACATCCCCACACTGGCTGCTGGTCTCCAGGGCTCCAGCTGGCACTTCCTGTTGCCCAATGGTGGGTGGCCTGTCAACACCAGTGGAAGGAGCTGTCGCTCTCCTGCCTGTTCCATCACCCATTGCTCAGTGTGCCAGGCCTCAGCAAACCAACACACCCTCCCATTAACTGCAAAGGGCTCTCTGACCCAGACCTGGGAAGGTGGCATCCAGGCCCAGCCCAGTCCGATCCATCTGTGTGGCATCCCCCAGGCCCACATTCCTTCCAAGAGGCTCAGTTTCCTCTCTGTAAAACAGGAATAAGAATACTGACCTCACAGGACTATTGTTGGAATTAAGTGAGATAACATAGATCATCTTGTTACTTGAAACCAAAGGAATGATTCTCTAATGGTGGAGTATAACATGCAATGGTGAACATGATTGGAGGAGGCATTCTGAAACAGCAAGATCTATGTATAAGGCTCACCCTATGGGTGCATATCCAATTATAAATCTGGGTCCCCTGGGAACTGTTCCTGGTCTGCTACTCCACTGTGGTGAGCAGGAGGTGGTCCCTTAGCACTGCCCTGAGCCGCCCCAACCTCAAAGCCCTTATCTTAAGTGATGACGACCCTGACATCCTGCAGATGAGGAAACTGAGGTTCAGAAAGGGAAAATGATTCTCCAAGGCCACCTAGCAAGTGTGGGTGAGGGTTGGGTGAGGCTTCAAAGAAGCCCGCTTCCTTCTTCTTCTTTTTTTTTTTTTGAGACGGAGTTTCGTTCTTTTGCCCAGGCTGGAGTGCAATTGTGAAACCTCAGCTCACTGCAACCTCCACCTCCTGGGTTCAAGCGATTCTCCTGCCTCAGCCTCCTGAGTAGCTGGGATTACAGGCATGCGCCACCATGCCCCGCTAATTTTTTTGTAGTTTTAGTAGAGACAGGGTTTCACCATGGTGGCCAGGCTGGTCTCGAACCCCTGACCTCAGATGATCCACCCGCCTCGGCCTCCCAAGAAGCCGATTTCCTTCTAAGCCTGGAGGATGGAGCATGACTGAGTCTGTGAGGGAGGAACCTTCCAGAGCCAACCCAGAGGAGAGTCCTGGTGTGGGCAGCCCAGGGCCCAGGGCATCATGCTCTCTAGCTGGAAGCAGAGGCAGTCTTGGTTTCCACCCAAAGTTCCCTCCATCATGTGGTTTGCAGCGTCAGCCAGGCTCTGGGTGAGGAGGAAGGGCATCCCACTCACAGCCCGCAGCCTCTGTCCTCTTTTGCATGAGAGGAAACAGCCACCACCAGAGAGGGTGCAGAGAGGCAGAAGAAAGTATCTCTGCCACCACTTAGGGCAGAGACCTTTCACAATCCAGCTCGTGCCTTCCCTTCCTACCAGTCACCTTGCACAATGCTCTGGGCCAGAAAACTGTCTTCCAAACCCCCTTCCACACCTTTGCCCATGCCGTACCTCCCACCTTGAGTGCCGTTTGTCCTCCTGACATGTCTCAAATCCTCACCCACCCTTCAAAGCCCAAAGCAAGGCCCTCCTTCTCCATCCCAGGGGCTGCCCTAGTTCTGTGTAGATGTCAGGAGCAGCCAGGAAAAGCATGTGGGTTCCAGGGGACTGGAGCACAAAGTGGGTCATCAAGAAGCAGATCTTGTTTTTTATCAAGAATAAAATTGAATTCAGAACACCAAATCGACCCAGAACCCTGCAGCCAGCAAATCCTGGCAGTGACCATCTGCAGGCATCGCAAAAGCAAAGCAAGCATGACCACAAACCTCTGCAATCTTCTAACACCTGAGCAGCCGGCCACGTCCTGTGGAATGGGCACAGATGAACGAAGTTCTTGGTCCCCAGAGGCCCACGTACCACAAAATATGCACCGAGCATGTGGAAAAGGGCATGCTAGCAAACCACAAATTTGGCCTAGAAACACCAACTCATTCTTGAAAGCAGGAATTGCTTAGTTTTCTTTTTAAATATTTTCTTTTTAATGACAAAGGTACTCTGTATTGACTTGCAGAAAATTAGATGGGGGATGGAGAGAATCCTACTTCCAAATCCATAGACACCAGTGTTAACATGTAGGGAAGCATCCTTTCATCCTACACAAATTAAAGTAGAAGCAAGAACAAACTCTCTAGAATTCAGGGCAGAGGGCAATAGAGTTCGACAGACCTAGGTGGGAGTCCCTGCTCTACCCTGCACAGGTGACCCTCGTCTGGGCCTAGACCTGCCGTGCCTTAGGTCCCATCACAGAGTCAGGAAGACACTGACAATGCGTTTGGGGGCATGTGGACTGAATGGCAGCATGCCTGGCATGGAACAGGCACTCAGCAAATGGCAGCATTGCTGCTCCTCAGGGGATGATGTAAGTAGCTGGGATTCAGGGAAAAATTCTTCATGGGACTTGAAATAAATGTCCTCTTTTTCATTTTTAATTGTTTGATTTAATTTTTGAATAATTAATACATTCATATGGTTCAAAAATCAAACAGTATAAAAACATCAATCCTGAAAACGTTCACAGCCGCTCAGCCTCATCCCTCATCCATCTCCTTTCTCTCATTCTCCCAACAGGCAACCACTTTAATTAGCTCCCTGTGCATCCGTCCACAGATTTTTGTTGTTAATACTACAAGCCTGCGCCAGTATAAATGCTTATTTCCCCACTTTTCACAACGGGTTGCCGACCAGGTGCACTGCCAGGCTCTCTGCTTTTTACAGGGAACACCAGGTCTTAAAGAGCTTTCCCAATCAGGAAAGGGAGAGCCTCCGTCCTCACTGCTTCTGACAGATGCAGCCAGGCAGGTGCCGGGAAGGTACTTGGTGGCAGCAAAGGCAGGATGGCCAGGGCCTCTCTCTCCCACCTCCTGCACTGTCTGCAAGCTCTGAGTGCACCAGGGCCACTCCTCAGCCACTGGCCTCCTTGGCCCTCAAAGCCACAGCAGTTTGCTGGGCTGCAAGGCCTTCCACAAAGTCAGTGCAGGCTCTGGTTTCCAGCAGGGCCCCATCCACAGGCCCTGACCCTTCCAGGCCATTCTGGGGTCCCTCCTTCCTGTGTGAAAAAGCTCCTGCCCAACCAGAGGACTATGGGGGATCCCAAAGTGACTGCTAGTACCCATGGCTGGAGAACTGGCCCCACTCTTTCACCCAGAAATGCCTCCTTCCCTGGAAAATAGCCATTAGCCTCCTCTGCCCAAAGAAATAATCCCCAAGTGAAAAACCTTTATAGTCAAAGATCTACCCATGGTGTCACTGTCCAGAATAATAAATAATTGGCAGTAACCTAAATGTTCAGCAGTGGAGGACTGGGCAAAAAAAATCACAGCATGGTCACCAAATTCACAAGCTAGAGAACTGTGCAGCCATGAACAGTGGTGTTGCTGAAAATGAGGAACCCATGTCCACACCCACAGGTGTTCCCGATGGAGTGAGTTACGCTAAAAAAAGGGGAGGGTGGCAAAGTGTGAACAAACCTAGCGCTACTGAACCATACACCACAAAAATGGTTAAGATGGTACATTTTATGTGTATTTCGCTACAATTTAAAATAAAATTTAAAATACTAGAAAAAAAAAGGAGGGAGGGCCGTGCATGGTGGCTCACGCCTGTAATCCCAGCACTCTGGAAGCCAAGGCAGGAGGATTGCTTGAGCCCAAGAGTTTGAGACCAGCCTGGGCAACACAGGGAGACCTCATCTCTGCAAAAATAAAAAATTTGTAAAAGAAAGGGAAAATACAAAATTATGTACACAATATGCTTGCACCTATGTAAGGCAATCTTATGCAAACACAGCATAATATTAGCAGTTGTGTGATGAGACTAAAGGTGCTTCTTCTTTTCCTATTTTTCTCCATTTCCCCACTTTCCTTTTAGGATCTTATATTAGTTGATTTTGTTTCTTTAGAAAGTGTGTGTGTGTATGTGTGTGTGTGTGTGTGTGTGTGTGTATATATATATATATATCTCTCTTTAAATGCCCAGGATGGAACAGGTGCCCAGCAAATGTCAGGCTCTCCTGATGCCCCTGGGCCATGGTAGACAGGTCTGGGGGTAGGGACAGGCAGCTTTATGACAGATCAGAGTAGGGCCCCTCAGTCCCCTTCTCTGTAGCCTCATAAATGGGCACCTCAGCATCTCAGAACTGGGAAGGGAAAAGGCACCAGTGGCTGAGTGCCACATAGGGAAGGGGCAGACCAGCCCAGCTGGTCCCACTGTGTGAAGCTGGTGAGTCACTGCCCCACTCGGCAGCGGTGCTGTCACCTGTTAAATGGGCTTGGGGAGGCTCAGCTCCTCCCAGTGTGGCACAGGGGTTTCTAGATAGAGCCAGAGCCCAGCCTCAAAGGAGAGATACACCCACATGTCAAGGGGAAAGTTCAGGCCTATTGTCCCCATACCCCCTTGGTGGTTCCCACCCAAAGGGTGGGTGACAGTCACTGCAGTGCATGTGACCCAGCCTCCCCAGGTCCTTACTTTTCCTTTTAACTACCCTAAAAGGAATAGGATGTGGATCTCAATAGAATCTGGTCCAGAACTAGATTTTCCCTCTTAAAACAATATCTAATGACATCTTTGCAAAGGCCATTGGATAGACATACAGGTTGCGGGGGATGGGGGACCTGGGAGAGGATGGCACAGTTGAGATACTGCTCCTCTCAGAGCACTCCTTGCCTGACCCAGTTATTCCTCCAGCCCCGGCACTGAACTATGGCTTCCTTCAGGTCAAGACAGTTTCATTCATCTGATTAGATGTTGCAGGGTGAAGAAGCTCAGGGGTCCAGCGTGGACCACCTAGTAGACAGCCCTACTCACCAAATATTTGCAGAATATAACAAAAGTGAAATGTAGTGCTGGGCGCGGCGGCTCACGCCTGTAATCCCAGCACTTTGGAAGGCTGAGGCGGGTGGATCATCTGAGGTCAGGAGTTCGAGACCAGCCAGGCCAACATGGTGAAATCTCATCTGTACTAAAAATACAAAAATTAGACAGACGTGGCGGCGCACGTCTGTAATCCCAGCTACTCGGGAGGCTGAGACAGGAGAATCACCTGACCCCAGGAGGCGGAGGTTGCAGTGAGCTGAGATTGTGCCACTGCCCTCCAGCCTGGGTGACAGAGTAAGATTCTTTCTCAAAAAAAAAAAAAAGTGAAATGAAGTAAAAAATGGGTTCAGGAAGGGAGATGGACCATGGAGACATTCACTGTCCATTCATTTATTCTATGAACACGTCCTCAGCCAGTACCCCACTTGTCAGCCCTGTGCAGAGGATACAGACAGACATTTCTTGCAATAATTTGGCCACCTGCTGGGAGTGGAGCCACGACAAACTGGGGGCAGGGGGAGGACCCTTCCTTCTCTGGGCTTCCCAGCGCCTTAGACTCAGTGCTAGGCCAGTGCCCTCTCCGCTCAGACAGCTGGTATTCTCAGATTCAACCTTGTCTCACTGACAGGTCCCACTCTGAGGCTCATTTACAAACTTCCTGCCAAGGTGTGATGCTCTTTATCATCTGTGTGTATCACAGAAATCACATTATCCCTTCCCTCCCTCTGTGGCTGGTCCGCCCTGCCTCACTCCTACAGCAGCGTGCATCTGAACACTCGGCTGCAGCTAAAATCAGGCTATAAATAAATACTGTGTGGCCACACTGACAAAATTGCAAAAACAGGCCGACTGAGGGACAGGACTGTGTCTGCTCCCATGCTGAGTGTCCCCACTACTTCTGTGCCACTACAGCTGCTTTTCAGACTGTTTCTGTCTCCTTCCTTGCAATCAGGCTGCTAGCTGCCTGTGAAACGTCCTTTCGTAGTCCAGGTCCATCAGCATTTATCCATCGCCAACTGTATATCAGGTACTGTGCAGACTGCCACTAATTGCTACATCTATAGGCTAAAAGACCCCATGACCAAGCTCATTAAAATTGTGGGTGAAATTAGAGTTCATAGGACCTGAGTAAAAGCTAGGGGACATCTCCTAGGAGTGTAGTATATGAGCTTTAAGGAAAGCTCTTAGGGAAATCATCTTTGGCTCCTGAGAAACCACTTTTGCTTCCTCCCTTACTGTGAGCTAAAGCCAGAAACAGCAGGGCTGGCTCCCCTCCTCCGCCCCGTGTTCTGTATGGGTGAGGTTGCCCAATAACTGAGGGGCTGTGATATCAAACATGATCTTTCCAGTTTAGCCAAAGTAGGGTCCCTCCACTCTGTCAGCTCTGTCACCCAGGCTAGAGTACAGTGGCACAATCTCAGCTCACTGCAACCTCTGCCTCTTGGGTTCAAGCTGTTCTCCTGCCTCAGCCTCCCAAGTAGCTGGGATTACAGGAGCATGCCATCACGCCTGGCTAATTTTTGTATTTTTAGTAGAGACAGGGTTTCACCATGTTGGCCAGGCTGGTCTTGAACTCCTGACCTCAAGTGATCCATCCACCTTGGCCTCCCAGAGTGCTGGGATTACAGGCGTGAACCACTGCACCCCGCCTAAAAACCAGTCATTTCTAAACAGTGTGCTGGCAGGCTGAAGGGTTTAATGACAGTGCCTTGGGCTGGGGTGGGGGAAGGCCCAGACATGGGCCAAGCTGGCTGGGCTGTTCCTAATATAACACCTGTGGCCAGAGTAGTGTGCCTTTTCTGTTTTACAGATTTGTCTACAAATGAAGCTTCAGAATATTGTTCTAGCCACCTTGTCTGATTTTCTTACCCCTCTGGGAGATAAGAGGGGTTACCTCTTATCTTACCCCGAAGCCAAAAGATCCAGTGATATGTCAGATAGACAGAGGGATCCTGCAACAACACAAGTGCTAAAGCCAGCCTGCCAGGGGTTTAATCCCAGCAGTGTGACCTTGCGCAAGTCTCTTAATATCTCCGTGCCTCAATTTCCTCATCTGAATAAGAGAGATAACAGTAGCATGTGTTTGAAGGATTGAATGAGTGAATATGCATACATCTTGAGAACAGCGCCTGGCACATCTTTCGTGCTCAGCAAATGTTAGTTGTTATGCACTGGGATGGGCTGAGCATCAGGAAGAGGTATTAGAATCCAGAGCCCTGGGGCAGGTGATGCCTACAGTGACCTTTCGGGGCATCGGCCCAGACTCAGTGTGAGAGGTTCCCACTGGCTACTTCTCTCCCCTTCCTGCTCTGGCCTTCCCTAGGGAAACTATATGCCCGCCCCAGGCTCAGGGAGCCAGACACAGAGGAGACAAGGCACTTGGAGGCCAGGAAGCCCAGAGGTGCGACGAGCACAGAGTGTGGGCAGGATGCCGCTCAGGAAGCTCCACAGGGGCTGGCTGCTTGCTTCTGCTGCGGCTGCCATACCCTGCTCCCTTATACGCCACCCCTACCTGTGCCCAGATCCTGCCATGGAGGCTGCTCCTTGCCCAGCTCTGCCCTAGGGAAGGCAGGCCCAGGGGCTCTAGGACTGGACAGAGGTCTCAGTGATAAAATAGTCAAGGGGTCCTGGCCTGCCCTGGGCTACAGAGTGGCCTGGGTTTCCAGGCCCTACCCCTTCCCCCAACTTTGCACACCAAGGCAGGGCAGCTAGGTGGTGACTCACATCCCCCATCCCCCAGGGCTCCAGCTGCCAGCCTGGGCCCTGAGCATCCTGGTGCCTGGTCCTCCGGATGGGCTGAGGCAGCTCTGCCTCCATTGGCTTCTCTGGGCTGGGCCCACCCTGTCTTTGTAGAGATGGGGAAACTGAGGCCCAGAAAGGCACAAGGTGCCCTCCCCACGTGGGGTCCTTTGCCTACTGTACAGTCAGAGCAGAGGAAGCAGAACACTCACACGCTGGCCACAGGCCCCAAGTGGAGCCGGCCGGAAGGGAAGGAAGGCCTGGCTCCATAGCTCTCATCCTCCTGGCTGCAGCCCCAGGAAAAGGCCCGGGGAGGGCAGGGCTGTTGGCTGGGGCTCAGCCGGCTGAGCCGAGGGCCAGAGCGTCCTCTTCGGGGTTGGAGGCAGCACCCCGGGACAGCCACATTCCCCAGCTCCAACCAGAGAGGTCTCAGTTTTTCCCCAGAGCCCTGGGCACAGCCAGAGCTGAGGGGCAGAGGGGTAGTTGAAGGACAGCTGGAAAAGTGCTGAGATGACCAGGGGTCCAAGCTGGGCTGCAGGCTACGTGGCCCGGGCCAAGCCACTTTACCTCTACCACTGGCTGGGCGCCCTTATTTCATGGGGGAAATGACTTGATTTAAGCCCGTGTTGAATTTAAGAAAGTAAGCAAGCCATTGCCCACCTGGCTGCCTCCTTGAAGGACCCCTAAGGTCTGCAAGGGACAAGGGGCTGGGTGAGGGGAACAGAATTACCATTTGGAGTGAGGCAAGGTGCTGGGGGCTTTAGTGCCTTGGATCCCCTTGCTGATCCAATGCTTTAGTTGGTGTGTTGATTTCTATTTTATCACCATTATATAGATGGAGAGACTGAGGCTTGGAGACAGAAATGACTTGCCCAGCCTGTAACAGAGCCAAGACCTGAACTCAAGTTTGTCTGGTCTCTAAATCTGTGACCCCTCCTTTGCTGCCCCACACATCCTCCTCAAGCCCCCACCCATGTGTTACCCTCTTCTGAGGAGCTCCTGCTGTGGGGAGAGGTCTCCCAGAGGAGAAAACACACGGGGCAGCAGAGAGGAGGACGCTCATTCACGGAGTCCACTTGCGTTCCAGTCCAGAAGGGGTGGGGGCCTGGGCCACCTCCATGACAATTAAGACCAAGAATCAACCACTATTTTATGAGAAAGCTCCCCTCTCGGAGCCGCATCCCATCACCTGCATGGAGATTTCAGCCTAGCTCTGCCCCCTCCACTTGTTCAGTGCCCCCAACCATCCTCACTCACCCAAAAGGCATCTTTGAACTGCAGCTGGGGCATCATCCTCAGGCGTCTGCCGCGGCAAAGCTCACTCTCCTGCCACAGGCTGGCCTGATGGAGGGCCAGGCGCCAGCAGCAGCGTCCCAGTCCTGGCAGGGCTGGCCCAGGCCCCCCTTCCCGGCCGGCGCCGTCTGCAACACTCAGAAGGCAGCCACGAGCCAGAGAGGAGCTTCTGAGGGGAGGAAAAAGCTCAACCTGTTTTGTTTGGGGCTAGAATCAGCAGCAAAATGAGGAAGGAGTGGAGCTCAGTGATGGGAGGGCGGGCCCTGGTGTCCAGCCCAGCCCCTCACCGACCCTGCGGTGATGGAGGACACAGTCTGGGACCCAGGGCAGGGAGCAGGGATGCCAGCCCTGGGTGGGAGGCAGTGGCCAGTGGAAGAGGCAGGCTGGAGCTCGGGCCGGGCCAGGCAGGCAGGCAGGCAGGCAGCCCGAGGCCTGCGCAGGAAGGTTTGTGCAACCTCCCCCGGGGCAGGCACAGGGCCCTCGCCCACAGGAAGTGGAGTTGCTGTGCTCCCCTGTGCAGCCCCGCCTGCCACCTGCCATCCTGCTCCTGCCTCTGCTTGCCCCCTCCCGAGGTGCGGGCTCACTTTATTCCAGAGGCCATATGCTAAGGGAGCTTGAGGCCCACTGACAGTGTGGCCAGGAGGGGCCCAGGAACCCCAGGTGTGTCACCCGCCAGCCAGTCCAGCACCCTTCCAGGCTGGGCCCAGAGATGCCAGACTCCCCACCCCGCACTAGCAAGTCATTCTGGAGGGGCTTACCCAGGTCTAGGGCATCTGTCATTCATCAAACCCTGGCTGCTCTGGGACCCAAACCAGGTCCTGCCCTCAAGGAGCCCATAGTCTGGGAGCAGACACAGCTGTGCTCTGGGGGGCTGTGAGCACACAGAGGCAAGGTGAGCAGGCAGCAAGATGAGGGAGAACAGCCTGAGGCCCCGGCACTGCCCCCACCACCACCACCGCCACCACCGCAAGTCTCCAGATTAGACGCTGTTTGGGGCAGAGAACCCCCTTCTGAAGATGGAGGCTTCCGGCTCAGTGAATGGGAATGGATGGAGAGAGAAACAGGATTATCAAGGCACAGAGTGGGGTGTTTGGAAACCCAGTCTGAGGCCCAGTTTTTGTTTAATTTTGACCCCACCTTTCAGGGGCTGAGGGACCTTAATAGACCCCCCAACTCGCTGAGCCTCAGCTTCCTCATCTGCCACACCCAGTCTTTGGAAAGTAGACGGTGTCGAGAATATTTCTGGAATTTCCAGTTTGGTGGGCAGGTGCTGGGGGCACTGTGTGGTACCACCTTAGGAAGAGCCCTGGACTAGAGCCCCAGCCCCAGCCCTGAGACGCCACGCCCTGCCGGCTCAGCAGAAGATGCAGCAGGAAGTCCTGAGCCCAGGGCAGGCTGGCAAAATGGGGTGAGTCAGGGATTGTCCGCAAATCACCACCCTCACTGATGTCTGCCTTACAGCTGACGGGGTGATAAGATGAGAGCTGCTGCAGATGAAATAGTTGAGCTCCCAAGTGCCCATTATGCATGCCCAGGGTTTAGAGAGAGGGGGCACACCCAGGCTCTGAAATAGCCACCCAAGAGGAAACACTTTGGGGAGGATTGCAGAGCAATGGGACTGCCCCCAGAAGGCCCTCACCTCCAGAAACCTTGGATTTGAGCTAATCTTTAATCTGTAAGGCGCCCCAGTCAGGTTTTTTGTTACTTGCAGCTGAAGACAATTAATAGTGTAAAAATCCCCTTGAACTTTGTAGGCCATAGAGTGAGCCAGGCTGCACCTCACCTCCCAATGGCACCACCACCTCTGATAGCACTGGCTCAGCCTCCCTGAGCTCAGTTTCTCCATCCATCAGATGGGATGATGCCTCTAGGTCTGGAGCAGACTAGAGACCCTCTGTTAACAGAAGGCTCCTGCCTGCTTATTGGCAGAAATTTTTACAGCTGGGCTCCCTGCCCTGCCTCTCTAGGTGTCCTTCCCATCACCTCCCAGAGACTTCTGCTCCAGCCAGGCCTCTTCCCTCTCCCTGGAGGCACCTTTCCCACTCCCACCTGCTCTGTTCCCAGCCTCCCTTCTGGCAAGCCTTCCTTGATCTTCCTTACCTGGGCAAATCCTCCCACCCTCAAAGCCAACCTCAAGGCTCCCACACATGAGGCCTTCCTTTCCCAACTGTACCTGTCCAGCCAGGGCAGCCCCGGATGGAGGGCCATGCTGGTGACGGGCTGGAGCAACTGGGGAAGGAAGTAATGTGAGGAACCTCTGGAGAGACTCTGCAATTCTCTACTAGAGAGGCCTTCCTCCTCCCCTCCCTTCCACCCTTACCTGTTGCAGGTCCCCAGGCTGGGCGACCAGACAGCCAATTCGGCTTTGGAGTACTTACCCAGCACCGGGTACATCATTCTGCTTTTCACACGGACCACCTCAGTTACACTGTCATTATCCCCACTTTACAGAGGGGCAAACTAGTGATTAAAGAGTGTAAGTAACGCACCCAAGTAGCAGGCAATAAGCAGAAGGCTGGGCTTTGGTCCTAGATCTGTCCGAAGCCAAAGCACACGCTCTTAACTTCCACAGTTGTCTTTTACTAACAGCCCTCTATTCAAAAAGCGTTTCATTGTTCCTTTCTCCAGTTCTACCTCGAGACCCTCTCACCCAAGTCAATAAAAGGAAAAACAATCTAGGGAAGCCACCGGGGCTGATGGTGCCATAGGAATGAGAGGCCAGCCTTTAGCACATGCTATTCTGCATCACTGTGTTATTCGCATCAGTTGAGGATGCTTTTGGCTGCAAAGAACATAAACCAGAGGGTCTGACACAGAGGACGTGTGCTGTCATCTACACAACGGGGCTGGAGGCAGGGCAGCCTCCAGCTGTGGTACATGAGGGCTTCAGCTCAGTCTCTCTGAGTTTCTCTTGCATTTACGATCTTCCTCCTTGGGCTGGAGGCCAAGGAGCTGCAGCAGCTCATCTACAACTCCAGACACAGCCACAAGCAGAGAAAGAAAAGGACACCTGCCCTTGTGTCTCATTTTCTCCAAAGCCCCTGCACCCTCCCTTCTGCCCAGCTCCCCAGGAGACCTTCCCTTGTGTCTCCTTGGCCCTAGGTGGGTCACGTGCTCATACTTCCCCATGGTTGGCCTTGCGAATGGGCAGCCGGGGATGCCGAAAGCCAACCACGTGACCACCACAACCTTCTCCTCAGCCCAGGCACACAAGCACTGCTGAGCACCAACTCCTGCAGGGTCCTGCTGGGACCGGGGCCTCAAGGGGAGGCAGACTTGGTTTTTGCTCTGAGGGGCCTAGAGACTGACAGACAGGTTCTAGGGAGTTCTTTCTCCATAAGGAGTGGCTCAGAGCGGGTGAGACCAGAAGAAGATATTGTGATGACTTTTACAGGAATGAGGTCTGGTTGGGGCAGGTGCGATGGGGCTTGAGTGGATTGGTGGGATGTCAGGGAGATGGAGGAGCAAGACTGAGATGTCTGAGTGCCCCTCAGAAAAGAGTACTGTCTTAGGGGGCCCCTATTCACACCAGCCCCACCCACACCCAGGCCCAGGCCCTTGGGGAGAGGAATCCATCCCTGAAAATCACCGCTTTTTAGTGACTGTTCCAGCTGCTTCAAAACAATTTGCCTTGAGGTCTGTGCAGTTGTGCCTCAGGCCAGGCTGTGGGGGCATACCCCTCCCAGGCAGAGCCCCTGCCTGTTTTGCCTGGTATCTGAACACATCTGCTTGAAGAATTCAAGAAGCAGTAGCTACAAGGATTGAGAATAAAATGCAAAATCAGTTTTTATAACATTTATTGTCACAGCCCCCACCACTGACTGGCAGGACTCCGCTCCTGAAGACACTTCATCCATCCCTCTGAGCCACAGAAACAACAAAACCAGTAACAACAGCTGCCACAGAAGGAGGATCAATATTTACAGGACCTCCATCACTTTCACAAGCTTGATCTCACTGATTGCTCACTGCCTGGACAGCTACATAATTTGCGAGTCCAGTGCAAAATAAAAATGTGAGACCTCTTACTCAAAAAGCAGGGACAAAATTGCCGTTAAAGGTACTAATCTATAAAACTTGTTTCTTTACTGCAGTCTCTCTCTCAACCTGGAATGGTGTTTTTGATTTGTTATTTAACGTTACACTCCCTTGGGCATGGGAATATCTGTGGGACAACTTGCCCCGCCCCACCCTCTGACTTGACTCAGTTCTGTGTGAAATTCACCAGTTGCTGGACTTCTCCTCCTGTCAGCCACCACGCTGATCTGCATTCTGCGTTCCCCAGCGGAGGTTGGGGAAGTCAAGCCAGGCATTGCCATTTCCCATGGACCTGCCTCACCAACCCACAGCGGACAGGCAGTCCCCAGGGGTGTTGCAAAATCCAGGCCAGGATGCACTAGGAACCAGGGTCAGAAGTGAGTGAGAGGCTCAGCCCCCTGAGTCGCCTGTTGAATTTGCCATGGTGTTGCCAGCCTGGGGCAGGGGCCACATTGCCATGGCCAATCCTCAGATGCTACCAGGTGTGCCCTTGACCCGGACTGTCCCCATGCCTGCACTCAGGTCTCTGCTGGGGGCAGAGTGTGGCAGTGGTTGCTAGGCAGAAGTGGAGAAGACTGAGAACAAGTCCAGGGGAGGCAGTTGGAAGCAGGACCACAGGAGCCAAGGCTCCAAGTCCTTGATGTATGCTTCATTGTCCCACCAGACTGTACTTAAGAAAAGCAAATTCAAAAATAATGTGATTAAGAATTCCAAGACAGCAATCTCAGAGCATTAGACCCCAAGTACAATTTGCTTACACGAGTTGTACATCTATGAAACCAACCCTGCTCACTCCTGTCTGCTCTCTACACAGCAGAGTGACATTTTCAGATCCACATTTGGTCATATCAACGTCCCACTGTCACCTTGCCATGATTTTCCATTACTCTCAGGACAATGGCCATTGCCCTTACATGGCCTACAGACCCTGCATAATTTGGTCCCAGCCTACTCTTCAAAACTTCAACTCCCATTATGCCTCTCTCAATTTCTGATACTGCTTCCTGGACCATCTTTCAATTCCTCCATTCTGCCTCATTCTCTTCTTTCCCGGGTCCTTCACACATGATCACCCCTCTGCCTGGAAGCTTCTTCCCGTTCCATCCTAGACCCTGCCTTGGCCCAGCTAACTACTCCTTATCCCTTGGCCCTCTTATCAAATGTCACCTCTTCAGGAAAGCCTTTCCTGACCAATAAATGGATGGACAAATGGACAAAATGCAGGCAAGATGGAAAGCAAATAAACATCTTTTTTCTTTTTTCCTTTTTTTTTTTTTTTTTTTTTGGGACAGTGTCTCGCTCTGTCGCCCAGGCTGGAGTGCAGTGACACAGTCTTGGCTCACTGCAGACTCTGCCTCCCAGGTTCAAGCAGTTCTCCCAGCCTCAGCCTCCCAAGTAGCTGGGATTACAGGCATGCACCATCATGCTTGGCTAATTTTTATATTTTTAGTAGAGACAGGGTTTCACAGTGTTGGCCAGGCTGGTCTCAAACTCCTGACCTCAGGTGATCTGCCTGCCTTGGCCTCCCAAACTGCTGGGATTATAGGTGTGAGCCACTGCACCTGGCCGAATAAACACCATTTTGAAGGAAGTTCAGCCAAGTTCTCAGGGGCTGGAAGAGAAGACGTTGTTGGGGGAATAGCTCTCAGAGGTGAGGCTGACACCAAGCTGGAGGGCGGGACTGCACTCTGAGGGTCCTAAGATTCTAATTTGTTATCCAGGAAGAATCTAAAGCGAGAGCTTCCAGCCTTCTGAAGAGGGGCAGGGGCTGGAAAGAAGAGGGAGAGAAGGAGGGTCTGAAAGCTCTTTGGTGACATTCGAAGAGCCAGGAGGCCCTTGCCATGAATTTCATTTGGAGATGGCATTGCCACTGGTCCAAGGGGTAGGGCAAGTGACGCACGCTTCTCCCTTCTGCAGGGGAGCATCTGTCCTGCAGGAGTAATTCTCAACCTGCCATCAGCTTATGGCCAGAAGGGCATTCATGAGTCGGCCATTTAGACCTCGGTGGATGCACTGTCATGACGCTGCCCATGGCTGTAGGGTTGTGCACCCATCCCATGGCTGAAGTGGGATGTTCCAGCACCTGGCCATGATGGTTCACTATTGCTGGGGGAAATACCTGTAGGGTCCCTCCAGGTGGCCAGAGGCACATGCCTACTGTACTGGGGCAACCACTGTCCACCCCACTTACCCTGTCCCAGATTGGAACAAGCTCCACTGCAGCACACCCACCAGCACTGACTGAGCCTTCCTGTCTGGGAACATGCAAATGAACAAGCTCAGCCCCTGCCAGTCTGGTGAGGGAGGCAGCCTAGGAAGGGAAAATGTGCTGTGCGCAGACAACAGAGAAAGGCTGTTGAGGAGCCTGGCCTGGGAAGTCCTCCCAAAGGAGGGGAGCTGGGTCTTGATTAATGGGAAAGAGCTCACCCGTGAGGCAGGAAGGGAGTTCCAGAATAACGCTAATAGTCTACTAGGGCTGTGCTGCATCAGGCTCTGCTGTAAGCACTTCCCATGCCTTATGTATCACTTAATCTTCCCAACAACAGTGTGAGGCATTACGGCCACATTCAACAGATAAGGAACCTGAGGCTTAGACAGGTCAGTTAACTTTTCGGAGTCCCATCGCTAAAAAGGGTCTTTCCTCCCCAGAGTGTGGGGCTGGCAGTGAGGGGCCAGGGCCTGGGGCAGAAACAGGATGAGGAAGAAGGGAAAAGCAAGTCCCCACTGAGGAGGAAGTGCAGAGCCCATGCGGGGTGGGGGTGTGGCGCTCAGATGGAGGCTCCTCTCCTCTGACTCCAGGAAATATCCTTGCCCCAGAGTCCTCCACTGGGGCTGAGGGTGTGGCCTTTGGCCTTCAGGATGTGATACAGTTTGTTTTTCAGTTTGCCCCCAGGGACAGCAGTTGCAAAAACTAAGGCCTCTTCCCACTCACACAGCTCGCCTGAGTTGACGAGGAGCTTTCAGGTTTACTAATTTGCAGCCACAAGAGTGTGACTCTGAGTTTCCAAGCATTATCAGTCGTCAGAAGCCGAGTGCCGGTCAGGATTCTTGAAAGACAGCAAAGAGGTGCAAAGTGGCCCTTCGGGAGGTGGCCCAGGAACTGGTGGGCATGGGGAAGGGGCCTCAGTGAGTCCCAGGAATCCACTGCCACCCGATCACTGGTCAGAGGACGGAGGACTGCAGTGATGGAAGAGCCTGCAGGGACTATCTGGAGGTGCTCAAACAGCACAAAGTGTGCCTACCAGAAGTGGGACTTTGTTAAAAAAAAAAAAAAAAAAAAAAGCAAAAGGCCAAGTCCCAACCTTGGCCTACTGACTGGGTGGGGCCAGGGAGTATAGATTTTAGGTTTCGTAAGTGAGTCAGTCATACACCTTGGAGGAGAACTCCTGCTATTGCCTTACTTTCTCATTTTACAAATGGGAAACTGAGGCCCAATAAGTGGGGTAGCAGGGCCCAGAGGGGGACCAGTAGAATGATCTCACTGACAGGGAAGGAAAGGCATAACCATCTCCCACCCCCCAACCCCTTTTCTAGCCTGTTTTGTTTTGTTTCCATTATGGCAGCTGTCTCTCAAAACAGCTTCAAAAATGTGTTTCTAGCATCCTCTCCCCCCTTGGGTTGGTTTTAATTCAGGTGGAAAATGACTTGTTCACAGTAAAGCAAAGCTTGATTTCAGCCCAGCTGGTGTTTAATTTTCCCTGAAAACCTAGGATTCAGAGGCAGGAGACCCCAACTTCAGTCTTGGCTGGGCCGGAAAATCAATAGGCAGAGACATGTGGTGGGCCCGTGTGCAGGCAAAGGGAGCAGCATGTGCTGAGGCTCGGAGTAGGGAAGCCCCAGCCTGTGCAAGGAGTGGAACTTGGGGTGGGGGGGGCGGGGGTAGATGATCCCTGGAGTCAGAGTTGGAAGAGGTCCAGCCTCACCTCACTGAGACTCAGTTACCTCACCTGGAAAACAGAAATGATGAGCCTACATATTTAAGCAGGTTACTTGTTTAAAGCTTAAACAAGATTCTGGCCAGCCGCAAGGGCTCACGCTTGTAATCCCAGCACTTTGGGAGGCTGAGGTGGGCGGATCGGTTGAGCTCAGGAGTTCAAGACCAGCCTGGGCGACAAAGCAAGATCCTGTCTCTACAAAAAAAATTAGCTGGGCATGATGGCATGTGCCTGTAGTCCCAGCTACCTGTGAAGCAGAGGTGACAAGATCACTTGGGCCTAGGAGGTTGTGGCTGCAGTGAGATGTGTATAATTGCACCACTGTACTCTAGCCTGGGTGACAGAGTGAGACCTTATCTCAAAAAAAAAAAAAAAAAAAAAGAAAGAAGGAAGGAAGGAAAGAAAGAAAGAAAGATAGATAGATACATGCCTACATCAGTGTTTGATAACATGAAAAGGCACCTAGTCCAGGTTCACCCACAGTAGACTCACAACCAGGGTGAGTCTCTGACTCTGTGAGTCTGAGACTCTCAACAGTAGACTCACAGTAGACCTGACAGTGTTGCTGCTGACAGCCCTGTCTGCTCAGCTGGAAAAGCCTCATTCCCAGGACTTCAAATTGTAGAACCAAGCTGAGGAGCGGCTGGAAGCCAGAGTAGCAAAGAGACTTCCCAGCCCCATGAAAGCCCACATCCTCAGGGTGCAGGCACTCGCTCTCTAGCTGCCTCCCAAGCCCCGCCCTAGTAGTACCTCCTCAGGTCATCTAGAAGAGGCAGGCTTTCTCATGCTTCTTTTTTTTTTTTGTAAATTTTTATTTTGGTATAATTTTAAATTCAGAGAAAAGAGTACAAAAAACTCCTGTCTGTTTTACCCAGATTCATCAGACTGTTTAAATTTTACTTCAACTGCTTTATTATTCTCTATTTTTATGTATGCATACTGATTTTTTTCTATTAGTTGGGTAAGTTGCAGACATGGTATCCCTTCACCCTTAAATTATTCAAGTGTATATTTCCTAAAAATGAGGAAATTCTCTTATATAACCACAGTACAGTTTTTTAAATTAAGAAATTTATCATTGGCCAGGCACGGTGGCTCACACCTGTAATCCCAACACTTTGGGAGGTGAGGCGGGCAGATTGCTTGAGCTCAGGAGTTCGAGACCAGCCTGGGCAACATGGCAAACTCCTATCTCTACAAGAAATTAGCCAGGCATGGTGGCATGTGTCTGAAGTCCCAGCTACTTGGGAGGCTGAGGTGGGAGGATTGCTTGAATTGGGGAGGTGGAAACTGCAATGAGCCTTGATCATGCCACTGCACTCCAGCCTGGGTGACAGAGTGAGACCCTCACTCAAAAAAAAAAAAAAGAAGAAAAAGAAGAAGAAATTTAACATCAATATAAGGCTATTGTCTAATTTGCACTCCATATTCAAATTTAATTTCATTAATTGTAATGTCCTTTAAAATTTTGTGTTTTTTTCTCTTGGTCTCCTTAATTCTGTGACAGTTCCCCAGTCTATCCTTGACTTTCATGACCTTGACACTTTGGAAGATTGCAGGCCAGTTGTTTCATAGAAAGCGTCTCAATTTGGGTTTGTGTCAAGTGCTTTCCTCATGATTAGACTCAGATGATGTGTTTTTGGCAAAAGATACCACATATGTGATGCTGCGTCTATCTCAGTGCATCATAACAGGAGGCACGTGATGTCAATTTGTCCCACTATTGGTGTTGTTAACTCTGATCACTCGATTAAAGTAGTGTCCACCAGTTTTCTCCACCTTAAAGTTACTGTTTTTCCCTTAGTCATTTGTAAGTATCTTGTGGGGAAATCCTTTGAGACTATGTAAATATGTAGATCATGTTTCTCTTTGCATCTTTGCCCACTAGTTTTAGCATCCGTTGGTGATTCTCCAACTTCATCATTCCATCTACATTTATTATACCGTAAGGAAGAATTTTCCCTTCTCCCAATTATTTATCCATTTAATTATATTAGTGTGGGATTGGTAAGTTCTATTTCATCCAATGAGTTATAATCTGTTACTATTATTATTTATTATGATGCTCAAATTATCCCAGATGTGGCCATTGCGAGCCCCTTAGGGTGGCTTCTGTTCCCTTCTGTTATGGCCCCATCATTTATTGAGCACTTCTTTACTTTCTGGCCCAAGTTTTCAGGCTTATCTTGTAAGTTACCTGCCCCTTGCTCTCAAATCAACCTTTCTCCAAGGATCCCTGGTTCGTTTCAGTGGTGAGTCCAGAGCTCTGGCTCTTAACTCATTATTCTTTACCTCTTATCTCCTAGAAATTGTTTGGAGTAGACCTTGAGGAGACAGTTGAGGATTTTTTTTGGTTTGTTTGAGATGGAATCTTGCTCTGTCGCCCAGGCTGGAATGCAGTGGTGCGATCTCAGCTCACTGCAACCTCTGCATCCCGGGATCAAGTGATTGTCCTGCCTCAGCCTCCTGAGTAGCTGGGACTACAGGCACCTGCCACCACACCCAGCTAATTTTTGTATTTTGGGTAGAGACGGTGTTTAACCATGTTGGCCAGGCTGGCCCTGAACTCCTGACCTCAAGTGATCCACCTGCCTCAGCCTCCCAAAGTGCTGGGATTACAGGTGTGAGCCACCGCGCCTAGCCGACACTTGAGGTTTTGTATGAGCAGATGAACCCAGCAACTTTAGCTTATCGCTGGTACTGAGCCCCTATGAGTACCTATGGTTTGGTGGAGCCTAGAGAAACATGCGTCCTTTTATTATTATCACTATTAACAGAAATAAGCATTTTTCCTTTTTTTTTTTTTTTTTTTTTGAGACAGAGTTTCATTCTTGTTGCCCAGGCTGGAGTGCAATGGCACGATCTCGGCTCACCACAACCTCCGCCTCCTGGGTTCAAGAGATTCTCCTGCCTCAGCCTCCCGAGTAGTTGGGACTACAGGCATGCGACACCACCCCCGGCTAATTTTATATTTTTAGTAGAGACGGGGTTTCTCCATATTGGTCAGGCTGGTCTAGAACTCCCGACCTCAGGTGACCCACCTACCTTGGCCTCCCAAAGTCCTGGGATTACAGGTGTGAGCAACTGTGCCTGGTATTTTTCCTCATTCTTACTCACTGAGCCCCCACTCTGTGCCAGGCTGGGAGGAAGCAGCCCAGCTCATCAGGCACTTCATGCCAGGCTGAGGGTTTGGACTTCAAGCTAAGGGAACTAGCAGGGCACTAAAGGCCTTGAAGCCAGATGCATCCTCCTCTTGAGGACTCAGGTCCCATGTCTTTCGGGCTACCTCCTTACTCCTGACTTCAAGGCCTCATGGCCAAATCCCACAGAAATAGGAAAAGAAGGGAAACAATGCTCTTTGCTTTAAACAGAACAACGTGGCACCTTCATCCAGCAGAAGCATATTACCAGGCCCAGGAGCTAGCACAGCAGGAGGGGAGGGAAGTGGTGAAATATGACAAGCCAGATATTTCAAAACTGCCAGGCCAGAAAATCAGGAAGCAATGGACTCAGAGAATCTGACTCTCCTAATTGGGACTCCTTTAGTACAAACACAATGACTTATTTTCCCTATCCACATTTATTAAAGCATCTGTCCAAAGCATAGGTTTGTATTCTCTAAAGTTTGTCTCTCTGCCATGTACAGTTGAGAGGGTGGTTCACTGCTTAAAGTGTGATAGACATGGAGATGTGCAGCCCAGATTCCCCCTTCAAGGAAGGACCTGCTGCTCAGCTGCAGGGAGAGAGGTCATCAGACAGTCTCAGCTTTCAGTTCCTGCAGAGCCTGCCTCCACTGCTGAGGGCCACCTCATCTCAGGTTATGCCGTTGCTGGGGTAGCCTACATCTGGTGACTGATGGTGGCAGGAGTATAGAGGCCCATCCACTTAGATCTGATGCTGGACAACTTTGATGAACACTGCTGGTTTAGCTGAGACTTTGCTGAGCTGCAGCACAGGTCAGCTTCCCTCTGCCCAAGCCTGCTTCCCCGCTCCTTTCCTAGCTGTTGACCACTAATAAACATCACGTACCTCAAATTCTGTCTCAGTGTTTCTGCTTCTGCAGAACCCAACCTGAAACACAAGCGTATCCAGCCAAGGGAATGAGTGAGGTCTGAAAACAAGACCTTATTCTTCTAGCCAAGCAATATAAACATGAGACTTCATCAGCCAAAGCAGGCGACATTTTCTAATCTTCATTAAGGGATGGGGTGAATGGCAGGGAGCCCAAGACAATCCTTGCCCTGCCTTGGGACTCCCCACTGGGCACCTCCCACCTTGGCACTCCTCTCACCCACGCTCCCTCTGTCCACACCCCCTGCCTCCCTCCCCCCACCCCTCCCCCCCCCACTCCTCCCCCACCACTCTGCTCTGCTCTGGCTGTGGTCACTCTCTTTAAGCAAGCCCCCTCCCTCTGGATTTTCTTCCAATAATCCTCCCGAAAGGCTTCCCATTGTTCCAAGAGACTCGGTTACACCAGCACTTGTCTCCTGTCTCCTGCAGAGGAGCTATGTTGCTAGGTTTTTAAACTTATGCGGAGGTCCAGATGGAGGGTTGTCAATTTCTTCAGGACACTGCCAGGCCAGAGGTTGTCCAAGTTCGAAGGACACCCAGGAACTTCTGCAAATGGGTAAACCGGAGCGCAGTAAGGGTGAGGTTCTTGTTCAGGGTCACACAGTGAGCTAGTCATAGAACTAGGCATTGGCTGTCAGAACTTCCTGGGACCCATTCCTGCCCATTCCTCTGGCCACATAGTAGCTGGATTCACCTTATGTCCTGGTACTGAACCAACCCTTCCCTTTGGACCTCATCTTCTGGTCTCGACCTTTCCTGTCCACTCCTCCTCTCCCCGACCAAGCTCTCTCCCTCCCGCTCCTTCCCAGTCCCCTTTTTTTCCTCTCCCAGGCAGCCTGACGATCGCTTCCCCACTCTGTTTTGCCCTCAGAGCCCTTTGCTCACCTTCTCTGGTCTCGGACCTTGGTGTTGGTTTTTGCTTTCTGCCCATCTGTCTGAAGGGATCCTGGGGGCCCTGGCTGGGTCAATGTAGGGACACACATGCCTGGGTTGGTGGGTCTCACTCTGCAGCTTCAGCTTCCAGAGGCCAAACGTTTACACCAGTCCCAACCAAGGAGATGCCATGCTATCGCGATAAACAATTGCTGTGCTCTTCTGTGTGCCAGACCCTGAGCTGTGTGCTGCACATTCACGGGCCTTGGTCCTCACAAAACTGCTTGAGGGTAGTATTATCACTTCCATCACACGGACGAGGAAATGAATCTCAGGAGGATGAGGCCATGTGGCCACAGCCCTGTGATTAGTAAGAACCCCAGAGCCGTGTGATTCAAAACACTCCATGCCCACCTTCTCTTCTTCTGTAACTCCCATATCTCCACACAGCTGCAAGGACGAGGCCATAACTGCGACTGGACACACCAGAAAGCCATCTCAGAAAGTCACTCAGGCCATAAGTATCAAGGGATTATTGAGAGATTTTAAAATGTTCACACACTGTGTCCAGAATTTCCATGACTAAAAATCTACCCCAAGGAAATAAGAATCATGGGAAATAATTCTGTACAAAGATATTTGTAACAGTATTATTTGTCAAAGAAAAAACCTGAAAACGAAACTAAATGTCCAAGCCTACTTCTTACACCTGTAATCCCAGCACTTTGAGAGGCTGATGTGGGCAGATCACTTGAGCCCAGGAGTTTGAGACCAGCCTGGCCAAGGTAGCAAGACCTTGTCTCAAAAAAAAAAAAAATCAAAAAATTAGCTGGATGTGATGTTGCATACCTGTGATTCCAGCTACTTGGGAGGTTGAGGTGGGAGGATCACTTGAGCCCAGAAGGTCAAGGCTGCAGAGAGCCATGATCACACTACTGCATTCCAGCCTGGGCAATAGAATGAGACCCACCCCCCCTCCCCCCGCCAAAAAAAAAAAAAAAACCAAAAACCTAAAAACTATGGCATTGCTTTACAGAAAATACATCACAGACATTGAAAATGTTTACCAAGAGTTTTATAATATTATAGGGCAAATGTTTATTACATAATACCAAATAAAAATAGCAGGTTAGGCTGGGTGTGATGACTGACACCTGTAATCCCAGCAATTTAGGGGGCTGAGACAGGCTTATTGCTTGAGCCCAGGAGTTCAAGATCAGCCTGGGCAACATGGAAGACCCAGTCTCTACAAAAAATACAAAAATTAGCTAGGTGTGGGTGACGTGTCTGTAGACCCAGCTACTTGGGAAGTTGAGGTGGGCAGATCACTTAAGCCCAGGGCAGGGGGTTGGGGAGGCAGTGGGGGCGGGGGTGGAGGCTACAGAGACCCTATCTATAACAACTACAAAAAAAGCAGGCTAACAAAGAATAAATAGCCAAATAAATCTTTTTTTTTTTTTTTTTTTGAGACAGAGTCTTGCTCTGTCGCCCAGGCTGGAGTGCAGTGGCATAATCTCAGCTCTCTGCAAGCTCCGTCTCCCATGTTCACGCCATTCTCCTGCCTCAGCCTCCCAAGTAGCTGGGACTACAGGCACCCGCCACCACGCCCAGCTAAATTTTTGGATTTTTAGTAGAGACTGGGTTTCACCGTGATAGCCAGGATGGTCTTGATCTCCTGACCTCATGATCTGCCCACCTCGGCCTCCCAAAGTGCTGGGGTTACAGGTGTGAGCCACCGCACGTGGCCAGCCAAATAAATCTTAAGCAAAAAGGATAAAGCTGGAGTCATCACACCTCTAGCTTTACCTGACTTCAAAATTTACTAAAAAAATCTATAGTAACCAAAACAGCATGGTACTGGCATAAAAACAGACACATAGATCAATGGAACAGAATAGACAACCCAGAAATAAATCCATGTATTTACAGTCTACTGATTTTCAACAAAGCTGCCAATAATGTCCTTTGGGGGAAAGGACAGTCTCTTTAATAAATGGGTATGGGGAAAACTGGATATCTATATGCAGAAAAATGAAACTAGATCCTTATCTCTCATCATTAAAAAAATTAAATCCAAATTAATGAAAAACTTAAATGTAAGACCCCAAACTAGAAAACTACTAGAAGGGACCTAGAAGCAGCTTCTCTGCTCCTTCTTGAATGTCCACCTGGTTCAGCCCATCTGCCTCCACTCCTGCCTCCACCATGTCCATCAGGGTGACCTAGAAGTCCTATAAGGTGTCCACCTCTGGCCCCCAGGCCTTCAGCAGCCGCTCCTACATGAGTGGGCCTGGTGCCCACATCAGCTCCTTGAGCTTCTCCTGAGTGGGCAGCAGCAGCTTCCAGGGTGGCCTGGGTGGAGGCTATGGCAGGGCCAGCAGTATCGGAGGCATCACAGCTGTCATGATCATCCAGAGCCTGCTGAGCCCCCTTAACCTGGAGGTGGACCCCAACATCCAGGCCATGCACACCCAGGAGAAGGAGCACATCAAGAGCCTCAACAACAAGTTTGCCTCCTTCATCGACAAGGTACAGTTCCTGGAGCAGCAGAACAAGATGCTGGAGACCAAGTGGAGCCTCGTGCAGCAGCAGAAGAAGGCTCGGAGCAACGTGGACCACCAGTTCGAGAGCTACATCAACAACCTTTGGCAGCAGCTGGAGACTCTGGGCCAGGACAAGCTGAAGCTGGAGGCAGGGCTTGGCAACATGCAGGGGCTGGTTGAGGACTTCAAGAACAAGTAGGATGATGAGATCAATGAGCGTGCAGAGATGGAGAATGAATTTGTCCTCCTCAAGAAGGATGTGGATGAAGCTTACATAAACAAGGTACAGCTGGAGTCTGGCCTGGAAGCGCTGACTGATGAGATCAACTTCCTCAGGCAACTGTATGAAGAGGAGATCCAGGAGCTGCCGTCCCAGATTTCCCACACGCCTGTGGTGCTGTCCATGGACAACAGCCGCTGCCTGGACACGGATAGCATCATCACTGAGGTCAAGGCACAGTATGAGGAGATCGCCAACCGCAGCCGGGCTGAGGCTGAGAGCATGCACCAGAGCAAGCATGAGGAGCTGCAGACGCTGGCTGGGAAGCACGGCGATGACTTGCAGTGCACAAAGACTGAGATCTCGGAGATGAACTGGAACATCAGCCGGCTCCAGGCTGAGATTGAGGGCCTCAAAGACCAGAGGGCTTCCCTGGAGGCCGCCATGGTAGATGCCGAGCAGCGCGGGGAGCTGGCTGTTAAGGACGCCAATGCCAAGTTGTCCGAGCTGGAGGCCGCCCTGCGGCAGGCCAAGCAGGACATGGTGCGGCAGCTGCCTGAGTACCAGGAGCTGATGAACGTCAGGCTGGTCCTGGACATGGAAATCCCACCTACAGGAAGCTGCTGGAGGGCGAGGAGAGCCGGCTGGCGTCTGGGATGCAGAACATGAGTATCCAAACGAAGACTACCAGTGGCTATGCTGATGTGCTGAGCTCGGGCTACGGGGGCGTCACAAGCCCCAGCCTCAGCTTACGGCCTGGGCTCCAGCTTTGGCTCTGGCTGGAGGCTCCAGCTCCTTCAGCCGCACCAGCTCCATGGTTGTGAAGAAGATGGAGACCCGCGATGGGAAGCTGGTGTCCTAGTCCTCAGACGTCCTGCCCAGGTGAACGGCCATGGCAGCCCCGCCCAGCCTATCCCTCCTGCGGCTGCCCCAGAGCCTGTGGGGGAGGTTGAAGCCCACCCGCAGGGGGAGTTTACTGCCTGGGGTGTCCCACTTGGCCATGCCTCCAGCTACAAGCCAATTCGATTTTTTTTTCCAAAAGAAAACCTCAGCTAGCTATGCCAAAAAAAAAAAAAAAAAAAGAAAAAGAAAAAGAAAAAGAAAGAAAAGCAAAAACTAAAACTACTAGAAGAAAACATAGAGGAAACACTTCAGGACATTGGATTGGTCTGGGCAAAGATTTAATGGAGACCTCAAATGCACAGGCAACAAAAGCAAAAAATAGACAAATGGAATTAGATCAAACTAAAAAGCTTCTGTACAGCAAAGGAAACAATCAACAGAGTGAAGAGACAGCCTGCAGAATGGGAGAAAATATTTGCAAACTATCTATCTGACAAAAGACTAATATCAAGAATACACAAGGAACTCAAATAACTCAACAGCAAAAAAACAAATAATCTCATTTCAAAATGGGCAAATGAGCTGAATAGACATCTCTCAAAGACATACAAATGGCCAACAGGTATATGAAAAAATGTGTGACATCAATAATCATCAGGAAAATGCAAATCAAAATGGTGATGGGATATCATCCCATCCCAATTAGAATGACTACCATAAAAATGACAAAAAATAACAAATGCTGAGGATGTGGAGAAAGATGTCTTATATGCTATTCATGGAAATGTAAATTAGTACAGCCATTATGAAAACCAGTATAAAGTTTCCTCAAAAATCTAAAAATAGAACTAACATATGATCCCACAGTCCCACTAGAGGGTATACATCCAAAGGAAAGGAAATCAGTATATTGAAGAGCTATCTCCACTCCCATATTTATTGCAGCATTATTCACAATAGCAAAGATATGGAATCAATCTAAGTGTCTATCAGTGGATGAATGGATAAAGAAAATCTGGTATACATACACAGTGGAATACTATCCAGCCAGAAAAAAAATGAAATCTTGACATTCACAGCAATACAGATGAGCATGGAGGACATCATGTTAAGTGAAATAAGCCAAGGACAGGAAGAAAAATACCACATGTTCTCACTCATATGTGGGAGCTAAAAAAGTTGAGTGCGTAGAAGTAGAAAGTAGAATAGCGGTTACTAAACCCTGGGAAGGGTGGGGGATAGTGAGAGGTTAAAGGATACTGAATCACAACTAGATACGAGGAATAAGCCCTCGTGTTCTATAACACCCTAGGATGACTATAATTAACAATTTATTGTATATTTAAAAATTGCTAGAAGAGTGGATTTTAAATGTTCCCAACACAAATAAATGATAAATGGGCTGGATGCGGTGGCTCATGCCTGTAATCCCAGCACTTTGGGAGGCCAAGGCGGGCAGATCACTGAGTTCAACAGTTCAAGACCAGCCTGGCCAACATGGTGAAACCCTATCTCTACTAAAAAGACAAAAATTAGCTGGGGATGGTGGTGAGTGCCTGTAATTCCAGCCACTTGGGAGGCTGAGGCAGGAGAATCACTTGAGCCCTGGAGGTGGACGTTACAGTGAGCTGAGATCATGCCACTGCACTCCAGCCTGGGTGACAGAATGAGACTCCATCACAAAAAAAAAAAAAAAAAAAAAAAAAAAGATAAATGTTTGAGGTGATGGGTATGCTAATTACCCTGATTTGATCATTATGGATCATATACATGTATTGAAATAGCACACTGTATCCCATAAATATGTACAATTACTACATGTTAACTAAAAATAATAATAGCTGGATGCGGTGGCACGTGCCTGTAGTCCTAGCTACTTGGGAGGCTGAGGCAGGAGGATCGCTTGAGTTCAGGAGTTCTGGGCTGCAGTGTGCTGTGCTGATTGGATGTCCACACTAAGTTTGACATCAACAAGGTGACCTCCCAGGAGCGGGGGACCACCAGGTTGCCCAAGGAGGGGTGAACCAGCCCAGATCCAAAATGGAGCAGGTCAGAACTCCCATGCTGATCAGTGGGACTGCACCTGTGAATAGCCACTGAACTCCAGCCTGGGCAACATAGTGAGACCTCATTTCTAAAAAAAATTTAAGAAGAAATAGCAGGTTATAAAATTATACAGAAAGGTAGGTCTCAACCATAACAAAGTGCTCTGCAGTTAAAAAAAAAAAAAAAAAGGAAGCATGACTCTTCAGCAGCTCCACTTCCTCAGGGTTCCCCGTGTGTCATGCACACACCTCTAACAGCAATTTCACTCTGACAGTGTCTCTTTGCCTTGTCTCTCTCTCTCTTTCTCCACTGGACTGTGAGCATTTAGGGTGGGGAGCAGTTGGGTTTTAGTTCTCTTTGATAGAGCAGCATCCAGGACAGAATCTGTCCCTGAGTGGATGCTTAATCCACATCTGTGGAATGAATGAGCAGATGAATGAAAGGAAAGGACGGGAAGGCTGGACCAGATCCCAAGCCACTCACTTCCTTGAAATCAGAGTTCCCCCAACCCAAACCCCACTAGGATTCTCTCCTAAAGCCTTTGGCAGTTTTGTTGCCTGAGAAACAAGAAGGCCCTTCTCAGCAGTTCCCCCATCATCCTATGCCTAGGGACTTGGGGCTGGAGGCCTGAACAGCCACTCAGGAGCAAGCTCTTCATCTATCATTTCCTCTAATCTTCATAGCAATAAAATATCAGAATTGTGATTCCTCATTAACATTTGCAGAAACTAAGCCTCAGGGCTTGAAATTTGCTCAAGCTCTTATAGCTAGTAAGTGGCAGAATTCAAATCTCCCTGTCTCCAAAATCCATATTCTTAGAGACAAGACTGCAAAAGTGACCTTGGACAAGCCCCTTCTCCTGCGTGAACCTTGGTTTCCCCTCTGGGTAATGAGGCTGCGGGTCCTCAGAGGGCTCAGCTATCCATTTCCACTCAGATAGTCCACCATAATAAAATGTCCCAACTCATCCTTCCCCAGCTTCCCTGCGTTACTGGAAGCAGCCTGTAACCTACCGGAATGTAGGACTGCAAGCTTGCCAAGCGAGGCCATGTTCACCTGGCTGGAGAAGAGCTCCTGTTTCTCCTCAATGCTGGCAGAAAGCCCTGGGAGCATAAGAGCACCTTATCTGCAACTCACCTAAACAGGTGTGTATGGGGTTGCTGGCCATTGCCTCACATCCCCCCCGCCTTAACCCCCTGGGTTGCCATCTGAGGGTTGTGGAGGGGCTTCATGCTGGCTTTGCTCAGGTCTTATGGCCAAGAGGCACCAAGAAACACAATATCTCCCCCTGCCCCAGTACACACCCCACCCTCAGGGAAAACCCTTATAATAACAGCCCGCACCTGCAGTCTCCCACCTTAGCCTAGTAAGGTAACCAAGACACGGATGGCAGCCGCATGTTATAGCTGGGGATCCTGGGGCTCAGAAAAAGACAGTAATGTTCCAGAGACTATCCAGCAGTTAAGTGGCAGAGCTGAGACTGAGTTCCAGCCCCCAGGCCAGTATTTAGTGCTTTCCTTCCAGAGCCCATGTTAGTCCAGGTCATGTAGCACATTTATTGACCCCTGCCACAGGCAGGGAACCATGAGGCCAAGGAATGGGCAAGATGCAGCCTCTGCCATTGAAGGGTTACAGTTCAGAGGAGCAGAAGGATAAGGTCTCATTCAGGAGTTAATAAATGAAGATTAATAAGATTACAAAACAAGTGGATGAGGTGTCAGAGCAGGGGGGGTCCTAGTGCTGCCCAGGAATGGCGGGCACAGAGTGGGAGCCTGCAGAGCCTGCTGAATGCAAGGCTGGCTGACTGAATAAGGGGCTGTTTCACTACCCAGAGGGATGCAGGAGGGTGGCAGGGAGGGGGGTTGAAGGAGAGAAAGATAACTGAGCAGAGGTGTGGCAGAGGGATGAGGACCCACAGTTTGACATACGTGCAGGATGCACCTCTGAAAGGATAAATAAAGCTGTAAAAATTCAGTAAGGCCACATTTTTGTACCACTTTAAATGCCAAGCCAAGTATTTTCAAAGATTCTCTGCAGATGAAGGCTGCTGTTATAAAATATGGTTTAGAAGCATTAATTTGGCAGCAACACAGTAACTAATCAGAGAAACAACGGCAGCCCCTGGTGGATATGTGGGCAGGGTGAGCCGGAGGCAGGGAGGCAAATGAGGATGCTGGAGAGGCTGGGCCAGGGCCAGCCAGGGACAATGGGAAGGGAAGAGCTGGTGGGTGACAGGGGCTGGTGTCTGACATCGCCTTCCTCTGATCCAACAGCTTGGCCTCCCTGCTGGCCAGCCTCAGCCCCACCCCATCAGAGGGTCAGCCCTGACCCAAGAGGAGAATAAGAAGGCAGCCAGCAGCCAGTCTCACAAGCATTGCTGGTGGTCAGCTTCCTCTCTGGATGAAGCACATTAACATGGTGAAGCTCCTGGCATGCCCCCTGGCATACAGGACCACTCAGCCCCTAGACCCGGGCTTATATCTTTCAGACCCATAAGTGCCACTTCATCTGGATGTGGGACTCTTCCTCCAGCCTGCCAGAGCTGGAGTTAGGACCCTGAACCCCAAGCTGAGCTACATATGGCCCTGATGCCAGGAGCCACCCGGACCTCCTTGTGGGCCTGTGTCTGTCCTCCTCGTTCTTACTGCAGTTAACAATGCTGTATTTGCTTACTTGATTTTTGTCTCTGATATCCTCCAATGTCAGCTCTTCGACACTAAGACCCACACATCACTTGTTCACAATTATATCCTTCAACTAGCATGGTACCTGACACCTACAGATATCAAAAATGGTTGTGGGATGAACGAGTGACTGTTACCCTCATAGTGGGTGCCCTTACCCAGCCAGGGGTCATGCTTATTTCCTAAGGGTCTGCCACCCCCTCCACCTCCACTCTAGGTTGCCTCAGAGGCACTCACACCCCCATGGGGTCTTACTCACCTCCCCACTCTCCTACCCTAATCTCACTGGACTTGTCCCAGGCTGTCCTTAACCATCAGAGTCATGCCATGGGTTAAGGGCCTAAAGGACAAATAAAAGTCCCTCCCCACCCCATCCTCCCACTACTTACTGTGTGGTGGTGTCTATTATACAGAGAAGTCGTGGTTGTGTCTTTCTGAGATAGGGCCATCCTGGGGGCCACCAAGGAAGGCCCCTGCTCCCCTGCTAGAAGGAGGTAGGAAATGGAACTTCTGGGCCAGGCAGGGTAGAGGAGAGCTCAATCCCTCTTGGTCTGCATTTGGAAAATCTGGAAGAATAGAAGAAACTTCTGGAGCCAGGGGAGAAAGATGGCACTGAGATCAAGGCAGGAGACACCCAAGCTCTGCCCCAAAAGAGTTTTCCAGGTTTGGGTGCTGCCGGGAACAATTTCCATTGTTCTTCCCCAAGCCTTTATCTGAATGGTCTTTACCACCCCCACTGGGCTCTGAGCTGTCGCCTGGCAGCTGCCGTTGGTTCAGGCTGATTCTTGGATGCTGGAGGAACAGCGCCTCCTAGAGCCCAGGAAGGTGGAGCAGCAGAAGTCAGCAAAAGCCCCCTAGACCCCCTGTGTCAGGGCTGCTTGAAGAGCCTGGTGTCACAGCCAGTCTGGACATTTCTGAATTTTATTTAGCCCAAGAAGCCTGAGCTTCCTATGGTGGCTTCAGTCCAGCAGTTAGTGATGCTGTTCCCCTCAGACCCACCCCAGGTGCAGGGGCAGGTGCAGCGATCAAGGAGGCACCACCTCATCCCAGGGTGTCCCTGCTCAAGTCTTCTGCCTGCCCCGCCCTGCCCCAGGCCTCCTCAGTCTTGAGACAAGAGGTGGCTGCTCCCTACCCCGAGCTATGCAGAAGGGGCAAGCTTGGTGTGCAGGACTTTCCAGCGAGTCCTTCGGAGTTGCTGGACCGCTTAACTGGACCTCGAGATAACTTCTCCCAGAGCAGATGGGTGGGGACTGGCGGCTCCTTAGCTGTAACCTTCCTACCCCAAATCCTGTTGTTTCGAGAGTTAATTCTGGAGCCACAGGGAGGATGGGAGGCATTATTGCCCTTCATACCTCCAGAAGTTCTCTTTCAGGCACAGGAAAGGGGTTTTGGCATCTGCCGTGCTTGCAGTTTTCCAGACTGAAACGTCTGTATCAGTCTTATGACTCAGAAATTCTGTTCCTGTGCCTATGAGGAGGGAGCGAGGGGCGGCGGGAGAGTCCGCCGGCCCGGGAGTAGATAAGGAAAGTGGGGTTGCTGCACTGCAAGTACACGCATTATGGATATAATGGATATATCTTAAAATCAAAGTGTTTAATGAGAAAAGTAGGAAACCAAGTGAGATTTTTATAACATAATGCCATTCCTGTAGTTAAAAATACATGCATAGACACGTGCTTATTTTTAGCACTGTGTTATTGCCTCTGGTGTTAATAAAATGAACACATGACTCTCTGGCACCTGTATGGAAAAGACTTAAAATACTTATTTTTAGGATATGAGGTGAACATGTTTTTGTCCAAAATCTGGACATTAACTTCATAGGCAAAGACGATTACATAACATCTCTCTTATGTTAAGGACTTTTTAATCTGGAACTTCTGCATAGTCACATAGCTGGAAGGAATTTCGGTGGTATTTTCAATAATTCAGTACTATTTTTTAAATGTGCTTGAAAATTCTATAAATTGACTTAGGAATACTATACTTAACTGGGAATGTAAGTATACATACTATATTTTTACATATGTATATCCACGATATATTTTGCTCCCCAAATTATTTTTCATCTTCACATTGCATTGGCCCTGAGTTTGAAATAACAAGCTTATTCTAAGCAGAGAGGAAACTGGTGAAGGAAGATGATTTTGAAGAGAGTTTTGAGAAGTATTTATGTTTCTTCTCCCTTTAAAACTCTTGAAAATAATCATAGCCACAATATCCCACTTAAAAACAATTGACAATAATTTTAATATAATCAAATATTCAGCCAGTGTTCAAATTTCTAATTGTGTTTCATATGTCACCAAAAAATTATTTTATTCTGTTCAGATTGTTTGAATCTTGATCTAAATAAGTTTTGCAGGTTGTGATTCTTTTAACTATCAGTTTCCTTTACATGTCTGTCTGTTTTTCTTTACAGCCTATTTGTTTAAGAAACTAGATAATAAGGCCCAGTGCAGTGGCTCACACCTGTAATCCCAGAAATTGGTAGGCCGAGGAGGGTGGATCACTTGAGCCCAGGAGTTTGAGACCAGCATGGGCAACATAGCAAAACCCTGTCTCTGCCAAAAAACAAAACCAAAAATTAGCCAGGTATGGTGGTGTGCACCTGTAGTCCCAGCTCCTCAGGGGGGCTGAGGCAGGAGGATCACTTGAGTCTGGGAGATTGAGGCTGCAGTGAGCTGTGATCATGCTGCTGCACTCCAGCATGGGTGACAGACGAGACCCTGTCTCAAAAACAAAGAAAAGAAAAGAGAAAGAAAGAAACTAGATCATTTATCCTGTAGAGCTTCCCACAGTATAGAATGACTGATTGCATATCCATTGTGTCCTTTAATATTTTCTTCTATCTCCTGTATTTCCTGTAAATTGCCATTTGAATCTAGATTCAGGTCCAATTTTTTGGCAAGAATACTTCATAGGAGGCCTATGAGGTCTGGTTATCTCAATTTGTGATATTAGCAGACATTGCTGATCAGTGCCACTATCCATTAATTAGGGATTGCCACATGGCAATATTCTAATTCTACCATTTCTTCTTGATTTACGAGCTGAATTACTTCTATAAAGAGAAACGTCTCCTTATCTACTATTTGGTTACCCAGTAGTAGTTTGTACAGTATAGGCGGGATAAATGCTCAATTATTTCTCTTTATCAGTTTATGAACCACCGAATACTCCAAAGGTGACCAATTAGATATGTTTTAGTATCATTATGAACTCATGGAGTTAAACATATTTGATGTGCTTCAATCCATTGCAATTTTTGCCTTTATTGATGCAAAAATGGTCCCATCTTTGGCCAGAGGGGGCCTCTTCAAGTTGACTCCTGAGTCCTTTGGACACCACCCTAGCTGTCTTAGAGAACTTTCTTGCCATCTGATATGGCCAATGTTCCAGTCACCTGTTGTCCATTTCCTGTCTCAGACCTGGAATCAATCACTTTTTCAGGGAACACTAGTTCTTTTACTGGGTATATTTCAAGAAGATAATCTAGGTACTGGGGTGCTCATAGCTACTGAAATGCTTATTGTTCTTAGGTCTTTTCTGAGGTCAGAACTAGGAAATACATTTTTTCTCAATATAAATATAAGGCACATCATAAGTTCATATTGATACTTTCAATTAAATTTAGGTCTACAGGGTGTTTGCACAACCTCTTCCTTCTTCCATCTGTACCTCCTTTCTCCCATGTCCAGAATCTCATTTCTCAAAAACACCAGGAATTCCAGAATTAGAATTTCACATAATTTCTCATTTGCTTCATTCCACACTGCACACAACAGTCTCAGAACACCAATACCAAGTCTCCCATCAGCCAAGTGACTGCTGAAAACAATTTAAGATTTTCGTTTGTGTATTTGCAGTTCTTTTTGTCTTCAGGCTATATCCTTTTGGGGTTGTACAGTCAAATTACTGTGTTTAGAACAGTTCATCTGTGTGCTGACTCCACCAACCAGATGCACATTATGTTTATTTGCTTCTTTTTGGGGGGATTCATTTTTATGTAATTTTTTTACTTTTATGAAATATTTACTCAGTTCCAAAGTCACATGTACAAAACAAGCTATCTTCAAATAAGTCCAGCTTCCATCTCTATCTCTTCCGTTCTGCTCCCTCTCTCCTCCTACAGGTAGCCACTTTTCATTGCTTTATCCTTCCATTGCTTGTGTGCTTTTAAATATAAGCAGATACATTTACATGTTTATATATTTGCATCCCTGCCTTCCTTAGAGAACTGTGAGACACACATTCCTTTTCTTAATGATATATTCTATATGGAAACAGTCTTCACTTCTTTCTCCAGCTACCTAGTACTTCTTGGCATGGCTGTACCATAGTTCATTCAGCCAGCCTATTGACAGACATTTGGGCTGTTTCTCATTACAAATAGTCCTGCAACTAATTGCCTTTTTTGATTATGTTTTGTTTTGAGACAGAGTCTTGCTCTGTCGCCTAGGCTGGAGTGCAGTGGCTTGATCTGGGCTCACTGCAACCTCTGTCTCCTGGGTTCAAGTGATTCTCCTGCCTCAGCCTTGTGAATAGCTGGGACTACAGGCACGCGCCACCATACCCGGCTAATTTTTGTATTTTTTTAGTACAGACAGGGTTTCACCATGTTGGCCAGGCTAGTCTCCAATTCCTGGCCTCAAGTCATCCACCCACCTCAGTCTCCCAAAGCGCTGGGATTACAGATGTGAGCCACCACGGCAGGCTTGCCTTTTGTATTTTGATCTGAGTTCATTTTAGATGCAAATCCTGTACATCCTTATTTCACAGAGTTTTTCTATATTACCAATGTGGTCAAGACTCTCCCCTGCTTAAAACCCATCAACAGTTTTTGATCATTCATAGGATAAAGTCCAAATTCAGCTTGACAGACAGCACCCACCAGACCTGCCTGGCCCCTCATATTGGTCTATCTTCTTGTCAGAGGCATTCGAACCAGAGCGACTCCATTTTGAGTAAGGGCTAGGAAAATGGGGCTGGGAATTGCTGGGCTGCATTCTCAGAAAGTCAGGCATTCCTGGCCTCTAGATATTTACAGTTAAGGGAAAAAATTAATAATGTTTACTAAACAGACCCAGACGGGAATGTCCAGATATCCTGATATCTGGAGAACACAGGCATTCCTAATTTTGCTTTAAAGATAATAATATCAATTCTTGCAAAATATCATAATTAAGAAAATTAATCCTTTATCACAAACCCTTGTAGCAGAGCACATCTCTCCATATATACAAGCATTGTACCCAGGGTGGACGCCTTCCTCCTCTTACTTTCGGGAACGTCCTGCTCTGTCTATGGAGTAGCCGTCCTTTCACCACTTTACCTTCTTAATAAACTTGCTTTTACATTGCACTGCGGACTTACCCTGAATTATTTCTTGTGCAAGATCCAAGAACCCTCTCTTGGGGTCTGGATCAGGATGCCTTTCCTATAACATTCTGGCCCTCTCTACCCAGCACCTCTCATGCCCCTCTCTACCAAGGAGGAAGCCCACACTTCCCTGACTCTGGGCTGCCCACACATGCTCTACTCTCTGCTTAGAAGGCTTGGTATCCTTCTTTTCTTCACCTGGCTAACTGTATAGCCTGTGTGAACTTATCAGTGTCAATTCACGGATTTCCAGGCTGTGATTTTCTTTCTTTCTTTTTTCTTTTCTTTTCTTTTTTTTTTTTTTTTTAAAGAAGATGAGGCCTTTAGAACCTGGGCTGTGATTTTCTTATGTCCATCTCCTCCTCACTGATGGCACCTTCAGAGCTGGGGCTGACTTAATATCCTCAATGGCTGGGCACAGTGACTCATGCCTGTAATCACAGTGCTTTGGAAGGCCCAGGCAGGAGAATTACTTGAGCTCAGGCATTTGAGATCAGCCTGGGTGACATAGCAAAACCCCATCTCTACAAAAAATTAAAAAATTAGCCAGGTGTGGTGGCTGCTTCTGTAGTTCCAGCTACTTGGGAGGCTGAGGTGGGAGGATCTCTTGAGCCCAGGAGTTCAAGGCAGCAGTGAGCTAAGATGGCACTACTGCGCTCCAGCCTGGGAAACAGAGCAAGACCCAGTTTTATACATTTTATATACATATATATTATATATATATATACACACACACACATACATATACATATATATTTTATATATAGGTATATTATATAGGTATATTAAATACACATATATAGGTATATTATATAATACCTATATATAGGTATTATACATATACATATATATGTATCTCCCCAGTGACCAGCAGAATCCCAGTGGCTCTGTGGGCTCAGTAAATGTTTGTGGAATTAATGAATACTTGTCTTGCCTTTCCTTTCAAATAAACAAAAACAGCTCCAGGTTACAGCTGTGTCTCTTGCCAACCAGAGAAGCAGCTGCACTATAACGAAA
Source organism: Homo sapiens (assembly GCF_000001405.40). Lineage (NCBI taxonomy): Eukaryota > Metazoa > Chordata > Mammalia > Primates > Hominidae > Homo > Homo sapiens. Next base: position 76,967,921 of record NC_000015.10, on the reverse strand, counting down.
TCTCCTTGGTGTTATTCTTTTTGTTATCCTTCTGAAGGGAAAACATTTTACTCTTGTTAGGTGTTTATGAGAAAGACTGGAGCTATCATCATTGTGGGGGTGGGGAGGGGGTGAGGAGGGGGTGAGGAGGAGACTTTCTAATCCAGAAACTCAAGTAGTCCAAGAATTTTATGACAAAGTTCTGGTTCTGTTGGAAAAAACAGACTCAGAGCCAGCAAGTCTGGGCAGACAAAGGCAGGCCCTGGCTGGCGGCCCTCCCCTCTGTGGCAAGTCCATGGGCCTTCTCACATTTGGCCCCTTTAGAGTCTGGGAAGTCCCCCAGGTTCACCTCTGAAATCCCACCACCAGGGCAGGCTCTGACAGTCTCCTAGGCTACCTTCAAGACAGGTTTCCCCCAGCATGGCAAAACCAATTCTACCCCTGCCCTTCCCATTGGCGCAGGCTTTGGGGCTCCCTGCCTTTTCTCCTGTCTGCACCAAAGGTGGTGAAAGGCTTGGTTAAACTCAAATTGCAGCCTCTGCCATCTGCTGCCCCTGCAATCCTTGACCCCAGCATGGAAAGCCCTCACCGTGTGCCATCCCTGGAGAGGGGCATGTGAGGTATGTGGCTGCAGCAGTGCACACACTCACGTCTTTCCCCTTCCCCATAAACATCACCACCTTGGTGACACCACATCCAAGGAAGTGTGTGGGCAGCTCAGGAAAAGCCTGGGAGGGGAGCAGAAGTTCCGGTTTGGAAAATTCTCAAAGAACCACAGAATCAAAGGAGCTCCTGTCGGAAAGGACTTGATATGCACCCAGGATATTCCAAAGAGGTGTCCACATGGGAGGGCTCCAGATCCCTATTCCAGGGATCACCAAAGAGGCCCCGCTTTGTTTTATAAATTGTGGTACCATGGTGTATTATCTCATTCGAAGAAAGAGTTCTGCTTTAAAACATGATTTTAAAGTCTGCAAAATATTGACCCTGGTGCAGTTTCTTGCCTGATACAAGAATTGCCTTTACTATGGCATCTCTGTCATGCGACCATACAGACTTACATACTCCCAGTGCCAGGAACTCCTTTTTACTCCTAAGATGCCATCCCATTGTTGGTTAGCTCTGTATCAGAAGAAGCCCCCAACTGTTTTTTCATGGCTCACTGCATATGCCTCTTGTTCCTGGTCCTCTTCTACATGACGGGGCTGTGGCTCCTTGAGACAGAGCCCACATCCCTTCCCTCTCCCCAGCTCATCCCTTCTCCATATTAAGTGTCCTTAGGTCTTTGGTCTGCTCCTTTGATATTTAACAGACCATTACCTGCCCTAAAGGGACTCTCTTGTCAGAAGTAAAAATGTTTTATGGTTATCACCTCAATTTGCTCTGCCACTGTTTCCAAATAGCAATTGCTTTTCTCTTTAGAGTAAATGTTGTTGTTTTTCCGCTTGTGAGTTCTTGCCCCTTTTAAAGGTGTGAAGATTGAAGGCTGCCCACCTCCCAAGTCCCCCCTTCCCTCCATTCACAGTTGTTGCTGACAGGGTAACAGCAGCCTTACGATGAGGATACTTCAGGTGCACAGAATTGTGAAGCAAAGAATAAAGACTAAACTACAAGTAAAGCCATTTGATGAACCATTCCAGTAGAATCATGTTGAAATCGATGGTTCCGACTGTGCATGAGAATCCCCCAGAGGACTTGTTAAAACACAGATTTCAGGCCGGGCACAATGACTCACGCCTGTAATCCCAGCACTTTGGGTGGCCAAGGCGGGTGGATCACATGAGGTCGGGAGTTTGAGACCAGCCTGACCAACATGGTGAAACCCCATCCCTACTAAAAATACAAAATTAGCTAGGTGTGGTGGCACATGCCTGTAATCCCAGCTACTCAGGAGGCTGAGGCAGGAGAACTGCTTGAACCCAGGAGGCAGAGGTTGCAGTGAGCCGAGATCGTGCCATTGCACTCTAGCCTGGGCAACAAGAGTGAGACTCCATCTCAAAACAAACAAACAAACAAACAAACAAAACCCACAGATTTCTGGGCTCGCTCGAGAGTTTCTGATTCGGAGGTCTGGATGGGGCCTGGGTATTTGCATTCTTACCCGTTCCCAGGTGATGCTGATGCTACGGGTCACGGAACTGCATTTTAAGAGCCACTGGAGTACACGGCTATATTAGTCCATTTTCATACTGCTATGAAGAAATACCAGAGACTGGGTAATTTATAAAGAAAAAGAGGTTTGTTTAATGGATTCAGAGTTCCACATGGCTGGGAAAGCCTCACAATCATGGTGGAAGGCGAAGGAGGAGCAAAGGCACGTCTTTCATGGTACCAGGCAAGAGAGTGTGTGCAGGGGAACTGCCCTTTATAAAACCACTCGATCTTGTGAGACTTACTCGCTATCACTAGATGAGCAGAGGAAAAAACCCACCCCCCATGATTCAATTACTTCCCACTGGGTTCCTTCCACGGCATGTGGGGATTATGGGAGCTACAATTCAAGATGAGATTTGGGTAGGGATGCAGCCAAATCTTATCAATGTCCATGGAGAAATATCCCCAAAGAAAGCAAGGTTGCAAGGCACAGAAGTGTTTCTAAGTGCCCAGTAGGAAAGCGTGTGCCAGGGCCTGCACAATCCACAGCTGCCTGGGCTTACCTGGGCTTCTTCCTGAGGCGCTTCCTCCCTCACCAGCAGCACCTCCTCACAAATCAAGTCTCACAGGGCTGGACACAGAGCAGCCGACACATCTAACCTTCCCCTGCTGACCATTCTATCTCAGAGAGCAAAGGAAACTTCTCCTTTGGACCCAATTTTGGCCACTAAAGAAAGAATTAACAAGAAAACGGCCATTCTTGTCTTGGAGGTGGCAATATCTAAGCATAGTCATGCCCTCATCATGCATTTAAAACAGCTGTGTGCGTTAAATGCCTGCACACATTTCCTGAAGACCTTAAAAAGGCAAATTTCAAAATTCTGAGAACACAGGTTTTCAGGATATGTGACGTCCAATGGATGAGAACTACTTTAAAGTAACAATAACAATCACAGCTCTGGAGAAAGAGAAGCCAGATCTGGGCTGACATCTGGGCAGAGATGTTAGGATTTGGAGGTTTCTGTTGGTTTTAAAATATTTAACACCACCTGAGCATCAAAGACTGACAACAAACTGTGAAATTTCCCAGACCAAGAGGGAAGGCAATTATGTTCAAGGGGCAGAGCTGTCAATTGCTGGCCAATATATGCAGACAGGGAGGCTTCATCTTTGGCATCTTAACTCCAGCTGCTGAGTTCATCTCACCTTGCAGCTTTATCAAAGCTTTGCCCCTCCCTCCACCCTGGTTTTTGTTTGTTTGTCTTTTGTTTTTGTTTTTGTTTTTGCTTAGAAAGTCACTTTACCGAGATCCTGAAATGCCAATGTTTTCAAACCCTCATCAGCTCTTATCAGAACTTAGATGGGCTTTAATCAGAATGTGTGTATTTCCTGTTTTAACCTTTAAAAGCAGCTGTGCCAGTACCTGCTGAGGTTTCATGAGGACTGTTTTATGACAGCGGGTTCCAGAACTTTTCTTCACTTTGTGTTTTGGCCATGCTTACCTCATCCTTCTCTTATTACCTAGCAAGGAAAGAATTTCCTTTTTTTTTTTTTTCCTAGTCTAAACATTCTCCCAGGAGAAAAACCGTCGGTTTCTGTATTGACTAATAAGCCCAAAGAGCCGGTTAATACAAATTAAAGTTCATTTAGAAATTCATGGTAGGTATGAATCAATATAATTCATATTAATCATATTTTTCTACCTGATAGAGCATAAAAAGTGGATCAACTTCCTAAGCTTGCACTGAAGGAGCGGATACAGGGTTTGCTTTTTAATGAAGCATGTCAGACTAGTCCTGTTGATGGTTCTGCCGCCAAAATGTCTCCACTCTCTGTTCCCACAACAGTTGTTCTACCCAAAGGCCCATTATTCCCTTCCAGAAACGTCTACACCCTCCTAACTGATCTCCCCACCTACTAATAATCCGTTCTCCACACACTTTCCTCAAAATGCAGATCTGGGCACCGGTTCCTCTCTCATAGCCTGCAGGATCACCGGTTCCTCTCTCATAGCCTGCAGGATCAAGTCCAAACTCCTCCTCGTGGGGCACCACAGAGCATCCGTCCCCGCCTGACCTGCCTTCCCAGCTTTGCTTTGCCCAGGCTCCCAGCTCAGCACACCTGACGTGCTATTCCAGCCTCTGTCCAGCCATTGCTAGTCTCTCAAGCAGACAGGAGTTCATTCAGTCATTCGTTTCTTCCCTCACTACACATCAAGCCCCTATTCTGTCCCTGGTCAACAGCTTTAAGAACAACAGTAATAGAGCCAGGAGCAGTGGTTCTGGTCTGAAGTCCCAGCTACTCTGGAGGCTGAGGTGGGTGGATCACTTGTGGCCAGAAGTTCAAGTCCAGCCTGGGTAACATAGTGGAAACCCCCGCCTCTAAATCTTTTTTTTTTAATTAGGTTGGTGCAAAAGAATAATGGTTTCTGCCATTACCTTTAAATGGCAAAATCTGCAATTACATTTGCACCAACCTAATAATTAAAAAAACAGTAATAACAGCTAACATTTATTGAGGACTTTGTGTGCCAGTCACCGTTCTTCAGGAAAGAACTCATTTAATCCACACAATGACCCTATTAGGTAAATACAGGAACTTATCAACCCCACTTAGCAGTAATAAAATAGAGACCCAGAGAAGCTAAGGAACTTGCCCAAGGTCAGACTTCACAGCTTATGGGTGAAGATCCATAAGTGTTGTTGTGGAAGTGTGAAATTGTAGTGGGAGACTAGGGGGCTTCAACCATTCATTCATTCATTCATCCATCCACTCATTCAGGAAGCTTTTTTTTGGAGCAGTTATTATGTTCCAGGAACTGTTCTAGGTGCTTGGAAATACGAAAGAAGAAAACAACCCTGCCCCCTGGGATCTTCTTATGTTCTAGTGGAAGGAAACAGACATTATAAATACATTATGTTTGAAGGTGGTATACTGTGGGGAAAAAACAAGAGCAGGCTTAGGGCTGGGGAGTCAGTATGTGGGTGGCAGGTTGCAGTATTAAATAGGGTGGTAAAGGGCAGCTGCATGGAGCAGATGACTTTCACCAAGAGCTAAGGGATGTAACGCAGTCACCCTATAGCTATCTGGGAGGAACATTCTTGGGAGAGGGAACAGCTGGTGTAAAAGTCCTGAAGCAGGAGCCTGGCGTGTGTTTGAGGAACTATCATGGTGTCTAGTATGGAGGGAGAGGAGTAAATGAGGGGAAAACAGTAGGAGATGATCCTGTAGGGCTTCTTAGTTATTGTAAGGACTTCGGCTCTTACGCTGAGTGAAAAGGGGAACAGAAGCAGACGTTCTATGCTCTGGTGCCCTGTAGAGAGTGAATAATGGAGAAACCGGTAGAGGGTGGGGAAGAGGCAACCATGTTAATGCAGCCAAGAGATGACGCAGGCAATGGCAGTGGAGATAGCAAGAAGTGGCTGGATTGGACATGAAGTGAAAGGTGGGAGTCAAAGACTCGAAGGTTTCTGGTTGGGAGAGTGAGGAAGGCTTCACTGGGACTGACTAGGAGGTCTTAGGGACTCTACCCTGTCTGCTTGACAGGTAGTTGTATACAGGTCTGTTCCTCTGATTTGATAGTTAGCTATTAAAGGGAAAGGCCCCTGTGGCAGCCATTTTTGTTTCAGGACCACCATTTGCACAACTCCAGGGTGCTCCATTCACAGTGTGATCTATGGGCAATGTGCTGCTACACCACCATGTTTCACCTGTGAACAGCTCAATAAACAACTTTGGAAGGAAGAAAGGCAGGCAGGCGGGCGGGCGTCTCTTTGGATTATCACAGATTCATTTGAAGTCACACACCCCAAACTGGAAATCGGTCATTTAAATTCATTTAATACTAGCATTACCCTTTTTAAAAATAACATCTACTTTTTAAAATTCCTACAGACTTTTTTTGTCTTTGAAAGTTAAATTGTTAAATTCATCATCTCCACTTTTAAATTCCTCTCATAAAAAGGCAGTGTTTCTTCCTGTCTGTTTAAATCATATTCCACACTGAAACTGGTTATGTAACTTAGGAATGAAAACAATATCAGGCCTTACTTTTAGTTTGTCTCCTGGGAGGTTGGGCATGGGGGAGGGTGTACAAGAAACTTACTGAGGTAGAGGTGGAAAATCAATAAAGTCACAACCATTAAAGCAATTTAATTAACTCATTCTTAATTAACTGGGAAATATAAAATTCTTTTCAGTAAATGTATCTAATGTAAAATACACTCCAATTCCAACTGGTTGCTAGGGGAAAGCCGGCAGAGAGAAAATGTGAGAGCTGGAAGGAAATGGAAAGATCCACTAGTTTGACCTCTTCGTTAGCCCTCTGCTGGGGAAACAGACCCAGGGAATATGAGAGAGCTACCTGGCAACAGTTTTAATGTTGAACGTCCCACTACTGAATGGCAGTCAGAACTTCTGACATCAGCTCAGTGCTTTTCCCAGACACTGTCCTGCAGCTTCCTGTGAAGGCAGACACAGAAAACAAGACGATGGGCTTTCAAAACCAGGCTTTTTGTTTTGTTTTTTGAGATGGAGTTTCGCTCTTGTTTCCCAGGGGATCTCGGCTCACTGCAACCTCTACCTCCCAGGTTAAAGCTATTCTCCTGCCTCAGCCTTCCCAAGTAGCTGGGATTATAGGCATGCACCACCACACCCGGATAATTTTGTATTTTTAGTAGAGACGTGGTTTCTCCATGTTGGTCAGGCTGGTCTCGAACTCCTGACCTCAGGCGATCCGCCCACCTTGGCCTCCCAAAGTGCTGGGATTACAGGCGTGAGCCAACGTGTCCGGCCTAAAACCAGGCTCTTAAAGCAACTCAGAGCAAGTAGACCAATGGTTCTGAATAGAAAGTGATTTAGCACCCCCGGGACACTTGGGCAACGTCTGGAGACATTTTTGTCTGGCACACCTTGGCTGGGGGAGGGAAGTACTAGCATCTCATGAGTAGAGGCCAGGGATGCTAAGATCCTACTAAGCACAAGACAGCCCTCCTCGCCCCTCATGAAGAATTATTCTGCACAAAATGTCAACAGTGCCACCGCTGAGAAACCCTGAGCTAGAACGAGCTTTCGACCCTAGCCGCATATTAGAATCACCTGGGCCACCTTGGACCATCTGAATCAGAATCTCCAGGGAGGGGAGCCAGGCATCGATATTTTTGAAAAGCTCCCCAGATGGTCTTAATGTACCCCAAGTTTGAGAATCACTGATTAAACCTCCACAAATTGGAAAATGAACAAACAATCAAGCAAATAAGACATTTAGCCTCTACTATATGTCTGGTGGAAACTGAAGGAAACATAAAGTCATCAGTAACACAGTCCCTGCCTCAGGGAGCTTACAGCACCGGTGAGAAACAAACCAAGAAGAACTGTCATTCATTGAGGCTAAGTTAGGCAACAAATGAAGAGCAAGGGTGGGAAGCGTGATGGGAAAGGGTCAGCGCATGGCAGCAGTGGGAAACCAGGACTCCCTGGGGTCATTGCCAAAGCCAAGCCTATTTGGTGGAGACTGCCTCATTCATTTTGCATCTTGTTATACCTTTACTTCTATGATCAGAAAAAGAATTATTTTCTCACTCTGCTATAACCAGATTCACCGTTTATCTTTCTCCTAAAATTATAATTGTACATAACTTAATAATATTAAATATAATATATTCTATGAGTAAATTCAGGCTGCATTATTATTTTTCTTTAACATTATACAAGTTATACAAGCAATTTTGTGTAACTGATACATTTAAAAAATAATGGTCCTCCAACTGTGATTAGGTTAAGCCTATCTTTCCCAGTGGGGGGTTGGTTCCTTAAGGATATCTTGGTCAGATTCCTTCGCTTGCCTGTCATTTTTGTGGCTATAGCTCCCTCATTTCACTATTTAAAACACAGTATTTAAGACACAGTCTTCCTCATTTTTGACTGGTCTCTATTCAAAACTGGTTTCCCTTAGAGGCCCTGGTGGTTCCAGGCAGTGATTGTCAATCCTAAAGAGATTCAGTGCTCCCTTGCTATAATTACAGCATTTGCTTTACAATCTTGAAATGAAATTCATAGGCAGTATAACTTATCTACATATAAAAATTTAAAAAGATCAATATGTACTGCTTACTTCTCTTCCCCTATCTATTCTGTAACCTCCTATGACCTGGCCTGCCCTGTGATTATCTCCACAGATTGCATCGACCCGCCTCCTAGCTCTCTGGCTTCGTGGTACAGCAGGCCAGTGGGAGGCACAGACAGGAGATGCAACAGAGGAGGAAAGAGATGAGGGCATTTATCCCCTGACCCAGCAAGATACCTACAGTACAGGCCTATCTCTCTGGTCACAGCTCATGGAGGTAGAGGGGGGAGGGGCTGGGCTTCACCATCATACCTGTCCCAGGCCCCTTCAGACCAAGGGGCAGCAAAGACTTCTGCTGTTGCTTATCCCAGGGTGTCTCACCAAGCCCAGTTGGTTCCCTTAAACCTGCCCTCTACTTTGCAAATATTGAACCCCCCGTTTCCTGTTGTAGCAGGTGGTGGGGTTGGGGAGCTTACTGATACACAGTGTAATGCTCTAACTAGAATAGGAAGGAGGAAAAAAAGGAAAGTAATTTTTATTAAAGGAGTATTATTTCAATCTTGGATATGACTTTACCAGAGACATATTGAAGTACTGTGGTCAGATGTTTGCACTGCAAATGGCCTAAGGACAAATGCAGGCAGTGGCAATGCCATTTGTGACTTGGTTTTCTAAATGGCAAATAACTCTTGAGAATGTTCTGAATAAAACAAAGCATCACATTCCTTTGATTTACATAGTAGCTGAATTTCTGGAAATGCTATGTACATGAAAACTATATAAAAATAGTTTAAAATAGAGTTTGATTCTAGGCTCAAATGATCATAAGCAGGCCTTTCATCTACATCAGGGGTCTGCAACCCCTGGGCCACAGACCAGTACCGGTTCATGGCCTGTTAGGAACCAGATGCACAGCAGGAGCTGAGTGGCGGGCAGGCGAGGGAGTGATGCTGCATCTGTATTTACAGCTGCTTCCCATCACTCTCGTTACTGCCTGAGCTCCGCGTCCTGTCAGATCAGTGATGGCATTAGATTCTCCAAGGATTCGAACCCTACTGTGAACTGCGCATGCGAGGGATCTAGGTTGCATGCTCCTTATGAGAATCTAATGCCTGATGATCTGTCACTATCTCCTATCACCCTCAGATGGGACCATCTAGTTGCAGGAAAACAAACTCAGGGCTCCCACTGAATCTACATTATGGTAAGTTGTATTAATATAATTATTTCATTATATATGATAATGTAATAATAATAATAGAAATAAAAAGCACAATAAATGTAATGCACTTGGATCATCCTGAAACCATCCCCACAACCCTGGGTCCATGGAAAAATTGTCTTCCACAAAACCCCTCCCTGGTGCCAAAAAGGTTGGGGACCACTGATCTACGTGAATGCCCATGGGATGTTCTAAAACCATGAAAGACAGAGGACAATTAGTTCTTATACAAGACTGTCTCATAAATTGTAGCATCCTAGGGTTCCTGACCCTGCTTTTTGTGTGTGTGTGTGTGTGTGTGTGTGTGTGTGTGTGATGGAGTCTCGCTCTGTCGCCTAGGCTGGAATGCAGTGGCACGATCTTAGCTCACTGCAACCTTCGTCTCCTAGGTTCAAGCGATTCTCCTGCCTCAGCCTCCTGAGCAGCTGGGATTACAGGTGTTTGCCACCACGCCCAGTTAATTTTTGCATTTTTAGTAGAGACGGGGTTTCACCATATTGGCTAGGCTGGTCTCAAACTCCTGACCTCAGGCGATCCGCCTGCCTCGGCCTCCCAAAGTGCTGGGATTACAGGTGTGAGCCACTGTACCTGGCCGACCCTGCTCTTTAAGTGCTTTTAAAATGTCCCAAGGGTGCTCTCATTGAGCACTAAATTTCAGGGGATTGCAGTGGGGTGGGGTAGTTGTGTAGTTTGCTGGGGGGCGGGTGGAGCCAGGTGGGGGTTGGTGACCATCTCTGGTAAGGATGTGCTTCTCTCTCAGGTGGTCGTCACTATTCTTGGCTCACACTGATTAGTGAAGCCTTCTGAGGAGTGGCTTTCTGGTGGGAAAGCCATGTGAGTTATGTTTTTTCTTTTTAAAATGGGCTTATGATGATATAATTCACATGCCTTAAAATTCACCCATTTACGGTGCACAATTTGAGTAAAAAAAAAAGAATGATTAAGACCTACTATTTGAGAGCACAACAGAGTAACTATGGTCAAAAATAACTTAATTGTACATTTTAAAATAACTTTAAACACTTAAGGAGTGTAAGTGGATTGTTTGTAACTTAAAGGACAAATGCTTGAGGGGATTGATACCCCATTCTCTATGATGTGCTTATTTCACATTGCATAAGTGTATCAAAACATCTCTTGTATCCCATAAATATATATACCTACTATGTCCCACAAAAATTAAAAATTAAAAAATTTTAAAAAAATAAAGTGCACAATCCAGTGGTTTTTAGTATACTCAGAGTATTGTGCAACTATCACCATAATCTAATTTTAGAATATTTTCATCACCCCAAAAAGAAATCAGGTACTTATTAGCCAACACTCCATACCTCTATCCTCAGGCCGAGGCAAACATTAACATACTTTGTCTCTATACATTTCACATAAATGGAATTATACAATATGTGGACTTTAATGATTGGCTACTTTCACTTAGGATAATGTTTTTAAGGTTCATCCATGTTATAGCACATATCAGTACTTTATTGCTTTTTATGGTTGAATAATATTCCATTGAATAGATCTACACCATGTTTTATTTTATCCATTTATCACCTGATGAAAGTACAGATTGATTCCGTTTTAGGGGCTAATATAATAGTTCTGCTATGAACATTCTTGCACACGTTTTTGTGTGGATATGTTTTCATTTCCCTTGGGTATATACCTGCGAGTAGAATTGCTTGGTCATATGGTAACTCTGTATTTAACTTTTTGAGGAACTGCCAGACTGTGTTTTCCAAAGCAAATGGATCATTTTGCATTCCCACCAGCAAGGTATGAGGGTTCCAATTTCTCCACATCCTCTCCAACACTTGTTGTCTGCTTTTTCATTATAGACACACGTTTAAATGGATCTGAAGTGGTATTTCAGTGTGGTTTTTATTTGTATTTCCCTAATGAGCATCTTCTCATGTGTTGGTTGGCCATTTGTGTATCTTCTTTGGATACAAATCTATTCTGATAATTTGCCCATATTGTAATTGGGTGATTTGTTGTTTTGTTTCTTAGTTATTGAGTTATAAGAATTATTTATATATTCTAGATATATAAATATAAATCACTTAGCAAGTATATGGTTTGCAAATATTTTCTCTCATTCTATACGTTATCTTCTCACTTTCTCGGTAGTGTCTTTGAAGCACAAAATTTTTAATTTTGATAAAGTCCAATTTATCTATATTTTTGTTTCATTCTTTTGCATGTAGCTATCCAGTTGTTCCAGCATCATTTGTTGAAGAAGTTATTCTTTCTCCATTGAATTTTCTTGATACTCTTGTCTATAAATGTGAGATTTTATTGCTGAACTCTCAATTTGAATCCATTGATCTATATGCCTATCCTTATGCCAGTACCACACCATGCTGTCTTAACTACTGTACCCACATATATTTTCAAATGGGCCTTACAAGGGCCTCCCCCACTTCATGCTTGTCCTTATATGAGGAATCCAGCTCCTGCTCAACCTGTCCAGAACTGACAAAACCCACAGGGCTTAATAAAGAGGTAAATTGGAAATCATGCTGCTTAAGGACACTTCCACCGTCTTGGACACACCTGACTCCCATGAAAACAGCTCATTAAGATGCAGTCAGTCAAAGTGTGCAAACCACATGCGAGTTAGTGAACTAACAGATGGGACCACCACAAGAATTAACAGAACAATCCCAAAGTATTTTAAGATATATTTAAATATCCAAAGAGATAAAGAATATAAAGATCACAAGAACAGACTAAGAGACATTAAAAAACACAGTGACTGAAATAAACTGATAATGTGTCAGCTCTCTCTCATCTTGTATCATTCTATTAGTAAATTTATTCAGTGACTATCTAGTATGTCCTAATCACATGCTGGGCAGGGGAGATACAGTGATGAAGAAACAGTTGCAGCCCTCAAGGAGCTTACTTTTTCTTTTTTTTCTTTCTGAGACAGGGTCTTATGCTGTTGTCCAGGCTGGAGTGCAGTGGTGTTATCACAGCTCACTGCAGCCTCAACCTCCTGGGCTCAAGTAATCCTCCTGCCTCAGCCTCCTAAGTAGCTGGGACTACAGACACAAGCCACCACATCATGCTAATTTTTTTTTTTTTTTTTTTTTTTTGTAGAGATGAGGTCTCCCTGTGTTACCCAGGCTGGTCTTGAACTCCTATCCTCAAGCAAATCTCCCGCCTCAGCCTCCCAAAGTGCTAGGATTGCAGGCATGAGCCACTGTGCCTGGCCTTTTTCACTTTAATGTAGGACAATTGATTTCCAGGTAAACTTTTTACCTTTTCTTTTTGCCAAATGAAATTTTATAAATTAGATTTTCTTACATCTTTAAATTTAGCAGAAGGAAGGTGGCATCAAGGTAAATCATTCTTGCCTCTTTCCTTCTCTAAGCTCCTAGTAATAGTTGTTTTGCTTTGGTGGGTTATTTGGAAGTTTAGGAGAGTTTTGCCTAGTCATTTGGGATTGTAAAGTGGAAGGGCTAAAGACTAATTGCTATATGACAGCGAGGTAAAATAACTGTAGCTTAGTCATAGCTCAGCCTCAGCCTAGCCTCCTTACCACCATGAAGGGAGTCCACAATTAACTTCAATCAAGTTTTTCATTACAGAGTACTCTTACAAAATAAATCACTTGCATGACATCATTTGTTGTAGACGGAACAACAAAGCATTAATTCAGACAGGCCAGCAGCTGGCACAAAAAGACCTTAGTTTATGCTTTTAGTGTGTCATTGTAATGGAACAGTCTCTCTACTTAGGTTACCAATCACTGCTAATGGTACAATAACTGAGCAAAATGTTGATGCCCTCTGTTCATTGGAACCTGGTCTCAGAAGAAAAATATCTCTGTGGAACAGAAAGCAAAAGTAGGGTTTTTTTCTTTAAGGTATGAAAAATCATGATTAAAAGCTATGAGATTTTTAAAAATCCCCATAATCACTTTAAAATAGTTTTATAAGCTCAAATGGTTTCCTTTCTACAGCTCAGGAACTAACTGGTTAATTTGAGATAAAGATAGGGCAAACTGTAGGTATTCAGCAGTACTTGTTTTTTTTGTGCTTGGATTGAGGTGTTTCCCCCCCCCCCCGCCAAATAAAATAGAGACGTTTTAGTAGCTGCACTGGAGGCCCTTAGGTAATTGGTTACTAGTTATAAAAAATTTTATAGCAGGCAGGAAATCTGGCCAAATATTTATTCGACAGAACTCAAATGTTGCAATGAAGCAAATTAGTTTTTACAGTTGTTTAAAAACTTTTACTCTAAGTGGCTTTCCTAAATCATCTTCCTAAGTGAAAAAGTGTAAGTTTGAGTTGACATTTCTCACTCAAAAGGAGGTATTGTAACACAAAAACGTTTGAGAAACAATAGCATACATTTATCCTCACATTTAAATTGCAAAGGAATGATATTCTGGAACAGGCAAAACTGTAGAGACAGACCATTAGGGAAATGCAAATCAAAGCCACAACGAGATACCACGTCTCACCCAACAGGATGGCTACTATTAAAAAAAAAAAAGAAAAAAAAAAAAACAGAAAATAGCAAGTGTTGGTAAGGATGTAAAGAAACTGGAACTCTTGTGCACTATTGGTGGAAATGCAAAATGGCACAGCTGCTGTGGGAAACACTATGGCAGTTCCTCAAAATATTAAAAATAGAATTACTAGTCGGGCGCGGTGGCTCACGCCTGTAATCCCAGCACTTTGGGAGGCCAAGGCGGGCGGATCACGAGGTCAGCAGATCAAGACCATCCTGGCTAACACGGTGAAACCCCGTCTCTACTAAAAATACAAAAAATTAGCCGGGTGCGGTGGCAGGCGCCTATAGTCCCAGCTACTCGGGAGGCTGAGGCAGGAGAATGGTGTGAACCCGGGAGGCGGAGCCTGCAGTGAGCCGAGATCGCGCCACTGCACTCCAGCCTGGGCGACAGAGCGAGACTCCGTCTCAAAAAAAAAAAAAAAAAAAAAAAAAAAAAAAATATATATATATATATATATATATATATATATATATATAGAATTACTATATGATCCAGCAATCCCACTTCTATGTATAATATATATCCAAAAGAACTAAAAGCAGGATCTCAAAGAAATATTTGTACACCCATATTCATGGCAGCATTATTCACAATAAAAGGTGGAAGCAACCTGTGTCCATCAAAGGGTGAATGGATAAGCAAAATGTGGTATATGCAAACAATAAAGTATTGTTCAGCCTGACGAAAGAAATTCTGGTAACAATATGGGTGAACTTTGGGGACGTTATGCTAAGTGAAGCCACTCACAAAAAGACAAATACTATATGAGTCTATTTTAATAGACACAAACTAGAATGGGGCTGGGCGCGGTGGCTCATGCCCGTAATCTCAGCACTTTGGGAGGCCGAGGCAGGTGGATCACCTGAGGTCAAGAGTTCGAGACCAGCCATGCCAACATGGCGAAACCCCGTCTCTACTAAAAGTACAAAAATTAGCCGGGCGTGGTAGCGGGCATCTATAATCCCAGCTACTTGGGAGGCTGAGGCAGGAGAATCGCTTGAACCTGGGAGGTGGAGGTTGCAGTGAGCCGAGATCGCACCACTGCACTCCAGCCTGGATGACAAGAGTGAGACTCCGTCTCAAAAAAGAAAGAAAAAGAAAACTAGAATGGGAGGCTGGGCACGGTGGCTCACGCCTGTAATTCCAGCACTTTGGGAGGCTGAGGCAGGTGGATCACCTGAGATCAGGAGTTCGAGACCAGCTTGACCAACATGGTGAAACCCCATTTCTACTAAATACAAAAAATTAGGGGGCATGGTGGTGCCCGCCTGTAATCCCACCTAGTCGGGAGGCTGAGGCAGGAGAATCGCTTGACCCCAAGAGACAGAGGTTGCAGTGAGCCGAAATCATGCCATTGCACTCCAGCCTGGGCAACAAGAGCAAGACTCCATCTCAAACAAAAAAACTAGAATGGTGTTTGCCAGGTGCTGAAGGGAAGGGGAAAGGGGGCTTTATTGTTTAATGGGTATAAATTTCCGTTTTACAAATGAAGTTCATGGAGATGGAAGGTGGTAATAGTTTCACATTTTGACTGTATTTAATACCATACCACCGAACTGTACAATTAAAAACTGTTAAGATGAATTTTGTTATGTGTATTTTACTACAATCTAAAAAATTATGAACAGTAAAAAGATCAGTATTGCTTGGGGTTACAGGGAAGGGAGGGATGAATAGGTGGAGCAGAAAGACTTTAGGGCAAGGGAAATATTCTACCACACTACAATGGTGGGAATATGTAATTATACATTTGTCCAAACCCAGAGCATGTGCAGCACCAAGAGTGAACCCTAATGTAAACTATGCACTTTGGGTGACAATGATATGTTAACAGTTTCATCGATTTTAACAAATGTACCACTCTGGTAGGTACTATCTCATGACATATAGGATAGGATAGTGGGGGAGGCTGTACGTATGTGGGGCAGGGGACATATTGAAACTCTCTATACTACTTTTTGCTCAATTTTGCTGTGAACATAAAACTACACTAAAAAAAAAAAAAGCCTATTTTTAAAACTGCAAAGGAAAGAACTAAGTAAGGCAAACATGATATGCTAGCTTTTCCTCTGAACGTCCTGGCTTCCTTTAAATTTATATCATAATCTAGACATCATTTTCTGTCCTGCAAATTGGCCCAATCAGAACTACATATGAGCCAACATGTGCACATCCCATTCAATTTTCCCCTTTGAAGTTGTACCTGAACTCAAATAATGGAAGTCATTAAGTCCTTCAGGCAGAATCAGCCAATGATTCAGAAAGTCTCAAACTATTTTTACTCTCATGCTCAAGGATAAATTCAAATTATCCTAATTATATTAAAACCAAAATAAAAGCTTTATTTTAAAAGTCTTATTTAAAATTCAAATCTAAAAAAAGCCTTAAAATTTTCTATTTTGACTCAGCAGTAGATATAGCATCTCTGTTCAAGCAGATGATTCTTTTTCTCTGCATGCTTATTAAAAGCCTATTGTTAAATGTGAAATCTTCACTCAGTCACAGCAGGATGGGCTCTGCTGTGGTTAAAAACAAAAAAGCACAACCAAATCTCAGTGGCTTAACATAATTAAAAGCTTATTTTTTGATCATACAAAGCCCACTGTGGATCCAGCTGACCTACACAGACTCAAGATCAAAGCCACTTTCATCTTGTGGCTGCACCATTTCAGCTGAGGCCTCCTGCACAGTGCTGTGGCAGAGGAAAAGGGTTTGTCATGAGATAGTCTGATAGTGACACACACTACTTCCACCCATGTTTAACTGGTCAGAACTAGCCATCGCCTACCTACAAGAGGGCTGGGAAGTGTAGTTTTCTTTATGCTAGGAAGGAAAGTAGTACAGACATTGCATTTCTGCAAAGGATTGAAATATAATCCATATCTGATGATCTATTCTGGCATAGATTTTGGAGAAGCTAGAGAGAAAAACAAATAGTTAACTAGTCAAACTGGTGATTTCAAATATGCCAGCTTCAGTGAGTCTGACAAATGACAGATGAGTGATAGTGGTAAATCTGTAATTCTAAAACTGCTATAGCCAGACATATAGTGTAGGTTAAAATGAAAACCATGTAGATACCCAAGCAAGCAGTCATTAAGGTGTGGAAGCTTACAATTTGCAAGCACACCTCACATCAGCAAAGATGCGGCAGTAGAGAGGTATATAGGTGCAGTCGATTCTATCAGAGAAGAGTTTCATGTCTTCTCAAATAGTCATAGGTACTTGTTGAGCCCCCAGTGTGCTGTATATGAGACAACTTTAGGCTGGAAAGTGATTAAGAGAATGCATAGCTGACCTCTTCACCCACAAATAAAAGTGATTTAAAGAATGAAAAACTAGAGGCCGTGCGCGTTGGCTCACGCCTGTAATTCCAGCACCTTGGGAGGCCGAGGTGGGCTGATCATGAGGTCAGGAGATCGAAACCATCCTGGCTAACACGGTGAAACCCGGTCTCTACTAAAAATACAAAAAAATTAGCCGGGTGTGGTGGCAGGCGCCTGTAGTCCCAGCTACTCGGGAGGCTGAGGCAGGAGAATGGCGTGAACCCAGGAGGCAGAGCTTGCAGTGAGCCGAGATAGTGCCCCTGCACTCCAGCCTGGGCCACAGAGCAAGACTCTGTCACAAAAAAAAAAAAAAAAAAAAGAATGAAAAACAATCTCTGTACATCAGAACTAGAAAAAAATTAATTCCTCCCTTCACTTTTCCCTATCCCACCTCCACCAAAGTTAAATAAGTTGACCTGCTGAATTAGGTTAAAATTGATTATCATGCTTATCAAGTATGATTTTAATTTCAGTAAAATTGATACTGAGCTCTACTGTTGATAACTGACCAGCTCTATTGGTAATTCCAACCTGCGTTACTCAAGATTATTTATAGCCCCAAAGAGCAAAACCACATTTGCTACAACACCAATTATTAAAATGTGTCAGGTGCACATTCAATTATATTATAACATGATTCTCTTATTTAAAAAAAAAATAAGAAAATGCAGCAAGAATAATTTGACAGTTTTGGGAACTATCCACATAAAGGAATGGATGAGGCAAGATAATGTACAATACCACAAAACCTATGCTAAATTCAATATTTATCTGAAAGTTAAAGAAAAGCAAACAAACATATACAAAGGACATTTCATTTTTAATCACTCAAAAATGAAAAAGGTTTGGACAATGTCAAATTCCACTCACCATAATGCTATAGTTATACATTAAATATAATTACTATCTATACATATGCAAAAATATAAAGTTCTATTTCATACAATAAAACCCTTTATAGAAACCATTTTAAAATTAAGCAGAACTTCTCAACATTAATATGTGAGGTCTAAGTCCTTCTAAAGGTTTCTTTAAAGGTTTTTAAACAAAATGCTAAACCTAAAAACATTGTCCTGTCAGTTCCCAAATTAAATCTACTTAGAACAAAAACAAAAATTTATAGCTCGGTCACATACTACTTAAATAATATTGTTCAGGCATCTCTAAAATCCTCCATGTTTTCAAGTATGGAAATAGAACTCAAATATTCCACAATACAGTACTAAACAGATGGAGTATTTAGGAAAGACTTTGTTGTCATATGGCACAATATTAATATTTTGTTGCTTCAATACATTTTGAAATAAATATCAGATTTTTGTTTTTTTTTCCTAAAAGACCAAAATTATAATCTACATTAAGATAATTCTGACTGTGGTTAAGACTTAAGAGTGTAAAATACAACATCAATATTTTATCACAAAAGTAAAGCTGGTAACAAATTATAAAAGGAGCCAGTACTCTACTGAGACAGGCTCAGAGATTAAAGCTCATCATGATAGAAATAGTCATCATGGAGCTGTCTGCCATAATCTGTGGCTTCACTGGTGAGAAACAAGTCCGGGTTTTCCAGAATCTCTTCTTCAGAGAGCTTTTTGTCACCATTCAAATCCATTTCATCAATTAGATGAAGCGCCTTCAAAATAAAACAAAAAAGTGTCAAGTGTAATAAGTATTTTCAGCAAGATGTTCACAATTTAATGTGATTTGACTTGTCAAAATCATCCAGGTGTACAAGTACTCATTATTGTTTAAGTATCTAAAAATGTTACACGTTGTAACCAGGTCCGTCTACTGCTTTTCCCATTATCTCCTTTCTTCATTTCTGCTGGGTTCTGTCTCTCTCCACTCAAATCCAATCCAGGATATATCAAGGCAATGAAAAATTATTATAACCTGTTTTGAGTCCCTGTAGGTAAATACAAACTATTATTCTATTCACTGTACTCTCAAATTAATACATGACACAATCTTAACTTCCTCGTCTCCCTGACAATCTAAACAGTTCGTAAATTCAAAACATAGTAATGCATCAATCCCAAATAACTCCATTACTTCTTTCTTTGGCTTAAGATTTTGAACTTCTTTTCCTATCAACAGCACCAAATTCGGGGGGAGGGGGTGGAGAGAAACAGTTGTTCTGTAACACTTACCTCCTCTTGTGCAATGCCCTGATTATTAGGTACTACCCAAGGTAACAGCTCTTGGGGATCAAGCCTGCCATCGTTATCTTTGTCATAATCATTCACGAATCTGTCTTTCTCAACAAGTATCCATTCTGGATCTTCATTTGCAGCTTAATATAAAAAAACACAAATATACATACACAAGAATATCACATGTATCCAATAAGAAGTTTGGTATATCCCTAGAATAAAGGAAGTGAATTTAAAGTTTACTAAAGAAAGCCCAATAAAACAGAACTACTTAACTGAAAAGTCCTGACATAAGAACAAATATATAGTCATTTTCAAAAGTGACACGAGTCTAAACAACCCAGTTTTAAAATCATTGGATGTTTTCACAAACTAGTAATTTTGTTAACTGCTATTTGTTCCGATATCTAGTTTTCCCAGATGTGAGGTGGGTAATGTTTTACTGTATATCATGTTTCTATACAAAGTTTCTTACATGTTTTCACAAAGTAATGCCATGTGTAATTTTAAAGTGACAATCAGAATAAGTAAAACTGGTGACCAATTTAAAAATGGCATTGTTTGGTGTCTTTAAGCAACAATTCTGAAAAAACAGCTGCTTATATAAAAGCAAACTCTTAATTTCAAACACTTATTCACCTTCTACTAAGCTTCTGATACTGTGTTTACACCAGTATTTGTAGTGTTTTATGTTTCTATCTCTTTTAAGATCCACCTGCAACAGCACAGGATTTTGTTTAAAAATATCTACCTTACTTCCTTCCCCATTTAAACTGATAATAAAATTAGATTTGTTTGAAAAGAAAGAAAAATGTTTGACTCTAGACACGGAAGTAAAAGTAAGCAAGACAGCGTTCTCAGATAAGCTATAAATCCATTTGTTGAACTTGTATTACAGTTAACGAAACAAGTAGGATCAGACACAGATCCTCATTACATTTCCTGTTGAAGAGAGCTTTCAATGAGCAAGGCTGTCTTTCAATGTCTTTCTTCAATTCCTTTTCTCTTTTCACATTCTCCCAGGTGACTTACTTGGATCCCACCTGTAATCACCAAGAAATTCTTCCAAACTAACAAATCCATCACCATTTTTGTCATGTTCTTCTAAAGCTTCTTGAATGACAAATTCCTATTCCACGTTCATTAAAAAAGAAAAAAAAAAGTTACAAAATGTTCAGTCCCACTGCCATCCGATTCAATTCTACTACAGAACTTCTTTAGAAATAAATGATAATTTTTGGAGCTCTAGTGGTGCAATCAGCTAGTAAGGTACTTATACAGGAAAAATCACTTTGGTTGTCCATATCTTCAAGACAATCCTTCTAAACACTGGAATTTAGAAGCAAGAATAAAACCTGAAGTACTATGTAGCTTTAAATTCAACATCCTTAAGCTTCTGATATTGTGAAGAACTCCACTTTCACTCTCATAAACAACCTCAGCGTTACTCTCATGCTATTTTCCGCACATCTCTCCCTCTCAAGAAAAGCATCTTATACTACCTTTGTCTTTAACTTCATTTGCCCTCCAATCCATGAACAACCCTAAAAGAGCCCTTACCTTAGAACTGCTGTTCTGCCTCCAGATCTAAAATGTACCAGCCCGCCATTATACCTCAATCTCCTTGCTTCCCCTTCAGCAAACCTAGCCCTATCCATCCCAAACTGCCCCCAAATCTGTTCCTCCCTCTTATCAAAGCTTCTTATCAAACAACCAATCCTTTTCCCTAAAGATGACCTGTTCAATGGCCAGCTGTTTCAGTACTTTCCTCAATATCTTCCTATCTCCTTTTTTTTTTCAGATGGGGTCTTGCTCTGTAGCCCAGGCTAGAGTACAATGGTATGATCTCAGCACACTACAACCTCTGCTTCCCGGGTTCAAGCAAATCTCCTGCCTCAGCCTCCAAAGCAGCTGGGACTACAGGCGTATGCCACCACACCCAGCTAACTTTTATATTTTTAGTAGAGACAGTGTTTTGCCATGTTGGCAAGGCTGATCTCAAACTCCTAACCTCGGATGATCTGCCAGCCTCAGCCTCCCAAAGTGCTGGGATTACAGGCGTAAGCCACTCCGCCTAGCCCTCCCCCTTCTTTTTTTTTTTAACATAGGATCTCATTCTGTCACCCAGGCTAGAGAGCAGTGGCACAATAATAGTGGCATCATAGGCTCCAACTACTGGACTCAAGTGATCCTCTCACCTCAGTCTCCCAAGTAGCTAGGACCACAGGTGCATGCCACCACACCTGGCTAACTTTTTTGTAGAGACAAGGTCTGCTATGTTGTCCAGGCTGGTCTTGAACTCCTAGCCTCAAGCTGTCCTCCTGCCTTGGCCTCCCAAAGTGCTGGGATTACAGGTGTGAGCCACCATGCCTGGCCCATCTCTGACTCTTGCCTTCCCTTAACACTTATTTAGTAAGTCAACATTCCTGCATATGCTTTCTTCAAAATGTTGCTCAAATCTATTTCATTCAATTGCCAGATAGAACTCTGGGCCGTATCACATTATGCCTAAATTATTTCATTGCTTTTACTGGTAATTCCCCTCTTTAGTCTTCAATTGTTCCTTATTCTCCAGAGAATCAAGATCTAGCATCCTTTGCCTGTCATTCTTGGGCTCAATTAGCTTTTCCCAACTTAATTTTGGTACTTAAATTACACCCAGCACTGTTCTTAAACTGGGTCATGTATTCTGTGCCAATGAGAAATTAGAAGCTTCACAATGGCAAGAGAAGTGGTATTAATGACAGTGTCTTACCACTGAGCTATGGAGAAAAATGTATCTGCAGCCTTGTTATGCAAGGCAGCAGGGTCTACCATGACACATTAAACAAAAAGATATATCTTCCTTCTTTGAAATATCCAGGGAACCAAGCCACGTAGCTGGAGGCTGATGTCATGCAACAGACTTCAATATAAATGTTTAGTCTCTTTTTTAAAAAGCTATTTGTTACATTAGTCTTTATTTCCCAGTGTGATGGTTTATGCTTTCAAGCTTGGCCAAGTCATAATAGGGACTCAATTTATGTTTGTTGAGTTAAACTTACAATTCAACAAAAGTTTTGAAAAACTGGTACTTATTTTAAATATTAAAGGGATGAGAGGACTCATTATACTTAAAATTGCAAAAACATTACTAGTTAACTAGCAGCTGCACCCCTACCAACCCTATGAAGAATCCAAACATGATGTTTTTCCAGACCAAAAGCTTTCATAAGTGATGTTGTAAATTAAACAGAAATCCTAATATTACTAACATTGAAAAACCAAAAAAAATCTGAAAGCTACAAAAGGATAAGGAAGGCACTGAAGGTAACACAGTTATGAGAGAAAATAGCCTGAGGAAGCCTGCTGTTCATACATAGTACAGAGATTTAAAAATTCAGTCTTTCACCTTCTCCCTCCCAATAAGCAACTTCGTCACCACAAGAAAGCCTCCTTACCAAGCCTAATTTTAAGTGGGGAGAATGAGCATCATTTTAAATCTGTGTATCTCTTAAAATTCTGGTTATACAATTCATTTTAACAACTTAATGAACAGGTTTTAAAGTTTTGGTTACTTGGAAATGTAAATTCATACAACCACTATGGAGAACAGTTTGGAGGTTCCTCAAAAAACTAAAAATAGAGCTACCATATGATCCAGCAATCCCACTGCTGGGTATATACCCAAAAGAAAGGAAACCACTATGTCAAAGAAATATCTGCACTCCCATGTTTGTTGTAGCACTGTTCACAAAAGCCAAGATTTGGAAGCAACCCAAGCGTACATCAACAGATGAATGGATAAAGAAAATGTACATATACACAATGGAGTACTATTCAGTCATAAAAAAGAAAGAGATCCTGCAACAACATGTTGATCCACACAACAGCATGGATGAACTGGAGATCATATTAAGTGAAATAAGTCAGGCACAGAAAGACAAACATCCCATGTTCTCACTCATTTGTGGGATCTAAAAATCAAAACAATTGAACTCATGGACATAGACGGTAGAAGATGGTTACCAGAGACTGGGAAGTGTTGGGGGAGGGGGCGCTGAGAACAGTTAATGAGTACAAAAAAAACAGTAAGAATGAATAAGATCTATTATTTGACAGCATAACAGGGTTGACTATAGTCAGTAGTAACTAATTATACATTTTAAAATAACTAAAAGAGTGTTCACGGGATTGTTAGTAACACAAAGGATAAAAGTTCGAGGGGATGGATACCTCATTGTCTATGATCTGATTATTTCACATTGCATGCCTGTATCAAAACATCTCGGCCGGGCGCGGTGGCTCACGCTTATAATCCCAGCACTTTGGCAAGCCGAGGCGGGCGGATCACGAGGTCAGGAGATTGAGACCACGGTGAAACCCCGTCTCTACTGAAAATACAAAAAATTAGCCAGGTGTAGTGGCGGGCGCCTGTAGTTCCAGCTACTCAGAGAGGCTGAGGCAGGAGAATGGCGTGAACACGGGAGGCGGAGCTTGCAGTAAGCCGAGATCGCCCCACTGCACTCCAGCCTGGGCGACAGAGCGATACTCCGTCTCAAAAAAAAAAAAAAAAAAAAAAAAAAGTCTCATGTATCCCATAAACATATATACCTACTATGTACCCACAAAAATTTTAAATATATTTTTTTAAAGTTTTGGTCACTCAATAATTCTCTTAAAAATGTTTCTTTCTTACCGTCATATAATCAACTTCTTCAGGATGCTCAAAAGCAATAAATTCTTCAAGACTCAAACCGGGACCTGAATCCTGGTTAGCTTTTTCAAATCGCTTCTTGTCCTTTAAGTGAAGCTTTGAAAATTAAAATTTCTCATTAGTATACCACATCATTTTAAATACTTTGAAAAATACAAACTATGTGAAATTTAAAGTACATTCCCATCCGTTATCTCATTTATCTTCACATCGTCCCTTTGAAGGTAAGCTACACAAATACATGTATTAGGGGCAGGATAGACTCACAAGCTCTAGAGTCATATAGACCCAGACCTGAATTCCAGCAATGCCACTTACTAGCTGTGGTGTCAGCGCAAACTGCTTAACCTCTCTGGTTTCCTCATCTATCAAACTGGGATAAAAATCTCTAATAAGCAATTGGGATGAGAATCCCTACCACACCATTAATAAACCTTAAGTATTTAGTGTTATATACTATTATTGATAGAAAAGCAGATTGAATGATTTGATAAAAGTCAGAAATACAGCTAAAAAATACTGAGCATGGCATAGTGGCGCACGCCTGTAGTTCCAGCAACTTGGGAAGACTGCATGAGCCCAGAAGTTCAAGGCCAGCCTTCACACCATAGCAAGACCCTGACTCAAAAAACAAACAAAACTACTGAACTTGGATCCTCCCTATTCTTTCTACAGTACTATACTGTCTACTTTAATAATTAATCTCAATACTTTTTTGAATGCCCAAAAATCAATAACTTTATACCATGTATTAAATCTTGGTAGGGCTTTTAAAAAATGTTTCTGGTCCTCTAAGTGACTTTTCAAAAATACATTATTGTTTCAGAAAAACAGTCTTCTTATGTTGAGAATCTCATAATATTAGTATATGTACCTAATATTTGGAAATCTTTTCTTTTTTGGGGGGTGGGGAGATGAGGTCTCACTCCGTCATCCAGGTTGGAGTACAGTGGTGCAATCTCGGCTTACTGAAACCTCCACCGCCCAGGTTCAAGTGATCCTCCCACCCCAGCCTCCCAAGTAGTGGGGACCACAGGCATGTGCCACCACACCCAGCTAATTTTTTGTATTTTTGATAGAGATGGGGTTTCACTATGTTGCCCAGGCTGGTCTCAAACTCCTGAGCTCAGGCTATCCACCTGCCTCAGCCTCCCAAAATGCTGGGACTACAGGCATGAGTCACCGTGCTCAGCCTGGAAGTCTAGTCTTAGCAGGCTCTTTATAGTGTTAATTCTGTATATTCAGATATAAATAACATCAAAAGTTTAAATGGATCCCATGTTAAGGTTTAATAAACACATATCCTTTTCTACTTTCTCTCCCATCTTCCCATCCACCCCCCTTTTTAAAAATGATTCGGCAGCTATCAGGGACAAGGCTGCTTTTGATAAAATTTTCAATGGTAATTCTGTAACCAAGAGCCTTGGGAGCCAATAATGCTATACTGCTAATCCTGCATAATTTCTGTTTTGAGAATTTCTGGGAATAGCTTTCCTTCCTATAAACTGATATGTATTAAACTGTGCATTTTTTTAAAGCACAATTTCAAATATTTTAGAAGCTTTTAAGTGTTTCACTACTGAATAAAAATACCCTCTTCAGTCTTCTAGAATAATAGAGGTCAGGTAGCAGTCATTTACCTAAACACTAGTTCTTTTACAATTACTGATTTACAGCGGAGAGGCTCACCTCTTTCCCCAAAGAATTTGTTTTATTAACATCAGACTCTACAAGCCAGTTATATTCACCCAATCATGACAGAAAAGAAAAAATAATAACTTGTTTCCAAATAGCTTTTAACTTAATGTTTCAAAATTTTAAATAACTAGACCAAATAATTTGCATTTTATGTTCAGGTTTAACATGGTAAAAGCAGACAAACAAGAATTTGAGGTACTTTGCTGAGTCAATCAAGTTCTTTTTGAATAAACCATTATTCAAAATACCAAGTGCTTTGATTTCCTTATGAAAGAACCCTTCACTTTGGAGCAAAAAGGTCCATGTTTCAGGAGAAGAGCTAAATTTGGCCAAATTTGCCTATGGAAAGAAAGGATCTCTTTCAACAAGCTGAGATTTCTTTAAAAAAAAAAAAAGTGAAGGGGGTAGCTTTTTCTGGTTCACATTTCACGGCCATTTGAAGAACACAAAATAAGAATAGCTCACATTAAATCGAAGAAGCCAAAAACAGAAAGACTGTTTTTTACAAATGGCAAATTCCTAAAAAAATAACAAAAAAGATGGTCAGTTTCATAAAACTTCAACACTCTTTTTTTTTCTTGTATATAAAAACTTTGTATTCTAGTAGAGGGTAAAAAGTGTTAGGTACAGTAATAAAAAAGCTACCATAATCATTTATTTTTAGATTACAACAGAAACTTGTGAGGAACAAAACTGCCATCTTTTGGTAGACTAATGATTCTACATGAGGAAATATATAATGTGTGATACTAGAACAAATGACTAGGCATTAAAAATTCTGATTAGCCACATGCAAGGTTATATCTTACATAAATAAATACTGCTTATACATGCACATTCAGCAGTCACGCCTGTAATCCCAGCACTTTGGGAGGCCGAGGTGGGCAGATCACCTGAGGTCAGGAGTTCGTGACCAGCCTGGCCAACATGGTGAAACCCCATCTCTACTAAAAAATTAGCTGGGCATAGTGGCACACGCCTGTAGTCCCAGCTACTTGGGAGGCTGAGGCAGGACGATTGCTTGAACCTGGGAGGAAGAGGTTGCAGTGAGCCAAGATTGCCCCACTGCACTCCAGCGTGGGTGACAGAGCAAGACTCCGTCTCAAAACAAAAACAAAAACAAAAACAAAGAACACTTGAACTTTTGCCAGATAGATCCCCAAACTTTAATTATCCTGTGTTGACCATAACTGTTCTTTATATTATAAAGAAATGCTTCTTCAGGCATTTCACAGCCTGAAAGGGTTATCTTTATTCCCTATATGAAAACTTATTAAATATAAGATAAAATTCAGACTGGGCATGGTGGTTCACGCATGTAATCTCAGCACTTTGGGAGGCCAAGGCAGGTGGATCACTTGAGGTCAGGAGTTTGAGACCAGCCTGACCAACGTGGTGAAACTCAGTCTCTACTAAAAAAAACAAAAACAAAAACAAAAATCAGCCAGGTATGGTGGCACGTGCCTATAGTCCCAGCTACTCAGGAGGCTGAGGCAGGAGAATTGCTTGAATCTGGGAGGCTAAGACTGCAGTGAGCCGAGATTGCACCACTGCACTCCAGCCTGGGTGACAGAGCGACACTCCCTCTCAAAAAAAAAAAAAAAAAAAAGGTGAAGTTCAGATATTAAGCTGACTTTCGTCAGTTATAACAGACTTTCTTATAGAAAACTTTATTTTATTCACATATCCAATTACTTTTTATGATTATTTTATTTATGGTATAGTGTTTAGTCTATAACTTTGAGATTGATTCATTCCTCATCCGTTATTTTTTATTTAGAAAAATAATGCATATGGTTTCTGGGTTCATCTTTACACTCCACATCAATTTTTAGGACGTTATTTTTTTTTTTTAAAGGGACAAGGTTTCACTATGTTGTCCAGACTGGCCTCAAATTCCTGGGCTCAAGCAATCCTCCTACTTCAGCCTCCTGAGCAGCTGGGACTACACATACACACAGGAAGTTACTTATAGCAAATTCTAAAAACATATGATTAGAACTTCATGAAGATAGAGACATATTCCTAGGCTGTCAAAAAAAAAAATAACCAAAAGGACTCCCATTGAAGTGTTCATTTTCGGGATCAATCTATTCCTTTAGGCTGTTAAGATTCATCTAATTCATCCTTTAAAAGCAGAGTGTTATAATCAACACATTCTAAGTAGCTGGTGGAGAACACAGAATTAGAACCAGACACCTTTTAAAAGAACTGTTCATAAACAATTTATGAGTCATGTATCTCTTCAAAGTGAAGATTTTCTTCTCAGCACCATCTATTACATCACCCCCTTCTAAGAATACAGGAACATGCACTTCTTATTTTTTAATGGGATAGTAATTAAGTCTTTTGAGTAACAAAAAATAAAAATAGAAAACATAATTAGAATCTAATTCCAGCAAGATTTTAAAATACTGTATTTAACTTCTCTGTTGTTCCTAGGAAGGGAAACCACACCACACCATGCTTTGGTTTTAGATAAGTTACATTGGTTTAAGATAAGTTAATTCCTATAGTAAATGGGGATACTTAATAGACAGATGATCCCAAATCTCATTATCACTACTTGTTTTTCCTTTAGTATTTACAAGCAGTAAAAAGACTGATTTTTACTCACTTTAGTCCACTGTAGAATGAAGACCCAAATAAAAAGAAAACAAAAGATACATTTTCCCCTTAAAAAATAAAATCCTAACTAATCTAAAGCTGATAGTTAACAAATGCATAAAGTTTTAAAAAGTTGATTAAATATAAATTTATGTGAACTGTAAATGCTTTCTTCAATATTCTTTTAAATCAAAACAGAACTGCTTGCCCCTCCAACTGCTACCATTTATTAATATTTATCCACACTATTATAATCCTAAAGAGGAAATTTTTATTTATTTATTTATTTATTTATTTATTTATTTATTTATTTATTTTTAGAAATGAGGTCTCTCTGTTGCCCAGGCTGCAGTGTAGTGGCATAAATATGGCTCACCGCAGCCTTGACTGCCTGGGCTCGAGCAATCTTCCTGCCTCAGCCTCCCAAATAGCTGGGATCACAGGACGGACCATCATGCCCATCTAATTTTTAAATTTTGTTTGGGCATTTGTTAACTAGACAGCTTTAGATTAGTTAGGATTTAATTTTTAAGAGGAAAATGTATCCATAGGGACGGGGTCTTGCCACATTGCCCAGTTGTTCTCGAACTCTGGGCTCAAGTGATTCTCCCACCTTGGCTTCCCAAAGTGCTGAGATTACAGGTGTGAGCCACCACACCTGGCCTGAATGGGAATTATTATCCTCATTTTTGGAGATGAGGAAACTGAGGCACATGAAAGTTTAATAACTTGCCCAAAGTTACACAACCGTGAAGTGCTGGAGCTAAATGTGAAGCTAAGCAGACTGGCTCTGAGGATGGAGCCCCAAACCTCCACATTGATGCTGTAGTTATTAGCAGAGAATTAACCAACTTAGAGTTAGTGGTGGCTTACAGAGTTCAAGCGGCCAATATGATTCTAAATAAATAGCACACTTAGAAAGCATTTACCAAGGAGGGAATGGGGTGTTGTTTAACAGGTACAGAGTTTCAGCTTTCCAAGATGAAAAGAGTTCTGGGGATTAGCTGCACAACACTGTGAATGTACTTAACACTACTGAATGGTACACTTTAAAATGGTTACAATAGTAAATTTGTTATGCACTCCTCCCTCCATATTTGTGAGAAATTGGTTCCAGAACCTCCCACAGATACCAAAACCCAAGGATACTCAATTCCCTGATATAAAGTGGCATAGCATTTGCATATAACCTACACATATCTTCCCAAATATTTTAAATCATTTCTAGATTACTTATAAGACAAATTACAATTTAAATGAGGAGTAAATCATTGTTACACTATATTGTTTAATACAATAAATTATGGCCACAACAAAAATTAAAAGGTATATACCAAAACAGGATAAGTTAAGAAACAGAAGAGCCTTGAATATTTTCCAAGCACCCTTGACTAATATTTTGGGACAGTTTGCAACAGCATGTTTGATTTTATTTTTATGTTTTTCTACACATAAAAACTATCTTAAAAAAATTCTTGGTGATCCTCTAATTACCCTGATTTGATCATTATAATATACGTTTGTGTGATATCAAAATATCACATGTACTCTGTAAGTATGTATAATACAACTATCATGTACCTATAAAAAAGATTTTAATTCTTTAAAATTAGCTTTGAAATACAAAAGTATTTGATATATCAATTTCTCAAGCTCACAGTCATTTCTGTTGATATACTTTTAGTTTAATAGACTTCCTAGAAGTGTTAAAAAGTTCCTAATTCCTAAATAAAATTAGTCTTTCTCAGCTCTGCTTAAGAAGCATATATTTCAACAAATTAAACCATGAGACACATTAGAACTCACACAGATACTAAATTTTCAAAAAATGAGTAATTTGGGGCCAGGTGTCGTGGCTTACACCTGTAATCCTAGCACTTTGGGAGGCTGAGGTGGGTAGATCACTTGACCTCAGGAGTTTGAGACTAGCCTGGGCAAGATGGTAAAACCCCATCTCTACAAAAAATACAAAAATTAGATGGGCGTGGTGGCTTGAGCCTGAAATCCCAGCTACTTCGGGGGCTGTGCTGGGAGGACTGCTTGAGCCCAGGAGGCAGTGAGCCGAGATTATACCACTGCACTTCAGCCTGGGCAACAGAGTGAGATACTGTCTCAAAAAATAAAAATAAAAAAAAAAAAGGAGTAATTTTAAAGGGTGTACTCACTATGAAAAATGGTACTGTGGTTTCTCAAAAAATTAAAAATAGAATTACCGTATGATCTAGCAGTATCACTTCCAGGTATATACCCAAACCAATGGAAAGCAGGATCCCACAGAGATTTGCAAATCCCAAATCCAAGATGCTTCAATGAGCATTTCTTTTGAGTGTCGTGTCAGTGCTCCAAAAGTTTCATATTTAAGAGCATTTTGATTTTGGAATTAGGGATACTCAACCTGTACATACAACAGAATATTACTTTGCCTTAAAAAGGAAGGAAATTCTGATGCATGCTACAAAATGGAAGAATCTTGAGGATTCTAAGTAAAAATAAGCCAGTTACAAAGACAAATACGGCGTATGATTCTACTTAGATGAGGTACCTAGAGTAGCCAAATTCAGAGACAGAAAGTAGAACAGTGGTTGCCAGGAGCTAGTGGGAGGAGGGAATGGGGAGTTATTGTTTAATGGGTAGAGAGTCTCCACTCTGTAAGATGA
The DNA here is from genome assembly GCF_000001405.40 of Homo sapiens. Lineage (NCBI taxonomy): Eukaryota > Metazoa > Chordata > Mammalia > Primates > Hominidae > Homo > Homo sapiens. The sequence continues at coordinate 76,936,891 of NC_000015.10, read as the reverse complement.
AAAGAGTCGGGGAGATTGGTTGCACAACACCATGAATGTACTTAATATTACTCAACTGTACACTTTAAAATGGTTACAATGGTCAATTTGTTACACAGTCCTCCCTCACACATTCCTGGGAAATTGGTTCCAAGACCTCCCTATCAAAATCTGAGAATGCTTAAGTCCCTGATATAAAATGGTGCAGTATTTGCACATAGCCTACACACATCTTCCTGAATACTTTAAATCACGGACCCTCAATCCCTAGGTCGCGGACGGGTATTGGTTCATGGCCTGTTAGGAACTGGGCCACATAGCAAGAGGTGAGTGGCAGGCATTACCGTCTGAGCTCTGCTCTGCCTCCTATCAGATCAGGGGTGGCATTAGATTTTCATAGGAGTGCAAACCCTACTGTGAACTGTACATGTGAGGGATCTTCGTTGCGCACTCCTTAGGAGAACCTAATGCCTGCTGATCTGAGGTGGAACAATTTCATCCTAAAACCATTCCCCACCCCCCCGCCACACACTGTCCCGTGGAAAAATTGTCTTCCATGAAACTGGTCCCTGGTGCCAAAAAGGTTGGGGACCTCTGCTTTAAATCATCTCTAGATTACTTATAATATAAATTACAACTTAAATGAGAAATAAATCATTGTTATACTATATTAAGGAATAATCAAGAGAAAAAAGTTCTGTATATGTTGAATAGAGACACAGTTTTTTTTTTTTTAATACTTACTTTTTTGGATACTTACGATTCTCAGTTGTTTGAATCCACAGATGTGGAAACCGCAGTTTTTTTAAGTGAGTATATAAAACTATGTGTTTAAAAATGGGAATGGGCCATAATGGCCTTCTTAATAAAGATAAAACTGATTATTCAATGATATTAAAATATTGAGATACTCATTCAAAACACATTTAAAAAGCAACTCTGGAAATGAGGACAATTAAATGATGCAGCCGAGAAAAACAGATAGAAGGATCATGTAGGTAATTTAGAATAAGAGTCCTAAATCTGGCCAGAAAGGAAACCATCAAAATGACTGCTGAAGTGGAACAGGTGATTTCCTAGAGAACAAGACAATCCAGCTTATGACCTCAGGCCCTCAATGTGCTCATTCATGCAGGAAGGTAAAGTGAACTGACATGATCAAAAGAAACAGCTTGTGCACATGAACTCACCTTCCTAAAGGACTCCTCTTCTGCATCATCCAGAGCAGTGTTCTCATCAAAGTCAATCACACGATCATACATCTGAATGTTATATTCATCCCAAGTCACAGTATCATCACTGTTTTTATCATATTCAACAAACTGTTGTTTTGCTTCTTGCATAGCATAATGCTTAAAAGACATCTGAATCCATGAACTGAGTTCACCTATGAGAATTTCCCAGAACACAACGCATGTGACGTTAATTCTGATACTTAAGAGTAAGGATTTCCAAACCTTCTCTGAAAAGGCAAAATCTTTGATGTTTGCAAATACTGAGAATTGGCCTAGTTGTATTAATAGAAATGGGGTAGGAAGTGGGAAAGGCTGTTTAGAAGAGCTCATGAAGCTTTTAATTATTTTTTTTTGAGATGGAGTCTCGCTCTTTCACCCATGCTGGAGTGTGCAGTGGTGCGATCTCAGCTCACTGCAACCTCTGCCTCCCGGTTCAAACGATTCTCCTGCCTCAGCCTCCTGAGTAGTTGGAACTACAGGCATGTGCCACCACACCCGGCTAATTTTTTGTATTTTTAGTAGAGACGGGGTTTCACCATGTTGGCCAGGCTGGTCTCTAACTCCTGACCTCGTGATCCACCTGCCTCGGCCTCCCAAACTGCTGGGATTACAGGCGTGAGCCACCATGCCTGGCCGGAGCTTCCATACTATAACATATGATCTAAATATAATGTAAGCTCCATAAAAGTTTGGGTATGTTCTGTTCACTGATGTACATCAAATGCCTGGAAAGTTCCTGGCTCTGTAAGTATTTGTTGAATGAATTACCAACTGGCCAAAATAGCACTTTACTTTTAAAAAAAATGTTATCCAAAATCTTGCAGAAAACCTTTGCTAACTACCACAGATCTCTCAGGAAGCATAAATATTTTGATAGCTATTTATTTTAGTATGTATGAGAAAAAACAGTGTTTTTTATTTATGAAGGTGACATAAAGTCTTCCTTTAAAATAAATTTTATGTGAGTTGAATTAAAACTATAGTAAGAAAATAATAGATGGTTAAGTAGATATGGCCTAAATTCTGAAAAGGTATTCAAGTGACTGAGAATACTGCTTCAGTATATTACCTTTAAATATGTTGTTAAAACATCTGGAGTAAATTTTAACGAAGTTATGGGTAGCAATTTATGCCCTTCCTGCAACAGCTATCTGTCTTAACTTGGTACCTGAAGGCATGGGAAAGTTTCTAAAATTCAAATGTTCACTTTTCAATCAACTTTTAAAAAATCTATTTGGCTGGGCTCAGTGGCTCACGCCTGTAATCCCAGCACTTTGGGAGGCTGAGGCAGGCGGATCACCTAAGGTCAGGATTTCGAGACCAGCCTGGTCTCGGGTAAAACCCCGTCTCTACTAAAAATACAAAAATTAGCCGGGCATGGTGGCCAGTGCCTGTAATCCCAGCTACTTGGGAGGCTGAGACAGAAGAATCACTTGAACCTGGGTGGCAGAGGCTGTAGTGAGCCAAGATCACACTACTGCACGCCAACATGGGTGACAAGAGCGAGACTCTGCCTCAAAAAAAAAAACAAAAAACTATTCATAAAAATATTTACTAAACTACGTTAAAGGAAACAAAGGGAGGGACGAACACGAATATTTGTGAGGACAGCATGAGTATACCATTTATCAGGTTCCTCTGTACATGTTGCCTCTAATCTTCAAAACAATGCAATTATAATCATCACTATTATACAGGTGAGGAAACTGAGGTTCAGAAAAGTCCAAGCCTTCACAACTAGTAAATAGCAGAGTCCAGATTCAAACCTGTCTGGCTTCAAAGCCAACTCCTACTGAGTTTTGCTACCTCTTAACATCTGATTCCAGACCTGGCCCTCAAAGAGCAAATTGCCAAAATTATCTTAAGGGTCCTCAAGTAGAATGAAGGCTTTCGTAAGCACCATGAATCTTTCTTCTAGTTTATTTAAAGAGATCACCATGGCATAGAAGAAAACAGAATGGAACAGGGATCAGAAATGTGGGTTCACACTTCAGCTTTGCCATCAGGGGGTAGTTTACCATCTCAAGCTTTTCTTCTCATCTGTATAATGAATATTTGGACTAAAACTTTTCTAAGTTTAAACTTCTTAAAACCTTACTATTAAATATTTGAACATATCTAGGTCTTGACAGATAGGTACCACGCAGTCTTCCAAATCAACGTGTTGTGTTCTTTGATTACTCTAGTATAACCAAAGATTGACTTATTCTTAGATTGGATAATCAGAGACCAAAGGTCTTGTTATTATTGTCTAACTAAGTGGAAGAAAAAAGCCCTTAATCTTCCAGAGGGTTCCAATGTGAATATGTCATTGACAGCACATCTTAAATTTACCAGTTTTTAATTGTCTCCAGCAACTTAATTCCTTGATGGTGAACAGCATTTAAATGAGAGTTACAGAAAAACAGCTAACTTAAGAGTCACAATAACAACCTGAATTTTTCTGAGGACCCACTTGGAACGCTGACAGGGAACATCATTTGAATTGAACAATGGGGAGAGACAACTGCACAGCAATTTATTTAGAACATTCTTTTAATAGTCTGTGCATTTCATTTCTGACTAGAGAATTTACCTGAGAGCATCAGATTTTTTTTTTTAACTGAAGGATATTAAAACCTGAATTAAGAGCAGGATACCTGGATTCTAGTCCAGCTTTGCCACTTATTTGTAGAAGGCACTTATCCCTGTGCTTCATTTCTTCATCTCTACAAAGTGATGTGGACAAGATGATCCCAAGGCCCCTACCAGCTCTAACATTTTGGTATAATGTTATAATAAACGTAATTCACAGGCAACAGGTCTTTTTCTACTTGCTTAAAAAAAGAAGCAAATTCCTAAAATTTAAATGAAGCATATATCAAAAGAGCGATAAATCATTTACTGCCTTAAAGTTTTGGGGCATATTTCTCTAAAATAAATCATATTGTTGACACTAACAAAAGTCACGTGAGAAAGAGGGTGTCTCAAGGTGTGACTTCCACATAGAGTACAGGGTCAATGATGTTTATATATAACTGGAGAAAGCACCGAGTTTTACTTGGTTCTCAGTGTCTAAAGATTTGTAAGTATAAAGCCTATTCTCCATGTCCTTTTCTCCTTCTCACAGGACTTCCAACTTGGGACACTAGCAATCTATACATTCAGCAGACACCGCTGCTTAACATATTTGTGTTTGTCTCCATTGTTAGTCGTGTAGGGCAGTCCTTACTTTCAGTGAGAAAGCCATCTGAGTCCAAGTCGATTTTCTTTATGATCGCCTGCAGTCTTTTTTGCTGCTCTTCGTGGCCGAGTTTAACATATTCATCCACATCTTCCTTTAGGGGGAAGCGACACACAGGAGGGCCAAGCATTACTATCAGTGGGGCAAAATGGTGGAGAAAAACAGGGCTACTAGAAGACCCCCTTGCCAAAGGGTTTCGGGGTGACCCGCACCTGCACTTCAAGGCCCCTACCCCCTACACACCCTCCATGATCTGAGGGGTAGAAGGGATCCAGCTCTTGGGCCGTGCTATCTCCTCAGGCTTTCCAGGCCCCAGGACCCCCAGAGAGCGAGTGCCGCGCCGCCCGGCCCCCATTGTCAGGCCGCCCCTGCCAGGCCTCGCCCGGCCGCCCCCCTTTGTCCCGGGACAAAGCCCGCGGCAGCCGCGGTGCGAGGCCCGGCCCTCCCAGCACCGGCCTGGCCGCCTCACCTGGACGCCCAGCAGCGCCTCGCGGTCGTAGTCGCTGCGGCGCTCGCCCAGCGGGTAGTGCAGCTCCTCGGCCTTGCCGGCGCCGGCCGCGGCGGCGCACAGCAGCAGCAGCCCCAACGCCGCGGTCCTCGGGCCCAGCCGCATCGCGCCGGCCCGCGGAGGACACCGAGGGACGCGAGGAGGGAGGCTGGCGGGGGCCCGGGCCGGCTGCGATGCTCCGCGGGCGGCTACAGAGAGGCGGTGCGACGTACGTTGAGGGCGGAGGGAACGGGAGGCGGAACCTGCGGTGGCGGCCACAACGCCCATGGACGGGCTGGGGGCCGGTCCACCAATGCGGTGCGGAGGCGCGCCAGGAGGAGGCCTATATGGCCGGCGCGGAGTGGCGGGGCACCAGGCCGCGCCGCTGATTGGGCAGCGCGGCGCTGGGGGCGGGCCGCCGCGATGTCGGGGTCAGCGGCCGCCCAGAGAGCTCCAGGAGCCATGCTGGGACTGCAGAGAGGGTAGACCTCTACGACCCGCGCCTTGTCGTTCCCCCGAAACGCTTCTAAAAGCACGCCCCCACCCCACTCCTGCCCACTCCTGGTCCACTCCATGTGCCCCTCCTACCGTCCATCAATGAGAGAGGCTGGAGGTTTCTGAGACAACAATACAATATCGAAAAAATTATTGCCTGAGGAATCGGCCAACAGTATTCTTTCTCAGTCTTCAATGTATCTATTTTATGAGAGTAGGACGTACAAACTCAGGAAGTGCAGCCAGATGCTTGTATCTGATGCTCAATTTCGTGATTTACAAGTTAATGTGAACTTGCTCAAATTTCTTGACCCCTGAAAACTTGTTTGCTCATCTATAAAATGAGCATAGTAATAAGACTACCTTAAAGAATTGTCGTGAAGATTAAATAATGTAATGGGTTTAGAACAATAGCTGGCACATAAGGTGAAGTGTTCAGTGAAGGTAGGCTTTCATCCATACAAGTAGAAAAACGAAAGATGATTGCACAGAAGGAATAGCTTAGTAAGTACCTAGCAAAACCTTTAGGGACAGAATGCATATACACATGGCTTCTATTCCATGTCTATTCACAGGTTTATGTAATTTCTCCACCTCAACCTGAACACATTAAACTCTAAGAAATTTGTAGGCTGCACCTTGAACCCTTTTCTTTATTGATTGCGCCACTTAGGATCAGGCCTTTCACAGAGAAGAAAAGGCTTTCTGGGTCCTCTTTCATTTCTCTCAGTCTCTATTTGGATTGGGAGCAAGAATTCTGTTCCAAACTGCAAAACTGGGTGGGCACAAGTCGCAGAAATTTCCTGGGTCGGGTTGAAATTTATGGTTTGGTCACAAACCATTGAAAGATTCACAGAGCAAAGTGTAAGTTCAATCTTTCCAATGTTATAAAGATCAACGAAGAACAAAGTTTTAAATTTCAGAATATAAATAAAAGCAAATTTTAGAGTTGATTTCATTAAACTAAAAAGAAAACCCTTTATTGCTGGATTTTAATTTTCACTTCCATTCTCGGTTTTGAGGAAAAAAAGAGAAAAATGTCCCAATTTAATATAAGAAACTCTGCTTTGTACCTGTTGTTCTCCAATAAGTAAAAGGTAAACTTTGACCAGCTTCCGGCGTGACTCCAGTTATAAAAGGTAGGCTACAAGGTACTGTGGAAGTTCTTCTAAACTCAGGGGATCCACAGATGGGAGTTTTGGGGGCCAAGGGAACTTAATGATATCTAAAGAGACAGTGGAGTAAGCAGTATCAGAAGGCTGGGTTCTGTCTTCAGCCCCTAAACAGGCTGTTTTCGCTCCCTGGGTCTATTGCTTTCATCTGGAGGAAAAGGATTGTGTTATCTCAGTGGATCTTAATTTGAGATCTTTGGGTTCCTAAGTGGTCCCTGCATGGTTTTCAGTGGTGTGTTTATCCCAAAATCTTGGTGCATGTGTATATTTCCAGGGAGGAAGTCTATAGCTTTGCTTTTATCAGAGTTTCAAAGGATCCATGTGGCAGAAAAAGTTAAGAGTCCCTGAAGAAGGCTCTGAGCAACTTTTTGACTCTTAAAATCAACGATTTTATTGGGATTGTTTGGAAGCAGATTACAGTAAAGGCCTATGCTTAAAAGAGGCAAGACTGATCCAATGTCATTACTTGTAATTAATCCATTCTACTCGGGGAAAAATAAATATCTAAAATAAGTAGCCTGTTTAAAAAAATGTGTTATGAGAATCCAAAGATCAATTTTCTTGACCTATAAAAGCCCATAGCATATAGCAAAATTGGTTTTATTTATATTTTTATTGAGGTATAATTTACCTAAAGTACACAAATGTTAAGTATACAGTTCAATCATTTTTTTAGATTTGTTTGCTGTGAGAGCCTTGAGGTAGGGAACTGTGTGATTTCTCCTAGTGCACCTACAAAAAAGAGGAACTCAATAAATTTTTGTGAAATGTATGAATTCAGCTATTCTGGCATTCTTTTAGAAGTATGTATTATGGGTAATAAAGTTAACTTTGAAACTATTGAAAGAAAGATTTGTAGATTTCTTGCTTTTTGAATTTGGTAAGATGTGTGTTACAATAAGCAGTGGCTTAAAAAACAAAGCAATATTTAACATATATGGCATGGACCCTTGTGTTACAGGCTGATTTCCACCAGAATGAATGAGATTTGGTACAATAAACAACTTAAGTGGGAAAGCCAACAAACTCAATGAGACTGCAGCTTTGCACAGATGGAAAACACAAGACAAAAGAACAGACTATAAGGCAGTGAATGGGAGAACAACTTAGACTGAATGACCATGCAATTAGGGGGATTTTGTTGGCTGTTTAATCTTTTGTCAGTCTTTTGAGGGGAGAAGGAAATGTGAGAATTCCAGGGTTATGGTGGAGTCTTAGAAGGTGACAAGAACATGTGTAGGTGGGTGGGTGTATTATAATGCCTTAAAAATCTTTTCATTTCCAAGGAGTATCTGAATGTGTAAGTAGTCACAAAATCTTTTAACCTATTAGAAGTACTTTCAAGAAATTCAATGTAACTTTTTCACTGAATAAGATTTCCCTAAATTAAAGATGGATCTGTCCCAATGATCAAATGTAATGATAGCTCCATCCTCAAATAGAAGCCATCCTCCACTTCCGGCAATTCACATTTATGGCCCTTGGTCAGTTATACTGGTGCATCTCTTGCCCTAAAGGTAGCCCAAGTGGACAAATATTAGAGTGCCTTCCTGACTTTCTCCCTATTCACATAGGGTGATCATACATCCTGGTTGACCTGACATGATTATTAATCATGACTCTTTCACACTCAAAAGTATACCAGAATGGGGTGATAAATGATATGGTCACCTTACTTTTGGGCCTCACATTCAAACTGTCCAGCCCCCTCCCTGTACTCCTCCCCAAGCCCCAGGCTTTATTATGCCTCAGAACCTCTTCCCACACTCTTTTCCCCAGGTTTTCAACAATAGGACCTTGAGGTCTTAGTCAAACACATTAGCAATAAAAATAAAGAACACTAAGAAAGAGGGCATGAAAAGAGGAATAAGACTGTGACTTAAGCAAGTGTTTCTTCTGAATTATAATGAAATTTATTTTCTTTGGCGTTACTAAACCAGCTCTGAAGACAATTTCATGGAGGAAATTCAAAGCTGAAACAAGCAGAGTGACTTTGAAAGACAGCACTTCTTGAATTTATAAGTTCTCGAGTGTTTAAGAAAACTCAGGCGTGGCTTTATAGTCACACCATGCATTCAAGTCTTAGGTATTCACAGATCTCACTGAGGAAGAGAAAATGCAGTTGCTCTGATTGCAGCTCCATCACGAGGTGGTTGGTGTTCAGGGGACTGTGATTGATTTGGGCTTTGGTTTTTTGATTCGGGATGAAACTCAAGTCTATGGGATTTTGAGGTTAATTTCTGTTTAAAAAATAAAACTAAAAATTGGCCAGGCACAGTGGCTCATGCCTGTAATCCCAGCACTTTGGGAGGCTGAGGCAGGCAGATAGCTTGAGCCTAGGAGTTCAAGATCAGCCTTGGAAACATGGCAAAACCCCAGATCTATAAAAACAAAATACGGAAAAGCATATTAGTTGGGTGTAGTGGCATGTGCCTGTAGTCCTAGCTACTCAGGAGGCTGGGGTGGGAGGATGGCTTGAGCCTGGGAGGCAGAGGAGGCAGTGAGCCGAGATCGTGCCACTGCACTCCAGCCTGGGCGACAGTGTAGAAACAAAGGAGTTACACAAGTTATGCATGCTTACTTGTTTATTTTTGCTTACTTGTTTATTTTAGGAAAATCAGTGTATGCAAATAAGAAAAAAGAAAAAAAGATCTCAAATCCCATTCTCATAAATAACTGCTATTAACATTGGGGCATAACTTTCCAGAGGTTTTCTGTGCACAGTATATACACTTCTAAAGGCAGTATCCTAATCCATTTGTGCTTCTAGAACAAAATACCTGAGACAGGATAATTTATAAATCTGTATTTATAATTTATAAAGATTTATAAGTCTGTATTTATAAATTTATTTATAATTTATATTTTATAAATTTATTATATATTAATTATATATTATTTATCTTTAAATATTATATTTAAATTATTTAAATTATATATTTATTTAAATTAAATATTTAATATTAATATTTAAATTAAATATTTTATTTAAAGTATTAAATATTGTATATATTTATATATTATAAATATATTATAAATTTATAAATTTATAAATATTTATAATTTATAAAGATTTATAAATCTGTATTTATAATTTATAAAGAACAAAAATTTATTTCTCACTGCTCTGGAAGCTAGAAAGTCCAAAATCAAGGTGTGGGCAGGATTCGTGTCTGGCGAAGGCTGCTTTCTGCTTCCAAGATGGCACCTTGTTGCTGCACCCTCCGGAGGGGAAGAACACTATGTCCTCACGTGGCAGAAGGGATGGAAGGGCAAAAACGGCTAACTCTCTCTGTCAAGTTATTTTATAAGGGCATCTGATCCTTTTCATGAAGGTTCTGAATCAATCACTTCCTAAAGGCCACACCTCTTAATACTGTTACATTAGGAATTCTGTTTCAATGTGAATTTTGGAGGGGCCAAAAACATTCAAACCATAGCAGGCAGATACACCTTTTGCAAAAATAGGATACAAAGGAAGCTACTACTGTCATTGAAATAGCTCAGAAAAGCAGAGAAACAGTCCAGAATGACCTAAAAGGCCTGGGAATGCCTTAAAAATGCTCAGCAAATACGCACATTTCATCTCAGGAGTTTCTCTGTATCAATTAATTGTTGTCTGGTATGCTTTTCCTTATCTTTTACCTCTTTGGTGGAGTTTCTGTAGCTCTTACCACAAATACTTCTTCCCCTGGATCCATCTGAACTCTGGGAACGTGCAATCTATTTTGGAATTGCATATGGCAAGCTAGACCTTTGAGTCCCCTCCAAAATATAACTCCTGGTCTCTACTCTGAGTCTACCCGTTACACCCAAAGTGAGAGGTATCCCGCATCCTCCGGCTAAACAAACTCCCACCTGGCCCTCACTTAATAGTGGAATTAGAATGCAAATGTACAGGGGGCATGGAAACACGCATTTATTGTATCTGTTATTTATTCTACTAGAGAGGTCAGACCTCAGACTTCTGCTACCTGCGCCTTCTTTGAAAGAGTTCCCACCCATGTGCAATGGGGAAAAAAAGATCTATATTCTGAAGTTGTTGTTTATAGTTTTCTGTTTGTGTCAATTGGTAACATTTGTTAACTGTGCAGTATAGATCTTCACTGTACTGATATTTTGTCTGCTTGTCATTATCAGTTACTGAGAGATGTTTTATAATCTGCTCTGATTGTATATTTCTCTACTTCTTTAAGTTTTGTCAATTTTTGTCATGTATTTTGAGACTATGTTATTCAGGACTTACACATTTATGATTGTTTTATCTTCCTCATGGACTGCGGTTTAATCTTTACAAAGTGTTTTCTTATCTTTAGTAGAGTTTTTGTTGTAAACTCTACCTTGTTTGATGTTATTATTGCCTAGAAGATTTTATTATTATTATTTCATACAATTAAAACTTATTTAGAGTTTCCCACATATTTACCCTATTCTTTTCTTTTCTTTTTTTTTTTTTTTTTGAGGCAGAGTCTTGCTCTGTCACCCAGGCTGAAGTGCAGTGGTGCAATCTTGGCTGACTGCAACCTCCACTTCCTGGGCTCAAGCAATTCTCCTGCCTCGGCCTCCCAAATAGCTGGGATTACAGGTGCATGACACCACGCCTGGCTAATTTTTGTATTTTTAGTAGAGACAGGGTTTCACCATGTTGGCCAGGCTGGTCTCAAACTCCTGATCTCAGATGATCTGCCCGCCTCAGCCTCCCAAAGTCCTGGGATTATAGGCATGAGCCACGACACCTTGCCACTTTCTTAATCTGAGAAAAAATATCTACAAATCCATTTTCTCTAAAGGTAAAATATTGAATGCTTCCCCACTAGAACAAGTATAGAGACTAAGATGCTCACTATTTCCTCTTCTAGTCAATATTGTACTAAAGATACAATTCTTGCTAGTGCAAGAAGATAATAAAGGGAAATAAAAGGTATAAATATTGGAAAGGAAAAAATAAAACTGGTAGTATCTGCAAATGACATTGTTTTGTATGCCAGAAAATGCAAAGGAATCTATAAATAATCTATCATAATTAAATAAGTTTGCCAGTATTACTAGATATAAGGTCAATCAATTTAATTTATATATTCCAGCAATCTAAGTTAGAAAGTAAAAGTTTAAAACAATGCTCTTCATAGTAGTCTTTAAAAAATCAAATATTTTCCATTAAGTATAATGAAAGTTGTACAAGTTATGTACATAGAAAGTTTTAAATGATTTTAAGAGTTGATGTTTTATATTAAGGCATTTTGCCTGACAGGCTGTGAAGATATTCTCCTAAGTTATCTTTTGAAAGAGAAATGAAAGAAGACATTTTAAACCCCAAAGCATATACTATGTTCAAGGATTAGAAGATTCAATGTTGTGAAGATGTGAATTCTCCCCAAATTGATGTATATATTAAACGTAATCCCTTTCAAATTTCCAGCAGTTTTGTTTTGTGGAATTGATGACTGATTCTAAAATGCTTCTGGAAATGAAAAGGACCAAAAATAGCCAGCTCAATCTTGAAGAAGAAAAAGAATGTGGGAGGATTTATGCAACTGTATATTAGACTCATTACACAGTTAGAGTAATTAAAACAGTGTGGGATCAGCACCGAATAGTGTCAAGAAACAAACCCACACATATAGGCCCACTTGATTTATGACAAAGTCAGAACTCCAGAAGAGTGTGCTAAAGACAGTATTTCCAGTAAGTGTTACTGGGTCAACTAGATGACCATATGGGAAAAACTAAAACAAAGACAAAACTTTGATCCCTACTTTACACACACAAGTTCCAGGTGATTTGTAGATCTAAATGTTGTCATTAGAATAATAAAACTTCTAGAAGTCAACATAGAAAAATATCTGGCCAGGCGCGGTGGCTCATGCCTGTAATCCCAACACTTTGGGAGGCTGAGGCGGGCAGATTATGAGGTCAGGAGATCGAGACCATCCTAGCTAACACGGTGAAACTCCATCTCTACTAAAAATACAAAAAATTAGCCGGGCGTGGTGGCACGAGCCTGTAGTTCCAGCTACTCGGGAGGGTGAGGCAGGAGAATCACTTGAACCCGGGAGGGGAGGCGGAGGTTGCAGTGAGCAGAGATTGTACCACTGCACTCTAGCCTGGCGCCACTGCACTCAAGCCTGGCACAACTGAACTCCAGCCTGACTCCGTCTCAAAAAGAAAAAAGAAAAAAAAAAGAAAAATATCTTTATGGCTTTGGGGTAGGCAAGGATTTTTTGTTGTTGTTGTTATTTTTGATTCTGTTTTTTCAGAAATGGAGTTTCGGTCTTGTTGCCCAAGCTGAAGTGCAATGGCGTGATCTCGGCTCACTGCGACCCCCGCCTCCCGGGTTCAAGTGATTCTCCTGCCTCAGCCTCCCGAGTAGCTGGGATTACAGGTGTGCACCACCACTCTCAGCTAATTTTTTGTATTTTTAGTAGAAACGAGGTTTCACCATGTTAGCCAGGCTGGTCTCGAACTCCTAACCTCAGGTGATCTGCCCGCCTTGGCCTCCCAAAGTGCTGGGATTACAGGTGTGAGCCACCGCGCCTAGCCTATATACACTCTTAATTTACTATTCTAGCTTTTACTAAAGTCTAGTGGATCGACAGTAGTCAGGACAATGTGGTACTGGCATAAGAACAGATTTATAAGTCAATAGACTAGAATTGAGAGTCTAGAAATAAATCCATATCTTTATGCTTAATTGATTTTTTGACAAAGTTGCCAAGACCACTTAATGGGGAAAAGATAGTATTTTCAGCAAATAATGCTGAGACAAGTAGATACCCACATGAATGAATCCACCCAAAAGAATGAATTTGGATCTCTAACTCACACCATACACAAAAATTAACTCAAAATGGATCAAAGACCTAAATGTAAGAGCTAAACTTTCAAAACTCTGAAAAAATAGGTGAAATTGTTGTGACCTTGGATTAGGCAACAGTTTCTTAGATATAACACCAAAACACAGGCAATCAAAGGAAAAAAAGATAAATTTGATTTCATCAAAATTTAAAATTGTTGTAACTCAAAGAACACTGTCTAGAAATCAAAAAGACAACTCACAGAATAGGAGAAAATACTTGCAAATCATATATCTGATAAGGGATTAATATTCAGTATGTATAAAGAATTCCTACAACTCAACAACAAAGAAACCAAAATAACCCAATTCAAACATGAGCAAAGAATCCAAGTAGACATTTCTACAAAGAAGATATACTTCTTTAAAGAAGAAATGACCAAGAAGCACATGAAAAGATGATGCTCAATATCACTACTTATCATTAGGAAAATGCAAATCAAAACCACAATGAGATATCGTTTCACACTCAGTAGAATGGTTATTTTATATATATATATATATATATATATATATATATATATAATATATATAAATAATATAAATACAAAGTTATTATATATATATAAAGAATAAGTGTGGGTAAGGTTGTGGAGAAATTGGAACTCTTTTGCTTTGCTGGTGGGAATGGAAAATGGTACAACCACTATGGAAATAGTTTGACAGTTTCTTAAAAAGTTAAATGTAGAATTACCATATGATTCAGTGACTCTTCTTCTAAATATACACTCCAAAGAATTAAAAGCAGAGATCTAAACAGATACTTGTACACAAATATTTACAGCAGTATTATTCATAATAGCCAAAAGGTGGAAACAACCCAAATGTCCATCAACAGATGAATAGATAAACAAAATGTGGTATATATATATATACAATGGAATATTATTCAGCCTTAAAAACAAGTAATATTCTGATACATGCCACACCATGGATGAGCCTTGAGGATATTATACTAAGTGAAATAAGCCAGACACAAATAGACAAACATTGTATGGTTCTACTTATATGAAGTACCTAGAATATTCAAATTCATAAAGACAGAAAGCAGAATAGAAGTAGGCTAGGGCTGGGAGAGGGATGATGGGTAGTTATTGTTTAATGGGGACAGAGTTTCTGTTTGGATGATGAAAAGTTTTGGAAATGGATAGCGGTAATGTGACACAACAGTGGGAATGTGCTTAATGCCACCGAATTGTTCACTTAAAAATGGCTAAAATAGTAAAAGTTATGTTACATATATTTTTCCAATATAAGAAAAATAAACTTAAACATTTTTTTAAATTTAAAAATGGTGACTTTTATGGTATATGAGCTACATCTCACACAAAAAATTTTTAACTCAGTGGATCATGGTGGAGGACAGTAGACCACTGCAAACTTAATCAAGTAGTAGTCCCAATTGCAGATGGTGTGCTAGATGTGCTATCTTTACTAGAATAAATTAATATGGTTGCTGGTGTATGATATAAAGCTATTGATTTGGTGAATGCATTATTTTAACTACCCATTAGGAATTGGGACCAGAAGCAGTTCTTTCATATGGAATGGAGGACAGTATACAATATACACTCACAGTGTTGCTCTAATCTAAAGGGACCCAAATCATATGGACATACCATGGAACATCACATTGGACCACTATACTGGTGCTATCATGTTAATCATACTGGACAGATAATAAATGGTGTCTACTTTGGATACCTTGGTAGGACAATCCAGTCTAGAGTGTGGAAGATAAATCTACAAAAATATAAGAGCCTGACACATCTATAAAGTTTTTAGGATTCCAGTGGCCTGAGGCAATCTATCCAAGATAAAAGACAAGTTTTTGTATCTTGCACCATCTACCACTAGGAAAGAAACACCCACTAAGAAAAAATAAACATAATACTTAGAAGGCCTTTTCAGGTTTTGGAGGCAGCATATTCCACACTTGGGAATGCTGCTCTAACACATTTATCAGGAGATACAGAAAGTTGCTAGCTTTGATTGGGGTCTAGAATCAGAGTTCTATAGCAGATCCACCTGTAGTACAAGCAGTCCTGCCATTAGGACCATATAACCCGGAAGATCCTACTATATTAGAGTTTCTGTGATGGAAAAAAGACGCCACCTGGAATACCTGGCAAGTCCCATAGGAGAGTCATAGCATGGACCATTTGGGTTCTAGAGCAAGGCCACGACATCTGTAGCAGAGAACTCTATACCATTTAAAAAGTATCTCCTGGCTTGCTATTTTGCCCTGGTAAAGAATGAACATCTAGCTATAATGACATGTTGTGAGGATAGGTCACTATCCTTCTTTATCCTTAAACCAACAGTCAGTGTATGGTGCTGCCTTTCCAGTCAATGCAACACATGGGTCTGAGAATCAAAGAGTGGAGTGGGGAGTGGCCCCACTCCTCATCACTGTTGGAGACCCAGAATTTGTTCTGCCTGTCCTCACAGTTTTAAATCTTGCAGTTGTGGAGATTCTGATTTCTGGAAAGGATATACTTCTACCAGTCAACAGAGGATCCCACTAAACTTAATACTACAACTGCTTCCTTGACACTTTGGGTTCCTTGTGCTAGTGGAAAGGAGTTACCATCTGCAGAGAAATTGACTCTGGTTATCAGGAGGAGGTAGGGCTGCTGCTGTGTAAGGGGTGCAGGCAGAAGAAATGCATTTGGCATTTGGATAATCCGCCATCTTGGTACTCCCATGCTTAGTTTTAACTGTACATGGAAAAATTCAGCAACCAGAGCCTGATAGTGGCATGGTAATCAGGAGCTCAGGCTCCTCAGAGATAAGAGTCTGAGGCAACCCACCCAACAAACCATGCGGATGGGCAGAAGTACTACCTGAGGATGTGGTGGAGAGAAGGGATAAATATCAGTGATGGCCTTGGGTCCAACTGCAGCAGTGGGGTTTGTAGTTTGTCTCACCAACTTTCCTGTCTTAAGTGTTCCAGAAATTATAACCAACCAGAATCCCAGAGAAGCTGTAACAGGGTGGAGTATACCTAACGTGAAAAGCAAATGGACCTGAATGGTGCAAGAGGTGGACCTTTGTGGACATTGTTGATGCCTTGCCCAGATCTCCTGAATCCTCTTCCTCAGTCTGGTTCTTGTTTTTAATGCCCACCTGCCACAGATACCTTGGGTAACGGGTCATCTCCACAACTTTCTCTAGATGATTTTCCATGTATGTCTGAAGTCTCTGTGGCTAGAGATTCCTGGGAGTAATGCTAACCTCTCATTTCATGGACCATGACCAACAACTGTCTGGGGCAGGAATACAAAAATTCCACTCCTTTGTCCGATGCAAGATGGGCTCTGCCATTCACTTTATACTCCAGAGCTTCCTGTAAGATGTGGCTGAAGCTAGATTTCACCTGGAACCTCATTCTTGCATACGTTGTTTCCTTTCCTGCTTCACTCTTTCTTACCTGTCTCTCCCGATTTATCTCCTTGATAAATCACAAGCACACAAATCCCCATCTCGTGCTGTTTCTGAAACCTACTTAAGACACCTCCCAAATAAACTACTCATACCCAAGGCCTTCTCCAAAGCAAGAAAGAAGTTATTCATCCAATGGATTTTTAATAGGTGAGAGACCACAAGACCCTAAGTTATTGTATGAAACAATTCCTGGACTTCAACTTTTATAAAAATCATGAACATCAGACCACAGCTTATCTTGGTATACATAACTATAATTATAATTTTAAGGCATTTTAATAGACTGTGAGTCACTTTCTATATAGAAGATTGTGTCTGTAGGAACTTCATTAACAACGAAATATAAAAGACTTCAAGATTTGAAATTAGTTTCAAGAGTTAAGTTACAGTGATAAAAAATTCCATTGAACACAAAGAACTTTTAGCCATTAGAGTGGCCTTAGGTTAGGTTGAATTTCCTGTCATCTTAGATTTCTGAACACAAGCTGAATGACTATTTGGTGAAGACTAAACAGAGGGCTCTTCAGGCATCAGGAGGATTGGACTGGTAGCTAGAAACTTAAGTACGGGGCTGGGCACAGTGGCTCCCACCTGTAATCCCAGCACTTTGGGAGGCTGAGGCATGCAGATCACTTGAGGTCAGGAGTTCCAGACCAGCCTGGTCAACATGGTGAAACCTTGTCTCTACCAAAAATACAAAGATTAACTGGGCATGGTGGCTCACGACTGTAATCCTAGCTACTCGGCAGGCTGAAGCGGGAGAATCCCTTGAACCCAGGAGATGGAGATTGCAGGGAAGCGAGATCGCACCACTGCACTCCAGCCAGGGTGACAAAGCGAGACTCCGTCTCAAACGAAAAAATAAAACAAAACAAAAAATGAAACTTAAATATGGTATTTTAAACACTTTTAGTTGGAGGAATTACCAAGAAATTATTTCCAGTAATTTACTTTATATGTGTATTTTTTTCTTTCTAGCACCCAGTACTAAACTAATCTTTTATTTTTCACACATTTTTCTTTAAGCAAACAACTGTTTCTCATTAACACAACCCATACACCAGCGTGTGGGATCCTTCAGTGAATTGTGTTGGGCAATGTCTCTTACTGATGGTATGAACTGAAAACCATCAACTTCCTACACCTGTAGGTGGCTAAAAACCCAATTTAAAATTTGATCATGTGGGTTGCTGAATGTAGGCATTTAATGAATTCACAGCCATTCTCTTATATGAAAATAAGGGCATTGGAATGTAGGATGCCTAGAATTAAAGTGGGATGTATTGGAGTGTTTGGATGGTTGCTGTCTGATGGCACCATTCAATATCCCTGCCCACCATGCCCCTGAGCATAACACCATCCATCGCCCTTAACCATCATGGTATTCCATGTAACATTGCTTCTAACAAAGAACACACACTTTATGGTGAAAGAATTAAGGCAATGAATGATGCTTATGGAATTGACTGGCCTTATCATTTACCCCATCACTCAGAAACAAGTGGCCATATAGAGAGGTAGGATGGTTTACTGAAGCCCGGGAATAATGTTGGCAGGGAGATTTTCCAAGGTTGGATGCCATTCTAAGATATGTTATATGCTCTAAGTCAGCAACAAATATGTGGTCTTTTTTTCATTGCAAAAATGTAGAATCCAAGATGGAAGTAGAATGTATGCTTTTTGCACATAGCGTAAACTGGCAAATTTTTTGTTTTCCATCCACACAACTCTTTAATGTGCTCATTTAGAGGTCTTAGTATGCACAGGAGGAATGCTTCTGCCAGGGGACACAACTATAGTCCCACCAAATTGGAAACTAAGAGTGCCACTTGGATAAAGTTCCTCAAGTCACCAGGAAAACATGCCGAAAATGGTACTTGCTGAGATGATTAATCCTCACTATCAAGAGGAGATAAGGGGCCAGGTGTGGTGGCTCATGCCTGTAATCCCAGCACTTTGGGAGGCCGAGGCTGGCAGATCACCTGAGGTCAGGAGTTGAAGACCAGCCTGGCCAACATGGCGAAACCCTGTCTCTACTAAAAATACAAAAATTAGCCAGGCGTGGTGGCATGCATGTGTAATCTCAGCTACTTGGGAGGCTGAGATAGGAGAATCACTTGAACCCAGGAGGAGGAGGTTGCAGTGAGCTGAGAGCACAACACTGCACTATGGTCTGGGTGACAGAACAAGACTCTGTCTCAAAAAAAAAAAAAGAAAAGAAAAAAGAGGAGATAAAGTTGCTGATAAATAGCAGAGGCTAAAAGGACTACGGCTGGGACTCAAAGATCTCCTTGGGGTGACTTCTGGTACTTCCAAGGTCCGGCGGCAAAGTTCTCTAGTAACAACAATCTCACGTGGACAAGACCATCAAGGGCTCTGATCCTTTAGGAATGAAGATTTGGGTCATTGTATCAGGTAATAAAACCTGGCCAGCTCCTCTGGGCAAAGAGAACATGAAATGGGTGGTGGAGGAAGGAAATTAGAAATACCAATTACAGTCTCGTGACTACTTACAGAAATAAAGATTGAAGGTTCTCTAATTTTCTGCATTGTTCAATCATGTATATATATTTAACTAATTTTTTTTCCTTTTTCTGTCCCTTTTCTTCATGGCATGCAGCTGGTGGTTAATTTTACAATTTCGTTTATGTGTTACAGAATACTGAGATAGGATCATAATGGAACCAGAAGAGGACTGAGTATCACTCAGAGATTCTGTACAAACTGGATGTAGCTGCCAATGAGGTTATCACCCTTTTAGGGAAGGGATGAGCACATTGTGCTTTTATAAGGAATAGTAGCATCACGATAATTGGCAATAATTTTTCTTTCTTACGAGAACAGGGGTTTATGTTAGTGTTGGGTTTGCATAGCAAAGAAGTAAACTCTGGTGAATATTGCCAAATTCTGTTCCATCTAGCATCTGTTTTCTTTTTGATATTGGAAGAACTCCCCACCTTAAAGTGTGCCTCCCACTCTAGAAGCTGAAAATGGCATATACTCTCTCTCCTAGCCTTTCTTATAGTTAGAGTACATGATCTAGGACCCCCCCCCCCCCAACAAATACAATCTTTCAATTCTCTGAATCAGAGTTAGACACAAGAGGACTGATAGGAGCTCTCAAACGTCACCAACATCACGGGAAGATCAAATTCCCGTAGCAGTGCTGCCTTCACTGGACCAATTCTGGTGTGGGAATTTTGGGTATCGTTTCTGGTTGAATTGTCCTGAGCTCACTGAGACTGATTCTCCAGCCCTCCTAGAAATTCTGATGTCACAGGATCCTTGGGGTGTCGCTTAACCAGCTGGAAACCTCTGCGGCTGGCGGCGCGTTTCTGCCTATTGCTCGTTCCTGCTGGGCTTGTTCCACCCACTTGGCCTGGCAGGCTGCACTTGGTTACACTACCAGCCCGGATCCCACACCTGCCAAGTGTGAGCCAGGGGCGGAGCAGCAAGGGTTGTGTGTGGGTGAGCAAGCACGGGTCCAGCCACTGAACACAGCCAGGCACAATGGCTGCAACAGTGCAGGCAGCTCCAGGTGCCAGCACAGGTGCCGGCTCCACGCCATGCTGCAGCTGGACCAGAAGTACTGCGTGCAGCTTCCGCTGCAGGCACCCATGTCTGGGTGAGAGGAACGCGGTGGCGCCCAGAAGCTTGGAGACACCAGGAACGGCAGAACCCCAAAGAGGGAGTCACAGCCCTGGCCCAGGGAACCCTTAGGTCCAGGTTCCCCGAAGGGCCAAAGCTCCCAGGTCTAGGCTCCCCAAAGGGCCAAAGCTCTTCTGCCTTCACAACATGGCGAGTAGGGGGGATGTTTCAGCCCTGTTTGTGTTATAGCTCTTTTAGTCCCACCATTTGGTGGGTCCCGAGTTCTTGTTCCACATCTATGGACCTCATGGACTACCTCATAGATGGAGAGGCGCTTCACTGAAGGCAGAGAGGCAACAGAACAGTTCTCAGAAGAAAGCGGGCAGCTCCTTTCCTTTCCACAGGCAGGTCTGGGTCATCCTGACAAGTGTCCGGCCCTCAGGTGGTGCTCTAGTTATGGCTTCAGTAGTCCAATCCACCAGTCTGCCGGGTTACTTGTTCTCAGGTGTTGGGGTATGTGATAATATTAGTGAATTCCAAGAACACGAG
Source organism: Homo sapiens (assembly GCF_000001405.40). Lineage (NCBI taxonomy): Eukaryota > Metazoa > Chordata > Mammalia > Primates > Hominidae > Homo > Homo sapiens. The sequence continues at coordinate 76,915,863 of NC_000015.10, read as the reverse complement.
CCAGTTTCTCTTGCTTTCAAATGATATCTTTGGAGAGAAGCAACAGTGTATAGGATATCATGAAAATGAATCACAGCATCATGACATTTCATAAGTCCACAGATAGTGATGCTGGCAGAACCATTTTGAATAGGGAAAGTTTAAAAAAAAAAGTGTCTATTTCAGTGAGGACAAATCTCTGCCCCTCCATGATGGAAGAGGTCCAATATAATCAATATGTCCCCTGAATCCCAAGGAATAGTGCATTCAGGAGCTCACTGTTGGCTTCTCTTGTTGGCAGGCTGCGTTTTCTGCCTTGGAGAGGGAAGTCCATGTTGTTGATCCCATGGATAGCCCCATCCCTGTTGCCGTGGTTAGTTACATATGGGCCCACTGAACAACAACTGGTGTAGCTGAATAAAGAAGCTGACCAATATCTACAGAATGGATCTTCTTGCCCATCTAATGATGACGATGATGATCATTGCTATTATTATTTGAGACGGAGTCTGCCTCTGTTGCCCAGGCTGGAGTGCAGTGGCGCAATATTGGCTCACTGCAACCTCTGCCTCCCGGGTTCAAGCAATTCTCCTGCCTCAGCCACCCAAGTAGTTGGCACTACAGGTATGTGCCACCACCTCCGGCTAATTTTTTGTGTTTTTAGTAGAGACAGGGTTTCACCGTGTTAGCCAGGATAGTCTCGATCTCCTGACCTTGCGATCTGCCTGCATCGGCCTCCCAAAGTGCTAGAATTACAGGCGTGAGCCACCGTGCCTGGCCTGCCCATCTGATTATAGAAAGCCTATTCAGTGGATGCCATTTTGTAAGCATTCGTATGGGTCACAAAAATCCTCATACAAAAATCCTGTCTCCTTCCAGGTAAAGAGGACGTCCTAATATACGCTCAAAGTTTTCCACACCGAGAGGATTGCCTTTCATCATTTTTTCAGAGACACTTATCAGCAGAATGGTAATACTGTAGTAGTCCACTTCCAGCTGATGCCAACATATTGTACAGATCCATCTTTAAATCAGCCTTAAGTTTTTTTTCCCCCCTCTGATAACTGGTTATAGGAAATTCCTTTTGAGGCCTTAGAGTCTGAGCCACCTCCCTATGCAACTTACTTGTGTCCTCCTGATCTTCTAAAGCCTGACCTTTTATACGGCACTTTTAATTGATGATGGATTTTTGCTGTGTATGCACACCCAATCTTATGGCAGTTCATGATGGGCAGCTCAGAGCCCATTGATCTTGATGTCATCAAAATCTAGCCTTTAATAGAATCCAGTGCTCTTTCAGCAAAAAAGAGCACAGCATTGTGTCGAAACCCTGGGATTCTGTGCTTTGGACCCCTATTTTGCCAGAGGATCCATACAGCATCCTTACTTGCCATAGACGCTTTGGGTTTTCTGAATTATTAGGCTTGAGTAGCAAGATAGCTTGCCTAGCACCCTGGACCTGCTACAGAGCCCTTTAATTTTCTGGGAGAAAAGGGTTCTCAGTAAGTTGTTTAGAGAAATACACCCAAATGTGGTATATGTGCCTCTTTCTTAGTGTTAGGATGTGCAAGATGCAGAAAGTTGTCTCTTACTATAAGTTACAGTAGGGATTCTTGATCTCAATCTTGTTATTTTGGGCTTGATAATTCTTAGTTGTGGGGAGCTATCCTGTGCATTGCAGGATGTTTATCAGCATCCTTGGCCCCTACCTGAAAGATGCCAGTAGCCACTAATTTGCCTACCCTCAGTTGTGACAACTAAAAATGTTTCTATACATTTCCTGCAAAATGTTCCCTAGTGGACACAATCACCTGGTTGAAAAACACTGCTATGCAGGGATATGCCAACATTCCTTTCACTGAATTTTTACGTCTCTGGCATGCATGTGCCTTACTAAGGCATCTAGAATATTTGCTACTTTTTGTTCACCAAGCCAATCAGCATGATGTTATCAATGTGGTGGATCACATGATGATGTTCTATGGCATGTCTAGATGACGAAGGTCTCTGTGAACTAGACTGTTACAGAGTTTGAGAGCTGGCATAGCCCTGAAGTAAGACTGTGAAGGTGAATTGCTGTTTCTGACAAGTAAAAATTTGCTGCTTTCTGATTTTTCCTGCTAGTTGATATGAGGGGAAATGATTTTCCAGATCAATAGCTACATAATAGATGGCAGGACTATGTTGATTTGTTCCAGCAACAATACCGTATCTAAATTGGAAGCTGCAAGTGAAGCCACCATCTAGTTTTGCCTCTAGTCAAACACAGGAATTATGCAGAAGTGTGATGAGAATCCTTACTCTTGTATCTATCAAGTCTTTAAGGGTGGCAATAGTTAATGTCTGCAATTCCCACAGGGATGTGGTATTGTTTTTGGCTTACCATTTTGTTAGAGAAGAGCAGTTCCAGTGGTTTCTACTTGGCTCTACCTAACCATAAGAGTCCTCTCTTTATGGGTCAGGGAGCCAGTGCAGGGATTTTGCCAGTTGACAAGTATGGCTAGTCTAAATAACTTCAGAGTGGGTCTACAGAACCTATTGAGCCCTATGAGTGATGGACTTGATTATAAATTTCATTTTCTACTTGACCACCCAAAGCTCTCAATCTATCCAGGGGTTCTTAAGGATTAGCATAAACTCAGAGTAGTGTGTAATAATCCTTCAAAGCCTAGATATGTCCCTTTCCTCAGGGCACACTCATCCTGATAATAGCCACAGGTCCTTTTGGGACAGGCTTGGAGAAATATTTATAGTATACAGTTGTGACAGTGTTGTAGTTTCTTTCCTCAAGGGGACTCAGTTTCTGCTTCAATCCCTGGACCCTGCATATGTGAAGCAGTTTAGGTCTGGGAACTAAATGAGAGGCTACAATTTCCTTTTGTGGCAACTCAAGACAGGTTTCTGCTCACTTGACCTACAGTTTTGCCAGTTGCATATATCAAGTAATAATTCAGCAGGCTGCCCATCTATTTTATTCCTAGGGACCCTGTCATGAGTTAGCACCCCCACAGATCTCTCAATGTCAAAACTTTCTGACTGCCTGCTGCCCATTATGGTAATTGTGCCTCCCTGTCTCTGTTGGTTAAGTATTACTACATGGCCCTTGCCATGATGCCAACATTCCCATAGAAATCAGATAACTGTTTCAATCATCCTTAGTCCAGAAAGGACAGCCATTGCAGAACTTTTGAGGATGGCTACGCTTCTCTGACTAATGTTTTCTCAATGCTTTAGTGCCCTCTGGGTCCTTCCAGGAAACATAGTCAGGAAGTGGGTGAACAGGTTACACATAATAAATCCACTCCAACCCTCTCATAACCTTGATCCTTTTGTATATGACCCTGTAGTTTGACTTTTTTTTTTTTTTTTAAATAAAACCCTTTGCGCTGGGCGCAGTGGCTCATTCCTGTAATCCCAGCACTTTGGGAGGCTGACGCAGGTGGATCAAGAGGTCAGGAGTTTGAGACCAGCCTGGCCAACATAGTGAAACCCCGTCTGTACTAAAAATGCAACAAATTAGCTGGGCGTGGTGGCGGGTGGGTGCCTGTAATCCCAGCTATTCGGGTGGCTGAGGCAGGAGAATCACTTGAACTCCGGAGGCAGAGGTTGCAGTGAGCCGAGATCGTGCCACTGCATTCCAGCCCAGGTGACAGTGGGAGACTCCGTCTCAAAAAGCAAAACAAAACAAAACAAAAAACCAAACCTTTGCTTTTTCCACGTTATATGAGATGTTCTGGCATCTCAGCTCAGCTTCATTGAATGTAGGCCACCACTGAATCCTAGTTTCAGTCATTCAACCAAGCAAACCATTAGAGATGCTTCCACTTGATTTACTTATTTATTTATTTATTTATTTATTTATTTATTTTTGAGATGGAGTCTTGCTCTGTCACCCAGACTGGAGTGCAATGGCGCAATCTTGGCTCACTGCAACCTCCACTGCCTCCTGGGTTCAAGTGATTCTCCTGACTCAGCCTCTCGAGTAGCTGGGATTACAGGCATGTGCCACCACACCTGGCTAATTTTTGTATTTTTAGTAGAGATGGGGTTTCACCATGTTGGCCAGGTTGGTCTCGACCTCCTGACCTCAGATGATCCGCCCCCCCTTGGCCTCCCAAAGTGCTGAGATTACAGGGGTGAGCCACTGTGCTCAGCCCCGCCACTCAGTTTAGCACATTGAAAGGAGAACCTCAGGTAAGGACATCCATATTGTAAGTTTAGGCTGGTCTGTTATCGTATTCTATCTTTTCTTATAAAACACCCTTAGAATCTACTCCCATAAATGTTTTTCAGGTTACTGCTGATGAAAATACACGTTTTTGCAGTGGTTTTGGTGTATAAGTTTCTTTTTCTTGGAATAGACCTTACATTTCTCTCCTGAGTCACTAGATTTGACTTTAGAAGTGGGTCTGGGGCCGGGCATGGTATAGTAAACAGTTGAGTGGATTCTTTTTTTTTTTTTTTTGATATGGAGTCTCGCTCTGTCACCTAGGCTGGAGTGCAGTGGCGCCATCTTGGCTCACTGTAAGCTCCGCCTTCCAGGTTCACGCCATTATCCTGCCTCAGCCTCCCGAGCAGCTGGGACTACAGGTGCCTGCTACCACGCCCAGCTAATTTTTTGTATTTTTTAGTAGAGACAGGGTTTCACTGTGTTAGCCAGGATTGTCTTGATCTCCTGACCTCATGATCCACCCGCCTTGGCCTCCAAAGTGTTGGGATTACAGGCATGAGCCACCGCGCCCAGCCGAGTGGATTCTTGTTCCTTGCTTTCAAAGAAGACTAACTATTGAAGTTCATACAAAATGCTATGGAAGCCCAGAGGAAGAAGCAACCAAGCCTGTTGCCAAAGTTCAGGAAAGGATGTCTAGGGCAAGTCCTAGAGGTGGGTGGGAGTTGATCAGGTAGCAAAAAGGAGCAGGCACATTCTGGAGGGACTCATGTGTGGAAGTCAGGAGGTGGGAAAAGACAGGGCAGCTGAAGCAAAGTGGGTAGTTATACAGTAGCACCCACCTCATATGTTTGTTGTGAGATTAGATGACAAAAGAAACATTATAGTTGGTACAATTTGACCTCTTTCTCTATGCTAAGGCTTTCTAAGTGCTTTCTAAAAATTGATTCATATTAATACTCACAAAAACCTTTGAGGTGTATTTTATTGCTCCATTTTACAGATGATGAATGTAGAGTTTAGAGAGTTTTAGTAATTTGCTCAAGGTTGCATATTATGTTATCTGTCTCCAAATTCAGGGTCTTAAACTGCTGTAGGATACCACTATTCTATACTTCAAGTGCATGGATTTCTCTATGTGCGTTAAATATAATCCATGAAAAGTCCATGCTAATATCCATTTAGCATAATGCCTGCCACATAGTAAATGCTTACTAAAATTCAATTACCTTTATCTCTTAGTACAGCATAATGACTCAAAGAAGGGCTTTGGAATGAAATGAACCTAGGTTCAAATTCTGGTCCTACCCCTTCCTAGCGCCAGGAAAAGTAAATCTAGGGTCTTTGTTGATTTGTAAAATGGGATATGGCACCTAATTCTTAGGGTTGTTGTCAGACCAAATATATATATATGTGTGTGTGTGTGTGTGTGTGTGTGTGTATCTGACAACAAAGCACAAGACATGTGTGTGTACACATGCACACACGCATATATGTTGTGGGCATAGAAAATATTTAGGCAAAGATAGCTATTAATATTATATTAATCCAGTAATAATGAATACTTAGGCTAAGTCAGGTTAGGGGGAGGGAGAAAGAGAGAGGAAGAAGTAAATTCCAGGGCCTGAATGCATTTTATTCTGTCTGGAGGATAGGGTGGTTGAGGGAATGGCCTAAAAATGAGGCTGTACAGGTCAACAAGCCTGATCTTCAGGGCCTTGTAGGCCATGTCAAGGAGCCTGGAGGGACAGTGGAGCCAGTCACATAGGATGAGTGTGTCCTCTAGGCCAGGCTATGTTATGATGCAGTAACAAATGTCCCAAAGCATCTGAGTGGCTTACAAAAACAAATGTTGTATTAGTCCATTTTCACACTGCTATAAACAAACACCCAAGGCTGGGTAATTTATAAAGGAAGGAGGTTTAATTGACTCACGGTTCTGCATGGCTGGGGAGGCCTCAGGAAACTTATAATTATGGTGAAAGGGGAAGAGTCACATCTTATATTAGGGCAGGTGAGAGAGAGAAGAATGAGGAGCAAAGGTGGAAGAGGCCCTTATAAAACCATCAGCTCTTGTGAGAGCTCACTATCATGAGAACAGCATGGGGGAAACCGCTCCCATGATCCATTTACCTCCCACCAGGTCTCTCCCTAGACATGTGGGGATTATGGGGATTATAATTTAAGATGATATTTGGGTGGGGACACAGTCAAACCATATAAAATGCTACATATCCACTGGGGATCAGCTGCAGTTCTGCTCCATGTCATCTCTAGTATGGAACTTATGCTGATGGAATAGCTTCTCTCTAAAACAAATTGCTTGTGGCAGACAGAAAAGAGACATGATGAACGCACAAGCTAGCTCTTATAAATTCTGCTTGGAACTGACATTCCTGCTTACATTTTATTGGCTGAAGCAAGTTACCTATCTGCCATCAGTGGGGCCAAGGCAGCAGCACATCACGGAGGGGAACCAGACTGTTTGGCATATCATTAATAGGAATAGATTTTGTGGCAAAAGAAAATGAGTGGTAACCTGATTAAAAAATTGGCAAAGGATTTCAATAGACATTTATCTAATACCATACATAAATGGCCAATAAGCACATGAAACTATGCTATCAGGGAAGTCCAGATCAAAACTACAATGAGATACCACTTCACATCCACTCAGATGGTTGTAATAAAAAAGACAGACAATGGTAAGTGCTGGAAAAGATGTGGAGAAACTGGAACCCTTATATGCTGCTGGTGGGAGTATAAAATGGTGTAGCTGGTTTGGTAAATCATCTAGCAGATCCAGAAAAATTTAAAAATACAGTTACTATGTAGCCCAGCAATTCTACTCCTAGGAATATACCCAAAATAAATGAAAATATATATCCCCACAAAAACTTGTAAATGAATGCGCATAGCAGCATTGTTCATAATAGTCAAAAAGTGGAAATAGTCTGTATGTCCTTCCACTGATGGATAAATAAAAGGTGATTATATATTCTATACAATGGACTATTATTCAGCCTTAAAAAGGAATGAAGCGTTGATGCATGCTACAACGTGGACATACCTTTTTTTTTTTTTTTGAGATGGAGTTTCACTCTGTCACCCAGGCTGGAGTGCAGTGGAGCGATCTTGGCTCACTGCAAGCTCCACCTTCTGGGTTCACACCATTCTCCTGCCTCAGCCTCCCCAGTAGCTGGGACTACAGGCGCCCACGACCACGCCCAGCTAATTTGTTCTATTTTTTAGTCTAGACGGGGTTTCACCTTGTTAGCTAGGATGGTCTCGATCTGCTGACCTTGTGATCCGCCTGCCTTGGCCTCCCAAAGTGCTGGGATTACAGGCGTGAGCCACCGCGCCCAGAAACATACCTCGAATATATGCAAAGTGAAAGAAGCCAGTTACAAAATACCACATCTCATGACTCCCTTTATACAAGGTGTCCGGAGTAGGCAAATCTATGCATAGAGAAAGTAGATTAGTGGTTGCCTATGGCTGAGAGAATTGAGGGAAAATGGAGAAGTGAGTACTGGGTTCCTTTCCGGGGTAAAGAAAATGCAGTGATGATTGTACAATTGTGTGAATATCCTAAAAACCACTGATTTGTATGTAGGTTACATCTCAATAAAGCTGTTTTATATGTATATAAGAAAGATGAATCATTTTTATTTTTGTCATATTTATTTTTATTAATTCAAGTGGAGATGACCAGTAGGTAGTTAACAATGTGGCCTGGATCCCAGGAGTAGGAATCAGGGCTGGGGATATATATTCGGAAATCCAGAGCATAAAGATGCTAACCAAAGTTATGTAAAAGGCAGTGGTCATGTAGAGAGTGTGTCCAGTGGGAAAAGAGTGAAGGCTTATACCTATTCCTGTGGGATAACAATATTTAAAGGCTGGGAGAAATAAGAGAGACTTTAAAAGAGATGGAGAGGGAGTGGTTAGAGATGGAGAAGTGCTACCAAGAGAGTAAAAATGAAAGGCAAGGAAAAGTATTTCCAGAAGGAAGGAGGGTCATGAAGAGAAATTAAGTTAGGTAATGATGATAATGTCCATAAGATATATAGTAGGGAAATCCCTAGTGACTTTTTTTTTTTTTTTGAGACAGAGTCTCGCTCTGTCGCCAGGCTTGAGTGCAGTGGCATGATCTGTGCTCACTGCAACCTCCGTCTCCCTGGTTCAGCGATTCTCCTGCCTCAGACTCCTGAGTAGCTGGGATTACAGGCACATGCCACCACGCCCAGCTAATTTTTGTTATTTTTAGTAGAGATGGGGTTTCACCATGTTGGTCAGGATGGTCTCGATCTCGATCTCCTGACCTCGTGATCTGCCTGCCTCGGCCTCCCAAAGTGCTGGGATTACAGGCGGGAGCCACCAGCCCAGCCCAACTTTTTTTTTTTTTTTTTTTTTAATTGAGATGGAGTCTCGCACTGTCACCCAGGCTGGAGTGCAGTGGCATGATCTCAGCTCACTGCAAACCTCTGCTATCCAGGTTCAAGGGATTCTCGTGCCTCAGCCTCCCGAGTAGCTGGGACTATAGGTGTGCGCCACCGCACCCGGCTATTTTTTTTTTTTTTTTTTTTGTATTTTTGGTAAAGACAGGGTTTCGCCATTTTGGCCAGGGTGGTCTTGAACTCCTGACCTCAGGTGATCCACCTGCCTCAGCCTCCCAAAGTGCTGGGATTACAGGCGCGAGCCACGGCGGCTGGCCCCTAGTGATGTTGGAAAGAATGGTTTCAGTGGGGTGGTGGGGCAGAAACCAGAGTGCAGTAAGTCCAGACTTGAGTAGTGGTTGAGGAATTGGAGGCACTCTTGTTTAGATAATTGGAGAAATGTATTATAGGAAAGAAAGCAGAGGTTGAAGTGGAGTCTGGTAGGTTCGGCGGGAGATTTCAAGATGGGAGAGACTTCAGGTTGTTTACATGCTTATGAGTATGAAAGGAAGTGGGGATAATTAAGAAATGAGGCCCTGACCGCCTTTTATAGAATTGTAGTATGCTCCCTACTCTATCCCCCTTATCCTACTCATTTTGTTAACTGTAGTGCTTATCATGTTATATAATTTACTTATTTATTGTGTTTACTATTTCTTGTGTTAAAAGCAAAATATTAGCCAAATTAAACAGAGTTTGAGCAAAGAATTATTCCCGAATCAGGCAGCCTCCTGAGCCAGAGTAGGTTCATACAGACTCCCGCAGAGCCACATGGTGGAAAAAGGTTTATAGACAGAGAAAGAAAAGTGAGGTAGGGAAACAGCCAGAATGGTTATAGCTAGACGTTTACCTTATTTGAACACGGTTTGAACAGTTGGCCGTCTTTGGCCAAAACTTGGTGATTGGCGCAAGAGTAGGTTGCAGTGTATTTACACCTCCATTTAGGTTATAGTTTACTATTTACGGAGAAACCTTCAGGCTGAACTTAAAATATGTAAGGACACAGCTTTTGGCTAAACTTGATGTAACACTTGCCTGGTTTCACCCTGCTCCAAGAAGCCGGAGGTTTTTTAGAGATTTCTGTTTATTTTGCTCACGTATTAACTCCAAGCATCTAGAATACCATCTGATATATAGTATGTGGTCAATAAACATTTGCTGAATAAATGAAAAAGCGAGTTTTCTAAGAAGGCAAGAGAGAAGGGGAGCCAGAACATAGCCATATGGTTCCTGCCCCCACAACGCTTGTGAGTCCAGGACTTCCCGCCTACTGCGGGTGGGGAGGGAGAGGGAAGGGTAAAGAGCTGTTTCCCAGCTGGATGAAAAGGGACGGTGAATATTCGTTTGATAATTACAGTCTGCATTGAATCTTTTTTCTATTTTGTTCAGACTGATTTAAACGTTAAAGTATTTAATTCATCATATGTTTGTCTTTGAAGTAGATGAAACGTATTTGTTAGGTCTCTGTACTTCGACCTTCCAAGCCTGGCACACAGAAGGGCCCTGATAAAGCTTCTCGGAGGCCTAGTTGTGTTCAGCGCAGCCCAGCGTGCTCCTGTCAAGTGCTTTCGCCAGCACAGATTTCTGTGAGGCGCGTCTCTAAGTCCTTAATCTGTGGATTGACTGTGGTGATAAGGCAGGAGGAGGGAAGAGATTGAGTACGAGAAAGACCTGTGTGGCCAAAAGCGGCGGTGTAAGCTTAACCTAGGAAAAGAAACAGCTTCGGAAACGCCGCGCCGGGACATCGAACCAAATCAACCCTCACACCTCCCGCCTGGGCGCCCCAACGGCGCGAACGGGCGTGCGCCTGCGCGCGGACAACACAGATCTTGCAGCCGGGAGCGGCGCGGCAGCGGCTGAGATCACGTGGTGCGCCGGGAAGCCACCCCGCCTCTCCGAGGCCTCCCTGCCCCGCCCCGTCACGCCCCTTTCCCGGCGGGACGCTTTGAGCCGCCCCGAACTAAGCAGGGCGGTCGGGGGTGAGTGTCCGCGAGGGGCGTGCGTAGCGCAGACCCGGGCGGGTCCGGGTTGGGGCGCGGGCCGTCTGAATGCCTTGCGGGGACCAGGGGACAAAATGGCGGCGGGGTACGCCCTTTCACCCCCTCCCCTCACCTGGGAGTGCGAGTTGAGCGGGGCAGGGATCGTTGCTGGGGGAGGGGAGCCGCGGTCGCCTGGGGAGGGCTCGGAGGTCGGCCTCGGAGGCCTCGGGACGGGGGCTGGGGTGAGCCGCGTCCGGGCCCTGCCCTGCGGGCTCATCTGGGGTGTGAGGGACGTGAGACCCCGCACACTACGCGGTCTGAGGGGTGAGTGGGGGGCTGCCGCGTCACCTCACTTGGGGGCAGCCCCGGCCGCGGGTGACGAGGCTTCTGGAATGTCTAAATGCGAGGGGCCCCTGGAGGAGCCTCCCTTCGTTTGACAGGTGATCGTCTTCGTCATCTGTCATTCCCAGCGGGGTTTACCATGCTTTCCCTGTACTCTGATCTTAGCTCTGCCCAGGAAACGGGGCAGGAATGGCCTCTCCGTCTTCCAGATGCGTGCGCTGAGGCCTGGAGGGGCGAAGAGCCTCTCGCACCTGGGAGTAGTGGGACCCAGCCTCCTGCCTCTGTTGCTGCTCTTTTCCAAAACAGCACTTCCTTGGCGCCTTTCCTCTACACCGTTTTCCAGGCGCGTTCGTGGGAACGGCACCAGGGAGGAACGGGATTGTTAGAAAGCAGGCACAAAACTGGTCCTGTAAGCAACACCTGCTGCTGTTAAGGGGGCCCCAGCTGAGATGAGGCCGCCTGTTTGTGAGCAGCTTCCTGTTGCTGGTGGACTGCATCTCTTATTCTAGTTGTGACAAGTTATTTTCCATGAAAATAGCTATTCATTAATAGTCATTTTACCGAACAGATACTAATTCCTTATATGAATTATAGTTTGTCTTAGTTTATGGATTAATTTCATCATTAACTTTTCATCTTCATAAATAATCTGGTAGAAGGATGGATGGGCTAGGAGTAATACTTATTTTATGAATGGAGAAACGGGGGCTCAAAAGGTTATTACTTGCCTTAGATCACCAGCTGGTGAGTGGTAAATCTGGGGTTAAGTTTTCTGACCTAAGGTTGGTAGTCTGACCACTGTCCCACTCTGGCCTATACTGGTGCTCTTTCCCTTCTGTTATTTCTGTTAACTATGACTTTTCCTCAAAGTTTGTTGGTTGCAGATGATTTATGCCACTTGAAGAATGATATCCACTAAAGAATTAATATTTTTAATCAATCAAAGAGTCAAGTTTTAATGTGATTTGGAAGGTTGTCTGTGGGAGAAGTAATCTGATGGCTTTGAAGGCAGACTGTTTTGAGTTTGAATCTCAGCCCCAACCCTTGTTTTTGGCAAATTAATTTTTCTGAGCCTTTCTTATCTGTAAAGTAGGAATAATATCCACCTCATAATTTTGTTGATAGTAATAAATTAGGTGTCTGTAAAGTATTGAGAACTGTTCCTAGCCCATGGTAAGCCCTCAACAAATGCTCTTTTCCTTCTTTCTCCACACTCCCTTGAGCTGCATTAAAAATATACTCTATGTGTCTTTGGTCCATTTGGGTCTGGTATAGCAAAATACCTCAGACTGAGTGGCTTATAAACAACAGAAATTCATTTCTTGCAGTTTTGGAGGCTGGGAAGTCCTAGATCAAGATGTCTGATGATTCAGTGTTTGGTGATAGCCTGCTTTCTGGTTAATAGATGGCACCCTCTAGCTGTCTCCTTACATGGTGCAAGGGTGAAGGGGTCTCTCTCTGGCCTCTTATAAGGGAATTTATCCCATTCATTAAGGTTCTGCTTTCATAATACAGTCATCTCCCAAAGGCCCCACCTCCTGATATGACCTTGGAAACTAGGATTTCCACAAGAATTTTGAAGAACACAAACATGCAGACCATAGCATTATGGTTAATCACTTGGTTGTTCAGGTCAAATAACCATGGAAGTGTAATCAGCAGTACTGTACAAATGTGTTTATAAATAAATTTTGGTGACTGGTCCAAAGGATATAGTATTCTAAACAGACTTTAAAAATGTTTGCCATTGGTGCTTCATAGGTATTTTAAGAACTCCTAAAAGATTGATATTAAGGTCATTAATGTCTTCATTTAGCTGCAGGAATGTTTTAAAGATAAGTAAGATGAAGGGACTTGAGATTCTGTCATTTCTTTCACTTTCTTTTTTTTTTTTTTGAAACCGAGTCTCACTCTGTCACCCAGGCTGGAGTGCAGTGGCGCAATCTTGGCTCACTGCAAACTCCACCTCCCAAGTTCAAGCGATTTTCCTGCCTCAGCTTCCTGAGTAGCTGGAACTACAGGCACTCACCACCATGCCTGGCTAATTTTTTTTTGTATTTTTAGTAGAGACCGGGTTTCACCATGTTGGCCATGCTGGTCTCAAACTCCTGACCTCAGATGATCCACCCACCTCGGCCTCCCAAAGTGCTGGGATTACAGGCGTGCGCCACTGCACCTGGCCTCTTTCACTTTCATACCTGACCACAGCCCAGACTAGTTTTAAAGGATAAACAACTTCTTTGGGAATCACATGTGAATGTTATTTAAACACTTAGAAAGTGGGGGTATTATTTAGGGGGAAGTTTAATAGAATTCTCTGTAAGGGTACAATCTGATATCCATTGTGGAATTGGCATTTCTGAAATTGTAGAAGAGAAAACTGTAAATGGCTGGCATAGCAAAAATTAAATCATTAATAAAATTCTGTTTGCAGTTTCTGCTGGATGGTAACCTTTTTTTAAAAAAAAATTCAACTTATATAGTAGAGGGTACATGTGTAGATTTGTTACATGGGTAAATTGATGCCGATGCTTGGGGTCCCAATTATCCCATCACACAGGCCATAAGCATAGTACACAACAGGTGGTCTTTCAGCCCATGCTCCCCTTGGCCTAGTGATCCCTAGTGCCTGTTGTTTGTGACTTTTACAATCACATATTCTGTGTTTAATTCCCACTTATAAGAGAGAACACACAGTATTTGGTTTTCTTTTCTCATGTTAAGTCACTTAGGACATTGGTCTCCAGCTCTATCCGTGTTGCTGCAGAGGGCATGATTTTGTTCTTTTTTATGGCTGCATAGTATTCCATGGTGCATTTGTAGCTAACCTTTTTCACAAACATGTTTGGCTTTCACTGATTGGCTATGGGTCTTGTGAAATATAAAGAGTGAAAAGATCTGGAGTCCAATGATGGAGCTAGTCTTAAAAATTATTAGAGGCTGGGTACGGTGGCTCATGCCTGTAATCCTAGCACTTTGGGAGGCTGAGGTGGGCAGATCACAAGGTCAGGAGATCGAGACCATCCTGGCTAACACGGTGAAACCCTGTGTCTACTAAAAATACAAAAAATTAGCTGGAGGTGGTGGCTCATGCTTGTAGTCCCAGCTACTCAGGAGGCTGAGGCAGGAGAATCGCTTGAATCCGGGAGGTGGAGGTTGCAGTGAGCTGAGATCGTGCCACTGCACTGCAGCCTGAACAACAGAGCGAGACTCCGTCTCAAAAAAAAAAAAAATTATTAGAAATTATTTATGGAAAGACTTTTTCTTCTATGACATGAAACACTAAAGATTTCATAAAGTTTTGCTAAAATGATAACTTCTTAAAGTAATACGTTCATTTTATGTTTTGAAACATACGCAAAAGAGAATAGTATGATGAACTGCTATGTATCAATCTATTTCAAAAATTAGCTATATATTATACATGAGCAATATTATTTCATAAAAGTTACCTCCTCACTAAATTGTTTTGAAGCAGGTTTCAGACATCATATTTAATTTGTCAAGATTTTAGTATGCATTAGGCCTGCTTTTAATACAGTATTGGAAAAGAGAGAGAGTTTCAGTATTTTCAATTGAGCATGCCACATTCATGAGATAAAATAAATAACTTGGTTGACATATTCATGGCAGTATATATAGAAGTAATCAGAATTGAAAATCTTATTAAACAATTTAGAATTATAAAATGTCTATATTGCTCTTCAAATTACTCTTTTTTTCTTTTGAGACGGCGTCTTGCTCTGTCCCCCAGGCTGGAGTGCAGTGGTGCGATCTCAGCTTACTGCAACCTCTGCCTCCTGGGTTCCAGCGATTCTCCTGCCTCAGCCTCCTGAGTAGCTGGGACTACAGGCGGGTGCCACCACACCTGGCTACAAACTACTCATTTTTACCATAATACACATATTTTTCAATTAGCAAAAATGTGAACAGTAGTTTTTGAGTATGCCTGTGACAACATTAAAGTATCAGACTCAGAAAGGCAAATACTCAGATTTTCTTAAATGTTGGAAAAGGCAAAAACATGGGTGACAGACTTTGTGAACCCTGGAGAGGAACTGTGATTGCAAACCTCAATTTTTCTACAATTTATTGACCAATATGTGGATAATTCATAGATGTACTATTCTGGCTTCAGTTAGATGGGCCCCTATATTTTGGAGTAGTGCTACCAGCAGGCTTCTCACTGCTTTGGGTCTGCCATTTACTCCTTGCTCTTTTACAACCTGTGTACCCAAACTTGGATAAAGAAAAGATATGCCTTTTCTGGCACTTGAGCCCATCTTTACATTTCCATCTCTAGGATTCTTAGGCATCTCCACAGATATTCCGGGATTGCAGGGCAGAATAAGACAAGTGAGACTTCAGTTCTGAACAAGGCAGGAACTTGTTCAGACACTTTGTGCTCAACCAGACCTAGTGTTCATTCCCTGTTTACCACCTTTATTCTTTGTTTTTTTGGGTGCTCCACTTTCTGCTTGGCCACTGTTTTTTTGCAGCCCTGAGTTTCTCAAATTTCATTTGAGTACCACTGTCAATATTTTGCCATATCCATATTTTTTTTTGTATGTATGTATGTATTTATTTATTTTTGTCTTTTTTTTTTTTTTTTTTAGTATTTATTGATCATTCTTGGGTGTTTCTCAGAGAGGGGGATGTGGCAGGGTCATAGGATAATAGTGGAGAGAAGGTCAGCAGATAAACACGAGAACAAAGGTCTCTGGTTTTCCTAGGCAGAGGTCCCTGCGGCCTTCGGCCCTGTTTGTGTCCCTGGGTACTTGAGATTAGGGAGTGGTGATGACTCTTAACGAGCATGCTGCCTTCAAGCATCTGTTTAACAAAGCACATCTTGCGCCGCCCTTAATCCATTTAACCCTGAGTTGACACAGCACATGTTTCAGAGAGCAGGGGGTTGGGGGTAAGGTTATAGATTAACAGCATCCCAAGGCAGAAGAATTTTTCTTAGTATAGAACAAAATGGAGTCTCCTATGTCTACTTCTTTCTACACAGACACAGTAACAATCTGATCTTTCTTTTCCCCACATTTCCCCCTTTTCTTTTCGACAAAACCGCCATCGTCATCATGGCCCGTTCTCGATAGTCGCTGTCTCTTCGGAGCTGTTGGGTACACTTCCCAGACGGGGCGGCCGGGCAGAGGTGCTCCTCACTTCCCAGACGGGGCGGCCGGGCAGAGGTGCTCCTCACATCCCAGACGATGGGCAGCCAGGCAGAGACGCTCCTCACTTCCTAGACGGGGTGGCGGCCGGGCAGAGGTGCTCCTCACTTTCCAGACGGGGCGGCCAGGCAGAGGGGCTCCTCACATCCCAGACGATGGGCTGCCAGGCAGAGACACTGCTCACTTCCTAGACGGGGTGGCGGGCGGGCAGAGGCTGTAATCTTAGCACTTTGGGAGGCCAAGGCAGGTGGCTGGGAGGTGGAGGTTGTAGTGAGCCGAGATCAGGCCACTGCACTCCAGCCTGGGCAACATTGAGCATTGAGTGAGCGAGACTCCGTCTGCAATCCCAGCACCTCGGGAGGCCGAGGCGGGCAGTTCATCCGAGGCCAGGAGCTGGAGACCAGCACGGTCAACATGGCGAAACCCATCTCCACCAAAAATACAAAAACCAGTCAGGAGTGGCGGCGCGTGCCTGGAACCCCAGGCACTCGGCAGGCCGAGGCAGGAGAATCACCGGAGCCTGAGGCAGGGAGGTTGCAGCTAGCTGAGATCATGGCAGTACAGTCCAGGCTCTGCAAGAGAGGGAGACCATAGAAAGAGGGAGACGGAGAGCGAGAGGGAGAGGGAGAGCATATCCATATTTCTTGTATATTGACTGATTTTATGTTTAAGATAGTGTTACAGATTTTTATTTGAGTAAATGTCATTTTATTGAAAGAAAATTACGTAAATTATTTTATAGGTGGTACTTAGTTATGGCAAATATCATGAAGGTAGTAACTGAATGATTGCAATTTTGGACATTTTGGATTAGGACATAGCTTGCTTTCTTTTTTAATTTGAAGCTTTATTGAGCTATACTTCACATACCATAAAATCCACCCATTTAAAATGTACACTTCAATGATTTTAATGTATTCACAGAGTTGTGGATCCATTACCACAATCAAGTTTAGAACATTTTCAGTATCCCAATATGAAACCCCATAAGCATTAGCAGCCGTTTTCCATTCTGGCCTCCCTCCCTACTTCCCCATCTTATCTCCAGCTACAGCCACCCTCTCATCTACTTTCTGTCTTTATGGATTTGCCTATTCAGGACATTTCACATAAATGGAATTATACAGTACGAAGCCTTTTGTGTCTGGCTTCTTCCATTTAACGTAATGTTTTCAAGATTCATCCATTTTGTAGCACATATCAGCCCTTCATTCCTTTTTATGGATGAATAATATTCCATCATATGGATATACCACATTTTATTTATTCATTTATCAGTTCATGAACATCTTGCACTGTTTCTACTTTTTGGCTATTGCTGCTGTGAATATTCCTCTAGAAGTTTTTGTGTGGACTTGTGTTTTCATTTCTCTTGAGTATAAACCTAGGAATAGAATTGCTGGGTTATATAGTGACTTATCTTTTACTTTTTGAGGAACTGCCAGATTGTTACCAAACCAGCTGTACCGGTTTACATTTCCACTGCAGTGTGTCAGGATTCCAGTTTCTCCACATCTTCTCCAACAGTTGTTTTGTCTTTTTGACGGTAGACATCTTGGTGGGTACGAAGTTATGTCTCATTGTGGCTTTGATATGTATTTCCCTAATGACTAGTGATTTCAACATGTTTTCATAGGCTTGTTAGCCATTCGTATACATTTTTTGGAGAAATGAGAACATAACCCCTTTAACCTGACATAGTGGTGCTATTTAACCTGACGTGGGTTCTTATTCTTCCTCTTGGTTGCTCTCTGTTGGCTTTTTATTCATATAATCAAGTGAATTGCTCCCCAGAAATCCTTTGTGGTAATCTGTGAAATATACATCTCCTACTTACGTTTATTATTACATTGTAGTACCTGTTTACCTAAGTGCACCTGGAAATATCTGGAATTTACCTAAAAAAAAAGGTCATGCATCTTAAGTACCACTGACTTTCAGTTCAGATGCAGAAACAATAATCTGTCAGGTGCCTAATTGAACAGGAGTGCACAAGATGCAGTGATGTAAGGATTTCAAGTTAATCAGTATCTGGTGGGACTTAAGAAATAATAATTCAGTCTTTTTCTTTTTTTTCGAGATAGAGTCTCTGTCACCCAGGCTGGAGTGCAGTGGCGTGATCTCGGCTCACTGCAACCTCTGCCTCCCGGGTTCAAGCAATTCTCATGCCTCAGTCTTCTGAGTACCTGGGACTTCAGGTGCATACCACCACACCCAGCTAAGTTTTTGTATTTTTGGTAGCGATGGGGTTTTGCCATGTTGTCCAGGCTGGTCTTGAACCCCTGAGCTCAGGCAATCTCTCCGCCTCAGCCTCCCAAAGTGCTAGGATTACAGGTGTGAGCCACTGTGCCTGGTCAATGTTGAAGTAACATTTCTTTTTTTTTTTCCTCTTTGGAGGAAAAGGCCTGTAATTAAGAATTTATGAACTCTGGACTGAAAAATTTTAAGTCAGAGCCTAGTGTAATCTGTAATTTGGAAATACTTTAAATCATTACAGGTTTTTGAAGTTGTAATTGCAGTGCAGTGCAATCATGTATCAGAAAATCTGAAAATAACAAAAAAATTCCCCATTATCCTGTGGTGCACAGCTACCAAGTATTGAGTGCTGGTTGTTTGCCATCAAACATTTTTTCACATTTACTTTCTTTGATTTTGAAAACAACCCTACAAAGTAGATATTTTTACTCTTGTTTTATAGCTGTGTACCCTGAGATTCAAAAATGTTAAAGAATTTATCTAAAGGCGAGTGTAGTTTGTAATTGGCAGACTTGGGATATGGATTTGTGTCTGACTTCAGAACTTACTCTTTTTAAAAAAAAAAATTAATATTTTTAGAGATGAGGTCTCACTCTGTCACCCAGGCTGGAGTGCAGTAGAATGATCATAGCTTACTGTAGCCTCTATCTCCTGGGCTCAAGTGAGCCTCCCTCCTTAGCCTCCCAAGGAGCTGGGACTACAGGTGCGTGCCACCACGCCTGGCTATTTTTTGTATTTTTGTTGGATTGCTGGTATTATTTTGTATTTTGGCATATTCTCCACATTGCCCAGGCTGGTCTCAAACTCTTGTTTGAGACTCAAGGCGGTCTGCCTGCCTTGGCCTCCCAAAGTGCTAGGATTATAGGGTTACAGGCATGAACCACTGTGCCAGGTCTAGGATTGTTTTTTCTCTTTCTGTGAGAAACATCATGGAGATTTTGATAGGGATTATGTTGAATTTGTAGATTGCTTTGGGTAGTATGGGTATTTTAACAATGTTAATTTTTTCCAGTTCATGAACATGGGATGTCTTTCTCTTTATTTGTGTTATTTTCAGTTTGTCATCAGTTTTATGGTTTTCAGTGTATAGGTCTTTCTTGGTTAGATTTATATTCCTAAGTATTTTATTACTATTATTTTTGTTGTTGTTTTTAAGACAGGATGTCATTCTGTCACCCAGTCTGGAGTGCAGTGGTGTGATCACAACTCACTGCAGCGTTGACCTCCCCAGGCTCCGGTGATCCTCCCACCTCAGCCTCCTGAGTATCTGGGACTACAGGTACACACCACCATGCCTGGCCAATTTTCATATTTTTGGTAGAGACAGGGTTTTGCCATGTTGCCCAGGCTGGTCTCGAACTCCTGGGCTGAAGTGATCGGCCTGCCTTGGCCTCCCAAAGTGCTGGGATTACAGGTGTGAGCCACTGTGGCCAGCCTTTTATTGTCTTTTATGCTATTGTAAATGGGATTTTTTTTTTTTTTTTGAGACAGAGTCTTGCTCTGTTGCCCAGGCTGGAGTGCAGTGGTGCAATCTCAGCTCACTGCAAGCTCTGCCTCCCGGGTTCACACCATTCTCCTGCCTCAGCTTCCCAAGTAGCTGGGACTACAGTCGCCTGCCACCATGCCCGGCAAATTTTTTGTATTTTTAGTAGAGATGGGGTTTCACTGTGTCAGCCAGGATGGTCTCGATCTCCTGACGTCATGATCTGCCCATCTTGGACTCCCAAAGTGCTGAGATTATAGGCGTGAGCTCCTGCACCTGGCCGGGATTGTTTTCTTGATTTCTTTTTTGGATGGTTCATTGTTAGTGTATAGAAAAGCTACTGATTTTTCTATTTTGTATTTTGATTTTGTATACTACAACTTTATTGAATTTATTAGTTCTAATAGTTTTTGGTGGAGCTTTTAGGATTTTCTGTATATAAGATCATGTAATCTGCAAACAGACAATTTCACTTCTTTTTTTCCTAACTTGAGTACTTTTATTTTTTTTCTTGACTTTTATTATTTTTTTTCTTAGTCAAGAAAAAAAAAAGAACTGGATGAGATGGCATTCTTGTCTTGTTGATCTTAGAGGAAAAGCTTTTAAATTTTCACTGTTGTGTATAATGTTAGCTGTGGGCTTGTCATCTATGATCTGTATTACGACATTACTTATGTACCTAATTTGTTGAAAGTTTTTATCTTGAAAGGGTGTTGAATTTTGTCAGATGCTTTTTCTGCATTTATTGAGATGATCATATGATTTTCATTCTTTGTTCTGTTAATGTGGTGTATCTCATGTGTTAATTTGCATATGTTGAACCATTCTTGCAACCCACAAATAATTCCTACCTGATCATAGTGTATGATGCTTTCAATAAGCTGTTGGATTTGGTTTGCCGGTATTTTATGGAGGATTTTTGAATCTATATTCATCAGGGATATGGGCCTGTAATTTTCTTTTCTTCTAGTGTTTATGTCTGGCTTTAGTATTAGGGTAATGTTGGCCTTGTGAAATGAGTTTGGAAATATTTTCTTCAGTTTTTGGGAAGAGTTTGAGAAGGATTGGTATTAATTCTTCGTTAAATGTTTGGTAGAATTCGCCAGTGAAGCCATGAGGTCCTAGGTTCTTCTCTTTTGTGAGTTTTTTATTAAAAAATCAGTCTTCTTACTTGTTATTGATCTGGTCAGATTTTTTATTTCTTCATGATTCAGTCTTGGTAGGTTGTATATTTCTAGGAGTTTACTTATTTTCTGTAAGTTATTCAATTTGTTGGCATGTAATTGTTCAAAGTAGTCTTTTGTGATCCCTTTATTTCTATAATATCAGTTGTAATGTTTCCTCTTACATTTGTAATTTTGTTTGAGTCTTCTTTTTCTTAGTCTAGCTAAAGGTTTTTCAGTTTCATTTATCTTTTTCAAAAACCAACTCTTAGTTTCATTGATCTTTTCTGTTTTTCTATTCTCTATTTCATTGATTTTTGCTCTGTTATTATTTCCTTCCTTATGCTGACTTTAGATTTAGTTTGTTCTTTTTTTAGTTCTTTGAGGTGTAAACTTAGGTTGTTTATCTGAGTTGTTTTGCCTTTCTCTTTTTTTCTTTTCATAGATGGGATCTTGCTATGTTGCCCAGGCTGGAACGTAGAGACTAGTCTCAGGCATGATCAGAGCACACTACAGCCTCGAACTCTTGGGCTCAAGCAATCCTCCCACCTAAGTCTCCTGACTAGCTGAGATTACAGGTGTTCACATCATGTGAGGCTGAGATCTGTCTGTGTCTTTTTTTTTTTGAGTTGAAATTTCACTCTGTTGCCCATGCTGGTGTGCAGTGGCACCATCTCAGCTCACTGCAACCTCCACCTCCCAGGGTCAAGCGATTCTCCTGCCTCAGCCTCCCAAGTAGCTGGGACTGCAGGCATGCGCCACTGCACCCAGCTAATTTTTTGTATTTTTAGTAGAGATGGGGTTTCACCATGTTGGCCAGGCTGGTCTTGAACTCCTGACCGCAGGTGATCCGCCCGCCTCGGCCTCCCAAAGGGCTGGGATTACAGGTGTGAGCCACTGCGCCTGGCCCTGTCTGTCTTTATGTAGGCTTTTGTCACTATAAACTTGCCTCTTAGAACTGCTTTTATTGTATTCCATAAGTTTTGCTATGTTGTGTTACCATTTTCACTTGTTTCAGGATACTTTTTGATTTCCCTTTTGATTTTTTTCTATGACCCATTGATTGTTTAGTTGTGTGTTGTTTAATTTCCACATATTTGTGAATTTTCCAGTTTTCTTCCTGTTATTTCTAGCTTTATACCATTGTGGTCAGAAAAGATACTTGATATCATTTAAATCTTCTTGGATTTGTTAAGACTTATTTTGTGGCCTAACATATGATCTATCCTAGAGAATATTGTGTGTGCTTGAAAATGTTGTATATTCTGCTGCTGTTGGATGGAATGTTCTGCATATGTCTGTTAGGTCCATTTGGCCTATAGAACTGTTCAAGTTCACTGTTTCCTTGTTGATTTTTTTTTTTGTCTGGATGATCTATCCCTTGTTGAAAGTGGGGTATTGAAGTCCCCTGCTATTAATGTATTGCTGTCTCTTTTTCCTTTCAGTGGTGTTAAAATTTTGGTGCTCCAATGTTGGGTGCGTACATATCTACAACGGTTATATCCTTTTGATGAATTACCCCTTTATCATTATGTAATGACTTTTTTTTATTATTATACTTTAAGTTCTAGGGTACATGTGCACAAAGTGCAGATTTGTTACACAGGTATACATGTGCCATGTTGGTTTGCTGCACCCATCAACTTGTCATTTACGTTAGGTATTTCTCCTAATGCTATCCCTCCCTCAGCCCCCCACCCAGTGACAGGCTCCGGTGTGTGATGTTCCCTGCCCTGTGTCCAAGTGTTCTCATTGTTCAATTACCATCCCAAGGATGAGTGAGAACATGCGATGTTTGGTTTTCTGTCCTTGTGATAGTTTGCTGAGAATAATGGTTTCCAGCTTTATCCATGTACCTGCAAAGGACATGAACTCATCCTTTTTTATGGCTGCATGGTATTCCATGGTGTATATGTGCCACATTTTCTTAATCCAGTCTATCGTTGATGGACATTTGGGTTGGTTCCAAGTCTTTGCTATTGTGAACAGTGCTGCAGTAAACATACGTGTGCATGTGTCTTTATAGTAGCATGATTTATAATCCTTTGGGTATATACCCTGTAATGGGATTGCTGGGTCAAATGGTATTTCTAGTTCTAGATCCTTGAGGAATCGCCACACTGTTTTCCACAATGGTTGAACTAATTGACACTCCCACCAACAGTGTAAAAGCATTCCTATTTCTCCACATCCTCTCCAGCATCTGTTGTTTCCTGAATTTTTAATGATGGCCATTCTAACTGGTGTGAGATGGTATCTCATCGTGGTTTTGATTTGCGTTTCTCTGATGGCCAGTGATGGTGAGCATTTCTTCATGTGTCTGTTGGCTGTATAAATGTCTTCTTTAGAGAAGTGTCTGTTCATATCCTTCGCCCACTTTTTGCTGGGGTTGTTTTTTTTCTTGTAAATTTGTTTAAGTTCTTTGTAGATTCTGGATATTAGCCCTTAGTCAGATGGGTAGATTGCAAAAATTTTCTCCCATTCTGTAGGTTGCCTGTTCACTCTGATGGTAGTTTCTTTTGCCATGCAGGAGCTCTTTAGTTTAATTAGATCCCATTTGTCTGTTTTGGCTTTTGTTGCCATTGCTTTTGGTGTTTTAGTCATGAAGTCTTTGCCCATGCCTATGTCCTGAAGGTATTGCCTAGGTTTTCTTCTAGAGTTTTTATGGTTTTAGGTCTTACATTTAAGGCTTTAATCCATCTTGAATTAATTTTTGTATAAAGTGTAAGGAAGGGGTCCACTTTCAGCTTTCTGCATGTGGCTAGCCAGTTTTCCCTGCACTATTAAATAGGGAATCCTTTCCCCATTTCTTGTTTTTGTCAGGTTTGTCAAAGATCAGATGGTTGTAGATGTGTGGTGTTATTTCTGAGGCCTCTGTTCTGTTCCATTGGTCTATGTATCTGTTTTGGTACCAGTACCGTGCTGTTTTGGTTACTGTAGCCTTGTAGTATAGTTTGAAGTCAGGTAGTATGAAGTCTCCAGCTTCGTTATTTTTGCTTAGGATTGTCTTGGCAATTCAGGCTCTTTTTTGGTTCCATATGAACCAAATTGGAAAAAATTCTGTGAAGAATTTCCAATTCTGTGAAGAAAGTCATTGGTAGCTTGATGGGGATGGCATTGAGTCTATAAATTACCTTGGACAGTATGGCCATTTTCATGAAATTGATTCTTCCTATCCATGAGCATGGAATATTCTTCCATTTGTTTGTGTCCTCTTTTATTTTGTTGCGTAGTGGTTTGTAGTTCTCCTTGAAGAGGTTCTTCAAAATCCCTTGTAAGTTGGATTCCTAGATATTTTATTCTGTTTGTAGCAATTGTTAATGGGAGTTCACTCATGATTGGGCTCTCTGTCTGTTATTGGTGTATTGCTTGTGCAATTTTTGCATATTGATTTTATATCCTGAGACGTTACTGAAGTTGCTTATCAGCTTGAGGAGATTTTGGGCTTGGATGATGGGGTTTTCTAAATATATAATCATGTTATCTGCCAGCAGGGACAATTTGACTTCCTCTCTTCCTAATTGAATACCCTTTATTTCTTTCTCTTGCCTAATTGCTCTGGCCAGAATTTCCAACACTGTGTTGAATAGGAGTGGTGAGAGAGGGCATCCTTGTCTTGTGCCAGTTTTCAAAGGGAGTGCTTCCAGTTTTTGCCCATTCGGTATGATCTTGGCTATGGGTTTGTCATAAATAGCTGTTATTATTTTGAGATATGTTCCATCAATACCTAGTTTATTGATAGTTTTTAGCATGAAGAGATGTTGAATTTTGTCAAAGGCCTTTTCTGCATCTATTGAGATAATCATGTGGTTTTTGTCATTGGTTCTGTTTATTTGATGGATTACGTTTATTGATTTGCATATGTTGAACCAGCCTTGCATCCCAGGGATGAAGCCGACTTGATTGTGAGTAGATAAGCTTTTTGATGTGCTGCTGGATTCAGTTTGCCAGTATTCTATTGAGGATTTTTGCATCAATGTTCATCAGGGATATTGGTCTAAAATTCTCTTTTTTTGTTGTGTCTCTGCCAGGCTTTGGTATCAGGATGATGCTGGCCTCATAAAATGAGTTAGGGAGGATTCCCTCTTCTTCTATTGATCGGAATAGTTTCAGAAGGAATGGTACCAACTCCTCTTTGTACCTCTGGTAGAATTTGGCTGTGAATCTATCTGGTCCTGGACTTTTTTTGGTTGGTAGGCTCTTAATTATTGCCTCGATTTCAGAGCCCGTTATTGGTCTATTCAGAGATTCAGCTTCTTCCTGGTTTAGTCTTGGGAAGGTGTATGTGTCCAGGAATTTATCCATTTCTTCTAGTTTTTCTAATTTATTTGTGTAGAGGTGTTTATAGTATTCTCTGATGGTAGTTTGTATTTCTGTGGGATCTGTGGTGATATCCCCTTTGTCATTTTTTATTGCATCTATTTCATTCTTCGGTCTTTTCTTCTTTATTAGTCTTCCTAGCAGTCTATCAATTTTGTTGATCTTTTCAAAAAAACAGCTCCTGGATTCATTTATTTTTTGAAGGGTTTTTTGTGTCTCTATTTCCTTCAGTTCTGCTCTGATCTTAGTTATTTCTTGCCTTCTGCTAGCTTTTGAATTTATTTGCTCTTGCTTCTCTAGTTCTTTTAATTGTGTTGTTAGGGTGCAGATTTTAGATCTTTCCTGCTTTCTCTTGTGGGCATTTAGTGCTATAAATTTCCCTCTACCCACTGTGTTAAATGTGTCCTAGAGATTCTGGTACATTGTGTCTTTGTTCTCATTGATTTCAAAGAACATCTTTATTTCTGCCTTCATTTCATTATTTACCCAGTAGTCATTCAGGAGCAGGTTGTTCAGTTTCCATGTAGTTGTGCAGTTTTGAGTGAGTTTCTTAATCCTGAGTTGTAATTTGATTGCCCTGTGGTCTGAGAGACTGTTGTGATTTCTTTTCTTTTACATTTGCTGAGGAGTGCTTTACTTCCAATTATGTGGTCAATTTTAGAATAAGTGCAACGTGGTGCTGAGAAGAATGAATATTCTGTTGAATTGGGGTGGAGAGTTCTGTAGATGTCTATTAGGTCCGCTTGGTGCAAAGGTGAGTTCAAGTCCTGGATATCCTTGTTAACCTTCTGTCTCATTAATCTGTCTAATACTGAGAGTAGGGTGTTAAAGTCTCCCATTATTATTGTGTGGGAGTCTAAGTCTCTTTGTAGGTCTCTAAGGACTTGCTTTATGAATCTGGGTGTCCATGTATTGGGTGCGTATATATTTAGGATAGTTGTTCTTTTTGTTGAATTGATCCCTTTACCATTATGTAATGGCCTTCTTTGTCTTTTTTGATCTGTGTTGGTTTGAAGTCTGTTTTATCAGAGATTAGAATTGCGACCCCTGCTTTTTTTTGCTCTCCATTTGCTTGGTAGATCTTCCTCCATACTTTAGTTTGAGCCTATGTGTGTCTCTGCACATGAGATGGGTCTCCTGAATACAGCACACTGATGGGTCTTGACTCTGTCCAATTTGCCAGTCTGTGTCTTTTAATTGGGGCATTTAGCCCATTTACATTTAAGGTTAATATTGTTATGTGTGAATTTGATCCTGTCATTATGTTAGCTGGTTATTTTGCCCATTAATTGATGCAGTTCCTTCATAGCATCGATGGTCTTTACCATTTGGCATGTTTTTGCAGTGTCTGGTACCGGTTGTTCTTTTCCATGTTTAGTGCTTCCTTCAGGAGCTCTTATAAGGCAGGCCTGGTGGTAACAAAATCACTCAGCATTTGCTTGTCTGTAAAGGATTTTATTTCTCCTTCACTTCTGAAGCTTAGTTTGGCTGGATATGAAATTCTGGGTTGAAAATTCTTTTCTTTAAGAATGTTGAATATTGGCCCCTACTCTCTTCTGCCTTGTAGGGTTACTGCTAGGAGATCTGCTGTTGGTCTGATGGGCTTCCCTTTGTGAATAACCTGACCTTTCTCTCTGGCTGCCCTTAACATTTTTTCCTTTATTTCAACCTTGGTGAATCTGACAATTATGTATCTTGGGGTTCCTCTTCTCGAGGAGTATGTTTGTGGTGTTCTCTGTATTTCCTGAATTTGAATGTTGGCCTGCCTTGCTAGGTTGGGGAAGTTCTCCTGGATAATACCCTGAAGAGTGTTTTCCAACTTGGTTCCATTCACTCCATCAGTTTCAGGTACACCAGTCAGACGTAGATTTGGTCTTTTCACATAGTGCATATTTCTTGAAGGCTTTGTTCATTTCTTTTTACTCTTTTTTTTGTCTAATCTTGTCTTCTTACTTCATTTCATTAATTTGATCTTCAATCACTGATATCCTTTCTTCCACTTGATTGAATCGGCTGCTGAGGCTTATGCATGCGTCACGAAGTTCTCTTGCCATGGTTTTCAGTTCCATCAGGTCATTTAAGGTCTTCTCTCCACTGTTCATTCTAGTTAGCCATTCGTCTAACCTTTTTTCAAGGTTTTTGAGCTTCCTTGCAATGGGTTAGAACATGTTCCTTTAGTTTGGAGAAGTTTGTTATTACCGACCTTCCGAAGCCTACTTCTGTCAACTCATCATTCTCCATCCAGCTTTGTTCTGTTGCTGGTGAGGAGCTGCGATCCTTTGAAGGAGAAGAAGCACTCTGGTTTTTAGAATTTTCAGCTTTTCTGCTCTGGTTTCTCCCCATCTTTGTGGTTTTATCTACCTTTGGTCTTTGATGTTGGTGACCTACAGATGAGGTTTTGGTGTGGATGTCCTTTTGGTTGATGTTGATGCTATTCCTTTCTGTTTGTTAGTTTTCCTTCTAACAGTCAGGTCCCTCAGCTGCAGGTCTGTTGGAGTTTGCTGGAGGTCCACTCCAGACACTGTTTGCCTGGGTATCACCAGCAGAGGCTGCAGAACAGCAAATATTGCAGAACAGCAAATATTGCTGCCTGACCCTCCTCTGGAAGCTTTGTTCCAGAGGGACCCTTGCCTGTATGAGGTGTCTGTTGGCCCCTCCTGGGAGGTGTCTCCCAGTTAGGCTACACGGGGGTCAGGGACCCATGTGAGGAGGCAGTCTGTCTGTCCTCAGAGGTCAAACGCCATGCTGGGAGAAGCACTGCTCTCTTCAGAGCCATCAGACAGGGACGTTTAAGTCTGCACAAGTTGTCTGCTGCTTTTTGTTCAGCTATGCCCTGCCCACAGAGGTGGAGTCTATAGAGGCAAGTAGGCCTTGCTGAGCTGTTGGGGGGCTCTGCCTAGTTCGAGCCTCCTGGCTGCTTTGTTTACCTACTCATGCCTCAGCAATTGTGGACGCTCCTCCCTGACTGGGCTGCAGCCTTGCAGGTTGATCTTAGACTGCTACACTAGCAGTGACAAGGCTCCGTGGGTGTGGGACCCACCGAGCCAGGCATGGGAGAGGATCTCCTAGTCTGTGGGTTACTAAGACTGTGGGAAAAGCGCGGTATTTGGGCGAGAGTGTACCGATTTTCCAGGTACAGTCTGCCACGGCTTCCCTTGGCTAGGAATGAGAAATCCCCAACCCCTTGTGCTTCCCTGGTGAGGCGATGCCCCGGCCTGCTTTGGCTCACCCTCTGTGGGTTGTACCCACTGTCCAACCAGTCCCAATGAGATTAAGCAGGTACATCAGTTGGAAACGCAGAAATCACCTGTCTTCTGTGTCACTTATGCTGGAAGCTGCAGACTGGAGGTGTTCCTGTTTGGCCATCTTGGAACGGACTCAGACTTTCTTTTTTTGAAACTTTTATTTTAAGTTCAGGGGTACAAGTGCAGGTTTGTTATGTTGGTAAACTTGTGTCATGGGACTTTGTTGTACAGATTATTTCATTACCTAAGTATTCAACCTAGTACCCATCAATTATTTTTCCTCACCCCCTCCCTCCTCCCACACTCCATTCTCCAAAAGGCCCCAGTGTGTGTTGTTCCCCTCTATGTGTCCATGTGTTCTCATCATTTAGCTCTCACATATAAGTGAGAACATGCGGTGTTTGGTTTTCTGTTCCTGCATTAGTTTGCTAAGGATGATGGCCTCTAGCTACATTCATGTCCCTGCAAAGGACATGATCTCATTCTTTTTAATGACTGCATAGTATTCCCTGGTGTATATGTACCACACTTTCTTTATCCAGTCAATCATTGAGGGCATTTAGGTTGATTCCATGTCTTTGCTATTGTGAATTGTGCTGCAATGCGCATACAGGTGTATGTGTCTTTATAATAGAATGATTTATGTTCCCTTGGGTATATACCCAGTAATGGGATTGAATTATATTTGTGTCTTTAGGTCTTTGAGGAATCACCACACTATCTTCCACAATGGCTGAACTTCATTTACACTCCCACCAACAGTGTATAAGTGTTCCTTTTTCTCCAGAACCTTGCCAGCATATGTTTTTTTAAATTTTTATTTATTTGTTTTTGAGAGAGAGTCTCACTCTGTTGCCCAGGCTGGAGTGCAGTGGCACAACCTTGGCTCACTGCAACCTCTGCCTCCTGGTTTCAAGTGATTCTCCTGCCTCAGCCTCCCAAGTAGCTGGGATTACAGGCGCGCACCACCACACCCAGCTAATTTTTGTATTTTTAGTAGAGGCAGGGTTTTGCCATGTTGCCCAGGCTGGTCTTGAACTTTTGACCTCAGGTGATCTGCCCACCTCGGCCTCCCAGTGTGGTGGGATTACAGGCGTGAGCCACTGTGCCCGGTTGTGAGTTTTATTTTTATACATTTTCACATTGTTAGCATCCTTTTAAAAAATTTATATAAATTTATGGGGTTCATGTACAATTTTGTGGGAATGTGAATTATTATACCCTTTATGGAAAACAGTATGGGGATGTCTTAAAAAGCTAAAAAGTAGAATTACCATTTGATCCAACAATCCCACTACTGGGTATCTACCCAATGGAAATCAATATACCAAAATGATACCTGCACTTATATGTTTATTGCAGCATATTCACAGTAGTAAAGATATGAAATCAGCCTGTGTCTATCAACAGATGAATGTTTAGTCTTCTTTTGTTTCAACTTGAAGAACTTCTTTTAGCCTTTTTGTAAGGTGGGATGAACTCCCATAGCTTTTCTTTGTTTGGTAGGGTTATGATTTTAAATAGGGCCAGGTGTGCATGGTGGCACATGCCTTTAACCCCAGCACTTTGGGAGGCTGAGGTGGGTGGATTGCTTGAGCCCAATAGTTCGAGACCAGCCTGGGCAATGTGGTGAAACTCCGTCTCTGCCAAAAAATACAAAAGTTACCCAGACATGATGGTGTGCACCTGTAGTCCCAGCTACTCAGGAGGCTGAGGTGGGAAGATGGCTTGAGTCAGGGAGGCAGAGGTTGCAGTGAACCAAGATTGCACCATTGCACTCCAGTCTGGGCGACAGAGCCAGACCCTGTCTCAAAATGAGTGAATGAATGAATGAATGTTATATGGGAAGGCCTCATTGAGAGTGACATTTGTGCAAAGTGAATTGGGAGTGTTCCACATGGGAGGTCCAACAGGTATAAAGCCCTAATGCTAGAATATGTCTGGCATGCTGGGAAGCATAAGGAGGCCAGTGTGATTGGAGTACAGTGAATGCTGGGGAGAAGGGGTGTATGGAATTGGAAAATTTTGGACATGATAACCTACTGTGAGGACTTTGGCTTTTCCTCCGAGTGAGATGGAGAGAGGTTGGAGGTTTGTGAGCAGAGGTAGTACATTTAAAAAAATATAATAGCTTTACTGATAAATGATTCATTTACAATATAATTTCCCCATTTAAAAATGGTTTTTAGTATATTCACAGAGTTTTGCAGCCATCACCATAATTAATTTTAGAACATTTTCATCACCCCCTAAAGAAACCGTGTGCTTATTAGCAGTTACTCTCATTTTCTCCTAACCCCGCAGCCTTCAGCAACCTCTGTTTTCTGACACTATGGATTTGACTGTTCTGGACATTTCACGTATGTGGAATCATACAATATGTGTTCTTTTATAACTGGCTTCTTTCACTTAGCATGATGTTTTTAAATTTCATCCATATTGTAGCATATATTAGCACTTTCTTCCTTTTTTTTGGTCTATCCATTTTTATGTCCTTTTATTCATTGTGTGAATATACATTTTATTTATCCATTCATCAGTTGATAGGTATTTGGGTTGTTTCTACTTTTTAGCTGTTATGAATAATGCTGCTGTGAACATTTGCATATAAATTTTTATCCGGACATATGTTTACTGGTACTGCATTTTAAAGGAGCATATTTATTGACAAAGGATAAATGATCTAGATTTTCTTCCAGAAGGAGGTTTGGTTCCATTTGCTGCTTTCTTTTCTTTGTTCACTGACTCTTCATACAGAGTTAGGTCATTTTTGTTGTTGTTGTTGTTGTTTGTTAAGCAATTTCCCAGTCCCTGTGTTCTGTCTAGTTTCCCTGACTTGGATTTCTTTGAGTAAAAGTGTGGCCACATTAAATAGGTTACCTGAAAGGTACGGGCTGTTGTACTTACAGCCTTATGTAATTGTTAATTAAGATATTCTGATAAAATCTTAGTTTATGAACATTCTTAAGGAAAGTTACACAGGATTTTCTATACTGAGTTCAGACTCATTAGTGAGTCAGTTCAGTGAAAGCAGCATTTAAAAACTGAAATAGAATACAGAAGGAAATATTAGAGTACATCTGTTACTTTACAAAATTTTTAATTCAGTTAAACGTGTATGAACTGGGTAAGATATAAAACATGTATGTGTTTATGGGTTGTAGTAAGAAAGTTTGGAACCCCTCTGGGTTAGGATGTCCATGTAATTAATACTGTTTCTTTTCCATTTTATTTTTATTTTTTGGAGAGCACTGAGGTCTTGTTCAGCATGGAATATTTAAAGCATGCTATATTATACCCCAACAGGTAATATAAAGGAGCAGTTTTTTTTGTTGTTGTTTAATGTAAGTGTGGGGATGAGATTTGTATCTTTTTATGAATAATTATGGTTTTCTGGTAATGTTATAACTAAGCGTATATATATTTTTTATTGTAGGAGTCATACTCCATGGGTTTATGTGATAAATGATCTTGGCATAGAAGAGAATTTAAAGAATGATGGTAAGTGATATCTTAAAGACTAGCCTTAGTTTTTTTGCCTTTCTCTTTTCTTCCTTTCTTTTATCTTTTTTAATGTAATAGTTGTTTCATTCAAGATACCCTATGGAACACATTGTCATAAAGCACAGTGATAAAGTGAGCAGCTATGAATGTACTATTCAACCTTAGAGCCCAGGAACCCTGCTGCTCCTCAGGCTTGCCTCTAACACTTATGGTACCTAGGTTAGGAATACAAGTGGAAGCCAGCTTTTAAAATTTCTTAATATTAAATAGTTACAAATCAATGGATGCTAACAGCCTGACCTGGCCTCCTACCCAGGGTCTAGCCAAGTCTTAAAGGAACCTACTCTCCCTGGGCTAGGTAGGGTAGAAGTTGGGCTAGAGTAGGTCTTGAATCTGGTATGGGGACCGATGTGAAATTCCCCAGAGAGCCAGGGAAAACAGGTTTCTGTCTCCCACACTTTACTTTTCTAACTCAAGATTTTTCAGGCAATTCCAAACATCTTCTTAAACTACTCAAATTGAGGAGGAGAAAGGAATGGAGGTATACATGGAGTCCAGTCTGCCTCGATAATTCCTTTGGGATAGTTGGGGTGACCAACCTTAATCAAAAGCACATATTCTTGCTCTGTTTTTTCCAGCACTGATGCTGATTTGCCTTCTTCCTTCTCTCTTATTGTCTGGCCTGGGGGGACCCTAAGTTTAGTTTGTGAGTCCCTCTCTCTTAATTTGTGTTTACTCAATTAGTTACTGATTCCTTTTGGATTTTGGTATTTTTGATAGGTACAACCTTCTGAAGTGTGGCGCTCAGGGCAGAGCCCCTTCTTCTGGTTGAAAGAGCAGGAGAGGGCCGGGCACGGTGGCTCACGCCTGTAATCCCAGCACTTTGGGAGGCCTAGACGGGCGGATCACAAGGTCAGGAGACCGAGACCATCCTGGCTAACACGGTGAAACCCCGTCTCTGCTAAAAATACAAAAAATTAGCCTGGCGTGGTGGTGGGCGCCTGTAGTCCCAGCTACTCAGGAGGCTGAGGCAGGAGAATGGCATGAACCCGGGAGGCGGAGCTTTCAGTGAGCCAAGATCGTGCCACTGCACTCCAACCTGGGCTATAGAGCGAGACTCCGTCTCAAATAAAAGAAAAAAAGAAAGAGCAGGAGAGCATCTATTTGTTGTATGCTCTTATTTCATCCCTCCCACTTCATACTCTTCCTCAGTTCTAAGGTTTTGATTTTTCATATCTGTCATTTGGGGTTATTTTCTGTTGGTCTGCTTTTGGGTCTTTTGGTCATAAACTATGCTTTTGTTTGCCAGAAGATTTCTTTTTTTTTAATCTGCCCTAATTTTGAAAAATGGTCTTAGAGGGGATAGAAGTCTAGGTTGACAGATTTTTTTTCTCTTAATATCTTTTTTTTTTTCTTCTGGAGACAGAGTCTCTCTGTCACCCAGTCTGGAGTGCAGCGGCACAATCATAGCTCACTGCAGTTTTTATCACCTGGGCTCAAGCAGTCCTCCCACCTCAGCCTCCTAAGTAGCTTGGAACTATAGGTGCATGCCAGTTTTTTATTTTTAATTTTTTTGTAGCGATAGGGTCTTGCTTTGTTGCCCAGGTGATCTTGAACTCCTGACCTCAAGTGATCCTCCTGCTTTGGCCTTCTTCCACAGGGCTGGGATTACAGGCATGAGCTACTATGCCTGGTCTTTCTTAGTATCTTGACAAAAGAGATTCCACTGTCCTCAGCTTCTTTTTGATTTTTAGGGAATTCTTTTTCCTTTGATTTAATTTTAATTTAATAGCATATGCAGCATTTACATGGTTCAAAATTCAAACTATAAAACAGTGTTCATTTAGAGAAATTCAGCTTTCTTCTCTCTTCTTCCTCTTCTTCCCTTGTGGGTAACATTAATTTTTTTAAATTGTGCTAATACAAATAACATGACATTTACCATCTGAACCATTTTTAAGTATACAGTTCAGTGGTATTAAGTACATTCATATTGTTGTGCAGCTATCACTATTATTCATCTTCAGAACTCCTTGTCTTGAAATATTGAAACTCTATACATTAAACAATAATTTCCCATTTCCCTTCACCCCCTGCTCCTGTACCACTTGCTGTCTCTGTGATTTTGACTACTTTATGTACCACATATAAGTGAAATCATCCAGTATTTGTCTTTTTGTGTTTGGCTTATTTCATTTAGCATAATGTCTTCAAGGTTCATCCATGTTGTAGCATATGTCAGATTTCCCTCCTCTTTAAGACTGAATAATATTCTGTTATAAATAAATAATAATAATATATTACGTTTTGCTTATCCATTCATCAGACACTTGGGCTGTTTCCCCTTTTTAGCTATTGTGAATGTTGATGCTATGAACATGGGTGTACAGATATCTCTTCAAGACTGTTTTCAGGCCAGACGCAATGGCTTACGCCTGTAATCCTAGCACTTTGGAAGGCCGAGCCAGTTGGCTCACTTGAGGTCAGGAGTTTGAGACCAGCTTGGCCAACATGGCGAAACCCTGGCTCTACTAAAAATACAAAAAATTAGCTGGCATGGTGATATGCACCTTTAGTCCCAGCTACATGAGAGGCTGAGGCATGAGAATCGCTTGAACCCAGGAGGCGGAGGTTGCAGTGAGCCATGATCATATCACTACACTCTAGCCTTTGTGTCAGAGCAAGACTCTGTCTCCAAAAAGTAAATAAATAAATAAAATAGTAAAGAACTGTTTTCAGTTATTTCGGGTACGTAACCAAAAGTGGAACTTGTAGATAATATGGTAAATCTATTTTTAATGTTTGGAGGAACTGTCATAGTGTTTTCCGCAGTGGCTGCAACATTTAAAATTCCCACCAACAGTGCACAAGGGTTCCAGTTTTTCCACATCCTCACCAACATTTTTTATTTTCTGTTTTTTTGATGGTAGCCATTTTAATGGGTGCATGGGTAATCGTTTTTCTTAATGTTTGATTTATCTTTTATATTTTCAAAATGAATGTATACATTTATATGTATATACATGTGTTTTTCTTTTTTGAACCTAAAGGTAATATATTTTAGTATCTTGGGAGTTTTTTTTTTTTCTTTTCACTTAGCAATATATCCTAGAGTGTTAGAGATCTTCGTTTCTTTTTATAGCTGCATACTATTTCCTATTGATCTCTGTTTTAAAACTCTAGCAGGTAAGATATAGTAAAGTTTTTCTTATCTGCCAATTGTGACTCTAAGGAATATGTCCAAAAACCTGAAAGTAAATGAAAAATGCTTATGATCATACACAACAGATAGTCCACACACTGTAAGTATATTCACTGTACTTGCAGAATTCTTGAGTTCCTTATTCAGAACTGTAATAGTACATTTCCCATAAGCCTACCAAATAAGAATTGACAGCTAATAGCTTGTTAGGGAAGAGGAGAAAATAATTAAGAATTAAGCTTTTGTGTTCTTCTTAATCATCAGGAAGTAAAGAACTAAAAAATCTTTAACAACACTTTTGTCTGTGCCCATTTATTTTAGGACAACTGTCTTTTGTATTTCTATAACTCCTGAGGCATAATTAAATTATAGTATCATATAGAAGTTGGTGTTCATAGTGGTAACCTGAAGTTATCAAGAAAAGAGTAAGTTTCTTTAGTAGCCTCTGTCGCAGAGGTCAAGGAAATGTGTTCAGAGATTTTCATACAAAATAATAAAACCAAAAAGAATTTGTGCTTAGCGGGGCAAACCTAAGTTATCAATTTATGTAGAACACCTCATTTCCCAATAATGTTCATTTATTGATGCTTTTTAAAAATCATTCTGCCAGTTATTCATTTATTCATACATATTTATGTGCCAGACACCATCCTACACAGTGAGAATAGTGAACAAAACCTAGTCCTTCAGAAACTTACTGTCTAATGGAAGACAGAGTAAACACATTAAGTGTATGATTTAAAATATAATTGTGGTTAAGTGTTACAAAGGAGTACAAGTTGGTTTGAGTATATAAAAGGAATCCTGGCCAAGTCTCGGGGTTGAAGAAAACTTAGCCTTAGGACGTTACATTTAAGTTGGGATTCGAAAGATCATTAGGCTTTGGCTGGGCTAAGAGGAATACTCTCTTAGAATGCTTTCAGTAGCAAGTAGAGTTGGCTTCAGATAAGAATTGATCCAGTGGCTCAACAGTGTCATCAAAAATTTGATTGCTTTTCCTCCACTTACTCTGGCTTCTGTTCTGTTGCCATTATTTTAAGGCTTGCTGTCTTTATGATCCCTAGATGCTTAGCAGTAGTTTCCAAAGCTGTATATTCCCTAACATATGGCCAGTAGGAGAGTCTTTTCTCTAACATTCCAGTAAAAGATCTGAGATCCTAAGTTTTGATCACCTTAGGTCACATGCTCACCTCTGGATCAGTTGTTGTGGCTAGGCGAGCAGATTGACTTAGGCAAGGTCATGTGCTGCACCCTGGAGTTAGGGACAAAAGGTGCTTACCTAGAACCACAAGGGACCCCAACAAAAATTGAACTATTAGGAAAGGAGGATGTAGAGAATGAATGCTAGGGAAGAAGCCAATAAATGTGCATTATAGAGGGGCAGGCTATTCCATACAGAAGGAAGAATTCTGTGTAAATGTCCTGAATTAGGATGGAGCTTGGTGCTTATGGGGAACTGCATGAAAGTCTGATTTTGGAGCATGGCAAAGAAGGAAAAGAATAGTACAAGTTGAGACTGGAGGCCAGGTCATGTATTTGTAGATAATACCAGATTTCCAAAGTGGGGCTACCAGTTTCATTTCCTGTCGGTAGTGTATGGGAGGAGTTGCCCCAGATCCTCACCAGTACACAGTATAATCATTTATTTATTAAAAAAATTTTTTTGGTAAATTTTGATGACTGATTCTTAGTACTTCTTTGTTTGATTATTGGCCATTTAGATATCATTTGTGAAGTGCCTACTCAAGTTTCCTCCCCATTTTTTTATTGACCCAGTAGACTTCTTTTTTGACTCAGTCTCTGTCTTCTTCTTCCTCTTCCTCTTCTTTTTTTCTTTTTTAAATAGAGACAGAATCTCACTATGTTGCCCAGGCTGGTCTCAAACTCCTGAGCTCAAATAATCCTCCTGCCTTGGCCTCCCAAAGTCCTAGGATTACAGGCATGAGCTACCATGCCTGGCTTTGACTCAGTGTCTTTCTCTTTTTGCAATTGATTTAAGGAGTTCTTTATCTTGAATCTAAGACCTTTGGCACCTTTGGCACTTCTCCTACTCTGTAGCTTGCTTTTTCATTTTTTAATACCATCTTTTGAATAGGATCTGTTCTTAATTTTAATGAAGCTTGGTTATTAAATTTTTCCTTTATGATTAGTGCTTTTTGTGTCCTAATTATTTCTTTCTACCTGAAAATCATGAAAATACTCCCCTGTATCATTTTTGGTAATTTTTAATTTCATTATAATTTTAAATTTAAGAAAGGTTGTGAGAAGACTATGAGGAATTCTCATATATCCTTTTGCCAGATTTACCAATTGCCCCATTGGTTTTATTCTTTCCTTTCTCTCTTTGTGTGTATGAAACACACGTGTCTGTAAATATACATACATCCATATATGATATATATCCATATATGAATTCTCATATATACTTTTGCCAGACTTACCAATTGCTAATTTTGCCCCATTAGTTTTATTCTTTCCTTTCTCTCTTTGTGTGTATGAAACACGTGTCTGTAAATATACATACATCCATATACACATATCTACCTGCACACATATATAAATATATGCATATTACTTTTCTTCCTGAACCATTTAAGAGTATTTGAAGCCAACATACTCCTTCATCCTTAAATACTTCAATATGTATTTCCTAAGAATTAAGGACATTCTTTTATATGACCACAATTCAGTGTTCAAAATGTGGAAATTTAACATTCATACAGTATTATTATATAATACACAGTAGATATTCAAAATTTGTCATTATCTGAATGATGTCTTTTATAGTTATTTTCTTCTTGATCCATTTAGTTGCCAGGTCTGTTTGGTCTCCTTTAATCTGGAACAGTTCTTCAGCCTTTCTCTTTCTTGACTTTGCCATTTTTGAAGACTACAGAACAGAT
Source organism: Homo sapiens (assembly GCF_000001405.40). Lineage (NCBI taxonomy): Eukaryota > Metazoa > Chordata > Mammalia > Primates > Hominidae > Homo > Homo sapiens. The sequence goes on along the minus strand of NC_000015.10, from coordinate 76,877,703 downwards.
ATTTTGAAGGATGTCTTCTCAATTTAGGTGATGTTTCATCATGATTAGATTCAGGTTTTGCATTTTAGGCAGAATATCACACGAATGACGATGTGTCCTCAGTACATCACTTTAGGAGGTATATGATGTGAATTCATCCTGCTTGTTAACTTTGATTACTTTGTTAATGTAATGTAGTGTCAAGCTTTTCTACTTTAAAGTTTCTGTTTTCTCTTTTGATATTAGTAAGCAATTTGTGGAGAAGCACTTCGAGGCTGTGTAAATATACAGTACCTTATCAAACTGTCACTTACTAGGTTTAGAATCCATTAATGATTTCCTTATTAGTTAAAGATCTGTGAGGAAAATGCTTACATTCTCTTGTTATCTGGACTCTGATTTTTAATTTTATTTAATGTAATCTAACATAATCATTATTTATTTTGGTACTCAGATTGTCCCATATTAGCCAGTGGGAGACTTTAAGCTGGCTCTTGGATTTTTTTTTTTTTTTTTTAAAGACAGGGTCTCTGTCACCCAGGCAAGAGTGCAGTGGCGTAATTACAGCTCACTGCTGCCTCGACCTCCTGGGCTCAAGCCAGCCTCCTGCCTCAGTCTCCTGAGTAGCTGGGCCAATTTTTTAAATTTTTTGTAGAGATGGGGGTCTCCCTATGTTTCCCAGGCTGGTCTTGAACTCCTGGACTCAAGCAATCCTCCAGCTTTGGCTTCCCAGAGTGTTGGGATTACAGTTGTGAGCCAGTGTACCCAGCCAAATCTATTTGGTATGTCCATATTATTCTTTGAGCATTTCTATACTTTCTAGTGTAACAAGCTGCTGTAGGTTCAGCTCGTAATTTCCCTGTTTTATTCTTTTTCTCACCTTATTACACAGGCTAGGACTTTCAATATAATATTGAATGGAAGTAGTGATAGTAGTAGGCATCCTTGTCTTTTTCAGTTTTATACCATTATATATGATGTTTGCTGTAGTTTGCTAAGAATTTAAAAGTTATAAATAAATATTGAAATTTATTACATGCTTTTCTTTTCATCTGTTGATGTGAACACAAGGCTTTTCTCCTTTATGTTGTTAATAAATATAAATTTATTAACAGATTAATAAATTCTGTGAATTATATTCATTGATTTGAAAATGTTAAATCAGCTTAGTATTCCTGAAATAAACCCAACTTGGTGGTGTTCTCATATCTGAATTCAATTTGCAAGTACGTTTATGTTTATACATACATGTATAAATGTGTGTGTATTTTTTTTTTTTTTTTTTTGCTTTTGTTTTGAGGCAGAGCCCTACTCTGTTGCCCAGGCTGGAGTGCAGTAGCATGATCTTGAGAGGTGACAGCGTGCTGGCAGCCCTCGCAGCCCTCGCTCACTCTTGGTGCCTCCTCGGCCTCGACGTCCACTCTGGCCATGCTCGGGGAGTCCTTCAGCCCGCCACTGAGCTGTGGGGGCCCCTCTCTGGGCTGGTTGAGGCCAGAGCCGGCTCCCTCAGCTTGCCGGGAGGTGTGGAGGGAGAGGCACGGGCGGGAACCAGGGCTGTGCGTGGCGCTTGCGGGCCAGCTAGAGTTCCTGATGGGCGTGGGCTTGGCGGGCTCCTGTACTCGGAGTGGCCCCGGGCAGTGAGGGGCTTAGCACCTGGGCCAGCAGCTGGGAGGGTGCGCTGGGTCCCCCAGCAGTGCCGGCCGACTGGCGCTGCGCTCGATTTCTCGCTGGGCCTTTGCTGCCTCCCAGCGGGGCAGGGCTCGGGACCTGCAGCCCGCCATGCCTGAGCCTGACCCCGCCCCCCACCGTGGGGTCCTGCGCGGCCCGAGCCTCCTCGACCAGCGCCGCCCCCTGCTCTTTCGCTCTTTGCAGTGAATCTTGCTGCTGCTCACTCTTTGGGTCCACACTGCCTTTATGAGCTGTGACATTCACCGCAAAGTTCTGCAGCTTCACTCCTGAGCCAGCGAGACCACGAACCCACCAGAAGGAAGAAACTCCCAACACATCCGAACATCAGAAGGAACAAACTCCGGACACGCTGTCTTTAAGAACTGTAACACTCAGGGCAACGGTCTGCGGCTTCATTCTTGAAGTCAGTGAGACCAAGAACCCACCAATTCTGGACACAGTCTCAGCTCACTGCAACCCTCGCCTCCCAGGTTCAAGTGATTCTCATGCCTCAGCCTCCTGAGTAGCTGGAATTACAGGCGCGTACCACCACGCCCGCTAAGTTTTGTATTTTTAGCAGAGATGGGGTTTTGCCATATTGGCCAGGGTGGTCTTGAACTCCTGACCTCAAGTGATCCGCCTACTTTGGCCTGCCAAAGTTTTTCTGGGATTACAGGCATGAGCCACCACGCCTGGCCTACGTTTGTGTGCTTATACACATACATATATATGATTTTCACATCTTTTCTCTTAAAAGACATTAAATTATAATTTATGTTTCCTGTATGGTCCTGTTAGGTTCTGATATCAGAGTTTTTCAGGCCTCATAAAATGTGTTTTTTCTTCTTTATTCTCTAGAAAATTTAATGTAATTTGTTGCTTAAATGATTAGGATAATTTACCAGTGAAACCCATCTGGTCATAGATTTTCTTTTGTGGGATTCAATTTCTTCAGTAACTATTCAGATTTTCTGTTTTCTTTTATGCCAAGGTTTGGTAAGTTATGTTTTTCAACGGACTTGTCTGTTTCAAAGAGATTTACAAATTCATTGCTACAATGTTACTTAATTATTATTATTATTTTTTTGAGAGGCAGAGTCTCACTCTGTCACACCCAGGCTGGAGTGTAGTGGCATGATGATCATAGCTCACTGAAACCTTGAACTCCTGGGCTCCAGTGATCCTCCTGCCTTAGCCTCCTGAGTAGCTGGGACTAGAGGTGGTACCACCATGCCTGGCTATTTGTTTTTTATTTTTATTTTTAGTAGAGAGAGGTCTTGCTATGTTGTCCAGTCTGGTCTTGAACTCTTGGTCTCAAGCAGTCCTCCTGCCTTGGCCTCCCCAAGTGCTGGGATTACAGGTGTGAGCCACGGTGACTGACCGGATACAATTTTATTTATAATATCCTTTTGTTATCTTTTTGATGTGTGGAGGTTTCTAGGATCTGTAGTGATCTTTCTTTTTAATTCCTAATACTATTTTTGCCTGCTCTTGTTTTTACTTGATCCCTCTTGCCAAGGAATATATACATTTCATTAGTGTTTTTAAATAACTCACTTTTGTTTTTTTTTTAATTTTTCTGTATCACATGTTGGTCTTGTATTATATTGATTTTTTGCTGTTTATTACTTCCTTTCTTGGGATTTAATATGGTGCTCTTTTACTAACTTCTTGAAATAGAGACTTAGATAATTTAGTTTTAGCCTGTTTTCTTTCTTACATATCCTTTAAAGCTATGCAGTTTCTTTTAAGCTGCATCTTGTAAATGTTAACCTGCCATCATTTTATTATCATTTAACTAAAAATACAATTTCCATTGTGATTTTTTCCTTGATCCCCAAGTTATTTAGAAATGTATTGGTTGGCAGGGTGCGGTAGCTCATGCCTGTAATCCCAGCAATTTGGGAGGACGAGGCAGATGGATCACTTGAGGCTAGGAGTTCAAGACCAGCCTGCCCAACGTGGTGAAACGCTGTCTCTACTAAAAATACAGTAAATTAGCCAGGCGTGGTGCTGGGCGCCTGTAATCCCAGCTACTTGGGAGGCTGAAGCAGGAGAATCGCTGGAACCCGGAAGCAGAGGCTGCAGTGAGTCAAGATGGCACTACTGCAGTCCAGCCTGGGCAACAGAACGAGATTCCATCTCAAAAAAAAAAAAAGAAGAAGAAAAGAAATGTATTGCTTAACTTCCAAACACATGGGGATTATTCAGGTTATATCTCTTTTTACTTTCTATACTTTGAAATTTAGTGAGACCTGAGTTATGACTAAGGATATTGACAGTTTGGAAAACATGCACCTGGAAAAAATGTGTTTTTGCCATTGTTGACTGCTGGGTTCTGAATATGTCAAATATATCAACTTGTTAATTATGTTGTTCAAATCTTCTATATTGTTACTTAATTTTTTTGTCTGCTTGTTCTGCCAGCTTCTAAAAGAGTGTGTTGTGTTAAAATCTCCAAAAATAATTGTATTTTTCTCTTATTTCAATTTTACTTGTACATTATTAGATGTGTTAGATATGTGCACATTTGACATTGATATGTTTTCCTGGTTGATAAACTTTTTACTAAAAGTATCACTATATATACTCTAGCAGTATATCTTTCCATTTCTTCCTATAAGCCCATTATTTATGTATTATTATTTTTTAGTGGGCACCCTAGAGATGCCTGCCTGCCTGCCTGCCTGCCTGCCTGCCTGCCTGCCTGCCTGCCTGCCTGCCTTCCTTCCTTCCTTCCTTCCTTCCTTCCTTCCTTCCTTCCTTCCTTCCTTCCTTCCTTTTCCTTTCTTTTTTTCTTTTTCGGGAGATGGAGTCTGGCTCTGTTGGCCAGGCTGGAGTGTAGTGGTGCTATCATAGCTCACTACAGCTTTGAACTCCTGGTTTCAGGTAATCCTCCCACCTCAGCCTCTTGAGTAGCCGGGACTACAGGTGCCATTATGCCTGGCTTAATTTTTTTTTTTTTTTTTTGTAGAGACAAGATTCTACTCTATTGCCCAGGCTGGTCTTGAACTCTAGACCTTAAGTGATACTCCCACCTTAGTCTCCCAGAGTGTTGGGATTACAGGTGTGAACTACTGTGCCCGGCCCAACATTTCTTAATGACTTACTAGAGTCTATTATAAATTGTTACTTTTATCACTTCCTGGAGAATGTAAAGGCCTTATCCACTTTAATTGTTTACTCCCCTTCCACCTTTTGTGAAATTGTGATACACTTTGTTTTTCATATCTTTAAAATTTCATAAGATTATAGTACTTTCATATAGTTTGTATTCATACTCTTTTATTTATATTTTTACTGTTTTTGGTGTTCTTCATTTGCATGCAAACCTAGATTATTATACTGTATTAATATAGTATAGTATAATATAGTATGTATAGTACATAATGTAGTATAATAGTAGAAGGTAGGTTTGCGTGCAAACCTAGATTATTATACTATATTATTATACTAGATTAGAATATTTTTTATACTAGAAAACAGTAATTTTCTTTTAGTACTTTAAAGGTGCTCCACTGTTTACTGACGTTTATCATGTCCGTTTGTTGGAAAATCAGCTGAGTTTTTTTTGTCACCCCTTTGAAGGTAATGAGCTCTTATCCTCTCTGTACACTGTTAAGATTTTCTTTGTTTCAGGTTTTCATCAGTTTTTCTGTGATATACTTATGTTTGGTTTTCTTTGTATTTATCCTGCTTGGGGGTTTGTAGAGCTTCTGGGAGAATTTGGCTGCTATCTTTTGTCAGTTTTAAAGCCATTCCCTTTCAAATTTTTTTTCTGCTCCAGTTTCTCTGTTCTTTCCTTCAAGGTCTCCACTTGTACCATGTAAGACTTTTTCACTGTGTCTTATATGTTTATTTTCTCTTCTGTATTCTTTTTTTCCTCTGTGCTTTCATGTAGGTATTTCCTACTGTCATATTTTCCATTTTCCAGTTCGCTGACCTTTCTTCTGCTGTATCTAGTTTGTGGTTAAAGCGATTTGTTGAGCTCATAACCTCAGTAATATTTTATTTCTCTTCTAGAATATCCATGTGAATTTCATTTTTTGTTTTTCCTCTTTTATTTTTAATATTCAAAATATTTATTTTTAATGAAAAGGTATATCTTATAGCTTTTAAGTAATCAAGAAATCTGTGCAATATTTTGCTCATAAAAATGCAAATTGTGCCAGGCGTGGTGGCTCACACCTGTAATCCTAGCACTTTGGGAGGCTGAGGCGGGTGGATCACTTGAGGTCAGGAGTTTGAGACCAGCCTGGCCAACATGGTGAAACCCTGTCTCTACTAAAAGTACAAAAATTAGCCGAGCATGGTGGCGTGTGCCTGTAGTCCCAGCTAATTGGGAGGCTGAAGCAGGAGAATTGCTTGAACCTGGAGAATTGCTTGAACCCAGGAGGCAGAGGCTTCAGTGAACTGAGGTCACACCACTGCACTCCATCTTGGGTGACAGAGTGAGACTCCATCTAAAAAAAAAAAAAAAAAAAGCAAATTGTAACAGATAACGCCAGCCGCAGCTCCTTGGATTTGGTAATTAGTCACCAGTCCCCATCGCTATCCCATCTTGCCCTTATTCCCCAGGTGACTGTGTTATTTATTTATTTATTTTTTGGTTATCTTCATTTTTTATTAGGTTTTTTTTTTTTTTTTTGAGATGGAGTCTCGTTCTGTCCCCCAAGCTGGAGTGCAGTGGTGCGATCTCAGCTCATTGCAACCTCTGCCTCCTGGGTTCAACCAATTTTCCTGCCTCAGTCCCCCAAGTAGCTGGGACTACAGGCTCCCACCACCATGCCCAGTTAATTTTTTGTATTTTCAGTAGAGGCAGGGTTTCACCATGTTAGCCAGGATGGTCTCAACCTCCTGACCTCATGATCCGCCCGCCTTGAACTCCCAAAGTGCTGGGATTACAGGCATGAGGCACGGCGCCTGTCCCTTTTATTAGTTTTTAAATAGATATTTTCACATATTTCTGCATGGCAGTTACTTACTTTTTCACTTTGAAGGTATTTTCTTGACTTGCATTTATTATTTCTTATAGAATGTCACTTGTCAGTTTTATTCTTATTAATTTGAGGTTACTTGTAACTACTTCTAAGGTTTTTTGTTGTTGTTGTTGTCGGTACTTTTTAACCCTAATATGTCTATCGTTTGTCTTTTTATTTTACCTTTTTATTAAAAAAATTCACAATTTTATTCATAATGCCTATTGATTCGTGGTATGATCTTTTGTTAGTTTTGGAAAGTTCTCAGCCTTTATGTGCTCTAATCCCATTTTTGTTTCTCTTTTCCTCAGATTTCAGTTTTTGCTTCTATGTTTGACCTTTTTAAAAATTTCTTATGTCTCTTTTGCTCTTTTCTATTTTTTTTATGTTTTCATTCTGGATATTTTAGTCTAACTAATTCACTAATTTCTTGTTAAACCCATTCATTGAGTTCTTAATTTCAGTTTTTTGATTCTTCAGTTTTATAATTTCTACTTGATTCTTTTAAGGTATCTAGTTTTCTGCAGAAAATTTCAATCCTTTTATTTTCAGTTCATATTAATTAGAGTTACTTTAAAATCTATTTCTGATAACTTTTATTACTTGGCTAATGTGTGGGTATATTCCCTTTTTTTATATTTTTTCTTGGTTTTTAGTCTTTGGACTTGTTTTCTAGTATGCCCAGTAATTTATTTTATTTTATTGCTGCATAAGAGATGTACATAATTTTGGGGTACATGTGATAATTGATTACATTCATATAATTTGTTAATATACTTGGCTGTGTCTATCAACCTAAATATGTCTTTTTGTACTAGAAACATTCAAATTATTCTTTTCTAGCTATTTTGAAAAGCATAATAAAGTATTATAACTATAGTCACCCCTCTGATCTATCTAACACTAGGTCTTATTTTTTCTATCCAACCATATATTTGTACCCATTAATCAACTTTTTATCCCCACCCACCCCACTCCACTACTTTTCCTGGCCTTGGGTAACTACCAGTCTACTCTATATCTTTATGAGATCCACTTTTTTAGCTCCAACATATGAGGGAGAACATATGATAGTTCTCTTTCTGTGTTTGGCTTATTTCACTTAACATAATGACCTCCAGTTCCATCTATGTTGTTGCAAGTGACAGGATTTTATTCTTTTTCATGGCTGAATGATATTCAACTTTGTATATGTAATACTTTTTCTTTATTCATCTGTTGATGGCACTTAGGTTGATTCCATATATGTGAATAGTGATGTAATAAACATGGGAGTGCAGATAACTTTTTGATATATTAGTTTCCTTTATTTTGGATATATACGCAGTAGTGGAATTGCTGGATCATATGATGATTCTCTTTTTAGTTTTTTTGGGGAACTTTCATACTGTTCTCTATAATGGCATACTAATTTTCATTTCCACCAACAGTGTACTTAGGGTGCCTCTTTTTCCACATCCTTGGTAGCATGTTATTGCCTGTCTTTTTGATAAAAACCATTTTAACTGCGTGAGATGATATTTCACTGTAGTTTTGATTTGCATTTCTGTGGTGATTAGTGATGAGTCTTTTTTCATATATCTGTTGGCCATTTTGTATATCTTTTGAGAAATGTCTATTTAGATCTTTTGCCCATTTTTAATTTGGATTATTTGTGTTTTGCTAGTGAGTTGTTGGAGCTCCTCATATGTTCTGGTTATTAATCTCTTACTAGATGGGTAATTTCCAAATATTTTCTTCCACTCTGTGGATTGTCTCTTTGTTGATTATTTCCTTTGTTATGCAGAAGCCTTTTAGTTACTAATATAGTCTCATTTGTCTATTTTTGTTTTTGTTGCCTGTGCTTTTGAGATCTTACACAAAAATTCTTTACCCAGACAAATATCCTGGAGCATTTCTTTTAAGTTTTATTTTAGTAGTTTCATAGTTTCAGGTCTTACTTTGAAGTTTTTAATCCATTTTGATTTGATTTTTTGGTATGGTGAGAGATAGGAACCTAGTTTTATTCTTTTGCATAAAGTTATCCAGTTTTCCCAGCACCATTTATTGAATAGGGTGTTCTTTCCCTGGTGTATGTTCCTGTCAACTTTGTCAAAGATTAGTTGGCTGTAAATGCATGGGTTTATCTCTGGGTTCTCTATTCTGTTCCATTGGTCTGTGTGTTTGTTTTTATGCCAGTACCATGCTGATTTTGTTACTGTAGTCAGGTACTGTGATGTCTCCAGCTTTATTCTTTTTGCCCAGGTTTGTTTTGGCTGTTTGGGGTATTTTGTGTTCCATATAAGTTTTAGGATTTTTTTTTCTATTTCTGTAAAGAATGTCATTGGTATTTTGAAAAGGGATTGCATTGAATCTGTAAATTGCTTTGGGTAGTGTTGTTTTAATAGTATTCTTCCATTTCATAAGCATGAAATATCTTTCCATTTTTTATATCCTCCTCATTCTCATTCATCAGTGTATTACAATTTTCCTTGTCTGGATCTTTCCCTTTTTTGGTTAAATTGATTCCAAGATATTTTATATTCTTTGTAACTATCGTAAATGGGATTGCTTTCTTGATTTTCTTTTTTGGATTGTTCACTGTTGGTTTTTGTATGTTGATTTTGTATCCTGTAACTTTACTGAATTTGTTAATCAGTTCTAACAGATTTTGGTGTAGTCTTTAGGTTTTTTGGTTTTTTTTTTGAGACAAGGTCTCACTCTGTCACCCAGGCTGGAGTGCAATGATGCGATCATAGCTCACTGCAGCCTTGAGCTCCCAGGCTGAAGCAATTCTCCTGCCTCTGCCTCTCGAAGTGCTAGGATTGCAGGTGTAAGCCACCACACCTGGCTGTCTTTATCTTTTTCTAAGTAAAAGATGTCATCTGCAAACTAGGCTAATTAGACTTCTTCCTTTCCAATGTGGATGCCTTTTATGTTTTCATAACTGGAAGGGGAACCAACAGATTAGTAGTTTATTTCTTGTTCACTTAATAGTTCAGTGTAGGTATTCAGCATGTGACCTTTCACATTTTGATGGGACTAAATTTTTTTTTTTATCTTATGACTCTATCATTCTTTAGAGAGGTCTGCTAGATCCTATGCATCTGGCCAGTAAGTGGGGAATTGAGGGAGAGAACATAGCTGATGATGCAGGAGACTTAAAAAAAAGCAAACCCAGACCTGGACATAGCTTACCTCATTTTCCCCTATATTCTAGCATGCAGAACTTAGTCACATGGCCATCTGTCTGCAAGAAAGACTGGAAGGTGTTGTCTAGCTTTGTGACAGGAAAGAAAGCAAGTGGTTTTGATGCATATTGTAGTCTCTGTCATGGAGGCTGATACAGTATTAGTAATTTAGGTTTGAGATGATGATAGCTTGGACTAGGGTGATGGTAGTGGATTTACATTCTCCAGTTGTGTTTAGGAGATAGACTCGGTAAGACTTGATATATCATTTAGTGTATAGGCTAGTGAGCTATAACAGAGACTCCAGAACAGAGTAGCTCATACAAGAGAGAAGTTGTTTCCCCCTTATAATAGTTTAGCCATCCTTAGTTCATCTATGGTTTTACCTTTAGATGGTGTGAAATATTGGTAAAAACTGATAAAGTTATCGTAAATTACTGAACAGGATTCCAGCTTATCATTCTGTAATATTAGGAAAATTGTACTAGTTACATGGTTTCTCAGGTAAGCTGCATGACTAGTAATCTTGTCTTCATGCTACCCAAAGTATTAAGGGCGTTAGTAGTGGGAATTTAAGAGAAAGGTTCTTTTCTGAATTATTCAGAAAGCTGAAAAACATTGGAAAAAAGATACAAGAATTTCATTTTATGGGCAGATAGTGGTATGAATGGATTTTGAAGAACTTGTATAAAGTAGAAAGTTTTATGGAGACAGATACATAGACATTTAGTAAACAGTACTTGTAACCTTTTCAAGATTATGGGGAAAGTTGTTGAAATTATTTAGATATTTTAAACCTAAGAGAAAGAAGTTTCTTTGGGAGCAAGTCTCAGAAGTACCTAGCCTCTTTGGTAACTATTGTAAACACTTTCTTAGATTATGTACTGTAAGATTTGAACATAAAAACTTTCACTGAAGGCTGATCTTTATACTTTTAGTTGAAACATTAAGTATTTGAACAGGCCTCTGTAAAATCTCCATACAGCACTAGGTGGCACACTGTGACTTTGGATGAAAATACACATATTTTGTTGAAGACTCCTGTGAGAAAAGAACCTAGGTTAAAAAAAAATACTGTTTGAAATAGACATCTATTTTATGAAGTATCTCAGAACCATGTATTGCATTTCAAACCCTGATACTGATATTAAAATGCTTAAAACTATTTTATTTACATTACTACTGACATTTTTATAAGAACTGGACTACTAAAAATCATTAGAATTTATGGGTTTTTACTAAAAGGAATCCATTCAGCATGTATTACAAAAAGCATCTGTGCTTTAAAATGAAAAATGATTTTCAATCAGATCTTGTAGTAAGATGAGTAGTTATAATGTTTTTGCTTATCAAGTATTGGAATTAAGAATAAAATCAAAGTCTTGAGCTAGTGGTTTTTCTTTGAATGTGTGTCTGTGTATATGTACTAAATACAAAAGAGCTAACTTGGTAAAATTTATAGTGGAGCTGAAATGTTTATGGAAGTAAAGAATGTTAGATTTGAAGTTTTCTGGTCTAGTGTTACAACATTGCTATTTTGTGATTATCCATTTTAGTTCTTGGAAACTCATTATTTTGTGAAGACTCTTGACTTAGAATGTAATGTATGGCATAGTGAATTTTCTGACCTGATATACACACACACACGCACACACACACACACACTCAGTGTCTCTCTCTGTCTCACAGGATGTTCTGTGATTGTGTAAGGGAATTATCTGAAGTAGAGCTGAAAAGTAGGCCATCTATTTATACTTGTTCATTTGGCCTGGAAGCAATAGTGATACCCTTGGTTAGAACAATGCTAAATGATAGATGCCAGTGTAAGTTAGATAGAACTGACCAATACTTAATGGGAGATGTGCTTAAGCTAAAGGACGAAGTTTTCTGGTGTTACATTGATTGGAAAGTATGAGAATGAGTAGAGAAGTGACTTTTGCAAATCTACAGGACACTGAATGGGGTTTGGACAGTGATCATAGACAAATGAGTTTCAGTGAAAGACCTTAATGAGTCAGGTAAGTAGATGACACATGGATATTCAGGGTAAGGTCAGAGGAATGAAGGAATATGGGTACGGATGTTTACATTAAAGACGTAAAAAGTGACAAGTTCTGGAGAGGAAAATTTGGGTTAGACTCTCATCACAGAGAATTAGAGTAGAAGAATATAGTCTTTGTTTTTCTGGTAGTTGGATATTAGTTGGCGAGTTGATTCATTTTTGTACCGAAACCTGTTTCCTGTCACTCACAGATTTAGCACCTATTGTCATTCCCTCTTTCTTACCATAACACAATTTGTCTCTGTACTGGATCATCCCCATCAGTATGAAAGTATGATATACTATCACTCATCTTAAAAATCCATTCTGTTTATTTATTTCTTTGTTCTCCTTTATGACGAAACTCAAAGTATCTTAATACTCAGTATCCCCATTTTTCTCATCATTCTGTTTTGAACCGTTTTCAGTCAGGATTTTGACCCTACTATACCACTAAATAGGCAATAAGTTACCAATTTATTAGAGTTTATTATAAATTATTACTTTTATCACTTCCTGGACAATGCAAGGCTGTCAGTCTTATGGCTGTTGCTTTAAAGGTAATGAGTTGATTTTTCCCTCTCCTCTGTACTCAAGATTTTTCTCTTTGTTTCAGTTTATCATCAGTTTTTCTGTGATATGCTTAAGTGTGGTTTTCTTCGTATTTATCCTCTTTGGGGTTTGCAGAGCTTCTGGGAGAATTGGGCTTATATCTTTTTCTCAACTTTATTTTATACTGTCAAAGAGATTAATGGGATAGTTGGTGAAATGTAAATGCTGTAATTTAAATAATAATTCTGTATCAGTGATAATCTCCTGATTTTGTTAGTTATAGTATAGTGATATAGGATAGTATCCTTACATATATAAAATACATAGTGAAGTATTTACTGCCAAGGAGTATAACTGCAGATTGTTCTCAAATGCTTCAGGAAAAAAATGTGTGAGGGTATGTTTGATATTCTTTGTGTGAATTTATAACTTTTTAGTAATTTGAATTTATTTCAAAATGACAAGTAATATGTGTCTGTTTATCTCACAGTTGGCTTCTTACCATACAGCCACATTGTTTGTTTACATACTGACTATGGCTGCTTCACATAAAATGGCAAAATTGAGTAGTTGTTACAGAGGTCTTATGGCCTGCAAAGCCTAAAATAAAAAAAAAAAAATTATTATCTGGCCCTTTGTAGAAAATCTTTGCTGACCCTTGCTCTAGAGTGTACTATAGTGACTTTTTTTTCTTTCCCTGAAGTGATGCTACTCATTAATTTCCTTCATTTGAAAATAATGTATTGCTTTTTCTTCACATATTCCCCAAAAGAGTAAAAATTAACCAGTGGGTGGGGAGAATCCAAACTGGAAGGCAAATAGTAACATACTCCCAGGTGAAGATGAGAACTAATTACATGATTTTGGCAAACAGTACTTTGGATATTGTAAGGTTAAAGATAAGAACCATACGTAAATGCTGTAATGTAGTTAGTAAATGTGTTTCTCATAGGAGTATGGGTTAGCAACTTTGAAACTACTTTATGTGTATATTAGAATTGAACAGATAAGTAAATAAGTTGTAGATAATGAAAACTGGGGATCTTATGTTGGAGAAAGAAGTTTCAGACAAGCAAAGCGAAAGGCTAAAATGAGCCCCGTGGCTTAGGATTGAAATCAATCAGTATAAACTCACGGTTTTTAATATCTGTATAGAAATAGATCCAGGTGTGTATATTGTGTGTTAGGGTGCATTCATCTAGTTCCTATTATCTCATTCTGTGAGTTGACTGGGTGATTTTTGTGATGTGATGTTGGCTTGGGTACTGGCATGGCAGCAGTTTTCTAGGGGCTCAGCTGGGCTGGAATGTCCAAAATGGCTCACTCACACAGTGGGTAGAGGATGCTGTCCTCTGGGAATTCAGCTAGGGCCTGTCAACCAGAGTGCTGCCCATGTGTGGTCTCTCTACTTGTGGCTTGGGCTTCTCATGGCATGACAGCTGGATTTTAAGAGTGACTGCCCTAAGAGGGAGCATTCTAAGAGACTCAGGTGGAGGCTGCAAAGCTTCTGATGACCTAGTCTCAGAAGTTATGCAGTGTCCCTTCTGCCGCATTTTATTGGTCAGAAAGCAAGTTACAGAGGCATATTCACGGGGAGTGGATTACATGAGGGCATGAACACCAGCAGGTGTGGTTTTCTGGGGCCAAGGGAGGCATCTTTGAAGACTACCTACCATACTTGTTAATTCATATATTATTTTTTACTCTTACATGTTTGCTTCATTTACTTGGATTGTTAGCTCTTTGAGGACAAGCACAATACTTTATATATTTATATTTTTCTTTATATTCTCCTCAGTCTCTTACTTGATGCTTTTGCACATAGTAATTGCCTCGTTAAATGTATTGCGCTTTAGGATTCCAGGAATGCTAAAAGTCCAGGCTGGCAAGAACTATAGGAGGGCAGGGAGGCACCTACTAATTGGACTGGGATTTTGGGCTGGCCCAGTGGTGAACTTGTTTCACAAAGAGGCAGGTTTCCCACACAGATTTAAGGATTAGATAAGGAGGCTGCATCCTCGTGTTCACATGGGTGTTTTATGATCTCTTTCTTCTCATAGATACTTGGCTTATAAAAACAGACTATTTTGATATGACATTCATTAGTGGGGAGGCAATTTCCTTTATTTTACTGGACCTGGCTCCCAGCTGGCACAGGGTGTTGGTGGGGCTGAATCTTAGGCCCGTGTTCTTAGGCCAGGCAGGGCTAGAGCAAGCAAGAAATTACGTATGTTCTGTGCAATAGTTTGAGTTTTAAAAATTGCAATTTAAATTTACCTGTTAACAGCAATTATTATTTGAATCCTGATAACTTGGAGATAAAATTATGTAGCTAAAAATGGAATGTTGACTTACTTTAGCGCAATCTCTAGAGAATTAAAAAAAGCGTTTTCCAAAATATTTTATGCTGAAGAGGTCTTTTAGGGGAAATATATAGGATGTTTGTGAAAACTGGTCTCTTTCACACTTGGACTTGTTGATATGTAAGGGATGGTGCAGATATTAGTCCACAGCAGTGTTGGTGCTCTTTAGGCCACTTTTTCAAACCTTAGATTATATTTATTATTTAAATAATTTGTTTATTTTTTAGAGTTACAAAACTCAGTGTTTTTAGATCTAAAAAAGACTTGTGACTTCCTTTTCTCTGTTTAACCACCCACCACATCCCAAATTAGTTTTAAGTGTTTTCTTTCTGAGAAAAATGTGAGAAATAATGACTTTGTTAAATATATATTTTGACTTATCTAATAATCTAATAAGTACCATCTTTTCCATACATAGGCTTCATTCCAGCGCTCCAATAGTCATGACAAAGTAAGGAGAATAGTTGCAGAGGAGGGTCGTACAGCAAGAAACCTAATAGCTTGGAGTGTTCCACTAGAAAGCAAAGATGATGATGGTATGTATTTAAAAAATTAGTTTCATTTTTGTTGTAAATAAGGAGGGTGTATTTAGTCCTAAAGAGATAGACTGAAAACTGTTTGCAATTAGACTTCTAGGGCTGATTAGTATGTTAAATAAGAAATACTTTTTTGTTGCTTTTATACACACATGGTTTTATAAAAGCCTTATTGTTAGTTTTGCTTTTTCAGATAATAGTGAAATTTGAAATTGGGTTTATTGTGTTATTATGACCAGCAGATTAGGGGTTGTTAAAGTGATAAGAGATTTAGTGATATGTTTAGGCTTTGTCTCCCCACCCAAATCTCACCTTGAATTATAATCCCCATAATCCCCACGTGTCAAGGGAGAGACCAAGTGGAGGTAATTGGATCATGGGGGTGGTTTCCCCCATGCTGTTCTCGTGACAGTGAGTGAGTTCTCATGAAATGTGATGGTTTTATAAGGGGCTCTTTCCCCTAAGCTCGGTACTTCTCCTTCCTGCTGCCTTGTAAAGAAGGCGCCTTGCTTGCCCTTCTCCTTCCACCATGATTGCAAGTTTCCTGAGGCCTCCCCAGCCATGCTGAACTGTGAGTCAATTAGAGCCCTTTCCTTTATAAATTACCTGGTTTCAGACAGTTCTTTATAAGCAGTATGAAAATGGACTAATACATTTAGGTTTTTTCTTTTATTAAATTCTTATAAAAATAAAAGGAGGTTTTTTAAAAATCATATTTACCATAATTAGGTGCAATTTAATGTAATACTTTAGAAAATAGAAGATATTTCTTTAGTTCTCATTATTATTATTTGAACAAGAAAAAAAATCATCTCTACCCTCCCTTTAATGGCTAGAGGCAGTGTGAAGCCACTGTTTTGAGGATGTTGAAGATTGGATAGAGATACAGAAGACAGGAGGTTGGCATACCTCACTTTGAAATTTTCTGAGAGCTTGTAGAATATTCCTCACAGTTAGGTTTGTCTGGTATCTTTTCATGACTAGATTCAGGTAGGTGTTTTTAGTAGGAATTCTATAGAAATGATGTGTCCTTTTCAGTTATCAGAGGAGGTTCGTGATAACTGTCTCGTTAATTTAATCAATTGCTTTAAGTGTTGTCTGCCAAATTTCTCTACTGTAAAGTAACTAATTTTTTCCTATGTAACTAATGAGTAATTTGTGGTAAGATAGTTTGAAACTATGTAAATATCCTGTTTTTGTTGAAACAGTACACTCACTACTTTTTAGCTTCTATTGATAATCCTTGGCTTATGTTATACCTCTGGTGGTTGCAAAGTGGTGATTTGTTAACAACTCCATCATTCCTTCTGCATTTGTTAGCCTTCTAATATAAGGAAGAGCTTTACCATCTCCTCTTTATTTTTATGTATGTATGTATTTATGTATGTATTTATATTTTCAGTTTGTGTGGACTCATGGCTTCTTATGGTATTTAATGGGGTACAGTTACTCTATTTTGATGCTTAAATTCTTCTCAATTTTTCAAATGGGAGACCCTTTAACTTGGCTCCTGTTCCTTACATGTTCTAATCATGTTTCCATTCTTTGAGAACATCTTTACACAAGATGTTTCAAGCTAAACAAGAATTCACCTGTTTTATTCTCTTAAATTTATGTTTACATTTTATTTTATTTAAAATTTTCTTTAAAGAATGTTTTAAATCTTTATCTTTTTTACATTTGGTCCTCTGATCCATTTGTAGTTTATTCTTACATATAGTGTGTGGTACGGATCTAATTTTATCTTTTTCCTTATAGCTAACAAGTTGCCTCAGCATAACTTGTTATAAAGTTTATCTTTGCCCCAGTTATTTTTGATTCCACCTTTTCTGTAGAGTGAATTTCCATATGTATTCCATTCTACTAGTCTGTTTACCTAATTCATGTGTGTCATACTATTTTAATTATGGAGGCATTATAGTATTTTTAAATGCCTGCTTGGACCTGTCTTCCCCTGTAGCTTTTCTTTCTCAGTTTTCCTAGCTATTTTTAGAGAACATTGTTTTGAATCACAAAAACTATCAAATAGAGGGGAAAATTGGATTTATCTTTTGAAATTCAGCTTCTTAACAGCTAATCTTTCCACAAGGAGCTATTACTTCATTTCTTTGATAAAAGTACATATCAACATGATTTATTACAAAAGTAAAAAAAATTCTGTATATTATAAATATTTTTATATGAAATTGTATTCTCTCATTTTCCATGGGTTATTCTGAACACAAAATAGTTCAAAGGTGTTTCTATTAAAGTTGTTTCTATTCAAAAAACAAAGGAAAGAAAATATAATAATCAAACATCTGTACATAACCCGATTTTTCATACAAGAACATAAATAATTGGCCAGTACAATTTTAAAGCTTCATTTGTGACTATTGTAACAATAAAACTGTAAGCACAGGCTGGGCGCAGTGGCTCACGTCTGTAATCCTAGCACTTTGGGAGGCTGAGGCAGGTGGATTGCCTGAGCTCAGGAGTTCGAGACCAGCCTGGGCAACATGGTGAAACCTCGTCTCTACTAAAATACAAAACAATTAGCGGGGCATGGCAGTGGGTGCCTGTAATCCTAGCTACCCGGGAGGCTTGAACCTGGGAGGCAGAGGTTGCAGTGAGCCGAGATCGCGCCACTGCACTCCAGCCTGGGGGACAGAGTGAGACTCTGTCTCAAAAAAACAAAACAAAACAAAACAAAACCCAAAAAACTGTAAGCACAGATAATTAGAACTTTCTGAATATCTGTAGTAATGATGACAAAAGAAGAATATTAACATTTACAATTTTTGTTAAGGATTATTTTATATTGTTAAAACTTTGCCACATATAGGCAATTAAAGACTAAGTTTTTAATAGCAGCTTGTTCTTGTTTTATGACTACAATATATACTTAGGTGTTTCTGAGGATAATTCCACTTAAAAAAAGTTCTCTGCTTTGTATTATTTCTGTTTCTAAGCTGGTTTTTCTGCTGGATATTCTAAAAACCTGCTGGTACATTACAGCTTGTGCTTATTCTAAGCTGGTTTTTCTGCTGGATATTCTAAGAAAACTTGCTGGTAGATTGTTTTTTATAATTAAAGGATGTGGCTCTGTAGGTTAGTGTAGCATTCTCTCCCTTTACCCCTGGTGGAACAGTGAGGGTGTCCCACTTATGTCAGATAAGTTGATAGTTAGGTACCTGTGTGTTATGGCTCACTTATATTGCTTCAGGGGACCTGGCCCCAAAATTACTTTGCAGAAAGGAAAATTATTCTGTTATACATTATAGAATTTTATTCCTATTTTGAAATGCTGGAGAGGTTGCAGAGAAAAAGGAACACTTACACACTGCTGGTGAGAATGTAAATTAGTTTGGCCATTGTGGAAAGCACTTTTGGTGATTACTCAAAGAGTTGAAAACAGAACTACCATTTGACCCAGCAGTCTAATTACTGAGTATATACTCAAAGAATATAAATTGTTCTACCATAAAGATACATGTATGTGTATGTTCATCACAGCACTACTTTCAACAGCAAAAACATGGAATCAACCTAAATGGCCATCAATGGTAGACTGGATAAAGAAAATGTGGTACATATATACACCATGGACTACTACGTAGCCATAAAAAGAATGAAATCATGTTATTTGCAGCAATATGGATGGAGCTGGAGATCATTATCCTAAGTGAACTAATGCAAGAACAGAAAACCAAAAACTGCACGTTCTCATTTATAAGTGGGAACTAAACATTGAGTACATATACATGGACACAAAGAAGGGAGCAAAAGACAACAGGGCCTACTTGAGGGTAGAGGGTGGGAGGAGAGTGAGGATTGAAAAACTACCTATCAGTTACTTATGCTAATTACCTGAGTGACAAAATAATCTGTGCACCAAACCCCTGTGAAACGTAATTTGCCTGTATAGCAAACCTGCACATGTACCCCTGTACCTAAAATAAAAGAAAAAAAAAAGAATTTTATTTCTGTTTTGAATTGCTGTTGAGAATAGTAATTACAAAACAGTAGTTGGTGTCTTTCTTATAAAAAAGAATGAGTGAAAAAATATAAAGAACTGAAACCTCACTTTTCGCAGTGAAATTGTGCATTTCATATATCAGATAAAACAAAATATTGGGGTTTTATATAGAAAACATATAGTCTTAATTTTATTGTTGAAATGAAATTTGAACTTAAAGAACTATTTCCAGATTTATATACAAGTTGAGGAGTACCAGTAACTGGACTTTGTTTTTAAAAGTTGTCAGAGTATCTGACTTCTTTAAGATGTTGATTTATTCCTATTCAGAGAAAGGTATTCAATAATAGCAGTCTCTGGGACTTTGGAAATTTGTTGTTGTTGTTGTTTTAATTATATCGGTTTATACTGACCATGAACAGACTGTACTATACTGTGGTCTCTGGAAGGAGATTAAATGTTAGTATGCCTGAATGATTTGCGTAGTTTAGGTTTACATTATCTAATTACCTGTAGTTCAATTTTATACTATCTATCATTCTGTATATCTACATATTTATTTTTTTCTTGCCTTGAAGGAAAACCTAAATGTCAAACTGGTGGAAAATCTAAGAGGACCATTCAAGGCACTCATAAAACTACTAAACAGGTACAGCATCTATAACTTTTTTACTTATTTACTTTTAATTTCAATTTCTGAATGTATTATAAATTATGAAAATCTTATTTTGCAGGATTTGAATATTATTTATCTAAATAAAAATTTAATGTACTTTTTAAAAACAAATGTGTATATGGTAATCAGTGTGACTTACTTGTACTAAATACTTTACAGATATTAATTTGTTTGGTTCTCGTACCCTTCGATGTAAGCATTACAGTTATCCTCACTTACATTGAAGTTTTGTTCCAAAAAGAAACTGAGACAGAGAGAAGGCATGTAACTTGCTAGTAAATGACACAGCCAGGGTTTGAACCCAGGCAGTTAATTTTTTTCTTTTTTTTTTTTAACTTTTTTTTTTTCTTTGAGACAGTCTCATCCTGTTGCCCAGGCTGGAGTGCAGTGGTGTGATCTTGGCTCACTGAACCCTCTTCCTCTTGGGTTCAAGTAGTTCTCATGCCTCAGCCACCCCAGAACCTGGAACTACAGTCATGTGTCACCATGCCCGGCTAATTTTTGTATTTTTAATAGAGACGGGGTTTCACCATGTTGGCCAGGCTGGTCCCAAACTCCTGGCCTCAAGGGATCCACCTGCCTTGGCCTCCCAAAGTGCTGGGGTTATAGGCATGAACCACCACATTCAGCCCTCAGCGGTTAATTTCCACAGTTTATGCTCTTAGCTCCTCTGCTATGCCTTCAATGTTTGCCAGTTCTTTTATGATTTTCTTTCTTGATATAATGATGCCTTTAGGTTGTAGGATGGTAAAGATATTTGGACTACAAAAATTTTAAATAGCTCTAATAAAATTTTGGACAACACAAGCCTACTTTATCTTTTGAAAGTGTTTAGCATAATTATAGTTAGCTTTTTAATCCATAGTTATTTTCATATGTGTTGTTATTTTATTTTATTAATTTAATTTAATTTTTTGAGATAAGGTCTCACTGTTGCCCAGGCTGAGTACGGTGGTACAATCAGAGCTCACAGAATGACTTGACCTCCTGGGCTCAAGTAATTCTCCCACCTCAGCCTCCAGAGTGGCTGGGACCACAAGTGTACACCACTGTGCCTGGCTAACTTTTGATTTTTTGGACAATTATTTTGATATTTTTAAGTATATAGTATGTATTATGTAAAATACAATTTCATATGAGAAAAACATGGGCTTCTAATCGTGATGTCATTGTGAGTTCACAAAGAATCCCCCATCCCCACACACAAAGGCACCAATGATTTTATATACATATATATGTAAAAAAAGTTAAAAATATATACATATATGTATGTTTTTAATATATACATATAAAAATATATACTTATATGCACATATATACACATATACATGTATATATTTCTTATATATGTATATGTATTTTAACCTTTATTTTAGGTTCAGGGGTACATATGCAGGTTTGTTATATAGGTAAACTCGTTTCATGGGGGTTTGTCGTACAGATTATTTCATCACGCAGGTATGAAGCCTAGTACCCAATAGTTATTTTTCCTCTTTCTCTTTTTTCTCCCACCCTCAAGGAGGCCCCTCTGTTTGTTGTTCCCTTCTTTGTGTTCATGAGTTCTTATAATTTAGCTCTTGTAAGTGAGGACATGCAGTATTTGGTTTTCTGTTTCTGCGATAGTTTGCTAAGGATAATGGCCTCCAGCTCCATTCATGTTCCAGCAAAATACATGATCTTGTTCTTTTTTATGGCTACATAGTATTCCATCATATATATGTACCAAATTTTCTTTATCCAGTCTGTTGTTGATGGGCATTTAGGTTGATTCCATTTCTTTGCTATTGTGAATAGTGCTGCAGTGAACATTCACGTGCATGTGTCTTTATGGTAGAATGATTTATATTCCTCTGGTAATATACCCAGTAATGGGATTGCTGGGTTGAATGGTATTTCTGTTTTTAGCTCTTTGAGGAATCGCCATACTTCTTTCCATAATGGCCGAACTAATTTACACTCCCAGCAATAGCGTGTAAGTATTCTCTTATCTCCACAACCTTGCCAAGATCTGTTATTTTTTTGACTTTTTAGTAATAGCCATTCCGACTGGTGTGAAGTGGTATCTCATTGTGATTTTGACTTGCGTTTCTCTGATGAACAGTGATACTGAGCTTTTTTTCATATGCTTATCGGCTGCATGTATGACTTCTTTAGAATAGAGTTTGTGTTCTTTGCCTACTTTTTAATGGGGTTGTTTGTTTTTATCTTGTAAATTTGTTTGCATTTATTATAGATGCCAGATATTAAACCTCTGTCAGATGCATGGTTTGCAAAAATTTTCTCCCATTCTGTAAGTTGTTTACTTTTTTTTTTTTTTTTTTTTTGCTGTGCAGAAGCTCTTAAGTTTAATTAGATGCCATGTGTCAAATTTTGCTTTTGTGTCAATTGCTTTTGGTGTCTTTGTCAAGAAATCTTTGCATGTTCCTATGTCGAGGATGGTATTGCCAGTTGTCTTCCAGGATTTTTATAGTTTTGGGTTTTACATTTAAGTCTTTAATCCATCTTGAGTTGATTTTTGTATATGGTGTAAGGAAGGGAACTAGTTTCAGTCTTCTGCATATGGCTACCCAGTTATCTCAACACCATTTGTTGAATAGAGAGTCCTTTCTCCATATCTTGTTTTTGTCTTGTCAAAG
This sequence comes from Homo sapiens, assembly GCF_000001405.40. Taxonomy (NCBI): domain Eukaryota; kingdom Metazoa; phylum Chordata; class Mammalia; order Primates; family Hominidae; genus Homo; species Homo sapiens. Next base: position 76,855,145 of record NC_000015.10, on the reverse strand, counting down.
ATCAGATAGTTGTAGGTGTGTGGCCTTATTTTTGGGCTCTCTCTTCTGTTCCATTGATCTTTGTGTCTGTTTTTGTACCAGTACCATGCTGTTTTGGTTACTGTAGCCTTATAGCATAGTTTGAAGTTGGGTAGCATTGATGCCTCTAGGGTTTTGTTTTTTGTATTTTTTTTTGGGACGGAGTCTCGCTCTGTCACCCAGGCTGGAGTGCAGTGGTGTGATCTCGGCTCACTGCAAGCTCCATCTCCTGGGTTCAGGCCATTCTCCTACCTCAGCCTCCCAAGTAGCTGGGACTACAGGCACCTGCAACCATGCCTGGCTAATTTTTTTTTTTTTTTTTTTGTATTTTTAGTAGAGATGGGGTTTCACCATGTTAGCCAGGACAGTCTTGATCTTCTGACCTCATGATCCACCTGCCTTGGCCTCCCAAAGTGCTGGGATTACAGGTGTGAGCTACCGTGCCCGGCCATGTTTTTTTTAAAACTTAGGATTGCCTTGGCTATTTGGGCGTTTTTTTGGTTCCACATGAATTTTAAATAGTTTTTTATCATTCTGTGAAGAATGTCATTGGTAGTTTGATGGGAATAGCATTGAATCTGTAAATTGCTTTGGGCAGTATGGCTGTTTTAATGATATTGATTCTTCCTATTCATGAGCATGGGATGTTTTTCCATTTGTTTGTGTCATCTCTGATTTCTTTGAGCAGTGTTTTGTAATTCTTCTTGTGGAGATGTTTCTCCTCCCTGGTTAGCTGTATTTCTAGGTATTTTATTCTTTTTTGTCGCAATTTTGAATTGGATTGCATTCCTGATTTGACTCTCGGCTTGGCTGTTGTTGTGTATAAGAATGCTAATGACTTTTTTGTTTTTGTTTTTTTTGAGATGGAGTCTTGCTCTATTGCCAGGATGGAGTGCAGTGGCATGATCTCGGCTCACCACAACCTCCGCCTCCTGGGTTCAAGCGATTCTCCTGCCTCAGCCTCCTGAGTAGCTGGGACTACAGGTTCACGTCACCATGCCCAGCTAATTTTTGTATTTTTAGTAAAGACAAGGTTTCACCTTGTTGGCCAGGGTGGTCTCGATCTGCTGACCTCGTGATCCGCCTGCCTCGGCCTCCCAAAGTGCTGGGATTACAGGAAGAATGCTAGTGACTTTTGTGTGGTGATTTTATATCCTGAAACTTTGCTGAAGTTGTTTATCAGCTAAGGAGCTTTTGTGCTGAGACTATGGGTTTTCTAGATACATAGAATCAAGTCATCTGCAAATGGATATTTTGACTTCCTCCCTTCCTATTTGGATGCCCTTTATTTTTTTCTCTTGCCTGATGGCTCTTGCCAGGACTTCCAATACTGTATTGAATAGGAGTGGCGAGAAAAGGCATCTTTGTCTTATGCCAGTTTTCAGGGGAGATGCTTCCAGCTGTTCCCTTTTCAGTATGATGTTGGCTGTGGCTTTGTCATAGATAGCTCTTTTTATTTTGAGGTATGTTCCTTTAATATCTCATTTATTGAGAGTTTTTAACGTGAAGATATGTTGAGTTATATCGAAAGCTTTTTCTGCATCCATTGAGATAACTATGTGGTTTTTTTTTTTCTTTAGTTCTGTTTAGGTGTTGAATCACATTTATTGATTTGCCTATGCTGAAGCAACCTTGCATCCCGGGGATGAAGCCTACTTGATTTTTAATGTACTGCTGAATTTGGTTTGCATGTATTTTGTTGAGGATTTTTGTGTCAATGTTCATCAAAGATACTGGCCTGAAGTTTCTTTTCGTGTTGTGTCTCGGCCAGATTTTGGTATCAGGATGATACTGGCTTCGTAGAATGAGTTGGGGAGGAGTTCTTTCTCCTCAATTTTTTGGAATAGTTTCAGTAGGAATAGTACCAGCTTTTCTTTGTATATCTGGTAGAATTTGGCTGTGAATCCTTCTGGTCCTGGGCTTTTTTTGGTTGGTAGGCTACTTATTACTGATTCAATTTCAGAGTTTATTGTTGGTCCATTTAGAGAATCAGTTTGTTCCTGGTTCAGTCTTGGGAGGGAGTATGTGTCCAGGAATTTATCCATCTCTTCTAGGTTTTCCAGTTTGTATGCACAGAGGTGTTCATAGCGGTTTCTGATGGTTATTTTTATTTCTGTGGGGTCAGTGGTAACATGACATTTCCAATTGTGTTTATTTGGATATTCTCTCTTTTCTTCTTTATTAGTCCAGCTAGTGGCCTATCTTATTAATTTTTTCAAAGAACCGACTCCTGGATTATTGATCTTTTGAAAGGTTTTTCATGTCTTGATTTCCTTGGTTCATCTCTGATTTTGTTTATATCTTGTCTTCTGCTAGTTTTGGGGTTGATTTGCTCTTGCTTCTGTAATTCTCTTAGTTGTGATGTTAGATTGTTAATTTGAGATCTTTCCAACTTTTTGATGTGGGTGTTTAGTGCTATGAATTTCCCTCTTAACATTGCCTTAGCTGGATCCCAGAGATTCTGGTATGTTGTATCTTTTGTTCTCATTAGTTTCAAAGAACTCCTTGATTTCTGTCTTCATTTCATTATTTACTCAGAATTCATTCAAGTACATGTTGTTTAGTTTCATGTGTTGCATGGTTTTGGGTAATTTTCTTAGTTTTGACTTCCATTTTTATTACATTGTGGTCTGAAAGTGTGTTTGGTATGATTTCAGTTCTTTTTGCATTTGCTGAGGATTGTTTTATGTCCAATTATGAGGTTGATTTTAGAGTATGTGTGCCATGTGGCAATGAGAAGAATGTATATTCTGTGTTTTTGGTTGGAGAGTTCTGTAGAGATCTATCAGATCCATTTGGTACAATGTTGAGTTCAGGCCCTGAATATCCTTGTTAATTTTCTGTCTTGACGATCTAACACTGCCAGTGGAGTACTGAGGTCTTCCACTCTTATTGTGTGGGAGTCTAAGTCTCTTTGTAGGTCTCTAAGAACTTGCTTTATGAATCTAGGTGCTTCTCCTGTGTTGGGTGCATATATATTTAGTATAGTTAGGTCTTGTTGAATTGAATCTTTTATCATTATGTAATGCCCTTTTTTTTGTCTTTTTTTGATCTTTGTTGGCCCAAAGTCTGTTTTGTCTGAAGTTAGGATTGTAACCACTCCTTTTTTTCTGATTTCCATTTGCTTGGTAGATTTCCCTCCATCCCTTTATTTTGAGCCTATGCATGTCTCTATGTGTGATATGGGTCTCTTGAAGACAGCATACCATTGGGTCTTGTTTTTTTTAATCCAACTTGCCACTCTGTGCCTTTTAAGTGGGGGCATTTAGCCCATTTACATTCAAGGTTAGCAATACGTGTGAATTTGATCCTATCATGTTGTTGTTAGCTGGTTATTATGCTGGCTTGTTTGTGTGGCCGCTTTATAGTGTCCCTGATCTGTGTATTTAAGTGTGTTTTTGTATTGGTTGGTAGCAGTTCTTCCTTTCTATATTTTGTGCTGCTTTCAAGATCTCTTGTAAAGCAGGTCTGGTAGTCATAAACTCTCTCAACATTTGCTTATCTGAAAAGGACCTTATTTCTTTTTTGCTTACCAAGTTTAGTTTGGCTGGATATGAAATTCTTGGTTGAAGATTTTTTTTCTCTAAGAATGTTGGATATAGGCCCCCAGTCTCTTCTGGCTTGTAGCTGAGAGGTCTGATGTTAGCTTTATGAGGTTCCCTTTGTAGGTGACCTGCCCTTTCTCTCTATTAAAGCTACCTTCAACATTTTTTCTTTCATTTCAACCTTGGAAAATCTGATGATTACATGTCTTGGGGGTTGATCTTCTTGTGTAGAATCTTGCAGAGGTTCTCTGTATTTCCTGAATTTGACTGCTGGCCTCTCTATCAAGGTTGGGAAAGTTATCATGGATACTATCCTGAAGTATTTTTTCAAGTTGTTTGTTTTCTCCCCATCCTTTTCAGGGATGCCAGTGATTCACAGATTTGACTTCTTTACACAATCCCACAGTTCTTGGAGGTTTGTTCATTCCTTTTTCTTTATTTTTGTCAGTCTTATTTCAGAAAGCCAGCCTTCAAGTTCTGAGATTCTTTCCTCAGCTTGGTCTATTCTGTTAATACTTGTGATTGTGTTGTGAAATTCTTAGTGTGTTTTTTAGCCCTGTTAGATCTGTTAGGTTCTTTTTTATACTGGGTATTTCTTAGCTCCTGTATTGTCCTATTGTGATCTTAGTTTCCTTGGATTGGGTTTTGCCTGTCTCCTGAATCTCGATGATCTATGTTCCTATCCATATTCTCTCTTTTTTTTTCTTTTTTTTTTTTTTTTTTGAGACAGAGTCTTGCTCTTTCGCCCAGGCTGGAATACAATGGCGCAATCTCTGCTCACTGCAACCTTCACCTCCTGGGTTCAAGCGATTCTCCTGCCTCATCCTCCTGAGTAGCTGGGATTACAGGTACCCACCATCATGCCCAGCTGATTTTTGTATTTTTGTAGAGATGGTGTTTCACTGTGTTGGCCAGGCTGGTCTTGAACTCCTGACCTCAGGTGACCCTCCTTCCTTAGCCTCTCAAAGTGCTGGGATTACAGGCCCTATTCATATTCTGAATTCTATTTCTGTCATTTCAGCCAGCTCAGCCTGGTTAAGAACCCTTATTAAAGAACTGATGTGGTCATTTTAAGACATGTGACACTCTGGTCATTTGAATTACTGGAGTTCTTGCATTGGTTCTTTCTTTTCTCTGTGTGCCTTTGGGAGCCTCTTCCCAGGGAAACTCTGTGTCACTAACAGTGGGTATGCTCAGCCATGGCTGGGGTGACTGTTCTGCATTCATGAGCCATGGGCCCTGCCTAGTGAAGAGTAGGGGCAGGGGTTCCTAGGGAGGAGAGGCTGCACTCCTGTCTGTATGGTGGCTGTAGTGTGCTAAAAAAGTCCTTTAACTGCAGTGTAGTTTGAGTAATTAATAGACTTCCATTCTGGATGGTTTCATAGGACTCAAGCTTTGTGCAAGGTCTTTATTTGTTGCTGACTTCTTTTGTTTGATTTCATGGGGATGGGTATGTTAGCGATATGGTTTGGCTCTGTGTCCCCACCCAAATCTCACCTTGAATTGTAATCCCCATAATCCCCACGTGTCAAGGGTGGGACCAGGTGGAGGTAATTGGATCATAGGGGTGGTTTTCCCCATGCTGTTCTCGTGATAGTGAGTGAGTCTCATGAGACCTAATGGTTTTATAGGTGTCCAGCATTTCCCCTGCTGGCACTCACTCTGTCCTGCCACTCTGTGAAGAAGGTGCCTGTTTCTCCTTTGCCTTCCGCCATGGTTGTAAGTTTCCTGAGGGCTCTCCAGCCATATGGAACTGTGAGTCAATTAAACCTCTTTCCTTTATAAGTCACCCTGTCTCGGGTATTTCTTCATAGCAGCGTGAGAACGGACTAACACAGCAGCGTATTTTTGGTGTTGAAGCTTTGGGATGTGATCCAGTAGGTGGTGCTTAAGTGTATTGATCAGTTGATAGCTTCTTCCTTGGTCGTGTGGTTTCCTCACAGTTGTAACCTTGCTCCCTCTCAATGCTGTCAAAGTGTGGGTTCCTCTCCCATTGCCTTTAGATTGTGGCTTGACGCTCCCAGGCTGCCCACTGCAGCTCTGGGGTGATGTTTCCTCCCCAACTTGGAGCCAGCAGAGGAAGGGACTTTAGCAGTGCCATCACAGGATGGAGGGTCTGTGCTGTGGGCCCAAGCTGGGGGTTCCCTGTCTGTTGATGAACAGGAGGTGGGCGGGACCCATGGGAGACAGACTGGCCTTCTCTCCTTGGGTTGATTGCAGTTTGTCGAAGGCGTGGATAAGGCACTTTGGGTCTTCGTTTCTTTGTTAGTCTGAGGGTAGCAAGTACTGTTCCATGGCAGAGGTAGTGGTAGAGAGGCTTTTGATTGCCCCTAGGGGCTCCACCTCCAAGAAATGTGGAGCCACTGTTACTGAGGGTGTTCAGCCACTGGGATGGGGCGGCTGCACTGCTGGCATGAGCTTGGGGTTCTGTTTGTTGGGGAGCAGGGAGTTGAAGGCTCACAGGGAGGAGAGGTTGGTCTCCTCTCCATATGGTGGCTGTGATGTACTCTAAGTTTGAGTGTAGCCCTTAGGCTCTTTGTGTCCTCCCCTAGTCCAAGGGCAGGAGGGATAGCACTGTTACTGTGGCAGTGGCCAAGGGGCTGTCGTATGCCTTTGGGAGCCTCTTCTCAGGGAAACTCTGTGTCACTAACAGTGGGTATGCTCAGCCATGGCTGGGGTGACTGTTCTGCATTCATGAGCCATGGGCCCTGCCTAGTGAAGAGTAGGGGTGGGGGTTCCTAGGGAGGAGGGGCTGCACTCCTGTCTGTATGGTGGCTGTGGTGTGCTAAAAAATACTAAAAAACCAGTTGATAGATTTTAAAGTACATTTTATATTTTAAAAATTACATATTAAGATACATGAACTGACAAATTGAGTGTGTTATTTAATGTTCCTTTAGATACACATATAATAAACGATTATCTCAGAAGGGGTAGACATAAATCTTTGCCCGGGCATGGTGGCTCACGCCTATAATCCCAGCACTTTGGGAGGCCGAGGTGGGCAGATCGCGAGGTCAGGAGATCGAGACCATCCTGGCTAACACGGTGAAACCCCATCTCTACTAAAAATACAAAAAAATTAACTGGGTATGGTGGCGGGTGCCTGTAGTCCCAGCTACTTGGGAGGCTGAGGCAGGAGAATGGCGTGAACCTGGGAGGCAGAGCTTGCAGTGAACCGAACCGAGATTGCACCACTGCACTCCAGCCTGGGCGACAGAGCGAGACTCTGTGTCAAAAAAAAAAAAAAAAAAAAAAACCCCAAAAAAAACACAATGTTTTAGGCCAGGCGCGGTGGCTCACGCCTGTAATCCCAGCACTTTGGGAGGCTGAGGTGGGCAGGTCACCTGAGATTAGGAGTTCAAGACCAGCCTGGCCAGCATGGTGAAACCCCGTTTCTACAAAAATAGAAAAATTAGCCAGGCATGATGGCTGTAATCCCAGCTACTCGGGAGGCTGAGGTGGGAGAACCACTTGAACCTGGGAGGCAGAGATTGCAGTGAGCTGAGATCACGCCATTGCACTCCAGCATGGGCAACAGAGTGAGACTCCTTCTCAAAAAAAAGAAAAAAGTCTTTATTTTTGTACTTCAGATAGTTTCAAAAACCTGCTAAATACAGGGAGAGAGCTTCTTTTTAAATTTTAATTAAAAAATGTTTTTAGAGGCAGGGTCTTGCTCTGTTTCCCAGGCTGGAGTGCAGTGGCATGATCATAGCTCACTGCAGCCTTGAACTCCTGGGCTCAAGCAGTCCTTCCACCTCAGCCTCCTGAGTGGCTGGGACTACAGGTGTGTGCCACCACACCTGGTTAGCCTTTTCATTTTTTGTAGAAATAGGGTCTTGCTGTGTTGCCCAGGCTGTTCTCAAACTTGTAAGCTCAAGCAATCCTCTCATCTTGGTCCCCCAAAGTGCTGAGATTACAAGTGTGAGCCACTGCACTCGGCTGAGGAACTGCTTTAAAAATTAATTTTTGTGGGTACATAGTGGGTGTATATATTTATGGGGTACATGAGATACTTTGATACAGTCATGCAGTGTGTAATAACTGCATCGTGGAAAATGGGGTATTCATCCCCTCAAACATTTATCCTTTGTATTATAATCTAGTTACACTCTTAGTTATTTGAAACTATACAATTAAATTATATTGTATAGCCTGTTGTGTTCCCCAGTACTAGGTCTTATTCATTCTTCCCATTTTTTTTTGTATTTTTTATCCTTTTATTTGTTACTATTTATTTATTATGCTTTAAGTTCTGGGATACATGTGCACAATGTGCAGGTTTGTTACATAGGTATACATGTGCCATGGTGGTTTGCTGCACCCATTCTTTCCATTTTTTTGTACCCATTAACTATCTCCACTTCCCCCCTACTCCCCTGCTACCCTTACCAGACTTTGGTAACTATCATTCTATTTTCTCTGAGTGCAATTGATATGGTATTTAGCTACCACAAATAAGTGAGACCATGTGATGTTTGTCTTTCTGTGCCTGGCTTATTTCATTTACGTAAGGACCTCCAGTTCCATCCATATTAGTGCAAATGACAGGATCTCATTTTTTTTTTTATGGCTGAATAGCAAGCACTTCATTGTGTATATGTACATTATTTATTCATCTGATGATGGCCACTTCCTTCCAAATCTTGGCTGTTTTGAACAGTGCTGCAACAAACATGAGAGTGCAGATCTCTTTGATATTCTGATTTCTTTTCTTTTGGGTATATATACCCAGCAGTGGGTTTGCTGGATCATATGATAGCTCTATTTTTGTTTTTTTGAGGAACCTCTAAACTGTTCTCCATATTGGTTATACTAATTTACATTCCCACCAGCAGTGTACCAGGGTTCCATTTTTTCCCACATCCTCTCCATCTTTTGTTAATTGCCTGTGTTTTAGATAAAAACCATTTTAACTGGGGTGAGATGATAGCTCATTTTAGTTTTGATTTGCATTTCTCTGATGATCAGTGATACTGAGCACCTTTTCATATGCCTGTTTGCCATTTGTATGTCTTCTCTTGAGAAATGTTCATTTATATTTTTTGCCCATTTTAAAATTGGTTTATGAGATTTTTTCCTATTGAGTTGTTTTAGCTCCTTATATATTCTGGTTATTAATCCCTTGTCAGATGGGTAGTTTGCAAATATTTTCTCCCATTCTGTTGTTTGTCTCTTCACTTTGTTGATTGTTTCCTTTGCTGTGCAGAAGTTTTTTTTTTTAACTTGATGTGATCCCATTTGTACATTTTTGCATTGTTGCCTGTGCTTATGGGGTATATTGCTCAAGAAATTTTTGCCCAGACCAGTGTCCTGGAGATTTTCCCCAATGTTTTCTTGTAGCAATTTCATAGTTTGAGGTCTTAGATTTAAGTCATTGATCCATTTTGATTTGAGGTTTGTATATGGTGAGAGAAAGTCAAATTTCATTCTTCTGCATACAGATATCCGGTTTTCCCAGCACCATTTATTGAAGAGACTGTCTTTTCCCCGGTGCATGTTCCTGGCACCTTTGCTGAAAATAAGTTCACTGTAGGTGTATGATTTTTTTTTTCTGGGCTCTTTATTATGTTCCATTGATCTGTGTGTCTGTTTTTATGCCAGTACCATGCTGTTTGAGTTACTATAGTTCTTTAGTATAACTTTAATTCAGGTAATGTGATTCCTCTAGTTTTGTTCTTTTCGTGTAGGATAACCTTGGGTATTCCAGGTTTTTTGTGGTTCTGTATATATTTTAGGATTTTTTTTCTGTTTCTGTGAAGAATGTCATTGGTATTTTGATAGGGATTGTATTGAATCTATAGATTGCTTTGGATATTATGGACATTTTAATAACATTCATTCTTCCAATTCATGAACATGGAATATCTTTCTATTTTTTGGTGTCTTCTTCAATTTCTTTTATCAGTGTATTCATTGTAGAGATGTTTCACTTCTTTGGTTAATTCCTAGGTATTTAATTTTATTTGTGTCTACTGTAAATGGAATTACCATTTTTTTTTTCAGATTGTTCACTGTTAGCATGTAGAAATGCAACTGGTTTTTGTATGTTGACTTTGTATCCTGCAACTTCACTGAATTTGTTTATCAGTTCTAATAGTTTTTGGTGGAGTCTTTAGGTTTTTCTAAATATGAGATCATATTATCTGCAAACAAGGATAATTTGACTTCTTCCTTTCCAATTATTTCTTTCTCATGTCTGATTGCTCTAAGTAGGACTTCCAGTACGTACTGTTTTGAATAACAGTGGTGAAAGCAGGTATCCTTTTCATGTTCCAGATCTTAAAGGAAAGGCTTTCAGTTTTTCCACATTCAGTATGATACTAGCTGTGTGTCTGTCACATATGTCTTTTATTATGTTGGGGTATGTTCCTTCTATGCCCAGTAGTTGAGGGTTTTTATCATGAAGGGATGTTGAATTTTGTTAAATACTTTTTCAGCATGCATTGGAATGATTGTGTGATTTTTATTCATTTTGTTATATGATATCACATTGATTGATTTGCATATTGTTAAACCATCCATGCATCCCTGGGATAAGTCACACTTGGTCATGATGAATGATCTTTTTAATGTAATGTTGAAAATGTTGAACATGTTCAGTTTGCTAGTATTTTGTTGAAGATTTTTGCGTCAATGTTCATCAAAGATAGTGGCCTGTATTTTTGTTTTTTTTGATGTGTCTGTCTGATTTTGGTATCAGAATAATACTGGCCTCATAGAATGATTTTGGAAGTATTCCCTCCTCCTCTGTTTTTGGAATAGTTTGAGTAGGATTGGTACTAGTTCTTTTTTAAATGTTTGGTAAAATTTAGCAGTGAAGCCTTCAGGGCCTGAGCTTTTCTTTACTGGAAGACTTTTTGTTATGGCTTTGATCTTGTTACTTGTTATTGGTCTGTGCAGGGTTTGGATTTCTTTATGGTTCAATCTTGATAGGTGGTATGTGTCTTGGAATTTATCCATTCTCTCTAGATTTTCCAATTTATTAGCATATAGTTTCTCATAGTAGCCACAAACTATCCTTTGAATTTCTATGGTATCAGTTGTAATGTCTCCTTTTTCATCTCTAATTTTATTTATTTGGGTCTTCTCTCTTTTCTTGGAGAGCTTCTTAATCTGAGGTTGAAGATGGAGTCTGTGAACATGAAGAAAATATATGTTGAATGTCATACACGTGCATTTTTTTGGGGATAAGTCCATAGGTTTTCTCAGATTCTCAGGGGAGCCGATGAGCCTCTCAGAGAGGGATGAGTCAGAAGTCTCAATTTCTTCCTCCCTCTTTCCCTGGCCTGCCTTTTTTTTTTTTTTTTTCCTCTTTCTGTCTTTGTCTCTCAAATGTCCTTGATTAAAACACTATTACCTCATGGAATCCAATTGTGTGAAACTTCTTTTGCAAGTTTAGATTGTTTTGTCATCTATTGAGTGTCTTGGGAAGCAGTTAGACATAGTAAGCCATAGTAGTAGTATAGTTACCCGATTAAGAATTCTGGCTTCATCACTTAAGTTAATTTGAGGCTTGGGGGTATAATTTAATTTAGCTAAACCTGTTTCCTCCTCTGTAAAATGGAGATAATATTAGTACTGGTAATATAAAATTGCTTCAATGATTAAATGAAGTATATGTAAATCACTTGGTGCAATGCTTGGCACATAGCAAGTATATCATGAATGTTAGATGCTGGTGCAATTGTTATTACCACTGCTATTCTTTTTGTCAGTAGTAAGTAGAGCCCTATATTTTAAAACTCTCTACTAGTTAACCAGCCTCTATGATTTTTTTTTTTAAAGAGAGCTTCAAGGTCTCACTGTGTTGCCCTGGTCTGTTCTCAAACTCCTGGGCTCAAGTGATACTCCTGCCTCAGTCTCCTGAGTGGTTAGGACTGCATGTGTATAATACTGTGCCTGTCTAGCCTCTGTTATTTGATGTGTCTTTTCTACCTTTCTTCACAAAGTTGGCAATTATTGCCATTAGTTTATGCACATTTTTTCTACAAGCTTATTTTTTCTCCTTTTTGTCTTTCTTATGATAATCATACCTTACATTATTTGGGCACTTACTGTTTGCTAGATGCATGTCAAACGCTCTGTGAACATTGGAGCAGAAATTGAAAGATTGAGTTCTAGTTTCAGTTCTGTCATTCTTTTAACTTTGTCAGGCAATTCAGTCTGAGCCTCAGTTTTGTCATCTACAAAATAGGAATAGTAATATTTGTCCTGTCACAGCTTGTTGTGATGATTAAATGATAACTATGTTTTCAAAAACCCTTTATAAAATATATTTTCTGCCCTTCTGGAATCTTTGTAAATAAAAGCCTTGGATAGAGCAGTCACACGTAATGATAGAAACAGCTTAACCCCAAGGCATTATTGCCCGTTGTACATTATAAGAAAGGATGGTAAAATATTTGAATGATATACTTTATGATTTTAATTACTCATGATTATGAATGCTATACATATATACCACATTTTATGGATGTGTTATAAATTCATAAACAGGTAGGGATGAATGGTAGTAGTTTTGATAATTTCATAAGATTAGCGTCTGGATTCACAGGAAGCTGCTAGTCCTTTGCTGATCAATGTAGAAAAAAACTTTGGGAAGGAAGTATAATTCAGGAAACTTCCTAAGTTAATTTTAACTTTGAATGGTATATAGAAAGAAATGAGGTGGTCTGGAATATCTGGTAAAGAGCTATCAGCACTGAACCTCAGCCAACAGTCTAATGGTAAGCCAGCAGTGTAATTGTAGAGCTGTAATTAGAAGATGGTCTCCTGTGGCAATGTGACCTTGAACAACTCAGCCTCTGAACCTCAATTTATTAATCTGTAAAGTGGAGGTAATAATACATACTCTAAGAAGTGTATGAAGAGGGTCAAGAGATATGTTAAGTTGATTTATAATATACAGTTGTTCCTCAGTATCCATGGGGGATTGGTTTCATGATGTCTGTATTAGTCTGTTTTCATACTGCTGTAATGAACTGCCTGAGACTGGGTAATTTAAAAGGAAAGAGGTTTAATTGACTCACAGTTCAGCATGGTTGCGGAGGCCTCAGGAAACTCATACAATCATGGCAGAAGGCGAAGAGGAACCAAGGCACCTTCTTCACAAGGTGGCAGGAAGAACTGCCCAGCGAAGTGAGGAAGATCACCTTATAAAACCATCAGATCTTGTGAGAACTTACTATCATGAGAACAGCATGGGGGAAACTGCCCCCATGATTCAGTTACCTCCATCTGGTCTCTCCCTTTACACGTGGGGATTATGGAGATTATAATTCAAGATGAGATTTGGGTGGGGACAGAAAGCCTAACCATATCAATCTCCCATGGATATCAGAATGTTTGGATGTTCAAGTCCCTTATATAAAATGGTGTAGTATTTGCATATAACCTATGCATATCCTCCCATATACTTTAATCTTTAGATTGCTTATAATACCTAATGCAATGTAAATGTTATGTAAATAGTTGTTATACTGTATTGTTTAGAGAATAATGATAGGAAAAAAGTCCATACATGTTCAGTACAGATGCTTTTTATTTCTGGAGTAGTTTTGATTTGTAGTTGATTGAATCTTTATAAAAAATCCAGTCCCTGGAAGCCCTTTTATTTATTTATTTTCATGTTTTATTTTACTTCACCAGAGTACTGCAGTGGACTGTAAAATAACATCGTCTACGACTGGAGATAAACACTTTGATAAAAGTCCCACTAAAACAAGGCACCCTCGGAAAATTGATCTAAGAGCTCGATACTGGGCATTTCTTTTTGATAATCTTCGCCGAGCAGTAGATGAAATCTATGTAACTTGCGAATCAGATCAGAGTGTGGTCGAATGTAAGGTAAGGTTTGCTTTGAGGCCTTGTAATCCATTTGAACTCAGATTCTTGAATTTTTGCTACATGTGACTTGATCTTTTTTTTTTCTTTGAGATGGAGTTTTGCTCTGTCGCCCAGGCTGGAGTGTAGTGACGCGATCTTGGCTCATTACAACCTCTGCCTCCCAGGTTCAAGTGATTCTCCTGCCTTAGCCTCCTGAGTAGCTGGGATTACAGGCACATGCCACCACACCTGGCTAATTTTTGTATTTTTAGTAGAGACAGGGTTTTGCTGTGTTAGTCAAGCTGGTCTCGAACTCCTGACCTTAAGTGATCCACCCATCTCGGCCTCCCAAAGTGCTGTGATTATAGGCATGAGCCACTGTGCCTGGCCCTGACTGGATCATTTATCTTACTTTTTCTAGTTGTAATAAATTCTGTATGCTTTTCATTTAATTACCTCTTATGAAAAATTGTTCTTTTGATCCATACACTAACATCAGCATTATGCTTCACGTTTTCTTGATTTTGAAGATTTTTTTTGGCATTACCTAATTATATATTTTAGGTTCTGTGAAGGATTTGGTAGAAAGCTGTCTTGACACATAGTTCTGGGCAGGGAATCAAAGGGTTGGATACACACACAACATTATTTTTAAAATTCTTCTTATCTGTATTCTCCGTTGGTGCTGTAGATGGCACTAGTGAGATTTCACATTCTTTGGTTTCATGTTTAATGTCTAATTGGACATTACTCCCTTTCCATTGAGATACTTATCACTCTTCTAATTCACTTTGGTCAGGGAAAAGTGAGATTGATGGCTAACGATAAACAATCCTGGGTGGGATTGGGATGTCATTGTAAGGTGTGTTTTCTAATTTTAAATAATCTTGTGTTTGTAGTAGGATATTAAACAGACACATGGTGTAGAGTGTCTCTATCTAAAAAGCCTGGCCTTTTAGTAAGTAGAGACTTTATACCATATTACTTTTTACTGAATAAAACTATTTTGAGGAAAACCAGAGTGATACATGTTTACAGAAATATTAAAGAGATAACTTCTGTTTTTATGATGAACATGGTTGAAAACCCTGGAATTCATTATTTAACCTTTGAAATATATGAGGGGTTAAAGAAGAGTTACATATTGAGACAGCAGCTATGTTTCCTCTTAAATTGGAAACAGTCAAAATAGGTTTTAGACTAACTTAAAAATACTAGTTATCAAAAGCAGGTTTCAAAATGAACAGTAGTTGAAACCATCTAAATATATGTTGTGTGGTTGTTACACTTAAATGTTGTTACTATCAACATACAAAAACTTTTTTTTTTTTTTTTTTGAGGCAGGTCTTTTTCTGTCACCCAGGCCAGAATGTGGTGGTACAAACATGGCTTACGAAGCCTTGACCTTCTGGGCTCAAGCAGTCCTCCTGCCTCAGCCTCCTGAGTAGCTGGGACCACAGGCGTATGCCACCATGCCTGGCTAATTTTAAAAAAATTTTTGTAGCGATGAGGATGCATCATGTTGCCCAGGCTAGTCTTGAACTCCTGGGCTCAAGCGATCCTCCTACCTCAGCATTCCAAAGTGGTGGGATTATAGGTATGAGCCACCATGCCCAGCCACTTTTTATGTTTAAAGAAAAACATTTTTAAGTAAAATCATATTCTTGGAGTATAATGAGTCAGTATGTTGCGGTAGAAGACACTACTGGACTTAGTTTTCTGTTATGCTTTGTAAACTGAGCATTTGGGCTTAGAATATCTCTAGATTACCCCTAGAGATTAATCAAAGCAGCAGTTTCTTTTTTTGTTGTTGTTTAAAAATAACAAATGACTGATTGATGAAATCAAATTTACTTAAAAATATATATACTTTTTGAGTAAAGTGAGATTGACCAATTGCAATGACGTCTTTTTGTGATAAGCAGAAACTTGCACCTGTCTCTGACATGACTGTGTTTTAGGAAGCTAGAACTGGCCACAAGAAAGTGTGGCTTTTATTTCTGGTTCTGTCACTTATTCCAAGCTTTATAAAAGCTTACTAGCAATAGATTTTTTTGTGTGTAAGTTATAGATTAAAAGAATGGAGAAAGTTTCGACAAAGTGAGAGGAATAGAGATGTGTTTTCCATTCTTTATTCTGTGCCAAGATGCTCAAAGGCTTATGCTGAGAAATCTAGGAGTTTAAAAGGTATTTTTATATTCTACTCTTCTCCTCATCCAAGACTTACAGGTGGTGATGTAAGAAGATAAAATTTAACGTTTGGTCTAAGCACATGCTGGGTATATACTAACTAGTTTTCTTGTTTTGTTTTGCTTTATTCTCATTATCAAAGCACTGCCATCCATGATCTCATTTGGTTAGTATCTTTATGAGATACATGACGCAATAATTTTTCCTCATTTTGTACGTGGATTCAGCCATTGTTTTGTTAATGCACTGAAAGATTTTTTCCTATTTGTGATTTTTATCCTTTAGCCTTAGTTAAAATAATCACAGTTCAGTTCTGTGTCTCATATGTAAAATGCAGTTAATAACACATATATGTAATTCACATGGTAAGTATAGCATGATGTGAAAAGTATCTTTCCTGTTTGCCCAGGATTTCTGACTAGATGCTAACTTTGTAATCAAAAGAAGATACATTCCTCATTTTTTGAGTTTGAAGATTGTGCCTGTTTATGACATTGGCTACTTTACTACATAAATTGCTAAGAACTGACGTTCCAGCAAAACTCTAAGCATCACCCCTACATTTCCCTTGCTCTCTTACCAAGTAAGCTAGGGTGGGCTGGGGGAGTTGCTTTTTGGAGTGTGCTTAATGAAGTGGTGGCCATCTCCTCATTTGTTCTCACAAAATTTTGAGGTAAGGGTTGAAAGAGTTGGTTGTGAAATTTGTGGGTGTGGCTGCCGGAAGGGGAGATTGGCATCTTCTTCTCCGGTTGAATGTTTGTTGTGTGGACTGATTTTGGTGTCTCTGGAATGTGTTGAGAGAGTTTGGGGGAAAACATGCTGGGAATACATTTTATTTTCCTTTCCTTGTTTCCCATTTCAATCTGGAGGGAACTAGATGTGTGTCTCTGGAGGCTTGGGGACACTTTTGGATATAGAGACTGGCACCTGCATCTTAGAGATTTTGTAGCACAGTAGACTTGCTGGAGTAGCCTGTGCCAGCTGGGCTTGAAGGGACTCTAGGATAGTATGCCTTGAAAGGAGTTCTCAGTGATCAAGTAGAGAAGACCCGAGTATATCTAATGATCTATGTGAGGGAAGGAGCATAGGCATAGATGAAGGTATTAGAGTCATAGGAGCTTCCTTTGGGGACGCTTGGCTAGGTGAGTATATGTAAAACTCTGATGGAGTTGGGCCCCAGTGTCTCCTATTCTCATATTTGTTTCTGTGCGTACTCAATCTTTAGCTCCCACTTATAAGAGAGAGCTTGGTACTTGGTTTTCTATTACTGCATTAGTTTGCTTAGGATAATGGCCTCCAGCTGCATCCGTGTTCCTGCAAAGCACATGATCTTGTTTTTTCCTATGTCTGCATAGTATTCCATGGTGTATATGTACCACATTTTCTTTATCCAGTCTACCATTGATGGGCATCTAGGTTGATTCCATGTCTTTGCTATTGTGGATAGTGCTGCAGTGAACATATGTGTGCATATATCTTTTTGGTAGAGCAGTTTATGTTCCTTTGGGTATATACTTAATAATAGGACTGCTGGGTCAAATGGTAGTTCTGTTTTCAGTTCTTTGAGAAATCTCCAAACTGCTTTCCATGGTGGCTGAACAAATTTACATTCCCACCAGCAGTGTATAAGCATTCCCTTTTCTCTACAACTTTGCCGGCATCTGTTTTTGACTTTTAAATAATAGCCATTCTGTCTGGTATGATATGGGATCTCAGTGTGGTTTCGATTTGCATTTCTCTAATGATTAGTGATGTTGAGCATTTTTTCATATGCTCGTGTGTGTATTCTTTTGACAAATGTCTGTTCGTGTACTTTGCCCAGCTTTAAATGGGGTTGTATAGTTTTTCTGACTGATGTGAGATGGTATCTCATTGTAGTTTCGTATTGCATTTGTCTGATGATTAGTCATGTTGAGCATTTGATATGGTTTGGCTCTGTCCCCACCCAAATCTCATCTTGAATTGTAGTTCCCATAATCTCCACATATCGTGGGAGGTAATTTAATCACAGAGGTGGTTACCCTCATTCTGTTCTCGTGATAGTGAGTGAGTTCTCATGATATCTGATGGTTTTATAAGGGGCTTTTCCCCCTTTTGCTCCACACTTCTCCTTGCTGCTGCCACATGGAAGAAGGACATGTTTACTTCCCCTTCCACCATGATCATAAGTTTTCTGAGGCCTCCCCAGTTATGCTGAACTGAGTCAGTTAAACCTCTCCTTTATAAATTAGCCAGTCTCAAGTATGTCTTTATTAGTAGTGTGAGAGCAGACTGATACAGCATTTTTTATATGCTCGTTGGCTGTGTTATGTCTTTGTTTGAGAAGTGTCCATGTCCTTTGCCCATTTTTTAATTGGGGCTGTTTGTTTTTTGCTTGTTGATTTAAATTCCTTATAGATTCTAGATATTGGACCTTTGTCAGATGCATAGTTTGTGAATGTTTTCTCCCATCTTGTGGGTTGTCTGTTTACTTTGTTAATTGTTTCTTTTGCTGTACAGAAGATGTTTAGTTTAATTATGTCCCACTTGTCTATTTTTTATTTTTGTTTTTGTTGCAATTGCTTTTGGGGATTTTGTTATGAAATTGTTGCCAAGACATATATCCAGAATGGTATCTTCTAGGTTTTCTTCTATGGTTTTTATAATTTGAGGCTTTACAATTACTTTTCTTTTCTTTCTTTCTTTTTCATTGAGATGGAGTCTCTCTCTGTTGCCCAGGCTGGAGTGCAATGGTGAGATCTCGGCTCACTACAAGCTGTGCCTCCTGGGTTCATGCCATTCTCCTGCCTCAGCCTCCCGAGTAGCTGGGACTACGGGTGCCTGCCACCACGCCCGGCTAATTTTTTGTATTTTTTAGTAGAGACGGGGTTTCACCATGTTAGCCAGAATGGTCTCAATCTCCTGACCTCGTGATCCTCCCACCTCAGCCTCCCAGAGTGCTGGGATTTACAGGTGTGAGCCACCGTGCCCAGCCTACAATTACTTTTTAAATCCATTTTGAGTTGATTTTTATATATGGTGAAAGGAAGTGGTCCAGTTTCAGTCTTCTGCATATGGCTAGCTAGTTATCCCAGCACCATTTATTGAATAAGGAATCCTTTATTCATTGCTTGTTATTGTTGACTTTTTGAAGATATGATGTTTGTAGGTGTGTGGCTTTATTTCTGGGTTCCCTAACTAGTTTCATTGTTATATGTATCTGATTTTTGTACCATGCTATTTTGGTTACTATGGCCTTGTAGTATGGTTTGAGTGGAGTAGTGTTCTGCCTCCAGCTTTGTTCTTTTTGCTTAGGATTGCTTTGGCTATTGGGGCTCTTTTTTGGTTCCACATGAGGTTTAGAATAGTTTTTTTGAATTCTGTGAAAAATGACATTGGTAGTTAGGAATTGGCATTGGTAGTTGGTAGTTTGGAATTGGTAGTTGGTAGTTTGGCATTGAATCTGTAAATTGCTTTGGGCAGTATAGCAATTTGATCAGTATTGATTCTTCCTATCCATGAGCATGGAATATGTTTCCATTTGTTTGTGTCATCTCTGATTTCTTTCATCATTGTTTTGTAATTCTCATTGTAGGGGTCTTTCACCTCCCTGGTGAAATTTATTTCTGGATTTTTTTTTTTTTTTTTTTTTGTGGCTAATGTGAATGGAAATGTGTTCTTGATTTGGTTCTCAGGTTGAACGTTACTGGTGTATAGAAATGCTACTGATTTTTGTACATTGATTTTGTGTCCTGAAACTTAACACTTCTGGGAGCCTTTGGACAGAGACTATAAGGTTTTCTAGGTATAGAATCATATTGTCTGCAGAGACAGCTTGACTTCCTCTCTTCCTATTTGGATGCCTTTTATTTTATTCTCTCACCTGATTGTTCTGGCTAGGATTTCCACTACTGCATTGAATAGGAATGGTGAGGTGGGAATCCTTGTCTTGTTCTGGTTTTCAAGGGGAATAGTTTCAGCATTTGCCCATTCAGTATGATGTTAGCTATGAGAGTGTCATAGATGGCTCTTATTATTTTCAGTTATGTTATCTTTATACCTAGTTTGTTGAGGGTTTTTAACATGAAGTGATGTTGAATTTTATTGAAAGCCTTTTCTGTGTCTGTTGAGATGCTCATGTGGTTTTTGTTTTTAGTTCTGTTTATGTGGTGGATCACATTTATTGACTTGCATGTGTGAACCAACCTTACATCTCAGGAATAAAGCCTACTTGATCATGGTGAATTAACTTTTTGATGTGCTGCTTGATTCTGTTTGCTAGTATATTGTTCAGTTTTGTTTTTCTTTCTTTTTTTTTAAATCTGTGTTCATCAGGGATATTGGCCTGAGCTTTTCTGGTTTAATTTATTCCTAGACATTTTATTTGTGTGTGTGTGTGTGGCTATTGTGAATGGGATTGTGTTCTTGATTTGGTTCTCAGGTTGGATGTTATTGGTGTATAGAAATGCTACTGGTTTTTGTATATTGATTTTGTATTCTGAAACTTTAATGAAGTTTCATTTATCAGTTCTAGGAGCCTTTGGATGTTGCGTCTCTGCCAACATCCAATTTTTGGGAACACTTTTAGTAGAATTCTTATTAGCTCTTCTTTGTATATCTGATGGAATTCCGCTGTGAATCTGTCTGGTTCAGGGATTTTTTTGGTTTTTAGGTTTTTTCTTAATGATTCCATTTCAGAACTCATTATTGGTTTATTCAGGATTTCAGTTTCTTTTGGGTTCAGTCTTGGCAGGTTGTATGTTTCCAGAAATTTATCCGTTTCTTTTAGGTTTTCCAGTTGGTATGCACAGAAGTGTCTCTAATAGTCTCTGAGGGTTTTTTGTATTTCTGTGGGGTTGGTGGTAATGTGAACTTTGTCATTGCCAATTGTGTTTATTTCAATCTTTTTTTCTTTATTAATCTACCTAGCTGTCTATCAACTTTGTTTATTTTTTTCTAAGAACCAACTTTTCTTCATTGATATTTTGAATGGATTTTCATGTCTCAATGTTGTTCAGTTCAGCTCTTCCTTATTAGTATGGTGGTGAGTATCCTTGCCCGTCAGTGTTCAGTTCAGCTCGGAGTTTGGTTATTTATTTTCTTTTGCTAGTTTTGGGGTTGGTTTGCCCGTGTGTTTTTTCTTTGACTTCCTCTAGGTATGATGTTAAGTTGTTAATTTTAGATCTTTCTAACTTCTTGATGTATGCATTTAGTGCTATAAACTTTCCTCTTACTATTGCTGTAGCTGTGTCCAAGAGATGCTCTTATGTTGTTTCTTTGTTTTTATTAGTTTCAAAGAATTTTTTGATTTCTATCTTAATTTCATTGCTTATCCAAAAATGACTCATGAGCAGGTTGCTTAATTTCCATGTAATTGTATGTTTTTGAGAGATCTTATTATAGATTTCTGTTTTTATTGCACTGTGGTCTGAGGGTGTAGTTTGTATATTTCACTTTGAATTTGTTGAAAATTGCTTTATGGCTGAGTGTGTGGTTCATCTTAGAGTATGTGCTGTGTGTAGATGAGAAGAATTTATATTCATTTGTCATTGGGTGGAGTATTCTGTAGATACCTGTTAAGTCCATTTGATCAAGTGTCAATTTAGGTCCTTAATATCTTTGTTAATTTTCTACCTTGATCGGTCTAACACTGTCAGTGGGGTGTTGAAATCTTCTATTGTTATGTGTGGTTATCTAAGTCTCTTCATAGGTCTCTGAGAACTTATGTCATGAATCTAGGTGCTCTAATGTTGGGTACATATATGTTTAAGACAGTTAAATCTTCTTGTTGAATTGAACCCTTTATCAATATGTAATACTCTTCTTTGTCCTTTTTGATCATGGTTGGTTGAAAATCTGTTTTGTCTGAAATAACGACAACTCCTGTTTTTTTTGTTTTCTGTTTGCTTGATAAATCTTTCTGCATCCCTTTACTTTGAGTCTGTGGTTGTCATTGCATGTGAGATGCGTCTTTTGAAGGCAGCCTACAGTTGGGTCTTGCTTCTTTATCCAGCTCACCACTCTGTGCCTTTTAAGTGGAATGTTTAGCCCATTTATATTCAAGGTCAATATTGATATGTGATGCATTAATCCTATTATCATGTTGTTAGCTGGTTGATTCTTATGTCGACTTGATTGTATAGTTGCTTTTTCGTGTCAGTGGGCTCTTATGGTGGCACTTATTGTTTTTTCATTTTCATGTTTAGCACTCCCTTAGGGACCTCTTTTAAGGCAGGTCTGATGGTAACAAATTCCCTTAGCATTTGCTTGTGTCAAAAGGATTTTATTTCTCCTTTGCTTATGAAGCTTAGTTTGGCTGGATATGAAATTCTTGGTTGGAATTTATTTTCATTAAGGATAGTGAATATAAGCTCCCAATCTCTTCTGGCTTGTAGGGTTTCTGCTGAAAGGTCTGCTGTAAGCCTGATGAGTTTCCCTTTGTAGGTGACTTGCCCCTTCTCTGTAGCTGCCTTTAAGGTTTTTTCTTCTGCATTGACCTTGGAGAATCTGATAATTATGTGTCTGGGGGATGGTTGTCTTATATAGTATCTTGCAGTTCCCTGAATTTGCATGTTGATGTGTCTAGTGAGGTTGGGGAAATTTTCATGGACAGTTTCTGAGTATTAGTTCATTTTTACACTGCTATGAAAAAATACCTGAGACTTGGTAGTTTATAAAGAAAAGAGATTTAACTGGCTAATGGTTCCACAGGCTGTACGGGAAGCATCCAGCATCTGTTTCTGGGGAGGCCTCAGGGAGCTTTTACTCATGGCAGAAGGCAAAACGGGAGCAGCAGGCATCTTACATGGCAGGAACAGGACCAAGAGCGAGGGGGAGGTGCCACACACTTTAAGCAACCAGATCTCGTGAGAACTCTGTCATGAGGACAGCACCAAAGGGATGGTGCTAAGCCGTTCATAAAGGATTCACCCTCATGATTCAGTCACCTCCCACTAGGCCCTCCAGCACTGGGGATTACAATTGAACTTGAGATTTGGGAGGAGACACCGATCCAACCGTATAATTCCTCAAATATGTTTTCCAAATTGCCTGCTCTATCTCTGACTCGTTCAGGAATGCCAGTGTGTTAGAGGTTTGTTCTCTTTACATTATCACATATTTCTCAGAGGTTTTGTTCATTTTTTAAAATTCCTTTTTCTTTATATGCTTGCACTGATTTGAAAGAGCAGTCTTTGACCTCTGAGATTCTTTCCTCAGCTTCATGTATTCTCTTATTAATTCTTCCAATTGTATTGTGAAATTCCTGTAGTGAATTTTTCATTTCCAGAAGTTCAGTTTGGTTCTTTCTTAAAATGGCTATGTTGTATTTCAACTCATAGATAGTGTCACTGTTTACCTTGCGTTGGTTTTCAGCCTTCTCCTATGTCTTCTGGAGTTTCCTTCCCATCCAGATTCTGAGTTGTAGGTCTTTCATTTCAGCCATCTCAGTCTGGTTAAGAACCATTGCTGAGGAGCTAGTGCAGTTATTTGGAGATAAGAAGATACTCTGGTTTGAGAATTGCCAGAATTTTTGTGCTGGCTCTTTCTCATCTGTGTGTGGTGATGTTCTTTTAATTTTTGAAGTTGCTGTTCTTTGGATAGAGACTTTTGCTCTTATATTCTTTGATGCCCTTGAGGGTTTGACTGTGGTATAATTTGGGTTTAGTCAGTTGGCTTCATTTCTGAATGCTTTCAGGCCACCAAGCCTCAGCACAGCACTCCTGTGCTGTGGACTCTAACCCTGGGGGGCTGGAACTAGGCCTGCAGCTTTGTTCTCTGGTCCCTAGAGGTCAAGCACCTGCTGCACTTGAGGGACCGAGGTACTCCCAGTCAGCTGACAACCACATTCTGACAGGCTGCTAGCAAATATGCTCCGGTGGGGTGATGGAAGGGGTCATGGGAGAGTATGCTGTGGTGGTGGTGCGGGGGCATTGTGGGTGAGTGTGTACCAGTGCGGCGGTGGGGCAACCACAGGTGATTGCGCACCAGTAGGGTGGTGGGGGATGCCATAGGTGAGTACTCACCAATGGGGTGATTGAGGGGGAGGGGTTGGTGTACACCAACAGAACAATGGGGGCCCTGTGGATGTGCATAGTGGTGGTGGGTCCTCATGCACATGCATGCTGACAAGGGGATGTTGTGGGTGTGTGTGTGCCGGCAGGGTCCTGTCTACAAAAGCACTCCTATGGGAGGGTGGGGGCTGGGAAAGAGTTATGGTAGTGGCCACTGACAAGCATTTCAGTGGGGCCACTGTGGCTGTGTTGCGAGTGTGTGTGGCCAGGGAGGGACCCTGAAAGAGGCCAGCAAATGGGAGCATTTAGATCAGACTGGCCCTGTACTGCAGGCAAGACAGCCCTGCCCTCTCCTGGTCTGGCAGCTAAGAAAGGCCAAACCCCTACCTATAGGAGTATGGCAAGCCTTGGGGAATGGGAGCCCATGGCCATGCTCCATAGTAGCTGTCCCCATGCCTAACCCTCTGGGCTCCATGCAGTTTGGAGTTCTTTCTCTGCCAACTCCCCAGGCAGTTCTCCCTGCCATCTCAAATGCCTGTGGAGGTCATGAGGGGCTCCTGCAGGTCTTTGGTGAGGGTGGACCACTCCATGCCTGTTTTACTTACCCCTTCCATAGGAGCCACTTTGGGCCAGGAATGGGTCACGGTGCTTGGCAACCCTGTTCGGGGTTCCCAGCTTCCTTCCCCTTCAGCCCCAGGATCTGTCTTCTCCCTCTATCCACTCTCAATGCCTTCTTTACAAAGATCTGCTTGGAGTGTGCCAGTCTACTTGATGTTTTGATCTTTCTTGGTGGGTGAAGCTCTTCTTCCTGGCTACGTCTAGTTGGCCATTTTGGCTCTTCTGTCTCACAACATTTTAAACCGGTAAAACAAAGTTCATGATATCTCCTTCCCACCTCAAACCTGATGTGTTTCTCTTCCTTGAATGACACATACTACTTTTACCCCCAGGTGTTTGTGCTTGAGACCTGGGAGACGTCCTTTGTTCCTCCCCTCACCTCACAAAACCACTCACTATCCAATGGATTAATTCCTTTCAGAATTACCTCCTAATTCTTTCCAGTCCATTCACATCTCTCACTCTACTGCTACCATCCTAGTCCAAGCTGTCATAAAATGCTTAGATTACAAGTGAAGCCTTCTAACAGGACTCCCTGCATCCTTCTAATTGATTCTCCACACTGCAGGCAGATTGCTACTTAGAAAATGACAAATATGTCTCTCTCATTACTTTGATTGTAGTTGTTCAACGGTTTTTCTTTACTCTGGGCATCAGAATCCTTAACATGGTGATGTTAAGGATCTTGAGTGACTTGATCTATGAATTCTTCATTTCACACCACTTTTGTCCCCTCCCTTCTGCCCCATGTAAATCAGACTTCCTTTGGTTCTGTAACCATATCATGTCCTTGCATGTTTCCTGGCCTTTCCATGTTCTAATTTTTCCGCCCAGAACACTCTTCCCTCCTTCTCCTTGCCCAACACCTTCTTACTCATTTCTTTTACTTAACTCCTATTCATAATTTACATTTCAGCCTAAGTGTCACTTTCCCAGGGGAGCCTAACTTACGTTTCAGACTATGATATGCTCTTATAGTGTATATGCTTCTCTTTGGAAATATATATCACGGTTGAAATGAAATAATTATATATTTAGTTGTTTAATATCTGTCTCCCTTTCTAGACACTAAGCTCCATGAGGATAGAAACAACACTGTATTGTTTACCCCTCCATCTTCAGTACTTGGTACTGGCACTGGATCATAGGAAATGCCCAGTAAATACGTGTTGAATGGGTGTGTGAAGCCATGAGACTTCATACACAGTTGCACTGACGTTAGTCTTCATAGTTGTGTGATTCTTAATTCCCCCAGTGATTGTTAGCAGCCAGTCATATGCTAAAAAGGTACAAAGATGGTGGGTATATGGATTAATCTTGCGCTAATGTTCTTCAAGCAGATGCATTGGGATTTCAATAGAGTAAAAGGAGTTGAAGAGGGTAAGAGAGTAGTTGGAGTAATGGGCCATGGAACCTAAGCTGATGGGGAAGGAAATGATTATAAGAGAAGCCTGATAGTGATGCTAAGTATTTACAAATACTCCTTGGACATGGAGGAGTGAGTAACATGGATTCTCTATAGATAGTGTTAGGTTTACATTTATATTTTTGAAATTAATATTTAGATTCTCCAAATACTAGTTTTCTGAATCTCCTTGATCTGTCAATAGTGTTATGTAGTCTTTTATCTCTTGTGTCCCCTCCCACCTTTCCTGAGTCCCCAGAATCCATTATATCATTCTTTATGCCATTGCACAGCCTCATAGCTTAGCTTCCACTTGTAAGTAAGAACATAAAATATTTGGTTTTCCATTCTTGAGTTACTTCACTTAGAATAATGGCCTCCAACTCCATCCACAGTGCTGCAAAGGTCATTATTTCATTCTGTTTTATGGCTGAGTAGTATTTCATGGTGTATATATACATTTTTTTTGTCCACTTGTTGGTTGATGGATATTTAGGTTGGTTTCAAATTTTTGAAATTGTGAATTGTGCTGCTATAAACATGCATGTGCATGATGTGTCCTTATCATACAAGGACTTCGTTTCCTTTGGGTAAATACCCAGTAGTGGGATTGCTGGATCATTTGATCCAGCCTGGCCCTTAAATGCTTTTCACTGTGAATTCTGTTTTGTCTGATATTAATGTTATAATCTTATCGTTTTGATTTGCCTGTTATACTTTAGCTCAGGAATTGAAATTTGTTACAGAGAACATGAGATTCAGGACAAGGATAGAAGGCTAAGAGTTCACTTCTGCATTTATGGGAGTTGGCTTCTGTTACCTCACCATTGTCTTACATTAATAGCCATCGTTTCTTCATCTGTATCTGTATCTTTTCTTCTTAGCCTTATTCTGCATATTCCCTGTTGTGTTTCATGCATTGTAGTCTTCACAGTAAAATTTTACTGTTTGATTGGTTAAATAAGTAATTTCTCCTGTATATGTAACATTTACTAAAGCATTGTTTTATGAGTGTTTAAGTTGTAGAGATAGATAGCTGTCATTTTTTACTCTGTTTAACATGACACTTTATTGACAATTTCTGAGTTGACAGATCTTTGTTCCTTATATCTAGTTTTCATATACATTATCATCAATATGATAGAGCATTGATTTTTTTCCTTTTGGGTATGTTGAATAATGGAATAACTTGAGACTGTAATTACCATATCATAACTACTGTTGGGTTAGTCAAATTTGACTTGTCTGGTTGTCTCAGTCTGTTTTCTATTGCTTATAACAGAATACTAGAAACTGGGTAATTTATAAAATAATTATATATTATATAAATATATACAAATCTTATCTTTATAAAGATAAGAAATTTATTTCTCATAGTTATAGACAGGCTTTATCTGGTTTGGGCCTTCTTGCTGGTGGGGACTCTCTGCAGAGTCCCAAGACAACATAGGACATCACATGGTGAGGGGGCTGAGCCTACTAGCTCAGGCCTCTCTTTCTCCTCTTAATAAATGCACCAGTCTCATTCCCATGCTAATTCATGAATCCATTAACCCATTAAACCTTTCATGAGAGCAGAGCCCTCATGGCCCAATTATCCCTTAAAGCCATGCCTCTCAGTACTGCCACAATTGAGGATTAAATTTCAACATGAGTTTTTAAGAGACAAATATTCAAACCATAGCACTGGGATAAGTTCCTAGTTATGTTAGCCTAGTTTCTAGACATAGGTATTATACCAATTTATACCATACTTTGATTTTTCAACTATTTCTTCCTGATTTATTTTTGTTGATGGAACCACCATTTTTCTAGTCACCTGTGTTCTATATTTTGTTGACTACAAAGTTCCTATCCATTCATCTTTTGCATTTTTTTTTCCATTCACAAGCTCCTTCCCTCTTTCCTACTGTCAAGATACTGATTTTTGAAGACTCTTATTACTCTCCGATGAAGTGTTATCTTTTTGGTGTGTCCTCCTCTAGTTTTTTTCTTTTTATAGTCCTTCATATTACTTTCCTGCTGTAAAACTTGGATCAATTCTATCTCTATAGGCTTCTGAATCCACAGTAGACTAATCATTTTGGCTTTTAAAACCTCCTACTGTATGGTCTTAGTTGACTTTTTTGGTTATGTTATAATTAGTGCTAAGCTGCCTGTATACTCACTACAGAAGAGCTTGAGAAAGCTGAGTCCTCAGGACCGAGTCCACAGGCTATGGGATTCCAAGTGGAGACGTATTTTTAAAAAATGAATTAGTGTCTCATTTGGGAACTGGCATAATGCAACAGGATGAAATAACCTCAGCCCTGAGATTTTGTTGGACTTAATCTCAGTAGCAGTCATCTGTAGCTTTTAGACAAAGAGAGGAAATGGAAAGAAAGAGAAATGGGATGTTGGGAAGTGGACATTTGTTCAAGTCAATTTGGTGGAAGAATAGTAACTGGAGGGTGAAATCCAGTTCCACCTTACTTTTTTTTGTCTAATTCATTACGATTTAGACACATTACAACTTCGCTTTGTCAGAAAAAAAAGAATGAAAATCATGTATGTGATTGGTAATAGAAACCAAAATAGAGCAGAATATGAAACTGAAAAATGAATCATGAGATCTGAATGTGATCTTAAAAATCATATAATCTAGCCATTTTATCTTACTGATGGGAAGCTGTAAAACTAAATTATGTGTTAGAAATTACATAACAAGTTAGCCTCAGAGCTAAGGACTGGAAACACAAGTGGACTTATATTTTATTCAACCACATTTAATGAATATTACAACATGCACTGTTTTGGGTGAAGTATAACAAAAATGCCTTACATCAAACACATCATGTTGATTTAAATGCCACAGTTTTTTCCTTTTATAATTTATTTAAAGACTTTGTTTTAGGAGGGAACATCCATGCTCCTCCTTCTATGGATGTCGACTTGGGTTATTTGCACTTTTTATTGAGATAATTCCGTTTTTTTTTTTTTTTAATTATTATTATACTTAAAGTTTTAGGGTACATGTGCACAATGTGCAGGTTAGTTACATATGTATACATGTGACATGCTGGTGCGCTGCACCCACTCACTCGTCATCTAGCATTAGGTATATCTCCCAATGCTATCCCTCCCCCCTCCCCCCACCCCACAACAGTCCTCAGAGTGTGATGTTCCCCTTCCTGTGTCCATGTGTTCTCATTGTTCAGTTCCCACCTATGAGTGAGAATATGCGGTGTTTGGTTTTTTGTTCTTGCGATAGTTTACTGAGAATGATGATTTCCAATTTCATCCATGTCCCTACAAAGGACATGAACTCATCATTTTTTATGACTGCATAGTATTCCATGGTGTATATGTGCCACATTTTCTTAATCCAGTCTATCATTGTTGGACATTTGGGTTGGTTCCAAGTCTTTGAGATAATTCCATTTTTTAATTGAAAATTTTTTTAACTATTTGAAATGATAGAAATTTTTCAGATAATGACTGCAACATAGAAAACAGATCTTTTTGTGGCCAGGCACGGAGGCTCACGCCTGTAATCCCAGCACTTTTGGGAGGCCGATGTGGGTGGATCACCTAAGGTCAGGAGTTCGAGACCAGCCTGACCAATATGGTGAAACCCCGTTTCTACTAAAAATACAAAAATTAGCTGGGCGTGGTGGTGTGCGTCTATAGTCCCAGCTACTTGGGAGGCTGAGTCAGGAGAATTGCTTAAACCCAGGAGGGAGAGGTTGCAGTGAGACGAGGTCACCTCACTGTACTCCAGCCTGGGCAACAGAGCGAGACTCTGTCTCAAAAAAACAAAACAAAAGAAAAAACAGATCTTCTTGGTGCCCAGACCACTAGGTGTAGTAGGAAAGGTTATGATTCTGTTTTTTATTATTCTGGGTTATTGAAATGATTTGAGATTTGATCACTGTGGAGAAAAGATAGTCAATTTACAATTTTGGAATAAATTTTGCTCCTCTGTGCATGTTTGTCTCAATGAAGGTAAATATTTTAAGAATAACATTTTTTTTGACTAATAACTTAGAAAGTGAGATGTGTTACTATGGACAAATATGGTTTGAAAGAGAAAGGACTTTTGTTTTTATAGCACTTATGGACTTGAATATCCATTGACATTAGTTATTATACTTGATACGGCCCGTAGGAGGAGAGGTAACTTCTGGCTGTAGGATCATAGAAGAGTTTGTATTTGTGGTATTTGTGCTGGCTGTTAAAGGGAGAATAGGAGCTATCATCAGTTAACAGTCATGTTAGTGTGTCCTCTAAGCTAGTTGTGTGATTTAAAAAAAAAATCACCAAATTGTATTCAACCTTTGTGTTCATAAATGAAGAGGTTGGACTAGATGAGGGCTGAAGATCCTTGAGGCTGAATAAAAGCATATAATTGGTATTGGGAGAATATTCCAGGCAAAAGAAAGATCTTGAAGCAGTTTTTTGGAGGTAACTGTGCAGGCATCTATGAGGGATTTGAATTTGAGTGTATTGATTTTGAGCTTTATAACTTAGCATTTTTGTCTATTTATTCTTAGTGGCAGTAGGTCTCTGATTTTTCTTAGTGGGAAATACTATTAGAAGCATCTAGTCAAGCCAACTTGCAAGTGAGTTGAGATAAAAATTGATTAGGAATTGCAGTAAAATATTTGTATCACTACCCAGGCAACTACAAATTTTATTTACCCACAAAGATGCAGGTAAGGTTTAAATTATAAAGGAGAATGGCTTCCATTAGCAGATTTTAATTTGTAAGGTTTTGGTTGGTGAAGATATTAAGTATTCTTTTTGCAAATAGATTATATTAAAAATTTAGGAGAGATATTTTAAAAAAATGAGTGATTGAAAACTGAAGATTGTGAATGATATTGACAGTTTTGCAAATGGTTTACTTGATGTTTTGCTTTTAGATGATTTCCCTGTTGAACTATTTATTCCAGTAGTAACATTCAAAAAACTAGATAAGATGTTCTTAAAAAATAATGTTTTAAGAAACTCGTTTTCATTTTGGTAAAGCTCATTTTTTTTCATAAAGGTTCCCTTTTGTCACTGACTTCTCATGCAGTGCATGTTTCTAGCCCTTTATCACTATGGGAGTACTCCACTGTGCTAATTCCTGTAGCTGAATTGGAGGGCTGTATTGATGTCGTGGGCCCAAGGGCCTGTGCACTAGTATTGTGTGTCAGGAGGACAAAGGGATGGCGCCAACCTTCCTGCTCTGTGCGCCAGTAACTAGAATTAATTACAAACCAATCAAATCCGTTGCAGCCAATTGGTAAACTAATTGGTAATTTTAGCTGTACATCTATATGGAGTTATCTGAATGCCTATAACATTACTTTCAGAGCCACTTTTGTTCTGTTTCATCCTGCTTGACAAAATGGCCTTCATAGCTTTGAGGAGAAAGATGTGCATCAGTGACTATGAGGTTGCTCCAGCTGCTTGTCTTGTTTGTATTCCCTTGTTCGTAAAACATGACTCGGATTACAGCTGCGTGGTACCACTCTGATCATTTTTGATAACATTGAGTTAAACATTCCTTGAAATAGGCTGTGTAAGCCACCAAATATACTTTCTCTTTGCCAACAAATTTCTGAAGTATAGCGGCTTATATTCTTGCCCCTTCAGAGTTAGTTAGTTTTTTTTTTTTTTCCAAAAAGAAATCAGTAGAAAACTTCTGAAGTAAATTATTCTGAGTTGTCTTTTTGTACCTTAATGTAGGTGATTTAAGTCAAATGAATTTGATTAAAAAATTTGAATTATATTAGTAGAATTGAGGGAAGGAAGCCAACTAAATTTTTACATTTGTCCTTTTCTTGATTGTAGAAGACTTTTATTAACAGTTTTTTGGCACCAAGGATTACTTCTGAAAGGAAATAAGCAGTACTTCTTTGTTCAGAAGGTTGTTTTAAAGTAGAATGTAACTTTTATGACTAAGGTAAGGGTGGTACTGTATTTCATTTGTGAATAATTTGGCATATATTCATTATTAGTCTTGGGTCTGAGTTCCAAAGTATATGTATGTTTGTTTATTTAATTTTATTTTTATTTATTGTATTTTTATTTTAATTTATTTATTTTATTATATTTTATTTTGAGACAGAGTTTTGCTCTTGTTGCCCAGGCTGGAGTGCAGTGGTGTGATCTGGGCTCACTGGAACCTCCGCCTCCCAAGTTCAAGCAATAATCATGCCTTAGCCTCCCGAGTAGCTGGGATTACAGGGGCCTGCCACCATGCTTGGCTCATTTTTTGTATTTTTAGTAGAGATGGAGTTTCACCATGTTGGCCGGGCTGGTCTCAAACTCCTGACCTCACATGATCCAGCTACCTCAGCCTCCCAAGGTGTTGGGATTACAGGCATGAGCCACAGCGCCCAGCCCAAAGTATATCTATGTTTAAAAACACTTATAAGTGAAAAATATTTTTGAGGTTTTTGAGTGTGACTGATAATACAAAATCAGACTAAGCTATAGAAAAATAATGCATTTATAATACAAATGATCATTTTTATAGCTGCTTGACATTTTCTGATTGTCATTTTATGAGAGTATTGGGAAGTTATCTTTATAGTAAGGTGAGACTGGTATATCTTTATGGCAAAGTGAGAATGGTATGAGACTGGTAAAGCAAATACATTTTAAAGTTTTTTAAATGCAATTAAATGACAGCTTTGACTGTTGTAGTAATACATACACACAGTCACATTTGATATCAATTTCTTCTTCCTGAGGAGTGGAGTGATTAGATTTTAGTGGCCTGTGCTTTAACAGTCTTTTCTTCCATAAAATTTTAATTTCCATTTAGATGCATCAGTGATCAGTACCAAAAATTTATCTTTGCCAAGTGTGTAGAGTGTATTGTCACAATAATATAATTTTGGGTTATTTAAAGGAGACAATTAGAAGACAGCAATGGTAATCATTGTGAATGGTGCAGTAGGCACAGATGATCTATATGTCCTAGTTAAGCTGATTTGAATATGATTTTCTGTCAGATCCAGACAATTTAAAATTTATCTTTGGAAGTTCAGTGTCAGTGGAAATGTTGTATTTGGTAACAGAAGGCAGATAACCCATCATATGATTGAAAACTGGTTTTAAGTTGTGCAGAGTTGCCTTTATTTATTTAGCTTTGTATTAGCTGCTTAAGAAATGTTGGTAAAACTTTGAACATTTACTTTTTTAAACATATTTCCTTCTTTTTCTTTCTTTTTTTTATGACTTTATTTTTTTAAGACCAATTTTAGGTTCACAACAAAATTAAGAGGAAGGTAGAGATTTTCCATATAACCCCTGCCCCCATACATGCATAGCCTCCTCCATTATCAATATCATACACCTGAGTGGTATATTTGTTACAATTGATGAGCCTGTGTTGACAAATCATTATCATTCCCAAGTCCATAGTTTACATTTATGTTTGCTCTTGGTCTTATACGTTCTATGATTTTGGACCAATGTATGATGACATGTATTTGCTATTTTAATAATATGCAGAGTAGTTTCATTGCCCTAAAAATCCCCTGTGCTCTGCCTGTTAATTCTTCCCCAGTCCCCCACCCCTAACCCCAGCAGCCACTGATCTTTTTACTCTCTCTAGTTTTGCTTTTTTCAGAATGTTGTATAGTTGGAATCATACAGTATGTAACCTCTACTTTTATTTCTTACCTTTTTTTTTAGAGATGAGGTCTTACTGTGTTGCCCAAGCTGGCTTCAAATTCCTGGGTTCAAGAAATTCTCCCACCTCAGCCTCCTGAGTAGCTGGGACTACAGTCATGCGTCACCATGCCTG
This sequence comes from Homo sapiens, assembly GCF_000001405.40. Taxonomy (NCBI): domain Eukaryota; kingdom Metazoa; phylum Chordata; class Mammalia; order Primates; family Hominidae; genus Homo; species Homo sapiens. The sequence goes on along the minus strand of NC_000015.10, from coordinate 76,821,764 downwards.
ACTAATTTTTAAAAATTTTTTAGTAGGGATGAAGTCTCGCTCCTGGGCTCAAGCAGTCCTGCTACCTCAGCCTCCCAAAGTGCTTTGATTACGGGTGTGAGCCACCGTGCCCGGCCCCACTGTGGTGTTTTGTTTTGTTTTGAGAGAAGGTCTCGCCCTGTCACCCAGGCTGGAGTGTAGTGGCTTGATCAGAGATCACTGCAGCCTCAACTTCCCAGGCTCAAGTGATCCCCCCCAACCTCAGCCTCTCTAGTAGCTGGGACTACAGGCACGCACCACTATGCCTGGCTAATTTTCTGTATTTTTTTTGTAGAGATGGAGTTTTGCCATGTTCCTCAGGCTTGTCTCCAACTCCTGCGCTCAAGTGATTTCTCGGCCCTGGCCTCCCAAAGTGCTGGGATTATAGGCGTGAGCCACCTTACTTGGCCCCTGCCATATTTTAAAATACTTTGATAGATCATTCTTCTTAGCCGTGAGCAATATTTCATTTTCTGGATGTACCACAGTTTGTTTATTCATTCATGTACTGAAGAACGTCTTGGTGGCTTCCAAGTTTTGTCAATTATGAATAAAGCTGCTATACACAGCTGTGTGCAGCTTTTTGTGTGGATGTAAGTTTTTAAATGGCTTTGGGTATTTACTAGGAGTGCAGTTGCTGGATCACATGGTAAGAGAACGTTTAGTTTTGTAAGAAACTGCCACACTGTCTTCCAAAGTAGCTGTACCATTATGCATTCCCACTAGCAATAAATGAGTGTTCCCATTGCTCTACATCCTCATCAGCATTTGCTGTTGTCAGTTTTCTGGATTTTGGTCATTCTAATAGGAGTGTAATAATATCTCATTGTTACTTTAATCTGCATTTCCCTGATGACTTATGATGTGGAGCATGTTTTCATATGTTTATTTTCCATTTGTATATCTTCTTTGGTGAAGTGTCTGTTAAGGACTTTGGCTTATTATTTAATCAAATTATTTTTCTTATTGTTGAGTTTTTTTTTTCTTTTTTAAAAAATTTTATTATTATTATACTTTAAGTTTTAGGGTACATGTGCACAACGTGCAGGTTTGTTACATATGTATACATGTGCCATGTTGGTGTGCTGCACCCATTAACTTGTCATTTAGCATTAGGTGTATCTCCTGATGCTATCCCTCCCCCCTCCCCCCAACCCACAACAGTCCCCAGTGTGTGATGTTCCCCTTCCTGTGTCCTTATGTTCTCATTGTTCAATTCCCACCTATGAGTGAGAACACGTGGTGTTTGGTTTTTTGTCCTTGCGATAGTTTGCTGAGAATGATGGTTTCCAGCTTCATCCATGTCCCTACAAAGGATATGAACTCATCATTTTTTGTGGCTGCATAGTATTCCATGGTGTATATGTGCCACATTTTCTTAATCCAGTCTATCCTTGTTGGACATTTGGGTTGGTTCCAAGTCTTTGCTATTGTGAATAGTGCCGCAATAAACATACATGTGCATGTGTCTTTATAGCAGCATGATTTATAGTCCTTTGGGTATATACCCAGTAATGGGATGGCTGGGTCAAATGGTATTTCTAGTTCTAGATCCCTGAGGAATCGCCACACCGACTTCCACAATGGTTGAACTAGTTTACCGTCCCACCAACAGTGTAAAAGTGTTCCTATTTCTCCACATCCTCTCCAGCACCTGTTGTTTCCTGACTTTTTAATGATCACCATTCAAACTGGTGTGAGATGGTATCTCATTGTGGTTTTGATTTGCATTTCTCTGATGTCCAGTGATGATGAGCATTTTTTCATGTGTCTTTTGGCTGCATAAATGTCTTCTTTTGAGAAATGTCTGCTCATATCCTTTGCCCACTTTTTGATGGGGTTGTTTTTTTCTTGTAAATTTGTTTGGGTTCATTGTAGATTCTGGATATTAGCTCTTTGTCAGATGAGTAGCTTGCAAAAATTTTCTCCCATTTTGTAGGTTGCCTGTTCACTCTGATGGTGGTTTCTTTTGCTGTGCAAAAGCCTTCCTCTCTCAACTGGTCAAAGTCATTCTCCGTCCAGCTTTGTTCTGTGCTGGTGAGGAGCTGCGTTCCTTTGGAGGAGGAGAGGCGCTCTGATTTTTAGAGTTTCCGGTTTTTCTACTCTGTTTTTTCCCTATCTTTGTGGTTTATCTACCTTTGGTCTTTGATGATGATGACGTACAGATGGGTTTTTGATGTGGATGTCCTTTCTGTTTGTTAGTTTTCCTTCTAACATTCAGGACCCTCAGCTGCAGGTCTGTTGGAGTTTGCTGGAGGTCCATTCCAGACCCTGTTTGCCTGGGTATCAGCAGCAGTGGCTGCAGAACAGAGGATATTGGTGAACTGCAAATGCTGCTGCCTGATCGTTCCTCTGGAAGTTTTGTCTCAGAGGAGTACCCAGCCATGTGAGGTGTCAGTCTGCCCCTACTGGGGGGTGGCTCCCAGTTAGGCTACTTGGGGATCAGGGACCCACTTGAGGAGGCAGTCTGCCTGTTCTCAGATCTCAAGCTGCATGCTGGGAGAACCACTACTGTCTTCAAAGCTGTCAGAGAGGGACATTAAAGTCTGCAGAGGCTACTGCTGCTTTTTGTTTGTCTGTGCCCTGCCCCCAGATGTGGAGCCCACAGAGGCAGGCAGGCCTCCTTGAGCAGTGGTGGGCTCCACCCAGTTCGAGCTTCCTGGCCGCTTTGTTTACCTACTCAAGTCTTGGCAATGGTGGGTGCTCCTCCCCCTGCCTCGCTGCCGCCTTGCAGTTTGATCTCCGACTGCTGTGCTAGCAATGAGGGAGGCTCCGTGGGCGTAGGACCCTCCGAGCCATGTGCGGGATATAATCTCCTGGTGTGCCGTTTGTTAAGCCTGTTGGAAAAGCACAGTATTAGCGTGGGATGACCCGATTTTCCAGGTGCCGTCTGTCACCCCTTTCTTTGACTAGGAAAGGGAATTCCCTGACCCCTTGGGCTTCCCTGGTGAGGCAATGCCTTGCCCTGCTTTGGCTCACGCACGGTGCGCTGCACCCACTGTCCTGCACCCACTGTCTGGCACTCCCCAGTGAGATGAACCTGGTACCTCAGTTGGAAATGCAGAAATCACCCATCTTCTGCGTCGCTCACGCTGGGAGCTGTAGACTGGAGCTGTTCCTATTTGGCCATCTTGGCTCCACCCCCCTTATTGTTGAGTTTTAAGAGTTTTTTGTATGTTTTGGATAACAGTGTCTCTTGTATGTCTTTTGCAAATATTTTCTCCCTGTCTGTGGCTTGTCTTATTCTCTCAATATTGTTTTTTGCAGAGCAGAAGTTTTTGATTTTAATGAGGTCCAGCTTATCAATTTTTTCATTCATGGACTGTGCCTTTGGTGTTGTATCTAACAATTCATTGTTGCATCCAAGACCATCTAGGTTTTTTCCCTGCAAGTTATACTTTAGGAGTTGTATAGTTTTGTATTTTACAGTTGGGTCTAGGATCCAATTTGAGTTAATTTTTGTGAAGATTATAAGTTCTGTGTCTAGATTCATTAGTTTTTGCATGTGATGTCCCATTTATTCTAGCATCATGTGTTGAAAAACAATCTTTGTTCCCTTGTATTGGCTTTGTACGTTAGTCAAAGATCAGTTGATTATATTTATGTGGGTCTGTTTCTGAGCTCTTTGTTCTGTTCCATTGACCTGTTGGTCTTTTATCCTAGTACCACCCTGTCTTGATTACTATAGCTTTTTAGTATTTCTTGACATTGGGTAGTGTTAGTCCACCAGCTTTGTTCTTCAAAATTGTATTGGCTCTACTGAGTCTTTTGCTTCTGCTGTAAACTTTAGAATCAGCTTAACTTGCTGGGATTTTGATTGAGATTGCATTGAATTTATAAATCAGGTTTGAAAGAACTGATTGACATTTTGACAATATTGAGTCATCCTATCCATGGATTATCTTTCCATTTACTTAGTTTTCTAATTTTTTTTATCAGAGTTTTGTTGTTTTCCTAATATAGATCTTATACATATTTTGTTAGTTTTATACCTAAGTATTTCATATTTTGGGGTGTTAATGTAAATGGTATTCTGTTTATTTACATATATATTTGTTATATATATTTGAGATTTATAACATGTTTTGACATACATATATGTAGTGAAATGATTACTGCAGTCTAGCAAATGAACCTATCACCTCACATAGTTACCTTTTTGTGTGTGTGGTAAGAGTAACAAAACTACTCTTTTAGTGAATTTTTAGTATACAATACGTTATCATTAACTAGTGCCCTCATGCTGTATATTAGATTTGTAGACCTGTTCATCCTACGTAATTAGAAGTTTGTATCCTTTAATCTACATCTCCCTATTTCCTTCCTCCCCCTGACCTTGTTAACCAACCACTGATTGTCCCTTTCTTTCTACGTATTCGACTTTGTTTAGATTATATATATATAAATGAGATCATACACTATTTTTCTTTGTAGGTCTGGCTTATTTCACATAGCACAATGTCCTTGAGGTTTATTCATATTGTTGCAAATGTCAGGATCTCCTTTTTAAAGGTGGAATAATATTTCATTGTACAGTCATGTGCTGCATAACAGTGTTTCAATCAACAGCTGACCTACAATGGTGGTTCATAAGATTATAATGGACCAGAAAGATTCTTGTCACCTAGTGATGTCATAGCTGTCATAATGTTGTAGCACAATATATTACTCAGTGTTTGTGATGATGCTGATAGAAACAAGCCTATGGTGCTACCAGTTGCATGGAAGTATAGTGCATACAGTTGTGTACAGTACACAGTACTTGATGATGATGATAATAAATTATGTTACTGGCAGCCAGGCACGGTGGCTCACGCCTGTAATCCCAGCACTTTGGGAGGCCAAGGCGGGTGGATCACAAGGTCAGGAGATCGAGACCATCCTGGCTAACACCGTCTGTACTAAAAATACAAAAATACAAAAAAAATTAGCTGGGCATTGTGGCGGGCGCCTGTAGTCCCAGCTACTCGGGAGGCTGAGGCAGGAGACTGGTGTGAACCTGGGAGGTGGAGCTTGCAGTGAGCCGAGATAGCGCCACTGCACTCCAGCCTGGGCAACAGAGCGAGACTCCATCTCAAAAAAAAAAAAAAAATTATGTTACTGGCTTATGTATTTTTATACTATTTATTGTTATTTTAGAATGTATTCCTTCTGCTTAACAAAAAGAAAGCTAACTGTAAAACAGCCTTTGGCAGGTCCTTAGGTGGTATTCCAGGATAAAGCATTGTCATCAGGAGATGATAGCTCCCATACATGTTATTTTCTTGCTCTTGAAGACCTTGCAGTGGGACAATATGTGGAGGTGGAAGATCCTGATCCTGGGTAGGCCTAGGCTAATGTGTGTGTTCGTGTCTTCATTTTTAACAAAAGTTAAAAAGGAAAAAAAATGTTAGATAGGAAAAAGCTTATAGAATGAGGTTATAAAGATAATTTTGTACAATTGTACAATGTGTTTGTGTTTTAAGCTAAGTGTTACTACAAATGTCAGAGTTTAAAAAATACTAAAAGGTTTATAAAGTAAAAAGATTGTAGTAAGCTAAGGTTAATTTATTAGGAAGACAGAAAATTTTTGTATGGATTTTGTGTAGTCTAAATATGTAGTTTATAAAGTCTCAGCAGCATACACTAATGTCCTAGGCCTTCACTTACCATTCTCTCCTTTACTCCCTCCCTCACCCTCCCTTACCCAGAGCAACTTTCAGTCCTGTAAACTCCATTCATGGTAAATGCTACAGGTTTATCATTTTAAAAATATTTTGCAACGTATTTTTACTGTAGATTTTCTGTGTTTAGATGCACAGATACTTAACATTGTGTTACTCTTGGCCTGTAGTATTCAGTATAGTAACATGCTATACAGCAGTAGTCCTCAACCTTTTTGGCACCAGGGACTGTTTTTGTGGAAGACAATGTTTCAACGGACTGGGGTCGGTGTGGCAGGGGTAGTTTCAGGATGAAACTGTTCCACCTCAGATGATCAGGCATTAGACTGTCCTAAGGAGCACTCAACCTAGATCCTTCACATGTGCCGCTCACAATAGGGTTTGTGCTCCTATGAGAATCTAATGCTGCTCCTGATCTGACAGGAGGTGGAGCTCAGGTGGTAATGTTTACTGGCCCACTGCTCACCTCCTGTTGTGCGGGTCAGGTTCCTGCCATACAGGTTTGTAGCCTAGGAGCAATAGGCCATGCCATATAACGTAGGTGTGTAGTAGGCTGTACCATCCAGGTTTTTGTAAGTACACTCTGATGGTCGCACAATGATGAAATTGCCTAACAATGCATTTCTCAGTATATCTCTGTTGTTAAGTGATGCTTGACTGTATGTATGTGTGTGTATATATACACCACAATTTCTTTACCCATTTATCCATTGATGGACACTTAAGGTTGTTTCCATATCTTGGCTATTGTGAATAATGCTGCAAATAAACATAGGAGTGCAGATGTCTCCATGAGGTGCTGATTTCATTTTCTTTGGCTATCTACTCAGAAGAGGGATTTTTGGGTCATATGGTAGTTGTATTTTTAATTTTTTGAGAAACTTTCATACTGTTTTCCATAATGGTTATACCAGTTTACATTTCCACAAATAGTGTACAAGGGTTTTCTTCACACCCTGGCCAACAGTTGTTATTATCTCTTATCTTTTTGATAATAGCTCTTCTAACAGATGTGAGGTGATTTTTTTTTTGTTTTAATTTGCATTTCCATGATGATTACTGATGTTGAGCACTTTTTCTTATGCTTATTAGCCATTTTTATGTTTTCTTTGGAAAAAAACTTCTTCAGATTCTTTGCCCATTTTTAAATCTGTTATTTGTTTCCTGTTATTGAATTGTGTGAGTTCCTTATATAGTTTGGATATTAACCCCTTATCATATACAGAGTTTCCAAATATTTTTCTCAGTCTGTAGCCTGCTTTTTCATTCTGTTAAATGTCTTCTTTTTATTTGTAGGAAAGTTTTTATTTTGATGTAGTCTCACTTGGATATTTTCGCTTTTGTTGCATGAATTTTTGGTGTGATACCAAAAAAATTATTGCTTGAGGTCACTATTAAGGAACTTTTCCTTTTGTTTTCTTCTAGAAGTTTTATAGTTTCAGGTCTCATGTTTACATCTTTAATGCATTTTGAGTTTATTTTTGCGTATGGTGTAAGATAAGGGTCTAGTTCCTTCTTTTACATGTGGTTATTCAGTTTTCCCAACACTATTGAAGAGTTTATCCTTTTCTCATTGTGTTTTTTTGGTGGTCTTGTTGAAAATTAGTTGACCACATATGCTTGAGTTTATTTCTGGGCTTTCTGTTACATTTCGTTGTTCTGTTGGTCTTCATGTCTGTCTGTATGCCTGTCATTACAGTTTAGATTACTGTTGATTTGTAGTGTAATCTACAGTCAGGAAATGTGATGCCTCCAATTTAATTTTTCTCTCTCCACATTGTTTTGGCTATTTAAAGTTTTTTGTAGTTCCATACAAATTTTAGCATTGTTTTTTCTATTTCTGTGAAAAATGCCAGTACAATTTGGTAGTGATTGCATTGAGCATGTCACTTTGGATAGTATGAATTTTTTTTTTTGAGATGGAGTCTCGCTTTGACGCCCAGGCTGGAGCGCGGTGGCGTAATCTCGGCTCACAGCAGCCTCTGCCTCCCGGGTTCAAACAATTCTTCTGCCTCAGCCTCCCGGGTATGTGGGATTATAGGCACCTGCCACCATGCCCAGCTAATTTTTGTAATTTTAGTAGAGACGGGGTTTCACCATGTTGGCCAGGCGGATCTCGAACCCCTGACCTCAAGTAATCTGCCCACCTTGGCCTCCCAAAGTGCTAGGATTACGGGTGTGAGCGACTGCACCCAGCCTGTATGAATGTTTTAACAGTATTAATTTTTACAACCCATAAACATGGAATAGCTTTCTGTTTATTTGCATCTGCTTCAGTTTCTTTAATCAATGTTTTATAGTTTTCAGTGTACAGATCTTGCACTTCCTTGGTTATATTATATTTATTCCTAAGTATTTGATTCTTTTGGTGCTATTATAAATAGGATTTTGAAAATTTCTTTTTAACATAGATTGTTATTGATGCAAAGAAGTTCAACAGATTTTTTGAATGTTGATTTTTGTATCCTGCTACTTTTCATTTAGAAGTTCTGACCTTTTTTTGTGTGTATGTGACACCTGTAGCATTTTCCTGCATATAGAATCAATTCAAATGCAACCATGGATAATTTTACTTCATTATTTCTGATTTGAATGCCTTTTGTTTCTTTCTCTTTTTTTTTTGGTCCGATTGCTCTTGCTAGTACTTTCAGTACTACATTGACTAGAAGTGGCCAGAGTGGGCATCCTTGCCTGGTACTAGATCTTAGATGAAAAGTGTTATTATGTTGATATTGATCACTGTTGATTATGATGTTAGCTGTTCGTTTTTCATACATGACTTCTACTATATTGAGGAAATTTCCTTCTATACCTATTTTGTTGAGTTGTTTTTTTTTTTTTTTTTTTTTTTTTTTTAGTGAAAGGATATTGAACTCTGTCTGCCAGATGCTTTTTCTGTGTCTGTTGAGATGATTATATGCTTTCTTGCCTATCATTGTGCTAATGTGTTGTATCTCATTGATTGATTTGCATGTATTGAACCATCCTTGCAGCTCAGGGATTCATCTCACTTGGTTATGGTATATTATCTTTTTGATGTATTGTTGAATTTGGTTCCCTAGTATTGAGCATTTTTGTGTGTATATTCATCATTTTTTGTGTTATCTTTTTCTGACTTTGATATCAGGATGAAATTGATCTCATGTATGAAATTGAAACTCTTCCCTTTACTATTTTTTTTTTTCTGGAAGTATTTAAGAAGGATTTATACTAATTTTTTTGAATGTTTGGTAGAATTCGGCTCTGAAGATATCTGGTTTTGGACTTTTCTTCATTGGGAAGTTTTTGATACTATTTCAGTCATTTTGTTACTGGCATGTTTAGGCTTTCTGTTTCTTCTTAATTCAGCTTTGGCATGTTGTATGTTTCTAGGAACATACTGTTTCCTTAGGTTATATATGTATTGGTATATAATTGTTCATAATCAACTTTTATGATCTTTTATATTTTCAAGGCGTCTGTTGTATTGTCCCTCTTTATGTTTCCGATGAGTCATCTCTTTTTTTCACCCTAAGGTTTTGCCATTTTAAAAAATACAACCAACTCTTTGTTTTATTGATGTCTGTCTTTCTTTCTTTCTTTCTTTTTTTTTTTTTTTTTCAGAGTCTCACTCCGTCACCCAGGCTGGAGTGCAGTTGCATAGTCGTGGCTCACTGCACCCTCTGCCTCCCAGGTTCAAGTGATTTTTGTGCTCAGCCTCCCAAATAGCTGGAATTACAGGCGCATGCCACCATGTCCAGCTAATTTTTGTTTTTTGTTTTTTTTTTCTTGAGACGGAGTCTCGCTTTGTCACCCAGGCTGGGGTGCAGTGGCACAATCTTGGCTCACTGCAACTTCTGCCTCCCAGATTCAAATGATTCGCCCACCTCAGCCTCCTGAGTAGCTGGGATTACAGGTACCTGCCACCACACCTGGCTAAGTTTTGTGTTTTTAATAGAGACAGGGTTTCACCATACTGGTCAGGTTGGTCTCGAACTCCTGACCTCAAGTGATCTGCCTGCCTCGGCCTCCCAAAGTGTTAGGATTACAGGAATGAGCCACCATGCCCGGCTATTGATGTTTTTCTATATTTGATTTATTTCTATTGTTATCTTTATTATTTTCTTCCTTCTGCTAACTTTGGGTTTAGTTTGTTTTTTTCCTAGTTTCTTGAGTTGTAAAGTTAGGTTGTTTATTTGAGATATTTCTTCTTCAATATAGGTATTTATAGCTACAAGCCTCCTTTTTACTTTTTTGTTTTGTTTTGTTTTCCCTTTTTTATTTTATTTTTTTTATTTTTTTATTTTTTATTTTTTGAGGCAGAGTTTCACTCTTGTTGCCCAGGCTGGAGTGCAATGGCGTGATCTCAGCTCACCGCAACCTCCACCTCCTGGGTTCAAGCGATTCTCCTGCCTCAGCCTCCTGAGTAGCTGGGATTACAGGCATGTGCCAGCACCCCAACTAATTTTGTATTTTTAGTAGTGAGGGGTTTCTCCATGTTGATCAGGCTGGTCTTGAACTCCCGACTTCAGGTGATCCACCAGCCTTGGCCTCCCAAACTGCTGGGATTACAGGCATGAGCCACCGCGCCTGGCCCAAACCTCCTTTTTATACTGCTTTGCTGCATCACATATTTTTGTAAGTTCTCTTTTTATTTGTCTCAAGATATTTTAAAACTTTTCTTTTGGTTTCTTCTTTGCCCCATTGGTTCAAGAGTGTCTCATTTAATTTCCATGTTTCTGTGACTCCTCACTGCCTTTTTTTTGTTCTTGCTATTACTGATTTCTAGTTTCATTCAATTGCGGTTGGAAAACATACTTGGTATGATTTTAATTTGTTAAGACTTTTTTGAGACCTAACTTGTTTTGTGATCTGCCCTGAAAAATATGTGTGCACTTGAGAAAAATGTGTATTTTCCTGCTAATTCTATGTTTGTTAAGTTTATTTGGTTTGTATTGTTTCGTTGTCTTTTTTTTTTTTTTTGTAAATTCTATCTATTATTGAAAGTGAGACATTGCAGTCTTCTATTATTGAATTGCAGTCAATTTCTTCTTTCAGATCCATCAGTATTTGCTTTATTATTTTAAGTGCTTTGATGTTAGGTGCAAATATACTTAAAATTGTTGTGTCTTCCTGTTGAATTGATCCTTTTATTGTTACGTAAGGACCTTCATTTCTCTGGAGACAGTTTTTTCCTTACATTCTACTTTGATAATTTAGTCATTTCTACTTTCTTTTGGTTTCCATTTGCTTACAATATCTTTTTCCATCTTTTCACTTTGTCTCTTTGTGTTCTTGAATCTTAAGGGGGTTCTTGTAGCTAGCATATAGTTTGTTTTTTAACCATTATTTTTGACCATTATTTAACCCCAAATAATTTAGTCACACTGTATTTTTTATCAGGGAGTTTAGTTTGTTTACATTTAAAATAATTATTGATAAGGATTTATTACTACCTTTTAATTAACTGTTTTGTGTTTGTCTTATGATATTTTTGTCCTTGTTTTTCTCACTTGCTCTCTTCTTTTGTGTGTGTGTGTGTGTGTGTGTGTGGTTTTTTTTTTTTGTATTGCTAGATTTTGATTCCTTCCTCTTTCTTTTGTGTAATTTGTTTAGGCATTTTCTTTGTGGTTACCAGGGTGCTTATGTAAAATATTTTATTGTTATAATGATCTATTTTAAGCTGATAACACCTTGACTTCCCTTGCATTCAAGAAGTCTCTCCTTTTATGTCTCTTGCTCCCACATTATAAATAGTATTGATGTCACAATTTATAATTATTTATATTGTGCCCATTAACATAATTTAAATTTAGTTATAATTGTTTTTAATACTTTTATCTCTTATCTTTTATAATAGGATTATAATTGATATGCCCACCACTGTTATAGTCATAAAATGTTCTTTTATTCTTTATATATTTTGTTTTCCAATGAATTGCTTACTTATGCTTTCATGTTGCTATTTAGTTTATTTTTGTTTCAATGTGAACAACTTTTTTAGCTTTTCTTGTAAATCAAGTATAGTAGTGATTAACTCCGTCAGCTTTTGTTTGTCTTTGGAAGTCTTTATCACTAATTAATTTTTGAAGGCCAGATTTTCTGGGTATAATTTTCTTGGCTGACACTTTCTTTTTCGTTCAGTACTTTGAATTTATCACTTCAGCCTTTATGGGTTGCAAAGTTCTGCTAAAAAATCTACTGATAGTGTTATGGGGGCCCCTGTGTGTGTAATAAGTAACTTTTGTTTTACTGTCTTCATAAGTCTGTCTTTGTCTTTAACTTTTGACAATTTGATTATAATGTGTCTCAGTGTAGATATCTCTGGATTCGTCTAGTTATTTGGGCTTTCTGGATTTTGATTTTGATTTCTAGTTCCTCACCCAGGTTTGGGAAGTTTTCAGCCATCATTTCTTTGAATAAGCCTTCTGTCACTTTCTCTTCTTCTTTTCTAACTCCAATAATGCATATTTACTTCTGCTTCATGCTGCTCTGTAAGTCCCTTTAGCTTTCTTTACTCTTTGTCATTTTTTCCTTTTATTCCTCATCTTAAATGATTTCTGATGACCTGTCTTAGAGTTCCTGATCCTTTTTCTGCTTAATCTAGTCTGCTGTTTAACCCCTATATTAAAATTTTTAGTTGAGTATTATATTCTTCAGCTATATGATCTCTGTTTGGTACTTTTTGTATTTTCTGTCTCTTGGCAGAAATTTTTAGCTAGTTTTATGCATTACTCCTTCTGACCTTGGCGAACTTCTTTATGACTGTTCTTTTGAATTCTCTATGTGATAAGTCACATATTGGCAGTTCATTAGGATCAGTTTCTGGAGGTTTATCTTGCTCTTTTATTTGGAACTTGTATACCTGTTTCTTCATTTTCTTTGACCCTTAGTGTTTGTTTCTGTGCATTAGGTGAGGCAACTGCCTTTCCTAGTCTTGTCATACTGGCCTTCTGTAGGAGATGGATCTTACCTGTCAGCTCAGCTAGTTATTCTAGGTGCCCCTCAAACCTTTGTGCTGATCTAAACTGCAGTCTTTGTTCTTAGTGGTCCCCAGATTAGGGTATGCCAAGTCCTGTTAGTATCCTGAGACAAGCAAGTTAGAAACCCATCTCTCAAGATCCAGCTGGAAAAGTTGAGGTATTAAATATGTGTTCCAGTTTCTTATTTCTCAGGGAGAAGCTAGGAGCTGGAATTTTTCTCTCATTTTCTTTACATTAAGCTGGGGAGAGGATCTGCAGTGATGCCATATTCTTGTTCAGACTGCACAGTCTTTTGACCCATTGCTTTGTACTTTGTTGCTCCCAGGGGCCTGGCAGATGCGTAATCTATATGCTCTTGGAGATAGGCAGGTTAACTGGAGACTTCACTTTATCTCTGGAGCATGCCAGCAGGTGAAGTTGTGGATAGTCCCCACATGCACATTTATGGTCCCAGAAGACTGCTAATTTCCTGCAGTTTCAGGTAGCAGCTGGAGAAGTCAGGACATTAGGTGTGTAGTCAGTTTCCTTGAGGGAGAAATTGGGAGTCGGGAGTTTGTGCTTTTTAGCTCAGCGCTGACCTTGGGAGGAGATCTGCTGGAGCCCTACCTGTTTAAAAAGCAGCTCTTTGCTCTTTATAGTTTAGCGAGATTCACAGATGCAGAGCCTCATCAACTCCCAGGGCTAGGTGATTTAGGAGCCAGTCCTTTGGGTGGGAGCTGTGAAAATTGGGGCATGCCATGTACATGTAAACTCCTTTCAGGGAAAATCTGCAAACCTAGTTTTATTGCTGGAGCAAGGCAAGGGGAAAAGGGGCAGCAGGTACCCATAAGCCCCTTGAGGCTTCTGGAGGTCTGTTGTTTACCTGCTCCACTGGCTTCCGGATGCAGGCTAGTTATAAGCCCAAACCCTCAGGCTGCAGCTGGAAAAGTATGCAGACAAACCCTTTCTGTGGAGAAACTGGGGGCTAGTAGTTTTGGCCCTTTTTCTCTTTCCTGTGCCCAGGAGGTTAGCTGCTGGAAGTGCTCACACACCTGTTGAAAATCACCTCTTTATTCTCTGGGATCCCAGGAGACTCAGAATACTGAGTCCCTTCTGCTGTCAGCTAGGTGATGTAGGTATCTAAAATTCTGTTGGGAATCATAGAAGTTGGGACGCTATTTGTGAAGTTGGACCACATGTAGTGGGAGAACTGGGATTCCTTTTGTAAAATGAAAATTTACACAAAAAGTATTAATTCTTAGGAAAACAATAAAAACGGACATAAGAAATTGAAAACCTACATAGCTTTATAACTGGCAACTGAGTTTATAATTAAAAATATCCATCACCCAAATAATTCCCAACTTTAGCGATTTTTCGAGTGAATTCTTCTAAACATTGAAGTTAAAATTAATGTTAGTTAATATCACATTCTGGGGACTGTTATGGGGTGGGGGGAGGGGGGAGGGATAGCATTGGGAGATATACCTAATGCTAGATGACGAGTTAGTGGGTGCAGTGCACCAGCATGGCACATGTATACATATGTAACTAACCTGCACAATGTGCACATGTACCCTAAAACTTAAAGTATAATAAAAAAAGTAAAAAATAAAAAATAAAAAAAATAAATAATGTTAGTTAAGCAATATTTTTTACAAATACAGACATAAAAATTCTCAACAGAGTAATAGCAAACCAAATCTAGCAGCACATAAAAAGGTCTATAACATCATGACCCAGTGGGATTTAGTCCAGGAAGGTAAGAGTGGTTGAGCATATGAAAATCAATAAACATAATAGAATGTATTAATAGAATGAATGGAAAAAGATCACAGATTATCTCAGTTGGTGCAGAAAAGGCATTTGACAAAAGCCAATACCATTTCATGATAAAAACATTCAATAGGGAAATTCCTTAACCTGATAAAGAGTATCTATGAAAAATCCACAGTTAATGTCATGCTTAATGGTGAAAGACTGAAAGCTTTCCCGTTGGGTAAGATCAGGAACAAGAGAGTGATGTCTTTTCTTGCCACTTACACACAATATTGTACTAAAGGTTCTAGCCAGGGCAATTAGACAAGAAAACATAATAGAAAACATCTAGATGGAAAGGAAGAAGTAAAACTGTACTTGCAGATGACATGATTCTATATATAAAGAACCCTTAAAGACACCTGCCCCCCAATTATTAGAGCTAATAAACAAGTTTAGCAAGATTATAGGATACAAGATGGACACTCAAAAATCAGTTGTATTTTTATACACTAGGAGTAAACAATCCAAAAATGAAATTAAGAAAGCAGTTACATTAAAATAACATCAAAAACAATAAAATATTTAGGCATAAATTTAAAGTAGTGTAAGATGTACACACAAACTATAAAATATAATTGAAAGAAACTACGAAAAATCATTGTAAGAAATAAGAGAAACCTAATTAAAGGAAAAGATATTCAGAATTCATGAACAGAAGACTTCATAGTGTTAAGATGGCTGTATTTCCCAAAGTGATACCCAGATTCAATGCAATACCTATGAACATTCCAATTGCTCCCTTCCCCCTTTTTGGCAGAAATGGACAAGTGGATCTTAAATTCATATGGGGATGCAAAGTATGTAGAATAGCCAAGACAATCCTGAAAAAGAACAACGTTTGAGGACCTAGACCCCCTGAATTTAAAACTTAGTACAAAACCACAATAATCAAATTCTGTGGTACTGGCAGTAGGATAGATATATGGATCAATGAAATAGATTTGAAATCCTTGGAATAAATTCATACGTCTATGTATGAATTTGATTTTTGACATGAGTGCCAGAACCATTTAATGAGGGAAAGAATAGTATTTTCAACAGTGGTGTTAGGACACCAGGATATCTGTGTGCAACAAATGAATTTGGATTTTTACCTCACACTGTATACAGATATTAACTGAATACAGTTTAAAGCCTAAATGTAAGAGCTGAAAGTATAACACTCTTTGAAGAAAACATATACATCTTTGTGACCTTGGACTATGACACCCAAAGCCAGAGAAAAAATAAATTGAACTTTATCAAAATTAAAAACTTGTGTGTGTCAAAGGATACTATCAAATGGAAAAATCACCCACATAATGGGACAAGATGTTTGTCAGCCATATGGTTGATGAAGGTCTAATACCTAGAATATATAAAGAACTTTATAGCTCAACAATAAAAAGGACAAATAACTCAGTAAAAAAGGGCAAAGGATTTGAATAGACATTTCTTTTAAGATATACAAATGTCGGCTGGGCACGGTGGATCACACCTGTAATCCCAGCACTTTGGGAGGCCGAAGCAGGTGGATCACGAGGTCAGGAGATTGAGACCATCCTGGCTAACACAGTGAAACCCCGTCTCTACTAAAAACAGAAAAAATTAGCTGGGCATGGTGGCACGTGCCTGTAATCCCAGCTACTTGGGAGGCTGAGGCAGGAGAATCGTTTGAACCTGGGAGGTGGAGGTTGCAGTGAGCCGCGATGCTGAGATCACGCCACTGCACTCCAGCCTGGGTGACAGAGCGAGACTCCGTCTCCAAAAAAAAAAAAAAAAAAAAAGGTAAACAAATGTCTAATGTACATGAAAAGAGGCACAAAGTTATTAGTCATCGGAGAAATGCACATAACCCCCAATGATAGCACTTCACACTCATTTAGGATGACTAGGATAAAAAAGTCAGAAAGCAGCAAGTTTTGGCAAAGATGTGAAGAATATGGAACTCTCATAAATTGCTGCTGGGAATGTAAAATGATGCAGCAGCTGTGGAGAAAAGTTTGGTAGTTAACTTTAAACTTAGAGTTATCATATGACTCAGCAAATCCACTTCTAAGTATATACCCAAGAGAATTGAAAACATGTTCACAGAAAAACCTGGATACAAAGTTTTATAGCAGCAGTATTCATAATAAACAGTAGAAACAACCCAAATATTTATCAAATGATAAATGAATAAACAAATATACTATATTCATGCAGTCATTCAGCCATAAAAAGAAATGAAGTACTGATACACGCTACCAGGTGGTTGAACCTTGAAAAACATTGTTAATTTTTAATAATATTGTTATTTAAAGATGGCATCTTATTATCTTGCCCAGGTTGGTCTTGAACTCCTGGACTTAAGCAATTCTCCTGCCTCAGCCTCTGGAGTGACTGGGACTACAAGTGTGCAGCTGGATTTATGTTTAGTGTACTTTTCTATATGTTAAAATTCATAATAAAAAGGTTGAAAGGATGGCTATTGGGGGAGGTTTTGAGAAGGAACATCAATATCATTTCTTGGTCTTTAGACTTTCAACCTATTATATTTCTTATTATCTTACCAAACAGAATGAAAAAAAAAATCTGTAACTTACGCAGCTTTTTCATTGAAGAGTATAATGTAAAAACTACTAATTCTTAAGTTGTTCACTCTTTTTTTTCTTCAAAGTTTTTAGTCTCAGACTGGAATTTAATTTTTTTTTGTTTTGTTTCTTTTAGGAGGTGCTAATGATGCTGGATAACTATGTAAGAGATTTCAAAGCATTGATTGACTGGATTCAGCTTCAGGAAAAGCTAGAGAAGACAGATGCTCAAAGCAGGTAATGAGCTCTCTGGTCTCAATCTTCCTATCATCCAGCAGTTTCAATAGCAATCACTGAAACGGACAATAAACTTAACCTCATATTGAGTTGAAACTTGTAAAAATCTAAAAGTCAGGTGCTGCATTTCTCATTCAATTAAATAACAAATATTTATTGGGTAATTATCAGTGGGTATTAATTGGGTATTATCACTTTATTCAGTACAGAGATTTAATTTTTGAATGTGACACATTTACCACTCATGGAATTTATAGACTGAGTGTGATAAAAATAGAACTTAGTACAAAAAACTATTACGGTTCTTCAGATAAGGACAAATCTCTTTTGGAGGATAGATCAGGGAAGATTTCAGGAGGATGCGGAAGAAGTGTTTCATGGATGGGATGGATTTTACCAGCTGGTTGGCCATTTCGGTGAAGGGAATAAATTTAAACAGCTATGTAAGTGTAGGACATGTGTGAAGTCAAAGTAGTAGGGAAAGATACAGTATTTCTTCTTAATGTATTAGGCAATGAGGAAAATTGATGATTTTTGATTAGGGGAATAATACGAGATCAAAGCTCCTTTAGAAGGATTCATTTGGAATCACCACAGAGTATCTGAATGCTGTGTGCCAAGCTCTGTGACTGTTGTGGTCAAGAGGACAGATGCAGTCCCTGCCTTCATGAAGTACATAGTACATGCTGTGGCCTGAATGTGCCTTCCCAAAATTCATATGTTGAAATTTAATCACCAATGTGATAGTATTAAGAGGTGGGGGCTTTAGGAGGTAGTTAAGTTGGGAAGGTGGAGCCCTTATGAGTGGGATTAGTGACATATAAAAGAAGTGGGAGCTGTTACCCCTCCACCATGTGAAGACACAGCTGAAAGATGATCTTTATAAGGAACAGGGCTCATATCAGACGTTGAATCTGCTGGCACCTTGATTTTGTACTTCCCAGCATCCAGAACTATGAGAAATAAATTTCTTATTGTTGTTTATAAATTACCCAGTCATAAGGTATTTTGTTGTAGCAGCCTGAATGGACTAAGTGCATTTCTAACAGGAAAGACTGATGTTAAGTAAGTATAAATGTGCCAAGTGTCATCAAGAAGAAATACAGCTTTCTCTGTCAGTATAAGAAAAAACACTCTTAACCAGTTTGCTAAGTCTAGGAAGGCTTCCTGAGGAGGTGACATTTAAATTGAGACAGAATTGTTAAGTAGGAGTTAGACAAAGAGAAAAGAGTAATTCGAGATAATGCTAACAGCATGTGTGATATCTTTGAAGTGAAAGGGAGCACAGTGTAATCAAGGAATTTAGTAGGGCAGGAGTGAAAAGAACAAGGGGAGAGTAGCATGAGATGAGCCTAGAGAGCTAGGCTAGGACCACATTGTGTAGAGCTCAGTAGAAATAATAAGGGATTTAGATTTGACTTTGAGCCAATAAAGGGTTTTAAAGTAGGGAAGTGACATATCAGATTTATGTTTTTAAAAGATCATTTTGGCTGCCATGTGGGAAGGTTGACATATAGCAATGTAGTTTAGAGATGATGGCTACTCAGATTAAGGTAGTAACAGTAGGGAGAATTAGATACTCTAGAAATAGATAATCAAATGGACTTAGTATTATTTTGGTTCTGTACAAAGGCAAAAGAGCAGTTTAGTTTAGACATCTAAGTAATTCCTAAACTCTGGTAAACTTGCCAAGTCATATGGAGCTACAAGGCTGCTTCCCCCCGCCTCCTGCCAAGCAAATAGGCCTATCCTGCCTCTTTGCTTTGGATTTAATCTTGGTTCAATCTTAGTGGGTGAAACTATCCAGTAAAAAAGGCATCTTTTATCTCATCCTGATGTGTCAGCCCTACAGGCAGTCAGAACCAGTAGGGTAAAGGAATTCCAAGGGAGAAATCCAGAAGGGCTGGATTCCCGGGAAACCAAATCTAGGGAAACTAAGATAGGTTGATCCTTTTAACATTTTTGTTTCTCACAGTAAAATTTTTGATGGTTTTTCAGTGCCTACTTCATCCACAGTCCCTGGGTGGGTCAGGCCTAAATGTCTTTGTTTGTACTAAGCAATTTTACCCTTACGTTGGTAATAGGTGATTGGATCTGGGGTTTCATTCTTTCACTGGGTTGAACCAAGCTAAGAGATCATCATGCTGATTTGGGACTTGTGGCTGTATTGTCTTTGTGACAATAAGCAGAGTAAAATAGGTTGGGAAAAAAAAGGGAATAGATTTACAGAGAGAAACAGAAATTATGTGGCCTTTGAGAGCCTATACCGGGTCTAATCCTCATGAGCCCTGATTCTAGTCTCCCCCAACTTTTGGATGTCTTTGACCTTGTACAGTTTATATCCTTACAATAAATCTTTATTTTCTTTTTCTTTTCATTTTTTTATTTAACTTGATTGAGTTTGTTTGTTGTATCCAAAGGTCTGTAATGTAATCACCAATGCATTAAAAAAAAATTTTTTTTTTTGTGCTTGCAAAATTCAGTTACCTATTGGTGGCTGTGTTGAGGATTGTATTGGAAAAGTTACATAAGCCAAACCCAAGCTTAACAGAGTGGTTACCATTCCTCTCTTGGCACTGTGGTTCAAAAATATACCTGAGGCATCCCTTTTTTTTTTTTCCTTGGAGACAGAGTCTTACTCTTTAACCCAGGCTGGAGTGCAGTGGTGCCATCTTGGCTCGCTGCAACCTCCACCTTCCACTTTTAAGCCTCAGCTTCCCAAGTAGCTGGGATTACAGGCACCCGCCACCACGCCCAGCTAATTTTTGTATTTTTAGTAGACATAGGGCTTCACCATGTTGGCTAGGCTGATCTCGAACTCCTGACCTCGAGTGATCTGCCCTCCTTGGCCTCCCAAAGTGCTGGGATTACAGGAATGGGCCACCATGCCTGGCTGAGGCATCCCTTTTACTTTTGCCAGTTATCAGCATTTCTCTTCTTTGCCTCATGAGACAGCACTTATATATGGAAAGCAGTCTTAAAGTGCTCTATAGATGGCATTATCCATCTTGCATTCTTCAAATCATGCATCAAAATTTATTTTGGCTAGCCTGGAGATTTAAATGTAAAAACTGAAGTTGTATATGTTTAAAGAAGAAAATATAGGTAAATATTTATATATTTGTTTTGCGTGTGAGGACTTTGTAAGACACAGGCAGACACCACAAAGAAAAATATTGATACACTGATTAAATAGGAAGAGAACAAATGTTTCCAACTAAAAAGGAAAAACTAAAGGCAAAATAGTTGTATCACCAATGCCAATGGATTTGTAGCCATAAGAGTAGTAGTAAACTATTTCAAATTAATCAGAAAATGGTGCAAATCCCAGTGGAAAAAATGAAGGAAAGATACCAACATGTGAATCGCAAATGAAGAAATTCAGATGGTTGGTTAAAAAGTTCAGTTTCACTAGTAATGATAATAAACGTATAATTTAAAAAACAAAGACAATGAAATACTATTTGCCAGTGAAATTTTTAAAAACAGATATCAACAGTTGGCAAGATTGAAAGGAAATGGAGAGTAAGACACAGGGATACCCACAGGAGTTATGGGGATCTGATTGAGGGCATGTTATGCATCCTGTAAGCCAATTGGTTGTGGTGCCAAGGAAGGAGGAGGAGTAGACGTTAAGTTATGTTTCTTAGCTTTCCCAGCAAAGAGCAGTGAAATCCTACTCTCGTGAGTGATTAAGAGGTAGAGGAAGGACATTTTATATTTTCCTACTCTTCATTTAACCCTTACCGTATTCTTTCTCTTGATACATGTTTCACAAACTCTCCAGGACATCAGAGACAAGTAGATTGAAGTAGTATCATTGCCTTTTAAACATTTTTTTAGCTGGGCATTTGGAAGCTTATAAATCGTAAGTAGCGTATCTCATATCCCTGTAACCCCATGACCTTTTTGAGGTAATTGGAGTAGTGTTGCTGTGCTGCAGTCGGTAGAAAATCCTGAACCGTTTATCAACTATGATTTCTCACTGATAGTATGGTAACTTTCTGGTAAGCAATGCTCTAGGGGAACATTTGCACATGTTGTGACTTTTTGTTGTTGTTGTTGAAAAGTAGGATTATTTTTTCAGCCACTAACAACCAAGAGAAAAGATTATTTGTTTCTCCCTTTTCTCTGTTAATTTAATCTGGTTTATATATTGAATTCGCAGACCAACATCATTGGCATGGGAAGTAAAGAAGATGTCTCCGGGACGCCATGTGATTCCAAGTCCATCAACAGATAGAATAAATGTAACATCAAATGCTCGACGAAGCTTAAATTTTGGGTGAGATGAACTAAGAAAAAACTACTAAGACTTGCATTAAATTATTTTCTTAGTTATTATAGTATTATGATTCTGATATTCTACTATAAAAATATCCATGTATATGTTATGCAGAATACTGTATACAGGTTCTGACACAGGAGGGGAACACTGTGTGTTGGTTAGCAATCCCGGGGAGGATTCTAAACATCTCATCAATTTCTGCTAAGGTTCCTAGATCTGATGGAAGGTTTTGCATAAACCCTGTTGCCACTGGAGGAGTTTGGTGAGTCATATGCTGACTTGCACAAGTTAGGTAAAGCAATGTTGTTACTCACAGATAGGCAGCAAGGATCAACAGAAGCCTAGGATCCATGGCAAGATAGTTCCCTGGGACTCAGGAAAGCTAACCAGGGGAATGGAGTTTCATTTGTGTGAGCTCCATTTATTACCACAGCCAAAAGACCCCAAAAGCACCCTGCTCTGGATTTTATACACCGATGTCACTTAGGTTATTGAGTGCAAGCGTTGCAGGCATCCTCTTCTACAGGGATAAGGACAAAGCCTGGGCCGTCGTGGGCAGTTCCTTCTTATTTCAAGATGTTGCATTCTTGGTACGTTTTGCCTGAAAATTGCAAGCCAGAGAGGGAAGAGCTGGGTTTACCAAGGGACCTGTCTTCCTGCATTGTGGATATGTTTGAAATTGTCTATATAAAAAGTAAAAACACCTGTAATCCCAGCACTTTGGGGAGCCGAGGTGGGAGGATCACTTGAGGTCAGGGGTTTGAGACCAGCCTGGCAAAAATGGCAAAACCCCATCTCTACTAAAAATACAAAAATTAGCCATGTGTCGTGGCATGTGCCTGTAATCCCAGCTATTTGGGGGCGGGGGCGGGTGGAGGTTGCAGTGAGCCAATATCACGCCACTGTACTCCAGCCTGGGCAGCAGAGTGAGACTCCGTCTCAAAAAAAAAAAAAAAATTCCAGGAGATTATAGTTTAGCTTTTAGGACATGGAATATATTCAATCATAAATAGTAATTCAAAGATTAAAACTCACATATTTTATGCCAAATATTATATAACATGAATTAACAATTTCCTTTGCAATAGATCTGTATATTAATACATATCATACATTGTGTTATTGTCATACAAATTACATTATTTATATATTACAAGCTCAACACAGTTTTAAAATTACTGTTTTTTGCCATTGTCTCTTTAATCAGGAGAAGAAAAGAGCTACAAACAAAAACTACATTTATATTGTCTTTTGTGGTTACCTGTATAGTTTTCTTTTCTAGTCCTTTACTGGAGTCTTCATTTCTTCATACAGATTCGAGTTACTATCTATTGTCCTTTTGTTTGAGCCTGGACTCCCTTTAGTATTTCTTGTTGGACAGGTCTGTTAGGAACAGATGTTCTCGGTGTTTGTCTTAATTTATCTTTCAGTTTTTGAAGGGCAGTTTTGTAGTATGTAGAATTCTTGGTTAATAATCCTTTCTTTCAGCACTTTATGTTTCCTTACTGCCTTCTGGCTGCTATGGTTTCTGATGGGAAATCAGCTGTTATTGAGGATCCTTGAATGTGATCCATCACTTCTCTCTTGATTCTTTCAAGATTGTCTGTCTTTGGCTTTTGATCCTCTGACTATGATATATCTAAGTGTGGCTCTCTGAGATTATCATACTTGGAGTTTGTTGAGTCTCTTGGATATGTATTTAATGTTTTTAATCAAATTTGGGAAGTTTTTGCCCATTATTCCTTTAAATGTTTTTTTTTCTGCCCCTTTCTCTCTCTTCTCTCCTTTGAAAATTCCACTGTACACGTTTGTACTCTTGATGCTGTCCCATTTGAGGATCTGTTCATTTTTTCTTTTTCTTTTTCTTTTCTTTTTTTTTTTTTTTAAGATATAGTCTTGCTCTGTTGCCCAGGCTGGAGTAGAGTGACGTGATCTTGGCTTACTGCGATGTCTACCTCCTGGGTTCAAGCGATTCTCGTGCCTTAGCCTCCTGAGTAGCTGGAATTATAGGCGCATGCCACCATGCCCAGCTAATTTTTGTATTTTTGGTAGAGACAGGGTTTTGCCATGTTGGCTAGGCTGGTCTCAAATTCCTGACCTCAAGTGATCCACCCTCCTTGGGCTCCCAATGTGCTAGGATTACAGGTACAAGCTACTGTGCCTGGCCACTTTGATGTTCTTTAAATGTAGTTAATAGCTGATTTAAAGTCTTTGTCTAGTAAGCCCAATGTCCGGGCTTCCTGTTGCTGCTCTTCTTGTGAATGGGCCATACTTTCCTGTTTATTGGCACATCATCTGATTTTTTTTTTTTTTTGGTTGAAAAGTAGGCATTTTAAATGATAAAATGTGACATCTTTGGAGATCAGATAGCTACTCTCTCCAGGATTGTTAACTGTGACTGTTGTTGTTACTGTTAGTTTAGTGCTACACTTAACTCATTCTGTGACGTCTGTATATTTTGTTTCATGGGTACACACAACATGAGTGTATGTTGATGTATGTTGTATGTAGCTATACAACAGTATGTTTTGTCAACATCACCTAACGATTTGACAGAGGTTTCCTTAAATACCTTGAGCCAATAAATCTCTTAGTTCTCACCTGGTTCTGTCTGTCTGTTGGGACATACTTTGAATGCTCTGGCAGTTTATAACTGCCTTTGCTTGTCAGTTCCTCCTTTCTTAGAGCCTCAAGGCCAGTCATAGGTAAGAGATTAGGGTCCTCTCAAATATTTCCTAGGTATGCACACAACCTGCATATGTGTGTGGCCTTCTTGATTTTCAGGAATTTGCTAGAACTTTTCAAAGCCTCCCATGGATGTCTCATTCTTGAGCTTTTCCTTTTAAGTTTTTTGGTCAGCTCTTTGTTTGCTTCAAATGGTATTTCAATCTCTGGTAGTTGTATTATTTTAAAAAATTGTCACATTTGTTTCGCACAAACAAAAAAATTGTTTTTAAGACTAAGTTGTTTTGGACTCTACTTCTTTAGAGTGAATGTTAACATCTGATGTTTAATGGAAGGGTTGGTAAGTAGTTTGCTTGGTCAGTTTTCTTTTTTCTGTTAAAACCTGACCTTTCTTGACTGCTTTTTATCTCCTAACTTCATGTCACAGTTAATAGCTTTCACCTCTTGTTACTGCTCAACCTTGGATACAGTTTTATTGTTACATTTGCAATGTCTTATACTCTTTCTTTTAATGTCTATTTTTTTGTACTTATACTAGGACCTTCTTTGAGGCAAGATTACTGCCGTATCTCTGTATTCTAAGTGCCTGGCACTGTATGGCATTTAGTAAAAGCTGATGAAGTGTTTGTTTAATAGAATCTAACTTTTGCTTTCAAGTTCCTTTATGGAGTTATTAGGTAGTATTGCCTTTAAAGGTTGATGGGCTTTGGAACCATTTAATAATTGAACCGTAGTGGAGTAGGGAAAAGATATATATGCAAATGAAAACAAATATTTATATATTCAAGCACCATTTTAAGGAAACTTGCCCTGTAATGCACTTCATTGGTGTGTGGTTCAGAGTATTGTATAGTGTATGGTTTATTGTAACACTCAAAGCCGTTAATTCGTGTGTGGTAAAAGTTCTTATATTGATCTGCACGTAACTGTGTCATTGGGTTAATTCAGTCTTCATTATCATCGTAGAACACACTGTTTCAGCTTGAGGAACAATTTTGGCTCATAGACTACATTTTGTATATCTACTCACTTCTGCTTCTGCTGGTTGAGTTATATATTTACTTCAAATGTGTTGTTAGTTACCAAACTTGGCTTATGTGAATTGTTTTCATTATTTTAACTCATAATTTAAATATTAAGTAGACCATTAAAATATGAGTGTAAAAAGAGTCATTGTTTTTGTGAAAACTAAGATAAATTTTTGGAAGCTTTGATAAAGGGAACTGGTAAAGTTGCTGTCAAATGAGGAGTACACAGGATAACTATAAAAATTTGGGGAAAATATTATTAAGGTTAAGGAGAATTGTGCATTAAATTATATAATAGACATCACTGAATTTTCACTCCACTTTAAAGGAACCAAATTTAGATGTTGTCAGTGAGGCATCATGCTTTTGGTTCATGTAAGAAATGTACACAAAGAAAAAGCCTCTTTTAGTAGTGTCTTTATCAAGATTGACGAATTAATGCATATTTATGTCTTTTTCTTTTTTTAAATTGAGATGGAGTCTCACTCTGTCACCCAGGCTGGAGTGCAGTCGTGCAGTCTTGGCTCACTACAACCTCTGCCTCCTGGGCTCAAGCAATTCTCATGCCTCAGTCTCTCGAGTAGCTGGGATTACAGGTGCACACCACCGCGCCCAGCTAATTTTTGTTATTTAGTAGAGACAGGATTTCACCATGTTGGCCAGGCTGGTTTTGAACTCTTGGCCTCAAGTGATCCACCTGCCTTGGCTTCCCAGGGTGCTGGGACTACAGGTGTGAGCCACTGTGCCTGGCCAATATTTGTATTATTAAAACACATAAGTGAAAATGAAAACTTTAAGGTACCTATGCATAATTTTTTAAAAGCTTCCTCATTTAAGTGAAATTTTCTTTTAAACAACTGAGGGCTTTTATCCTTTTCTGTTTATTCCCATATGTTATACTATATAAACTTAATGAAGTATTAGATCAAGATAAATTTATAAATATAGTTACCTTAAATTGCCGTGGCAGATTATTATTCTATATATGTGGATATTCATATGCATAATTTAAATTTTAAATACATTTAGCATATATTCAGAAGTTTTTCTTTTATATTTAATTTATTAAATGTGTTTATTTTTCTCCATAGAGGTTCAACTGGCACAGTGCCAGCTCCTCGTCTGGCTCCCACAGGTGTCAGTTGGGCTGACAAGGTAAAGGCTCATCATACAGGCTCTACTGCTTCTTCAGAAATAACACCCGCCCAGTCTTGCCCACCAATGACAGTGCAGAAGGCCTCACGCAAAAATGGCAAGTGACTTCGAATTAGCCATTTTGTGTAGTAAACAGGTGGATATATAGAGATACTTATTTTGTTTAAAATTGGTCCTATTTATCTTTTTGTACAACATACGTAATATTAATTTACCATAATTAAAACATAAAATTATCTTAAAAGCCGAGCAAAACTACTTTTCAGCACTGTAGATAGCTTATGGAGATCATTCTAGTTTCAGGTTTGCCATGTGTAAACTTTAAAGAGAATGAGGTCTTTTGTTTATTCATTATAAGATCCTTTAGAATTCTTTTGACTTCAGGTAGGAACAAAAAAGCCTAATTTAGTCTAGGCAGAATTCACTTTTAAGTAGCATGTTACTACTTCAGCTGTTCAATACTTGATTGTTATTTTGTACTGCAAAATAATATTCTGTGTTTATCTTTGCTCACACATCCATTTTCTATACCATCAGAATAAGGAATACAAATAATTAGAAGAGGGATTATTATGAGGGCCCACCTAGAACAATTTTATCCCATAAGAATTATATAGATGTTTTATGTAAACATCTTTTTATGTAGAAGTCCCAAGTGGATTTTTATACATCCACAGAGGCTGGGATTTTAGAATGATAATAGGTAATAATGAGTTTTGTTTCATGAGTTCAAGAGAACTTCAGACACTGCTTTCTGTTTTCTTCAGTGGAAGATGCCATTGGAACTTTTCGGTTCAGAAAGAAATGTTTTATTGCACATAACAAAAGACATTGCTGTCTTTGTGTTATGGATGTGTTTTGTGTTTTTTCATTTTTTTCTCAGTAAGTTGTGTTGGCTTACTTCAATATATTGCCCCTCTTCATACTAACTTAGTAGTAGACAATTGACTGTAGGCAAGACTTCTTTTAGGAAGAGGTAGGAAAATACACAATCAGAAAACGTAGTTTCTGTATCTTGAAAGATTCTAAGAGAAATGTGTTGTAAAAATCAAAATTGCAAAAAACTTAAAGGAATCATGGTATTAATACATATCACAGTTTCGTTTAAAGCAGTCCACTTCAGATTATTCATGAATAACTCACCTAGTTGAGGTGAAATAATAGATCTTGATTATATCTATACTTATGGTAACTCTTATTAATGTATTGGGAAATTTTATTTTGGACCAGTTTCGTCTTCAGTTTTGGGGTTTCAGTGCAGTGTTATACACAGCGAGTTATGCCATTCTGTGGGAAAAGCAAACTGTTTTTCCTCTGCTCTCATGCCACAGCAATTAACACAGAAGACTTCTGTGACCTCTGATCACCATGAAGTATGTGGGGATTTCTCCCCACCAACAACCAATCAATCAGTTCTGCAGCAGACACCAGCTGGTTGTCCTCGAATTCAATTTAATTCTGACGCTGTGGAGCTGTAGATAGTGTCAGATCCCACAGGTTGAGGGCTCAACCCCACAAGACTGCCTCCCACTTCTGATGCCAGTAACAAGCCTCAGGTTATTTTACCTGTGCTCTGACCAACTAGCTATAAATCAGGATTCCGACTACCTACTTCTTGGATTTGATTAATTTGCTAGAGTGGCTCACAGAAGTCAGGGAAACACATTTATCAGTTTATTATAAAGAATATTACTAAGGATACAGATGAAGAGATGCCTAGGGCAAGCTAAATGGAAAGGGAAGAAGAGCTTCCATGCCTTCTCCAGGCACACAACCCTCTAGGAACCTTCAAGTGTTCAGCTATCCAGACATTCCCTAACCCTGTTTTTAAAAAAGGTTTTTATAGAAACTTCATTATCTAGGCATGATTGATTAAACCATTGGCAAGCAACCTAACCTTCAGCTCCTTTCCTTTCTCCCTCCCTGAAGGCTGAGGAGTTGGGGCTGAAAGTCCCAGTGTTCTAATACTGCCTTGTTGTTTCCAGTGACCAGCTTCCATCCTGAAGCCACCTAGGGGCTGCCAGCCACTTGTCAACTCATTAGCATACAAAAAGACACATCATTTTGGGAATTCCAAAGATTTTAGGAGTTGCATGCCAGGAGACTTGAGATGAAGACCAAATATATATTTTGCAATATCACAGGTGTATACTTCAAGTAATATATAATAACAGTAGCTATAGAACTGAAGTTTGTAATTTTTGTGTTATAAAAAATAATTCTAGTTAAAGATGATAGAGTGACCACATGCATTTAATGTTCTCTTCCCCAAACCCAGCTAAAATGGTATAAAATGATTTAGAAATTGGACTTAAGGAAAAAGAGACGGGAGAAGAGATGATATGAACAAGTTTTTGGAAGTTAGAAAGGAGAAAGATGGTGGTAACTGACAAACATACGGAGTGAGCTAGCTGAATCCTGTGCTAAAAAGAGGAGGCACAACTGAATACTCCCAATATCTATTTCTATGTAGCAAGCCCAAAACTTAGCTACTTAAAACAGTTACCATTTTATTTCCACATAATTGTTTGAGTCAGAAATCTGAGCAGTGCTCAGTGGAGTGGCTCTTTTCTTTTCCACATGGTGTCAGCTATGACAGTTGAGCTGAAACTAAAGTATCCAACATGATGTCATCACATGATTGAAGGCTTGGTACTGGCTTTGGCTAAGAAACCCAAGTTCTTCTTACAGCCTCTTTCTCTTCACATGGTCTCTCATTATTCAGTGATATTTCCTGGGCTTCTTTAAATGTCATCTGGCTTCCAACAAGGAGAGAATGAAAGCTGCAAGGCTTCTAAGTCCTTAGTTGGGAAGTTATAGAACATCACTTACCATATTCAATTGATCATATGAAGTCACAGGGCCAACCAGAGATTCAAGGGAGGGTGAACAGTCTCCACCACTCAACAATGGGAGTGGCATGTAAGCACTGGGATGGGAGAAATTGATGGCACCCATCTTTGTGAACAATCTACCAGAGCCCACAATCTAACTTTAGATTGCCAGTCTCCCAAGACTGCCAGTGACTCACTCAATTATAGTATCAGCCTTGAAGACCTGTATCTCATGATCTATATCAGATTTGAAAGTATTCCTTGAGTGTGAATTTTCTTAATCTGGAAGCTTGGAAGTTCAATGGGAGAAGAGGGCTGGAGGAAGAAGTGAGGATGAAAGTCCTCAATATTACCTTTATATCTGAATTTCCTGTGGGTGTACTTTAAAATCATTTTTTTTGGAGTTTTACAATTATTTGACCTTTTTTTTTTAAGCATCACTCACAGTCTTAACACTGTGTATTAAAGATTATAGAGCCTCCAGCTAAAATTATTGGTTTTTTTTTTTGTCTGGCAAGATGATAGAGAACAAGCAGATCACCCAAGTCCCCTCCCAAAGGAGAGGGTGATCTGCTTGTTCACTATCATGTTGCAAGACAAAAAAAAACCAATCATTTGTTCTCCATCTCCCTTTGGGAGGACTTGGGTGACCTTTGGTTTGGTTTGAGATTTTATTAAGTTTGATGTGTTTTAATTAGTCCTTATGCCTTTTGGGGTCTCAAATGAAAAGCTAGAATGTTCGCCAAGGCCACTGCATTCCTGAATTTAAAATTTTTTCCTCAGCACTATACAGTTGCTACAATATCAGCTTAGCTCATTAGCTTCTCAGCTGCTGCTTTCTGCTAGGTTTCTTGGAGTCTTGCCCTGTATATGCAAAGTTTTTTTTTTTTAGCAGTTGTCAGACTTCTTAAGGAGAGATTAATTGAAGATTTTTTGACTCAATTCCCTGCAGTACTTTCCCACCCCCTCTAAGATTTTTGCCCCGAAGTTCCAGTTGCTTTAGATTCTCTGAATTCTAATATCTGTTTCAGTTGGCTGGGAATGCTGGTTTCTGCCAGGACTCACTTCCCCTGCACCCTAAATTCCAGGTGTTTTAGGAGAAAATGCTGTAGTGAATCCACATTCACTCATCTGATCTCGTTGTCCTTCTCTCTTCTCAGGAATTGTAGTTCCTTTAAATTTGCCACATCGGCTGCTTTTCAATGCTGTTTAATTTTTTATAGTTGTTTTTGGCAGGAAGAGGGCAAATTTTAGCACAAGCTCCTTCACTGTGGCTATAACTGTAAGTCCAAATACATAATCAAGCACATATGGAACATTTACCAAAATTGAAACATGCTGGGTCATTAGACATGTCTTAACAAATTTCAGGTGATTTAAATGATTCTGTTTGTTGCTGATCACAGTGGGATTAAATTAGAAATCAATTTACAAAGAATATAGTTAGATAATGCCCAAATTTTGGGAATTTTGGAATTTGCTTTTAGATAACTCATCGAGTCAGAGATGATACCACAATGAAAATTAGAAAAAGTGAATTGAATAAAAATGAACATTTAACAACTTGTGAGATTAAGGTAAAGCTAGGCTTTGAGGAAAATTTCTAGCCTCAATTGTACACATTGGAAAAGAAGAAAAGCTAAAATTCACTCTTTGTTCATTTCACGAAGTTAGAAAAGAAAAGCAAGTTAAACCCAAGGACTATAGAATGAAATAAACTATAGGTGAGAATAGAGAAAATAAAAGAAGCCAAAAAGTGGTTCTTTTAAATAGACCAGTAGAATTAACAGACCACTAGTTACATATTACTACTGTACTTGATCTTAGCCAAAAGACCAAGAAGTGATTGTTATACAGTATTGATCAAGAAAAAGAAGACACAAGGAGTAATAGCAGGAATCAAATAGAGGATATTGCTAGAGATACCACAAATATTAAAAAGATGAGGATTTTTATGAGTATTATATACTAAATTTGGAAAAACAAAAGGATTGACATTCCTTGAAAAACACAAGTTAAAATTTGCATTGTAAGAAATATAAAAACTTGAAGAGAACTTAGAAGTATTTTTAAAAAGTGTGAGTTTGTAACTAAAAATTTTTTCATGAAGAACATTCCAGGTCAAGATGGCTTCACGTGTTACTTCTTCCAAACTTTTAAGGTAAAAATAACGTGAATCTTATAGAAACTCTTCCTGAGGATAAAAAAGAGGACCATGTTTTAATGTTGCCAATGTAACCTTAATATCAAAATCTAACAAGGAAATTAAAACATTATCTCTTGAACATTGATGTACATTTTTTTTTTTTTTTGAGATGGAGTCTTGCTCTGTCTCCCAGGCTGGAGTGCAGTGGTGCAATCTCAGCTCACTGCAAGCTCCGCCTCCTGGGTTCACACCATTCTCCTGCCTCAGCCTCCTCAGTAGCTGGGATTACAGGCGCCCGCCACCACGCCTGGCTAATTTTTTTTATATTTTTTAGTAGAGACGGGGTTTCACCGTGTTAGCCAGGATGGTCTCAATCTCCTGACCTCGTGATCCGCCCGCCTCAGCCTCCCAAAGTGCTGGGATTACAGGCGTGAGCCACCGCGCCCGGCCCCATTGATGTAAATATTTTAAACAAAATATTATTGAATTAAATACAGTGATAAAAATAATATTTCACAGTAAGATTGGGATTATTCCAGGTGCACATCAGTTACTGGTTATATTGACTTGAATTTAGTACAACGTTCTTAATGACATTTGTAAAATTTTAAAAATTGTACAAGTGTAAAAACTATGAAATGAAATGTAATTTTTAGTTTTGTGTACTCTGTCCTAACCTTGTAATTATTTAGAAGTTCTCTGACAGTTTAATTGCATGATTTGCTGTTCTTAAACATTCTTTATTATGGGAATAATTTTTAAATATAGTTTGCACTGAAGGTTTATTAAAAATATAATTTGTCTGTAACTAATTTCTCAGTTTTAAAGAGACCTAAGTTATAGTTCCTAGTTTGATATACTCCTCTCTTGACTGCTTTAAATATTAATTCAATTAAAAAATTATATGATTGTGTTGGCAATTTTATTGGTTAAAAGATTAGGTCCAATTTTAAGCAGCATTTCTTTCTATAAGGAAGCTTTCAAATAAAGGTGTTTTTCTTTCCTTTAAAAAGTAAAATGAGTAGGCATAGTGCTTCTAAGGGTGAGCCAGTTAACTGGAAACTGAGATCTTTTGTTAAATGCTTAATTTTATAATTTATTTTTTTCCTCTTGGTATGTGTGGTTTTTATATGATTCATCTTACGATTTTTGTTTTAATTTACATTATATGTATTTAAAGGATAAAGCATAAATGTATTATATGTGCTGAATTTTAATAACATTAAACAGATGAAAATTGAACACAGACTGGATATTATATAATTTAAGGCATTATTTTTCAGTTTCATAATGTTATATTTTTAAGAAAATGCCTATTTATATTCTTACAAAGATACATACTAAACAATTACAAGAGAAATGTATTTGCTTTAAATTATTTCAGAAAAAATAATGGGGAAGGGGAATGGATTGAAAAAAGAATGTCAGAAATTGGGCCGGGTAGCTGTAGTTCTGTAGTCCCAGCTACTCAGAAGGCTGAGGTAGGAGGATTGCTTGAGCCTATGGGTACTAGTCTGGGCAACATAGCGAGACCAGTCTCAAAAAAAATAAAAATAGAGAGGGACAAAATGTTGATAATTGTTGAAGCTGGATTATTGGAACATGGGGTTCATTATACTGTTTTCTCTATATTGTGTATTTGAGAACTTTCATAATAAAGCACTTTAAAAATTCACAAAACAGATGTAAACATACTTTTACTTAGAGATTTCAAAGTCCGTATCTATGAAGTAAAATATTATAGTTTCTGTCTGATAATATTTATTTTAAAATAAACATACAACATACGAACATACAGTTTTGTATTTTCAAAAACAGGGTAATGAATTAATATACCAGTTACAAGAATGAGCATTTTGGGTTTTGTTTTCTCCTGAAAATAAAATTTTTTTACCTTTAGTGATTCATGTGATGGTATGACACACTGTTCTATGATATACAGATTTATTTTGTTTTCATAATAATATAGATTTTCAGTTTTACAAAAATAAACCTCAAAAATTGTCTCTTTTCTGTTCATTTTTTATACCAGCTTTATTGAGATACAATTCACATAACATGTAGTTTACTTGTTTAAAGTATATAGTTCATTGGTTTTTAGTATATTCACACATAATGTACAACTATCACAACAGTCAATTTTATAACATTTTCTTCACCTCATAAAGAAATTCCATACACTTTTTGCTATCCCGTAACCCCACATTCTCCACGGCCGTGTGGTGTTTTGGTGTTACCAGAGAATTTTGTTTTAGCTATTTTTATATGTGCATTGTGGTTTTAATTTGCATTTCTTTAATGACTAATGATGTTGAACATGATGGGCTTATTTGCCCATTGTATATCTTCTTCAGTGAAATGTTTGCTCATGTCTTTGCCTATTTTCTACTTGAACTGTTTGTAATAATACAGTTCAGTTTTGAGAGTTCTCTGTGTATTCTAGACACTCGTGTTGTGTTGGATATTTTCTACCAGTCTGTCCTTTTCTTCACAGGGTGTTTTGCACAGCAGAAGTTTCAATTTTGATGAAGTATGATTGATTAGTTTTTTTTTAATAGATCATACTTTTGTCATCAAGTCTAAGAATTCATTGTCTACCCATAGATTCTGAAGGTTTTTCTCTTACATTGCCTGGAAGTTGATAGTTTAAAATTTTATTACTAAATCTGTGATCCATTTTAAGTTAATTTTTGTATAAAGTGTGCGTTTTAAGTGAAGGTTCGTTTTTTGCCTATGGATGTCCATTTACTCCACCAGTTTGTTGAAAATTCTTGGCCAGGCTTGGTGGCTCACCTGTAATCCCAGCACTATGGGAGGCCAACCCAGGAGGATTGCTTGAGTCTAGAGGTTCACATCCAGCCTGGGCAACATAGTGAGACCTTGCCTTTACTAAAAATAAAAAATTAGCTGGGCGTGGTGGCATGTGTTTGTGGTCCCAGCTGCTCTGGAGGATCGCCGCATTCCAGCCTTGGGGAGAGAGTGAGACCTTGTCTAAAAATAAATAAATAAAAGAAAAATTCTTTTCTTTCTCTGTTGAATTGCATTTGCAATTTTATAAAAAATTAGCTGGCCATATAAGCGTGGGTGTATTTCTGGGTTCTATATTGTGTTTCATATGTTTTTTGTTCCATCAATTCTATACTGACTTGATTAACTCTGTGGTAAGCCTTAATATTGGGTAGAGTGATTGCTTCTTTTCTTTTTCAAAATTGTTTTTAGCTATTTTAGGTCCTTTGTCTTTCTATATACATTTTTGGAATGAACTTATTTACATCAAAAATGTTACTGGGAGTTTATAGAACAATTACAATGATGGATCAATTTAGAGAGAGTTAATCAATTTAGAGAGAGTATCTTTACTATGCTGAATCTTGCAGCCTATGAACATGGAATGTCCCTCTATTTCTTTAGGCCTTCTTCTGTTTCTTTCATCAGCATTTTATAATTTTCAAGATAGACATTCTGTACTTTTTTGTTGGACTTATAACTATTTCATTTTCTTTTTGCGATTATAAGTTTTAAATTTAATTTCCACACATTTATTAGTATATAGAAATGCAATGGACATTTAGAGTGTTGGTCTTGTATCCTGCAACTTTACTGAACCCATATAATTCTTGGAGTTTTTATGTGTATTCTCTGGGATTTTCTATTATGTCATCTAAAAATAGGGACAGTTTTATTTCCTCCTTTCCTGTCTGTATGTCTTTTTTCCTATGATTTTGTTTTGTTTTGTTTTTTGTGGCACTGTCTAGAATGTTCAGTACTATATTGAACAAGCTATTGAATAAGCATGGTGATAGGAGACACCTTTCCCTTGTTCCAGATCTGGGAGGAAAGCAGTTTTGCACCACTAAGTATTATGTTAGCTGTAGGTATTTTTATGGATGTTCTTTATCAAGTTGAGGAAGTTACCATCTATTATGATTTAATGCAAATTTTTATTATGAGTGGATGTTGGATTTTGTGAAATGCTTTTCCTGTATCAGTTGATATGATCTGATGATTTTTGTTGTTTAGCCTATTGACAGTGGTGAATTACATTGATTGATTTTTTTTTTTTTTTTTTTGAGACAGAGTCTTGCCCTGTCACCCAGGCTGGAGTGCAATGGTATGATCTCAGCTCACTGCAACCTCTGCCTCTTGGGTTCAAGTGATTCTCCTGCCTCAGCCTCCCGAGTAGCTGGGATAACAGGCACGCACCACCACGCCCAGCTAATTTTTGTGTCTTTAGTAGACACGTGGTTTCACCATGTTGGCCAGGCTAGTCTCAAACTCCTCACCTTGTGATCCGCCCACCTAGGTCTCCCAAAGTGCTGGGATTACAGGCATGAGCCACCGTACTCAGCCCATTGATTTTTTTTAAATATTATTATACTTTTAGTTCTAGGGTACATGTGCACAACATGCAGGTTTGTTACACAGGTATACATGTGCCATGTTGGTGTACTGCACCCATCAACTTGTCATTTGCATTAGGTATTTTTCCTAATGCTATCCCTCCCACAGTCCCTCACCCCACGACAGGCCCCAGTGTGTGATGTTCCCCACCCTGTGTCCAGGTGTTCGCGTTGTTCAGTTCCCACCTATGAGTGAGAACATGCAGTGTTTGGTTTCTGTCCTTGTGATAGTTTGCTGAGAATGATGGTTTCCAGCTTCATCCATGTCCTTACAAAGGACATGAACTCATCCTTTTTTATGGCTGCATAGTATTCCGTGGTGTGTATGTGCCACATTTTCTTAATCCAGTCTATCATTGATTGACATTTAGATTGATTCCAAGTCTTTTCTATTGTGAATAGTGCCACAATAAACATACGTGTGCATATGTCTTTATAATAGCATGATTTCTAATCCTTTGGGTATATACCCAGTAATGGGATTGCTGGGCAAGTGGTATTTCTAGTTCTAGATTCTTGAGGAATCGCCACACTGTCTTCCACAGTGGTTGAACTAATTTACACTCCCACCAACAGTGTAAAAGCATTCCTGTTTTTCCATGTCCTTGCCAGCATCTGTTGTTTCCTGACTTTTTAATGATTGCCATTCTAACTGGTGTGAGACGGTATCTTATGTGGTTTTGATTTGCATTTCTCTGATGATCAGTGATGATGAGCATTTCTTCATGTGCCTGTTGGCTGAATAAATGTTTTCTTTTGAGAAGTGTCTGTGTTCATATCCTTTGCCCACTTTTTGATGGGGTTGTTTTTTTCTTGTAAATTTGTTTAAGTTCTTTGTAGATTCTAGATATTAGCCCTTTGTCAGATGAGTAGATTGCAAAAATTCTCTCCCATTCTGTAGGATGCCTGTTCACTCTGACGGTAGTTTGCTCTGCTCTGCAGAAGCTCTTTAGTTTAAGTAGATCCCATTTGTCAATTTTGGCTTTTGTTACCATTGCTTTTGGTGTTTTAGTCATGAAGTCTTTGCCCATGCTTATGTCCTGAATGGTATTGCCTAGGTTTTCTTCTAGAGTTTTTATGGTTTTAGGTCTAACATTTAAGTCTTTAATCCATCTTGAATTAATTTTTGTATAAGGTGTAAGGAAGAGATCCAGTTTCAGCTTTCTACACATGGCGAGCCAGTTTTCCCAGCACCGTTTATGAAATAGGGAATCCTTTTTCTTGTTTTTGTCAGGTTTGTCAAAGGTCAGATGGTTGTAGATGTGTGGTGTTATTTCTGAGGCCTCTGTTCTGTTCCATTGGTCTATATATCTGTTTTGGTACTGGTACCATGCTGTTTTGGTTACTGTAGCCTTGTAGTATAGTTTGAAGTCAGGTAGTGTGTTGCCTTCAGCTTTGTTCTTTTTGCGTAGGATTGTCTTGACAATGCGGGCTCTTTCTTGGTTCCATATGAACTTTAAAGTAGTTTTTTCCAATTCTGTAAAGAAAGTCATTGGTAGCTTGATGGGGATGGCATTGAGTCTGTAAATTACCTTGGGCAGTATGGCCATTTTCACAATATTGATTCTTCCTGTCCATGAGCATGGAATATTCTTCCATTTGTTTGTGTCCTCTTTTATTTTGTTGAATAGTGGTTTGTGGTTCTCCTTGAAGAGATCCTTCACGTCCCTTGTAAGTTGGTTTCCTAGGTATTTTATTCTCTTTGAAGCAATTGTGAATGGGAGTTCACTCATGATTTGGCTCTCTGTTTGTCTGTTATTGGTGTATAGGGAATGCCTGTGGTTTTCGCACCTTGATTTTATATCCTGAGGCTTTGCTGAAGTTGCTTATCAGGTTAAGGAGATTTTGGGCAGAGACGATGGGTTTTTTAAATATACAATCATGTCATCTGCAAACAGGGACAATTTGACTTCCTCTTTTCCTAATTGAATACCCTTTATTTCTTTCTCTTGCCTGATTGCCCTGGCCAGAACTTCCAACACTGTGTTGAAGAGGAGTGGTGAGAAAGAGCATCCTTGTCTTGTGCCCGTTTTCAAAGGGAATGCTTCCAGTTTTTGCCCATTCAGTGAGATATTGCCTGTGTGTTTGTCATAAATAGCTCTTATTATTTTGAGATACATCCCATCAATACCTAGTTTATTGAGAGTTTTTAGCATGAAGTGCTGTTGAATTTTGTCAAAGGCCTTTTCTGTATCTATTGAGATAATTGCGGTTTTTGTCTTTTTTTCTGTTTATATAATGGATTACATTTATTGATTTGTGTATGTTGAACCAGCCTTGCATCCCAGGGATGAAGCCAACTTGATGGTGGTGGATAAGCTTTTTGATGTGCTGCTGGATTCGGTTTGCCAGTATTTTATTGAGGATTTTCGCATCAATGTCCATCAGGGAGATTGGTCTAAAATTCTCTTTTTTTGTTTTTGTGTCTCTGTCAGGCTTTCATATCTGGATGATGCTGGCCTCATAAAATGAGTTAGGGAGGATTCCCTTTTTTTCTATTGATTGGAATAGTTTCAAAAGGAATGATACCATCTCCTATTTGTACCTCTGGTAGAAGTTGGCTGTGAATCTGTCTGGTCTTGGGTTTTTGTTGGTTGGTAGGCTATTAATTATTGCCTCAATTTCAGAACCTGCTGTTGGTCTATTCAGAGATTCGATTTCTTCCCAGTTTAGTCTTGGGAGGGTGTATGTGTCCAGGAATTTATCCATTTCTTCTAGATTTTCTAGTTTATTTGTGTAGAGGTGTTTGTAGTATTCTCTGATGGTAGTTTGTATTTCTTTGGGATCTGTGGTGATATCCCCTTTATCATTTTTTATTGTGTCTATTTGATTCTTCTCTCTTTTCTTCTTTGTTAGTCTTGCTAGTGGTCTATCAATTTGGTTGATCTTTTCAAAAAAAACACCTCTTGGATTCATGTATTTTTTGAAGGATTTTTTGTGTCTCTGTCCCCTTCAGTTCTGCTCTGATCTTAGTTATTTCTTGACTTCTGCTAGCTTTTGAATGTGTTTGCTCTTGCTTCTCTAGTTCTTTTAATTGAGATGTTAGGGTGTCAATTTTAGATCTTTCCTGCTTTCTCTTGTGGGCATTTAGTGCTATAACTTTCCCTTTACACACTGCTTTAAATGTGTCCCAGGGATTCTGGTACGTCGTGTCTTTGTTCTGCTTGGTTTCAAAGAACATCTTTATTTCTGCCTTTATTTCGTTATTTACCCAGTAGTCATTCAGGAGCAGGTTGTTCTGTTTCCATGTAGTTGTGAGGTTTTGAGTGAGTTTCTTAATCCTGAGTTCTAGTTTGATTGAACTGTGGTCTGAGAGACAGTTTGTTGTGATTTTTATCCTTTTACATTTGCTGAGGAGTGCTTTACTTCCAATTATGTGGTCAGTTTTAGAATAAGTGCTATGTGGTGCTGAGAAGAATGTATATTCTGTTGATTTGGGTTGGAGAGTTCTGTAGATGTCTATTAGGTCGGCTTGGTGCAGAGCTGAGTTCAAGTCATGGATATCTTTGCTAACCTTCTGTCTCATTGATCTGTCTAATGTGGATAGTGGGGTATTAAAGTCTCCCATTATTATTGTGTGGGAGTCTAAGTCTCTTTGTAGGTCTCTAAAGACTTGCTTTATGAATCTGAGTGTATTGGGTGCATATATATTTAGGATAGTTAGCTCTTCTTGTTGAATTGATCCCTTTACTAGTATGTAATGGCCTTCTTTGTCTCTTTTGATCTTTGTTGGTTTAAAGTCTGTTTTATCAGAGACTAGGATTGCAACCCCTGTTTTTTTTTGCTTTCCATTTGCTTGGTAGATTTTCCTCCATCCCTTTATTTTGAGCCTGTGTGTGTCTCTGCACATGAGATGGGTCTCCTGCATACAGCACACTGATGGGTCTTGACTCTGTCCAATTTGCCAGTCTGTGTCTTTTAATTGGGGCATTTAGCACATTTATATTTAAGGTTAATATTATTATGTGTGAATTTGATCCTGTCATTATGATGTTAACTGGTTATTTTGCCCGTGAATTGATGCAGTTTCTTCCTAGTATCCATGGTCTTTACCATTTGGTATGTTTTTGCAGTGGCTGGTACTGGTTGTTCTTTTCCATGTTTAGTTCTTCCTTCAGGAGCTCTTTTAGGGCAGGCCTGGTGGTGAGAAAATCTCTCAGCATTTGCTTGTCTGTGAAGTATTTTATTTCTCCTTCACTTATGAAGCTTAGTTTGGCTGGATATGAAATTCTGGGTTGAAAATTTTTTGTTTAATAATGTTGAATATTGGCCCCCACTGTCTTCTGGATTGTAGGGTTTCTGTCGAGAGATCCACTGTTAGTCTGATGGGCTTCCCTTTGTGGGTAACCCTACCTTTCTCTCTGGCTGCCCTTAACACTTTTTCCTTCATTTCAACCTTGATGAATCTGACAATTATGTGTCTTGGGGTTTCTCTTCTCAAGGAGTATGTTCATGGTATTCTCTGTAGTTCCTGAAGTTGAATGTTGGCCTGTCTTGCTAGGTTGGGGAAGTTCTCCTGGATAATATCCTGAAGAGTGTTTTCCAACTTGGTTCCATTCTCCCCATCTCTTTCACGTACACCAGTCATACGTAAATTTGGTCTTTTCACATAGTCCCATATTTCTTGGAGGCTTTGTTCGTTTCTTTTTACTCTTTTTTCTCTAATCTTGTCTTCTCCTTTCGTTTTATTAATTCGATCTTCAATCACTGATATCCTTTCTTCCACTTGATCGAATCCGCTATTGAAGCTTGTGCATGCATCACGAAGTTCTCTTGCCACGGTTTTCAGTTCTATCAGGTCATTTAAAGTCTTCTCTCCACTGTTCATTCTAGTTAGGCATTCGTGGAACCTTTTTTCAATGTTTTTTAGCTTCCTTATGTTGGGTTAGAACATGCTCCTTTAGTTTGGAGAAGTTTGTTATTACTGGCCTTCTGAAGCCTACTTCTGTCAACTCGTCAAAGTCATCCTCCATCCAGCTTTGTTCCATTGCTGGCGGGGAGCTGTGATCCTTTGGAGGAGAAGAGGCGCTCTGGTTTTTAGAATTTTCAGCTTTTCTGCTCTGGTTTCTCCCCATCTTTGTGGTTTTATCTACCTTTGATCCTTGATGTTGGTGACCTACAGATGGGGTTTTGGTGTAGATGTCCTTTTTGTTGATGTTGATGCTATTCCTTTGTGTTTGTTAGTTTTCCTTCTGACAGTCAAGTCCCTCAGCTGCAGGTCTGTTGGAGTTTGCTGGAAGTCCCCTCCAGAACCTGTTTGCCTGGGTATCACCAGTGGAGGTTGCAGAACAGCAAGTATTGCTGCCTGATCCTTCCTCTGGAAGCTTTGTCCCAGAAGGGCACTCACCTGCATGAGGTGTCTGTTGGCCCCTACAGGGAGGTATCTTCCAGTTAGGCTACTTGGGCGTTAGGGACCCACTTGAGGAGGCAGTCTGTCTGTTCTCTGAGCTCAAATGCCATGCTGGGAGAACCACTACTCTCTTTAGAGCTGTCAAACCTGGACGTCTAAGTCTGCAGAAGTTTCTGCTGCCTTTTGTTCAGCTATGCTCTGGCCACAGAGGTGGAGTCTATAGAGGCAGTAGGCCTTGCTGAGCTGCTGTGGTCTCCACCTGGTTCGAGCTTCCCGGCCACTTTGTTTACCTCCTCAAGCCTCAGCAATGGCGGATGCCCCTCCCCCTGCCCGACTGTAGCCTCACAGGTGGATCTCAGACTGCTGCGCTAGCAGTGAGTGAGGCTCCATGGGCGTGAGACCTGCTGAGCCAGGCGCGGGAGAGAATCTCCTGGTCTTCCAGTTGCTAAGACCATGGGAAAAGCGCAGTATTTGGTTGGGAGTTTCCTGTTTTTCCAGGTACAGTCTGTCACGGCTTGCCTTGGCTAGGAAAGGGAAATCCCTGGATCCCTTGTATTTCCTGGGTGAGGCGGCACCCAGCCCTGCTTTGGCTCGCCTTTTGTGGGCGCCTCCTGTCCAACCAGTCACAATGAGATGAACCAGGTACCTCAGTTGGAAATGCAGAAATCCTTTCTTCTGCGTCGATCACGCTGGGAGCTGCAGACTGGAGCTGTTCCTATTCACCCATGTTGGTCGAAGATCCCCCGTTGATTGGTTTTTGAATGGTGAACTGGGATGGCATATCTGAAATAAATTTCACTTGGTCATAGCTTATAATTGTTTATATATTGGTATATTTCATATACTATTATTTTGTTGAAAATGTTTGCGTCTCAGTTCATGAGAGATTTTGGTAAGTCATTTAATTTTTTTGTACTGTGTAATTTTTTTTTTTTAACAGAGTAACAATATTAGCTTTGCATAACTTGAAATGTATTTCCTTATCTTCTATTTTATGGAATAGCTTGCATAGAACTAGTGTGAATCTTTTAAAAAGTTTTTAGTTGAATTTGCCAGAGAAACCATCTGGGTTGAGAGAAACTTCTTTCTTTTAAATTGTATATTGAGTTTCTTTAACAGTTACGGGGCTATCCAGATTGTCTATTTTATCTTTGTTGAATTTTAGTAGCTAGTGGTTTTGGTGGGATTGATCCATTTATTCCATGTCATTGAATTTATTGGCATAAAGTTGTTTGTAGTATTCCTTTCTTATACTTTTAATGGGTGGAAGATCTGTAGTAATGTTCCTGTTTAATTCCTATTGTGAACATACTTTGTGTGATGTCAGTTATTTTATACTTGTAGAAGTTTATTTTATGCCTCAGATATGGTTTATCATGGTTAATGTTCTGTGAGCATTTGAAATTTTTTTTCACTGTTGTTGGATAGATTTTTGTATATATGTCATTTTCTGTTGGTTGATCTTATTCATTTCTTTTATATTAATACATTTGCTGATTTTCTGTCAATAGTTCTGTCAGTTGCTGTTTTTCCACAATGTATCTTCAGTTTCATTTGTTTGGTATTTGTACATTTAGGAATGTATCCTATATCCTATATCCTATAATGTTTTGTGTTCATTATGGAATGATACTTTTTATCATTATCCAATATATTTTTTGTCCTTAGTAATTTTCTTTGTTCAGGATTCTCTATTACTTACCCTCTCCTGATTTATTAATGTTTGCATGGCATATCTTTTCTGTTCTTTTACTTTCAGCCTACCTGTGTTTTGTATTTAGATGAGTTGCTTTTAGATAACATATAGTTTAAGTGTATTTTTAAGTATATGCATATCTAAGTATATACTTATGTACTGGTTTTGTAAGCTGAGCTCCCTGCTTGACCACACATACATATGTGTATACTTAAAAATGTACTTAAACTAATACTTAAAAACATACTTAAACTATAGGTATATAAGTATATATGTATATACATACACACACACACACACACACACATACACTCACACTTATGTGTTTAAATAATTAAAGAGTTTATGGAGTCCCAGCCTGTGTGATTTAATTTGGATATTTAGAACATTTACATTTAAGGTAATTATTGATAAATCTGTTCATTTTATTATTTATGTTTTCTGTCTCTGAACTGCTTTGCATTTCTTGCCTGTCTATGGGGTACTTGAAAGTTTTTTTGATTCTCTTTTGATTTACTCATAGTATTTTAAACAATATTGATTTGTATAGGTTCCTTAGTGGTTACTTTAGGTATAACATTATACATACGTAATTTATCACAGTTTACTGATATTGGCATACACCACTGTGAGTGAAATTTAGAAACCTTACCTTTTAATTGGTTTCCTTAACTCTCTCCATTTTTAAAATATAATTATCTCAAATATTTTATCTGTATACATCGAGCACTACTTCAGTTGGTGATACAATTTTGCATTACTATGAAAGATGATTCAGAAAATTCATGAGAAGGATAATTATACATATGAGTCCCAACTTATGACTTTTCAACTTTATGATGCTGTGATAGCAAT
This sequence comes from Homo sapiens, assembly GCF_000001405.40. NCBI lineage: Eukaryota > Metazoa > Chordata > Mammalia > Primates > Hominidae > Homo > Homo sapiens. The sequence goes on along the minus strand of NC_000015.10, from coordinate 76,778,095 downwards.
ATGCATTCAATAGAAACTATATTTTGAGTATCCATGCTGAATCTTACCCAACAGCTGAAAGTGTTTTTCACTATCAGTATAGTATTCATTAAATTACATGAGTTATTTAACACTCTATTATAAAATAGGCTTTGTATTAGATGATTTTGCCCAACTGTAGGCTCTTAGTGTTCTCAGCATATTTAAGGTAGTCTAGGCTAGTTATGTTTGGTAGGGTAAGTGTATTAAATCCATTTTTGATTTGATATTTCAAACTTACTGTGTATGAGTTTATCAGGTTGTGACCACATTGTAAGTTGAGGAGCAACTTGTATTTACCTCCATTTTTAACCATTGCAATGTTCTTTCCTTTTTGAAATTTCAAACCTTCTTTGAATATTTATTTATTTATTTACTTTTTTGAGATGGAGTTTTGCTCTTGTTGCCCAGGCTGGAATGCCATGGTGCGATCTCAGCTCACTGCAACCTCCACATCCCAGGTCCAAGCGATTCTTCTGTCTCAGTCTCCCAAGTAGCTCGGATTACAGGCATGTGCCACCATGTCTGCTAATTTTTTTGTATTTAGTAGAGATGGGGTTTCACCATGTTAGGCTGGTCATTAACTTCTGACCTCAGGTGATCCACCCCCCTTGGCCTCCTAAAGTGCTGGGATTACAGGCATGTGCCACCACCCCTGGCCTCAAACCTTCTTTCGTTAAATTTCATTTCTCTTTTGGGAACTTTCTTTAGCCATTTATTAAAGGTAGTTTTGCTAGTGATTTATTCTCTTAGTTTTTCTTTTATCTGTGAATGCCTTTATTTTCCTTTCATTCTGAAGGATATGTTCACCACATATATTAATAAAATTCACAATGGGCAGTTCTTTCAGTCCCTTGATAAATGTGCCACTTCCTCTTGGCTTCCATTGTTTCAGATGAGGAATCTGCTGTAATTTGAATTGGTGTTTCTCTATAGGTAATATGTCTTCTGACTGCTTTCAATATTTTTTTGTGTGTATTTAGTTTTCAGAGGTTTAATTATGATTTTTCTTTGTCTTTAGTTTTGAGAGCTTTAATTATGATGTGTCTTACTATGGACTTTTTTGGGTTTATCATATTTGGGATTCACTTACTTTCTTGAATTCATAGTTTTCTCTGTTTCACTAAATTTAGGAATTTTTCAGCCATTATTTTTTCAATACTTTTTCAGTATTGAAAAGTATTTCTTTTTCCTATACTCTCCTTCTTGAACTCTAGTAACTCAAATATTGTCTCACAGGTTCTGAGATTGTTCTTGGTCTTGTGATACCTTTGCAGCAAAAGTATCAAACCAACTTGCATCACTTCCTTTCCTCCTACCGGTTTTATAAGCTCAGCTCCCTGCTTGGCCACCCTCACACTAAGGAGGGGAGAAGTGGAAGCAGGAGTGACTCATATCACCTTGTTACTGTAGGTTGGGGTGGGATCCTGGCTCCCTGCTGGGTTCTGCTGACATAAGGAAAAGGAAAGGGGGAATCCCAGTGTCAAACAAATCTGCCCCCCACTACTTTTTCTGCCTCCCACTACTTTTTCTGCCTCATTGATGCTGGTGATAGCAGAAGCTCAGCTTTCTATAGGGCCTTGCTGATACTGGGTGAGGGTGAGAGCTAGTGAGAGGAGACTTTGTTCACTATTGGGCCCTACTGATGCTACTTGGATAGGGGAATTGGAGTATCATCTATTTCTGTTAGGTGGGAGATGGAAGTTAAGCTCCCAGTTTACCCCTACTGAAACCATGGGGAACAGGGGTTCCATTGGTGTTTGGCTGCAGTAGAGTGGATATTGCTAAAGAGATTTTCTGTTTTGTTAGGCCACCCTTTTTTCTGTGCTTTGTCTTGGCAAAAGAGGCATTTCTTGATGCCTATTTTGTCTTTGCCTATTGATGTTTTTGGAGACTGTTGAAGCATCCTGTCTGGAATACATAGGAGGCAGTAAGGAAACCCATGGAACTCACCAGTTTGCTACTTTTCAAGTCCCCTAAATCCCAAGGCAGTCTACTGTAGTCTATCTCTCAGAGTCTTCCAGTGTTTTATCTAGGGTTTTTAATTGTAAGATGGAGGGCCCGAAATGAAGGAATGGTTACTTCATTTTGGCCAGAACTGGAATTCTTTATATTAGCTTTGAAAGACTGTAATTAGCCAATAAAAATTTACAATTGGGGCTATAAGCACCACTATACATATAAATACCTCAACATTGTCATATTTTAGAGAAAGATTCTTATTTATTTTAGGCTATTTTTTGTGATTTTTTTTAGGCTATTTTGGTGTGGCTTTGAACGTAGGCCCTTAGTTTCCATGTATATGTGGTGAAATATTAGACTAGATCCTCTGGGTGCTATCAATTAATATCCTATAATTTTATCCTAAAAATAGTTTATTTAAATCAAGGTATGCTGTTGATGCTGGGATGGAGGAAAGAACTCAGACTTTGGAGGTAGATGTTTGGATTCTGAAAGATGAAGAGACAGTTTTTATATGGCCGTTGGGATGGACACCAGAACCAATGTACCTAGACTAGAATTTTGGCATTACCTTTACTCTGTGCGTGATCTGGGATAAATTACTTAATTTCTCTTTGTCTCAGTTTCCTCATTGCTTAAATGGGTATGATAATACTGATCTTATAGGATTATTGTGAAGATTAAAAGAGATATAATATATAAAGCACTTAAAACAGTACTCACACATAGTATTCACTATTTAAATATTTATTATTACTCACTGGCCTTAGGTCAGCCTTAATCTGAATTTCAGTTTTGTCATTTGTAAAGTAGGAATAATTATACATACATTTATTTAAATATGTATATACAAATATACATTTTGTATAATACTCTCATGTTTGTATATTAGTTATATTTGTTGGGAATTAAATTGGAAAATGTTTTTATTCTATGAGTTTCCAAATATTTTTATCATCTAAATAAATCTTGATTTGTTTTTTACTTTAATTGCATAGAACGGAAAGATGCTGAAGGATGGGAGACCGTTCAGAGAGGAAGGCCTATTCGTTCTCGATCAACAGCAGTGATGCCAAAAGTTTCATTGGCAACAGAAGCCACAAGATCAAAGGATGACAGTGATAAAGAAAATGTATGTCTTTTACCTGATGAAAGCATACAGAAAGGTCAATTTGTTGGAGATGGAACTTCTAATACTATAGAATCTCATCCCAAAGACTCATTACACTCTTGTGACCATCCTCTTGCCGAAAAAACCCAGGTAGTACATTCTGAAAATCCTTTTACTGTCTTTTTCAAAGGTGTATGTGTACATGTGTACTGGAATGTCTTAGTTTTGTACTTCATTTTTTAACTTACTGTGAAAATTTTCAGGTCTATAGACCTACAGAAAAGTGGCAAGAATAGAACAACGAACTCCTCCCATACTGTTCACCTACATTCACAAATTAACATTTGCCACATTTTTTCTTTTCTCTTGTTACATATTACACATACATGTTAAATGCTTAACATTTGAGAGTAATGTGCAAACATCATAAGCATTCACCTTTAAATCCTAGAGCATGGATCTCCAAAGAACAAAGACATTTATTTATATAACCACATTACAATTATAAAATTTGGAGAATTTGATATCTATGTATTATTTAATTTATAGTCTATATTTAAAGTGTTTTAGTTTTCCCAATAATTTTTTTAAATAGAATTTCCTCCAGGATCCAGTGTGGAATTACTCAGTTCATTTGGTATGTTTCTTTAATATCTTTCATTGGATATAGTTCCTCCACCTGTCTTTGTCTTTCATGACATTAATAGTTTTGAAGAATACATTGTAGGGTTTTTTTTTTGTACATTGTCCTTTGTCCATAATTCAATTTAGCTTATGCATTTTTGGTAGGAATAAAGTGATTGTCCTTAGTGTCACATCTAGAGGCATATGGTATCAGTTTGGTTAGGTTTGTTATTAACTTTGAGTACTTGGTTAAGGTGATGTCTTTGTGCCTCATTTGCAGTGTTAAAATTTGAACTTATTCTACTTACTGAAAATTGAGTGTAATTTGCTAATAATATTTAACATAATTCCTTAAAGTTAATATTCCCAGTATTTGTTCTGTGAGTTGAGTTGATGTTTATTTTACTTATTTGATGAACTAGTTTATACTTTAAGGTATTTGTTTATATAAAGGTTCAGTTCCGTTGGTGTAATTTTATGTAAAATGACTAATGAAAAATAGGAGCTTTTTTTTAAATATCATACTACAGGAACTAAATAGATCAGTTGTAAAATGGTTGTAATATCTTTGGTCCAGAATAATATCTGCTTTTTAAAATTCTTTCTCTTTTTACCTGTAGGATTTTTTCAGCTGGAAATGCTCCTCAAATTCCTTATCTTCCTTTACTGATGAGAATGACTCTTAACATTGTTTCCGATCTATAAACTCTTTAATGTGTATTGGTTTTATGCCTGTGTGAGATTGCAGATTCCTTTTGGGCAGTATTTTATGTTGCTTTTTAATTTCTAACAATATGGAAGAGTCCTAAACGCATAGGAAGTAATTGGTATACATTTGTTGGATGTAACTTTAAGAAACTCTTTAGTGTTGTAAGCTGCATTAGAGATACTTAGTGAATAAACTACTTTTTATAATACTTAACCAACAGCTAGCATTTTTGCTGTGTTCAGCTAAAAATATAACTTAGTATAAAAATTATGCAATGTGTGTAGTGAATAAACCTATATGCTATTGAGATTTCAGGAATAATCTGTACATAGAACTTTTTGACAAGTAAACTATTGCTAAAATTTTTCAGTATAAAAGTTCACTGCTGATGGCAGCCAAGTTAATGATATTTGTTTTCTTCACTGTCATTCTAAAGATGGAATTAGCATATTAATGTCTTTACTTCATATTTTAGCTTTGATTTTGTTATAAAAATGATACTGAGTTTTTTAATAAGTGGGATTGAGTAGTGTACACATAAGTAATGCTAATATAAATATTGCCAAGAAGATTATAAACCATGGCGACTGACATATAAATAATGTTGATAGCAGTATAAACAATGTTATATCCTTTAAATAAGGCTTATGCTAAAATCAACACTTTGGGACACTTTAAGTTCTGACCAATAGTAGAATTTTTAAAGTAGTTTATGAGACTTAGCCAAGTTTGATATTTGTATAAATAATTAATCAAACTGGGGGGAGGTTTATGGCCACTGCAGCATTTATCTAATGTTTATTTAAGAAGTGATGGGAGTTTTAAATTCATAATTTTAGATTTTAGTTCTTTGACTTAGAGTATCATTGGAAAACACAGTACTATTGTTTCTCTTCTCTGTCCAAAGTAAAAATAAAGGCTTGACTCTGCTAAATTGGAAGGTTTTTAAAAAATGGGTATGTATTTAGCCTAAGCCACTGTTTGCTTTTTATATTGTATTTACATTTCTGTTGGTTTGTTATTAAATATTCCTAAAGGACAATAGGGAAGATATCTAAATCTAAAGTGTATGAATGTCATAATGAGACACTACATGCTTTCAATCTTCACCCTTAGGTCATGCTTTTCTCTTTCAGATCGGAGAATTGGGTTCATGTACCATATGAATTTTTAACAAAGATACTTTGAGATCATGTTAATATTATCTGAAGAGAATAAGTTTTATATTTTTGTGTAAAATGCCCTCCAAATATATTGTTGTAAAAATTGGTTTCAGGATTTTTTCAAAAGTACTGAATGTCCTCATTTGATATTAGACAGTCTTTGCAAAAGACCATGTAAATACTTTTGGTTGTATGAGTATAATACAGTGAATGAATGCCTCATACTTGTGACTAGATTTCATTTGCGAAGGATACAAAATACTCATCACAAATTGGCCTACTACAAGAAAATTACAATATAAATTGCTTAATTTCTTAGAAAACTTTGGATAGTGCCCAGTACATAGTAGGCATGCAAGTAAAATTTGTGCTTAATGGTCCCTGTCCTTTTGTTACACTTGAAACATACAAAAAAGATGAGTAAATTTTCTGTCATCCAGTCAAGTACCTCTTCTTCTTCATAGTTAATAGGTTAAGCAAAATCATCTCTTCTTCTAAAGTGGAATAGTTGGTATTTTTTAATTATCTCTGATTCATTCTCTACGTTTTGTTAGTTCACAGTGAGTACATTGGATGATGTGAAGAATTCTGGCAGTATTCGAGACAATTATGTTCGAACTTCTGAAATATCTGCTGTCCACATTGATACAGAGTGTGTTTCAGTTATGCTGCAAGCTGGTACACCTCCTTTACAAGTAAATGAAGAAAAATTTCCAGCAGAGAAAGCAAGGATAGAAAATGAAATGGACCCTTCAGATATTTCAAATGTGAGTGCTGCTAACTTGGTAAGAACAACTTATCAGAATTCTGAGTATATTTAAGAAGCATAAACCCCAATAATAATAACTTGTATGATTTATACTTTTTAAAGCATTTTTATATATTTATTTCATTTTAACATTTTATTATTTTGGTAAACTTTTGATATAGTTAAGATTCTTATTTTTTAGAGGAAGAAAGTGAGATTGTGAGAGTTAAGTGACTTGTTCAAAATCATTTGGTTTGTATGTGATTTGATCAAATGCTCTTAGCCCAGAATTAAGAATCTAAACTAGTAACAATAAAGTCTTCTATGCTACATCTAGCATTCTGATAGATGGGAAATGGTGTCTGCTAGACTTAGTTTTAAAAACTTTCTTAACAGAGTACTTTAGACAGCCACTATCATTTGCTTGGAGTTGGTCTTTAAGATGAAATTTATTTACCATCCCTATTCCAGAATCTCTAAAAATGCATTGATTTGTGATTATTTATAGATTTATGGTTTTGGATGATAACATATTTCTACCCATCTCTTCCTTTTGCTCATTTTAGTATTAGGATACTTGACCTGGGGATAATCCAGAATAAATCATGCTAACTTTGTTTAAAAACTAGCTTTCCAAAGAAATAGGCACATATAAAAAGCTGTGAAAAATTACTTAATTTTTACTTTTTAAAGGCTGCTGTGGACTATAATTTCTTCTAAAATTTAATGCCTAATGCTGACAGATCTTAACAACACATGGTATTAGGTAAAATTATACATTTTATAGGGATAATAACAGTAGAGATGAAACTTGATATTGGTTGTTTAAGGGTAAAAAGGAAAAGGTTATAGTAATACAAAAAACAAATGTTTAGATTCTTTTAATAAGGTAGAACAATTGATTTTCATCTTGTGTCTTTTAGTAATGAACATTTCTAAATGTTGAACATAATTATGCTCAAATAAGTAGTGAGTTTATTGTATGGGGTGGAATTTGGTCATTTATTTTGTTTTAGCAGTTGTATATCAAATTGTATATTTTTCAGTTTGATTCTGTGAGAATCAAATTTTAAAAGAGGAAAACTCTCATCCTTAAATAAGCATGAAATAATTAAAAATTCTGACCTCATTATTTTTATTTTCATCACATATATAAACTTGCAGAGTCATAAACCCTTTTGGTTATTTTGAGGGTCAAATTTGCATACTTGAAAGAAAATAAATTCTGCTTTAATGTGGATATTAGTGTATTCTTAGAGGTGTTAAGAATACTTTTTGTTTTGTTTTGACAAACCAAGGGTGATAAGGTGATAAGCACCTTATTGTTTAGTTCCCAAGTGGAGAGTTACAGAGAATTCCTGTAGTGATGAGACAACTGTTTTTTCTTTTCTTTCTTTTTTTTTTAAAATTATACTTTAAATTCTAGGGTACATGTGCACAATGTACAGGTTTGTTACATAGGTATACATGTGCCATGTTGGTTTGCTGCACCCATCAACTCGTCATTTACTTTAGGTATTTTTCCTAATGCTATCCCTCCCCCAGCCCCCCACCCCCTGACCAGCCCAGGTATGTGATGTTCCCCGCCCTGTGTCCATGTGTTCTCATTGTTCAACTCCCACCTATGAGTCAGAACATGTGGTGTTTGGTTTTCTGTCCTTGTGATAGTTTGCTTAGAATGATGGTTTCCAGCTTCATCCATGTCCCTGCAAAGGACATGAACTCATCCTTTTTTATGGCTGCATAGTATTCCCTGGTATATATGTGCCACATTTTCTTAATCCAGTCTATCATTGATGGACATTTGGGTTGGTTCCAAGTCTTTACTATTGTGAATAGTGCTGCAATAAACATACGTGTGCGTGTGTCTTTATCGTAGAATGATTTATAATCCTTTGGGTATATGCCCAGTAATGGGATCGCTGGGTCAAATGGTATTTCTAGTTCTAGATCCTTAAGGAATCACCACACTGTCTTCCACAATAGTTGAACTAATTTACACTCCCACCAAGTCTTCCACAATAGTTGAACTAATTTACACTCCCACCAACAGTGTAAAAGCATTCCTATTTCTCCACATCCTCTCCAGCATCTGTTGTTTCCTGACTTTTTAATGATCGCCGTTCTAACTGGTGTGAGATGGTATCTTATGTGGTTTTGATTTGCATTTCTCTGATGAGCAGGATGATGAAAATTTTTTCATGTGTCTGTTGGCTGCACAAATGTCTTCTTTTGAGAAATGTCTGTTCATATCCTTTGCCCACTTTTTGATGGGGTTGTTTTTTTCTTTCACTCTCTTTTTTTTTTTTTTTTTTTTTGAGACAGAGTCTCACTGTGTCCCCCAGGCCAGAGTGCAGTAGTGCAGTCTTGGCTCACTGCAAGCTCCACCTCCCAGGTTCACGCCATTCTCCTGCCTCAGCCTCCCGAGTAGCTGGGACTACAGGCGCTTGCCACCACGCCTGGCTAATTTTTTGTATTTTTTAGTAGAAACGGGGTTTCACCATGTTAGCCAGGCTGGTCTCGATATCCTGACCTCGTGATCCACCCGCCTCGGCCTCCCAAAGTGCTGGGATACAGGTGTGAGCCACCACGCCTGGCCAGGTTGTTTGTTTTTTTCTTGTAAATTTGTTTAAGTTCTTTATAGATTCTGGATATTAACCCTTTGTCAGATGGGTAGATTGCAAAAATTTTCTCCATTCTGTAGGTTGCCTGTTCACTCTGATGATAGTTTTATATAAATTGAATTGTGTAAGCTTTGCTTGACTTCTTTCACTCAACATATTTATTTTGAGATTTATCCATGTAACACAATGTTTGTTCATTCACTTGCCCAAAGACATTTGAATTACATCTTTCTTTAATGAATAAAGATGCCACGAACGTTTTTGTGTACAACTTTATGTGAACATGTATATATATATTTTTTTTTTTTTTTGAGAAAATACCTAGATCAATTTTGTTGATAGTATTGTTCAGGTCTTCTATATCCTTGCTAGTTTTTTGGTTACTTTTTCTGTCAGTTGAAAGAGGGGTACTGAAATCACTGACTGTAACTGTGGATCTATTTCTTTTCTAACGACTGTATTGAGATCATAATTTACGTATAATACAATCCATCTGTTTGAAGTTTACTGTTGTTTTTTAGTATATTCTCCATAATCAGCTTTAGCACTCTTTCATCACTCTAAAAAGAAAACCCAGTGCCCATTAGCAGTTACTCCCTTTCACTCCTCCCACACCTGCCACTGCACTGCTTTCTCTCTATATAATTTTGCCTATTTTAGACATTTCATAGAAATGAAATGCAATATGTGGTCATTTGTGACTGACTTCTTAGCATATTTTAGAGGTTCATTCATGTCTTAGTTTGTCTCAGTACTTTGTTCTTTTTTGTGATCAAATAGTATAGTCCACTGAATGAATGAATATACCACATTTTATTTATTCATCAGTTGATGGACATTTAGGTTGTTTCCACTGTGCTATTATGAATAGCACTGCTTTAAGTATTTGCATAACAGTTTTTGTGTGGGCACATTTTTTATTTCTCCTGGATATATATCTAGGAGTGGAATTGTTGGGTTATATGAACTCTATGTTTAACCATTTGAGCAACTGTCAGACTGCTTTCCAAAGTGGTTGCATCATTTTACATTCTCATTAGGTTTATATTTTTTTGCATTTCTATAGGTTTTTGCCTTATATATTTTGAAGTTCTGTTAGGTCTATAAACATTTAGGACTGTTTTGTCGTCTTGATGAATTGACCCTTTTATTATTATAAATTGGTCTTCTTTATTCCTGGTGATATTTTTTGCACTGAAATCTGTGTCTGATGTTAATACTTCAGCTTTCTTTTAATTAGCATAGACCTTTTACTTGTAATCTGTTTTTTTCCTTCTAGGAAACATATAGCTCAGTCTTATTTTTTATCCAGTTTGATAATCTCTGCCTATTACATGTTAACATTTACATGTAATATAATTATTGACATAGTTTGTTTAAATCCACCATTTTACTATTTGTTTTCTCTGACTTGTGTTCTTCCTTCCATTTTTAATTTTTTAATAATTTCATTTTATCACCTTTGATGGCTTATTAACCACATGTTTGTTTTGTTATTTCAGTGTTTGATTTAGGGTTTCTAGTATACATCTTTAGCTTCTCATGAGGATTTATTAATTAATGAATCTCATGTATATTTTTATTATTTGCAGTGCATTTTTTAAAGTTAGGTGTATGTATGTTCAGAAAGCATCATCACCAGTACAGCATATATTCTTTCCATGTTCCCATTATAGTATACTATTTCGGTTTTATATTTAATGAGTATATTCAATCTATAATTGTTTTGAATTTTGGCACTCAAATGAAATTCACACTACCTGTTATTTATATAATTTCACAGTTTCTCATACGTAGCTGTCTGGTAAATAAGGCAAGTCATTGATTATTGTTCCATTTTATGGAATACCAAGTAGGTTCTTGGTTTTTAGAAGCTTCTAAGGCACACAGCTAGTAAGTGGATGAGCCTGTATGGAACCCCAGCTTTTATGATTCTAGATCAATACAATTTTATGTATACTGTTGAGTTCATGTTAGAACATAAAAAATGATTACTTTCCAGTCAAGTGATCATTTTTCTTTTTGTTTATGTGTTTTTAACTTTATAGTCCATGGCAGAAGTCCTTGCTAAAAAAGAAGAGCTAGCAGATCGTCTAGAAAAGGCCAATGAAGAAGCCATTGCTAGTGCTATTGCTGAAGAAGAACAGTTAACTAGAGAAATTGAAGCTGAAGAAAACAATGATATTAACATTGAAACTGACAACGACAGTGATTTTTCTGTGAGCTTTTAGACTTTTTAACATAACTATTCAAAATTTATATTTAGAAACAAAATTATCTGGGCCAGAAAGACTTGGAGTCCATCTAGTCCTATTTAGAATTATTTATTTAAAAATCATGTTCAGTAATCATAACTATTATTCTCAGGGTGATTTAGACTTACACAATAAACAATAGCAAATCTTTTGTTAGCACTTTACCATTACTATTTTCATGTATGATACAGTTGACAAGTTAGAAGTTGTTATTGTTATTTTACCAGTCAAGAAATTGAGTCTGGGCCGGTTGTGGTGCCACATGCCTGTAATCCCAGCACTTTGGGAGGCCAAGGCGGTAGGATTGGTCAAGGATAGGAGTTCGAGACCAGCCTGGGCAACATAGCAAAACCCCGTCTCTATTAAAAAAAAGTTAAAAAATTGAGTCTGACATAAAGTAAGAACTCCACATTACTGAGATTATAATTTATAGAAAGTGAAGATGAAGCTAAGGTATTTTACTTTTGTATTCTATTAACAAAAAGTAGGCTGGGTGTGGTGGCTCATGCCTGTAATCCTAGCACTTTGGGAGGCCGAATCAGGTGGATCACAAGGTGAGGAGTTCGAGACCAGCCTGGCCAATATGATGAAACCCCATCTCTACTAAAAATACAAAAATTAGCTGGGCGTGGTGGCAGGTGCCTGTAGTCCCAGCTACTTGGGAGGCTGAGGCAGGAGAATAGTTTGAACCCGGGAGGCGGAGGTTGCAGTGAGCTGAGATCGTGCCACTGCACTCCAGCCTGGGCGACAGAGTGAGACTCCATCTTAAAAATAAATAAATAAATAAATAAATAAATAAATGAGCAAATGATACACTACCTTCTGTTACTAAGTGCTTAGGATATATATGTTAATGATGGGAATTTGTTAAAGAATAAAATAACTTTAAATGTTTTACATATTGGTTTATTAAATTTTAATGCCAAACAATCTTCAATTCTTCAATATTTGCTTTTTATATGTTAGCATTTATGTAGTAATAGGATAAGGCCAATATATTTCTTAAATTTACTTCATTTGTCTCTGCTGTTAATGGCTGCTAGGCTCTTAAAATGAATAGGCTGTAGTATTTTAACTTGGCAATTATTTTGATTGTACTGGTAGGTACCTTTTTCCTGGTTTTCAACTGTTGGTTAAATAGAATATATTAACAATAGGTAGGACATTTTCATGTATAGTTCATTTTCTAAAGTTGTAATTGTGTTCAAAGATTTGATTTTCAACTTCCCTTATTACATTTTAGGCCAGCATGGGCAGTGGGAGTGTTTCTTTCTGTGGTATGTCCATGGACTGGAACGATGTCCTTGCAGATTATGAAGGTATTGTGTATATGCATATTGGGTGTGTAGTACAGTGTTCAAAAGTTTGTTCTCAAATGTTTTATAGACCTATGTGGCTAAACAATAATAGTATTTTTTTCTGAACAGCTCGTGAGTCTTGGCGCCAAAATACATCCTGGGGGGACATTGTAGAAGAAGAACCTGCTAGACCTCCAGGGCATGGAATTCACATGCATGAAAAACTTTCTTCACCCTCTCGTAAAAGGTCTGGCATTTGAAAATTAATTTGAAATGGTTCACAGCAAGGAAACTAGCCACTCTTGACTGTTAAATAAAATTGCTACGTGGCATTTTTGGACACATTACTTCAGGACAGTTTCAGATCCATTGAAAAGTAACAAAGCTTTCCCGAAATGTTGGGCCAAAATTAGTTTTGTATACTTTAAGAACTATGAAGTCTAAAGAACACTTTTTCTGGCCTTATCATGTAAACATTTCATGTCTCTTGTCCATTTGTTTGTATTAATAGAACAATTGCAGAATCTAAGAAGAAACATGAAGAAAAACAAATGAAAGCACAGCAGCTAAGGGAAAAGTTACGCGAAGAGAAAACATTGAAGCTTCAGAAATTGTTAGAAAGGGTGAGTTTTTATTTTTTAGGAAATTATGATAGTCTGAAGTTGCTGGGCTTATTTTCAACTCTACTTCTGGTCTGAGAGAAGCTAAAATAACCATAAAAATAATTAGATTTGCTAGGAAATAAAAGCATTTTAATCTATTGAATCCAAGAAGGTTAACTATTAAAAAATCGTCATTTTCAAATTATCTAGTAAATTGATATTTTGCAGGGTTTGCGTGGATTATTAAAGCTCTACTTTTGCCGTTTTCATTGGAGGGTTTCCTTGGGGAGGTTTGTCTAAAGTGTAGAATGACCTGGTAGGACAATTTGGAGCCTAAGACTATCAGTTTGTAGTGTGTTTGCCCATGGCCAGCCCTGGTCCTTGCTCTTGGCTCTGGTTTTTACTTCTGTTTATGTATCTGCAGCCAACTCCTTCAGCTAGAGGAATGCAAGCTACTGCCCTGTCCCACAGTTGTTGTCAATCCATGTCCATATGCAGTGGGCCAAATAGCCATGCACACACATGGCCACAGCTGGCCATGGCCCCCATTGCCACATGTATGCCTGCAACCAAACTCCACCTGGCCTCTGCCACGACCTGCCTTGGCTCCCACCTACCAGGGATGCTCACTTCTTAACACAGAGGTGCTGCTGGCAGCCACTGCCTACACCCTGTAGCTTTTGGAGCTGAGGACTGCCCTGTTACTGATATTGCCAACTCTAGCTCCCTGAGCTGCCACGCCAATGCATACATATAAACCAAGAGTTGTTGTACTTCCCCGCACTTTGGCACTCTGTGTGCCAGTAGGCTTAGTGCAACAGTATGCTCCTGCATTCCCCACAAGTCATTGCTCCCATCTGAGCAATTGACTATCCTTTCTGAAGCCAGTCCATAAAGACTGGAGAAGGTGACTGCTTCTTTAAGTGCATAGACAGCAATGCAAGGATACAAAGAACATGAAAAATCAGGAAAACTTGATACCACCAAGAGAACACAATAAATATCCAGCAAGCAACCCAAACAAATGAAGATCCATGAAGTCCCTGACAAAATATTCAAAATAACTGTTGAAGGTCAGTGAACGGTGAGAGAACACAGATAAATAATGTAACAAAATCAGGAAAACAACATAAAAACAAAATGAGAACATCAAGAAAGTGAAGCCGTGAGAAAGAACCAAACAAATTCTAGAGGTGAAGAATACACTGAAGAAACTAGAAAATGCAGTAGAGAGCTTCAGCAACAGACTCAGTGAAGCAGAAGAAAGAATCAAGAGAACTTGAAAACAGGTCATTTGGAATTACCCAGTAAGAGGAGAGAAAAGAATGAAAAAAATGAAGGAAGCCTCTGGGATTTATGGGACACTGTCATTGAATGAATATATGCATTATAGGGATTGAAGAGAAGCAGGCAGAAAGCCTTTTTTTTTTTAAAGAAATAACCCAAAACTTCCTAAATATGGAGAACAAAACAGATATCCAGACTCAAGCTCATAGAACCCCACAACAGTTAAAGAAGTCTACATCAAGACTTATTATAATTAAATTGTCAAAACTCAAGAGACAGAATTTTGAAAGCTGCAAGAGAAAGGCAACTCATCTCATACAAGGGAAACCTGCCCCCCCACCACCCCCCACCCCAGAAATGATCAGTGAATTTCTCAACATGAATCTTCCAGGCTAGGAGATAATGGGATGTTACATTCAAAGTACTGAAAGAAAAAAACAAAACCCTGCCAGCCATGATTACTATACCCTGGAAAGCTATCCTTAAAAATGGAAAGGAGATAAAGTCTTTCCCAGACACATGAAAATTGAGGGAGTTTGTCATCACTAGGCTTGCCTGAGAAGAAATGCTAATGGAGTTCTTTAAATGGAATAGAAAAAATGATAAACACCAATGTAAAAGCGTATGAAGGAAAGTATGTAAAGCTCAGGAGTAAATGTACAGTCAAATATAGAATAACATAATACTGTAAGGGTGGTACAGAAATAACTGGTAACCCCAATATAAAACTTTAAAGAAGGCTGTGTGTGGTGACTCACACTTGTAATCCCAGTACTTTAGGAGGCTGAGGTGGGAGGATCACATGAGGCCAGGTGTCTCACACCAGCCTGGACGACATAGCAAGACTTTATCTCTACAAAAATAAGGAACAACAAAAAAATTATCAGTTATGGTGGTAGGCACCTGTAGTCCCAGCTACCTGGGAGGCTGATGCAGAAGGATCGCTTGAACCTGGGAGTTTGAGGCTGCAGTGAGCTAGGATTGCACCATTGCACTGCAGCCTGGGAAATAGAGCCGCATCCTGTTACTAAGGTAGAGTGGGGGAGGGGACTTAAAAGACAAAAAGGTATTAAGGGTAAGTATAATGACAAAAAATTGATAATGGATTCACTGTATGAAAAATAGTAAACTCTGACTTCAAAAACACATAGTGTAATGGTAGGTAAAAGTGCAGAGTTTTGTAGGCCATTGAATTTAAATTAAATTCAAATTAAATTAAAGTAGACATCAAATTAAAGTAGACAGTTGTAACCACAAGGGCAAACCTATTGTAAATACACAAATGCTAAAGAGAAATCAAACCAAACCATTAGAAAAAAAAAAAAAAGCCCACAATCAAATAACAAATGAAGATAGCAATAGAGTAAGGAACAAAAGCCTGCAGAACAAAGAGAAAATAAGTAGCAAAATGGCAGTAATAAATCTGTACTTACTGTTAATATTACTTCAAGTGTAAATGGATTAAACTCCCCAATCAAAGGGCATAGAGTGGCTCAGTGAATTAAAAAAAGACATACCCAACCATATGCTGCCTTGAACAGACTTGGCTGAACACGAAGGAATATCTTATTCCATGTAAATTGTAACCAAAAGAGAGCAGAAGTGGCTAAACTTAGACAAAACAGACTTTAGGACAAGAAGTGTCCCTAGAGAGGAAGAAGGCCATTAAATAATGATAAAAGATTCAGTTTAACAGGAGGATACAACAATTTAAATATATTTGCACCCAGCAACCTAACACATAAATATATAAAACAAATACAAATCTGAAGGGAGAAATTGGCAGCAATACAATAACAGTAGGAGACTTCAGTGGTCCACTCTCAATAATGGATAGAATATCCAGGTAGAAAATCAGTAATGAAACAGCTGAATTACAACAGTATACGCTAAATGTGCCTAAGAAATATGTACAGGATTTTCTACCCCCAAATCAGCAGAATACTCATCCTTCTCAAGTGCGCATGAAACGTTCTTCAGAATAGATCATGTGTTAGGTCACAACACAAGTCTTTAGAAATTTAAGAAGATGGAAATCATACCAATATCTTTTAGACCGCAGTGGAATGAATCTAGAAATCAATAACAGAAAATAGGAAAATTAGCAAAAATGTGAAAACTAAACATACAGTTGAACAACTATTTGGTAAAAGGAAATAAAGGGGAATTTAAATAATGCCTTGAAGCAAATGAAAACAAATATAACTCACTAAAATTTGTGAGATGTAGCAAAACAAGACTCTGAGGGAAGTTTATAGTAATAAATGCCTACACTAGTTTTCTAACTCACAGAACTAGAAAAAGAAGAAACAAAACTAACCCCAAAGTTACTGTATGGAAAGAAATAACGATTAGAGCAGAAATAATTGAAATGCAAAAGAGAAAAACGATGGGAAAAAATCAACAAAACGGTGGTTTGTTGGAAAGAAAAAAATCAAACTCTTAGCTAGTCTAAGAAAAAAAGACTCAAATAAATTAGAAACGAAAGTAGAGTCATTACAATGGATAACAGAGAAACAAAAAGGATCATAAAGAACTATTATCAATAATTCTATGGCACCAAATTGGATAACCTTAGAAGAAGTGGATAAATTCCTAGAAATATACAACCCAACATGACTGAATCAAGAAGAAATAAAGAGCCTAAACAGACCAATAACAAATACAGAGATTGAATCAGTAATCAAAAACCAACAAAAAAAGCCTAGGGCCAGATGGCTTCACTGATCAATTCTATGAAACATATAAAGGAGAAGTAGTACCAACCTTTCTTGAAATTTTCTGAAAAATAAAAGAAGAGGGAACACTTTTGTGAAATAAGAAATATTATATTGGTCTCTGCCCCTGGTTCCTGACATAGAGCTCCTAAAACTCTGGTAGATAGAAGCACTAGGATAATATTGTTTTTCCAATATGTGATCTTTGACCCTGGTTCCCAACAGATAACTTCTATGATCTTTGTAATTTCTTGAGTGATAAGAGCATCTGAAACAGAGTTCCTAAATGCCTTGGGCTTTGCTGAGTGATAGGAGCATCTTTTGTTGTAATAAGGGTACTCTTGGTAGTGTCCTGAATAGCCTCAGAATTGGTGCTGGCTACCAGAACTTCAACCTCCAGGTTTGGTTGATTGCCAAAGCCAGTGATTTAATAGATCATGCCTCTGTAATGAAGCTTCCATGAAAAATCCTAAGAACAGACTTTGGGGAGCTTCTGGGTTGTTAAACATGTGAAGGTGGCACACCTGGAGAGGGCATGTAAGTTTCGTGTCCCTTCTTCACACTTTGCCTTAGGCATCTTTTCCATCTGGCTGTTTATCTGCATCCTTTAAAAGTTCCTTTGTAATAAATTGGCAATAGTAAGTAAAGTGTTTCCTTTAGTTCTGTGGGCCACTCTAGCAAATTAATCAAACTTGAGGAGACAGTTGTGAGAACCCCAATTTTATAGCTGGTTTGTCAGAAGTATGGGTCAGAACTTGGGACTTGTGATTAGCATCTGAAGTTGTGGGGGCAGTCTTGTGGGACTGAGCCCCTAATCTGCGGGACCAGGTAGATAATGTCAGAATTGGATTGAATTATATGACAGCTAGCTGGCATCAGAGAAGTGGTCAGTGTGAGAAAAACCCCATAAAAATCTTGGTGAACAGAATTGTTATTGTGTTGTATGTGAGAGTAGGAAAAACAATTTAGTTTTTCCTATCTCTTACAACTCCCAAACTTGTATTATGAGGCCAGCATCACTCTGATTCCAAATCTAGATAGAAACACAAGAAAGGGGAAAACTACAGACCGGTATTCCAGATGAACATAGATGCAGAAATCCTCTTTAAAATACTGGCAAACCAAATTCAAGAATACATCTACAATCATACCATGATTGAGTGGTATTTATCTCTGGAATGTAAGTATGGTGAAATATACTAAAATCTATAAATGCAATATACTACATGAATACAATGAAAGACAAAAAACACACTAATATTTCAACAGATGCAGGATAAACACTTGACAAAGTTCAATATCCTTTCATGAAAAAACCCTCAACATACTAGGTATAGAAGGAACTTTACTCCACACAATATAGGCCAATGCTGTTGTTTTAATGTTTATTCCTTCCAAGACACATAATGAAGTTTAATTGCTATTGTAACAATATTAAGAGGTGGGTTCTTTAGGAGGAGATTAGGTTATATTGCCTCTGCTCTTATGAATGGATTGATACCATTATTGTGGAAGTGGGTTCTTATTGCAGGAGTGGGTGCCTTATAAAAGGTTGGATTCAGCTCCCCATAGTGCCCATGCCACCCTTTGCCCTCTTCCTTTCCTCCAGGGTTGATTTAGTAAGAAGAACCTTATCAGATGCCACCACCTTGATATTGGACTTCCAGTCTCCAGAACTATTATACGATAAATAAAGTTCTTTTTTTAATAAATTACCTAGTTTCTGATATTCTGTTATAGCAACACAAAACAGACTAAGACCGCCCATATATGAACAACCCACAGTTAACATCATAATTGGGAAAAACTGAAAGCTTTTTCTCTATGATTTGGTAAAAGGCAAGTATGCCCACTTTTACCATTTCTCTCCAACATAGTACTAGAAATACTGGGAAAAGCAAGAAGAAGAAATGAATGCATTATATGGGAAGGGAAAGAAGTAAAATTATCTATTTGTAGATAACATCATAAATATAGAAAACCTTAAAGATTCCACAAAAAACTTTGAGAAATAATATATGAATTCAGTAACGTTTAGAGATACAAAATCAACATGCTTAAGAATCAGTGGGGTTTTCATACACTAACCATGAACTATATGAGAGAGAAATTAAGGATACAGTTTTCTTTATATTAGCAACAAAAAGAATAAAATACTTAGGAATTAACTTAAGCAGGGAGTTGAATCACTTGTATAGTGAAAATTATAAATTTATGAAAGAAAATTTAAAGCAGCAAGTAAATAGAAAGATATCCCTGTTCATGGATTAGAAGAATTAATATTTTTAGAGTGTCCATACAGCCTTAAGTGATCTACAATTTCAGTGCAATCTCTGTCAAAATCCCAACCATTTGTTTTTAGAGAAATAGAGAAACAGTCCTAAAATTCATATGGAGCTCCAAAAGACCCCAAAGATTGAAAGTCATCTTGAGCAAGAAGAGCAAAGGCTATAGTCATAACACTTTCTAACTTTAAATTTTATTATAAAAGTATAGTAATCAAAACAATTTGGCACTAGCATACAAACATACACACAGACCAATGGAACTTAATAGAAAACCCAGAAATAAACCTATGCAATTATGGGCAACTGGTCTTTGACAAGGATGCTGAGAACATACAATGGGGAAAGCATAATCTTTTCAACAAAGGGTATTGGGAATACTGGGTATCCACGTGAAAAAGATTGAAATTGGATGCTTATCTTACACCATGCATAAAAATCAACTCAAAATGGATTAAAGGCTTAAACATAAAATCTGAAACCATATAACTTTTAGAAAAAAACTTGCAGAAAAACCTTATTGATCTTGGTGATAATTTTTTGAATATGACAGAAAAACACAGTCAACAAAAGCAAAATTAGACACGTGGAATTATATCAAATTAAAAACCTATAGAGCAAATGAAAAAATTATCAAAATGAAAAGACAGCTATGGAATGGGAAAATATTTGTAAAAAATAGATAAGGCATTAATATCTAAAATATTTGAAGTACTCACACAACTCAATGGCAAGAAAACAGCCTGACTCAAAAATGGGCAAAGGACTTAAAGAGACACTTCTCAAAAGGAGAAATCCAAAAGGCTAACAGGTACATGGAAAGGTGCTCAGCATCTATAATGATCAGGGGAAATGGAAATCGAACTTGAGTGAAATATCACCTGACACTTGTTAGGATGGCTATTATCAAAATGACAAGAGGCAAGTATTGGGGAGGATGTGGAGAAAATGGAACCCTTGTATGCTGTTGGTAGGAATGTAAATTAGTATAACCATTATAGTAAGCAATATGGAATTTCCTCAAAAAATTAAAATAGAGCCTGTCATACGATCAGCAGTTCTTCTTCTGGGTATATATCCAAAGGAATTGAAATCTGGATCAAAAAGAGATACCTGTGCACCCATGTTCACTGTAACATTATTCGTAATAGCCAAGATATGGAAACAACCTAAATGTCTGCTGACAAATGAGAAAAATATGGTATATATTTGAGTGTGTGTGTGTGTGTGTGTGTGTATATATAAAACAGAATATTATCTAGCCTTAAGAAGAATGAAATTTTGACATTTGTGACAACGTGGATGGAGCTAGAGGATATTAAGCTAAGTGAAATGAGAGAGAGAAATGCTGCATGATCTCACTTCTATGTGGAATATGGGAAAAAGTCACATTCATAGAAGCAGAGAGGGGAGATGGAGTGATATTGGTCAAAGGGTACAACAGTTTGACTTATGCAAGATTAATAATTTCTGGTGAGGTAATGTACAACATCATGACTGTAGTTAACAAAAAACAAAATACCTGAAAACATAGGAAACATTGGGTTTATTCCTGGAATTCAAAGATATTCCTTCATTAGAAAGTCTATGAATGTAATGGGATATAAACTGATTAGAAGAGGAAAACCATTATTTTCAACATCAGGGAAAGATGATCAAGTTTGGGTAAGTGGGTGGGGCACTAATTATATTTACAGAAGAGAGTCTGTGTATTTAGAGCAGAATAACTATTGATCATTGCGGTAAGTGGAAATAACATGGGCTCTGGAGATAGCCAACCAAGTTTAAATCTTGATTTTATCATATAATAAGCTATGATTCCCTGAGCAAGTTACTTAACATTATTGTATTTCAGTTTCTTTTTCTGAAAAATGACAATTATAATTATTAACCTGTTGTGATGCTTAAATGAGGCAAGCATGTAAAATAGTAACAGTGCTAGGTTGGATGTTGTTTAATATACAGTCACTCTTATAACTGAGTACTGTGTTATCTATGCTGTATTATAAATGACAGAAAAATGTAGCTTAAAACAGCAAACATTTATCAGCTCACATTTTTCTGTGAAAAAGGCAACCAGGAATTGCATAATGATTCTTCTATTGTTTTTTTTTTAGAGTCAGGGACTTGCTCTGTCTCCCAGCATGGAGTGCAGTGATGCAGCATAGCTCACTGCAGCCTAGAACTTCTGGGCTCAAGCCATCCTCCTGCCTCAACCTGCTGAGTAACCAAGATTACAGGCACATGCCATCTTGCCTGGTTAAATTTTTAATTTTTTTGTAGAGACAGGGTCTTGCCATGTTGCCCAGACTGGTCTCAAATTCCTGGCATCAAGCAATCCTTTAACCTCGGCCTTCTAAAGCACTGGAATTCCAGGCATGAGCCATCATACCTGGCCATCATTCTTGCCCTGGGTCTTTGATGATTTTTTTTTTTTTTTTTTTTTTTTGAGACGGAGTCTGGCTCTGTCGCCCAGGCTGGAGTGCTGTGGCACAATCTCGGCTCACTGCAGCCTCCACCTCCCGAGTTCAAGCGATTCTCCTGCCTCAGCCTCTTGAGTATCTGGGATTATAGGCGTGCACCACCACACCTGGCTAATTTTTTATATTTTTGGTAGAGACGAGGTTTCACCATGTTGGCCAGGCTGGTCTCGAACTCCGGACCTGAAGTTATCTGCCTCCCAAATACTGGGATTACAGGCGTGAGCCACTGCTCCTGGCCTGATGAATTTTTAGTTAAGCTATCAGTCAGGTCATAGTCATCTGGGTCTGGAGGATCCACTTCCATACTCATTTGTGCAGTTATTTGCTGGCCTTCGTTCCCCTTTGGCTGTGGGCCAGAAACCTCACTTTCTTGCCAAGTATACCTTTCTACAGCCCAAGTGTCTTCATGACATGGCCAGTGATTTCTCCATAGAAAATCAGAGAAAGAGTGGGGGAGAGAAAGGAAAAAGTACCTAAGAGAGTTGATAAAATGAAGTTGTGCTGAGTTTTATAACATCACTTTTGCTGTATTCTTTTGGTCACAGTCCTGATACAATATGGGAGGAGATTACATAAGGATCTTAAAACCAGGTGGCTTAGATTAGTGGGCACCATCTCAGAGGCTCCATACTACAAGTACCTAACACAGCATGTTGAAAGATATATGGCCACTATATTGTAATTACAGGTGAACTCTTTCGTTACCTTCTGGTATTAGAAAGGAATATAAATATGCATGGGTTAAGCATATTATTTGGATTACTTTTAGTGTGTGATTTAAATTTGGGAGAAATAGTTGGACCACATAATCTGAATGTTCATAAAAATGCGTTAGGTAGCACACGATTCTGTTGAATACAGTAGTAAAGTTGACTAGGACTGTAAGAAAATTCTTTGATTTTTCTTTTTACTTGAATCTCAAGAATTTGTCATTAGATGAATAGATTTGATATGAAAAGCAGTCTCTTGTGGGGTTCTGCAAGAGTCAATGTATTATTTTAATTTTAGCTTAAGAGAAGTGCTCTAACACAATCACAGTTCTTCTCTTACTGTGTTTTTTAATGCCAGCAAAATTATAGTGTATTTTCTTTTATCTAAATATGATCTCCAAGTATTCATGCAAGAAAATCATAGATTAGTGAAAGTATACAAGACTTTAGATGTTTTCTGGTTATTTTCTCATCAATGTAGGTATCCCTTCAATTAATTTTAATGGCAACTTTCATCTTCCATTTGTATGATGGATTATTGTTTTCAACACTGTTTCACATGAGTAATATCATCAGATCACCACAATAACTCTATGATGTACACAGGGCAGGTACTGAACCTCATTTTATAGAAGTAAAAACAATCTAGGAGAGGCTAAGTGTTGTTTCTAGTGTTACACAACCAATAATTTGCAGAGCTAAGGCTTTAAGGACATGTCATCTGGCTCTTAGTATAGTGCTATTTTTGTATCATACTTTTTTGGATGGTTCAACACAATTATTGAGAGAAAAAAACAATTAAAATGTTAGGTTTTTTCCACTCATATTGACCCATCTTCTGATTTTCTATAATTTATTTTCATTGGTGCTGAATCTTATTTCCTGGAGCACAGAACAAGCTTTTGCTTCTTCTGTTTGAGATTGTTTTAAGGAATTAAAGTTTTAAGGGTTAATTTCTTAAAATAACATCAAATAGCAATTACTACATCTATCTTTTTTTGTAGGTGAAACCCTCTCTGTTCCTTCAGAGAATGTTTCTTATGCAAATAATGTGATTTGTTAGATGTCATTTTTCAGTTTCTAGGATAAAATTACTTATTTTTCTTGAATGTGGGTTACATCATAGAGATGTTAACATTTATAAGGACAAGAATTATACACTATATTCATTTTAAACATACTCATGGTAACAGTACAAGAATAATAGCAAATATTTCTGTAGAGGCATGTCTAAGCCACTGTTCTGAGAGTTTTATGAACCTTCAAATAATCCTGTGAGTTAGGTAATGTTATTTTTATTTCCTGTTTATAGGTAAGGAAACTGAGACATAGGCTAAAAAAGTTGTCTAGATTATGCAGCTAGTAAGTGGCCAATGTAGATTATGAATTCAGGTAGTCTGGCTTCATAGTCTGTGTCCTTAATTGTTAGTCATGTTGCTGCACATTTTTCCACGCTTAGAGTTTATATTTCATAAGCCATTTACTTGTTTGTACTTCTTTTAAATGATTGTATATATTGAAATTAAGGATGTGATGATTCACTATACGTAGGAGAAGGATGTCCGGAAGTGGAAGGAAGAATTGCTAGATCAACGACGCAGGATGATGGAAGAAAAATTACTTCATGCTGAGTTTAAGCGAGAAGTGCAGTTACAAGCAATTGTGAAAAAAGCACAAGAAGAAGAAGCTAAGGTATATCATAAGAGCTTTAAATGTTGACTTAATTACCCAAGTACTTTTTTGAATTGTTATATAATAGTAATAGAAGATAATGTTTATCCAATGTTTATTCTGTTGTAGAATAACAGCATTTTACACACTCATTTAAAACTTACCAGGTGCAATATTTTATCCCTTTGATAATTCTATGAGCCATCTATTATTATTTTTACAACCCTGTAAAGGTATAATTGATAGAGAATAAGCAGCACATATGTAAAGTATTCCATTTGATGAGTTTTGACATGTATATATCCTTGAAACTATCAGTACAATGAACATAATACACAATTCCTCTTTGTAATTCATTCCTTCATTCAACTCTATTATCTAATTACTGATCTGCTTTCTATCAGTATAGATGTTTGCTTTTTCTAGAACTTATGTGCATGGAATCATACAGTATCTATTGTTTTCTCTGGCTTTCCCTCATAACAGTTACTTTGAACTTCATCCATCCTGTTGTGTGTGTGAATAGCTCCTTTCTTTTCATTGCTGGGTCATTCCAT
This sequence comes from Homo sapiens, assembly GCF_000001405.40. Taxonomy (NCBI): domain Eukaryota; kingdom Metazoa; phylum Chordata; class Mammalia; order Primates; family Hominidae; genus Homo; species Homo sapiens. The sequence goes on along the minus strand of NC_000015.10, from coordinate 76,753,271 downwards.
TTCTTTACGTATGGAAATACCATAATTTGTTAACCCAGTCACTTGTTGATGGACATGTGTTTTCTTTCCAGTTTTTTTCTATTACAAATATAGCTGCTGTGGCAATTCATGTATACATCTTTGTGCAGATGTGTACTTTCATTTTTATTTTATAAAAACCTAGGAGTGGATTGGTGTATAGCATCTTACAATAGGTTCATGTTTAAGTTTTACACATGGTTTTCCATACTAGTTAAATATTTTACATTCCTACCAGCAGTGAATGAGAGTTCTAGTTGTGCCATATTCTGACCAGCACTTGACACAGTTACACATTTTAATTTGAGTCATTTTTTTTAAATACATGTATAGAGTCTAATTTTTTTCCTATTTTTTTTGTGGGAAAAACATAATGTAAAATTTATCATCTGAATCATTGTTAAGTATACAATTCAGTGGTTTTAATGCATTCATGTTATGCAGTCATCACCACCATGTATCTTCATTACTCTTTTTCATCTTGTAAAACTGAAACTCTATACTCATTAAACAGTAACTCCTCATTCTCACCCCCAGCCCCTGGCAATCATCATTCTACTTTCTAGATCTATGATTTTGACTACTGTAAGTACCTCTTGTAAATGGAATGATATGGTGTAATTTTATCCTTTTGTGACTGGCTTATTTCATTTAGCATAAGGTCTTCAGTGTTATAGCATATGTTAGAATTTCCTTCCCTTTTCAGGCTGAGTAATTTTCCATTGTATGTATGTACCACATTTTGCTTATCCATTCATACCTCAATGGACATTTGAGTTATTACTACATTTTAGCTATTGTGAACAGTGCTGTTGTAAATATGGGTGTACAAATAACTCTCCAGTTCCTGCTTTGAATTCTTTTGGGTATATACCCAGAATTGGAAAGGCTGGATCATACAGTAATTCTATTTTTAATTTTTTGAGGAATCACCATGCTGTTTTCTACATGTAGTTCACCATTTTTATATTCCCATCAGTAGTGCACAAGGGTTCCAGTTATTCCATATCCTCTCTAACTCCCATCATTTTGTTTTTGTGATAGTAGTCATTCTGATGTGTGTTATTTGGTATCTCGTTGTAGTTTTGATTTGCATTTCTCTAATGATTAGTGATGTTGAGCATCTTTTCATGTGCTTATTGGCCATTTGTATATCCTCTTGGAGAAATGTCTGTTCAAATCCTTTTCACATTCTTGAATTGAGTTTTTTTTTTTTATTGTGGAGTTTTAAGACTTCTGTATATATTCTTGATATCAATTTGTTTTAAATCAAAGATATGATTTGCAAACGTTTTCTCCCATTCTGTGGGTTGCATTTTTACTTTGACAGTAGCATCTTTTGACATGCAAAATGTTTTAATTTTCACAAAGTCCAATTTGTCTGTTTTTTTCTTTTGTTGCCTGTGACTTTGGTGTCATATCCAATAAATCATTGCAAAATCTAGTGTCGTGACACTTTGATCCTGTGTCTTCTTCTAAGAGTTTTATAGCTTTAGATCTTATATTTAGGTAATTGATCCATTTCGAGTTAATTTCAGTATGTGGTGTTAGGTAAAGGTTTAGCTTGATTTTTTGCCATGTGGCTGTCGAGTTTTCCCATTACCATTTGCTGAAAAGGCTTTTCTTTGTCCATTAAATTATCTTGGCACCCTTGTCAAAAATTATTTGACTATATCTGTGAGGGTCTATTTCTTAGCCCCGTGTTCTATTCCATAGGTCTATATGTCTGTTTTAGTGCTAGTACTATACTGTTTTCATGATTGTAGTTTTGTTGTAAGTTTTGAAATTAGGAAGTGGGAGTCATCCAATTTTGTTGTTCTTTTTCAAAATTGTTTTGGTTATTTGGGGTCCCTTGAGATTCCATATGAATTTTAGGGTGGACTTTTCTGTTTCTGCAGAGTCATCATTGGAATTTTGGTAAAGATTGCATTGAATCTGTACATCACTTTGTGTATTGTTGATATCTTAACAATATTAAGTGTTCTGGTTTATGATCATGGGATAATTTTTTATTTATTTGTGTTGTCTTTAATTTTTCAATAATGTTTTATAGTTTTTATTGTATGTGTCTTTTGCCTCCATGGTTAATTACTAAGTATTTTATTATTTTTGGTGCTATTGTTAATGGAGTTGTTTTCATGATCTCCTTTTCAGATTGTTCCTTGTTAGTGTATAGAAATGCAATTGATTTTTGTGTGTTGACTTTGTATCCTGCTTCTTTACTGAATTTTTACTACTTCTAACAATTTTTTTTGGTGGAATCTGTAAGTGTTTTCTACATATAAGTTCATATCATCTGTGAACAAAGATAATCTTACTACTTTCTAAATTTGGGCACTATTTCTTTTACTTTCCTAATTTTTCTGGCTTGAACTTCTGGTGCTACCTTAAATAAAAGTGGTGAAAGCAGGTATCTTTATCTTGATCCTGATATCAGAGTAAAAGCTTTCAGTCTTTTACCATTGAATATGATATTTGTTGAGGTTTTTTCATACATAGCTTTTGAGTTTGTTCTGTTCCTAGTTTGTTGTTTTTTATCATGAAAGATGTTGAATTGTCAAATGTTTTCTTCTGCATCAGTTGAGACTGTGTGTTTTTTTCCTCTTTAATTCTGTTAATGTGTAATGTTACATTGGCCAGTTTTCATATGTTGTACCATTCCAGGAATAAATCCCACTTGGTCATGGTGTATAATCCTTTTAATATGCTTCACTAGTATTTTGTTGAGAGTTTTTGCATTAATATTGATAAAGGATATTGGTCTATAGTTTTTTCCTTGTAGTTTCTGTCTGGTTTTGGTATCAGGGTAATGCTGGCCCGATAGAATGAGTTAGGATGTATTCCCTCCTCTTCAATTGTTTGGAGTTTGAGAAGGATTGGTGTCAGTTCTTTAAGTGTTTGATAGAATTCACCCATAAAGCCATCAGGTCCAGGGATTTTCTTAGGAGATTTCTAAATTACTGATCAATGTCCTTACTAGTTGTAAGTCTATTCATATTTTCTAAATTTTTTTGATTTAGTCTTTGTAGGTTTTGTACTTGTCTGTATTATGAGTTAGGGTTGAGATTTTTTTTTTTCATATGGATATGTACTGTTCCAGCACCAGTTGTTTAAGACTGTTCTTTTTACATTGAATTGCTTTAATAACATTGTTGAAAATGAATTGGCCATGAATATGTGAGTTTTCTTTCTAACTTGATTCTGTTTACTTTATCTCTTGTGCCTGTTTTTATACCAGTACCACTCTATCTTGATTGTTGTACCTTTATAATAAATTGAAATCAGGAAGTACAAGTCCATAAGCTTTGTTGTTTTTTTTCTGAGCTATTTTGGCTATTTTAGATCCTTTGTATTCCATATAAGTTACAGGATCAGCTTTTGAATTTCTACAAAAATATTTTTTAAAGCCTATCTGGGTTTAAATTGGGTTTGCATTGAATTTATGGATTAATTTGGAGGAGAATTGACATCTTAATGATATTGAGCATTTCTTTCCATGAACATGACATATATCTCAATTTATTTAGATTCTGGCCTTTGCATCTGTTTTGTGAAATTTATCTGTAGTTCATATGTTTGATGGTATATTCAATGATATTTTGTTTTAATTTTTTTCTGTTGATTGCTAATACATAGCAATGCAGTTGATTTCTGTATATGTACCTTGTGTTTTACAACCTTGCTAGTAAACTCACTTATTAGGTCTATTGTTATTTCTTTCTTTCCAGTCTGTATGTTTTTTATTTTTTATCTCCTTTTATTGCAATAGCTGGGACTACTGCAGTGTTGAGTAGTTGTGAAGAGAGCTGACATCTTTTCTTGTTCCCAGTCTCAGGGGAAAAGCATTTACTCTTCACCATTAAGTACAATATTAGCTATAGACATTTCATAGATGTTTGTTATCAAATTGAGGAAATTTCTTTCTAGTCTTAGTTTACTGAAAATCTTTACCATGATTGGACTTTAAAATTGTTCACATGGTGTTTTGTCAATTAAGATACCATTAAATTTTTTTTTTAATGATGAATTTCACTGCTTGATTTTCAAATATTAAACCAACCGTGCATTTCTGAGATAAACCTTATGTATTCATAGTATATTATCATTTTTGTGTATTGGTGAATTTGATTTGCTAAAATTTTAGGAATTTTTGCATCAGTGTTCATGACCGAGGGTGTTCTGTAGTTTCTTTTCTTGTAATGTCTTTGGTTTTGGTAACAGGATATGCTGGCTTTGTAAAGTGATTTAGGAAGGGTTCTATCATCTTCAATTTTTTTAGAGTTGTTTGTGTAGAATTGATACAATTTATTGTTTAATTTTTTTTTTCTTGTAAAATCTACCAAGGAAGCTATCTGGGTCTGGGGTTTTCTTTGTGGGAAGATTTTTGCCTAAAAGTTTTATTGCTTTAATTTACATAGAGCTATTCCTATTATCTGTTTCTATTATATAATTTGTGTCACTCAAGAAATTTATCTATTTCCCCAAAGACTAATACTGTAGAGCATCTTTTCATGTACTTTTTGGCCATTTGTATATCTTCTTGGAAAAAATCTCTGTTCAAAATCCTTTGCTCACATTTTACCTGGGCAGTTTGTCTTTTTGTTGTTCAGTTATACGAGTTCCTTGTATGTTCTGGATACTAGATCCTTATGAAACTTGTGATTTGCAAATATTTTCTTTAATTTTGCAAGTTGCCTTTTCACTTTCTTGATAATGTTCTTTTCATAAAAGTTTTTAATGTTGTCAAATTCCAGTGTATTTCTCTTTTTTTGTTGCTTAGTTTTTGGTGCTAAGAAATAATTATCAAATCCAAGATCATGAAGATTTACCTCTTTGTTTTCTTCTAAGATTTTGTGATTTTAGATTTTTATATTTAAATTGTAAAGACATTTTGAGTTAATTTTTGTGTATGATCTGTGGTAGGGGTTCAACTTAATTCTTTTGCATAAGAATATCCATATTTCGGCCAGGCGCGGTGGCTCACGCCTGTAATCCCAGCACTTTGGGAGGCCGAGGTGGGCAGATCACCTGAGGTCCAGAGTTCGAGACCAGCCTCACCAACATGGAGAAACCCCGTCTCTACTAAAAATACAAAATTAGCGCGGCATGGTGGCGCATGCCTGTAATCCCAGCTACTCCGGAGGCTGAGGCAGGAGAATGGCTTGAACCCGGGAGGCGGAGGTTGCTGTGAGCCAAGATCACGCCATTGTACTCCAGCCTGGGCAACAAGAGCGAAACTCCGTCTCAAAAAAAAAAAGGAAAAAAAAAAAAAGAATATCCATATTTCCCAGCACCGTTTGTTGAAGAGACAGACCCTCTCATTGGTCTGTTTCAGCCCATTTGTGTTGCTATAAAGGAATACTTGAGGCTGGGTAATTTATAAAGAAAAGAGGTTTATTTAGCTCACTATTCTGTAGGCTGTACAAGAAGCATGGCACCATCATCTACTTTTGGTGAGGGCCTCAGGCTGACTTCACTGATGGCAGAAGGTGAAGGAGAGCCAGCATGTGCAGATCACATCGTGAAAGAGGAGGCAGTAAGAGAGGAGGGAGGTACCACACTCTTGGAAACAACCAGCTCTTGAGGGAACTTTTGCAGGAACTAATATAGCAGAACTCACCCCTCTCCCCTGAGGGCATTAATCTATTCATGAGGGATCTGTTCCCATGACCCAAACACTTCCCATTAGGCCTCTACCTCCAACATTGGCAATTAGTGTTTCACATATTGATTACATATATATATATATTTTTGAGACAGAGTCTCACTCTGTCCCCAGGCTGGAGTGCAGTGGTGTGGTCTTGGCTCACTGCAACCTCTGCCTCCTGGGTCCAGGCGATTCTCCTGCCTCAGCCTCCTGAGTAGCTGGGACTACTGGTGCACGCCACCACACCCAGCTAATGTTTGTATTTTTAGTAGAGATGGAGTTTCACCATTTTGGCCAGGATGGTCTTGATCTCTTGACCTTGTGATCTGCCCACCTTGGTCTCCCAAAGTGCTGGGATTACAGGTGTGAGCCACCATGCCTGGCCAGATCACATTTCAACATGTGGTTTGAAGGGACAGACAGCCAAACCATTGCAGTCTGTATGTCTGTCCTTATGCCAGTACCACACTATTTTGATTACTGTAGCTTTTTAGTAAGCTTTGAAATGGGAACAGTGAGTCCTCCAACTTTGTTATCCCTGTCCCCACCAAACATGATGTACCAATGTAGTGTACCTTGCCATTCCATGTGAATTGAGGTTTGGTTTTTCGTATCTGCAAAAAAGCCTGTTGGCGTTTTGTTAGGGATTACATATCTTTATATCCTTTTGAGTAGTATTACCATCTTAACAATATTAGTCTTCTCATTTATGAACGTGGAATTTCCTTCTGTTTATTTGTCTTCTTTAATTTCTTTCAGCATTGTTTTGTTTTTAACATACAAGTATTTCACTGCTTTGTTTAAATTTATTTGTAAGTGTTCTTTTGGATGCAATTATAAATGATATTGTTATCTTAATTTCATTTTTGATTATTCATTGCTAATGTGTAGACACACAATCAATTTTTATATATTGATCTTATGTCTTGTAATCTTGTTTGAACTCCTTCATTAGTTTTAATAGCTTTTTAGTGAATTCTTTTGGATTCTTCATAAACAAGATCACATAGTCTGCAAATATAGTTTGTTTTGCTTTTGCTTTCCAGTTGGATGTCTTTGATTTCTTTTTCTTGTTTAATTGCTCTGGCTAGAACCTATAGTATATTGTTGAATAGAAGTAGTGAGAGTAGACATCCATTTGTTATTCCTTATCTTCCTAGATGTATTTAATCTTTCATCAAGTATGATGTTAAGTGTAGAGTTTTCATATACAGTTGAGCCTTGGTATCTGTGGGTTCTGCATGTGCAGATTCAACCACCTGCAGCTTAATCAATAGGTGATTGAATCCGTGAATGCAGAGGATCAACTGTAAGGGACTTCAGCATCTATGGATTTTGGTATCCATGGTGGATCCTGGAATCAATCCCCCATGGATACTGAGGGACAACTATATGTCCTTTATCAGGTCAAGGAAGTTCATTTTTATTCATCGTTTGTTGAGTATTTTTATTATGAAGGGATATTGGATTTTGTCAAATGCTTCTTCTCCATCTATTGCTGTTACACTATATTTTTTGTCCCTGTTCTATTGATCTGGTGTATTACATTAATTGAATTTAGATATTTTGTATATTTGTCCAATTTTGTTGTTTAAAGTGCAAGGGTAAATCTCATCCTGTTACTTATGGCTGGAAGTGGAATTTCTGATCTATGTATTATTAGTATTTTTATCTTTTTGTTTTCGAGGGACAGTCTGAAGGTAGATTATTGATGATCAGAAAGGCAGAATTAAATCCAGATCTTTCTGGTTCCAAAGGCTTTGATTTTATCACTGTACTTATTACTTTAGTATTCTCATTTTGTGATATTTTGTCATATGACTTACATACATTTTGACTTGTCTAATTGCTTGATATACTTACTTTCAATATGATTTTATTAAGCCAAAGTGACTTTTATAAGCAAATTAAGCTAATTATTTATCACAGTTTAAATAATTTCCATAGAGATGGATGGTCAACTCCTGGCTATCTTTACATGAGGAGATCAGCTACCATTTATAGTTCTTTTAATTCTTTTTCTTAAAATTCCAACTTTTATTTTGGATACATGGGGTACATGTGCAGGTTTGTTACATGGATATATTGTACCCTAGTAATGAGCATAGTACTCCATAGGCAAATTTGTTTTGCTTTGTTTTGTTTTGTTTTGTTTTTTGAGATGGAGTCTCACTCTGTCACCCAGGCTGGAGTGCAGTGGTGCAATCTCAGCTCACTGACACAGCTGCCTCCCGGGTTCAAGCCATTCTCCCGCCTCAGCCTCCCGAGTAGCTGAGATTACAAGCACACGCCACCACGCCTGGCTAATTTTTTTATTTTTTTATTTTTTAGTAGAGACGAGGTTTCACCATTTTGGCCAGGCTGGTCTTGAACTCCTAACCTCAGGTGATCCACCCACCTCGGACTCCCAAAGTGCTGGGATTACAGGTCACTAGGTAGTTTTTAACCTTCTCTCCCTTCCCTCTCTACTTCGAGTAGTCTGCAGTATCTATTGTTCCCATGTTTATGTCCATATGTGCTTATTGTTTAGCTCCCACTTACAAATGAGAAAATTTGGTTTACTGTTCCTGCATTAATTCACTTAGGATTATGGCCTTCAGTTCCATCTATGTTGCTGCAAAGGATACAATTTCATTCTTCTTTTGGTTGCGTAGTATTCCATGTTGTATATGTACCACATTTTTTTTAATCCAGTCTATCGATAGGCACTATTGATGGACTCCTGGGTTGATTCCATGTCTTTGCTATTGTGAATAGCATGGCAATGAACATATGACTGCACATGTCTTTTTGGTATAATAATTTGTTTTCCAATGGGTATATCCCCAGTAATGGAATTGCTGGGTCAAATGGTAGCTGTGTTTTAAGTTCTTTCAGAAATTGCCACACTGCGTTCCACAGTGGCTGAACTAATTTACATTCCCACCAACAGTGTATAAGCGTTCCCTTTTCTCTGTAGCCTTGCCAGCATCTCTTGTTTTTTAACTTTTTAATAATAGCCATTCTGACTGGTGTGAGATGGTATCTCATTGTGATTTTGATTTGTATTTCTCTGATGCTTAATGATGCTAAGAATTTTTTCATGTTAGTTGGACACTTGTATGTCTTTTGAGAAATGTCAATTCATGTCTTTTGCTCATTTTTAAAAATGGGGTTATTTGTTTTTTTGCTTGTTGATTTAAGTTCCTTATATATCCTGGATATTAGACTTTGTTAGATGCATTGTTTGCAAATATTGTCTCCCATTCTGTAGGTTGTCTTTTTACTCTGTTGATAGTTTCTTTGGCTGTGCAGAAGATTTTTAGCTTAATTAGGCCCTACTTGTCAACTTTTGTTTTTGTTCCAATTACTTTTGGAGATACAGCCAAAATTGACTTGTCAAGCAGATGTCAAGAAGGGTATTTCCTAGGTTTTCTTCTAGGATTTTTATAGTTTGAGGCCTTACATTTAAATCTTTAATCCATCTTAAGTCAATTTTTGTATGTAGTTAAAAGTAAGGGTCTAGTTTTGTTGTTCTGCATATAGTTAACCAGTTATCCTAGTGCCATTTATTGAAGAAGGAGTCCTTTTCCCATTGCTTGTTTTTGTTGACCTTGTTGAAGATCAGATGGTTGTAGATGTGCAGCTTTATTTCTGAATTTTCTGTTCTGTTCCATTGGTCTGTGTGTCTGTTTTGTACCAGTACCATGCTGTTTTGTTTACTGTAGCCTTGTGGCATAGTTGGAAGTCGGGTAATGTGATGCCTCAAGCTTTGTTCCTTTTGCTTACTATTGCTTTGGCTATTGGGGCACTTTTTTGGTTCCATACGAATTTTAGAATAGTTTTTTTTCTAATTTTGTGAAGAATGCCACTGGTGGTTTGATAGGATAGCATCAAATCTGTAAATTGCTTATGGCGATTTTAATGATACTGATTCTTCTAATACATGCACATGGGATGTTTTTCTGTTTGTGTCATCTCTGATTTTTTTCAGCAGTGTTCTGTCATTCTCCTTGTTCAGTTCTTTCACCTCTTTGGTTAGCTGTATTTTCCTAGGTATTCCATTTTCTTTGGCTATTTTGTATGGTATTGTGTTCTTGATTTGACTGTTTTCCTGGGCATTATTGGTGGATAGAAATGCTACTGATTTTTGTACATTGATTTTTATATCCTGAAACCTTGCCAGAACAGCTTATCAGTTTCAGTACCCTTTTGGCAGAATAATTCATGATAAGTGAATTAAGAGTCTGTACTAAAATTCTTGCTAATGTAAATACTGTTTTAAAACCTTGCTACCACTTGCCCACCTGTTGGTGCTCTCAGTTGTCACCATTTTCAGTTCAATAAACTGTGAAATCCTGTCTGGACATGTATTCCATTTCTACAAAGAAAATAGACATGGTATTTTTTTCCTTATTCAAAAGTATTTTTATTATCATAGTGACGACCGAAGTCTCTTGAGTTAGATAAACTTGGACTTCGGTTCTGACTCCACCACTTAGTAGCTGAATATCCTTAGGTATTATTTTACCTCTCTGAGCCTATTTGTTCATCTTTAAAATTGGAATAATTTTACCTACATGTCAATTATTGTAAGTATTAAGTTAGATTATGCATGTTGTGAAGCAGTTAATGTCATCTTTGTTATAACAAAAGCACTTAGTAAAATATTAGAATTATAGAAGAAATGTTCTACTTATTTTTTTCTGAAGTCTCATGTATTTCTGTTGTTCTGTTACTAATCAAAAAGTACTAATAATCCAGTAATTTTTTTAATTTAAATTTTACTATAAGTGTACTTTCCTTGAGACCATGTACCATTTTAGTCCTGTTACATACTCAAGATGTTTTTTTTCCATGTATGCTTTTTATGAGTCCTTGGGATAAATTAATGGCCATTTCAAATCCTTTAGTTCTTTCTTAGGTAGATTGGTGATTGAAAATAAGTTAGCTAGTATTCTGTTGATGGTGATTAATATTGCAGCCTGAGTTATTCAAAACCTGATTTTATATTAGATCATAGTCCATTATTTAATAGTCTAATATTGACTTTCATTTTCAGTTTCTTGATGGTCTCATTGACTCATTTTCAGTTGCAGCATGTCTAGCAATAACTGCTGTTTATTTTTATTCTTTTTTTTTTTTTTTTTTTTTTTTTTTTAGGAAAAGACACCTGTTTCTTATTCCTTGTGCTGTGGGTCCTATTTTTGTCCCCTTTGCTGCTCTTGGAATTGTTTTTTTTTATCAGTTAAATTCTTGTGCCTGGTCCTTTGCTTTCTTCCTCTAGATTACCTACTTTTGTACACCTGTTTTATAGATTACCTATTTTGTACTTTTGTAAATCCCCAAATTTCTGAGAAATAGTGGCCTGAGCTTGTTTCTAATACCGATCACCCATGTCTTCCTTAATTCCTTATATGATTTTCCCCTTTCTGCAACTATATTTGCCTTTGAGAATATTTCTCTGTTTTCACTGAGTTTAAAAGACTTTTCTGAGTCACTTCATATGAACACCATCAGGCATCTTTTTCTAGAAAACTTCTGCACTATCTTAATTTTCTCTCTACTCTCTAACCAATCCTTTACTGTCTTCCCTTCTTTATTTTGTTAGTTAAACGTAACTGAAAAATGAAGTTTCACTTCACTTACTCTTCTTTTTTAGTATCACAGTCACTACCATTGCTTCAGTGTCTTCTCTGCAGTGATTTCTAAATCTGAATCTTTAGCCCTACCTTCAACTGAGCTCTAGACTCAATTGCCTATTGTTTGGTGCTTGTATTGAGTGGAACTCATCAGCTCACCATCTCCTTTATCCCAAACCAACTGCTTTACTGAATTCCATATTTCAGATAATGATAATAATAACTAGTCACCCATTAACCTAGATTTGGAAAACTTGTATTCATTTACTTCATTTCACTTTTCTTTTTAATCTCTTCTTGACAACTTTTTGTGTATCAGCCAGAAAGATAGGCTGATTTTTTCTGACATCTTCTTTGGAGTCCTATGTATACATACACCTGCAGTTCTCTAACTCTGTAGGCAGCTACATTTTCCATTGCAGCTGCCACCAGTTTATTTTTATCTCCCTCCTAAATATTTACAGTTGATATTCTTCCCTTTTGTTCCTCCTCCCTCCAGATTAATCTTTCTGGAGGGTATTGTAATGCCTCTCAGGCCAAAAACCTTCAGGGACTTTTTATGGTCTTCAAGCCTAAGTATAAATCCATTACTCTAGATTTCTTTAATATTATATTGTATTTAAAATAGTGGCCATATTTTTATTTTAAAAGTGATTCATTTTTATTTTGAAGAATTTAAGCAACATAGCAAAGGAAACTCAATCCCACCCTCAGAAATAGCCACCATTAACATTAGGTAGACACTGTTTCAGACATTTTCCTATTATTATATTCAGATTGCATGAATGGATAATCTTATAAAATAGAATTATGCTATACATGATACTTCGTAGTAAGATGTATTAATCTTTATTTTAGTTCCATTTTAAGGGAAGGAGATGAAATGGAAGTGAAATTGAGGAAATTCTTGAGTTTATCGTGTTAATCACAAGAATTCATTCTCATAAGAATTTTTTGAGATAATAAAATATGAAACGTATTGAGAGTTTGGAGTTGTATTTATTCAATTTCATTTTAATTTCTGAACATTTTTAGGGAACCCTTGCTAAAAAGAGATGAGAAAATTAGCACTCGTATATCATCCTAATCTTTCCACAATAATTATTCATAGTTTTATTATTTTTCTCTTGTTAAAGTTGATCAAATTTATGTTTTCCTCTGTAACTTTAAATTCCTCAGTTTAGTTTTCCTTATATATGTAAATCGACTCATTGCTTACCAATTCTTCATTTATGAGTTGTTTTATCTTTTGGTTTGCTGGATTTTATTAAGAAAAAAACTTTTTTCTAGGAAAAGCTCATATATGCTCTGTCCCTTGAGTTCTTACATATTTTAGGCCTGTGGCATTTCTACCTGAATTATATGTTGGTTTGAGATCATATTTATGATTCACAATATCTCTCCTTCAGAACTTCAAGACATTATTCCATTATCTTAGTTATTTCTGTGGGGAAGGCCGAGTCTACACTGAATTTTCTTTCTTGTAGGTGACTTACATTTACTGCATGGAAGCTTGAAAAATTATTGTTCTTTCTTAATGTTTTATGATTTAATAAGGATATTCTTGATGGTGATGTTCTGAGTCAATTTTTTATGAAGTAATGTAAGCTCTCTTAATCTTTAAACATTTCCTGTATTTTATGTTGGAATATTTTCTGTTGCCTTTCTTAGCTACATAGATACTGTTTATCTTTATCTTTATATTAGGTCATTTTGTCATGTTCTCTGTATTCAAGGCTTATTATCTATTCATCTTCACTGTAAAAATCTACAATAACTGTGATTATCAAAAGTTTTTCCTCTAGAAGTAATTTAAGTAGAGACAGGGTGTCACTCTTATCACCCAGGCTGAAGTGCAGTGGCATGATCATAGTTCACTACAGCCTTGAACTCCTGGTCTCAAGTGATCTTACTGAGTCAGTCTTTTGAGTGGCTGGGACTATAGGCATGTGCCACAAAATTTGACTTATTTTTTAAATTTGTAGAGATGGAGGTCTTGCTATGTTGCCCAGGCTGGTCTCGAACTCCTGGTCACAAGTGATCCTCCTGCTTTGGCCTCCCATAGCATTGGGATTACAGATGTGAGCAGCTGTGCCTGGCCCATTATTTGGGGTTGGTTTTTACACTATCTGTTCTGTACCATGCATTTTCTAATTTAAGTAATTCTGTGATAGTGTTACTTTTGTACTCTGTTTGTTTCCTTAGCTCACGAATCACCTTTATCAAATAAGACAGTAGTCCTCCCTTAATTGCAGTTTTGGTCTTTGTGGTTTCATCTACCCTCGTCAATCACAGTCCAAAAATAGGAAATGGAAAATCTAGAAATAAACAATTCATAAGTTTCAGATTGTGTACTGTTGTGAGTACCATGGTGAAATCTTGTATAGTTATGTCCCGGACGTAAATCATTCCTTTGTCCAGTATATCCATGCCGTATATGCTATCTGCTCATTGGTGTGTTAGTAGCCATCTTGGTTATCAGGTGGAGTGTCATGGTATCACAGTGCTTGTGTTCACATAACCTTTATTTTATTTAATGGTCCCAAAGCACAAGAAGAGTGATGCTAGCAATTTGGATATGCCAAACAGAAGTTGTAAAGTGCTTCCTTTAAATGAAAGCGTGAAAGTTCTCAACTTACTAAGGAAAGGAAAGAAATCTTATGCTGAGGTTACTGAAATCAGTGGTAAGAATGAATCTTCTATTTGTGACATTGTGAAGAAGGAAAAATAAATTTGTACAATGTATGTAGTCATCCCTCAGTATCTGTGGAGGATTGGTTTCAGGGCCTCTTGAAGATACAAAAATTGATGGTTGCTCAAATCCCATGTATAAAATGATATAGTATTTGCATATAACTTATGCACATCCTCCTGTATACTTTAAATCACCTCTAGATTACTTATACCTAATACAATGTAGATACTGTGCAATAGTTATTCTACTGTATTATTTAGGGGTTAAAGACAAGAAAAAATGTCTGTACAGGCATGCATTGTTTTATTCTGCTTCACTTTATTGGGCTTCAAAGATACTTACTGAGTTTTAAAAAATTGAATGTTTGTGTCAATCCTGCATCAAGCAAAGTCTTTATTTTTGCCATTTTTTCCAACAACACGTGCTCACTTCATGTCTTTGTGTTATACTTTGGTGACTCATAATATTTTAGATTTTTTAATTATTATATTTATTATGGTGATCTGTGATAAGTGATCTTTGGAGTTACTATTGTAATTGTTTTGGGGTGCCATGAGCCACACTCATATATGACAGCAAACTTAATTGATAAATGTTTTGTGTGTTCTGACTGCTCCACTGACCTGGCCATTCCCCCATTTCTTATCCTCAGGCCTCCTTATTCCCTGAGACACAGCAGCATTGATATTAGGCTAATTGGTTATTAATCGATAACCATACAGTGTCCTCCTAAGTCTTTTTTTTTTTTTGAGACAGAGTCTCGCTTTGTTGCTTAGGCTGGATGGAGTGCAGTGGCGTGATGTCGGCTCACTGCAAGCTTCGCCTCCCGGGTTCACGAGTGGCCTCTAAGTCTTCAAGTGAAAGAAGAGTTTTACATCTTTCACTTTAAATCAAAAGCTGGAAATGATAATGCTTATTGAGGAAGGCTTGTCAAAAACTGGGCTAGAGCCTGTGCAACTTAGCAAGACCCCATCTCTACCAAAACATTTTAAAAATTAGCCAGATGTGGTCGCACATGCTTATCGTCCCATCCACTCAAGAGGCTGATGTGAACGAATCACTTGAGCTCAGGAGTGTGAGGCTGCAGTGAGCCACTGCACTCCAGCCTGGGTGATGTGAAACCCAGTCTTGAAAAACAAAAAGAAAAAAATAAAGCTGGGATAAACTGAAAGCTAGGCCTCTTATGCTAGTCAGTCAGGTTGTAAATGCAAAGGAAAAGTTTTGAGAAAGATTAAATGTGTTACTTCAGTAAACATATGAATGATAAGAAAGCACAACAGGTTATTGCTGATATGGTGAAAGTTCGAGTGGTCTGGATAGAAGATCAAACCAGCCACAACATTCCGTTAAGCCAAAGCCTAATCCAGAGTAAGATCCCGACTACTTCCAATTCTGTGAAGTTTAAGAGAGGTATGGAAGCTGCAGAAGAAAAGTTTGAAGATAGCAGAGGTTGATTCTTGAGGTTTGAGGAAGGAAGCCGTCTCAATAACATAAAAGTGCAAGGTAAGGCAATAAGTGCTGACGTAGAAGCTGAAGGAAGATCTAGCTAAGATAATTGATGAAGACTGCTGCACCAAACAAGAGATTTGCAATGCAGATGAAAGAACCTTCTCTTGGAAGAAGATGCCATCTAGGACTTTCATAGCTATAGAGAATTCAGAGCTTGGCTTCAAATCTTCAAAGTCAAGGCTGACTCACTTATTAGGAGCTAATGCAGCTGGTGACTTCAAGTTGAAGCCAATGCTCCTTAACCATTGTGAAAATTCTAGGCCCTTTAAGAATTAGGCTAAATCTATTCTGTCTATACTCTATAAATGGAACAACAAAGCTGGCGTGACAGCACATCTGTTTATAGCATTGTTTACTGAATATTTTAAATCCACTGTTGAGACCTCCACCTCAGAAAAGAAGACTCTTCAAAATTTTACTGCTTACTGACAATGCACTGGTTACTCAAGAGCCCTGATGGAGAGAGCACAAGGAGATGAATAGTGTTTTCGTGCCTGCTAACGTAACATCCACTCTGCAGTCCATGGATCAAGGAGTAATTTCAACTTTCAAATCTTAGTTTTTAAAAAATACATTTTATAAAGCTATAGCTGCCATAGATAGTGATTCCTCTGATGGATCTGGGCAAAGGAAATTAAGACTTTCTGGAAAGGACTCACCATTTTAGATGGCATTAAGAACATTTGTGATTCATGGGAGGAAGTCAAAATATCAACATTAACAGGAATTTGGAAGACATTGATTCCAGCCCTCACAGATGATTTTTGGTGGTTCAAGAGGACAGTTAAGGAAGCAACTGCAAATGTGGTGAAAACAGCAAGAGTATGAGAATTAGAAGTGAGCCTGCTGATGTGACTGAATTGCTGCAGTCTTATGACAAAAATTAAATAAACGAGATACCTCTTGAGAACTTGTTTGGAGATTCTAGCAGGGGAGCACAGCTACTCATATTCCTTGATCAAAGACCAGTCCTCCTCTATCAGGGATGGTCATCCTCTTTGACCGAGCATGCAGCTTCAGGAGGGACGCACATGGAGCGGTGAGGGAGGAAGGGGACACCCGCTTAGCCAGCCAGATCAGCTGAATCAACCCTGGCGATCAATGGGGTGACAGATGTTACAGCCAGATCCCCCTCACATCCAAGTTATTTCTTATGAATGAGCAAATAATGTGGTTTCTTGAGATGGAAACTACTCCTGGTGAAGATACTGTGAACATTGTTGAAATAACAAATTATTTAGAATATTCCATAAAATTAATTGATAAAGCAGTAACAGGGTTTTGAGAGCATTGACTCCAATTTTGAAAGAAACTCTACTATGGGTAAAATGCTATCAAACAGCATCACATACTACAGAGAAATCTTTGAGGAAAGGAAGAGTCCATCAATGTGGCAAACTTCGTTGTTGTCCTATTTTAAGAAATTGCCACAGCCACTTCAACCTTCAGCAACCACCACCCTGATCAGTCAGCAGCCATCAACATCAGTGCAAGACTCTCCACCAGAAAAAAAGATTATAACTTGCTAATGGCTCGAATGTTCATTAGCATTTTTTAGAAAAAGTGTTTTAGAATTAAGGTGCGTACATTGTTTATTTAGACATAATGCTGTTGCACAATTAATAGGCCATAGTATTGTGTAAAAATAACTTATATGCATTGGGAAATTTGATAATTCATGTGACTTCCTTTATTGCGATACTCAGTTTATTGTGGTGGGCTGGAACCAAACTTGTAATATCTTTGAGGTATGCCTGTACATGTTCAGTACAAACACAATCACCCATTAAAAAACATTTTTTATCTATGGTTGATTGAATCCATGGATGCAGAACCCACAGATATGGAGGGCTGACTATATAGGTACTGTCTGTGATTTGAGGCATCCACCAGGGGTCTTGGAATGTATTCCCTGTGGATAAGGACATACTACTGTATGTTGTTTTATCATCTTTCCTTTGCTTCTTTAAATTCATGTTTTTGTCAAATTCTTCAGTGCTACCAAGTTTGTCTAATGAATTTTCTGCTGTTTGTTAGGTTATTTTCTTTTCTTATCTTTTTTTCTTTCTTTTTTTTTTTTTTTTGAGACGGAGTCTCTGTTGCCTAGGCTGGAGTGCAGTGGCACAATCTTGGCTCACTGCAACCTCCATCTCCCATGTTCAAGCGATTCTCCTGCCTCAGCCTCCAAAGTAGCTGGGATTACAGGGGCATGCTGCCACGCCCAGCTAATTTTTTTTTTGTATTTTAGTAGAGATGAGGTTTCACTGTGTTGGCCAGGCTGGTCTCAAACTCCTGAGCTCAGGCAATCTGCCTGTCTCGGCCTCCCAAAGTACTGGGATTATAGGTGTGAGTCACCGTGCCTGACCACAGGTTATTATTTTCTTCCAAATTGTTGCTGTTCTTTTAAATGAGACAGGGTCTCACTCTGTTGCCCAAACTGGAGTTTAGTGGCGCGATCATGGCTCACTGCAGCCTCTAACTCCTGGGTTCAAGCAATCCTCTCACCTCAGCCTCCCAAGTAATTAGGACTATAGTTGCATGCCACCACACCTGGCTAAATATATATATCTATATCTATCTATCTGTATATATTTATATTTAATAGAGATAGTCATTTTACATTGCTCAGGCTGATCTTGAACTCCTGGGCTCAAGCAATCCTCCTGCCCGGCCCTCCTAACGTGCTGGGATTACAGGCATGAGCCACTGCACCCTGCCAAGGTTGAGTTGTTTAATCTGACTTTTGCATACTCTTTCCCTTGTGAGTTTTATTTTATTGTAAAAATTTTGCTTAGTGTATTAGGTCCCATTACTTTTTCTTTCATTTTGATTATGTTTATGATATAGTCTGAATAAAGTTTCCTTGAGCATACTTGTTTATCATATATATATATATAGAGAGAGAGAGATGGAATCTCACTTTGTCGCCCAGGCTGGAGTGCAGTGCAGTGGTGCGATCTTGGTTCACTACAACCCCTACCTCCCGGGTTCAAGCAGTTCTCTGCCTCAGCCTCCTGAGTAGCTGGGATTAGGTGCCTGCCACCACATCCGGCTAATTTTTGTATATTTAGTAGAGACGGGGTTTCACCATCTTGGCCAGGCTAGCTTGCACTCCTGACCTTGTGATCCACCCGCCTCAGCCTCCCAAAGTGCTGGCATTACAGGCGTAGCCACCACACCTGGCCTATCTTGTATTTTGAGTACGTTCAGTACAGTTTGAAGGATGTTTCTGTGATTAATCTACTTATTAAAGTGCTTATGAAAGTGGTATCATGGCATGGAGATTGGGAAAGCTTAGTTGGATCTGTATTCAAACTTTTCTGAGATTTATAAAATATCTTAACGTAGGTTTTGTTCCATCCAGCATGGATTCCTGTAGTCTGTGGCTGTCAAAGACAGTTGTCTCTAGTGTTCACTTCCCTACTTCACTCTACCATTTTAACTGTAGCATACCCTCCGCTCTGGCTTTCAAGAATGAGAGGGTTGATCCTACCTGATTTTTGAGCTTTATCATTAGCTATCCTTTACTCATAATATCTGTACTTTCTAGCAAAACTTGACTATTAAGGATCAATATATGTGAAGTTAAGGATGCAATGTATAGTTCAGTACCTTGTATCTAATTGTCACTCATTCATTATATGTTGAAGAAAAGTAATTTGTTGTTTATTTTACATTTTGTCCTTTCAAACTCATTAGAATAACGTGAGCATACCTATTTCAATGTTTGTGTAATTTGTATAGTTGCAAATTACACTGTTATTAAGTAGAACTTTGTAAGATGGTCTGTATAAGAATTTAAAATTGTTTCTTCACTTAAAAATGTTTTCAGTGGCAGGCCTCTAAATCACTTCTTTCTAAGGCCTGTGGATTTTTTATACACACTGGATTATTATCCATTTTGAGGTAAATATTGAAAGAAAAGACCAATAATTCCTTCATTTTTTTTTTGTTCCATGCCTTACCACTGGTTCATGTTATTATATAAAGACTGTTGTTAGATTTCTTTCTTTCTTTCTTTCTTTTTTGATATGGAGTCTTGTTCTGTCACCCAGGCTGGAGTGCAGTGGCACGATCTTGGCTCACTGCAACCTCTGGCTCCTGGGTTCCAGCAATTCTCCTGCCTCTGCCTCCCGAGTAGCTGGGATTACAGGCACCTGCCACCACGCCTGGCTATTTTTTCTTTTTTTTTTTTAGTAGAGATGGGGTTTCACCATATTGGCTAGGCTGGTCTCGAACTCCCAACTTCAGGTGATCCGCCTTCCTCAGCCTCCCAAAGTGCTAGGATCACAGGCGTGAACCACCACGCCCAGCCTGACTGTTGTTAGATTTCTTATTTTTGTAATGTGCCCTAGAATTAACTTGATCTGAACCTTACCTTCTTTGTTTTTTTAAAGGTAAATGAAATTGCCTTTATAAATACCCTTGAAGCCCAGAATAAACGTCATGATGTTTTATCAAAATTGAAGGAATATGAACAGAGGCTTAATGAGCTACAGGAAGAGCGTCAGAGAAGACAGGAAGAAAAGCAAGCACGTGATGAAGCTGTGCAGGTAGGATTTTTTTATTCAGCAAACATTGCTTGAGCACCTGTCATATTTGTAGGGTCCAGCCCCGCAGGGTCGGTGGGTTTTTCTCCCCATGTGCGGAGATGGGAGATTGTAGAAATAAAGACATAAGACAAAGAAATAAAAGACAGCTGGGCCTGGGGGGACCACTACCACCAAGACGTGGAGACCGGTAGTGGCCCTGAATGCCAGGCTGTGCTGATATTTATTGGATACAAGACAAACGGGCAGGGTAAGGCGTGTGAGCCATCTCCAATGATACGTAAGGTCAAGTGGGTCACATGTCCACTGGACAGGAGGCCCTTCCCTGCCTGGCAGCTGAGGCAGAGAGAGAGAGGAGAGAGAGAGACAGCTTACGCCATTATTTCTGCATATCAGAGACTTTTAGTACTTTCACTAATTTGCTACTGCTTTCTAAAAGGCAGAGCCAAGTGTACAGGATGGAACATGAAAGTGGACTAGGAGCGTGACCACTGAAGCACAGCATCACAGGGAGACGGTTAGGCCTCAGGATAACTGCGGGCACAAGAGGTGGAGGAGTAGAGTCTTCTCTAAACTCCCCGGGGGAAAGGGAGAGTCCCTTTCCCGGTCTGCTAAGTAGTGGGTGTTTTTCCTTGACACTGATGCTACCGCTAGACCACGGTCCGCTTGGCAATGAGCATCTTCCCAGACGCTGGCGTTACCACTAGACCAAGCAGCCCTCTGGTGGCCCTGTCTGGGCATAACAGAAGGCTCTCACTCTTGTCTTCTGGTCACTTCTCACTATGTCCCCTCAGCTCCTATCTCTGTATGGCCTGGTTTTTCCTAGGTTATGATTGTAGAGCAAGGATTATTATAATATTGGAATAAAGAGTAATTGCTACAAACTAATGATTAATGATATTCATATATAATCATATCTGTGATCTATATCTAGTATAACTATTCTTATTTTGTATATTTTATTATACTGGAACAGCTCATGCCCTCGGTCTCTTGCCTTGGCACCTGGGTGGCTTGCCGCCCACACATATTTTAGATTTAAAGCTAGTTGCTGAGGACCCCAAATGGAGTAACCTAGTGTTTGTTCCCAAAGGTGCATGGTTCAATATGGCACTCTAGAAACATAAAGTCTATTTTCTAAAAGATAGTGTGTTCTCTTTCAGTTACGGTCATCAGTTCTTTCATCAGCAGACTGTAATCATAGCAATAGAATCATCAGCTTCAACTAGGTGAAGTACATGAGTAGTAGTGTATATTTTTAAATAGACATCTTTGGTTCCTTACTCTGCATTTTGCAGATTTGAAATATAACAGTTATCTTTCGTTTAAAAATGATGACTCTCACTTCACAATTTTTAACATTCATTAAAACTTAAAGGAAAACAGTTTACTAAACTAGTAGGGAATTTCCTCCACCAACCAACACTTTAAGAATTGTTTTGGCTCTTTAGAATTATTTTTGTTTTTAAAAGTGCTGAAGTTTCCTATGGATTTAATTTCAGTGAAAGATTTTAAACCTGTCTACATATGCTTGAGATATACTGAGATAGATAGTCAGAAAAATCCACTGGTAGATAACATGTATAACATTAAAATTTTAAAAATGTGTAATCATTACTTGCTGTACAGGCACTAGTGCCAAGTATTCTGTAAATACAATAATGGTAAGATCCTAACCTAATACAGAATTTCAGAGACCCTCCATCCATTTTATTTTTACTCTTGAAGCATTCTCATGGACTATTAAAGGCAATTGTGATTCTCATTTCTTGTAAGTAAAATACCAAGTGCTGCCATCATATATTCTCAGTTTGCTGTTATTGGTATGTATATTCTTTATTGATTAATTATAAGCTCAATTTTTTCTTTTTTACTTATCCTGCTTTGTCCTTTTGTCCTAATCATTTGAATTGTAGGCATAAAGAGGAGCTACAGAATCCTTTCTTAGGCTGCCTTAAACACCTCCCTGGCTGAGATATGAAGGGGTCTGAGAGGTTCTTCTGTAGGCTTAAGAATTAGTTATATTTCTAATTCCTTTGCTGTAAGTTTTAATTCTTTCCTTGTGGCTATATAGATTCATAGTGTATATTATTTTATAAAGTCATGCTTCATTTATTAAACAGATATTTAGAAATCCCTACCCTTTGCAGGGTGCTTTATGAGGTACAAAGTTTCCTGTCTTTCGGGAATTTAAATTTCAGATTGGGAAATGGTAGCTGAATTTTACTCATTAGCTGTATGGCTACCAGTTCTCTTTTCAAGTTATTAAAAATGGAAATTAATAGGTTGAGTAACTTTTTACGTCCAGTTATCTCTTTTCATACAATGTTGGAGTTGGTCTGATATCCATTAAAACAGTCAGCAAGTTGACATTATGTTTACAAGTGTACACTTGGCTACATTGCACATACCTGCAGTAATTATTTTTACATAATACATATTTTATAAGATCAGTTTAGGATTTAAAAAATTACATTCCTCAAGCCTTTGGTCTTATATTAATAAAATATGAAATGAAAAATTCTGCTTTAATTATTTATATTTAATGCCTAAGCTCTTTGTATTTTGTTGTGAAACATGTGTTTTCAGATATAATATGGAATTTTTAAACTTCAGAAAAATTGGACTATAAGAGGAATTTTTTTATTCACTTTTTTTTTAATGGAGAAAATTTTCTGTGCCAGATTTGATTGTTTTTACTCTTAAGAGTTTTTGATTTTTTTTGGCTAACCAAGTTTCCACATATTATTCTTGATTAGTCATGAGAAATAGCTACAACTATTTCATGAATAGTATGCTCAGACAGTAAAGGATATATTTTAAAATCTAATTGCATGACTCCAACAGTCTGCAGTGTGCCTGTTATGTCCTCCTCAAATAAGGGCATTCCCTCCAATTCCCAGTTTACCCTCTTCTTATACCACCTACCCCCTCAAAAAAAAAAGAAAGAAATAGAGATCCTTTTGGCTATTTTTAAAAGGCTTTCTTTCCCTGGGGCAGATAGAGCTTGTTGTGGAGATGAAGTTACTATTGTGCGCTCAGTTAACTATTAGAAATGTTCAAATCTCTCTTTTGTGTTCCCTGAACAGAAATTGCTTTGTTATTTTTTTTCTGCTATCTTTTACTGAGCCCTTACTATGGCTAAACTCTATGCTGAGAACTTACCTGTAATTAATAATTTACATCTCACAATCAACTGAGGCTCTTTAAGGTGAAGTACTTTGCCCAAGGTTATGTAAGTAGTAGGTACTAGAGCCTAGATCAATGTATTCCATTAATTATAGAGGAGAGGCTACCGAGAGGTTGTGAGTGCTATCTGGGGAATGGGTATGGATTCAGAGAAACATATCAATAAGATGAGGAACATGTTAGTGACAAATATTTCATGTTGAAGTTACCCAGTTTTCATGATTTATCTTCTGGCTTGATGATGATGATGATGATAATTATTTAGAATTTTATATATGCCAGGCCCTATGGTAAGTGCTTTTCATATATTAGCTCATCTGTGCTTTATAATATCCTAAGAAATACATATTATTATTTATCTTCTAGAAAAGTAAGGCACAGAGAATGTAACTAAGTAGCCCAGAGCCACTGTGCTAGTGAATAATGGGGTCAGGAAACAAAACCAGGGAATCTGACCCGATATCCACTCTTACACCCACTGTGCTCTATTGTATTACCTCTTTCTCCTTCTCACAAACTGTCTTTACTTAATTCCATCATGAAAGCTTAGTTCAGAAATAAAATCTATTAACTATGGTTTTTTCATCATATTCAGGTGTTTCTATAACCATATATTAACACAAGGCTTTAGAAGTGATTAATCAGAAAACATATATTAAGTTCTGTATTAGTCAGAGTTCTCTAGAGGTACAGAACTAATAGGATATATATGTATATGTGTGTGTGTGTGTGTGTGTGTGTGTGTGTATGTGTATATATATGTGTGTGTGTGTATATATATATAAAACATATATATATATGAGTTTATTAAGTATTAACTCACACAATCACAAGGTCCCACAACAGAGTGTCTACAAGCTGAGGAGTAAGGAGAGCCAGTCCGAGTTCCAAAACTGAAGAACTTGGAGTCTGATGTTTGAGGGCAGGAAGCATCCAGCACGGCTGAAGGATGTAGGCTGGTAGGCTAGGCCAGTCTCTCTTTTCATATTTTTCTGCCTGCTTTATATTCTAGCCTCGCTGGCAGCTGATTAACCATCACAAGTTCCCACAAAACAAGTATAACACAGTGTTTGTATAAAAAAGCAAGTCTTTACTGAATTATGTGTAACACTGGTAAATGACTTTCAGAAACCAGATATCATTGCTATTTGATTTTTGTTTAAACTTTAAGAAGCAGAGTACCTAGTGGCAAGCCCATGTTTCTACTTGGCTTGAACATGTAAGTTTGGTGAAAGGTATATTACTTTGAATCATTTTTATTTTACACATAATTCTAATATTGGAAACAAATATTTCTAACATTAGGAACGCAAGAGAGCTCTAGAGGCAGAGCGGCAGGCCCGTGTAGAAGAATTGTTAATGAAGAGGAAAGAACAAGAAGCCCGAATTGAACAACAGAGGCAAGAAAAGGAAAAAGCCCGTGAGGATGCAGCCCGGGAAAGAGCTAGGTATCTCATTTGCTATCTTGATGAACATTTTGCACTGAGTGAATATTCAAGTTGAGGTCTTAAAGCCATTTACTGTCATGTAGAGTTTTTTTGAGATGAGGTTTTGCGATGTTCCCCAGGTTGATCTTGAACTCTCTGACTCAAGTGATCCTCCCACCTCACCCTCCTGAGTAGCTTGGACTACAGGTGTGTACCACCACACTCAAATCAAAAAATATATAATTTGATTCTGGATGGCTTCAGCAAAAGAGACTTTTGGGGAAGATACTGAGGGCATAATTAGTAAAAGGTTAGAGGACCAAGTTTGGAAATGTTCTGTCAGACATGAAAGTCTAGATCACAAGAGTCACAGCAGTGGATTTTTTTTTTTTTTTTTTTGATGGAAATAGTCTGGTCAGCATGTTGCCACTCTGATTATGATGTATGACCTTCAATTATCCCTTAGTTTTAATCACTTGTTTAAGATTTAAAGACACAGGAAAAAACATATAATTGGCCAAGCCTAAGTCCCTTTTATTGGTGTGACCTTACTGACGTGATATTTTGTGACTTCTGAATTATAGCGAAGTTGGTAGATGTGAAAAGATAGCTCTTTGTGGTTTTAATTTGCTTTTCTACTTGTCCCTGATTAATAATAAGGCTGAACAACTTTTTCACATGTTTATGAGCTGTTCAGGGTTTTTTTATGCAAAGTGCCTATTCAAATTTTTGTTCATTCCTGTATTGGGGTCTTTTTTTTCTTATTGATGTTTAGGGATTATCTTTACTAGATACTAAGTCTTTGTTAGTTACATATATTGCAAATATACCTATAGGTTGTGTCTTACCTTTTTTCTTTCTTTATGATGTTTTTTGATTAGCATAACTCTTGGTTGCAGTTTAGTAGAACTGAACAAACTATAATTTATGCCTTTTGGTCTTATTTATGAAATCTTTTTCTATCCTAAGTCATAAGACATTCTTCAAAATTTTA
This sequence comes from Homo sapiens, assembly GCF_000001405.40. NCBI lineage: Eukaryota > Metazoa > Chordata > Mammalia > Primates > Hominidae > Homo > Homo sapiens. The sequence goes on along the minus strand of NC_000015.10, from coordinate 76,727,621 downwards.
TAGTTTTATCTTTTATAGTCTTTATCTATCTGCAATTGGTTTTATTGTGTATTTAGAGGTAGGAGTCTTACTTCATTTTCTCCATGTGGATACCCAATTATTCTAGCATACTTTATTGAAAAATGCATTTTTTCCCTACTGATCTGCAAGGCTTTCTAACATAAGCCAAGTTTTTATATATGTGTGGGTCTGCTCGTGGACTGTTGTGTTCTGGTCCAGTGATGAATTTGTTTGTCATCTGCCTTAGTTATCAAAGCTTTATAATAATTGTTGGTGTCTGGAACTATCCTTCACCTTATTTTTTATTAGGACTGTCCTGGCCCTATTTCATGTCTGTGTTAGTTTTAGAATCAGCTTGCTCAGTTCTATATTTAAAAATAAACTATAAAATTTTGATTGGAATTGCATTGAATCTATAAATTCAGGTGTTAAGATTGATATTTTTATGTTGAATATTTTAATTTATGAGCATGCTACTAAATGTTTTTCTACTGATTTAGGTCTTTCAGAACATCTTTATATCCTTTCATCAAACTTACATGTTCAAGCCAAGTAGAAATTTTTTTTTCTATAAAGGATTTTTGTATGCTTTTCTATTGTGGCAAAAAATATAAATAGCATGAAATTTATCATTTTAATCATTTTTAAGTTTACAGTCCAGTGGCCTTGAGTACATTGATATTTTTATGAAACTATCACCACCATCTGTACCCAGAAATTTTTTCAGTTTCCGAGACTGAAGTGTTCTATCTACTAAGTAGTAACTCCCTATTCTCTCCATTCCATACCCCCACTTGCCTCTGACAATCGTCATGCTACTTTCTGTTTCTATGAATGTGACTGCTTTAGGGATCTTATATAAGTGGAATCATACGGTATTTGTCCTTTTGTGACTTATCCTAATGTCTTCAAGTTTCATCCATGTTGTAGCATGTGTCAGGATTTTCTTCCTTTTTAAGACTGAATAGTATTTCATTGTATGTATAATACCACATTTTATTTATTCATTTCTTTGTTGAAGCAACTTGAGTTGCTTCTACCTTTTGACTATTGTGAATAATGCTGCTATAAACACGGGTGTTACAAATGTATGTTTTAGTCTCTGCTTTTTAATTCCAAGAGTGAAGTGGTTGGATCATATACTAATTTTATTGGTTTTTTTTTGAAGAGAACCCTACTGTTTTTCATAGCAGCTGTACCATTTTTATGTTCTCAGCAGCATTGCACAAGGGTTCCACATCCTCACCAATGCTTGTTATTTTGTTTTTCTAAAAATAGCCTTATTGAAGAGTGTGAAGTGGCATCTCATTCTGGTTTTGATTTGCATTTCCCTAGTGATTAGTGACCTTAAGCATCTTTTCATGTGCTTATTGGCCATTTCTTTATATTTTTGGGGACAGGTTACCACTTAGGTCCTTTGCCTATTTTTTAATCTGGTTATTTTCTTGTTGGGTTATAGAGTTTTTTATATATATATATATATATATATATATATATTCTAGACATTAACCCTTTATCAAAGATAGAATTTACTGATATTTTCTCCCATTCTGTAGGTTGACTTTTCATTTTGTTGATATTGTCTATTGAAGAACAAAAGTTTTAAATTTGGACATAGTTCAATTTCTCTATTTTTGTTGTTGTTGTTTTTGTTGCCTTTACTTTTTTTTTGTCATATTCAATAAATCATAGCCAAATCCAATGTTGTGAAGTTTTCTCCCTGGATTTTCTTGTAACATTTTTATACTTTTAGGTCTTATGTTTAGATCTTGGATAGTTTTAGTTAATTTTTGTATATCGTATAAGGTAAGGGTTCAACTTCATTCTTTTGCACATACTCAGTTTTCCCATCACTTCTTGTTGAAAAGACTGTCCTTTCTCTATTGAATGGTTTTGTCATCTTTGTTGAAATTATTTGACTTACATACAATGGCTGTATTTCTTGGCTCACTGTTCTGTTTCATTGGACTATATACATGTCTGTTTTTATGGTAGTCCATACTGTTTTGATTACTGTAGTTTTGTAGTAAGTTTTGAAATCAGGATATGTGAGCCTCTTTGTTCTTTTCAAGATTGTTTTGGCTTGAGGATCCTTTGAGATTCATGTGCATTTTTTAATTTTTGTAAAAAAGAAGTCATTGGGATTTTGATAGGGATTGCATTCAATCTATAGATTGTTTTGGGAAGTATGGCTTTTTTTTTTTAATGTATACACTAAGAGAGAGAATTCAGGGTGGGCTGCTTGTAAAGGATGAGGCAGCCAATATGGCCATCTTAATTTAACAGTGTTGAGTTTTTCAGTCCATGAAAACATGATGTCTTTCCATTTATTTGTGTCTTCAGTTCCTTTCAACAATGTTTTGTAGTTTTCATTGCATCTGTTTTTCTCATCTTGTTATGTTTATTCCTAAGTATTTTATTTTTTGTACACATTTTATGATATTTTTTAGTTACTATTTTATCCTGTTATACAATTATAAATAGAATCTCTTAAGTGCTTTTAAAATTTGTATGTTGCTGGTGTTTAGAAATACCATTTATTGGGGGGTGGAGAGAAGATGACCGAATAGGAACAGCTCCAGTCTACAGCTCCCAGTGTGAGCAACGCAGAAGATGGGTGATTTCTGCATTTCCAACTGAGGAATGCAGCTCCTCACCAGCAACAGAACAAAGCTGGACGGAGAATGACTTTGACGCGTTGAGAGAAGAAGGCTTCAGAACAGCGGACTACTCTGAGCTAAAGGAGGAAGTTCGAACCAATGGCAAAGAAGTTAAAAACTTTGAAAAAAAATTAGACGAATGGATAACTAGAATAACCAATGCAGAGAAGTCCTTAAAGGACCTGATAGAGCTGAAAACCATGGCACGAGAACTACGTGACAAATGCACAAGACTCAGTAACTAATGTGATCAACGGGAAGAAAGGGTATCAGTGATGGAAGACGAAATGAATGAAATGAAGCGTGAAGAGAAGTTTAGAGAAAAAAGAATAAAAAGAAACACACAAAGCCTCCAAGAAATATGGGACTATGTGAAAAGACCAAATCTACGTCTCATTGGTGTACCTGAAAGTGACAGGGAGAATGGAAGCAAGTTGGAAAACACTCTGCAGGATATTATCCAGCAGAACTTCCCCAATCCAGCAAGGCAGGCCAACATTCAAATTCAGGAAATACAGAGAATGCCACAAAGATACTCCTTGAGAAGAGCAACTCCAAGACACATAATTGTCAGATTCACCGAAGTTGAAATGAAGGAAAAAATGTTAAGGGCAGCCAGAGAGAAAGGTTGGGTTAGCCACAAAGGGAAGCCCATCAGACTAACAGCTGATCTCTCGGCAGAAACTCTATAAGCCAGAAGAGAATGGGGGCCAATATTCAACATTCTTAAAGAAAAGAATTTTCAACCCAGTATTTCATATCCAGCCAAACTAAGCTTCATAAGTGAAGGAGAAATAAGTCTTTGCTTTACAAACAAGCAAAGACTGAGAGATTTTGTCACTACCAGGCCTGCCCTAAAAGAGCTCCTGAAGGAAGCACTAAACATGGAAAGGAACAACCGGTACCACCCACTGCAAAAACATGTCAAATTGTAAAGACCATCAAGGCTAGGAAGAAACTGCATCAACTAATGAGCAAAATAACCAGCTAACATTATAATGACAGGATCAAATTCACACGTAACAATACTAACCTTAAATGTAAATGGGCTAAATGCTCCAATTAAAAGTCACAGACTGGCAAATTGGATAGAGTCAAGACCCATCAGTGTGCTGTATTCAGGAACCCCATCTCATGTGCAGAGGCACACATAGGCTCACAAAAAAGGGATGAAGGAAGATCTACCAGGCAAATGGAAAACAATAAAAGGCAGGGGTTGCAATCCTAGTCTCTGATAAAACAGACTTTAAACCAACAAAGATCAAAAGAGACAAGGCCATTACATAATGGTAAAGGGATCAATTCAACAAGAACTAACTATCCTAAATATACATGCACCCAATACAGGAGCACCCAGATTCATAAAGCAAGTCCTTAGAGACCTACAAAGAGACTTAGACTTCCACACAATAATAATGGGAGACTTTAACACCCCACTGTCAACATTAGACAGATCAATGAGACAGAAAGTTAACAAGGATATCCAGGAATTGAACTCAGCTCTGCACCAAGCAGACCTAATAGACATCTACAGAACTCTCCACCCCAAATCAACACAATATACATTCTTTTCAGCACACCACACCACACCTATTCCAAAATTGACCACATAGTTGGAAGTAAAACACTCCTCAGCAAATGTAAAAGAAGAGAAATTATAACAAACTGTCTCTCAGACCACAGTGCAATCAAACTAGAACTCAGGATTAAGAAACTCACTCAAAACTGCTAAACTTCATGGAAACTGAACAACCGGCTCCTGAATGACTACTGGGTAAATAATGAAATGAAGGCAGAAATAAAGATGTTCTTTGAAACCAACGAGAACAAAGACACAACATACCAAAATCTCTGGGACACATTCAAAGCAGTGTGTAGAGGGAAATTTATAGCCCTAAATACCCACAAGAGAAAGCAGGAAAGATCTAAAATTGACACCCTAACATCACAATTAAAAGAACCAGAGAAGCAAGAGCAAACACATTCAAAAGCTAGCAGAAGGCAAGAAATAACTAAGATCAGAGCAGAACTGAAGGAAATAGAGACACAAAAAAACCCTTCAAAAAATCAATGAATCCAGGAGCCTGTTTTTTTAAAAGATCAGCAAAATCGATAGACTGCTAGCAAGACTAATAAAGAAGAAAAGAGAGAAGAATCAAATAGGCATAATAAAAAATGACAAAGGAGATATCACCACCGATCCCACAGAAATACAAACTACCATCAGAGAATACTATAAACACCTCTATGCAAATAAACTAGAAAATCTAGAAGAAATGGATAAATTCCTTGACACATACACCCTCCCAAGACTTAACCAGGAAGAAGTTGAATCTCTGAATAGACCAATAACAGGCTCTGAAATTGAGGCAATAATTAATAGCTTACCAACCAAAGAAAGTCCAGGACCAGACGGATTCACAGCCGAATTCTACCAGAGGTACAAGGAGGAGCTGGTACCATTCCTTCTGAAACTATTGCAATCAATAGAAAAAGAGGGAATCCTCTCTAACTCATTTTATGAGGCCAGCATCATCCTGATACCAAAGCCTAGGAGAGACACAACCAAAAAAGAGAATTTTAGACCAATATCCTTGATGAACATTGATGCAAAAATCCTCAATAAAATACTGGCAAACCGAATCCAGCAACACATCGAAAAGCTTATCCACCATGATCAAGTGGGCTTCATCCCTGGGATGCAAGGCTGGTTCAACATACGCAAATCAATAAACGTAATCCAGCATATAAACAGAACCAAAGACAAAAACCACATGATTATCTCAATAGATGCAGAAAAGGCCTTTGACAAAATTCAACAACCCTTCATGCTAAAAATTCTCAATAAATTAGGTATTGATGGGACAAATCTCAAAATAATAAGAGCTATCTATTGAAAACCCACAGCCAAAATCATAGTGAATGGACAAAAACCGGAAGCATTCCCTTTGAAAACTGGCACAAGACAGGGATGCCCTCTCTCACCACTCCTATTCAACATAGTGTTGGAAGTTCTGGCCAGGGCAGTCAGACAGGAGAAGGAAATAAAGGGCATTCAATTAGGAAAAGGGGAAGTCAAATTGTCCCTGTTTGCCGATGACATGATTGTATATCTAGAAAACCCCATCGTCTCAGCCCAAAATCTCCTTAAGCTGATAAGCAACTTCAGCAAAGTCTCAGGATACAAAATCAGTGTACAAAAATCACAAGCATTCTTATACACCAATAACAGACAAACAGAGAGCCAAATCATGAGTGAACTCCCATTCACAATTGCTTCAAAGAGAATAAAATACCTAGGAATCCACCTTACAAGGGACGTGAAGGACCTCTTCAAGGAGAACTACAAACCACTGCTCAATGAAATAAAAGAGGACACAAACAAATGGAAGAACATTCCATGCTCATGGGTAGGAAGAATCAATATCGTGAAAATGGCCATACTGCCCAAGGTAATTTATAGATTCAATGCCATCCCCATCAAGCTGCCAATGACTTTCTTCACAGAATTGGAAAAAACTACTTTAAAGTTCATATGGAACCAAAAAAGAGCCCGCATCGCCAAGTCAATCCTAAGCCAAAAGAACAAAGCTGGAGGCATCACACTACCTGACTTCAAACTATACTACAAGGCTACAGTAACCAAAACAGCATGGTACTGGTACCAAAACAGAGTTATAGACCAATGGAACAGAACAGAGCCCTCAGAAATAATGCCGCATATCTACAACTACCTGATCTTTGACAAACCTGAGAAAAAGAAGCAATGGGGAAAGGATTCCCTATTTAATAAAAGGTGCTGGGCAAACTGGCTAGCCATATGTAGAAAGCTGAAACTGGATCCCTTCCTTACACCTTATACAAAAATTAATTCAAGATGGATTAAAGACTTAAAGGTTAGACCTAAAACCATAAAAACCCTAGAAGAAAACCTAGGCATTACCATTCAGGACATAGGCATGGGCAAGGACTTCATGTCTAAAACACCAAAAGCAATGGCAACAAAAGCCAAAATTGACAAATGGGATCTAATTAAACTAAAGACCTTCTGCACAGCAAAAGAAACCACCATCAGAGTGAACAGGCAACCTACAGAATGGGAGAAAATTTTTGCAACCTACTCATCTGACAAAGGGCTAATATCCAGAATCTACAATGAACTCAAACAAATTTACAGGAAAAAAACAACCCCATCAAAAAGTGGGCAAAGGATATGAACAGACACTTCTCAAAAGAAGACATTTATGCAGCCAAGAACCACATGAAAAAGTGCTCATCATCACTCTCCATCAGAGAAATGCAAATCAAAACCACAATGAGATACCATCTCACACCAGTTAGAATGGCGATCATTAAAAAGTCAGGAAACAGCAGGTGCTGGAGAGGATGTGGAGAAATAGGAACACTTTTACACTGTTGGTGGGACTGTAAACTAGTTCAACCATTGTGGAAGTCAGTGTGGTGATTCCTCAGGGATCTAGAACTAGAAATACCATTTGACCCAGTCGTCCCATTACTGGGTATATACCCAAAGGATTATAAATCATGCTGCTATAAAGACACATTCACATGTATGTTTATTGTGGCACTATCCACAATAGCAAAGACTTGGAACCAACCCAAATGTCCAACAATGATAGACTGGATTAAGAAAATGTGGCACATATACACCATGGAATACTATGCAGCCATAAAAAATGATGAGTTCATGTCCTTTGTAGGGACAGAATGAAGCTGTAAACCATCATTCTCAGCAAACTATCGCAAGGACAAAAAACCGAACACCACATGTTCTCACTCATAGGTGGGAATTGAATAATGAGAACGCATGGACACAGGAAGGGGAACATCACACACTGGGGACTGTTGTGGGGTGGGGGGAGGGGGGAAGTATAGCATTAGGAGATATACCTAATGCTAAATGATGAGTTAATGGGTGCAGCACACCAACATGGCACATGTATACATATGTAACAAACCTGCACGTTGTGCACATGTACCCTAAAACTTAAAGTGTAATAATAATTAAAAAAAAAAAGAAATACCATTTATTTTGTTTCAGCAACCACAATAAATTCTGTTAAGCATTCTAATAATTAATCTTAGATTTTTTTTAGCGTTTTCTACGTAAATAAACATATAATCTACCAATATATAGTTGGGATTTTTTTCCTCATCTTTATGCCTTTTGTTTCGTTAGTGGGCATCTTATTTATAAGGAATGGGTTCCACAATTAACTATTAAAGATATCTGCCTTAGGTTTTTTAAAAAATAGTTTTTATTTGTTGTTTATTTAAGGTATACATCATAATGTTGTAGTGTACATATAGATAGTAAAAGGTTTACTATAGTGAAGCGAACTAACATATCTATCTTCTCACATAGTTACCCATTTTATTTGTTTTAGTGGCAAGGGCAACTAAAATCTCATTTATCACAAATCCCAGTACTGTACAATTTTATTACCTATAGCCCTCCTGTTGTACATTAGATCTCTAGACTTGTTCATCTTACATATCTGCAGTTTTGTATCCTCTGATCTACGTCTCCTCTTTTCTGCCCTCTCCCTCTTATGCACACCCGTGATAACTAATACCTTGTTTTCTATCTCTGTATAATTGAATTTTTTTTAAGATTTCACATATAAGTGAGATCATGCAATATTTTTCTTTCCATGTGTGGCTCATTTTACTTAGGATATTGTTCTCTAGGCTCATCCATATTGTGGCAAATGACAATGTCTTGTTCCTTTTAGGGCTAAATGGTATGTATACTACAGTTTCTTTATCATTGTTTCTTTGATGGACACTTAGTTTCCTTTCATATCTTGGCTATTATGAATAATGCCATAGGAAACATGGAAGTGCAAATATCTTTATGAGGTGGTGATTCCATTTCCTTTGGGTATATTGCCAGAAGAGGGATCAGCTGGGTCCTATGGTAGTTCTATTTTAAATTTCTTTAGAAACCTCCATCCTGTTTTCCAGATGGCTGTACCAAGCCACACTCTCAACAACAGTGTAAAAGAGTTCCCTTTTCTCCATACCCTCACCAACATTTGTTTTTTGACCTTTTGATAATAGTCATCTAATGGGTGTGAGTTAGTATTTCATAATGGTTTTAATGTTCATTTCTCTGATGATTAATGGTGTACATCACCTTTCCATATATCTACTGACTATGACTTCTTTGGAGAAATGTCTATGGCGATTCTTTACCCATTTTAAAATCAGTTTGTTTTTCTACTATTGAGTTGTATGAGGTTTTTTTAAATATATATATTTTTCTTGTTTTTTGTTTTTGTTTTTTTTTTCCTTTTTGAGACAGAATCTTGTTCTCTTGTCCAGGCTGGAGTGAAGTGGCATGATTTTGGCTCACTGCAGCCTCCACTTCCCAGGTTCAAGTGATTCTTGTGCTTCAGCCACCCGAGTAGCTGGGATTATAGGTGTGTGCCACCATGCGTGGCTGATTTTCGAACTCCTGACCTCAAGTGATCCGCCCGCTTTTGCCTCCCAAAGTGCTGGGATTACAGGCATGAGCCACCGTGGCTAGCCTAGTTCTTTATATTTTGGATATTAACTCTCTATTAGATATATGGACTAAATATTTTGCCCCATTCCTTAGGCTGATGTTTTATTGATTTTTTTCTTTGCTATGCAGAAACTATAAACTTCCCTCTTACAACTGCTTTTGCTGCAACCCATAGATTTTGCTGTGTTGCGTTTCTATTGTTGTTTGTCCCAAGATATTTTTTAATTTCCTTTTTGATTTCTTCTTTAACTCATGACTTATTTTGGAGCATGTTATTTAATTGCCATTTATTTATGAAATTTTCAGGATTCATTTTATTGATTTCTAGTTTTATATCATAGTGATCTGAAACAACAATAGGTACAATTTGAATCTTCTTAAATTTGTTAAGACGACTTGTTTTGTGGTTTAACATATGGCCTATCCTGGATAATGATCCATGTGGACTAGAAAAAAATGTATTGCTTTTGATGGGATGTTCTGCCTATGTATATTAGGTCCATTTGGTCAAAGTACAATTAAGTCTAGTATTTATTTTCTCTCTAGTTTATCTATTGTTGACAGTGGGGTATTGAAGTCCCTTATATTATTATATTGCTATCTATTTCTCCCTTCATGTCCATTAATATTTGCTTTATAGTTTTAGTGCTCCAATGTTAGGTGCATATATATTTACAATTGTTACATCCCATTGATGAACTGACCCCTTTATCATTAAATAATGATCTCTTTATTATTTGTATATTTGCTATAGTTTTTTGTTTTGTGGTTACTATGAGCTTATCCAAACATCTTATACTGTTACACTTAACAACTGTTAAGTTGTTATCAGCTGTTTTAAGTTGATAACAATTTCTGGCACATACAAAAACTAGACTTTTACTGTCCATCCCACAAGTTACGTTTTTGATGTCAAAATATTCATCTTTTTATATTATGTATTCCTTAAAAACTTATTGTAACTTTTGTTGTTTTTGACTATTTTGACTTTAGCCTTCATAATAGAGATACGTGTGGTTTACATACCACACTTACAGTTTCGAAGTATTCTGATTTGACTAAGTATTTATCTCTACCAGTGAGTCTTATACTTTATGTGTATCCATGGTGGTAATTATTATAATTTTCTTTCTCCTCGAAGAAGCATTTCATGTAACACAGGTCTAGTGTCAGTGAATTCCTTCAACTTTTATTTGTCTGGGGAAGACTTTATTTCTCCTTCATTTCTGAAGGATAGTTTTCCTTGGTATAGTATTCTTAGCCGGCAGGTTTTTTTTTTTTTTTTTTCCCTTTCATCATTTTGAATATGTCATCCCATTCTCCAGGCTTGTAAGGTTTCTGCAGAAAAGTCCAATGATACTCTGATGGACATCCCCTTATATGTGACTAGACAGTTTTCTCTTGCTGTTTTTAAAACTATTTCATTGTCTTTTCACTTTTGCCAGTTTGATTATAGTGTACCTTGGAGAGAACCTTCTAAAGTTTATCTGAGATCTTTGAGCTTCATTGACTTGTATGTAGATCTCTCTCTCTTCCTAAGTCCCAAGATTTAGGAAGTTTTTACCAATTATTTTATTTATATAAACCTTTTCTGTTTCTTCCCCCTTTGGGATTCCTACAATGTGAATATTTGTTTGCTTAGTGGTGTCCCATAGGCTCTCTTCATTCTTTTTTCTTTTTCTTCTCTTCTGAGTCATTTCAGAAACCTTCAAGGTTCTTTCTTCTGCTTGATCTAGTCTGCTGTTGAACCCTCTGTGGTATTTTTTATTTCATTGAATTCTTCAGCTCTTAAGATTTTTATTGAGATTTTTTAAATGATATCTCCTTTATTGAATTTCTCATTCAGATCATGATTTATTTTTCTAATTTCATTGAATGGTCTGTTTTTATTCTCTTATGTTTCACTGAGTTTCCTTTGTTCATTATTTTGAATTCCTTTTTAGAAAATTTGTAGATTTCTGTTTCTTTGGGGTCAGTTACTGGAGAGTTATTGTGTTCCTTTTAGTGGTTTCATATTTCCTTGCTTTTTCATGTTTCTTGTGACCCTGCCATGATGTTTGTACATCTGATAGTGCAGTCATATCTTTCCAACTTTACAGAGTGGGAAGGGGATGACTTTCACTTGAAGATGGGCCTGAGGGTACCGCTTGGGTGTAGGACACAGTGGCTCTGCTTCTGTGTGGGTGCAATGGTGTAGTTATCATGCAGCTTCTTAGTTGTGATCAGTGTCAGTGAAGACTGTGAGTGCCTTAGTGGTCTGGGCTGTAGGAGTCTGTGTCAGTGATGTTGGCTGCTGAGGTTATTAGGGCAAAGGTTGTAGGGGTCTTCCTGTTCTTGTCTTCCCCAAAGTAGGGAATCTTCATTGAGGGGATCTCTTTTGGTATCAGGTCTGACATTGTTCACAGGCAGCCACAGCAGCACTGGGTTTTAGGGCACAGGAGCTCAGAGCAGCTGTGGAGCCAAGTTTCTGGGCTTAGGGTCTTGTGAAACTACTGTAGCACCTGGGACTTCAGGCACAGGTTCACTTTCCAAGGCATGAGTGGATTCAGTTCTCCCACTACACAGTGTTTGTTTCTGTGGGGCATACCCTAGCAGCTTGGGCCCAGGGGGCTGGGATGTAGGCATGCTTCTGACCTTGGGGGGCAGGGTGAGGCACTGGCATGATTCTGGGGAAGAAGGGGTCTCTGGAGACTCAGTCCCTGGTGAGCAGTGAACAGTTGCCATTTGGGATCCAGAACCAACTGGGTAACATGGTAGCTCAGGCTGTGGGTGATGAGGAGCATGTGGTGGTCACTTGGGACCCTGACTTGGTATAATAGCCCAGGCTCTATGAGGCTGGGTCCAGTGGCAACAAGGAGCCAGGAATGGCAAGATACAGCTGTATCTTGGGCCCTGTGGGGTAGGGAACAATGCAGCAATAACCACTCCTTGGAGAGGTAGGGTACCTCAGCAGATTGAAATGTAGGGGGACTAGTCCAGTTCTAGGCAGATGGGGCACTGTGTCTCTTTGGCCTAGAACACAGGGTTTCACAGCTCAGCCGAGCTTCTGAATCCCTGGAAGGCAAGTTGCCATATCTGGTCAGCCCCAGAAGGCATAGCTACTTGGGTCAGTAGAGCCTTTGGATCCCTGGGCCGGGGTGGGGGTACTGCATCAGCTGTGGTGCTGGGGGTGCAATTACTTTGGTGTGCCAGAGGCTCAGAGCTCCTGGAAGTGTGAGGTGCTGTCTCACCAGTAGTATTGGCGGGGGTGTATGTGGTCTGGGGGAGGTATCAACTGTTTCTGTGTGCCAGAGGCCTGAGGTCTCCAATGAGTGGGATGCCACTTCTGTTCAGTTTAAGAGGAGGGTGCGCTAACAACTAGAATTCAACACCTCTGTAGTAGCTTGGCCGTTTGTGGTAGGGTATAGCAGCAGTTCAGCTGGGGGATGTCATGCTGCTGGGTGGATGTTGAGTTTTTCAAGTGCTTTTTATGTGTTTTTTTTAATATGGAAATAATTCTATAAAATTTCTCCTTTAATCCGTTAATGTGGTAATTAGTTGATTGATTTTTCTAATGTTAAATCAGGCTTGCATTTCTGGGATAAGCTCCACTTCAATTTGATGTATTTTCGCAATTTACCGATATAAATTATTGTTGGATGTGGTTAACTAATTTTCAAGGTTTTTAACCTGAGGAGTAAGCCATATATTTTTAAAAACAGTAAACATTTTTTATGAATTATAACAAACAAAAATACACAAATCTAAGTGTACATCTTGATGAATTGTCATCTCACCCATGTGACTACCTGGCCAAGAAAGAGAACATCATCAGCTCCCCAAAAGCCCCTTTTATGTCCCTCCAAATCACTACTACTACTACTGCTACTACTACTACTACTACTACTACTACTACCACTACTACTACTAGAATGGTAATCACATTTTTTACACTGTAGTCTAGTATATGCCTAGGAATGGAATTGCTGGGGCCCAGGGCATGCAAATATTCAACTTAAGTAGATACCACCAAATTGTTTAGTAATGTAATGGTTTCTGTATTCAGATGCTCCACAACCTTGCTTGAAATTGAAATTAACAGTTAAATTTTTTTTCACAACTTTATTGTGGTATAACTGAGCACTTACTAAAGTGTACAATTTGATGAGTTTTCACATATGTAACCATTGTGAAACTATCTGCACAATCAAGATAATATATCCATCACCACCCCGCCCAAATATTTCATGCTGCTTGGTAATCCATTTCTCTTTTCTCTATCCTCAGCCCAACACAGCCACTGATTTACTTTCTCTCTTGTCTGTCATCTTTTACTCTGCACTATTTTTTTGAGATTCCTCCATGTTGTGTGTATCTGTGGCTTGCTCTTTTAAAAAAAAAATTGCTGAGTAGTATTTGTGTATATGTCATGCAAATTACAGTCCTTTTACCTCTTTGAGACATTTGGATTATCTCCAGTTTTTTTGGCTATTACAGATAAAGCTGATATGGATGTTTGCATATGAGTCTTTTTGTGGCCATTCACTTTTGCTTCTCTTGAGTAAATAACTAGGAGAGGAATGGCTGGGTTGTAGAGTAGATGTATATCAAACTTTTTAGGAAACTTAAAACTATTTTTTCTTTACTTTTTTTAAAATTTATTTTATTATTATTATACTTTAAGTTTTAGGGTACATGTGCACAATGTGCAGGTTAGTTACATATGTATACATGTGCCATGCTGGTGTGCTGCACCCACTAACTCGTCATTTAGCATTAGGTATATCTCCTAATGCTATCCCTCCCCTCTCCCCCCACCCCACAACAGTCCCCAGAGTGTGATGTTCCCCTTCCTGTGTCCATGTGTTCTCATTGTTCATTTCCCACCTATGAGTAAGAACATGCGGTGTTTGGTTTTTTGTCCTTGCGATAGTTTGCTGAGAATGATGATTTCCAATTTCATCCATGTCCCTACAAAGGACATGAACTCATCATTTTTTATGGCTGCATAGTATTCCATGGTGTATATGTGCCACATTTTCTTAGTCCAGTCTATCAATGTTGGACATTTGGGTTGGTTCCAAGTCTTTGCTATTGTGAATAGTGCCGCAATAAACATATGTGTGCATGTGTCTTTATAGCAGCATGATTTATAGTCCTTTGGGTATATACTCAGTAATGGGATGGCTGGGTCAAATGGTATTTCTAGTTCTAGATGCCTGAGGAATCGCCACACTGACTTCCACAATGGTTGAACTAGTTTACAGTCCCACCAACAGTGTAAAAGTGTTCCTATTTCTCCACATCCTCTCCAGCACCTGTTGTTTCCTGTATTGATGGTACGTATCTCAAAATAATAAGAGCTATCTATGACAAACCCACAGCCAATATCATACTGAATGGGCAAAAACTGGAAGCATTCCCTTTGAAAACTGGCACAAGACAGGGATGCCCTCTCTCACCACTCCTATTCAACATAGTGTTGGAAGTTCTGGCCAGGGCAGTCAGACTGGAGAAGGAAATAAAGGGCATTCAATTAGGAAAAGAGGAAATCAAATTGTCCCTGTTTGCAGATGACATGATTGTATATCTAGAAAACCCCATCGTCTCAGCCCAAAATCTCCTTAAGCTGATAAGCAACTTCAGCAAAGTCTCAGGATACAAAATCAATGTACAAAAATCACAAGCATTCTTATACACCAATAACAGACAAACAGAGAGCAAAATCATGAGTGAACTCCCATTCACAATTGCTTCAAAGAGAATAAAATACCTAGGAATCCAACTTACAAGGGATGTGAAGGACCTCTTCAAGGAGAACTGCAAACCACTGCTCAATGAAATAAAAGAGGATACAAACAAATGGAAGAACATTCCATGCTCATGGGTAGGAAGAATCAATATCGTGAAAATGGCCATACTGCCCAAGGTAATTTATAGATTCAGTGCCATCCCCATCAAGCTACCGATGACTTTCTTCACAGAATTGGAAAAAACTACTTTAAAGTTCATATGGAACCAAAAAAGAGCCCGCATCGCCAAGTCAATCCTAAGCCAAAAGAACAAAGCTGGAGGCATCACACTACCTGACTTCAAACTATACTACAAGGCTATGATAACCAAAACAGCATGGTACTGGTACCACAACAGAGATATAGATCAATGGAACAGAACAGAGCCCTCATAAATAACGCCGCATATCTACAACTACCTGATCTTTGACAAACCTGAGAAAAAGAAGCAATGGGGAAAGGATTCCCTATTTAATAAAAGGTGCTGGGAAAACTGTCTAGCCATATGTAGAAAGCTGAAACTGGATCCCTTCCTTACACCTTATACAAAAATTAATTCAAGATGGATTAAGGACTTAAATATCAGACCTAAAACCATAAAAACCCTAGAAGAAAACCTAGGCATTACCATTCAGGACATAGGCATGGGCAAGGACTTCATGTCTAAAACACCAAAAGCAATGGCAACAAAAGCCAAAATTGACAAATGGGATCTAATTAAACTAAAGACCTTCTGCACAGCAAAAGAAACTGCCATCAGAGTGAACAGGCAACCTACAGAATGGGAGAAAATTTTTGCAACCTACTCATCTGACAAAGGGCTAATATCCAGAATCTACAATGAACTCAAACAAATTTACAGGAAAAAAACAAACAACCCCATCAAAAAATGGGGGGAGGATATGAACAGACACTTCTCAAAAGAAGACATTTATGCGGCCAAAAACCACATGAAAAAGTGCTCATCATCACTGGCCATCAAAGAAATGCAAATCAAAACCACAATGAGATACCATCTCACACCAGTTAGAATGGCAATCATTAAAAACTATTTTTTCATAGTGTTTGTTCATTTTACATAGCCATCAGCAGCACATGAGAGTTTCAGTTCCTTCACAACCCTTGACACCATTTGGTGGATCAGTTTTTTAAATATACAAGTTCTTTCTTGTTGGTGTGTGGTCGTATTTCATTATTTTAATTTTCATTTCTCTAATGACTGGTGCTGTTGAACATGTTGTCAGTGTGCTTATTAGCTGTTCATATGTCTTCTCTGGTGAAATGTCAAAGCTTGTGCTCATTTTTCATTTGGGTCATTTTGTTAATGAGTTGTAAGAATTCTTTATATGTTCTGGATATACATTCTTTGTGAAGTGTATGACTTACAATCTATGGCTTATCTTTTCAGATTTTAAATAGTGTCTTTGAAGAATGTGAGTTTTTAATTTTGATGATGTCCAGTATATCAAATTTTCATTTTATATACAATGGTTTTCATATCTAAGAAATTGTTGCCTAACACAAAAAGAAACCACAAAAAGTTTCTTCTGTGTTTACTTCAAGAAATGTTTCAGTTAGCACTTAGCATTTAGTTCTGTAATTCTTTTTAACTTTTGTAAATTTATTTGTTTGCATATAGATATCTAGTTATAACATTGTTTATTGAAAAGGTTATCCTTTCCCCACTGAACTGCCTTACCATCTGTTAAAGATCAATTGATCATTGATGCAATGATATATTCTAGACTCCATTCTGTTATATTGATATCTATATGTCTGTTCTTGTGACAGTACTACAGTTTTAATTACTGTAGTTTTATAGCATATTTTGAAATTAGTATAAATACTCCAACTTCTTTGTTCTTTTTCAAAGTTGCCTTTCCATATAAATTTTAGGTTCAGCTTATCAGTTTCTGCAGGATTCTGATAGGAAGTGCATTGAATCTATAGGTCAGTTTAGGGAGATTGACATCTTTACAATATTTTATATTACAATCCATGAATATGATGTTTCTCTCTGTTTAGATCTCCTTTAATTTCTGACAACAAGGTTTTGTAGTTTTTTGCGTATAGGTCTTGCAGTTCTTTTTAAAATTTATTTCTAAGTACTCTTTAAAGCTGCTGTAAATGGAATTGTTTTCTTTGGTTCATTTTTGGATTTTTCTTGCTAGTATGTAGAAATACAGTAGATTTTAATTTATTTCATTCTACAACTCTGTTTTTAATGACCTTGTTAAACTTTCTTACAGATGTTCCTCAACTTATGATGGAGTTAAGTCCTTATAAACTCATCATAAACTCAAAAAGCCATAAGTTGAACGATTATAAGTTGGGGACTGTCTGTATTAGTTTGGATAGGTTTTTTATTATTATTATTTTGGTTCTTTAGTACTTTTTATACATAAAGGCTTATGGCATCTGTGAATAAAGTTTGTTTTACTTCTTTATTTCTAATGTGGATGCCTTTAATTTCTTTGTTTTCTTTTTGCCCTCTTGCACTGGATTGCTCCTTCTATGTAATGTTCAATGGAAGTTGTGATGTTGGGTGTCCTTGTTTTGTTCTCAATCTTAGTGGGAAAGCGTTCGATCTTTCACTACTATGTGTGATACTTGCTGTAGATTTTTGATAAAGTCTCTTCATAGATTGAGGAAGTTTCTTTCTGTTTCTAGTTTGTTGAGAGCCTTTAACATGAATGGACTTTGAATTTGGTGAAATCCATCTTTTTGTGGGTCCATTAAGATGACTGTGGGTTTTACTCTTTATTAATATGGTATGTTACATTAATTTTTGGATATTAAGATAACCTTGCATTCTTGGGTTAATTCCCACTTTGTCATGATATACAATAGTTTTTATTTGTTGGTGGCTTCTTGCCAAGGGCATGTTCATGAGGGGTATTTATCTGTAGTTTTCTTGTGATGTTTTTGTCTGGCTTTTGTGTTATGGCAATTCTGGCCTTACAGAATGTTTCCTGCTCTATTTGAGAAATCATTTGCATAAGATAGGTATTATTTCTTTCTAAATGTTTGGGGGAATTTACCAGTAAAGCCATCAGGCTTGGGTTTTTCTTTGGGGGAATATTTCAAATTACCAGTTAAGTTTTTTTCCCCTTGTTTTTGGTCTATTGAGATTTTTCACATCTTCTGGAGTCAGCTTTGATAATTAATGTCTTCCTAGGAATTTGTCTTTTTCGTCTTAAGTGATCTACTTGTTATAAAGTTCTTGGCAGAGTGCGGTGGCTCATGTCTGTAATCCCAGCACTTTGGGAGGCCAAGGCGTGTGGATCATGAGGTCAAGAGATGGAGACCATCCTGGCCAACATGGTGAAACCCCATCTCTACTAAAAATGCAAAAATTAGCTGGGCGTGCATGGTGGCACGTGCCTGTAGTCCCAGCTACTTGGGAGGCTGAGGCAGGAGAATCGCTTGAACCCTGGAGGTGGAGGTTGCAGTGAGTCGAGATTGCGCTACTGCATTCCAGCCTGGCAACAGAGCAAGACTCCATCTCATAAATAAATAAATAAAATAAAGTTGTTTGTAATTGTTTTATAAGTATTTTGAGCATGATTTATAGTGATATCTCTCCTTCACTCTTTTTTCTTTTCTTTTCTGTTGCCCAGGCTGGAGTGCAGTGGTGCGCTCTCAGCTCACCATAATCTCCCCCTACCAGGTTCAAGAGATTCTCATGCCTTGGCCTGCCAAGTAGCTGGGATGATAGGCATGTGTCACCACTCCTGGCTGATTTTTGTATTTTTAGTAGAGACAGGGTTCCACCATGTTGGCCAGGCTGGTCTTGAACTCCTGACCTCAAGTGATCTGCCTGCCTTGGCCTCCCAAAGTGCTGGGATTACAGGTGTGAGTCATCGTGCCCAGCCTCCTCTTTTCATTCTTAATTTTGGAAATTTATGTCAATTTTCTTTCTTATTAGTCTAGCTAAAGGTTTATGTATTTTGTCGCTCTTTCCAAAGAACTAACCTTTGGTTTCATTGCATTTCTATGTTGTGTTTCTGGTTTTTGCTTCATTGACTTTTGCTTTGATGTTTATCATTTATTTCCTTCTGCTTACTTTGGGTTTGATTAGCTTTGCCTTCTTTTCTTTATGAGGTTGAAGCTTAGTTGATTGATTTGAAACTATTTTTACATTTATGTATGTATTTAATCTTTTTTCTTTTTTGTTTTTTCTTTTTTTTTCCTGCCCCACCCTCCCTGCATTTCTAATATAAATATTTAAAGGTATACTTTTTTTCTTAGCATATCTTTAAGCACCTCTCATCAATTTTGATATACTGTATTTTTATTTCCATTCAAAATACATTTGGCTCTTTCTATCCAGAGGTTCCACATCTGCAGATTCAGTCAACCATGGGTCAAAAATATTCGGGAAGACAACCCCAAAACAGTGATAAGAATAATACAAATACCAAAAGTACAGTATAACAACTACTTGTATAACATTCATATTGTATTAGGTATTATAAGTAATCTAGGGATGATTTAAAATATATGGGAGAATGTTCATAGCTTTTGTGCAAATACTATGCCATTTTTTTATAAGGGATTTGAACATCCTCAGATTTTGGTATGGTGGGGGGGTGTCCTAGAACCAATCCCCCTTGGATACTGAGCGACAACTATATTTTGTAATAGTTCTTATTTGATTCATGGGCTATTTAGAAGCATGTTACTTAGTTTCCAAATATTTGGGGATATCACAAATTTCTTCCTATTGTTGATCTATAATGCAGTCGTTTGTGGTTGAAGAATGTACTTTGTATGATTTTATTGCTTTTACATTTATTGAGCTATAATTTATGATGTGGACATTACTAGTGAATGTTCTTTGTGCTCTTCGAAAGTATGTGCATTCTGC
This sequence comes from Homo sapiens, assembly GCF_000001405.40. Lineage (NCBI taxonomy): Eukaryota > Metazoa > Chordata > Mammalia > Primates > Hominidae > Homo > Homo sapiens. The sequence goes on along the minus strand of NC_000015.10, from coordinate 76,707,788 downwards.
TGTTGTTGGATGGAGTGTTCTCTAAATGTCAGTTAGGTAAAGGTAATTGATATTGTTGTCTGGTCTTCTGTATACTGCTGATTTTCTCTGTAGTTCTGTAAATTCTTGAGACAAAATTATCAAAATCTCCAAATATAAGTTGAACTGTGTATTTCTTGTTTAGTTTTGACATTTTGGCTTCATGTATTTTGGTGTACTGCTAGTTTCATGTAATTTATAATTGTTTTGCCTTACTGAGGTATTGATTCATTATAAAATATTCCTCTTTAATTTTTAAAAAATATTTCTTGTATTAATGTCAAATTGTCTCTGTTGTAAATATAGCCGTATCTACTATTCACATGGTATGTCTTCTGTTCTTATATTTTCATCCTTTTTGTGTTTTTGTGTCTCAGATCTGTCTCTTGTAGGCTGTATATAGTTGGGTTTTGCTTTTCTATCTGGTTTGCTCATTTCTGCCTTTTGATTGGAATGTTTAGTCGATTCTCATTTGATGTAATTATTGGTATGACTGAATTTATGTCCGCCATTTTGATATTTGTTTTCTATGTCTCAAGTCTTTTTTGTTCTCCTTTACCTTTTGTTCTTATTAAACCACCACTTTTTGTTGTATTATTTTCATTGTTTTTTAAAAAATTATTTTAGTTACTTTAATAGTTGCTTTTTGGATTATAGTATTCATCGACTTACTATATTCTACTTCAGGATAAAACTAAATTAATTTTGTTAAAATGGAACAACTTTGTACCAAAGTTCTATGTCCTCTTCCCCTTGTGTTACTGTTTTCACATATCTTACATATATATGTCATAAATGAAACAATAGTCTTATAATTATTTCTTTATACAGTTGTATATGTTTAAGAGAACTAGGCGAATAAAAGAGAAAATATATTTATACATTTCTTTGTGTGTGTGTGTATGTGTGTATCAACAGTTTGTTTCTTTTTATTTATTTATTTATTTTAATTTATTGTACTTTAAATTCTGGGATACATGAGGGGAGTGGTATGTAAAGCTGGCTATGCATGCTGTGTGAGTTAAAAAGTAGAAAGATGCTACTTGTCTCACCATTTCTGTATGTAGATTTTCACTTAAACTTCCTGTTTTCAGTATATTATCTCACCTCCAATTTGCCTTCTGTCCTGAATGCAGGTCTTTTTGTTCAGACCCTCTAGGGAGTAATCTCTTCACCTTCTGCCGGCATGGGAAGATTTGGAGATCTGCTGTATTTTAAGGCCTTCCCAGTCTGCTGATTTTTATCCTCAACCTTTATCTCTTCCTTCATAAGTTTATAGTTTCTTCAATTTCTGAGCTTCTATGGAATTTTGCTAGTAGAATCACCTTGCTTATTAGTTTCCTTCTGAAAGCTTAGATTTCAGCTTTCTCAGGATTGCTTCTCAGCTTTTGAAATATTGATGTCCATTTTTTGTGATTATTTCCTCTTCTACTTTGTCTTTTTGAGTTTATGCCTTTTCTATTCCTTTTAATGGTTTAATTGAGTTTTTGGAAGGGAATAGAGATAAATATAGTTTTCAACATGCCATATTTAAATGACAGTCTTTGAGCTAATATTTAAAGCCATGCCTGGGTCCAGAAACCCATTTCATAACTGATAATCTCTATTGTTTCCCAAATATTTAATTAGCAATATACCTGAGACTTAGTAGGCACTTTAAGAAGAATATTTTAAAAAAGTAGCCCTTTAGACTATATGACCCTATGTGTCCTAATTGTATTTTTGAGTCTCATGAGATTTGTTACTTTAAGCAGTTGAGTTTATAATTTTTACTGTCTTCTTACAGAGACAGGGAAGAACGATTGGCAGCACTCACAGCTGCTCAACAAGAAGCTATGGAAGAGTTACAGAAAAAAATTCAGCTCAAGGTAAGGATATTATATATTTTTAATTTGAAATTTTAGAGCTTACAGTGGAGCATGAGATCAAAATTTTGTAGGAAAAAAATTGAATTAATTTGTATTCTTAATCTTTGCACAACAAAGCTTATATGATTTTGCTACAATCATTTCTAACTTAGTACCTGGAAACTAAGTTTACTTTGATATGGTAGGGCCATTGAGGAAAAAAAATTTAAGGAAGTTTAACATTTCCTGTTTTTTTTCTTTTTAATTTAGAATCTTTAATATTTTTTCTTACACAGTTCAGTCATGTTAAGTGTATTTACATTGTTTTTTTTTAACCATCCTAAAAGCCATCTTCTTGTGTCCTTTTTTTTTTTAATTATACTTTAAGTTTTAGGGTACATGTGCACAATGTGCAGGTTAGTTACATATATATACATGTGCCATGCTGGTGTGCTGCACCCATTAATTTGTCATTTAGCATTAGGTATATCTCCTAATGATATCCCTCTCCCCTCCCCCCACCCCAAAACAGTCCCCAGAGTGTGATGTTCCCCTTCCTGTGTCCATGTGTTCTCATTGTTCAATTCCCATCTATGAGTGAGAACATGCGGTGTTTGGTTTTTTGTCCTTGCAATAGTTTACTGAGAATGATGATTTCCAATTTCACCCATGTCCCTACAAAGGACATGAACTCATCATTTTTTTTATGGCTGCATAGCATTCCATGGTATATATGTGCCACATTTTCTTAATCCAGTCTATCAATGTTGGACATTTGGGTTGGTTCCAAGTCTTTGCTATTGTGAATAGTGCCGCAATAAACATATGTGTGCATGTGTCTTTATAGCGGCATGATTTATAGTCCTTTGGGTATATACTCAGTAATGGGATGGCTGGGTCAAATGGTATTTCTAGTTCTAGATCCCTGAGGAATCGCCACACTGACTTCCACAATGGTCAAACTAGTTTACAGTCCCACCAACAGTGTAAAAGTGTTCCTGTTTCTCCACATCCTCTCCAGCACCTGTTGTTTCCTGACTTTTTAATGATCGCCATTCTAACTGGTGTGAGATGGTATCTCATTGTGGTTTTGATTTGCATTTCTCTGATGGAGAGTGATGATGAGCATTTTTTCATGTGTCTTTTGGCTGCATAAATGTCTTCTTTTGAGAAGGGTCTGTTCATATCCTTCGCCCACTCTTTGATGGGGTTGTTTGATTTTTTCTTGTAAATTTGTTTGAGTTCATTGTAGATTCTGGATATTAGCCCTTTGTCAGATGAGCAGGTTGCGAAACTATCTGATCTTTGACAAACCTGAGAAAAACAAGCAATGGGGAAAGGATTTCCCTATTTAATAAATGGTGCTGGGAAAACTGGCTAGACATATGTAGAAAGCTGAAACTGGATCCCTTCCTTACACCTTATACAAAAATTAATGCAAGATGGATTAAAGACTTAAACATTAGACCTAAAACGGTAAAAACCCTAGAAGAAAACCTAGGCATTACCATTCAGGACATAGGCATGGGCAAGGACTTCATGTCTAAAACACCAAAAGCAATGGCCACAAAAGCCAAAATTGACATATGGGATCTAATTAAACTAAAGAGCTTCTGCACAGCAAAAGAAACTACCATCAGAGTGAACAGGCAACCTACAAAATGGGAGAAAATTCTCGCAACCTACTCATCTAACATTTCCTGTTTTTACTAAGCAATTTACTAATGACTTGAAGGCATTAGAGGTAGGCTTCTTATATTCATAGGTTTTAATCACTCAAAAGTAAAGTAAAAGATGTTTCTTATAATTTGCTTCACTTGATTTCAGTGCTTATGAATTGTATAATTATAGCTTGGGAGATTATGATAAACTGATACTTTCTAGAAAATTTTTAGCATTACTACAACCATAGGCAGTCTCTAACAGTATGAATGTTTCATATTATATCACAGTTATTTACATGCTGGCTCCTCACAGAGATAGTAAAACCCCTAAGGTAGAAGACTGTATTTTACTATTTGTATAGTCCTAGAAATCTATCATGCGTTTAAATTTATTGTAGCAGGTATTTATTGAGCCTTGTGGTAGGCAGGGGAATGCAGAGATAAGGCATGGTTCTGATTTTTAAGAAACTCTTCATTTACTTTAAATTCAGATGCTAAGTACATAACCTCCACATAAAGAGAGGCATACATGAAATGCTGTGGAAGCACAGAAGAGGACACTTAGTCTAATATGAGGAGTGTCAGAGGTCAGGAAGTGATTTTAAAGAACACTTCCTGAGCTGGATCTTGAAAGGAGGATGAGTAAAATGGATAGGTAGGTGCGATGCCATTCTAGCCATATCAAATAGATGAGTATAAGGACAAAGGTCTGAAATAGCGTTTTTTCCCCCAGGATTGTCACTGGAGGTATAAAAATGGAGTAGGTTATAGGTTTGGTCATGATGGGCCTTGCCTGCTGTATGGATAAGCATATGCTTTACCCGTAGGTTAACATTTCCCATGGTGGGTTCCAGGAAGTGGTTCTCAAAAATGTGTTATTGGCAAATAATTTGTAAGTTGATGCCTACTAAAAGCTAGGTGCATTGAGTCATATATCACAGTGACGTACTGGAGGTTCTGTAAAGTTCTACATTAAAAACCTGTTTAGTTTTAGCTTGCTGTTTTCCAAATTTATTTGACCATGGAACCTGTTCTGTAAAACACTTGTTAATATCTCCTGGAGCACACTTTAATAAACATTACTGTTCATGTGGGTGATATTAAAGGGCTTTGTGTAAAGCTTTGTCTTCAGTGTGTAAGTTGTCATAGAAACGACATTCTATTATTTTTGAAGTTTTAATGGAAATATTATTTTTCCAATTTCTCACCATAATTTGAATAATTTTTGAAATTCTTGCACTTTGACTTCATCTACAGCATGATGAAAGTATTCGAAGGCACATGGAACAGATTGAACAAAGAAAAGAAAAAGCTGCTGAGCTAAGCAGTGGGCGACATGCAAATACTGATTATGCCCCCAAACTGACCCCTTATGAAAGAAAGAAGCAGTGTTCTCTCTGCAATGTCCTGGTAGGTTGTTATATCAATATTGTAATGATATAGTTTACTACTAAAGTTTATGAAACCATGGAAATATATTCTTGCAGTCTTTTAAAACTCACGCTAAGGCAGGCGAGATGTGGCAGCTCACACCTGTAATTTCAGCACTTTAGGAGACTGAGGTGGGCGGATCACTTCAGGCCAAGAGTGCAAAACCAGCCTTTCCAACATGGTGAAACCCTGTCTCTACTAAAAATACAAAAAATTAGCTGGGCATGGTGGTGCATGTCTGTAATCCCAGGTACTCGGGAGGCTGAGGCATGAGAATCCTTTGAACCCAGGAGGTGGAGGTTGCAGTGAGCCAAGATCATGCCACTGCACTCCATCCTGGGTGACAAAGCAAGACTCTGTTTCAAAAAATAAAACTCATGCTAAGGCATCTGCTGAGTGACCTGGATTTCTTTCATGATTCTGAATGAAAAGTGGTACAAATAACATCAGCATTTTGGAATAGCAGTAAAAGTGCTCAAGAATATAGTTACTATTAAAATGGATGATTACCTGCTTAATGTGATAGCCCAAGTCAGTATTTTTGGGGTATTAGATCTAAAAAAAAAGCAACATTTTCACTGCTGAGACTTGAACCTTCAAACTTAGAGGAAATAATTTCCTCTTAGGCTGGCTGTAACATGTCTTTTTTTTGTTTTGTTTTGTTTTGAGATGGAGTATCGCTTTGTCACCCAAGCTGGAGTGCAGTGGCACGATCTCAGCTCACTGCAACCTCCGCCTCCCAGGTTCCGGCGATATTCCTGCCTCAGCCTCCCAAGTCTTTTTTTTTAACCATTTGCCTTCTAGAGGATTCTCAGAATTATGTTCTGAGGAAACTATTTTTAAGACTAATATGTAAATACTAGGTGGATCTCAACTCACATATCATATACTGGACTGAATGTGTAGTGTTTAAAATTCATATAATGTTATATTGATTACATTGCTTTGATTTTGTGCTTTCAGATCTCTTCAGAGGTATATCTTTTTAGCCATGTTAAAGGGAGAAAACACCAGCAAGCCGTGAGAGAGAATACCAGCATCCAGGGGCGTGAACTGTCAGATGAAGAAGTGGTAAACTTTATTTTTGTTCATTTACAATTGTTTATTGAGTACCCAATATGTGCTGTTTTATTATAAAGAATTCCGTGTTTGTATTTATTTCTATGATTATTTAAAACTATATTTAGCACTTAATAGCTACTACAATATAGTGTACAAATGTGTCATTATTTTAGTGTATATATTAATTTAACAAGAAAGATAGAAAAAAGAATTTAATGCTGTTATTTACATAATTTCAGTATAAGGAAATGTTATGGTATATTGATATTTTAATAATGCAGGAAAATAATCACTCAATGACATGCCACATTCTTGGAAAACAGTTAACCACATAAATTTCACTTAAGAGGATAATTTTGGATCAGTATACCATTTAGAAGCTTTTGGAAATTCATTATTTCTTCACACATAATTATTGTCAACATGGAATTTAGATTTGTATAAATATGTATATGAATATTTTTCATTTAACTCTTTTTGAAACTTGGATGATATAGCTAATCTATGAATTTATTGTCCTATTTATTATAGTAAATTTTTAAAACTACTCAAGAATAAGAAATTCATATTTGTTAAGCAACTCAAGCTGTCCAGGAAAAGTTATTGTGGGTTCTTTGAGGGCAGGTACCTTTATGTAGGTGCATGTGTATATTGAACTTTTTTTTTTTTTTAGGTATGGCATTCATTAGTCAAGAGCATAAATCTCAAGTATATAGCTGATGAATTTTTACATATGTATAAACTGATATAAAACCACCCAGATCATAATATAGATCATTTGTTGTACCCTTTGGGCTCCTCTTATGCCCCCTCCTACTTATGTCCCCAAAAGTTAACTACTGTGAATTTTTGTATCATTATTTAGTGTTGCCTGTTCTTAAATTTCATACAAATGTTATCATACAGTATGTATTCTTTTCTGCCTGACTTCATACATTCATGCTTAAGCTTGTGAAAGTGATCCCTATTGTTTATGTGAAGCTGTAGTTATTCTTCTTAGCTTTATGTCAGTGCCCTCCTGTGTAGCATCAGGAACATGTCTGTAGTTGAATAGTATTTTATTTAATGACTTGTTAAAAGAAGGGGAAACAGGAAGAGCCAAGATGGCTGACTAGATGCAGCCAGGAAGAGCATCTCCCACTGAGAGACCAGACCATCAAGAAGGCTGGCACACTCTGAGCAGATCTTCCTAAGGAAGGCATTGAGAGTAGAGGAAGGGAAGGCACACCCTGGGCTGAAGCTGCAAGAGAAAGCAGGGAATGTTGCCTGGCTTTGTAGAGCACCAGGACTCTCTCCTGAGGAAGAGGTGGCTAACTAAGCAAGGAGTGGTCCACTCTCACCACGGACCTCTGGAATCCTAGCTGCAGGAGACCCCATGACCCCCACGGACATTTGAGCTGTCAGGGAGAATTGCTTGGAGAGGTGGCAGGGACTGGAGTCCAGCTTGTGAAGAGTCCAGAGGGTTTGACACAGGAACAGCTGCTGTGGAGGGCAGCCAGAGATGCTCAACCCTCAAGTCTCACTGTGTTCCTCTAGGTGGCTTTGGCCATTATTGTCCGTCAGACCTGCACACAGCAGGGCTGTCTTGACAGTGGGACAGGGCCAGTGTAATCCGAGCACTCTGGTCTGATGGCATCTCTCAGGGTCCTTGCCTGGCCATGCCTTCTTGCAGTGCGGACTTGGATGCCCAAACGAGGTGCTTCCAGGTGGCTGCCACCGTAGCTCCTACCCCAGGAGACCCTGCCTGACCATCGGAGAGCTTCTGTGGATGGGCCCCTGCTGGCGTGCAACTACCCACAGCCTCTCCCCACCACTTTCTGGCAGCTGCATGGACTTTGCCACCATGCTGCTACTGGCACCGGTGCAGGTATGGACTCCGTTGCCATTGCCCTGCCATCACCAGTGTGCGAATACTGTTCACACTCTGCCAGCTGCAACTGCGTGCATGTGGAACCTGTGACTGCTAGCCTGTGCACTTGAACCTGATACCACCATGTTGATGAAGTGATTTTGCCAGCGCCCGCCATTGAAGTGTTGTTGCCAGCGGACCAGGAACACCTTAGCCACTCCAGCGCAGCAAGTGCTTAACTTTGAGGTGCCTAAGAGCAAAGCCATGGGCCTGGTCTCAGTCCCCCAGGGCATGCAGTCCAGCGCTGCTGAAATCATCCAGAAGCAGAGCCAGTTCACTGAACGTGCAGTGTATACTGCAGTCAAACCCTCAAGGGCATCAAAGAATATAAAAACAAAAAGCCTCATCCAAAGGACAGCAATTTCGAAGATGAAAGGAACATCCTTTCATGTTAAAAACCCTCAACAAACTAAGAATTGAAGGAACATAGCTCAAAATAAGAAGAGCCATCTATGACAACCCCACAGCCAACATCATAGTGGAGGGGCAAAAGCTAGAAGCATTCCCCTTGAGAACTGGAACGAGACAAGGATTCCCACTCTCGCCACTCCTATTCAACATAGTACTGGAAGGCCTAGCCAGAGCAGTCAGGCAAGAGAAAGAATCAGAGGCATCCAAATAGCATGAAAAAAGTGAAACCATCTCCCTTTGCAGATTATATAATTCTATACCTGGAAAACCTAAAAGGGTCTGCTCCAGAGCTCCTAGATCTGATAAACAACTTCAGTGAAGTTTCAGGACACAAAATGAATGTAGAAAAATCAGTAGCGTTTCTACACAGCAACAACATCAAAGCTGAGACCCAAATCAAGAACTCAGTCTCATTCAAAATAGCTACAAAAAGAATAAAAAATCTGGGAATCCAGCTAAACAGGAAGGTGAAAGATGTCTACAGATGAGAATTACAAAACACTACTCAAAGATACCAGAGATAACACAAACAAATGCAAAAATGTTCCATGCTCATGGATAGGAAGAGTCAGTATTGTTAACATGGGCATATGGCCCAAAGCAATTTGCAGATTCAATGCTATTCCTATCAAACTACCAATGACATTCTTCACAGAATTAGAAAAAACTATTCTAAAATTCATATGGAACCAAAAATATAGCCCAGTCTGAGCTCACTTTTTTTGTGATTTTTTAACTTGGAAGAATTTTGCTCCTCAAGTTTTAACCACTTTGATGGCTCTAAACTTCAAATTCTGTCTCCTCAGCTCACTAAGACTGGTACTGTCTGCTTGCACTGTTCTCCCATGCCAAAAATTGGCATAAACCCTGAAGGAAGTATCCAGAATGAATGTACAGCTAATTTTATGTGCTTGCATTTTTTTAGGCATCATAGTCATTCAAGTCCTGTCTATGTTGGCTTTTGTTCCCTTCAAATAGTTGCTTTGGGTATTTTGTACAACTTTTGGCATTAGATTAGTCCAGTACAAGCCAGTTCACGGTAGCTATAATTAAAAGTCTCCAGTGTTTGAGCCTTGCATATTCATGTTTGATATAATGCTTGACATATAGTTAAGGTTATTTATAAATGTCCATTGAGTTGAATCAAAATGAAAAGTTTATACAGAGTGGCTCGAAGGTATCATGGGAGTAGAACTCTCAATTTCACCTTCGTAAATTCTAAGTGCTTTTAATACAAATGAAATGGAACATGGAACTAATAATCTAGTTTGCCTCAAATAATTTTCTGCCTTTTACTCAAATCGTATGAGTAGTTTAAGAGAGAATAGTATGGAGTTCTTTATTACTTAAATCTTTCATGATTACCCCCATTTTCTACTTGAATTTTCTGTTAAGAACTATAGTCATGTTTTGTGTACTCTACTTTTAAAAAAATCCTTAATTGCCTCAATTACTTGTAATAATTCCCATTGTAAAGGATATTCTTTCCTTTATAAAAATTATTTGTGGCCAGGCGCGGTGGCTCACGCCTGTAATCCCAGCATTTTGGGAGGCTGAGGTGGGTGGATCACCTGAGGTCGGGAGTTCGAGACCAGCCTGGCCGACATGGTGAAACCCTGTCTCTACTAAATATACAAAAATTAGCTGGGCATGGTGACGCGCGCCTGTAATTCCAGCTACTTCAGAGGCTGAGGCAGGAGAATTGCTTGAACACAGAAGCCGGAGGTTGCAGTGAGCTGAGATTGTGCCATTGCACTCTAGCCTGGGCGACAAGAGTGAGACTCGATCTCAAAAAAAATTATTTGTAATTAATTTCCATTAATAAAACAGCTAAAAATATTATTTAATTTACAAAAAAAACTTAACAATTTTTCTGGAATATGGTATTATGTAAACTGAAATATAAATTTCGCATGTTTTTATTTCAGTGAGAAAAGGTTAGAAGGAAATAATAGGATTCACGCACTTCGGAAGAAAAATGTGCAATATTATCTAATTTTTGTAGCCATAGCAGTCTTATGTTTAGCCATTATGGTTTGAGATTTGATTGGTGTGTTCATTTTGTGTACTGTTTCAGTTTGAAGGAATTAAATTTTCTTAAAGTTCTAACTTAATTCATGTTGTTATTCTTGGTTATAGCCTCTTCTTCCTGAAAACAAGTGTATAATATAGCATATGAATTATGTGATATAAAAAGGTTATTTTCTACTACTCTCATGGAAGTTTCATTTTTTTAATCAGTAGAGGGTATCTATAGTAAACATACTTGTTCTACTTAAAGTTATTACTTGTCATCTATGATGTCTTTATATTATATACACCTTGTCTGTGACCTTTCTTCTTTGACATGTAAGATTTTATTTATATTACCTCTGACCTAATAAAATTGTACCTTTGACCTTATGAACTTAACATCTCAGATAACTTACTCTTGATCTTTGACACATTTTGTTTTAAGCCTGTTAAACATAGTAGGTAGCTGCTGAGTAAGAAGGCTTTATTGTTTTGTGTTTTTATTGTAATTTGACTGGGACATTTTTCTACTGTTTCTTGAGACTTAACAAAATGGACTGTGTTTGAAGTTTATGTTTGATTTGTTTCCTCATTCATCTTAGAATTCAAATGATTAAAAAAGTGATTTTTAAAAGTCAAAAATGGGTAGTAGTTTTAAATACATTCTAAAATTTAACTTTTTACATGCATTGCTAAATAAATCAATGAAGTATTATTTTTAGTACTTGATATCTTTGTGGTCCTGTTTTCACACTATCTAAAGAAGCTGATAGTATCTTTTCTAGAAGTTGCTTGAAGTAGCAAGCATGTAGCAAGCATGTAGAATGAATTTAAAAGGTTTTTTTTCCATTTTAAATCAATATATTTCTATGTTTGTGAGATTCATTAGCTTTAAAAGCATGTACATTGTACAAGCTCTGTTTGTTACCTTGTATACTTATAGAAAAAAAAATAGTTAATTTTCATTTGACTCCTGAAAGGTATGAATGGGACCTTCATGAAGGATCTTAAATTAACTGTAATTTATTGGATGTTTACAACCATATGTGACTTTACAAATTACATTATTAGTTTCCATGGACAATATATGCCAATTAGGTGATTGAAGAGAAAATAAATTTTAAACTAGGAAAATAAAGAAATTTTAAATTAGCAAAAATATAAAGACATCACTGTATTTAATGAAATGTAAGCTGACTGTCTTGGCCAGGGTGCGCCTGGCATTGAGATCAAAAGAAGAAGTGGCAAGATGTTTGCCAGAATTATGGTAGTCTGGGAAATAAAAGATAATTCCATATAGACCCATTTATTTCCTTACCTTGCTTGCCTTTGTAGAAGAAGTATTCACTGTCATTTTATAATCACATTATGAAACATCTTATTTGCCTTTCAACAGGAAATCAAGTCAAATGAACAAACTAGAAGTAATTTAAAATAAATCTTCTGGTTTTTTTCCCATCTAATACCTCAGTAGGGTTGGTAAGTTTAAGACAATTTGAGAAATGATTTTAAAACATATTACACTTTCTTTTAAGGCATAGCTTCCATTGACTTGATTTTCTCCTTAATAGTATGGGAAGAATTTTATGGGGTGTGTGTGTGTGTGTAAATGTATGTGTATTCAGTATATAATGCACACACATATATAGCTTATTATTAATTTATATATTCTAAGTTTTCACACTGTAACTTGGATGTGCAGAGAATATGTGGCTCTATATCTGTGGCTGATTTATTGATCTTCATTTAGTTCAAGGAAAATTTTTAGATTCCACTTATTAGGTCAAGGAAAAATATTTAATTAAACAGTTTTTTTTCTTTTTTCTTTTTTTTTTTTGAGACGGAGTCTTGCTCCGTCATCCAGGCTGGAGTGCATTGGCTTGATCTCGGCTCACTGCAACCTCTGCCTCCTGGGTTCAAGCAATTCTTCTGTCTCAGCCTCCCAAGTAGCTGGGACTACAGGCGCCTACCACCTCACCCTGCTAATTTTTGTATTTTTTGGTAGAGATGGCGTTTTACCATGTCAGCCAGGCTGGTCTCGAACTCTTGATCTCAGGTGATCTACCTGCCTTGGCCTCCCAAAATGCTGGGATTACAGGTATGAGCCACTGTGCCTGGCCACAAATAATTTTTATAAAGGAAAGAATACAAGCTTGCTTTTTAGAGTTTTAGAATTAACTCAAAACAGAAGAAGTAAGAATTAAGTTGACTCTTAACAGATTTTTAGCTATGTTAGTCAAGGTATAAAATTCGGAGTGCAAAGTGACCTTAGAGTTACACTAGTAGCTAATTTAGTAACTTGGCATTTTAAGCTGAATGAAATTAAGACTTTGTTTTACCCTGTTACTTTCTAATTTGCAGTTTTAATTTGATCAATTTATAGGTTTTTATAAATATCTTAAAGAAGGTCCTTTCTCTAATTTTATAAGATCTTAAAAATAATAAATCGTTATTAATTTGTGTTGAACTTTTTCTCCATCTTATGATTGGTTTTTTCCTTTACAGCAAAAAGTATTTTTTGGGCAAAATTGCAAAATTGCTTTTTTCAATTTATTCATGTGATATGTTACATTAATAGCTTGTCTATATTAATATTTAACAATTTGGTCATGATTTTAAAAGTACATAGTTAAATTTGTTGTTAAAATATCTTATGATTTTTCTTTCTTAAGATTGTATCATCTTCATATATAAACTGACTAGATTTTCCTGTTGTATTTTTATTCCTGGGAACATGTTGCATAAAATAGAAATTGTCTCTTCCTTAAAGGTTTTGTTTAATGTGTCTATAAAATTGTATGGAAAGTTCCTGGTATGTGTTTTTTGGGAAAATTTGTTTTCTGTCTTTTTTTGTGGTAAAATACACATAACTTAAAATGTGCCATCTTAACTATTTTTCCAACTTTATTGAGGTATAGTTTACAGAAATTGTGTATATTCAATTGTACACATTCAATGTACACAACATAATGATTTGTATATTAATGCATACTCTATGTAGTGATTACCACAATTAGTTATGTTTCTATACACTAACAATGAACTTTCTGAAAAAGAAATTAATAAAATTATCTCATTCATAATCACATCAAAAAGTAGAATATTTTGGAATAAATTCACCCAAGGAGGTAAAAAGTCTTTTCACTGAAAACTGTAAGATACTGATGAAAGAAACTGAAGAAGATACAAATAAATGAAGATATCCTGTGTTCATGGATTGGAAGAATTAATATTGTTAAAGTGTCCATACTCTCCAAAGCAATCTATAGATTCAATGTAATCCCCATCAAAATTTCAATGACATTTTTAATAGAAATAGAAAAAACCTCCTAAAATTTGTATGGAATCACAAAAAAAAAAACCTGAGTAGCCACAGCAATCCTGAGAAAAAACAAAGCTGGAGGCATTACACTTCCTGATTTCAAAGTAAAATACAAAGCGATAGTTACCGTCTTAACCCTTTTTAAGTATATATTATAGTTTAGTGGCATTAAGTTCATTCACATTCTTATGCTACCATCACCACTGTTAATCCACAGAACTCTTTTTATCTTGAACATCTGAAACTCTGTGCCTATTAAACATTAACTTTCCATTCCCTCCTCCCTCCAGACCCTGGTGATCACTATTCTAATTTCTGTCTCTATGAACCCCATATAAGTGGAATCATACAGTATTTGTCATGTTTGTGACTGGCTTATTTCACTTAGTGTAATGTTCTCAAGATTCATTCGTGTTGTATATATCAGAATTTCTTTTTTTAAAGGGCTGAATAATATTCCATTATATTTAATCATATTCAATTGTGTATACTATATTTTGTATAGCCATTCATCTGTTGGTAGACACATGGGCCTCTTTCACCTTTTGGTTATTGCAGATAATGATGCTATGAACATGGGTTATACAAATATTTGTTTGAGTCCTTGCTTTCAGTTTTCTTAGTATATACCCAGAAGTGGATTTCTGGATCATATGATGATTCTGTGTTTAATTTTTTGAGGAATGCCCTACAATTTTCCACAGCTAATGAGGTGTTTACATTCCTACCAGCAATGTACAAGGATTCCAATTTCTCCACATCCTTGCCAACACTTGTTATTTTCAATTTTTTAATAGCAGCCATCCAAATAGGTTGGTCTTACTTTAAATTAGCAATTCATTTCTTTCAGTGTATTTAAATTTTCTATGATTTACTGTGTGTGTTTGGGTAAATTTTCATTTTCTAGGAAAGGATCTAGTTTTTTCCCTAAATTTCTAAATGTCTTGGCAGAAGTTTTTTGGGGTATTCTAGATATTTTATGCAATCTCAGTTTTACCTGTAACTGTAATGCTGTTAATAACATAGCCTTAAAATAAATGTAGCAAAAATTGACAGAGCAACAAGAAGAGATAAATCTATCATACTGGGAAATTTGTAACCCTCTCAATCGGTAATTGAAAGAAGCAGCAGACAAAAATCAGCATAGATACAGAATATTGCAATATTCTATTTTTTCTTGATCATTTCATTTTTTTCATGATTATCCTTGTCAAAAGTTTTTATTTCCTAAAATTTGAATTTTGGTTTTATTGATCTTGTCTATTGTCGCTTTATTTTTTATTTTGTTAATGTCCATTATTTGACTTTTTTTTTCCTTTTTACCTCTTTCTTGGAATTTTGATGTTATTTTTCTTCCTTTCATTTCCTGTCCTTTCCTTTCCTTTCCTTTTCCTTTTCCTTTTTTTTTTTTTTTTCTTTTTTTGAAACAGAATCTTGCTCTGTCACCCAGGCTGGAGTGCAGTGGTATGATCTTGGCTCACTGCAACCTCTGCCTCCTGGGTTCAAGTGATTCTCATGCCTTAACCTCCCAAGTAGCTGGGATTACAGACATGCACCTCCATATTCAGCTAAGTTTTGTATTTTTAATAGAGATGAGGTTTCACCACTTTGGCCGGGCTGGTCTCAAAATCCTGGCCTCATGTGATCCACCAGCCTCAGCCTCCCAAAGTACTGGGATTACAGGCAAGAGCCACCACGCCCAGCCTTCATGTTATTTTTCTAACTCCTAAGGTGAATACGTGGCTCATTAACTTTCAGTACTTAATGGAAGTACTTAAAATATTAATTTCTGATTTTTCTGTATCCTGTTTGATACAAACGATTTCCATTATTACTCACTTCCACTCATTTTCTAATTTCTTTGGTATAATTAATATGCTTGATCAAATGGATAACTCGAAAAAACACATTCTCTTAAGGTATAAGGAACATTTACAAAACCTGACCATTGCAGTATTCTGTATCTATGCTGATTTTTGTCTGCTGCTTTTTATTTTGAGGCTATGTTATTAACTGCATACAAGTTTAGAATTGTGTATCTTCTCAATTTCCAGCCTTTTACTATGGAAAGTGACTCTTTTTAGTATAAGAAATGCAGTAGGTGAATAGTTTTTTCTTTTTTCTGCTGTCACTTTCTGGTTTTAAAATCAAGCTCATAATCCATTCATAAAACAAATTGGGACATTTTATCTAACTTCAAAAAGTTTTCTTAAAGTCTGTTTTGTTTGACAGTAATATAGATAAGCTGGGTTTCATTTATTTAGTATCTGTTTGATACGTCTTTTACACTTTTAAGAGTTTTGGTGATATCATGTGTACAGAAGAGTGTCTAGGATGTATGTAAACTATTCATAGAATAACAATAGAACAAATTTCTTTGTACCCATCATTTGGGTTAGTGAGAATCTCCTGGTGGGGAAATCTGATTTTTGCTTATCTAAAATTGTGCTTTTGTTTGTAAATGGGGTTTTCACTGGGGGTAGAATTATAGCTTGACAATTTTATATTCCAAGAATTTATTGATTAGATATTATTCTCTATCGTCTTGCTTCCATTCCTAATACAGTAAGTTCATTCCTCTTTATTCTTTTTCAAAATTGCCATATTTCTCTATTTTTCAATTTGTGTATCGCCTTTGCAGTTAAGTTGTTCAGTTCAAAAATAACCGTTTGAATTTTGATTGAGATTGTTTTAAAATTGTAGATTAAATTATCCTTAAGAGCAGACATTATTTAAATATTGATTTTTTTCCTTCCAGGGACTTGAATGTTTGTCTAGTCATGTCTTGCATTTGTGTGTATGTGTCATTGAGTAAAGTTTACGGTTTTCTTCAATTAAGTATTGAAAATTTCTTTAATAATTTAATTTTAATAATTTTTTTCCAATTATATCAAAGTAAATCTGTACATTTCTGTGTATTGATTTTGTGTCTGTCCACTGAGCATTTTTATTCTATTGGATTTTTTTGGCTGATTTACTAATTATTTGGTCCAAAAATAGTGACAGTTTGTAAGGTATTTTCTAATATTTTTACTTTTTTAATACGTGCTTTTGTTTTTATTGCATTGACTAGGACCTCATTGCAATGTTGAAAAGGAGTAGTGAAAACAAGATCAAGAGCCCTCTTTTTTCCCTTGCTTTTGATTCCAGTGGAAATACCTCTTCAAAGATATAATATTTTGGGTTCACTGTGTTCATATTTCACTTAGAAGTTTTTTATTCATATCCTTTTTTCCTATATGAACTTCGTCTATAGTTTTACTTTTTCTAGTCTCATTTTCTGGACTTAATATGAAGTTCATAATAGACATAAGTAAATAAGGGCTCTTTCCAGCCTTATCTGTGTTCTGGAGCAGTTTCTCTAACATAGTCTTTTTCTTAAAGATTTGGTAGACTTACTTATAAACTATCTAGACCTGATGTTCTTTTCTTTTCTAGTGAACTTTATTTTAGAATAATTTTAGGTTTACAAAAAAGCTGTAAAGATAGTAGAATTTCTATATACCCTTTGCACAGTTTCCCCTGTTATTTATATCTTATATTACCATGGTACATGAGTTAAATTTGTTAAAATTAATAAACAGTGGTACATTAATATAACTAAACACCAGACTTTATTTGGATTTCATTAGTATTTCCAATACTGTTCTTTTTCTATTTCAGGATTTTATCTAGGACTATACATTTCATTTAGTCACTATGTCCCCTTGGTACTCTCTGGTTTGTGACAGTTTCTCAATCTTTTCTTGTTTTTCATGGCCCTATCGGTTTTGAGGAGTGCTGGGTGAGGCATTTTGCAGAATGTCTCTCATTTGGGTTCGCCTGATGACTTGAAGTATATTTATAGATTTTTTTTTCTCATGATTACCCTGGGGTTATATATATTTGGTGGGAATACCATAGAGTTTAAATGTCCTTTATGCCACATCATATCAGAGATACATACAATTATAACTTATTTCTTGCCACAGTAGTGTTTGCAATGTTTCTTCACTGTGAAGTGACTATTTTTTTTTTCCATATCTTGGAAGGAGGTTTCAAGGGGTTGGGATACCTGTGGGAGGGATTAGGTTTCAGCTTCCAGAGGAGGACTATCTATATAAAATTTTTGGAATTCTTCTGGTAAGGAAGGTTTGCCCATATTTATTTATTCATTTTTTATATCAGATGGACTTTTTTTTTTTTTACTTTGAGTTATATTCTAGTACTACATTATCTTATTGCTAATACTGTTCCAGCTTTGGTGATTAGGAGCTCTTTCAGTTAGTTTTTGTGTCTTTTTGATGTTGCCCTGTTTAGTTTTTTTTGGACACCTCTTTACTGGCATTTTATAATCTTGTAAGCAGCAGCCTTCTCTGGTATTCTTCCTTTTCTAGCCCTAGAATCAGCCACTTCTCCAAGGAGCTCTGTTTTTTTTTTTGTTTTCAAGGATAACATTTAGAAAACAAGACCTAGATATAAGGAGTGCTCATTATTAACTGAGGTGTTGCTACTTCTAGGCCCTCAGGTTTAGAAGCCATTTTTAGGGGGAGGCTTTTCTCTACCATATCAGTTTCTTCTATATTCATTGTCTCTTAAGATTTTCCAGGTGTTCTTGAGTCAATAATTGATATTTTTTTAGAAAATTACTGTCTTAGATTAGATTTTCTAATTTATTTTAATAAAATATACACATAGTAAGTAGCCTCTTTAAAATCATTAAAATCTGTTTTCTGTTTTCTGATTTCAGTATTTTACACTTTGTTTTTGCCTTAATCAAACTTGCTAATGGTTTTTAAAATTTTTCTTCTTTTTACCTTTTTTCAGTCTCTTTCTCTCTCCTTCCCTCTACCCCGTCTCAGTTGAATGATTAATTTGTTTTTATTTGTTCTTGTTTTAAGACATGTTATTTAATGCCACATATTTCCTTTAATTGAGGACAGTTTGATTTTCATTTTTTTTCCTTTTTAAGAAAGAGGCATTTGGGCTGGGTGCGGTGGCTCATGCCTGTAATCCCAGCACTTTGAAAGGCTGAGGCGGGCGGATCACTAGGTCAGGAGATCGAGACCATCCTGGCTAACATGGTGAAACCCTGTCTCTACTAAAAATACAAAAAATTAGCTGGCCGTGGTGACGAGCACCTGTAGTCCCAGCTACTCTGGAGGCTGAGGCAGGAGAATGGCGTGAACCCAGGAGGTGGAGATTGCAGTGAGCCGAGATCGTGCCAGGGCACTCCAGCCTGGACGACAGAGCAAGACTCTGTCTCAAAAAAAAAAAAAAAAAAAAAAAGAGAGGCATTTAAGGCTACAGTAACCAAAACAGCATGGTACTGGTACCAAAACAGATATATAGACCAATGGAACAGAACAGAGGCCTCAGAAATAACACCACACAACCATCCGATCTTAGACAAACCTGACAAAAACAAGCAATGGGGAGAGGATTCCCTAGTTAATAAATGGTGTTGGGAAAACTGGCTAGCCATATGCAGAAAATTGAAAGTGCACCCTTTCCTTACACCTTACGCAAAAATTAACTCAAGATGAATTAAAGACTTAAAAATAAGAAAACCATAAAAATTGTAGAAGAAAACCTAGGCAATACCATTTAGGACATAGGCATGGGCAAAGAATTCATGACTAAAACACCAAAAGCAATGGCAACAAAAGCCAAGATTGACAAATGGGATCTAATTAAACCAAAGAGCTTCTGCACAGCAAAAGAAACTACCATCAGAGTAAACAGGCAACCTACAGAATGGGAGAAAATTTTTGCAATCTATCCATATGACAAAGGGCTAATATCCAGAATCTACAAATAACTTAAACACGTTTACAGGAAGAAAACAACCCCATCAAAAAGTGGGCGGAGGATATGAACAGACACTTCTCAAAAGAAGACATTTATGCAGCCAACAAACATATGATGAAAAGCTCATCATC
The DNA here is from genome assembly GCF_000001405.40 of Homo sapiens. Classification (NCBI taxonomy): domain Eukaryota; kingdom Metazoa; phylum Chordata; class Mammalia; order Primates; family Hominidae; genus Homo; species Homo sapiens. Next base: position 76,688,190 of record NC_000015.10, on the reverse strand, counting down.
ACTGGTCATTAGAGAAATGCAAATCAAAACCACAGTGAGATCCCATCTCACGCCAGTTAGAATGGTGATTATTAAAGTCAGGAAACAACAGATGTTGGAGAGGATGTGGAGAAATAGGAGTGCTTTTACGCTGTTGGTGGGAGTGTAAATTAGTTCAACCATTGCAGAAGACAGTGTGGCGATTCCTCAAGGGTCTAGAACTAGGAATACTATTTGACCCAACCATCCCATTACTGGGTATATACCCAAAGGATTATAAAACATTGTACTATAAAGACACATGTACATGTATGTTTATTGCAGCACTGTTCACAATAGCAAATACTTGGAACCAACCCAAGTGCTCATCAGTGATAGACTGGATAAAGAAAAGGTGGCATATGCACACCATGGAATATTATGCAGCCATAAAAAAGGATGAGTTCATGTCCTTTGCAGGGACATGGATGAAGCTGGAAACCATCATTCTCAGCAAACCAACACAAGAACAGAAAACCAAACACCGCATGTTCTCACTCATAAGTGGGAGCTGAACAACGAGAACACCTGGACACAAGAAGGGGAACATCACGCACCGGGGCCTGTTGGGGATGGGGTGCTAGGGGAGGGATAGTATTAGGAGAAATACCTAATGTAGATCATGGGTTGATGGGGGCAGCAAGCCACCATGGCGTGTGTATACCTGTGTAACAAACCTGCATGTTCTGCATATGTACCCCAAACTTAAAGTATAATAATTTTAAAAAAGAGTATATGTTGCCAATATGAGGACTATTCTTTGATTTTTAATTTTTACTTTTATCGGATAATGGTAAGAGAATATGGCTTATATAAGTTCCACTTTGAGGAGTTTATTAATTTTTCTTTGTAGTTTAATATATTGTAACATTTTAAGAGTAATCTCTTTTCTCTCTGGGTATATATAACATATATTAGATCAAATGTCTTAATTATCATGTAAATCTTACTTTTTTATCCGATTGGTTTTTGTTCATTTAAATCCTTTACTCAAAATGGAAAGAATGCCAATATGCTATTATTGTTATTTCTTCACATCTCCTTGTATTTTTAAAATCAATATTTGCTATTTATGTATTCCAAAGATTTATCATCACAGTCATAACTTTTTATATCTCTTTTACTGGTGAAGTTTACCTTTTAAGAATATGAAGCATTCCTCTTTCCTATTTAATGCCTTTCTCCTTGAATATTATTTTTGTCTGGTATTAATATGCAAACCTAGTTTTGGTTAATGTTGCTTGATAGATCCTCTTCCCTCTTGTCCCATTCATAATTTATATTTTGATTTTTTTGAATGTAGGTCTATTCCTAAAATGTATACTTTTATTTTGGTTGTTTATTGCTTTACAAAAAGAATACCTTGCTGTATGTAATCTTTAGGGACTTGTGCTTTTTCCTTCAGTATTATAATGCTTATATTCATCCAATTACTATGAAGAGCTTTAGTTTGTTGGTTTTGGTTGCTGTACTGTTTTGTGATTATACACGATTTATTTACTATCCTTTTGATTGGTGTTTATGTTGTTTTTAAGTTTCTGATTTGTAAGTAGTGTTGGTGTTAACATTCCTATACATACCACTTGTACATGTATAAGAGTTTTCCTTGGGTATATACCTAAGGGTGGAATGCTGAGTAGTATGGTATATAAATGTTCAATTTTAGAGATGATCCTATACTGTTTTTCTAATTGGTTGCACCAATTTGCACTCTTACCAGTGACGTATAAGAGTTATAGATTTACATTCTCCACAACTCTTGGCATTATATGGGTTTTTAACATTTGCCAATCAAGTAGGTGTAAAGTGATATTTCATTATAGGCTTGATTTTTATTTGCATGATCATTAATGACATAAAACATTTCTTCATGTTTTAGGTAAGTATTTTCTGTTCTGTAGAATGTCTGTGGCTGTTCTGCCCCTTTTCTGTTGAGTTCTATTGGGTTGTTTACTTTTCCTTTTTATTTTTAGGCTTTTTTCACAAATTGTTACTAGTTTTTTATTAGTTATGTATATTGGAAATATCTATAACAGTTTTTAACTTAGATTTTCATATTCTTATATCTATTAGGAAAAATATTAATTTCAACAATCAAATTTATCAATATTGTCCTTTATAGATAGTACTTTTTGTGTTCTACTTCAAAAATCTTCTCTATCTTACGTTATAAAAGTGGTTCACCTGCATTTTCCATTAAGTGTTTTGAAGTTTTGTTTTTGACATTTAAATCTTCAATCCACTTAGAATTATTTTTTACAGCTCCTTTTATTGGACTCTTCTTTCACCATCTCATGTCACCTCTGTTTTATGCTACATTTCATGCATGCATGAACTGTTTCTGGATTCCCTATCCTCGTTTGTCTGCTCCATTATCATGTTATCTTACTTAAGAAACTTGTTGTCCTACACAGGAGAACAAGATCTTTTTTGTGGCTTCTTGTCCTTTTACTCATCCTTATACATTTTAGAATTAAATTGTCAAGTTCTATCAAAAACTGTTGAGAATTGTTTTAAATCAGATCATTTGGGAAATAATTCACATCTTCCTGATATTCTTCTTATTTGTGAATGCCATATTATTACATTTCAATTAGGCCTTTAAGAATATTCGTTACTAAATTAGGTTTTATAATTCCCCCTGGCGGTATTTTTTACCTGTTAGTTTGTTGCTCTATAGAAATGCAAGTGATTTTGCATATCAAGCTCATATTTAGCCCTCTTGTTAAACTCTTATTTCCAGTAACTTGTCTGTAGATTGAGGTTTCTATGTAAATAATCACACTACAAATAATAAGGTTGTATTGTGTATTTGCATTGTTTATAACTCAAATTTACTTTTTTTTTTTTAAATCACATTGGCTCATATCCATAGTACAATGGTGAACACATGTAGCGGTGGCATTCTGTCTCATACCTGATTTTAAAGAGTATGATTCTAAAGTTTTCTCACTTAAAACGATGTTTGCTTTAGGTGTGTAATAACTAGTCTTTTCAGTTAAGGAAGCTTCTTTTTCTAATTTCTAAATATTGGCTTATGGATTTGTTGTTTAATCTTTTAGTATAGTGACATATTTATTTCCTAATATTAAACTGTTTTTGCTAAGCTGGAATAACCCTAATTCATTACTGGTATATTATCTTTTTTATGTATTCTTTGCTAATATTCTGTTCACTACTATAGCATATAAATTTATGAGTTGATAGAGTTTTATAATTTTTCCTTTTTTGCGTCATCTTTGGTTATCAGGATTATTCTCATACAATAAGTTAGGAACTCTTTTTTTTCTATTTTCTGGAAGATTTGTACAATACCAGGATTGTCTTTTCTTTGAAATTTTGAAAGAAATTCCTTGAAAATTCATCTGGTCCTGGTCCTTTCTTGGTTGGAAGATTCTTAAACAACCTTTAGTATTATTAATAATTACTAATGTATTTAAATATTTCCCTTTTAGTCTCTTCTGCAAAGTTAAGAGTTTTCTAGAAATTTATTTTTATACTGTTTTAAACATATTTTCATGTAGTTATTGATAGCATTCTTGTATCTTTTAAGTCTCTACCTCATTTGTAGTTATAGCCCTTTCTTAGTCATAATACTGTTTGAGTATCCTTTTATTTTTAGTCTTCCCTAAGGTTTTTTTTATTTTTAATATCTTAAAATTTATTTAATTTTTAAATTTTCAATTACTATGGGTATGTAATAGTTGAATATAATTGTGGTGTACATGTGATGTTTTGATACAGGCATACAATGTGTAATGACCAAATCAGAGTAATTGGGGTATCCATCACCTCCAGCAGTAGATTTTTCTCTATCCCTTTACATTGAGCATATGGGTGTCATTGCATGTGAGATGGGTGTCTTGAAGATAGCATGTAATTGGGTCTTGCTTTTTTATCCAGCTTGCCACTCTGTGCCTTTTAATTGGGACATTTATACCATTCAGAGTTAATATTCGTATGTGTAGATTTGATCCTGTCATCATGGTGTTAGTTGGTTATTATGCAGACTTGATTGCCTGGCTGCTTTATAGTGTCGGTGGTCTATATAGTTAAGTGTGTTTTTGTGGAGGCTGGTAGCCATCTTTCCTATTCATATTTATCACTCCCTTAAGGACCTCTTATAAGGCAGGTCTGTGGTAATGAATTCCCTTAGCATTTGTTTGTCTGAAAAGGGTCTTATTTTTCCTTTGCTTTTGAAGCTTAGTTGGGCTGCATGTGAAATTCTTTTTAATTTTTAGAAACGTGGTCTTGCTCCATTACAAGGCTGAACTCCAACTCTTGGCCTCAGTCAGTCCTCCTGCCTCAGCCTCCCGAGTTGCTAGGATTATAGGTGTGAGCCACCCCGCCCAACTCTGCAATATGAAATTCTTGGTTGGAATTTCTTTTTCTTTAAGAATGCTGAATGTAGACCCCCCCACCCCCTACAGTGTCTTCTGTCTTGTAAGGTTTCTGCTAAACAGTTTGCTGTTAGCTTGATAGGGGTTCCTTTTGTAAGTGATCTGTGCCTTCTTTCTAGCTACCTTTAACATTTTTTTTTCTTTCATTTCGACCTTGGGAAACCTGATGACTCTGTGTTTTGGGGATGGCCATCTTGTATAGTATTGTGCAGGGTTCTCTGTGTTTTCTGAAGTTGAATTATGGCCTTTCTAGCATGGTCAGGGAAATTTTCATGGATGATAACCCTCAGATATATTTTCCATATTTGCATGCTTTTTCTCCTTGTCTTTCAGGGATGCCATGGCATCATTGATTTGGTCTTGTTACATAATCCCATATTTCTCAGAGGTTTTGGTCATTTTTCTTTATTCTTTTTTCTTTATTTTGTTTGACTGAGTTAATTCGGAGAACCAGTCTTTGTGACCTGAGATTCTTTCCTCAGCTTGGTCAATTCTGCTGTTAATATTTGTGATTGTGTTATGAGATTCTCGAAGTGAGTTTTTCAGCTCTATCAGATCAATTTTTTTTTTCATAAAATGAGTGTTTCATTTTTTAACTCCTGCATTGTTTCATCGTATTTCTTAGATACTTGGGTTGGGTTTTGACTGCCTCCTGAATCTCCACAATGGATGTTCCTATCCATATTCTGAATTCTATGTCTGTCATTTCAGCCATTTCAGCCTGGTTAAGAACCATTCCCGGGGAACTAATATGGTACTTTTGAGGTAAGAAGACATTCTGGCTTTTTGAGTTGCCACAGATCTTATTCTTTCTCATGTATGTGGGCTGATGTTCCTTCAGTTTTTGAAGTTGCTGTGCTTTGGATGGGGTCGTTTTGTTTTTAATCTTATTTGGTGCCCTTGGGGTTTCATTGTGTTATAAGGTGGGCTCAGTTGGCTGACTTCATTTTTGGAAAATTTTAGGGGGCCAGAGCTCAACTAAGTACTCCTAGGCTGTGTGCTGTAACTCTGGGGGGCTAGTATCCAGCCCTCTGCTTTGTTTTCTGGCCCCTTGAGGTTAGGAACCTGCTTTCCTGGAGGGGCTGAAGTATTTCTGGTCTACTGACCACAACACTCTAATGGGTGGTACCAGCTAAAGTGCTTTTTCGAGGTGGTGCCTTGGGATCTATGCTCACTTGTATGTGTCAGCAAATGCCGCACTGTTTTGGGGTATACTCATGTTGGCTATGGTGGCGTAGCAGTGGGAGCTGGACTGTGGCCTTCCTGCTTGTGCTTGTGCCAGCAGGGGTGGGGCAGGATTTCCAGCATTTGTGTTTGCACTCGCGCTTGCAGTGGCAGGGTGTTGATGGGCATGGGGCCGCCAATGTCTGTGTGCACATTCAAACTGGCAATGATGGCACAGCTGGGTACCTCCCTTTCAGCTGGGGGCATCATTGGGGTGTGCTTGTGCCAGCAGCAGTGGCACAGCAGTCTGCATGCTCACACGTACACTGTGGGGTGGGGGGGGGAAGGGAGGTGAGCTCTGTCCATGTGAGTGCACTGTCACAGATGTGGGTATGTGGCCATGGGCTTCTGCATGCTGGCAAAGTGCCTGGGGAAGGTTGTCGGTAGGCTGGTACATTTCCACAGGGCCCAGTCTAACGGAGCTCTCTGATGGTCAGATGAAGTGTCTTGACAAAGAACATATGAAGAGCCCCAGCGGCACCCTGGTTGGGCATCTGAGGCAGAGCTCCAAGTGGTGCAGTCATGCTGGGGCTGCAGGAGAGGCTAGCATACAGGGCGGTGCCCAGATGGGACTGCCTGTGTCTCATGGGCAAGACCACTTTGCCCTGTCCAGGTCTGACAATCACTCTAAGGCTAAAATCTCCTAGAGGAGCATGGTGAGCCTTGGGGGATGGTCAGTCATTGCCAGGCTCTACTGCAGACGTTCCCACACCAAATCCTCTAGGCTTCAACAGGCTGGAGTCTTGCCCCTACCGCCCCTCTAAGCAGCTCTCCCTGTTAGCATAAGTGTCTGTGGTAGTTGTGATGTCTTCTGCTGCTAGGATTCCAGGGATCTGTGGAGAGAAGAGGCCACTCCTTGCCTCCTCAACTCATCTCTTCCCCAGAATTTTTGGGTGCCAAGAACCAGTCCTGGTTCTCAGTATCCCCATGCCGTGTTTCCAGCTTCCTCCCTCTTCATCCCAGCATCTGCATTCTGCTTCTGTTCACTCTCGCTGCTTCCCCCTGACAGTCTACTCAGAGTATGCCAGTCACCTCCATGTCCCAATCACTGGGTGATAGATGTTCCTCCTGGCTGCATCCAGTTGGCCATCTTGGCCACTACACTGTTTTGTATCCCCTTTGGTCTTAGATGGGTCTCTTACAGATAGCTTGTGCCTGGATTTTCTTCTGTTAAACTAGTCTTATAGTATTTATCTTTTAGTTGAGGATTTGTTTTTAAGTGGACACAGTATTTAATAGTATTGTAATATGCATAATTATTTTATTTTACAATGTTTCTTACTGTAGGAAATTTGAAAATTGGGTAAGTTCTCCTTTTGTTTATAGGGTTAGGAATAGATTTTTCTTAGAAATGTGTATTACAGTAGAGAGCTTTGAGGTATAACTATCATACATTTCTTACCCTGATTTTTAAGTGTACAATTTAATTAATTTTGGCATATACATAACACCATGGAACCATCACCATGATCAAGATAGTGAACAAATTTATCACCTCAAAACTTTCCTCATCTACTATATCCTTGCTGATTTTTCTCTTGTCTCACCAGTTTTTGAGAGAGGATATTGAAATCTCTGATTTTAATTGTGTGTTTGTCTTCATGTAGTCTTCAATTGTATTATTAGCTATATAAATGTGTCTTAGTATGTTTTTGTGTTGCTTCAGAAGAACACCTGAGGCTGGTTAATTTATAAAGAAAAGACATCTCTTTAGCTGACAGTTCTGCTAGCTGGAAGGTTTAAGATTGAGCACATAGTGAGGTCCTCAGGGTGCTTCCACTCATGTCAGAAAGTGAAGAGGAGCTGGTGCATGCAGAGATCACATGGTGAGAGAGGAAGCAAGAGAGTGAAGAGGGAGGTTCTAGGCTCTTTTTAACCAGCAGCTCTCATGGGAACTAATAGAGGAAGGACTCACCGCTCCACCAAGGAAGGGCCTTTATCTAATCATAAGGCATCCACCCCCATCACCCAATAACTTCCCAGTATGCCCCACCTCCAACATTAGGGATCAAATTTTAATATGAAATTTGGAGTGGACAAGCATCCAAGGTATAGCAAATGCTAAGGATTGTTAGGTTTTCTTAATTGGCCCCTGTATTATTATTATTATTATTATTATTATTATTATTATTATTATCATCATCATCATCATGAAATGACCTACTTTGTCCCTGTGCATATTCTTTGCTCTGAAATTTACCTGGTTTAATATTAATATAGCCATTTCAGCTTTCTTTTCTGTTGTGTTAGGATGGTATATCATTTTCTGTCATTCTACTTTTAACCTATGTATTGTATATTTGCATGCATTTTTTTGGTCAGTATTTAGAAGTTAACAGCACTGTGATGAAGCTGCTGACACCCTCAAGCCCTTGTCACCTATGGCTGTGGAAGCTACTCGAAACTAAGGACTTCTGGCTCTGAGCATTATCTTCCCTTTGATCTTGGTTTGAAAGATTGATGTTATTTGTGATATATGGTATTACTGTTACTCTATTACTAAAATATTTTCTAAGGATGAAGCCTGTTACTAGTCAAGTTGCTGTATTTGAAATCTGAGAATTCTGAGAAAACACCTTTCATTACAAGGCATGGTTCAGTACAACTGAATCATTCCTTGTTGCAATATTGAGCTCAGACGTTTCTTATTCTTCACAGCATGATAAATTAATAACCTTTTTGAACTGTGGGCTTTCCTTTGAGTTGTCTGTTAAACCTCAGATTAGATCAGAAAGGAACATCAGAATCTGCAAAAGAAGGGTTTACCTCATTCATCATTGCCACCTACCAGAAAACTGATGGAGTATTTGTAATTGTCACTGAGTGGTGAGGGGACAGATGGTGAACTGTCATCCTTATCAGTGGATGGCTTTTCTCTTTTGCATGGTGTCTGTTTCACAGTATTTCATTAGCTTTATTTTTCTCATCTGTCACTTTAAACAATATAATAAATAAATTGTAACTGATAAAAATATAAGTATATCCTACATCTGTGGAAAGGGACCTTAGCAGAGTTGAATCTTTTGTATAATTAAAATGACATATTTATTTTCAGAAGTTGTCATTGCCATATATGTTTAAAGTGATGTAGTCACAAATGATGCATAAATAATAAATGATGCATAAATGATAAAAATGCATTGCATTTCAGATTTTCAGATTTTCTCAAATTTACTGTTTGACAGAATTTTAAACTTAAATATAATGGAACTGTCAGTCTTTTTCTTTTATTTTTAAAAGCATTTCTTGAGCACTTGCTTGTGTAATCTCTATTAGGCCAGGTGCTAGGGAAACATAGGTAAAAGATGTCATGTGAGCCCACCTCTGACAAATTTCACAGTTTCTTGAATCTCTAAACACACTCATTTTTATATGAATTAAGTAATTTTTCTATATTGTTGTCTTCATTTTTGAATAGTGTTTGAATACTGTCTGTGGATACTTTATTTGATATGCCTAATGCCATCCAAGACATTCGTAATTACAAATCAGCTTTAAAGAGTTCCTCTGTGTACTTTCTGGAACATAATCTGTTGGAATGTTTTCTTGGATGAGTGATCATCTATGAAAAGAACAGTTTACTACAGATTCCTTTGGTCTTAGTCTGAATAAAACTCTGGCCCCCAGAGAATCATTCCTCCTTAACTTAAGCAGTTAGCATAAGTCCTTGATACATAGTAGGTTTTGAATTAAATGTTAGTGAATTGAGCTAAAACCCTAACTTATTATCTTCAGTATGCTGTATCTATGGGGATGCTATATAAAATATGTGATAAAGTGCTGTCTAAAAATGCCCTTTGTTTTTAGGTGAGTGTTCCTTTATTTTTCCCTCTTTTATCTGTTTCTCTGTCTTGTTCTCCCAATTTTCCTTCTTCTTCTTTCTCTTCCAGGTACCTTGATCTCTTTCCTGCCCTCCTATACCTTCCTCACCTTTTACTTCTCTCACCCTCTTCATCATCCAGAGAAACAAGAAATATAAGTTTTAACCCTTCAGTCCCTCACCCCTTCCCAATTTGGGTAGAAGGCAGTGAGGGAGTATTATAAATGCTTCCTATTTATCTTATTTGTTGTCGTGCTGGGCAGGCTTAAAGCGGTGGTATACTTAATAATATTTTTTAAATGTGAGGAAAAAAAATGGATTTTTCAGTTAACTGGTAAAACTGGATTTTAGATTCCAAAGTTGATAAAATGTAGGCTGAGACTGAGAGGAAATTTTTTTCCAAATGACATGTGAAAACCGTTGCACTAATTTTTTATGTATTTAGATTTGTAACTTGGTTTCCACCCTGGTCTTAAAAATAAACTTTAAAGAAATAAGCCTTTAAGCAAGACATTGAATTTTTTTTGAAAAACTCTGATTTTCTAATAAAAAAATTTGTATTACTGTAATTAAGCTTTGGATCCTTTTTTTCAAAGTGTACATTTAAATCCATTTGATCTAGGAAGAAAAGTATCTTTGAATATTCTAAATTCTATTATAATATTTAAAATAATGGGAAGGAGATTATTTGCTTCATTGTGCCACATTTTATGGAATGTGTTTGAGACAACACTTGACAGAACTCTAAAAATGGCAGCTTAATGAAATTCTGTGTTGTGTCATTTATATTTCCTGCCTATTCTATTTTTAGAACTTTTATTCTTTTCCAAAGATCATGAACCTATTGGTCAGTTTTTTTCCCCATGTCTCTTAAAAAATAGGAAATATGGGAACCCTTAGGAGGAGTCTGATAGACTATCAAGGTCATAAACCTGAGTATGAATTATTTCATAGAATACGGTAAATTATGTTAGGAAAACCAGAGCTTTGGTCTAGTATGCCATAAAAGGTAATTAAAAGAATAAGAAGGGTGTAAACTTTGATGAGATCATGTCTGCATACGTATTAGTTTCTTTATGTACATTATTATTATTTTAAACTATAGCAGTGTTGTTTAAAATTTTACAGTGTGACTTAAAAACTAGACTTAAAATTTTATTGTGTGTGTGGAATTAGCCACCATTAATTAGCTTTTGGGCTTGTTACATTGATTTTTAGAATATTAGGGAAGGAGGACTTTATAATTTATTATCTAATCCCTTAATTTTACTAATTAGGAAACTGATGCCTAGAGAAGTCAGTCAGTCATGAGTTGCAGACTTTATCTTGGTGTGGATCTCTTGACTCACAGTTTAGTGCTCCTTCTACTGCATCAAGCTGCTTTTCTATACCTAAAATAAAAACAGTGTCCCTATTAAGGCTTAATTAGAATTAACAGTATGAAATATGGTCAACTAAGACTCATTTCTGATTCTCTTAGTAGGAGATAGGAATTGTATTATGCAGGATTCAGTGAGGCTAGAAGTCACATTTTAAAAATTATATTAGGAAGGAAGGAGATCCAGGCACCTTTTGGGAAGATTTTTATTGTGATTCACATTTTGAAAATGAGTAAGTCAGTCTTATCTACTGTGTCTCACAGGGTATATCTTTGCTTTTACTTGTGCCTGTGACATAGTAATTAGCTTTGAGAATAGATACAAAAAGATAAGTGATGTCTATACAACAGATATTGTACAACAACTATAACCTTATGCAAATTGACCCTCTTTACTTGAAAGATACTGCTTTTTCTTCCATTTCCTTAATAACATTATTTATAATATTTATAATAAAGTACATATTAATATATATTTATTGTAGAAAATTGAAGCAAAAACAAAGTAATGCCTGCTGTATTAACATTTTGATCTAATTATTTTCTTCTTTTTATGCCCAAATATATAAAACTCACACATTTATATATAAACTGCATTGCATAGATTTGAATCCAGAATTTCTATTTAACATTATACAATGAAAATTTTAATATAATTAATATTGTTTAAAATTAAATTTATATAGTATCATCTCAATGCATGTGCCATAATTTATGTAATCAATTTCTTACTGCTGATATTTTGTTGTAAATCTCACTGCAGTGAATATCTTTATAGAGAAATCTTTTTGTACATCTCTATTTCATTATGGCAATTTTTCAGAAATAAAATTATTTAAAGTACCTTTTTTTGACTGATCACTTACTAAATATTAGGTAGACTGGGGTATAAGACTAGTTGACTGTTTAGCAAGGTAGATTGTTATGAAATGTGACTATGTAGAACAGAGGCAGGTATACCAGTATCCAAAGACCTCCATCTTTTTGATGGCTGGAGCTATAGATGACTTGAAGCGAACAGCATTTGAAATAAAAGGAGGTAAAATTTCTGTGTTTTTCTGATCCCAGCCAGTGCAGGCTGGGTGAAGGAAGTGGGGTGTTAAGAAAGGATGCCATCAAGGCTCAGGGCCCAAAGGTTGCATTCTAAGGTTCTGAGCAGAGTTCAAATCACAGCAGGAATCTCAAGCAATGAGTAGGGAGAAGAAGAAATTAAGAAACCCAGTTTCAGCCGGGCACAGTGGCTCACGCCTGTAATCTCGGCACTTTGGAAGGCCGAGGTGGGTGGATCACCTGAGGTCAGGAGTTCGAGACCAGCCTGGCCAACATGGCAAAACCCCATCTCTACTAAAAATACAAAAATTAGCCAGGCATGGTGGCGGGCGCCTGTAATCCCAGCTACTCGGGAGGCTGAGGCAGGAGAATCACTTGAACCCAGGAGGTGGAGGTTGTAGTAAGCTGAGATCACGCCACTGCAGTCCAGCCTGGGTGATAGAGTGGGACTCCATCTCAAAAAAAAAAAACCAGTTTCATGGAATGGACTACCCACCCCTGAGGATAGATTGAAGAGTGCTGCATGCCCAAATACAGAAGCGTTCAAGTGTATTGGATTCTGGACCTAGAGTAGCAAGAGTAATTTCAGAACCTACAAGTTAGTATATGGATCCTGTTAGTGTACTTCGTATCATGGCAGATTTGGCTATGGAATTATGGGAAGGGCATTAGAACCTTCACTTCAAAGTAGCTCCAGAAAGCAGAGCCTGACCGTTTTTTGTCAGCATTGTTACTTAGAAGGTTCAGCTTCTGCATCATTCTGTAATTGCCAGTTAAATTTTGTCCTGTTCCATAGCCTCAGACATAAGAGAACCAAGCAAGGAAAGTGATGAGGTCAATACAAATATATCACCTCTTCTTTCAGTAAAGCATATCCTTATTAATTTTACTTTTCTGCAGAAGATTGTTTTCTCCTATCCTTATAACAGATTTCAAACTTGCAGTACAGTATATGCTTTCAGCACTTGAATAGTGCACAAATGTGTTAATTTCGTTTTAAGTTCAGGTCTTAGATGCTTGAGAGATATAAATATTATAATTTCATCTACTTATTTGGCAAGCCAAACATGGAATTTTAAGATTTATATGTATATATTATTTTTCTCTACAAAATGACTCTTTTGTAAACTATTATGGTGAATTTAAAACATACATAATAGTTGACAGAATAGTATGATGAACCTCCACTTACTCATCACACAACCTTGCAGTGATAAACTTGTGGTAAATCCTGCCTCATTGGCATTCCATCCGCTCTCCATAAGTACTATCTTGAAGTCAATTCCAGGTAACATTTCATTATGGCTATTTTTTATGGAGGTTTTCTTTCTGCTTCCGAAAGTAACACATGCTTCTTATAAAAGAGGAAATTTAAAACTTGTCACAATCATCTAGTGAGAAATTTTAATTTTTGCCTTTTCTTATGTTACTTTATGCGTGCCAATGTATACATATAAATACACACAAAATATATATTATGTATAAAACTTTGCTGCATAATTGTATTAGGGAAAGGTCTAAGCTGCTATAGAAGCACCAAAATACAGTGATTTTAAGAACATAGAAATTTATTTTTTACAGTACAGTTCTGAGGTAAGCAGAGTAGGTTTTCAGGGTCGCTTTATGTGACATATTTTTTCAGGGACCCATCTTCTGTCTTTACCATCTCTTCAGGTATGCCCTCCCTTCATGATTAGAGCTGTTGTTACAGGCTCTTTTCTGTTGGAATTTGCAGAAGGGGAAGAGTAAATGGACCTTAAAACACCGAGTATGCATTCATTTTCCATTGATGAGTACTCAGTCACATGGTCACCTCAAGCTACAGGAAGGACTGGAAATTCAGTTCATAGTGAAAGACTTATGTGACTTGCTATAAAGCTCTATTACTATGGAGTCTGGTGCAGTGCAATATTTCTTTGTCCTCTTTATTTCCTCCCTTATAGACACATGAACCTAGAGTCTTAGACTCAGGTTTGATCCATTTGGTAAGACTATAATTGGTGTTGAGTTCTTTCATCAAGATGAACATAATGTTTGATTGTTTTTTATTTTTGTGGTATTGACGTATCAGCTATTGACGCTTAGTACCTAGATCCACTAATTAATAGATATGGGGATATTCCAGTTCTGCATTTCATTTTCATTTATTATTTGTAATACATTTATAAAGAAATGGTTCCCTCATCTACTATTTGGCTACTGAGTACAGTTTGTAAATATGTGTGTAAGTCAGTACACATTTTTTATTATTTACCAGTTTTCAAGATAATGAACTGGTTTCCTATTATCCTCCAAAGTTATCTGATTGGGGTGTGTGTGTGTGTGTGTGTGTGTGTGTGTGTGTGTGTATAGATAAATTATGAATTGATGGATTTAAATGTTTTTAATGGGTTTCAGTGATTTGTAGTTTTCCTGTTTGAATCTCAAATTATGCCATCTTTTGTTCAGTGAGAGTCTTTTAGAGTTTGTTTTCAAGTCCTTTTGACATGAGCCCAGTCAAATTTGATAGTTGCCTTGCTACCCAGTTTGACAAGGTGTTAGACTTATTATCAGCCATTTTGGTAAGAAACTCTGCTTACTTTTACTGGGAAATGATATTTCAAGACCATAATCAGAGATGCTCATTGCTACTGGGTTGATCATTGTGAACAGAATTAGGAAATGAAGAAATGAAATACGTGTATATGTGTGTGTCTGTTCAGCCTCCTCTGCATTGCATCCTGTATCTCTTTTCTTCCATACCAAATATCAGGTTCTCAAGGACAGAAGAGATGATAGAATTATAATATAACCATATTTACTCTATCCTGCCCAACACATGGAACAGTCTTAGAATAACATTACTAATAGTACCACCATCAGTGTAATTACCAAGAACAGTTTAAATTTCTTTTCATATGTTTTCCCCATTCTCCCCATCTTTTAAAAATAGTAACACGATGATAAATCTGAGACACCAGCATTATATACTGGATTCTTTAGCTTTTATCCCTAGTTTAGTCTCAGTTCTGTAAGTATGTATGCAGTGTTCACCAGTAGTCCTTGTCCATGTCTCTCCTGTCATTTTTCTTTTCTAAGGCATGTTCTGAGGAATCATGTAGATTCCTCAGAAAGGTTTGTGATAATAATATTCTCTAGGTTTTGAAAATGTTGATAATAATTTGTGCTTTTCTTGCTTGAAAGTTAATTTTACTAGATAGAAAATCTTTAGCTTATATTTCTTTCTTGAAAATGCTAAATACATTATTTTCTTTTGGCATAAAATGTTGCTGTCAAAAAGGCTGATGATAATCCAGTTTTTTTCCTTGTAAGTGACTTGTTTTTTTTCCCCCTAAATGCTGAAATAAATTTTCTTTTTATTTAAGGCTCAGAAATTTTAATAAGATATGTCAGTATTAGCCCTTTCTAGGTCAGTATTTTCGAGTGTATTGTGTACTCTTTCAGTATTTATATTCTTCACTTGATCTTAGCCAAAAGGCTGAGAAGCGATTCTTTTTATATTCTTGAAAGTTTTATTGGATTAAAGTTTTTAATATTTGATCTTTTCTCTTGCTTTGATTTACTTTGTCAAGAACTCCTATTATCTGGATCTCATCTTTGTCCTCTTGCAGTATTTCCACTTACTTTGAAATCATTTTTTATTAAAAAATTGTATCCTTTTTATTTACATTTTGAGGCATTATTTGTTGTGTTTATTTACTCTTATACATCTTCTGTTTTGTTTTTATTCCTTAAATGATTTCTTTCATTGCAATCTTTTTTTGAGTTTTAAGACCTAATTATTGAGTTTTTAAGATAGTGATTTCTGTTGTTCTCTCATGCCTTATATCATTTTTTGTGTGTGTTTCAGCTTATTTTGAAATAGAAAGTTACATTTTGACCTGTGCATACATGTTTTTGATGTGATTTGTTGTTGTTTGTAAGGTTGCTATTCAGCTTATTTGTTTTCTTCTGATAACTTTGGCATTTGACCTTGATAATTTTCTCTTGCAAATTTTTACATGGAATTAGTTTTATGAAACTTTTAGAAGGACATGTTTTAGGATAGCCATTCTAACTTCATAGAGATCCCTCTTATACAATTTTTGTGAAAAATGTAGTGGCTTGAGTTCTGAAGTTTCCTGGTTCTGTTTTCCTGTTCTGCTTTTAGCTAGGCATTGTTTTCCCCTTTGTCTCTATTATCCCTAGTTTGTACAATTTAAATTCCTTTCCCAGCAGTTTCTCCTGGAAGGGATCCCTGGTGGCTCATTTCCAGAGTCATAAGGGCTGCCCTCCACTAGTCAGATCAGACCTTCTTAATGCAAGGACCATTTACTCACCTCCTATTGAAGTCGCCAGAGCCCCTCTCACTTTCAAATGCTGTTCTCAAATTAGCCTGTTAACTCTCCAGTGAGTAACTGTTCCTTTTTTAGGGTTCTTATGTTCTGATACTCATTATTCATCCTGATGTTTCCCCCTAATTTCTCCTGCAGACACTGAAACGCTACTTCTCTGATGGTAGTTTGTCCACCCTCACTTCTTTTTTTTTTTTTAAACGGAGTCTCGCTCTGTCTCCCAGGCTGGAGTGCAGTGGTGCGATCTCGACTCACTGCAAGCTCCGCCTCCCGGGTTCACACCATTCTCCTGCCTCAGCCTCCAGAGTAGCTGGGACTACAGGCACCTGCCATCACTCCCGGCTAATTTTTTTGTATTTTTAGTAGAGACGGCGTTTCACCGTGTTAGCCAGGATGGTCTCAATCTCCTGACCTTGTGATCTGCCCACCTCGGCCTCCCACAGTGCTGGGATTACAGGCATGAGCCACCACACTCACTTCTATTTGGAGGTTGTGGGAATACCTTGTCACTTAGTATGGTTGTAAATATTTTTCATGGGTTTTACTTTAATATCTAATTGCTCTTTATGTTTGTATATGGAGATTCAGAGAGTTCAAAATTCTGCTACCACTGCCACCATCTTCTCAGAATTTTCTTTTATAATCTCAATCTGTTGCCCAGACTGGAATGCAGTGGTGCAATCACGGCTCACTGTTGCCTCAACTTCCCAGACTCAGGTGATCCTCCCACCTCAGCCTCCCATGGAGCTGGGACCGCAGGTGCATGCCCATGATGTCCTGCTAATATTTTGTGAAGATGGGGTTTTTCCATGTTGCCCAGGTTGATCTCGAACTCCTGGGCTCGACGATCCACCCGCCTCTGCCTCCCAAAGTGCTGGGATTACAGATATGAGCCCCTGCACCAAACCTTTAATAAGGATTTTAATGACTATTACTTCTTCATAGAAATATACCATAATTTACTAAACCACTCCCTCAGTGTTGAAAAAGCTTCTTTTTACATGCTTTCCATCTTCAGAAACCATGTCAAAACTTTCTTCCTGTATAACACTGTAATTATTTTAATGGACAGATAGATGATTTTTACTCTTTTATCATCAAAAGGTGATCTCTCTCTTAGAAGAAGCAAAAGCATAATGCAAACCATTAAAAGGTAATATGTAAAGACTTGAAATGTATTTATAGAAAACTGGACAGAAGAAACATCCTAAGTCACAGAAAACAAAATGCAGACAAATGGTCAAGCATACTAATACCAATATTTCAGTTAACTAATCCAGAGATTTAGAAACAAAACAGGAACACCACATACTGGCAAACCACTTGCGGGGACATAAATTAATTCCCATTTTGATTGTTCAATTTGAGAATAGTTATCAAAAGTCTTAAAAATATGTATAATCTGTGGCCCAGGTTTTTCATTTCTGTGATTTGATCATAAAGGAATAATTGACTATTTGTTTAAATTTGAACTATAGGAATATTTTGTTGCACTACTTATGACATTGAAAAATTAAAAATTATCCACATGTCTAACAATAAGGCATTACTCAAAATAGGTATATTCATGAAATGGAATAGCTTACATCTGTTAGCTTATGTTGTAGAATTATTATTTAATGGAAGGAATATATATTTATATCAAATATAGCAAATTTAAAAATTTCATAAATGGGAGAACCTATTTTTAAAAAACTATATGTGCAAAGAACAATGTCTGGAAGAATATACTTCAAAACAGTTTTTTTCTAGGTATTAGAAATATTTTAATTTTTATTTATATATATTTTGTATAATGAACACATTTTTGTGTTAAGAAAAAGTTTACTATTAAGTCAAACAAAAACATGCTCATTTGTCTCTGGTTTGAGATTTTAAAAACATTAACATTAATATGAATGCCTGATGTATGTGGTTTTGTATGTGAATATGTGTGTAAAGGCGTTGTCTATAATAAAGATATGATTCTTGATAGTTCTGGATAGAGTCCAAGTTTTTTTGTTTAGTGACTGCATTTGTGTATAAGTTTCCTGAGTGGTTTCTGTTAGATATGTAAATAACATTTATATACAACTGAAAATTGTATAATTTGGATCTTTCACAAAACTGAAGATATCATTTAGAATATTTCTTTTCCTCAGTGTAGTGATCAAATCACATGTCGGAGACTAGCCTGCATGAGCAGCATGGCGGGAGGGAATGTGGAGTAATAAAAAACCTTGATCTTGTAAAGTCAGCCAGTCGTGGTTTTGATCTTGAGCTTTGTGACCATGGGCATTATACCAAACTTCTTTGAGATTTGCATCAGTAAACATCTGTGTTTGTTAACCATCTGTGAAATGTAAACATACTACCACCTGCTTTATGGGATTGTGAAGATGATAGGAAATAATGTATGTAATTGATTCAGTCCTTTGCTAATCACATAATAAGTGTTCAATAAATGGTAGTATGGATGGTGCTTTCATATATGACTTGCTTTGTTCCATATGTCTTTGGGAGATAATGGGAAGAGGGTTTTCTCCTCCCTGCCACTCGCTGTTTTCTTTCTTTGAAAAGAAAGACCTGGGTTATTTGTTTTAAGTTTTTTTGTATGTGTGTACTTACTACTTAAATCATTGCTTTATGTTAGTGCTACTGTATAAAGGTATAGTATACCATAGGCCTAGTTTATCAAAGAAAATATTCTACAGTGAGAGAATACTTTCTTCATTTGTCTGTGGGTTTTTGTTGTTGTTGTTGTTGTTGCTGCTGCTTGTTTTTTGTTGGTAGGTTCATAATTTGGAAAGTGAGCACAACTCTGTAGCTCAGACCTATTTCCAGCCATATCTCTAAGGTAGTAGTCAAGAATGTGGATTCCCTAATCACACTGTCTGGGTTTAAATTTAGGCTCTGTCACTTTACTAGCTGCAGTGTCACTCAGTCATGGTTTTGGCCTTCTAACTTTGAAAAAGTTAGCTTTGTGTCCAAGTTTTCTCATAGTTAAAATGAGGATAATAAAAATATATACCTTCTAAGTTTTTTCTAAGTATCGTTGTAAGGACGAGATGAATGATATTATATAAAGTACTTAGCTCAATGTATCTTGTGTAATAAGGGCTGAAAAATACTATTATTAGTTGTTATTACATTGACTCTCTTTTTATTTATCTAACACATACTTACTGAGTGCTTGCCATATGCCAGGCACAGTTCTAGGCATAGAAACATCAGTGAACAAAACAGACAAAGTCATTGCCCTTGGGAAACTTATGTTTGAGGATGGAAATTGAAAATGATTATGTAATGTTAGGCAGTGATATGACTATGAAGAAATAAGGAGATGACAAATAATAGAGGGTGTATGTTAAGACTGAGCATTCACTTTGGTCAAGACCACGTAAATACCCAAGAGAATATTCTTGGCTAAGGGAACAACATATATAGAGCCCTGAGGCAGTAAAGTTTCTGATGAATGTGGGGAACAACAAGAGGACCACTGTGGATGTAGTTTTAGTGAAGAAAGAAGAGAATGGTAGATGAGATCAGAGAGATCAATGACTCAGCCTTGTAGGTCATGGTGAGAAATTTGGATTTACCCTAAGTGTGATGAGAATGTAAGTTTTGATAAAAGGAATGATGTGATTTGACTGTTGTTTTAAAAAAATAAGTGGCCATTTTTATAGAGAAAAGACCTATGGGGTCAAATTAGAAACTGTGAGACCAGTTAAGAGGCTATTGCAGTAATATAAATGACTTAGAGCAGGTGGTGGTGGTAGGGATAAGTGGTTGAATTGGGGATATATATGAAAAGAGAACTGATAGGATTTGCTGATGTATTGGATGTGAGCAATTATGCAAATGATGGTACCGTTTACTCAAATAGAGAACACTTTCAGAAGAACAATTTGATGTATATAAAGAACATAAGAGTTTTGTTGTAGACGTGTTATTTTCGAAATGCTGATTGTGGAAATGTTCCACCTAACTGGAGATTTTGAGGAGACTTTTTTTTGTTTTTTTTTTAAAGACAGTCTTGCCTTGTTGCCCAGGCTGGAGTGCAGTGGCACGATCTTGGCTCATTGCAACCTCTGCCTTCTGGGTTCAAGCAGTTCTTCTGCCTCAGCCTCCCAGGTAGCTGGGATTACAGGTATGTACAGGCATATACCACCATGCCCGGCTAATTTTTGTATTTTTAGTAGAGACGGGATTCTACCATGTTGGCCAGGCTGGTCTCGAACTCTTGCCCTCAAGTGATCCTCCCACCTTGGCTTCCCAAAGTTTTGGGATTACAGGTGTTGAGCTGCTGTTCTGGCTGAGGAGCGTTTTTTTTTTTTTTTTTTTTTTTTTTTTTTTTTTTTTGAGACTGAGTCTCGCTCTTGTTGCCCAGGCTGGAGTGCAATGGCACCATCTCGGCTCACTGCAACCTCCACCTCCTGGTTTCAGGCAATTCGAGGAGACATTTTTATGCAGGTGAATGGAGTTCAGGAGAGAGGTCAGAACTAGAGATAAAAATTTGAGAATTTTCTATGTATGAGTAATACTTCAAGTTACTGCATTAGGTGAGTGAGTTTGGATAGAGAAGAAGAAAGCTCTGAGTATAGCTCTGGGATGCTTCAACATTTAGAGGTCAAGAAGAGGAAAAGGACCTAGCAAAGAAGACTTAGAAGGAGCAGCCAATGAGTTAGAAGGACAATGTGATGTCAGGAAACCTAGTGAAGGAGTCTCAGGTAGGAGGAAATTATCTGTAGGACTAAGGTTGCAAGAAACAGATAAGAACTGAACATTGGCCACTGGCGTTACTGACCTTGACAAGGAAAATTTGTAGATTGGTAAGGGTGGTAAGGGCAAAAGCTGGACTAAAATGAGTTTGGGAGCGAATGAGAGCTAAGGAAGTAGAGGCAAAATACACTTGTTTCAACAAATTTTGGTACAAAAGGATAGTAGCTGATCAGAGACATACAAACAAGAATCCTTTTGAGATGATTTAAGTAGAAACGGGAAAACTGATGATGTAGATAAGAGGAGAAATAACCATAAAAATGCGAGACAAGGAATGGGATCCAGTTTATATTTGGAGGACTTGCTCTTAGATAGGAACAGGTGTTCATATATTATAACAGGAGGGAAGAGAGTGTACGGGCACATATGCACATTGTTTGATACATTTAGCTGTGGGAGTGTGTGGAAGCTCTCGTCTGAATAATGCTGTTTTCCTTAATCAAATAAACATAGTCATGAACTGAGAGATGGGGTTAGGAGATGACGGATATTGGAGATTTAAGGAGAGAGTCTAAAATAATTTTTAGCAAGGCAAGTGTGTAGATTAACTAATGTAAAGTTGCTTGACTGCCTGGGAATACTAGAGGCCACTTGAGGTGTAATTTCATAAATTTAAAGTTTGTAATTATAGCCACATTAATCTGCTTCAGACATAGGCTCAGAATAGGGAGAGAGTTGGATTTAGGATTGGGATTTTGCCATGCATGTATGAAAGAAGAAAGGGGGAAAAGAGTTGAGCACAGGCAACAGAATGATTATAGTGATAGGCCATAAAATCTAAGATGGATAAGGAGGGGAACTTGACCAAACACTATGTGCTCTTGCTGAACCAAAGTTTTGCTGTGGATACCCACATTCCACTTTCTCATCTCTAGGATGTGTTTTCTGAGATGACCTTCTTTTTCCTTCCTGCAGCCTCACCCTACTCACAGGCCAAATATACTTACCTAATATCCGTATGTTCACATTTTATCCTTTCTTCAAGGGATAGCAGATATGGTGCTTCCTTGCTGAAGTTTCCCCCTCTTCCGCCTAGTGAACAGTGATCTTGTTTCCCTCTTCGGGTTCTTAACGGCACTCTAAATCTCTGATTGGCTTGGTATTATAGATGATATTATAGTTTTGTGAATATATTTTACCTTTCCTACTCTACTTGTGTGATATCTTGGTAGGGTTTATGTCCATGTAGCCTTAGCATTGGCACAATTGATATGCAATGAAGTGAAGTCAGTGATGTAAAATCCTTAAGTAAAACAGTTTCTTCAACGTTTTCCATAACAATTGTAGAAACCAGTGTATTACGGAGATTACTTTTAGTTTCATCAAATGTCTTAAACTCACTGTAGTCTATAGCAATCCTATATTATATTTAAATGATCATCCTCATTATTATTATTTTATTTATTTATCTTGCAGGAGCATCTTTCCTTGAAGAAGTACATTATTGACATTGTGGTTGAAAGTACAGCTCCAGCAGAAGCTTTGAAAGATGGAGAAGAGCGGCAAAAAAATAAAAAAAAAGCCAAAAAGATAAAAGCCCGGATGAACTTCAGGTACCTTAAATACCCTTAAAAGCAAAAGAAAAACTTTTAGTGATGTATCTTTTAATGTAAATCCAAGGAAGACAAAAAAAGTTTAAAGTTGTTTGCTTCATGAAAGCCTTGGAAATAACACTGATGAGCCTAATTTATAGCCACTTTCCTTGATTGAGAAAGAAAACTGCATATCGATCTAAAGCCCTTGCTTTCACCTGTTAAGAGCTCTTCTTATAATTGGATGCCAAAGCTCTGCCAAACTTGTGCCTCCTCCAGCATACAATAGTATGTTTAAGTATGTGTAAACCAAGCCTATTTTTCTTTCCAACTATTGATTTTTAAATGAAGTATCAAAGAAAATCAATAGCAATCAACAAATAGAAGTCTACTGGCTGTAGTGTCAAATCCCATGACTAGGCTTAATCAATTTGGTTGCCTGTCACAACAAGAAAAAGTTCAAGAAATATCTTAAAATGGAAAGTGAGTTGTCAGACCTGTAGTTTATCATCAGCCTCCAAAGTGTCATCTGAAGATCAGACAGCTGTGTAGTACATCATTACCTCACAAGCTTTGAGTGTCATCTGATGACGGATGAGTCCGGTTCGAGGACACAGAGATAGCTCTGCTTTAGCAGATAATCCTTTGCTATTCAAGGGCAACTATTCTGAATATGTCCGTATACTTTTACTACTAAGTGTCTCAAAGATGGAGAAGCTTGACCCATGGGATTATAGGAATATAGAACGTACAATAATAGTGAACAGTGCAGTTATCTCTCTGTAGTTTCAGTGTTTAGATAATGATCAATCTAGGTGTCTATTTCAATTTACATAATCAATGATAACTTCAGAGTGCTCATTTAATCAAAGAATAGAAAAGGCTTTTTTGATTTTAGTTTTTGAAGTTAGTCCAGATTTCTCAGAATAGTTTTACGGTGTATTTTAGAGCATTACTGACCTTCATTTCTAGTTTATCCTGAGAACTTGCAGACCTCTTGATACTTTTGAATGTTTTAAGGGCCTGTTTTTTGAACCTGTCTATTTTTAATGTTCACATTCTCTTGGTGAGCTCCCTGGTTCTGCGGCTATAAATACCTCTACTTGCCAATGACTACCAATTTTATATCTTCAGCTTTACTCAAACTTAGTATGTCCAAAACAAACCTGCTCTTTCTTCTTGCCACAAAAACCTACCTCATTTCATAGTCTTCTCTATATCAGCAAATGAATACTTTATTCTAGTTGCTTAGGCCAAAACCATTAAAGTCATCCTTGATCTGTCTTTCTCCTACACCTCACATCCAATCTAACTGCAAATGTTAGCTTTGCTTTAAAAATATATTCAGAATTTGACAACGTCTCTCTAACTTCACTGCTTTCCCCTGATCCAAAGCTTCAGTCAGCTCTTACCTGGATTGTTATAGTAGCCTTCTGACTAGTCTTGTTTCTGCCCTTGTATATTCTAAACACTGCAGCCACAACAGACCTGCTAAAATGTAAGTCACAGCCTGTCGCTGCTCTTGTCAAAACCTCAAGGATTTTATAGTTCAGGTTTCCTCTTCCTAGAAGGTTCTTCTCACATACATCCATACAGCTGGCTTCCTTGCTTCCTTCAGGTCTTTGATCAAATGTCACCTTATCAATGAAACTGCTTTTGAGGGCCTTTTTTTTTAAATGTAACTAATGCTTTGTTTAAGGAAAATCTTAAAAATGTAAATAACCATAGGAAAAATAGTTTTATCTTCTAATATTTTGCCATCTGTGTCCATTCTATGCATACTAACTGTATCTATTGACTTTTTTCATTGATGTATGATTTATTTAAGTGCAATGTGGCGATGTCAAAAATACACCATTTGAGTTTTGAAAAATCTAGACAGTCATACAATCCATACCCCTATCAAGATATAGAACATTTTCATTTCCCCATAAAGTTCTTTGTTCCTCTTTGCAGTCAGTCTCCCACCACTCCTGGCCTGAGGCAACCGCTGGTATGCTTTCTATAACTGGAGATTACTTTTTCCAGTTCTAGAAATTTATACAAATGACATCCACTCTTTTGCAGCTGGCTTTTTTTTTTTAACTGATTATACTGTTTTTGAGGTTTATCTGTGTTGATGTGTATATGTAATTTCTTCCCTTTTTATTGCTGACTATATCCATTGTATGGATATACCACATTCTACTGATAGACATTTAGGTTTCCAATCTGGGACATTTATAAATAAAGCTCCTTTAAAGTCTTTGGGTGAACAAATATTTTTATTTCTCTTCGGTAAATACCTACAAGTAGAATTGTCAAACTGTTTTCCATAGTAGTTGTGCCATTTTATACTCCCATTAGCAATCCGTGAGAATTCCAGGTCCTTCACATTCTTGCCAATATTTGGTATTACTAGTTTTTAAAATTTTAGTTTAGTTCTAGTGGGAATGTAGTGGTATCTCGTTGTTCTAATTTGCATTTCCCCAGTGACTAACACATATATTGATCATCTTTTCATATCCTCTAAAACTGTTCAGTATTTTCCTTTATGAAGTGTCCCAATTTAAAAAAATGGGCTGTCATTTTATTAGTCATTTATATATTCTGACTGCAAGTTATCAGACAGATGTATGTATTGAGATGTCTTTTCTCTCATTCTGGAGCTTACATATACATTTTCTTTATAATAGCTTTTGATAAGCAAATTTTTTTTATTTTAATGATATATGCTTTATCAGTATTTTTCTTTTATGTCTAGTGCTTTCTGGGTGTGTCTAAGAGATCTTTGCCTGCCCAGAGGTCAAAAGATACTCTATCATATTTTTTTCTAGAACATTTGTAATTTTAGCTTTTGCATTTAGGCTTATAGTCCATTTAAAATAAATTAGTAGGCATGATATAAAGTATGGGTCCAGGTTTATTTTTCTATAGATAGCCTGCTCTACTACCATTTTTGAAAAGATTTTTCTTTTCCATATGGCTTAGCACCTTGATTTAAAAAAATCTATCATATATGTGTGATTCTGTTCTGGACTCTATTGCATTCCATTGATGTCTAAGTTTCTATTTTGAAACCTTGATAAAAATGTAAATCTGCCCTATTAGTTTAAATATATTTCTGGACTCTCAGTTCAGTTCTATTTCATTGATAAATTTATCTTTAAACTCTCTTGATTTCTATAGCTTTGTAGAAAGTCTTCAAATAAAGTAGAAGTCCTTCAATGTTTTCTTTTTTGAGCTTGTTTTGCTTATCTCAGGACTGTGCAATTTTTATATAAATAGTAGGATCAGTTTTTTACTTTCTTTTGTTGTTGTTATTGTAACTGATTTTATTTTATTTTTATTTTATTTTACTATAAGTCCCAGGATACACGTGCAGAATGTGCAGGTTTGTTACATAGGTAAACATGTGCCATGGTGGTTTGCTGCAACTATCAACCCATCATCTAGATATTAAGTCCAGCATACATTAGCTATTTGTCCTGATGCTTTCTTTCCTCTCGACCCCTGACAGACCCCTGTATGTGTTGTTCCCCTCCCTGTGTCCATGTGTTCTCATTGTTCAGCTCCCACTTACGAGTGAGAACATGCAGTGTTTGGTTTTCAGTTCCTGCATTAGTTCGCTGAGGATGATGGCTTCTAGCTTCATCCATGTCCCTGCAAAGGACCTGATCTCATTCCTTTTTATGACTGTATAGTATTCCATGGTGTATATGTACCACATTTTCTTTATTCAGTCTATCATTGATGGGCATTTGGGTTGGTTCCATGTCTTTGTTATTGTGAATAGTGCTGCAACAAACATAAGTGTCCATGTATCTTTATAATACAATGATTTATATTACTTTGGGTATATACCCAGTAATGGGATTGCTAGATCAAATGGTGTTTCTGGTTCTAGATCCTTGAGGAATCGCCACACTGTCTTCCACAATGGTTGAACTAATTTACATTTCCACCAACAGTGTAAAAGCATTCCTATTTCTTCACAGCCTCCCCAGCATTGTTTTTTTCTTGACTTATTAGTAATCGCTATTCTGACCGGCATGAGATGGTATCTCATTGTGGTTTTGATTTGCATTTCTCTAATGATCACTGATGTTGACCTTTTTTTAATATATGTTTGCTGGCCGCATAAATATCTTCTTTTGAGAAGTGTCTGTTCATGTCCTTGGCCCACTTTTTGATGAGGTTGTTTTTATTTTCTTGTAAATTTGTTTAAGTTCCTTGTAAATTATGGATATTAGACCTTTGTCAGATGGGTAGATTGAAAAATTTTTCTCCCATTCTGTAGGTTGCCTGTTTGCTCTTATGATAGTTTGTTTTGCTATGCAGAAGCTCTTTAGTTTAATTAGATCTCATTTGTCAATTTTAGCTTTTGTTGCAGTTGCTTTTGGCGATTTCATCATAAAATCTTTGCCCATGCCTGTATCCTGAAAGGTACTGCCTCTATTTTCTTCTAGGGTTTTTATGGTTTTGAGTTTTGGGTTTTACATTTAAGTTAGTTTTTTACTTTCTAAAATAAGAAAGCCTGTTGGGATTTTGATTAGGATTGCATTGAAGCTATAGCTCAGCTTGGCAATAACTGACATTGTGATAGTATTGTATTGGGTCTTCCAGTTCATGATTATGGTATATTCTCTGCATTTCCTTAGAGCTTCTTCATAAAATTTCAGTAATGTTTTGTGATTTTTAGTGTATAAGTGTTACACATGGAATATCATTTAAAACGTTATTTTGTTTTCATTTTTACTTATTTCTTGCTAGTTTATAGAAACAGTTTTTTTTTTGCGTATTAACCTTATATTCTGGGACATTGCCAAATTGACTTATAAGCTCTAATTAGTTTTTTTGGTAAATTTATAAGATTTTTAATGTACATGAACATGGTATCTGGGAGTGAAAAGTTTTGTTTCTTACTTTCCAATTTGTATACTGTTTTTACTATCATACTACACTGTCTTGTACCCTCAGTAAAATACAGAACAGAAGCCTTGATCCTGTTGTTAGGGAGAAAGCAGTTTTTCACCATTAAGGGATGATGTTAACTGTAGTTTGTTTTTGTTTTTATTTTTTTAGATGTCCTTTATCAGATTGAGGAAGCTTTCTTCTATTCTTAGTTTCTTGAGAGTTTTCATCATAGATCTATGTTCCATGTTCCCATAGACAACCTAAAACCATGTTTTTGCTATTGTAAATACTGCCTTGATGACCACATGAGTGTATGCCTTTTTTTCCCCCTAGAGAAGAGGGGAGCACACCTTTTAAATTATTTGTTTATTATTGTTTTAAATTTTTATTTTAGGTTCAGGGGTATTTGGGCAGCTTTACTGCATAGGTTAATTGCATGTCACAGGATATTTGCTGTATAGATTATTTTGTCATCCAGGTAATAAGCATAGTAACCAATAGGTTGTTTTTTTATCTTCAACATCCTTGCACCCTCCATCCTCAAGTAGGCCCCAGTGTCTGATGTTTCCTTCTTTGTATCCATGTGTATTCAGTGTTTCACTCCCACTTATGAGAACATGTAGTATTTGGTTTTCTGTTCCTGCATTAGTTTGCTTAGAATAATGACCTCCAGCTTCATCCATATTGCTGCAAAGCATGCAACCTCATTCTTTTTTATAGGTGCATAGTATTCCATGATACATATGTACCCCATTTTCTTTGTCCACTCTCCCATTGATAGGCATTTAGGTTGATTCCATGTCTGCCATTATGAATAGTGCTGCAATGAACACAGACATACATGTGTCTTTATGGTAGAAAGATTTATATTCCTATGGGTATATACCCAATAATGGAATTGCTGGGTCAAATGGTTGTTCTGTGTTCTTTGAGAAATCTACAGACTGCTCTGCACAATAACGGAATAATTTACATTCCCACCAACAATATATGAGCATTCCCTCACCAACAGTATATAAGCATTCCCTGTTTTCCACAGCCTCGCCAGCATTTATTTTTTGACTTTTTAAATAATAACCATTCTGACTAGTATAAGATGATATCTAATTATGGTTTTGATTTCCATTTCTCTAATGAATAGTGATGTTAAACATTCTTTCATATGCTTGTTGACCATGTGTTTGTCTTCTTAAAAATGTGTCTGTTCCGGTTGGGTGTGGTGGCTCGCGCCTACAATCCCAACACTTTGGGAGGCTGTGGCAGGAGGATTGTTTTAGGCCAGGAGTTTGACATCAGCCTGGACAATATAGCAAGACCCTGTTTCTACAAAAAATGAAAAAGTTAGCAGTGCATAGTGGCATCCCCTGTGGTCCCAGCTTCTCAGAAGACTGAGGCAAGAGGATCACTTGAGCCTGGGAGGTCGAGACTGCAGTGAGCTGTGATTGTACCACTATACTCCAGCCTGGGCAACAGAGCAAGACCCTGACTTTAAAAAAAAAAGTGTGTCTGTAATATTCTTTGCCCACTTTTTAATGAGATTGGTTTTTTGCTTGTAAATTTGTTTAAGTTCCTTATAGGTTCTGAATATTAAACCTTTGTCAGATTCATGGTTTGCAAATATTTTCTCCCAGTATGTAGGTTGGCTGTTTACTCTGGTAATATTTTCTTTACTTGTGTGGAAACTCTTTATTTTAAATAGGTCTCATTTGTCAATTGTTTGTTGTTGTTGTTGCAATTGTTTTTGGCTTCTTCATCATGAAATATTTACCAGGTCCTGTTTCCAGAATGGTATTTTCTAGGCTATCTTCTAGGGTTTTTATAGTTTGATGTTTCACATTTAAGTTATTTAATCCATCTTGAGTTGATTATTGTAAATGGTGTAAATAAGAGGTTCAGTTTTAGCTTCTGCATATGGCTAGCCAATTACCCCAGCACCATTTAATGAATAGAAATTCCTTTCCCCACTGCTTGTTCTTGTCAACTTTGTCAAAGATGAGATGGCTGCAGGTGTGCGGCATTTTTTCTGCACTCTCTTTACTGTTCCATTCATCTATGTTTCTGTTTTTATACCAGTACCATGCTGTTTTGGTTCATGGCCTTGTAAGGTATAGTATGAAGTTGGGTAATGTGGGTAATGTGATGTCTTCAGCTTTGTTCTTTTACGTAGGATTGCTCTGGCTACTGGGGCTCTTTTTTGGTTCCGTATGAGTTTTTAAATAATTTTTTTCTAATTTTGTTAAGAATATCATTGTTAGTTTGATGGGAATAGAATTGAATCTATAAATTGCTTTGAGCAGTATGGCCATGTTAACAATAGATTCTTTCTCTCCATGAGCATGGAATATTTTTGCCTTTGTTTATGTCATCTCTGATTTCTTTGAGCAGTGTTTTGTAATTCTTGTTGTAGACATTTTTCAACTCCATGGTTAGCTGTATTTCTAGGTATTTCATTCTTTTTTGTGGCTATTGTGAATGGGATTGCATTCTTGAATTGGCCCTCAGCTTGGATGTTGGTGTGTAGAAATGCCACTGATTTTTGTACATTGATTTTATATCCTGAAATGGTACTGAAGTTTTTTATCAGATCTAGGAATTTTGGGGTAGAAACTATGGGGTTTTCTAGGGATAGTATCATATCGTCAGCTAATAGAGATAGTTTGACTTCCTCTCTTCCTATTTGGATGCCTTTTATTCATTATTTTGCCTGATTGCTCTGGTTAGGATTTCCAGTACTATGCTGAATAGGAGTGGTGATAGTGGGAATCCTGTTTTGTTCCATTTCTCAAGGGCAGTGCTTCCAGCTTTTGCCTGTTCAGTATGATATTGGCTGTGTGTTTGACATATACAGTTCTAATTATTTTGAGGCATATTCCTTTTCTGCCTAGTTTGTTGAAGGTTTTTAACATGAAGCGATGTTGAATTTTATTGAAAGCCTTTCCTGCATCTATTTAGACGATCATATGATTTTTGTTTTTAGTTTTGTGTATAGATGAATCCTATATATTGATTTGTGTTTGTTGACCAACCTTATGTCCCAGGGATAAAGTCTATTTGATCATAGTGGGTTAGTTTTTTGATGTGTTGCTGGGTTTAGTTTGCTAGCATTTTCTTGAGGATTTTTGTATGCATGTCATCATGAATAATGGCCTGTGTTCTTTTTTCTTTCTTTCTTTCTTTTTTTTTTTTTTTGTTGTTGTGTCTCTGCCAGATTTTGATATCAGAATGATGCTTGGCTCATAGAATGAGTTAAAGTGTCCCTCCTCCTCATTATTTGGAATAGTTTCAATAGTAATAGTACCAGCTCTTCTTTATACATTTGGTGGAATCTGGCTCTAAATCTGGTCCTGGGCTTTTTCTGGTTCATAGGCTTTTTATTACTGATTCAGTTTCAGTCCTAGTTATTGGGCTTTTTAGGATTGCAATTTCTTCCTCATTCAATCTTGAAAGGTTGTATGTTTCCAGGAATTTATCAATTTCTTCTAGATTTTCTAGTTTGTATGCATAGAGGTGTTTGTAATAGTCTCTGAGGGATGTTTTACATTTCTGTAGGGCTGGTATTAATGTTCCCTTAGGCATTTCTGATTGTGCTTATTTGGATCTTATGTCTTTTTTTCTTTATTAGTCTAGCTAGTGGTCTATCAGTCTTACTTTGTCTGTCAAAAAAATCAACTCTTGGATTTGTTGGTCATTTGCATGATTTTTTCTCATCTCAGTTTTCTTCAGTTGAGCTCTGATTTTGATTATTTCTTGTCTTCCACTAGCTTTGGGGTTGGGTTCCTCTTCCTCTACTTCATCTGGATGTGATGTTAGGCTGTTAATTTGAGATCTTTCTAAGATTTTGATGTGGTAGTTTAGCACTATAAACTTCCCGCTTAACACTGCTTTAGCTGTGTCCCAGAGATTCTGGTATGTCATATCTTTTTTTCTCATTAGTTTCAAATAATTTCTTGATTTCTGCTTTAATTTTATTGTTTACTCCAAAGTCATTTGGGAGCAGGTTGTTTAATTTCCATTTCATTGTATGGTTTTAAGCACTCTTCTTAGAATTGATACCTACTTCTGTGGTGCTGTGGTCTGAGATTGTAGTTGGTATGATTTTGGGTTTTTGAATTTGTTGAGAATTGTTTTATGGCTCACTGTGTGGGTGATTTAGACCATGTGCCTTGTGCAGATGAGAAGAATGTGTATTATGTTGTTTTGGGGTGGAGAGTTCTCTAGATATCATTAGGTCCATTTAATGAAGTGTCAAGTTCAGGCCCCGAATATCATTGTTAGTTTTCTGCCTCAGTAGTCTGTTTAATGCTGTCAGTGGGGTACTGAAGTCTCCCACTATTATTATGTGGTTTTCTAAGTCTTTTCATAAGTTTATAAGAACTTGTTTTATGAATCTATGTGCTCCTGTGTTTGGTGCATACATGTTTAGTATAGTTAGGTCTTCTTGTTGAATTGAATCCTTTACTATTATGTAATGCTCTTCTTTGTCTGGTTTGTTGTGGATTTAAATTCTATTTTTTTCTGGAATTACGGTAGCAACCCCTGCTTTTTTCTGTTTCCTGTTTGTTAGATTTTTCTCCATCCCTTTACTTTGAACCTGTGGCTATCACTGCTTGTGAGATGGGTCCATTGAAGACAACATATGGTTGGGTCTTGCATCTTCATCCACCTTGCCACTCCACCTTTTAATTGAGGGCATTATTTTCATTTACATTTAAAGTTAATATTGATACATGCAGATCTGATCCTGTCACGTTGTTAGCTGGTTATTATGCAGACTTGATTGTGCAGTTGCTTTATAGTGTTAGTGGCCTACATACTTAAGTGTCTTTGTTTGTTTGTTTTTGTGGGCCATGATAATCTTTTCTATTTCCACTATCTCTTAAGGACCTTTTTTAAGGCAAGTCTGTGGTAATGAATTCCCTTAGCATTTGCTTGTCTGAAAAGGATCTTATTTCTCCTTCCCTTATGAAGCTTAGTTTTTCTAGATTTAAAGTCCTTGGTTGGAATTTCTTTTAATAATGCTGAATATAAGCGTCCAATCTCTTCTGCCTTATAGTGTTTCTGCTGAAAGATCCACTGTTAGCCTGATGAGTTTACTTTGTGGGTGACTGCCCCTTCTCTCTTGAGGATTTTTGTACGCATGTTCATCATGGATAATTCTTCCTTTCACTTTGATTGTGGAGAGTCTGATGACTGTATGTCTTGCACATAGTTGTCTTGTGTAGTATCTCACAGGGGTTCTCTGAGTTTCTTGAATTCGAATGTTATCCTCTCTAGAGTTTGGGGAAATTTTCATGGATGATGTCCTCAAATATGCTTTCCAGGTTGCTTGCTTTTTCTCTCCTTCTCTTTCAGGGAGATCAATGAGTCATAGATTTGGTCTCTTTACATAATCCCATATTTCTCAGAGGTTTTGTTCCTTCTTCTTTTTTCTTTATGTTTGTCTGATTTAATTTGGAAAACTAGTCTTCATGATCTGAGATTTTTTTCCTCAGCTTGGTTGATTCTGCTCTTAATTCTTGAAATTTTATTATGAAATTCTCAAAGTGAGTTTTTTGCCTGTATCAGATCAGTTTGGTTCTTTCTTAAAATGACTGTTTTGTCTCTCAGCTCCTGTATTATTTTGTTGTATTCCTTAGAATCATTGGATTCAGTTCACACTTTCTCCTGAATCTTGATGATCTTCATTCCTTTTCATCTTCTGAATTCTGTGTCTGTCATTTCAGCCTGGTTAAGAATCATTGCTGTTGTTAAGAATTAGTGCTGTTGTTTTGAGGTAAGAAGATACTCTGGCTTTGAGATACCGTAGTTCTTGCACTAGTTCTTTCTCAGCTCTGTGAGATGTTGTTTCTTTAATCTTTGAAGTTGCTATCCTTTTTCCTTTTAGCTTCTTTGCTGCCCTTGGAGGTTTGATCATGGTATGAAGTGGATTCACTCCACCAGCTTTGTTAGCTAATGGCATTCAGGCCCCCTGCAACCAGACCCAAAATTGTAAAAGAGTAAGCCACCTTGGTAGGACCTGGTGAGCCAGGCCAGGGAAAGCAGGATGCCTGAGTCAGGGACTTGTCCCACTCATATTTGCTGCCTGGTGGCCTTGGCAACCACTTCCAGATTTCTGCAAATGTCTTTTTTGTAGAATGATTATTTTATTTGGGGTATATACCCAGTAATGGAATTGCTGGGTCGAATGGTAGCCCTGTTTTAAGTTCTTTGAGAAATCTTCAGACTGCTTTCCACAGTGGTTGAACTAATTTACATTCCCTTTGTAAGCATTCTCTTTTCTCGGTAGCCTCACCAGAATCTGTTGTTATTTGACTTTGTGGTAATAGCATTGTTAGTGGTATGAGATGGTATCTCATTGTGGTTTTGTTTTGAGACGGAGTCTCGCTCTGTCACCCAGGCTGGAGTGCAGTGGTGTGATCTCGGCTCACTGCAAGCTCCGCCTCCCGGGTTCACGCCATTCTCCTGCCTCAGCCTCCCGAGTAGCTGGGACTACAGGCGCCCACCACCATGCCCGGCTAATTTTTTGTTTTCGTAGTTTTAGTAGAGACAGAGTTTTACCGTGTTAGCCAGGATGGTCTTGATCTCCTGACCTCGTGATCAGCCCGCCTTGGCCTCCCAAAGTGCTGGGCTCATTGTGGTTTTGATTTGCATTTCTCTGATTATTAGTGATGCTGAGCATTTTTTCATGTTTCTTGGCCACTTATATATCTTCTTTTGAGAAGTGTCTGTTCATGTCTTTTGTCCAGTTTTTAATGGGTTATTTTCTTTGTTGATTTGTTTAAGTTCTCTGTAGATTCTAGATATTAGGCCTTTGTTGGATGCATAGTTTCTGAATATCTTCTCCCATTCTGTTTGTTGTCTCTTTGCTCGGCTGATAGTTTATTTTGATGTGCAGAATCTCTTTAGTTTAATTATGTCCCACTTGTTGCTTATTCTTGTTTTTGTTGCAATTGCTTTTAGGGACTTAGCCAGAAATTATTTGCCAGTGGTGATGTTGGGAAAAATATTTGCTAGGTTGTCTTCTAGAATTTTTGTAGCTTGAGGTACTTTTCAATCTTTAATTCACTTGAGTCAATTTTTGTATCTGGTGAAAAGTAGGGGTCCAGCTTCAATCTTCTGCATATGGCTATTCAGTTATTCCACCACCATTTATCGAATGGGGAATTCTTTTCCAATTGCTTGTTTTTATCTCCCTTGTTGAAGATGAGATGGTTGCAGATGTGTGGCTTTATTTCTGAGTTTTCTGTTCAGTTGGTCTATGTGTCAGTTTTTGTACCAATACCAAGTTATTTTGTTTACTGTGGCTTTATAGTATAGCTTGAAGTTGGGTAGTGTGATTCTCCGGCTTTATTCTTTTGCTTAGGATTGCTGTTGTTATTTGGGCTCTTTTTTGGTTCCATATGAATTTTAGAATCATTTTTTCTAATTTTGTGAAGAATGACATTGGCAGTTTGATATGAATAGCATTATATCTGTAAATTGCTTTGGGCAGTATAGCCATTTTTACCCTATTGACTCTTCCAATCCATGAGCATGGAATGTTTTTCCATTTGTTTGTGTAATCTGTAATTTTTTTTCGGCAGTTTTGTAGTTGTTCTTTTAGAAGTCTTTCTCCTCCTTGGTCAGCTATATTCTTAGGTATTTCATTTTTCGTGTGGCTATTATGAATGAGATTGTGTTCTTGATTTTACGCTCAGCCTAGATGTTGTTAGCAATGCTACTGATTTCTGTTCATTGATTTTGTATTCCGAAACTTTACTAATGTCATTTATCAATTCTAGGAGCCCTTTGTCAGAGTCTTTATGATTTCCTAGGTGTAGAATCATATTGTCAGCAAAGAGAGGTAGTTTGATTTCTTTTCCTATTTAGATACCTTTTATTTCTTTCTCTTTCCTGATTGCCCTGGCTAGGACTTCTAGTTCTGTGTTGGATAGGAGTGGTGAGAGTGGGAGTCCTTGTCTTGTTCCAGATCCAAGCAGAATGGTTCTAGCTTTTGCACCTTCAGTATGATGTTGGCTGTGGGTTTATCGTAGATAGCTCTTACTATTATCATTATTATTATTTTTTGAGACAGAATCTCCCTCTGTCGCCCAGGCTGGAGTGCAATGGTACGATCTTGGCTCACTGAAACCTCTGCCTCCCCGCTCTAAGTGATTCTCCTGCCTCAGCCTCCCGAGTAGCTGGGATAACAGGCACCTGCCACCACACCCGGCTAATGTGTGTGTGTGTGTGTGTGTGTGTGTGTGTGTGTGTGTGTGTATGTATGTAAATATATATATATATATTTAGCAAAGACACGGGGTTCACCATGTTGGCCAGGCTGGTTTCGAACTTCTGACCTCAAGTGATCCACCTGCCTCAGCCTTCCAAAGTGCTATATATATATATATATATATATATATATATGTGTGTGTGTGTGTGTGTGTGTGTGTGTATATATGTGTATGTGTGTGTGTGTGTGTGTGTGTATATATATATATATATATATATATATATATATATATTTTTTTTTTTTTTTTTTAGCAGAGACACAGCGTTCGCCATGTTGGCCAGGCTGGTCTCGAACTCATGACCTCAAGTGATCCACCTGCCTCAGCCTTCCAAAGTGCTGGGATTACAGGCTCACGTGAGCCCTCATGCCTGGCCTTATTTTTAGTTATGTTTCTTTGATGCCTAATCTGTTGAAAGTTTTCATCATGAAGGGGTGTTGGATTTTATCAAATGCTTCCACTGCATCTATTTAGATGGTTATATGGAATTTGCTTTTGATTCTGTTTATGTGGTGAATCACATTTATTGAGTTGCTGATTGAACCAGCCTTACATCTCAGGAATAAAGCTTACTTGATTTGTGGTGTGTTAACTTTTTAATGTGCTGCTGGATTTTATTTGCTAGTATTTTGTTGAGGATTTTTGCATCTGTGTTTGTGAGGGATGTTAGTCTGAAGTTTTTTTTTTTTTTTTCCATTGTGCCTCTGCCAAATTCTGGTGTCAGTCTGATTCTAGCTTCATAGAATGAGATAGGGAGAGGTCTCTCATCTCCAGCTTTTTGGGAATAGTTTTAGTAGGATTGGTGTCATTTCTTCTTTGTATGTCTGGTAGAATTTGGCTGTGAATCTATCTGGTCAAGGGTTTTTTTTTTTTTTTTTGGTTGGTAGGTTCTTTGTTACTAATTTAATTTCTACATTGATACTGCTTTATTCATGATTTCAATCTCTTCCTAATTCAGTCTTGTGCTTGGATTGAATTAGGAAGATTGTGTGCTTGCATTGAAAAAATGCAATTTTAAAACATGACAAGTATGCTCACTCTCACTACTCCTATTCCACGCAGTACTAGAAGTCCTAGCCAGAGCAATCAGGAAAGAAAAATAATTCAATCTTGTGCTTGCATTGAGTTAGGAAGATTGTGTGCTTGCATTGAAGAAAATTGCATTATTTTTCTTTTAATTCCTGTATGCTTTTTAGTGACATCCTCTCTTTCATTACTGAAAATTTTAATTTGTCTTTTCTTCCTTCGTTCCCCCCGATCTCTGGTCTAGAATTTATCAATTTTGTTAATCTTTTGAAATAACAAATTTTTGCTGCATTTGATTTTTGTTTGTTCGTTTTTATTTCATGTTCTTTATTATTTTTTACTTGTATTTACTTCATATTTATATTTTCTTTTCCCCTGATTTCTTAAGGTGGCCTCTGAGATTATTGATTTGAAAGCTCTTTTTTTATAATATATGTAATTATAGCTATCACTTTCCCTCTAATACCTACTTAACCTACATTCAACATATTTTAATATGTTGTATTATTTTGATATAGTTCAAAATATTTCTAATTTGACTTTTAATTTCTTTGACCTATTGATTACTTAGAAGTGTTTTGTTGAATTTCCAAACATTTGAACTTTCCAGATATCTTTTTGTCTTTAAGTGTTGATTTAATTTTCTGTGGTCAGAGAAGATACTGTGTATAATTTCATTCCCTTTAAAAATATTAAGATTTGTTGTATTTCTCAGCAACTGGTCTGCCTTGGACAATATTGCTTATTTACTTGAAATGCACTTATATTGTGCTTATTATAGGTGTACTTTCTATGTCAGTTAGGTCTATGTGGTTAGTACTGTTAGAATATTCTGTAATGTTCTATCTGTAGTATTGTCTCTCTGATATTGTTCCATTTGTTTCTTCAAAAAGAATGTCCACATTTTCAATCATTATTATGTTTAAAAAATTTTCTTCCTTCAGGTTTTTTCCAGTTTTTCTTCAAATTTTGAAACTTTGTTATTAGATATATATACAAATTTAGAAGTATATATTCTTGACAAATTGTTCCCTTTCCCATTATCAATTTTCCTTCTTCATATCTTCTTCTAATTCTCTTTATCCTAAAACCTACTCTGTGTAATATTAATAGCATTATTTCTATTTTTTAAAATTTGTTTTTTGCATAGTATCTTTTTCCTTTCTTTTCCTTGTAAATTTTAACTATGTCTCTTTATATTTAATGTGTAACTATTATAATCATGTAATTGAATCTCCTTTTTTCACCTAGTCTGGACATTTGTCTCTTCATTGATTTATTAGCTCTACCACTTTTTATTTTTAGTGTTTGCTCAGTTTCAAATATGTATCTTTTAACCATCACAGTATGCCTTCAAATAATATTATAGTATTTCAGTTACTATTGTAGAACCTTGCAACAATTTATGCGTCCATCTTCCTTTCCTCTGCCTTTTGTGTTACTGTTATCATACATTTTACTTCTTCATGTAACAAATCCTGCATTTTAATTTTGTTCCAATCTTTCAGTTATCTTTTAAATAATTTAAGAAACCATTTGTTATGCTCTTTGCTTCTTCATGTAGTTCTGAATTTTTATGTGGTGTCATTTTCTTTCATCTGAATAACTTCCTTTAATGTTTTTAATAGTTCAGGTCTACTGACAGTAGGTTTTCTTAGCATTTGTTTGCCTGAAAACGTCTATTTAACCTTTATTTTTGAATGAAATTTTTAATGGATGTAGAGTTCTGTTATGACATTTTTTTTCTTTCATCTCTTAAACATGTTATTGTGTTTTTTTAATGGCTTTGGTTGTTTCTGATCAGCAGAGAACACACATTCCTTTTTTTCTTTTTTACTGTATCTGATGTTTCTTATTTTTTCTTTTCTGCTGTATATATTTTTATATGTAAAAAATATAAATAGAAACTATTTAATATAAATATTAAAAATGCATATATATATATTTTTTTCCATATCATGGTTTTAAGTAATTTTGTTATAATGTGCCTTGGTATGGTTTTCTGATTTGTTTGTTGTTGCTGTTTTTTTTTGGGGGTGGTGGTGGGGAGCAGGGGGATTGTCTCATTCGGTCGCCTAGGCTGGAATGCAGTGGCATGATCCCAGCTCATTGTAGCCTCAACTTCTCAGGCTCAAGTGATCCTCCCATCCCAGCCTCCTGAGTGGCTGGTACTACAGGCATGCCACCATGCTCAGCTACTTTTTAAATTCTTTTAGAGACTGAGTCTGACTATTGAAGTGACGTCATTGTCTAGGGTAAATACTCGAGGCTTGTTGCCTCATGCCAAGAAAACTAAGGACATGGACACACACAAGGAGTGAGTTTAAGTACAGAGGTTTAATAGACAAAAGAAAGAGAAAGGAGAACAGCTCTCTCTCCTGCAGAAAGAGAGGGGCGCTCGAGTGGGTCTTCTGGTTTCATGGAGGAATGCATGGAGTTTTATTGACAAGCTTGAGGAGGCGGTGTCTGATTTACAAAGGGCGCAAGAGATTGGTTGGACCAGGTGTGCTGTTTGCAAAGTGTGAAGAAGCTGGCTATCCCACCCTAATCTTTTATTATGCAGATAGGGTCTCTACCTGGCTGGTGCCATGTTGCCTGCCTTACTGCACATGTGGTGACAAAGAAAAGGGAAGAGGGAACCTCCATGTTGAACATGCCTGGCCACCAGGTACTTTTTTCCCTATTGGCACAGCTTTCAGCATTTACCTATGCAAGCTTCCAGCTTGCTTATCTACTCCTGCAGCTGGATTTGTCAGGCTGCTTTTTCTTAGAAAGTAAATGATTTTGGGGCTGCTTTTTTATTAAAAGGAAATGTTACTGAGGACTTCCTTATTCTTACTATCTGCCTAAATAATTTCTTTCTAGCTCCTCTATCACTGTGCTGCCCAGGCAGGTTGGGAACACTTCTTGTTATGGTTTCCTTTGTGTTTATTCTGTTTGATATTCATTTAGCTTTTTGAATCTGTGAGTTTATATTTTACCCCAAATTTGGATAAATTTTAGCCATTGTTTCTTGAAAAAGTTTTTTCTGCCTCAGTCTATTTTTCTTCTATTTTCTGATTCCAGTTGTACTTAATACAGAACATTTTATATTGTCCCATAGGTCAGTCTTTTTTCTCTCTAGTTTAGATAGTTCTGTGTCCTATGTGATCTTTTTTTTCTACTGTGTCTCATTTGCTTTTAAAATCATCCAGTGACGTTTTTATTTCATGTGTTATATTTTTCATCTCCAGGAGTTCCATTTGGTTGATTTTATAGTTTCAGTTTCTCGATATTTCTTGTTTTTTTTTTTATGTTTTCATTTAATATGTTTATGAATTGACTTGAAGTCCATTATATCTGTCATTCCTTTTCACGCTGATTTTTCTCCGAGTATGGCTTATATTTTCTGCCTTTTATGCTTAGTAATTTTGTTATTAGTATTTTATTTTTTTCATATATTGGACAGTATAAATGCTACATTGCTCTATGTCTGGGTTTTATTGTTTTCTTTAAGAGAATGTAGAATTTAATTCTGTAATGCATTTTTTAAACTTGTACGTTTGCTTTTGTCTCTGAAAATACGGTTTTAAACTTTGTTTGACATAGAGTAACCTTTAATCCTAGGGCTCTATTGTTCCTCCTTCTAAGGTATGTCCTTTGTGAACTCTCTACAGAATGACTAGGATGTTCAATGAGTATCCTCAAATATGACAGCTGAAATGCAAACATTTCCCAGCTTTATGAAAGCTCCAGTAATTGTTCTTGTTCAGCTTACAGTTCCTGGATAGTTATTTTTTCCCCAGTTTTGGAGATTCTTGCCTGCTCATTCAGCAGATTAACATGGCCAGAGACTCAGTGGGGCCTCTCTGAAGATTTGTAGACCTTCTCTGCATACATCTTTTCACTCTGCTACTCTGCCCCACAAATTCCAACTTTTTCTTAGCTCAGACTTACATGTATGCTCTGTTTTGGTTACTTAACCCTTCCCCGATATGTAGCTATCTGGAAAGTGCCTTCAGGCACAAAGGGTGAGACAATCATAGGACTTATTTCACTTGCTTTCTTTTTCTGAGGGATTCCAGTCCTGTGCTGACAGTTGTCCATACATGAAAAAAAATCATATATTTAAGAATTTCTAAGTTGCTTGTAGTAGAAAGGACAATATGATACTAGTTACTCAATCATGGCTGGAAGCAAAAATTGTCAAGGCCTTAATAAAATAATAACCTCCACTTCAACCGTCTCTTTTCCCAACTTAATTTTTTACCAATGCACTTAACCATCATCTAAAGTACTGTGTATTTCAACTGTTTATATATTTACACATTAGCTTTCTCCTACTAGGATATAAATTTCAAGAGGATTTTTGTTTTTAGTTTTCTGCACATGGTAGGTGTCCAGTAAAAATTTGTGGAAGAATTAGATGAGATTGGATTGTGAGCTTTGTGGTTCTTATCACTAAGATTTCTTTGGCCTTTTAAGAAGGGAGAAACAAATTGCATATTACTATCATAAATTGGAATTCAGGCTCAAGGCATGATGGTCTGCCCCAGGTTTCATGATACAGGTAGTGAAGATAATGCTTTTAGGACCTGACTCAAGATGAATTAAAACTAAAGATACTTGATTTTTCTCCAAGCAGTGGGATGAGGGAAATGTTCTACAGGCAAAGCCAGAACTAGCATATATTTTAAACTGGATATGTGTTCTAAAATTAATTAGTAGGGACCTATATAACCTATATGTGATGAAGAACTGTGAGAGTACATGTGGTTGCTTGAAAGTTTTGATAGGCAGATTTAATTTGGAAAAGGAGTCGCTGTGAGTCAGAACTTTGCTGCTGCAATTTAGGTTGAAAGAATTCATAGTTTGGCAAAGAGGACTAAGAAAAGCAAGATAGGCAATAAAGTTCTAATCATTGGACTGTGTTTTTGTACAGAAGGATGAAGATAAAGGAACTAGATTTGTGTAATATATTGCCATTGAGCTGCAGTTTGTGTAGAGGTAGAAATAGGAGAGGAGAGAGAGCTGAAAGAGCAGCATGGGAATTCATAGTTTTTCACTGTATAATAGCTGGACCTCTGTCTGCAGTATTAGCAGCTTGGACATCAGCTTCAGTGTCCAGTGGTAATCACTAGGCTAATAGACTTCCTATTTTTAACAATAATTGACTATCAAGAACATATTCTGAAATGGGGCAGAGAGAGGAATGAGAGGATGGGGGGTGCGTGTGTGTGTTTGTGTATCTACATTCAGAGTTAACCCTTAGTATCTGTGGGTTCCACGTGCGGAGCCTGCAGATATGGAGGGCTAACTGTACTATGTCTTTTTATATAAGGGACTTGAGCATTTGCAGATTTTGGTATCCATGGGGATCCTGGAACCAATCCTTCGTGGATATTTAGATATAAATTTAGATATGGATAAACACACAGGTCTGTGTTAAATTTACATTGGTACAAGAATTGACATAGCGTCAATTTTTGTGTTAGAATTGACCAGAGAGCCTGACCGTGGAGTAGGATACCTAAGTTGAACAGAGGAGAGGCAGGGAAAGACATAAGTTTTAACAAATATTACAGGATTCTGACAGAACTTTGAGGTGAAATCTAATGTTAAATCTAATTTTTAAATATTTTTAACACCCATTCGTGTGTTTTTAAAAAATATTTGGTTATTTACTTTGTGATCTTAAGGAATTCATTCAACACATTTAAATACTTATCAGCATACAAAAGTGTATAGAACATGATTTCTAACCTTCTCATTTACAATATATTAAGAGAAGTAAATGATGTATATAAATAACCCTTTTATGAGGCAGTGTCCACAGTAACAAAAGAAAGGTACAAATAAGTATTAGGTTAATTCCAGGGAGGATAAACTTAGGTATGACTGGGGCAGTCAGGAAAGACTGTTTATAATAATGACGATGATAATAAGAATAAATACATACAAACCAAAAAAAAAAAAGGCTGATCTTTACTGAGCTCTTATTATGCCTCAGGTATTGTGCTAAGATGGAATATTTATGATTATGAGCAAAATGCAAGTAGTCTATGACTGTTCATTGTATTGGTATTCATAAGAGTAAAAACTAGGATAAAAGTTTAGGTAACTAATAAAGAGATAATCAAGTAAATTATGGCACATATTTGTAGAAGAATATGTAAAATGGGCATATGCTTACGAATGTATCAGGTGAAAATGGATAAATCACACATTTTATATATAGTCATCCCTCATTTGGTTCTAGGACCCCCTGCAGATACCAAAATCCAGGGATGTTCAAGTCCCTGATGAAAAATGGTGCACTATTTGCATATAACTTACACACATCCTCCTATATATTTTGAATCATCTCTAGATTACTTATAATATGTAATGCAGTGCATATGCTATGTAAATAGTTGTTATATGTATTGTTTAGGGAATAATGCCAAGGAAAAAATATGTATGTTTTCAATACAGACATAACATTGCAGTTTGTTTCCACAAATATTTTTGATCCACAGTTGGTTGACTGTGTGGATACGGAACCTATGGTTACAGAGGGCTAACTAGATAGAATAAGGCTACTGTTAAAAATTCACATTGTGCACAGAGAAAAAGACTAAAAGAAAACAGAAGCATGAGTATGTGTCTGGGAGGGTATATTTGGCAATGGAATTAGGAAAATGGTTTTCTTCTGTTTATATATGTGCATATTTTGCTTTAATGGAGCTGTGATATCTTTGTATAAAAAAATAAAGTAGAGCAAGGCAATTACAAAAATTTTAAAGTAGGACTGTGCTCAGATGCCTATAAGTAGTTTAGGTTTTATACTGGGTATTGTGGGGAATTGTTGAAGCTCTTTGATACAGGCTTTGATAACATGTGTAAAGCAGTTCTCAGATTTTTTTTTTTTGTTTTTATGGTCATAAAAATTAGTGAAGACTCAAGAGTGTACTGTATGTATGAAAGCAGTTCTCAGACTTTTAGGTTTTTACATTTGTAAAAATTATTGAGGACCTCAAATATCCTTTGTTATATGGGTATATTTATTAACATTTATCATGTTAGAAATGAAAAGTAAGAAATTCTTTAGAAAATTTATCAAGCATTTAGAAATAATATAAAATCATTATTTGTTCACATGAATAACACATTTTTATATAAACAACTTTCCCAAAACAAAAAGATTAATGAGAAGAGTCACATTATTTTACCTTTTTGCAAATTAATGTCCAGCTTAATAAAGACAGCTGAATTCTCACAGCTGCTTCTGTATTCAATCTGTTTTAATATTAAATTCCATGTAGCCTCAGCTCTACTGTGTGCTTGTAAGAGAATGAGAATGAAAAAGTTTTGATCGTATATACCTTCTAAAGACTCTGTCTGACCCCTGGGGCCAGATCATACTCTTAAAAACTGCCGGCCTAGTCCATGAGAAAGAACTCAAAGAATACTAATTATTCTTTGAGTTGATAATAATTACTGTCTTAATATGAATCAAATCATGAAACATGGTAGTGATTTTCAAACTATAGTTCTTCATCAGATCAGATCCTGCATCACAATCATCTGGAATCATTTTTAAAA
Organism: Homo sapiens; assembly: GCF_000001405.40. NCBI lineage: Eukaryota > Metazoa > Chordata > Mammalia > Primates > Hominidae > Homo > Homo sapiens. The sequence goes on along the minus strand of NC_000015.10, from coordinate 76,643,918 downwards.
GGTAGATTCGTGGTCCTTCAGCCTATTGATTTCTGATTCACTTGGTTTTAGGGGAGGAATCTATATTTTGGTAAGCTCTTACTAGCAATTTTATATGCCTACTGTTTATAGGAAATTAAAATCATGAACTCTTATAGTTAGGAGACCCTAAAAATTTAGCTAGTTTTTATTCCCTCGTGTTACAAATGAGGATAGCTTAGGTTAACAAAGAATGACTTTTTGTTTGTTTGTTTTTTAAAGACAGAGTTTCGCCCTGTCACCTGGGCCGGAGTGCAGTGGCACAGTCTCAGCTCACTACAACCTCTGCCTCCCGAGTTCAAGCGATTCTCCTGCCACAGCCTCCCGAGTAGCTGGGACTACAGGTGCGTGCCACCATGCCTGGCTAATTTTTGTATTTTTAGTAGAGACGGGGTTTCACCATGTTGGCCAGGCTGGTCTTGAACTCCTGACCTCAAGTGATACACCCGCCTTGGCCTCCTAAAGTGCTGGGATTACAGGCGTTAGCCACCATGCCTGGCCAGAATGATGACTTTCTAAAGACCCACACTTCCTCACATGAAGTAAGTTATTCATGTGAGGAAGTAGTTCAACAGTCGTTGAACAGTAGTTCAAGTTTGATCCTTATTGAACAGTGTTCAGTAAAGATCAAAGTTAAATGCCAAAATGTTTGGCACAGGCATGTGGAAGGAGATGGATTGGAGAAACTAATCTGAAATAGATTCTGTGGATGTCCTGATGTGAGGGAGGGAGACAGGAAGAAATTGATGGTGACCCTGACCCTAGAGCATGTAGCATGTATGCAGATATCCTTGACTCAGCTAGGGGGCACAGATAGAGGTGATGTGCCTGTGGCTATAGTAAGCCAGTTCAAACTCTCCAGGGGATATCCCAGAGCAACTGGTAGATAGTGCATCAATTTGTAAACCTGTTCAATGTCTGCTTATCTTTTTTAATTGAAACCTATTTTTGTAAAAGAAATAATTTCCTCCTAACCCTACCTTTTGGATATGTGCTGGTGTTAATCAAGCTCTACTACCCCCTAGTGGTAGTACCCTAAATGGTGAAAATGTCTCAAAAATCTTAGAAAAAATCTCAAAATGTCTCAAACTGGAGTCTAAAAGTCCAAACATATACAATATAACTGATGATGTCAAAGAATGTAAAGTTGAAAAAGTAGAATAGGGTCAAAATAAGGAATCTTGAATGCAGATTTCTTGGAAAGGAACCACTATACTATAGATAATAAAAGGAATAACATCAGGAAATGGGTCATTTGGGAAAATTTGCCATCTGTGCGTTGCTGGTAATATTAGAAGGTTGAGAACATGGTGAATAGCAGGTTATTTTACTGATCCAGGTATGAAGTGATAAAAGCTTATATTACAGTGTACTGTAGATGAAATTATGAGGAAAAAGTAATCAAGATACATTTTAATGTAATATTAATATTTGGATGATATATTGATTATTCAAAAATTAAATTGAAGAATAAAAATAAAAATTGTACTTTTAACTTTCTACTAGTTTTAAACTACTGAGTAATCCTTCCCAGTTGCTAAATATTATGTGTAATGTAGCTGCCTTGAAGTATATGGAACAAGCAGCATCAATAAGCTTTTAAAATAATCATTATTAACAGTCAAAAAATAAAGTGTAGGAAAATTTAGGATAGATTAGAAGATAAAGAAAACGTGGATAATCAAGGTATCAAGTATAATTGTCTTGGTATATGAAGTTTGTACATTGACATCTGAATATAGATTGTATTTGGGGCTTTATAACATTTCGCAGTAAAGAGAGCTAATATTTATTTGATTTTTGTCTGAGTAGCATATTTTTAACCATTTTCTAATTGATTCCTTATCATAATTCTGGGAGGTTAACATCATCCTGCTTATTTTAGGGATGACAACACTGAGGTTCATAGAACTAACCTGACTAAAACTTCATAGCTATTAATTGGTAGAATTAAAATCAAGTCTGTCTGTGTCTTTAGTGTCCATATTCAGTGACAACATGTTGTTCTTCATTTAGACAAAGTCATTTAAAAGTATTGATGATGATAATGATGATGATCAACTCAAAAAAGGCTGTCCATTTTCCTTGTCCTTCTTTCTTGCCTAACTCTCCAGTTTTATCATGCTGCATCTTATTCCATATGGTGTTACCAAATGCAAATTTTGTTTTATGCTGGGTGATAATTACTTTGACCCCCAGTGCCTCCTTTTCTTGTTCCTGCTGGGTGAGCAATTAGCCAAGTTCCTGTTTATCTTGAGAGAGTATTTAGTTAAGCAAGAATTTGAAAATAATTTATATTTAGATATTTTGGTATTGCGGGATCTGGCCAGCAGCCCGCAATGCATCGGGGCTCTCTCTTTGTTCCCAGGCGGATCAGCAGATTGAGAAATAATAGACACATACAAGATAGTGAAAGCTGGGTCCAGGGGGTCATCGCCTTGTGGTCCCGTGGTGCCAACAATGCACTGGATATACCAGCATTTATTATTAAGTTTAGTGAGGGCGGGAGTAGGTTAGTGAGGGATTTAGGGTCATTTGATTATGAGGTGAGATGGTCACATGGGGATGAAGTAATTCTTTAACATAACATCTGTATGCAGAAGTACAGTATACAGAGATAAGAATTTACAATATAGTGTGTGCATCAGTAATTTCTAACAGAGCCTTAAAACAGAAACACAGTCTTTCCATAACCTATGATTAGCAAAATATTAATCAGCAGTAACAGTTGCAGCAAAAGCTGGTTACAGACAATCCATAGAAACAGGACATGAAGCTAGACAACCGGTTAGACCAGAAATTCTCAGAAGGGAGTATGCCCTAACCCTAAAGAGGCCTAGAAGAGCCATGGCAAGATGAGGGTGTTTATAGCCCTATCTTATCCATATGGACAGGCGCCCCTCATGCTTCCGTTTATAGGCTCTCCACAAGGGTCACATTCCATTCCCAGAGCTATGAACATCTGCTTTTCTGGGATAGGCATCTTGGTGATGTGAAACCTCCCTGACTGCACGTCCATTCATAGGCTCTCTGCAGGGGAAAGCACATCACGTGCTGTTGGCTTATTCTGGCAGTCCAACCTGGCATTGTCTTTACACAATCCTGCATGCAACTTTGTATTTACAGTAATCAGGAGCATTTCATCTTTTATTCCGTAGCAATAGTTTCAGGGGGTCTCCCTACATCTCCCCCTTTTCTCTGATTTAAATGAACCATAACAGTCATAGCTTGGCACTGATCACGATTGGATTGAAGAATATTTTTTCCAATTTTACATATGGACAATAAACCAATAGCACAAATTATACACAGAATAAAATTAATGATAGTGGATCCTCCCAAAGATTTTACCCATTGAATGGGGTTGAGATTAGATAACCCCTTAGAGATACCATCTAAAACTTCAGCACCAGGTAAGCAGTTAAGTGTGCTTGAGAGGCCTCAAAAATCTGTTCTTTTAGCTTGCTTATGTCTAAACTTAAATTATCTTCACTTCCTTGTAAATAGCGTTTTACTGATTCCCAATTGTGAACAGACTCATTATATTGAAACGGAGTTATACAAAAATCAGAAGTATTCCAGTCACATTGCATTTGTAATCTATGTTCTAAACTCATAATTCTATCTCCCATCCATATAACAGTTTGTCTCAGATCATTAATTTGATTGGCCAATTTTTGATCAATACTTGACTGAGAATTCCACATCCGAGTAGAATTTTTGCCATTTATCCACAAAATGAACAGTTTGAATAGATTTATGTAATGCAACTCCAGCAGTAGCAGCGGTCACAGTAACAGCAATCAAGCCCATTATTATTGCAATTAATATAAAAATAAATCGTTTACTCCTTTTGAGAATTTTTTGTAGAATATTATTAATAACATGGATAGAAGGGGAAGATTCCCAAGGCCTATGTATGGCTACAGGGAGCCAAATACCTTCTCTGGCTCTGACTATTAAAATACTATGATATTGATTAAAGGATGAGTCAATACAAGTATACAAGTAACAATTAACACAGGTAATTATGTTGGTTTTTGAACTAATATGCATCTTTCCTACTAATAACATATATGGTGGTTTAACACAACTTTTAAGTGGTATAGTTTTGTTGGACTCCATAAAGATAGTATATATATTTTGGGATGGTATTCTTTTTTGTGAATGTGGGGTTGGGGGGAATAGGTTGTATGAGAGGTGGTGGGGGGACATTAGCAACGGGGCGGGGTGTAAGTCCTCATAATCTTTACTATCCCATCTTTGAATTGACCTTTTGATGATTGCCATAGTGATATTTTTGGCTGTGTGTAAATAGTAGTGTAAATCAATCTGTTGTCTTAGTTTTCAAGGTGACAAGTAGATTTACTTATAACACTCTCTCCAGCCCCAACTCTCATACCAGTCATAGCTATAGTTAATCTCCATAATTCTGAATGTTCAGGTCTTCAGTGGGGAGCAACAAGCCTTGGCTTTGGAGGGGCAATCCCTGCGCCTTTCCACTGAAGAGGAAAAAAGGAGTTAAATCTATGATATAATAGGGGAGGGTTGTCACTACTTTTTTGATAAGTAATATCGTAGAGAAAATGTTGACAATCTCTGTGACCCTGAGAGCAATCATTAGTAATATGACCTTTAGGAGCCCAATCAACAATGGCGTAGTGAGAAGAATTAAATAACACAGTTCCTTCTGAACTAACACAGTCCTTCCATATTAATTATAGGTATAGGTTTGACTCAATTCTGTTAAAAGTGAAATTTCAGTATGTGATCAGCCTCTTTATTCCAGCATATAAAGTGTCTCTTTCTGGCAAAAGAACCCTGTTTTTCTCCTATTTATTCTTCCTTTCTGTTTTTAAAAACAAGACAGGCATTTTCTATTTAGACTCTAGATCTAAATACACTAGGTTTGAATCCATCTATGTCATGTAACCTTGAGCAAGCTTCTTAACCTGTTAGTGTCTCAGTTTCCTCATCTGTAAAATGGTTGCCTAACTTGCAGGTTTATTATGAAAATTAAATAAATTAATTCATGTAAAGTGCTTATCACATATTAAATGCTGTATGAGAATTTAGAACCACACTAGGAATATTTTCAAAGGAAACAGCCAAATACATAAGTGTTCCTATTTTTAAAATACAGCAATGACCAATAATTTGTCATTCTCGACATAGTTTATATACTTGAAGAAAATCTCATTTTGTATTTATTGGAACATAAGATTGGTTGACTATTTGAAAATCAATCAGTATAATTCACCACATTAATAGAAAATATTTATGAAGAAAAATTTTAATTTTCTCATTAGATTTAGAAAAAACATACATCTGTTCAACAGAAAAACCTCTTAACAGAGTGAGATTATTGAGGGAAACCTCCTCAATCTGGTAAAAGATATCAACCAAAACCTTAGAGGACATATCATACTTAGTGATGAACTATTGAAAGCATTCCCTTTTAAGACAAGACAGAATGTGTCTGCCACTGCCATGTCTATTTTATACTAAACTGGATATTGTAGTCAATTTGATAAGATTGAGGGGGAAATGTAAGAATCAGAAAGGGAAAAATAAAAGTGTCAATATTTATTGTTGTTAAAATTGTGAACTCTTGGTTGAGAGCAACTTAGATAAAGAAAACAGCATAAAAGATTTGATCAATAAATGAAATTAAAGAAAAAGAAAAAGATGACCTTACTGAACAGAAATCACAAAACAAAATGGCAAGCAACAAAAACATAAATTGGATTAAATCAAAATTAAGATTATGTGCTTCAAAAGATCCCATCAAGAAAGCAAAAAGACAACCCACAGAATGAGAGAAGATATTTGTAAAAGATATTGGTAATGAAGGATTTATGTCCAGAATATATAAATAATTCTTGCAGCTCAGTAATAAAAATACAACTCAGTAACAGATGGGCAAAGGAATTGACATTTCTCCAAAGAGGGAATAGACATTTCTCCAAAGAAGACATACAAATGAGCAGTATGTTATTGAAAAGACACTCAGTCTAATTAGTCATCAGGGAAATCTAAATCAAGTTCATAATAGGATTCTGCTTTACAACAACTAGGATGGGTGGAATATATATATACATACACACACACACACACACACACACACACACACACACACACACACACACACACACACATATATATATATATATATATAATCACATATATATTGTAGAGATAGGGTTTCACTCTGTTAGCCAGGCTGGTATGCAGTGTTGCCATCATAGTTCACTGTAATCTTGAACAACTTGGCTTAAGCAATCCTCCTGCCTCAGCCTCCCAAGAAGCTAGGACTACAGGCACGCACCACCATACCTGGCTAATTAAAAAAAAAATTTTGTGTGTAGAGATGGGGGGGTCTCACTGTTTTGCCCAGGCTGGTCTCAAACTCCTGATCCTCCCTTCTTGGCTGCCCAAAGTGTTACAGGTGGTGAGCCACTGCACCCAGCTGGATGAGTATATTTAAAAAGACGGTAACAAGAATGTAGAGAAATTGGAACCTTTATATTTTGATAGTAGGAATGTAAAGTGGTGCATCTGCTTGGGAAAACAGTTTGGCAGTTCCTCAAAAAGTTAAACATAGGATTTCTATATGATCCAGTAATTCTGCTCTTAGATATATACCCTCAAGAATTGAAGACATATTCAAACAAAAATTTTATAGAGGTAGTAGATTAGTGGTGTGTAGAGATGGGATCAGAAGGAATGGAGTCAGGATTGACTGTAAATGGCTACAGGGTTTTATTCAGGAGGAGAAAAATGTTCTAAAGTTAGGTGGTGGTGGTGGTGGTGGTGGCTGCATAGCCTTATGTATATACTCAAAAACATTATATTATACATTTTAAATGGATGGATTATATAGTGTATGAATTTTATCTCAAAGCTGTTTTTTTTTAAAATAAAATGGCAGGAATAATGCTAAAGTTATCTTTCCTTATAATTATAAAGATTTCTCATGGAAAAAAACAGAAATCCTAAATTATGTCAGTTAAAATGGTATGGTAGGGAACCACCAAAGTTCGTACCTCCACAATATAGTTAATTGGCAAAAACTGTGAGAACCAATTTTTTTGGAACTCTGGAAAGTAATCAAAAGGCCACTGAAATCAAGAAAATGCTTAATCAAGTAAATTTAACTGAATATCAGTAGGAGAGTTTTGTGGCATTTTAACTTATCTTGGTCTCATACCTTACTCTCCACCTCAACAGCAGCCTTGAAGACAACAGCCTGTATTCCTGGTACAGATATCTACTTTTAGAGGCAACATAACAGACCATATTCTCAAAGAATTGTAATTGTCTGTTTTGCCCTGTCTGATGGCTCCCTGAAGGACTGGGTCAGGTGATTTGTTTTTATTTTTACCTAACTCAGAATTCTCCTAGGGCTGAGGAGGCCACCTGAGAGATTTTTTTTTTTTTTTAATTTAAAGGTAAATGTACTTAGTCACTATTTCCCAGGGAAAGGGAGAACAGTTGGGGTCAACAGTAGACTAACCAAAAAGCTTAGAGAGAAAGGCCAGAAATAGAGATCTCTAGGGAATAAGGGCTTTGTGAAAGCAAAAGAGAAGTAAAGCTTCACATATAAGGGATCCTTAGTATGGTTAACTGCTGATTTCTCACTGGAGATGATGGAGGCCACTTGGCAATGAGATGACACACTCAGTGTGCTGAAAGAATTTTTTTCAGCCCTGTTAACCAAGAATTCTATATTTGGCAAAGCTTTCCTTCACAAAAGAAGGAGAAATTACTACATTCCCTGATAAACAGTAACTGAATTGTTTGTCACTAGTAGACCTGCCCTAACTCATTTTACAAAATCAGCATAACACTGCTACTAATGCCACATAAAGACAACACAAGAAATAAAATCTTCAGACCAATGTCCCTTATGAATATAGGTGCAGTATTCCTCAAGAAAATATTTTAGGAATGCAGCAGCATATTTAAAGATTATATATCATCACCAAATGGGATTTATTCCAAGAATTCAGGGGTAGTTGACATAGAAAAAAGTCACACAATATAATATACCATATTAATAGAATGAAGGGGAACATAAACCATGATCAACTCAGTTCATGCAGAAAAAGTATTTAACAAAATCCGACCTTTTGTGATAAACACACCCAACAAACTAGGACTAGAAGGCAACTTTCTTAATCTGGTAAAGGATAATTAGGAAAATCTCACAGCTGACAGCCATACTCAGTGGCAAAAGAATGAAAGCTTTCCCCCTAAGATCAGGAAGAAGACATGAAAGTCCACTCTTGCCACTTCTCGCCTTGTTGTAATAGAATTTCTAGTGGCACATAGGCAAGAAAAACTAGTAAGAAGTATCCAAATTGGCAAGGAAGATATGAAACTATTTCTATTTTAAGATGACGTCTTAAAACAGCACGTCCTCAAATAATGTTGTTTCATTATAACATTCATGAGGAAAAAAAAATCAATTCCTGGCCAGGGCCACTGTCTATGTTGAATTTCCACATTCTCCCTGTGTCTGCATGGGTTTTTTCCCTGTACTCTGGTTTCCTCCCACATCTCAAAGATGTGCACATTAGGTTAATTGGCATGTCTAAATTATACCAGTATGAGTGAATGTAGATATGTATTTGAGTGCACCCCATGATGAAGTGATGTCCTGTCTAGGATTGGTTATGGCTTGTACCCTGAGCTGCTGGGATAGGTTCTGGCCTATAGACTTTGATAGGCTCCAGAGACCCTGAACTGGAATAATTGGGTAAATAATTACCTTGTTTTCATTAATTTTTCTTAAATGTATATAGAGCTCAGATTTATTTCAGTGTTTAATATTAGAAACGTTTCAGTCTTTATTTAGAAGTTTGGTGATGATTTTGTGACCAGAAACATACCATAGCAACCTTATTCTTGTTAATATTAATTAGCCTATGTTAAAATTAGTTTTGCTATACCTTGTTAAAATTGCAGTTTCAAGAACCTATCTACTACATTGAGGACTTACTGTACTTACAGTATCATAAATAATACACACACACACACACACACAAATACCCACACCCAATTTTACTGTGCTAATAAAGGAATTTGGCAAAGTTTCAAGAAACAAGATCAACATACAAAAATAGGTCATATTTCTATATACAAACAATGAGCAATCCAAAAATGAAATTAAGAAAGCAATTACATTTGGCAATGGCATCTAAAAGAATAAAGTAATTAATAATACATTTAACCAGAGTGGTGTAAGACTTGTATGTTGGAAACTACAAACGTTATTAAGAGAATTTAAAGAAGACCTGAAAAATTGAAAGACATTCTGTGTTTCATGCTTTAGAAGACTTAATATTTTTGAGATGGTGATACTCCCAAAATTGGTATACAGCTTCAGTGTAATCCCTGTCAAAATTCCAATAGCCTCTTTTGTAGAAATGAACAAGCTAATGCTAAAATTTATATAGAAGGGGGCAGCCAAGATGGCTGAATAGAAACAGCTCCACTCTGCAGCTCCCACCAAGAAGGATGAAAATGGCAAGAATTCTGCATCTTCAATTGAAGTACCAAGATTCTCTCATTGGGACTGACGAGGCAGTTGGCATGACCCATGGAGAGTGGGGAAAAGCAGGGTGGAGTGAGGGTCTACCTGGGAGCTGCATAGGGCAAAGGGAGCTCCCTCCCCCAGGCAAGGGAGGCAGTGAGGGACTATGCTACTCCTCCCTGAAAACCATGCTTTTCCCACAGATCCTTGTAACCTGTGGATAAGGAGGTCCCCTCATGAGCCCACGCCACCAGGGCCTTGGGTGCCAAGCACAGAGCTGTGCAGAATCATGGCAGCTGCTCAGGTGGGCGGCTGCTCGAGTAGGCACTGAGACACGGGAGTTTTTGCATACTGTGGCTCTGGGAACTCAAGTGAGGCAGGAGATCCATCCACTCCATGGGAAGGGGGCTGAAGCCAGGGACCAAAGTGGCCGCCCTCAGTGGGCCCCAACTCCCTATAAGCTAAAATGACTGGCTTGGAATACCCACCAGTTCAGCAGGCTGGAGACTGCCCTAAAGACCAAGTTCCGGGCGGAGAGGGGTGACCACCATCACTGTGGCTCCAGTCAGCTGTTTTCCCCTGCTGCAGGTGCCAGTAAGACTGGGCATTTTGGACAGGGAGCAATTCCCCACAGTGCAGCACAGTGGCTGGGATAGTTTGTGGCCAGACTGCTTCTTTAAGCAGGACCCCAATCCACTCCTCCTCACCAGGCAAGGCCTCCCTGTGGGAATTGCAGCATCCCCAGCCAGGTGTTTATGGACAGAACTCTGATATCCCTGAGAGGAGCCCCTAGGAGGAGGGGTGCCTGCAGTATGGTGGATCAGCAGTCTTAATGTTTTCTGCCTGCTGGCTCTGGTGAGTCAGGGCAGCCCGGATGAGGGGGATTCCCCCTAATGTAGCACACCTGCTCTGCCAAGGGGCAGCCAGACTGCTTATTTAAGCAAGACCCTGATCCCGTTCCTCCTGACTGAGTGAGATGTCCCAATAGAGTTCGCCAGACACCTCATACAGGAGTGTTCCAGCTGGCATCAGGTTGGTGCCCCTCTGGGTCAGAGCTCCCAGAGGAAGGAGCAGGCTGCCATCTTTGTTGTTCGGCAGCGTCCACTGGTGATAATTCCAGGAGTGGGAAGGACCCAGGGAAATAGCGTCTGGAGTAGATCCCCAGCAAATGGCAGCAGCCCTACAGAAGAGGGACCTGACTGTGAAAAGACAAATAGAAAGCAAGAGCAACAACAACATCAATGAAAAAGACCCCACAAAAACCCCATTTAAAGGTCAGCAGCAGGCTGGGCACGGTGGCTTACACCTATAATCCCAGCCAGCACTTTGGGAGGCCGAGGCAGGCGGATCACCTGCGGTCAGGAGTTCGAGACCAGCCTGGCCAATATGGTGAAACCCTGTCTCTATTAAAAATACAAAATTGAGCCGGGTGTGGTGGTGCATGCCTGTAATCCCAGCTAACCAGGAGGCTGAGGCAGGAGAATTGCTGGAACCTGGGAGGTGTGGAGGCTGCAGTGAGCTGAGATTGTGCCACTGCACTCCAGCCTGGGTGACAGAGCAAGATTCCGTCTCAAAAAAAAAAAAAAAAAAAAAAGTCAGCAGCCTCAGAGATCAAAGGAAATAAATCCATGAAGATGAGAAAGAATCAATGCAAAAATGCTGAAAACTCAGAAAGCCAGAGTGCCTCTTCTCCTCCAAATGATCACAACACGTCTCCAGCAAGGGCACAGAACTGGGCTGAAGCTGAGACGGATGAATTGACAGAAGTAGGCTTCAGAAGATGGGTAATAATGAACTTTGCTGAGCTAAAGGAGTATGTTCTGACTCATTGCAAAGAAGCTAAGAATCATGATAAAACATTACAGGAGCTGGCTGGGTGTAGTGGCTCATGCCTGTAATCCCAGCACTTTGGGAGACCGAGGTGGGTGGATCACAAAGTCAGGAGATTGAGACCATCCTGGCTGACACTGTGAAACCCCATCTCTACTAAAAATACAAAAAAAAAGAAAGCCGGGCTTGATGGCAGGCACCTGTAGTCCCAGCTGCTCAGGAGGCTGAGGCAAGTGAGTTGTTTGAACCCAGCAGGTGGAGGTTGCAGTGAGCTGAGATTGTGCCACTGCACTCCAGCCTGGGCGACAGAGTGAGACTCTGTCTCAAACAAACAAACAAAAAACCGTTACCGGAGCTGTTACCCAGAATAACCAGTTAGAGAGGAATGTAAATGACCTGATGGAGCTGAAAAACACAACACGAGAACGTCACAATGCAAACACAAGTATCAGTCGCCAAATAGATCAAGGGGAAGAAAGGATATCAGAACTTGAAGACTGTCTTCCTGAAATAAGGCAGGCAGACAAGATTAGAGAAAAAAGAAAGAAAAGGAACAAACAAAACCTCTGAGAACTATGGGACTGTTAAAAGGCCAAACCTGTGACTGATAGGGGTAACTGAAAGAGATGGGGAGAATGGAACCAAGTTGGAAAACACACTTTAGGATATCATCCTGGAGAACTTCTCCAACCTAGCAAGACAGGCCAATATTCACATTCATGACAACCAAAGAACCCCAGTAAGATACTTCTCAAGAAGATCAACCCCAAGACGTATAATCTTCACATTCTCCAAGGTCAGAGTAAAGGAAAATATGTTAAGGGCAGCCAGAGAGAAAGGCCAAGTCACCTGTAAAGGGAAGCCCATCAGACTAACAGCAGACATCTCAGCAGAAACCCTACAAGCCAGAAAAGATTGGGGGTCAGTATTCATCATTCTTAAAGAAAATCCAACCTAAAATTTCATATCCGGCCAAACTAAACTTCATTAGTGAAGGAGAAGTAAAATCTTTTTCATACAAGCAAATGCTGAGGGAATTTGTCACCACCAGGCCTGCCTTGCAAGAGCTCCTGAAGGAAGCACTAAATATGAAAAGGAAAGAACGTTACCAGCCACTACAAAAACACGCTGACATACACAGACCAGTGACATTATGAAGCAACTACATAAAGAAGTCTGCAAAATAGCCAGTAAGCATTGTGATGACAGGATCAAATCCACACATAACAATATTAACCTTAAGTGTAAATGGGCTGAATGCCCAAATTAAAAGACACAGAACGGCGAGCTGGATAAAGAGTCAAGATCCATCAGTGTGCTGCATTCAAAAGCTCCATCTCACATGCAAAGACACACATAGACCGAAAATAAAAGAATGGAGGAAAATTTACCAAGCAAATGGAAAACAAAAAAGCAGGGGTTGCAATCTTAGTTTCTGACAAAACAGACTTTAAACCAATAAAAATAAAAAAAGACAAGGGCATTACATAATGATAAATGAGTCAATTCAACAAGAAGACCTAACTGTCCTAAATATCTATACACCCAGTATAGGAGTACCCAGATTCATAAAACAAGTTCTTAGAGACCTACAGAGAGACTTAGACTCCCACACAATAGCAGTGGGAGACTTTAACACTCCACTGTCAATATCAGACAGATCATCAAGACAGAAAATTAATAAAAATGTTCAGGACTTGAACTCAGCTCTGGATCAAGTGGACCTGATAGATATCCACAGAATTCTCTACCCCAAAACAACAGAATATACATTCTTCTTGGTGCTTCATTGCACTTACTCTAAAATTGATCACATAATTGGAAATAAATCACTCCTCAGCAAATGCAGAAGAACTGAAATAATAACGGTCTCTCAGACCACAGCGCAATCAAATTAGAACTCAAGATTAAGAAACCCACGCAAAACCACACAACTACATGGAAATTTAACAACCTACTCCTGAATGACTCTTGGGTAAATAATGAAATTAAGGCAGAAGTTAAGAAATTATTTGAAACCAATGAGAACAAAGAGACAACGTGCCAGAATCTCTGGGACACAGCTAAAGCAATGTTAAGAGGCAAATTTATAGCGCTAAATACCCACATCAAAAACCTAGAAAGATCTCAAATCAGCACCTTAACATTACAACTAAAAGAACTAGAGAACCAAGAGCAAACAAACCCCAAAGCTAGGAGAAGAAAAGAAATAACCAAGCTCAGAGCAGAACTGAAGGAGATAGAGATGTGAAAAATCCTTCAAAAACTCAGTGAATCCAGGGGCTGGTTTTTTGAAAAAATGGATAAAGTAGATAGACAGCTAGCTAGACTAATAAAGAAGAAAATAGAGAAGAATCAAGTAGACACAATAAAAAATAATAAATGGGATATCACCAATGACCCCACAGAAATAGAGAATACTGTGTTTCCACAGTACTATATACTGTATAGACCCCACCATCAGAGAATACTATAAATACCTCTATGCAAGTAAACTAGAATATCTAGAAGAAATGGATAAATTCCTGGACATAAACACCCTCCCAAGACTGAACTAGGAAGAAGTTGAATCCCTGAATAGACGAATAACAAGTTCTGAAATTGAGGCAGGTGATAAATAGCCTACCAACCAAAAGAAAAGCCCAAGACCAGATGGATTTATAGCTGAATTCTACCAGAAGTTCAAAGAAGAGCTGGTACTATTCCTATTGAAACTATTCCAAAAAATTGAAAGGGAGGGACTTCTCCCTAACTCATTCTATGAGGCCAGCACCATCCTGATACCAAAACCTGGCGCAGATACAACAAAAAAAGAAAACTTCAGCTAATATCCCTGATGAACATCAATGCAATGATTCTCAATAAATACTGGCAAACTGAATACAGCAGCACATGAAAAAGCTTATCCACCACAATCAAGTTGGCTTCATCCCTGGGATGCAAGGCTGCTTCAACATATGCAAATCAGTAAACATAATTCATCACATAAACAGATCTAAAGACAAAAACCACATGATTATCTCAATAGACACAGAAAAGGCCGTTGATAAAATTCAATATCCCTTCATGTCAAAAACTCTCAATAAACTCGGTATTGAAGGAACATACTTCAATAATAATAAGAGCCATTTATGACAAACCCACAGCCAATATCATACTGAATGGGCAAAAGCTGGAAGCATTCCCCTCAAAAACTGGCCCAAGACAAGGATGGCTTCTCTCACCACTCCTATTCAACATAGTTTTAGAAGTTCTGGCCAGGGCCGTCAGGCAAGAGAAAAAAATAAAGTGTATTCAAATAGGAAGAGAGGAAGTCAAAGTGTCTTTGTTCGCAGATGACATGATCCTATATCTAGAAAACCCCATTGTCTCAGCCCAAAAGCTTCTTAAGCTGATAAGCAAAGTCTCACGATACAAAATCAATGTGCAAAAGTTACAAGCGTTCCTATACACCAACATTAGGCAGAGAGCCAAATCATGGATGAACTGCAATTCACAAGTTCTCCAAAGAGAATAAAATACTAGGAATACAGCTAACAAGGGAAGTGAAGGACCTCTTCAAGGAGAATTACAAACCACTGCCCAAAGAAATCAGAGCAGACACAAACAAATGGAAAAACATTGAATGCTCACAGATAGGAAGAACCAGTATTGTTCAAATGGCCATAGTGCCCAAAATAATTTATAGTTTCAAAGCTATTCCCATTAAACTATCATTGACATTCTTCACAGAATTAGAATAAACTATTTTAAAATTCATATGGATCCAAAAAAGAGCTTGTATAGCCAAGACAATCATAAGCTAAAAGAACAAAGCTGGAGACATCGCGCTACCCAACTTCAAACTATATTATAGGGCTACAGTAACCAAAATAGCGTGGTACTGGTACATAAACAGGCACCTAGACCAATGGAACAGAATACAGAGCCCAGAAATAAGGCCACACACCTACAACTATCTGATCTTTGACAAGCCTGACAAAAGCAATGGGGAAAGGATTCCCTATTCAATGAATAGTGATGGAATAACTGGCTAGCCATATGCAGAAGATTGAAACTGGACCTTTTCCTTATACCACATACAAAAGTTAAATCAAGATGGATTAAAGACTTAAATGTAAAACCCAAAACTATAAAAACTGGAAGACAACCTCAGTAGTACCATTAGGGACATAGGCACGGGCAAAGATTTCATGATGAAATTGCCAAAAGCAATTGCAACAGAAGAAAAAGTTGACAAATGAGATCTAATTAAACGAAAGAGCCTCTGCACAGCAAAAGAAACTATCAGAGCAAACAGGCAACCTACAGAATGGGAGAAAATTTTTGCAATCTATGCATCTAATTAAGGCCTAATATCCAGAATCTAAAAGGAACTTAAACTTACAAGAAAGAAAACCCCATTAAAAAGTGGGCCAAGGACATGAACAGACACTTCTCAAAAGAAGACATTCATGCGGCCAACAAACATATGAAGAAAAGCTCAACATCACTGATCATTAGAGAAATGTAAATCAAAACCACAATGAGATACCATCTCATGCCGGTCAGAATGGCAATTATTAAAAAGTCAAGAAACAACAGAGGCTAGTGAGGTTGTGGAGAAATAGGAGTGCTTTTACACTGTTGGTGGGAATGTAAATTAGTTCAACCATTGTGAAAGACTGTGGTGATTCCTTAAAGATCTAGAACCAGAAATACCATTTTACCCAGCAATCTCATTACTAGGTATATACCCAAAGGAATAAAAATCATTGTTACAAAGGTACATGTGTGCGTATGTTCATTACAGCACTATTCACAATAAAAAAGACATGGAATCAACCCAAATGCCCATCAACGATAAACTGGATAAAGAAAATGTGGGACATATACACCATGGAATACTATGCAGCCATAAAAAGGAATGAGATCATGTTCTTTGTAGGGACATGAATGGACCTGGAAGCTATTATCCTCAGCAAACTAACACAGGAACAGAAAACCAAATACCACATGCTCTCAGTTACAAGTGGGAGCTGAACAATGAGAACACATGGACACAGGGAGGGGAACAACACACAATGGGGCCTGTCAGGGGGTGTGGTTCGGGGTGGGAGAGCATTAGGAAAAATAGCTAACGCATGCTGGGCTTAATACCTAGGTGATGGATTGATAGGTGCACCCCCATGGAAAAAAAGATTCATGGATTTACTTAGTTTTATTTAACAAATACACAGGTGACACTTACAATATACTATTTTTTATAAAGATAAAAAAAATAGAGGTTTAATTTCTGAGATTTGTAAAATAGCCTCTTTTTTTAATAAAACAAGAAGATTTGTTAGCAAAACAGCTAATAAAAAATAAAATGGAGCATACATATATCCCACATTATGACTGAGAGGGAGTATAACCAAGATGATATTGAGATTAATAATGAACAAATGCAGTGTACAACACTACACCAATGAAATTTTTAATCTTACCAAAGTAGACAAGCATCTGAAAACCAAATCATCAGATTATAATTGTGACAGTATATTTGAAAGGATTCTTTCAACCTTATCTCTTGCTATTCTCACATTTTAATCTTTTGCTCTGACCAAATGGGTCTCCACAATGTTCTAAGCATAACTTGTATTTTTCCTACGTTCAGCATTGTTTACTCAATTTTCTCTGGTAATAATGCCATTTCCTTTGTATTTGGAGACCACCTGACTTTTAAGAGCGTACACATTCCATTTCCTTCAGGAAACAGCTGGAAGTGAACATATCACATTACTTACCTGTCACTTACTCTGCCCCATAGAATTATGTTTTTTGTTTGTTTGTTTGAGACAGAATCTCTCTCTGTCATCCAGGCTGGAGTGCAGTGGTGTAATCTTGGCTTATTGCAACCTCCGCCTCCCAGGTTCAAGCGATTCTCATGCTTCAGCCACCTAATTAGCTGGGATTACAGGCGTGCGCCACCACACCCAGCTAATTTTTGTATTTTTAGTAGAGACAGGGATTTGCCATGTTGGCCAGGCTGGTCTTGAACTCCTGACCTCAAGTGATCCACCCGCCTCAGCCTCTCAAAGTGCTAGGATTACAGGCGTGAGCCACCGAACGTGGCTGGAATTATGTATCTTTTTATGCTGTTATGTCATCTTCTTCCTTCTGCAGACTAAGTTTCTTGAATATTCTCATTATGTATATACCTCTTTGTATCCCCCTCCCATACTATAGTTTATACAGAGTCAAACTGGAAATAAATATTTAATTGAATGCTAAAAGTGAATCAAATGGGAGGTGCTTCCGGATGGTTGACTAGAGGCATCTAGTGTGTGCCTCCTCCACAACAAAGAACCAAAATAGTGAGTAGATAATCACGCTTTGAACAGATCATCTAAGAATATTGGCATTCAACCGAGAAGTGACAGGAGACACCTAAAGCAAGCTTGTCTAGTGCACATCCTGCAGGCCGCATGTGGCCCAGGATGGCTTTGAATGCGGCCCAACACAAATTCGCAAACTTTCTTAAAGCATTATGAGATTTTTTTGGTGATTTTTTTAAAGCTCATCAGCTCTCGTTACTGTTAGTGTATTCTGTGTGTGGCCCCAGACAGTTCTTCTTCTTCCGTTGTGGCCAGGGAAGCCAAAAGATTGGACACCCTGACCTAAAGCCAGATAGGAGAGGAAAGTGAGGTAGCCTTTTCTTCTGCGATCAGCTGGGAGCCTGGAGAGGCTCCCCAGTGTGGGGAAAGAAGTGCGTGATCCCCAGCAGTCCACATTCCCACCGTGGACTCCTGCGTCTAGCCACGGGAAAGCCCCTGCAACTAACATAAGAAGCTACTTGGAGACCATATAAAGGTATTGTTCCAGAGAGGGAGTCCATGCTTGGGCCTCACATACTCCTGAGCCCTGAGCAGCTACAGAAAGGTGCCACAATCAGAGTCTGCCTCCTACCAGAGCTACATTCTGCCCAGGGGTCCAACAGCTTCTGCATTTCCATAACTCAAACCCCGTTGACATTCCCCACCCTCAGCCAGCACCAGAGTTGGCTACTGCCTCCAGGGATGAAGTGAGAGCCATTGTCAAAGACCCTACTGCCCCTAGCGGTGAGGCCACTGTAACATCTTCATACGTCCAAGAATGAACTTCCCTGCCAACAGCAGCCACCCCTGTGGGCCGCTGAACCTGGGGCCAAAGCACAAGCAATGTGCATGCTTCCCAGCTGCCTCTGCATATGGGTGCTGCTGAGAGCAACCTCATTCTCCCTAGTAGTGGGGCTCCAGTGCATCCACTGCCATGCCCACCCAAGCATTCTGCCTTAGGCCTGAGTATTACCCCATGCTGGCCTACCAAAGCTAGCACCTACACATACCACCAGAGTGCCTGATGACAGATCCACCCAGCTCATCTCCACACCCCCAGTAACCAAGCATGTTGCCCAGGGGCCTGGGGACTGCCCAGCCCAGTCCACCGCTGTTGGTACCCGAGTACTCTCTCTGGGGGCTTAAGGGAAAGCCCACCCAACCTGTCATTGCCATCACCGTGGGGGTTCATCCACCTGCAAGCCTGGGGATTAGACTGCCAGCCCATGAAGGCTACCACCAACAACATGAGAGTGAACTATTTGGGATCCAGAGGTTATTCCTGCCAATGCTACTGCCATTGCCCTTACCATGGCCCCAGAACCCACCTTCCTCACTAGCCCATTGTTGCAACCCCTGTCACCAGAGCAAGCTGCCTGTAGGCCCAAGAATCAGCTCACCTGGACCTGCTAACGCCGGTATCAGTGTTTGTCACTGTGGAGCCTAAAAACAAGTACATTTGGCCCACTGCTGCCACTACTGGGGCTTGAGGTGTCCCCATCCCCAGCAAAACTTCACCAGAACCTTCACTAACAACCCTACTATAAATCACTGAGGAAATCACAGACACCACTGATGCTGTTTACAACTGAAAAACAGCATATGTGACATATGCAACATCATAAGGTGACAAAATACTCAAATTTGCAGTGTCCCAGAAGGTGAAGAAAAAATGAAAGGTAACTTAATAGGAATAGCATTGAATCTGCAGGTTACTTTGGGCAGCCATTTTAATGATATTGATTCTTCCAATCCATGAGCCCCTATGGAATGTTTTTTCATTTATTTGTATCATATATGATTTATTTCAGTAATGTTTTGTAGTCCTCCTTGTAGAGATCTTTCACTTCCTTGGTTTAAATGTATTCCTAGGTATCTTATTTTTGTGTATGTGTGGCCATTGTAAATGGGATTATATTCTTGATTTGGCTCTCACCTTCAATGTTATCGGTGTATAGAAATGCTACTGATTTTGTACATTGATTTTGTATCCTGAAACTTTACTGAAGTCGTCTATCGGTTCTAGGAGCCTTTTGGCAGAGTCTTTAGAGTTTTCTAGGTATAGAATCATATTGTCAGTGAAGAGAGATAATTTGACTTATTTTCCTGTTTGAATGCCTTTTATTCTCTTGCTGATTGCTCTGGCTAGGACTTAAAATATGTTGAATAGGAGTGGTGAGAGTGGACATCCTTGTGTTGTTCCTGTTCTTCAGGGAAATGCTTCCAGCTTTGGCCCATCAACTATGGTATTGGCTGTGGGGCTGCCATAGATGGCTTTTATTATTTTGAGGTATGTTCCTTCAATTCTAGTCTGTTGAGGGTTTTTTATCATGAAGGGATGTTGGATTTTATTGAAAACTTCTTCTGCATCTATTGAGATGATCATATGGTCTTTGTTTATCAATGTCACTTTTTACAAAATTATGAAAAGCTATTCTGAAATGCATATGGAGCCATAAAAGAGCCTGAAGAGCCAAAGCAATCCTAAGCAAAAAGAGCAAAATGGGAGGCATCACATTACCCAATTTCAAACTATACTATAAGTCTACAGTAACCAAGAGAGCATGGTACTGGTACAAAAGCAGACACGTAAGACCAATGGAACAGAACAGAGAACCCAGAAATAATGCAGCACACCTATAGCCATCTGATCCTTGGTAAAGCTGACAAAAATAAGCAATGAAGAAAGGACTCCCCATTTAATAAATGGTGCTGAGATAACTGGCTAGCCATATGCAGAAGAAATAAATTAGACCCCTACATTTCATCATATACAAAAGTTAACTCAAGATGAATGAAAGATTTAAAGGTAAGACCTCTAAACTATAAAATTCCTAGAAGAAAGCCTAGGGAATACCATTCTAGACAATGGCCTTGGCAATGAATTTATGACTAAGTCCTCAAAAGCAATTGTAGTAAACACAAAAACTGACAAGTGGGACCTAATTAAAGAGCTTCTGCTCAGCAAAAGAAACTGTCAATGGAGTGAACAGATAACCTACAGAATGGGAGAAAGTATTTCACAAACTATGCATCCAAAGGTTTAATATCCAGAATCTATAAGGAACTTAGACAATTGAATAAGCAAAAACCAAATAAAGCCATTAAAAGGTGGGCAAAGGACATGAACAGACACTTCTCAAAAGAAGACATACAGTCAGCCAAGAGACATAAAAAATGCTCACGGGGTGAGGTGCCACACTCTTAAACAACTGGATGTCACATGCACTCATTATTATTCACTCCTATAGGGAGGGCACCTGGCTGTTAATGAGAGATCCACCCCTGTGATCCAGCCACCTTTCATTGGGCCCGACTTCCAACATTGGGGATCGCATTTCCACATGAGATGTGGAGGGGACAAATATCTAAATTATATCATAGGGATAATACCATATTGAATTTTTAGATACTTGTGATATTATTGAATGTACAGCAGCCAGCACAATGCTTGGAACATACTCCACCATGCATAATTGTTACTTTTCCCACCTTTCAGATGAGGTCACAATTACTTGTAGCTACCAAGTAGTTATTTCTGCATTTTGACATGCAAAATGTTTATATTTGTAAAAATCTTTATATTTATAAAAATCTTAATATTTAGGCTGATGGCAATGAGCATACTTAGGTTGAAAAAATATGTACTTTTTTATTTTATTCCAATTTAGATATTTCTTTATTCCAATGCATCATCTGTCTAGTTTGCTTTTTTCCTCATTAGGGCTATTGTAATTTGCATTTTTCTCACTTTTTTAGGTAGGAGTATTTTTTTTTTCACCTGTCATTGTTCTCTAGATTGTTTTACATTGTGGGTAATTTTTTCGTAGATCACTGGATGAATTCTTTGACAACAGGATCCTTTGGATGAGCAGTTAACATTTAAATTGGCATTTTCCTCTTTTTTTTCTCCAAAAAGAGAAATGTACAAATTAAGTCAACAATGGATTGCTATAGTGAGAACTGTCTTAGATCAGTGACTAGCTTGATGACTGTCACCTACTAGTTTAGGCAAGCCGGAGCCTAGTTAGAAAGGGGCAGAGAAGTATCTCAAATTTTTCTGAACCTTTGGTATTTAGTCAGTATAAAAAACAAAAACAAAACACATCTTTGAGAGTCTGGTCACGTTATTTCCACTGTCTTTTTAGTTATTTCTAAAATTAAATGACTTTTTTTGTATTATTATTTACCTGTATTTATCTTTTCATTGTATAACTCTTGAGGTACATAGGTAGTCAGCCACTTCAATCACCAGATTTAATAGGCTTAGTGTTATATTTAATAGGGGAAAAATACAGCCAACATTTTGGTTTATTATAAAAATTAGCAGTGAAATAACTGTGTTAAAACTTTTTTTCTCTTCAGGGCTAAGGAATATGAGAGTTTAATGGAAACCAAAAATTCTGGCTCTGATTCACCTTATAAAGCAAAGTGAGTATTCCACATTTTAGTTCTCCTTTTCTTCAGTCTATGCCTGTAACAAAAGTGTATCTCAACCATCATGTTATGTCTGTAATAAGGTTCTTTGATTCTAATTTCTAGAACAGCATTCTCTTAACACAGTAGTATCCAACTAGAGGAGAGTTGGCTGAGGATATTTGGCCATGTCTGGGCACAGTTCTTGTGAGCACAACTTGGGGCTGCTAGCATCAAGTGGGTGGAGGCCAAGGATTCTGCTATATATTATTCAGTGTATAAGACAACCCTCACAAAGAACTGTCTCATCCAAAATGTTAATAGTACCAAGGTTGAGAATCCCTGTTCTAACAGATCAGGTTCTGGCAAAGCAAGGCTGTGCTGGTGCTTGCTCTGAGGAGATCTCTTTAAGGATTGTTCCTCGGGCCAGTCCGTAAAGAGAATTAGAGTTCTCTAATGCTAATTCTCATGAGATTTTAGATGAGAATTTAGACTTCACCATTGAGGTGTAAATGTAATTAAATAATAGCTAGGTAAACAAAGGCATCATCATTTTGTTTCTCTTAAAAATACTGTCAGTAGAGCTGCAGTGAGAAAAGTACTTAGAAACACTATTGAAGGGAGTACAGACTAGTATGGTCTTGTTGAAAAGCAGTGTGCATTAGCAGTTTAGGAAGTCCTATTCAGACCTAAGCCTGCTCAGTGGAATAGCGCAAAATGTGCTCAGATATTTATATACATAGATGACTCTTTTAAAAATTTTTTTTTAATTTTAAGTTCTGCAGTACATGTGCAGGATGTGCAGGTTTGTTACATAGGTAAACGTGTCATGGTGGTTTGCTGTACCTGTCAACCCATCACCTAGGTATTAAGCCCAGCATGCATTAGCTATTTGTCTTGATGCTCTCCCTCCTCTTGTCCCCCCTCGACAGGCCCCAGCATGTGTTGTTCCCCTCCCTAAGTTTATGTGTTCTCCTTGTTCAACTCCCCCTTATAAGTGAGAACATGCGGTGTTTGGTTTTCTGTTCCTGCATTAATTTTGCATAGATGACTCTTTTACTGGTACTTTTAACAGTGAAAAAGTCAAGAAACAATTTAAGTGCCCCAAGTTGAGGAATATCCATAACCACTTGTTGGTGTACATATGCTATAGAATGTTAATGTAGCCATTATTTGCATTTACAGTAGAAATATTCTTGCCTGTCAAAAGATACCAGTCAGCTTACTACTTTTATTTATTATTGTTCTGAAAGTATTAGGCATTGTAATAAAAAGATAAATCCATATAAAACATTAAAGAAGTAAGAAAATTATCAAGATTAGGAAGATGCTGTATATCACAAATACTGTATATCAGGAGAATGGAGTGCAGAACTAGTAGAAGCAACAAGAGAAATCAATTCAGTAGGATGGTGGATTACCAAATTAATATAATAACAATAATAGGTAACATTTACTGAGCCATTACCTTATGCTAGACTCTATGTGTGCTAACTCATTCCTGACAATAATTCTATGAGGTTAATTAGGGAAACTAAGCTCTAGAGAGGGTAACTTGCCTGAAGCTACACAACAGCATATCTAGCATACAAAAATTAATAGCTTTTCTTTGCAATAACCACTTAGAAAATATAAATATATTTACAATAGCAATAAAAAGAAGTAAAATATTTAAGAGAAAACTTATATATATATATTTTTTGAAGACAGAGTCTCGCTCTGTCGCCCAGTCTGGAAGGCAGTGGCATGATCTAGGCTCACTGCAACCTCTGCCTCCCAGGTTCGGGCAATTCTTGTGCCTCAGCCTCCCACCTAGCTGGGACTACAGGTAAGTGCCATCATGCCCAGCTAATTTTTTATATTTTAGTAGAGACAATTTTACCTTGTTGCCCAGGCTGGTCTCGAACTCCTGCGCTCAGGCAGTCTGCTCACCTTAGCCTCCCAAAGTGCTAGGATTACAGGCATGAGCCATCGTGCCCGACCTTTAAGAGTAAACTTAAGAGGAAATGTGAAGGATCTATTAAAAGAAAATCTTAAAAAGCTAACAGGATAGCATTAGGAGATATACCTAATGCTAAATGACAAGTTAATGGCTGCAGCACACCAGCATGGCACATGTATACATATGTAACTAACCTGCACATTGTGCACATGTACCCTAAAACTTAAAGTATAATAATAATAAAAAAAAGAAAGAAAAAATAATTGCAGAGAATGCATAAAACAAATTAGCTCTCTCTAAAAGATGGGAATATAAAATGATACAACTACCTTGGAAAAATAGTTTGGCATTCTCTTAAAAAGCTAAACATACTCCCCGCCATTCCACTCTTAGGAATATACCCAAATGAAATGAAAGCATGTGCCCACATAAAGACTTGTATATATTGCAGCCATTTTAATTGTAATAATAGCTCCAAACTGGAAATAACTCAAATATTTATCAAAAGATGAATGTATAGGTTCATACAATGGGGTATTACTTAGTAATAAAGAATAAACACACAACAAAAAGGATAAATACTGAAATAATTATCTGAGTGAAAGAAGCTGGAGCATAAAAAGTACATAGTCTGTGATTCCATTTATATCAAGTAGTAGAAAATGCAAACTAGTTTATAGTAATAGAAACACGGCTGGGTGCGGTAGCTCACATCCATAATCCCAGCACTTTGGGAATGTGAGGCAGGTGGATCACTTGAGATCAGGAGTTCAAGACCAGCCTGACCATCATGGCAGAACCCCATCTTTACTAAAAATACAAAAACTAGCTGGGCATAGTGGTGTGCACCTGTAATCCCAGCTACTCAGGAGGCTGAGGCAGGAGAATCGCTCGAACCCGGGAGGTGGAGGTTGCAGTGAGCTGAGATCGTGCCACTATACTGCAGCCCAGGCAATAGAGCAAGGCTCCATCTCAAAATAATAATAAAGGCCATTTAAGGAGAATTTGTCATTTGTATATCACTTTCTTTCTCATTTTTGTAAACATTGCTTAAAACAGGCTTCATGTGCTCATTATATAATTTTTGAAATACATATTTACTTTTAAAACTCTCAAGTAATAAGTTGATACAATTTTAAATCAATTTTGTAATATTTTAATATTTAGCAATTCTGTTAATTTGGATTGTAATGAATAATCGTGTCACAGAAGAGAAAATAATAAATAATAATGTTCTACTTGTGAAAAAAAAGCTAACAAGAGATATAAAAGACTTTTATAAATGGAAAGACAAATCATACTCTTGGATAAAAGACACAGGACAGTAAGTTTGCTGTAAATATTCCTACAAATGTAATGTAATTCCTGTAAAATAGCAACCTTTTTTTCATAGATCTAAAATCATTCTAAAGAGAATATAGAAATGTCTGAGAATTTCTAGGAAAAATTTTTGAAAGAAGGAATATGAGATAGGACTCAGCTAATGGATATTTAATAAAATTTTAAAGCTGCACTCACACATGAATAAAAATACAAATTGTTGGAAGAGTGTTCTTTTGTTTTTGTTTTTGTTTTTTGAGACAGAGTCTCACTCTATCACCCAGGCTGGAATGTAGTGGCGTGATCTCGACTCACTGCAACCTCTTCCTCCCGGGTTCAAGTGGTTCTCGTGCCTCAGCCTCCCTAGTAGCTGGGATCACAGACACCTGCTACCACACCCGGCTAATTTTTATGTTTTTAGTAGAGACGGGGTTTCACCAGGGTTGGTCAGACTGGTCTCGATCTCCTGACCTCAAGTGATCCACCCGCCTTGGCCTCCCGAAGTGCTGGGATTATAGGTGTGAGCCATCATGCCCAGCTGGAAGAGATTTTTTAAAACAGTCTAGAAATACATCTAAATACTTGAGGAAATTTAATATATGACTGTGGTATACAGTATTTGCAAAAGATGGCCAGAAGAAGTTGAGCCATTTCTGAATACATGCCCCTTTGCAGTAGAACTTTGCTGTTTCTCCTATCAAGAAGTGGACTCTGTTTCCCTTCCTCTTGAACTTCTGGACCTGTGACTTGTTTTGGCCCATTGAAAGCTGTAGAAGTGATATGTGACTTCCAAGCCTTAGCCTCACGGGTCTATGGTTTCTGTTCTCGCCCTCACTTTCTTATTCTTCAGTAACTGCCATGTAAGGAAGCCTGGGTCAGCCTCCTTGTGAGTGAGAAATCACATGAAGGGACAGGCTCAGTTGTCCTGGCTGTCCCTTCTGAAAACCCTAGGCAAGGGATTAAGGCCATCCAGGACCAGTTATCACCTAGCTGGTTATGTTAGGTGAGACGAGAAGAATTATCTAGCTGAGCCCAGGTCAAACTGCAGGGAGCAAATAGATAGTTGTTTGAAGATACTGAGTTTTGAGGCAGTTTGTTTCACAGCAAGTAATTACTGATGCAACGACAAAGGTGGAATTCCAAGTCATTAGGGAAAGGATAGATTAGCCAGTAAATGCTGATGAATACTCTTTTCACTCCTTACTCTAGCAGTTAAATTACTGATTAATCAAAGATGTAAAGATAAAAACATGAAACTGTAAAAACACTAGAAGAAAACAGAGGAAATGTCAAAGTCCCTTCTAAATAAACTTCTAGACACAGGAGTCAGAGAAGAAAAGACGGATGACTTTGACTATATCAAAGTGAAAACTTTATGCTTGGTTAAATACCATAAAGAAAAAAGAGGGGTGGAAATATTTACAACAAAAATGATAAAGAGCTCATGTAATATATAAATCAATACCTTGTATAAATTAATATGAGCAAGATCATTCATCAGTAGGAGAAAATATTGGATATGATCAGATAATACAAGGAAAAGGAAGTTAAAAGTGCCCAATTTGTTTTACTTTTGAAATTCCAAACTACTTAATTGGATTTTTAAAAATTATGTTTATAGACATTTTAATGCTGTGAGGAAATGCTTATGATGATTGAAAACTTGTAATTTTGATACAGTATGAGCTTTTTACATTAAAATGATAGAGGCCCAAAAAGGTAGTAATGCTACTTAAATTCAAATTTCCATATACATCTTCCTAAAAACTATATATATCAACAAGGAAAGCAAATTAAGTCATCAGTACTTCATATCTATACTATATTTAGGAGACATAGATGGCTACGACTGTACTTTTTTTCATTTTTTAAAATGGTGATGAAATACATATAGCAAAATTTACTATCTTACTCATTATTAATACAGTTTAATGATATTAAATACATTCATATTGTTGTGTAGCTATTACATCATCCATCTCCAGAACTATTTTCATCTTATAAAACTATAACTATACCCATTAAACAATAATTTCCCATACCTCCTGTTCCTAGCACTTGGCAACCACCATTCTACTTTCTATTATTATGATTTTGACTACTCTGGGTAACTCATGTTAAGTGTAAATATACAGTATTTGTCTTTTTGTGATAGGCTTATTTCATTTATCATAATATCCTCAAGATTTATCCATGTTGCACCAAGGATAAGAATATTCATCCTTTTTAGGGCTGAATAATACTCCACTATATGTGTTGCTTATCCATTAATCTGTCATTAGACATTTGGATTGCTTCCACTGTTTAGCAATTATGAATAATGCTGCTGTGAACATGGGTATACAAATATCTCTTTGAGTCCCTGTTTTTAATTATTTTCTGTATATATCCAGAAGTAGAATTGCTAGATCATATGGCAAATCTATTTTTAATATTAATATATTGAGGAACCAGCACACTGTTTTCCACAGTAGCTATACCATTTTTTACATTCTCACCAGCTCTGCACAAGAGTAACAATATCTCCATGTCCTCACCAGTACTTGTTATTTTCTGCTTTTTTTGATAGTAGCCATCCATATAGTTGAGATAGTATCTCATTTTAGTTTCGGATTGCATTTACCTAACGATTAGTGATGTTGGACATCTTTTCGTGTGCTTTTTGGACATTTGTATATTCTTTTTTTTTTTTTTTTTGAGATGGAATCTCGCTCTGTTACCCAGGCTGGAGTGCAATGGTGGGATCTCACCTCACTGCAACCTCCAGCTCCCGGGTTCAAGTAATTCTCCTGCCTCTGCCTCTCGAGTAGCTGGGATTACAGGTGTGTGCCACCGTGCCCAGCTAGTTTTTTGTATTTTTAGTAGAGATGGGGTTTCACCATGTTAGCCAGGATGGTCTCAATCTCCTGACCTCGTGATCTGCCTACCTCGGTGTCCCAAAGTGCTGGGATTACAGGTGTGAGCCACCGTGCCTGGCCTCATTTGTGTGTGTGTGTGTGTGTGTGTGTGTGTGTGTGTGTGTGTCTGTGTGTGTGTGTATGTATATATACACATACAGACACATTTGTTTTTGAGATGGACTCTTGCTCTGTTGCCAAGCTAGAGTGCAGTGGCGCGATCTCAGCTCACTGCAATCTCTGCCTCCCGGGTTCAAAGGATCCTCCCACTTCAGCCTCCCAAGTAGCTTGGGACTACAGGAGTGTGCCACCAACTCGGATAATTTTTGTAATTTTTTGTAGGGAGGGGGTCTTACCACGTAGCCCAGGCTGCTTTTGAACTCCTGGGCTCAAGCAATCCGCCCCCCCTCAGCCTCCCAAAGTGCTATTACATCTTCTTTAAATGCTTGGTAGAATTCACCAGTGAATCCATCAAGTCCAAGGCTTTTCTTCAACGAGAGATTTTGATTACTGATCTACTTAATTGTATGTCTTTTAGGTCTTCTATTTCTTCATCATTAGATTTTGGCATATTTTGGGTTTCTAGGAAGTGGTCTGTTTTGTGTAGGTTATCCAATTTAGTGCCATACAGTTGTTAATAGTACTCTCTTTGAATCCTTCTTATGTATTCATAAGTAGTAAGATCAGTAGTAATGTGCCCACTTTCATTTCTGAATTTAGCAATTAGTATCTTTTCATAGTCAATCTAGCTAAAGGTTTGTCAGTTTAGTTTGTCTTATGGAAGAACCAGCTGTTGGTTTCATTGATTTTTCTCTATTTTAAAAAATTCTGTTTCATTTATCCCTGTACTAGTCTTTATTATTCTTTCTGAAGGAAATAATAAAGCTTTGGGTTTAGATTTTTCTTCCTTTTCTACTTTGTTAAATATAAATGTTTATAAATGTCCCCCTTCTTTCACTGTGTCTCATGCATTTTGATATGTTGTGCTTTCATTTTCATTTGTCTGTATTTTCTGATTTTTCTTTGACTACTTTTGTGATTCATTGATTGTGTAAAAATGCGTTATTTTTCACAAATTTGTGAATTTTTCAGGTTTGTTTTTTTGTTACAAATTTCTAACTTCATCCTGTTGTGGTCAGAGAATACACATTGTATGACATCTATCTTTGTGAATCTATTGAGTCTTCATTTGTTTGTTTTTGTTTTTGTTATTTGTTTTTTAACTTTTAAGTTCAGGGTTACAAGTGCAGATTTGTTACATAGGTAGTAAACTTGTGCCATGGGGATTTGTTGTACAGAATATTTTATCACCCAAGTATTGAGACTCCTTAGTTATTTTTCTTGGTCTTCTCCCTCCTCCCACCCTCCATCCTCCAAAAGGCCCCAAGGTATGTTGTTCCCCTCTATGTGTCTATGAGTTCTCATCATTTAGCTCCCACTTATAAATGAGAACATGTGATATTTGGTTTTCTCTTCCTGTGTTAGTTTGCTAAGGGTAATGGCCCGCAGCACCATTCATGTCCCTGCACAGGACATGATCTCATTCCTTCTTATGGCTGTATTATATTCCATGGTGTATACATACCACATTTTCTTTATCCAGTCTATCATTTGTGGGCATTTAAATTGATTCCATGTCTTTGTTACTGTGAATAGTGCTGTGATGAACATATGTGTGTGCATGTATCTTTATATTCCTTTGGATATATGTCCAGTAATGGGATTGCTGGGTTGAATGGTATTTCTGTCTTTAGGCCCTTTGAGGAATCACCACACTGTCTTCCACAATGGCCGAACTAATTTACACTCCCACCAACAGTGTGTAAGCATTTCTTTTTCTCTACAACCTTGCCAGCATCTGTGATTTTTTGACTTTTAAATCGTAGCCATTTTAACTGGTATGACATGATATCTCATTATGGTTTTGATTTGCATTTCTCTAGTGATCAGTGATGTGGAACTTTTTTTCATATGATTTTTGGCCATATGTGTATCTTCTTTAGAAAAGTGTCTGTTCATATCCTTTGCCCACTTTTTAATCGGGTTGTTTTTTCTTGTAAATTTAAGTTCCCTATAGATGCCAGGTATTTTGTTAGATGCATAGTTTTCAAGAATTTTCTCCCATTCTGTAGTTTGTCTGTTTACCCTGTTGATAGTTTCTTTTGCTGTTCAGAAGCCCTTTAGTTTAATGAGATACCATTTGTCAGTGTTTGCTTTTGTTGCAAGTGCTTTTGGTGTCTTCGTCATGAAATCTTTGCCCATGCCTGTGTCCCAAATGGTATTGCCTAGGTTGTCTTCTAGGGTTTTTATAGTTTTGGGTTTTACATTTAAATCTTTAATCCATCTTGAGTTAATTTTTGTACATGGTATAAGGAAAAGGTCCAGTTTCAGTCTTCTGCATATGGCTAGCCAGTTATCCCCACACCATTTATTGAATAGGGAATCCTTTTCCCATTGCTTGCTTTTGTCAGGTTTGTTGAAGATCAGATAGTTGTAAGTGTGTGGCTTTATTTCTGGGCGCTCTATTCTGTTCCATTGGTCTATGTGTCTGTATTGTACCAGTACCATGCTGTTTTGGTTACTGTAGCCCTGTAGTATAGTTTGAAGTCAGGTAGCTTGATGCCTCCCATGCTATTCTTTTCGCTTAGGATTGCCTTGGCTATTTGGGCTCTTTTTTGATTCCATATGAATTTTAAAATAGTTTTTTATAGTTCTGTGAAGAATATCAATGGTAGTTTAATGGGAATAGCATTGAATTTAGTAAACTGCTTTGAGCAGTATGGCCATTTTAATGATATTGAGTCTTCCTATCCATGAGCATGGAGTGTTTTTCCATTTGTTTGTGTCATCTCTGATTTCTTTGAGCAGTGGTTTGCAGTTCTCCTTGTAGAGATATTTTACCTCTCTAATTAGCTGTATTCCTAGGTATTTTATTCTTTTTGTGGCAGTATGGAATGGGAGTTAGTTCCTGATTTGGCACTCAGCTTGACTGTTGGTGTATAGGAATGCCAGTGATTTTTGCACATTGATTTTGTATCCTGAGACTTTGGTGAAGCTGTTTTTCAGCTCAAGAAGCTTTTGGAGGGTTGGGCACAGTGCCTCATGCCTGTAATCACAACACTCTGGTAGGACACAACAGGCGGATTGGTTGAGTTCAGTTCAAGACCATCCTGGGCAACATAGCAAAACCCTTTCTCTACTAAAAATACAAAAAAATTAGCCAGACATGGTGGCTTTCACCTGTAGTTCAGCTACTCGGGAGGCTGAGGTGGGAGAATCACCTGAGCCTGGGAGGTCCAGGCTGCAGTGAGCCGAAATTGCACTACTGCACCCCAGCCTGGGCAACCAGAGTGAAACCCTGTCTCAAAAAAAAGCAAAAAAGAAGCAGCAGCAGCAGCAGCAGCTTTTTGGGCTGAGACTGGGATTTTCTAAATACAGGATCATGTTATCTGCAAACAGGGATAGTTTGATTTTCTCCTCTATTCCTGTTTGAATACCGTTTATTTATTTCTCTTGCCTGATTGCCCTAGCCAGAACTTCCAGTACTATGTTGAATAGGAGTGGTGAGAGAGGGCATTCTTGTCTTGTGCCGGCTTTCAAGGGATATGCTTCCAGGTTTTGCCTGTTTAGTGCAATGTTGGCTGTGGGTTTGTTATAGATGGCTCTTATTATTTTGAGGTATATTCCTCCAATACCTAGTTTATTGAGAGTTTTTAACATGAATGGATGTTAAATTTTATCAAAAGCCATTTCTGCACCTATTGAGATAATCATGTGGTTTTTGTCTTTAGTTCTGTTTATGTGATGAATAATATTTATTGATTTGCTTGGTTGAACCAACCTTGCATCCTGGGGTTGAAGCCTACTTAATCATGGTAGATAAGCTTTTTGATGTGCTACTGGATTTGGTTTACCCAGTATTTCATTTTGGATTTTTCCAAATTGATGATGAACACATCAGTGTTCATCATGGATGTTTGCCTGAAGCTTTCTTTTTTTGTTGTATCTGCCAGGTTTTGGCATCAAGATAATACTGGCCTTATAGGATCTGTTAAGGTGGAGTCCCTCCTCCTCAATTTTTTGCAATAGTTGCAGTAGGAATAGTACCAGCTCTTCTTTGTACATCTGTTAGACTTCAGCTGTGAATCCTTCTGGTCCTGGGCTTTTTTTTGGGTGGTAGGCTGTTACTGCCTCAATTTCAGAACTCATTATTGGTTTGTTCAGAGATTCCGTTTCTTTCTTGTTTAGTCTTGAAAAGGTGTATGTGTCCAGGAATTTATCAATTTCTTTTTCATTTTTTTCTTATGTTTTCTTCTAAGACTTTTATAGTTTCGAGTCTTACATTTTTTATCTGTTTTGAGTTTTTTTCTATATTGTTTGAGACTGGTGTTCGATTTCATTTTTTTGCATAAGGATACTCCATTTTCCTAACACCATTTGTTGAAGAGACTATTCTTTCTCCATTGCATGTTCTTGGTGCCCTTGTCAAAGATCAATTGACTGTGAATGTGTGGGCTTATTTATGGATTCTGTATTCTATTCTATTGGTCTATAGGTCTATTTTTATGCCACTATCTTATGTTTTGATTAGTTTTATAATATAATTTAAAGTCAGGAAGTGTGATGCCTTCAGTTCTGTTCTTTTTGCTCAAGATTGCTTTAACTATTTGGGGAGTATTGTTGTTCCATTTGTATTTTAGAATTGTTATTTGTATTTCTGTAGAAATGCTTTTGGAATTTTGATAGGGATTTCACTGCATATGTAGATCACTTTGGGTATTATGGCCAATTTAACAATATTATTCCAATCCATTAACATGGGGTATCTATTTATTTATGTCTTTTTAAATTTCCTTAATCAGTGTTTTATAATTTTCAGTGTATAAGTCTTTCACCTTTTTAGTTAATTACTAAGTAATTTTTTGTTTTTCTTGTTAATGTAAATGGAATTGTTATTCCAATTTCCCTTTTAGATAGTTTGTTGTTTATACATAGAAATCTTAGTGACTTTTGTATGTTGATTTTGTATTCTGCAACTTTACTGAATTTGTATATTAATACTATCAGGATTTTTTTGTAGAATCTTTACGGTTTTCTTTGTGTGTGATTTTGTCATATCCAGTCATTTTACTTCTTTTCCAAATTGGATGCATTTTATTTATTTTTCTTGCTTAATTGCTCTGGTTAGGAGTTCCAGAACTGTGCTCAATAGCAGTGGTGATAGTAGGCATCCTTGCCTTATTCCTAATCTTGGAGGAAAGCTTTCTATTTTGCCTGAGGTCTGGGGTTGATTGTGGACTTGTGTGATAGTCATGCTTGGTTTCTTGAGGGACATGCATGGTGGTAGCTGGCTGGGGTGACATTAGGGTTTAGAGGATGGTGGGTGACTCATGCAGCTGGGGTTTGGGAAGACATAAACTGTGGGGTCAGTGATGTTGAAAGCTGGGAGTGGGCGCACAGTGCTATGCTGGCACTGGTTTTCTCAGTTGCAGAGGCTCTTGGGGTCCTCTGTAGAGTAGGCCACTGAGCACCACAGTGGCATCATGGGAGGGGAAAAGTAATTATTTTGTAATATGTCAGAGCATTCCGTTTTTACCAAGCCCTGCCCTCAGGAAAGAAAAAACTATTTCACCAGAGCCTAACCTTCTGGGGTTTTATCATAGCCAATTCTACCTGGTGAAATGGGAAAACCCAACTCTTATGCTCATTAGCCATGCTCTTCCACATAAGGGGGAAAAAAAAAGAAGTACTGGTTAAAGTCACAGTCCAGCTGCACAGGCTTACCAAAATAGTGAGACCTAATCATAGAATTATAGAACATTTACCCTCCTTTCACCTCTTACCATGATTTTACTAAAGGCTGATATACTACCATAGTTCCATTTACCTAGTACATCATGTCCATCTTTCAAAAATCTGACAGGATATACTAAAAGTCAAAACATGCAATTTGAGGAGACTGAACTAGCATCAGATTCAGAGTCAGATACAGCAGAAATGTTGGAATTACCAGATCAGAAATTTAAATAACTATGAATAGTATGCTAGGGCATTAATGAAAAAGTGGGCAACATGCAATGACAGATGGATAATATAAGCTGGGAGATAATTTTTTTTTTAAGTGACACCTTTTAATCAAAGGTCTCATTCTGTTGCCCAGGCTGAAGTGCAGTGGCATGATCATAGCTTACTGTAACCTCAGCCACCTGGGTTCAGGCAACTCCCAACTCAGCCTCCTCGGTAGTTAGGACTACAGGCACACGCCACCATGCCCAGCATTTTTTTTTTTTTTTTAAGAGAAAAGATCTCACTGTATTGTTGCCCAGGCTGATCTTGAGCTCCTGGCCTCAAGCAGTCCTCTTGCCTCAGCCTCCCAAGGCACTGGGATTATAGGTGAGAGCCATTGTGCCCAGCCCAATATTCTAAGAAACAATAAAAAAGAAATGCCAGGGAGGAGCCAAGATGGCCGAATAGGAACAGCTCCAGTCTACAGCTACCAGCATGAGCGACGCAGAAGACGGATGATTTCTGCATTTCCAACTGAGGTACCGGGTTCATCTCAATGGGGAGTGCCAGACAGTAGGGGCAGGACGGTAGGCACAGCGCACTGTGCGCGAGCCGAAGCAGGGCGAGGCATCGCCTCACCCAGGAAGCACAAGGGGTCAGGGAATTCCCTTTCCTAGTCAAAGAAAGGGGTGACAGACGGCACCTGGAAAATCGGGTCACTCCCACCCT
The DNA here is from genome assembly GCF_000001405.40 of Homo sapiens. Taxonomy (NCBI): domain Eukaryota; kingdom Metazoa; phylum Chordata; class Mammalia; order Primates; family Hominidae; genus Homo; species Homo sapiens. The sequence continues at coordinate 76,608,884 of NC_000015.10, read as the reverse complement.
AATACTGCGCTTTTCCAACGGGCTTAAAAAACGGCACACCAGGAGATTATATCCCTCACCTGGCTCAGAGGGTCCTACCCCAACGGAGTCTCACTCATTGCTAGCACAGCAGTCCGAGACCAAACTGCAAGGCAGCAGTGAGGCTGGGGGAGGGGCGCCCGCCATTGCCGAATTAGTTGTTTGATTAGGTAAACAAAGCGGCCGGGAATCTCGAACTGGGTAGAGCCCACCACAGCTCAAGGAGGCCTGCCTGCCTCTGTAGGCTCCACCTCTGGGGGCAGGGCACAGACAAACAAAAAGATAGCAGTAACCTCTGCAGACTTAAATGTCCCTCTCTGGCAGCTTTAAAGAGAGTAGTGGTTCTCCCAGCACGCAACTTGAGATCTGAGAACGGGCAGACTGCCTCCTCAAGTGGGTCCCTGACCCCCGAGTAGCCTAACTGGGAGGCATCCCCCAGTAGGGGCAGATTGACACCTTACACGACCGGGTACTCCTCTGAGACAAAACTTCCAGAGGAACGATCAGGCAGCAGCATTTGCGGTTCACCAAAATCCGCTGTTCTGCAGCCACCGCTGCTGATACCCAGGCAAACAGTGTCTGGAGTGGACCTCTAGCAAACTCTAACAGACCTGCAGCTGAGGGTCCTGTCTGTTAGAAGGAAAACTAACAAACAGAAAGAACATCCACACCAAAAACCCATCTGTACGTCACCATCATCAAAGACCAAAGGTAGATAAAACCACAAAGATGGGGAAAAAAAACAGCAGAAAAACTGGAAACTCTAAAAATCAGAGCGCCTCTCCTCCTGCAAAGGAACGCAACTCCTCACCAGCAACAGAGCAAAGCTGGACAGAGAATGACTTTGACGAGTTGAGAGAAGAAGGCTTCAGACGATCAAACTACTCTGAGCTACAGGAGGAAATTCGAACCAATGGCAAAGAAGTTAAAAGCTTTGAAAAAAAATTAGACGAATGGATAACCAGAATAACCAGTGCAGAGAAGTCCTTAGAGGACCTGATGGAGCTGAAAACCAAGGCACAAGAGCTACGTGACGAATGCAGAAGCCTCAGTAGCCGATGCGATCAACTGGAAGAAAGGGTATCAGCGATGGAAGACAAAATGAATGAAATGAAGCGAGAAGGGAAGTTTAGAGAAAAAAGAGTAAAAAGAAATGAACAAAGCTTCCAAGAAATATGGGACTATGTGAAAAGACCAAATCTGCGTCTGATTGGTGTACCTGAAAGTGACGGGGAGAATGGAACCAAGTTGGAAAACACTCTGCAGGATATTATCCAGGAGAACTTCCCCAATCTAGCAAGGCAGGCCACCATTCAAATCCAGGAAATACAGAGAATGCCACAAAGATAATCCTCAAGAAGAGCAACTCCAAGACACAAAATTGTCAGATTCACCAAAGTTGAAATGAAGGAAAAAATGTTAAGAGCAGCCAGAGACAAAGGTCAGGTTACCCACAAAGGGAAGCCCATCAGATGAACAGCTGATCTCTCAGCAGAAACTCTACAAGCCAGAAGAGAGTGGGGGCCAGTATTCAACATTGTTAAAGAAAAGAATTTTCAACCCAGAATTTCATATCCAGCCAAACTAAGCTTCATAAGTGAAGGAGAAATAAAATACTTTACAGACAAGTAAATGCTGAGAGATTTTGTCACCACCAGGCCTGCCCTAAAAGAGCTCCTGAAGGAAGCACTAAACATGGAAAGGAACAACCAGTACCAGCCACTGCAAAAACATGCCAAATTGTAAAGACCATCAAGGCTAGGAAGAAACTGCATCAACTAACGAGCAAAATAACCAGCTAACATCATAATGACAGGATCAAATTCACACATAACAATATTAACTTTAGATGTAAATGGGCTAAATGCTCCAATTAAAAGACACAGACTGGCAAATTGGATAAAGAGTCAAGACTCATCAGTGTGCTGTATTCAGGAAACCCATCTCACGTGCAGAGATACACATAGGCTCAAAATAAAGGGATGGAAGAAGATCTACCAAGCAAATGGAAAACAAAAAAAGGCAGGAGTTGCAATCCTAGTCTCTGATAAAACAGACTTTAAACCAACAAAGATCAAAAGAGACAAAGAAGGCCATTACATAATGGTAAAGGGATCAATTCAACAAGAAGAGCTAACTATCCTAAATATATATGCACCCAATACAGGAGCACCCAGATTCATAAAGCAAGCCCTTAGAGACCTACAAAGAGACTTAGACTCCCACACAATAATAATGGGAGACTTTAACCCCCCACTGTCAACATTAGACAGATCAACAAGACAGAAAGTTAACAAGGATATCCAGGAATTGAACTCAGCTCTGCACCAAGTGGACCTAATAGACATCTACAGAACTCTCCACCCCAAATCAACAGAATATACATTCTTTTCAGCACCACACCACACCTACCCCAAATTGACCACATAGTTGGAAGTAAAGCACTCTTCAGCAAATGTAAAAGAACAGAAATTATAACAAACTCTCAGGCCACAGTGCAGTCAAACTAGAACTCAGGGTTAAGAAACTCACTCAAAACCGCTCAACTACATGGAAACTGAACAACCTGCTCCTGAATGACTACTGGGTAAATAATGAAATGAAGGCAGAAATAAAGATGTTCTTTGAAACCAATGAGAACAAAGACACAACATACCAAAATCTCTGGGACACATTCAAAGCAGTGTGTAGAGGGAAATTCATAGCACTAAATGCCCACAAGAGAAAGCAGGAAAGATCTAAAATTGACACCCTAACATCACAATTAAAAGAACTAGAGAAGCAAGGGCAACCACATTCAAAAGCTAGCAGAAGGCAAGAAATAACTAAGATCATTGCAGAACTGAAGGAAATAGAGACACAAAAAACCCTTCAAAAAATCAATGAATCCAGGAGCTGGTTTTTCGAAAAGATCAGCAAAATTGATAGACCGCTAGCAAGACTAATGAAGAAAAGAGAGAAGAATCAAATAGACGCAATAAAAAAAGATAAAGGGGATATCACCACCTATCCCACAGAAATACAAACTACCATCAGAGAATACTATAAACATCTCTATGCAAATAAACTAGAAAATCTAGAAGAAATGGATAAATTCATCGACACATACATCCTCCCAAGACTAAACCAGGAAGAAGCTGAATCTCTGAATAGACTAATAACAGGCTCTGAAATTGAGGCAATAATTAATAGCTTACCAACCAAAGAAAGTCCAGGACTAGATGGATTCACAGCCGAATTCTACCAGAGGTACAAAGAGGAGCTGCTACCATTCCTTCTGAAACTACTGCAATCAATAGAAAAAGAGGGAATCCTCCCTAACTCATTTTATGAGGCCAGTATCAACCTGATACCAAAGCCTGGCAGAGACACAACCAAAAAAGAGAATTTTAGACCAATATTCTTGATGAACATTGATGCAAAAATCCTCAATAAAATACTGGCAAACCGAATCCAGCAGCACATCAAAAAGCTTATCCACCACGATCAAGTGGGATTCATCCCTGGGATGCAAGGCTGGTTCAACATACGCAAATCAATAAACATAATCCAGCATATAAACAGAACCAAAGACAAAAACCACATGATTATCTCAATAGATGCAGAAAAGGCCTTTGACAAAATTCAACAACCCTTCCTGCTAAAAACTTTCAATAAGTTAGGTATTGATGGGTCGTATCTCAAAATAATAAGAGCTATCTATGGCAAACCCACAGCCAATATCATACGGAATGAGCAAAAACTGGAAGCATTCCCTTTGAAAACGGGCACAAGACAGGGATGCCCCCTCTCACCACTCCTATTCAACATAGTGTTGGAAATTCTGGCCAGGGCAATCAGGCAGGAGAAGGAAATGGTATTCAATTAGGAAAAGAGGAAGTCAAGTTGTCCCTGTTTGCAGATGACATGATTGTATATTTAGAAAACCCCATCGTCTCAGCCCAAAATCTCCTTAAGCTGATAAGCAACTTCAGCAAAGTCTCAGGATACAAAATAAATGTGCAAAAATCACAAGCATTTTTATACACCAATAACAGACAAACAGAGAGCCAAATCATGAGTGAACTCCCATTCACAATTGCTTCAAAGAGAATAAAATACCTAGGAATCCAACTTACAAGGGATGTGAAGGACCTCTTCAAGGAGAACTACAAACCACTGCTCAGTGAAATAAAGGAGGATACAGACAAATGGAAGAACATTCCATGCTCATGGGTAAGAAGAATCAATATCACGAAAATGGCCATACTGCCCAAGGTAATTTATAGATTCAATGCCATCCCCATCAAGCTACCAATGACTTTCTTCACAGAATCAGAAAAAACTACTTTAAAGTTCATATGGAACCAAAAAAGAGCCCGCATCGCCAAGTCAATCCTAAGGCAAAAGAACGAAGCTGGAGGCATCCCGCTTACCTGACTTCAAACTATACTACAAGGCTACAGTAACCAAAACAGCATGGTACTGGTACCGAAACAGAGATATAGACCAATGGAACAGAACAGAGCCCTCAGAAATAATGCCGCATATCTACAGCTATCTGATCTTTGACAAACCTGACAAAAACAAGCAATAGGGAAAGGATTCCCTATTTAATAAATGGTGCTGGGCAAACTGGCTAGCCATATGTAGAAAGCTGAAACTGGATCCCTTCCTTACACCTTATACAAAAATTAATTCAAGATGGATTAAAGACTTAAAGGTTAGACCTAAAACCATAAAAACCCTAGAAGAAAACCTAGGCAATACCATTCAGGACATAGGCATGGGCAAGGACTTCATGTCTAAAACACCAAAAGCAATGGCAACAAAAGCCAAAATTGACAAATGGGATCTAATTAAACTAAAGAGCTTCTGCACAGCAAAAGAAACTACCATCAGACTGAACAGGCAACCTACAGAATGGGAGAAGATTTTTGCAACCTACTCATCTGACAAAGGGCTAATATCCAGAATCTACAATGAACTCAAATTTACAAGAAAAAAAACAACCCCATCAAAAAGTGGGCAAAGGATATGAACAGATACTTCTCAAAAGAAGACATTTATGCAGCCAACAGACACATGAAAAAATGCTCATCATCACTGTCCATCAGAGAAATGCAAATCAAAACCACAATGAGATACCATCTCACACCAGTTAGAATGGCGATCATTAAAAAGTCAGGAAACAACAGGTGCTGGAGAGGATGTGGAGAAATAGGAACACTTTTACACTGTGAGTGGGACTGCAAACTAGTTCAACCATTGTGGAAGTCAGTGTGGTGATTCCTCAGGGATCTAGAACTAGAAAACCATTTGACCCAGCCATCCCATCACTGGGTACATACCCAAAGGATTATAAATCATGCTGCTGTAAAGACACATGCACACATATGTTTATAGCAGCACTATTCACAATAGCAAAGACTTGGAACCAACCTAAATGTCCAAGAACCATAGACTGGATTAAGAAAACGTGGCACATATACACCATGGAATACTATGCAGCCATAAAAAATGATGAGTTCATGTCCTTTGTAGGGACATGGATGAAATTGGAAATCATCATTCTCAGCAAACTATCGCAAGGACAAAAAAACACCGCATGTTCTCGCTCATAGGTGGGAATTGAACAATGAGAACACATGGACACAGGAAGGGGAACATCACACTCTGGGGACTGTTGTGGGGTGGGAGGAAGGGGGAGGGATATCATTAGGAGATATACCTAATGCTAAATGACGAGTTAATGGGTGCAGCACACCAACGTGGCACATGTATACATATGTAACTAACCTGCACGTTGTGCACATGTACCCTAAAACTTAAAGTATAATAATAATAAAATTAAGTAAATAAATAAATAAAATAAAAACTATTGAGGATCCAAACCAAAAAAAAAAAAAAAGTTTTCTTGCTGTCTTAGTAAATTCTGAACCAATAAATGAGCTCAAATTAAAAAAAAAAAAAAGAAATGCCAGAATTTGAAAACATGGTAACAAAAGTGAACAGTGCTATTGATAGGCTGATTAGTAGACCAGATAGCTGAGGAAATAATCTCAGCTTGAGGATATGACAATAGTAACTTCCAAAATTGAAAAACAATTTAAAGAAGACTGGGGAGAAAGTGAACAGAATATCTGAAACTGTGGGACAACTGCAAAAAGGTATAACGTACATGTAATTGGGATACCAGAAGGGAAAAGAAAGTGAGGAGGAACAAAAGCAGTATTTGAAACAATCATGACTGAGAATTTTCCCCAAATTAGTGACAGACACCAAATCCTAGATCCAGGAAGTTTAGAGAATAGGAGAATACCAAGCAAGATAAATGCTTCCCCCAAAAAACAAAAACAAAAAATTCTACCTGTGAGCGTATGATATTCAAATTGCAGTAAATCAAAGAGAAATGAAAAATCCTGAAAGACCAAAGGGGAAAGAAACACCTTACCTATATGGGAGCAAAGATTAGAAAAAAACTCACCAACCTAGAATTCTGTACTGTGCAAAGTTATACTTCAAAAATGAAGAAATAAAAACTTTTTCAGATAAACTAAATTGAGGGAATTGTTGCTATTAGACTTGCCTTGCAGGAAATGTTAAAAGAAGTTCTTCAGAGAGAAGTTAAATGATACAGATCAGAAACTCAGATCTGTATAACAAAAGGAATAATTTTGAAGAACGAATAAACATAGATAAAATAACATTTTTCTTATTGTTAATTTAACAGATAACAGTTTGTTCAAAATAATAATAGCAACAGTGTTTTCTATTATGTATGCTTATGTGTGTATGTACAGTTGACCCTTAGACAGCATGGGTTTGAACTACCCAAGCCCAATGATATGCAGATGTTTTCAACCAAACACGGATTGAAAATGTAGTATTCTCAGGATATAAAACTCATGGATATGGAGGGCTGACTTTTCGTATTTGCAGATTCCAAGGGGCCGACTGCAGGACTTGAATATGTGCAGATTTTGCTTTACATGGGGTTCCTGGAACCAATCTCACACATATACCAAGGGATGACTGTATATTTATTTCTATGTGAAATGAATGACAGCAGTGATAGAAGGGATAGGAAGGAAAAATGAGGAATATTTTGTTATTATAAGGTATTTCACAGCACTACCTGTGAAGCAGTATAGCATTATTTGAAACTGGACTTGGAATAATTATAAATCTATACTGCAAACTTTTAGTTTGCAACTACTAAAAATAAGAAATATACAGTCATACATCACTTAACAATGAAAATATGTTCTGAGAGATGTGTCCTTAGGCAATTTCATCATTGTTTGAACATCAGAGTATACATACACAAACCCAGATGGTGTAGCCTACTATACATTTAAGCTATATGATATGGCCTATAGCTCTTAGGCTACAAACATGTATGCCATGTTACTGTAATGAATACTACAGGCAATTGTAACAAAATGATAAATATTTGTGTATTTAAACATAACTAAACATAGGAAAGATACAGTAAAAATGCAGTATTATAATCTTTTGGGACCACTGTCATATATGCAGTCTGTCATTGACTGAAACATCCTTATACAGCATATGACTGTAATTGATGTGCTAAGAAAGGAGAGAATATGTAATCATATAAATTGCTAATTTAAAACCATCAAATAACCAGGCTAAATAAGAAAACTCACATACGTATCATTAGATGGAGAAAAAATGTTTGACAACATCCATCACCCATTCATGATAGAACACCATTATTCTTATTTTAGAATATTGTCTACTACCATTACTTTTTAAATAAAAAGCATAATTTTCAATTTCTATTCTGTGTATCCACATTAACATTTTCTTTAATTCTCAATACATTTTTTCTTCGGTTTTTGTTGCTAGTATTAGAAATTTCTTCTGTTGTTGTTTTTTGAGTAAACTTTTCAGAGGTTGTTTTTTATTGGTCCTTTCCAAAAATTGCTTTAAAATGTATAGATTCGATCTTTTTGTTTTCTGTTTTGTTTTCACTTTGACTTCATTTCTTCTTTTATCCTTCTTACTGTGTTTTCATAGAGAGTGTTTTTGTTTTTATTCATCTCCACATAATTGGTATTTTATTCTGAATCCAAGAGTGATTTAGAATTATTTTAAAAAAATACTTTCTGGGTGGGGCGCAGTGGCTCACGCCTGTAATCCCAGCACTTTGGGAGGCCGAGGTGGGCAGATCGTCTGAGGTCAGGAGTTCAAGACCAGTATGGCCAAAATGGGGAAACCCTGTCTCTACTAAAAATACAAAAATTAGCCAGGCATGGTGACAGGTGCCTGTAATCCCAGCTACTCGGGAGGCTGAGGCAGGATAATTGCTTGAACCTGGGAGGCGGAGGTTGCAGTGGGTAGAGATGGTGCCATTGCACTCCAGCCTGGGTGACAAGAGCGAGACTTCATCTCAAAAAAAAAAAAATATATATATATATGTATATGTATACACACACACACACACACACACACACACACACACACACACACATATACACACACTTTCCAAGTATGCTATTTTTCTATTAGTTTTGCTTAATTTTAAGTTTATATGTTGTTCAGTGATTTCTGCCTTTGGGATTTGGGATCTTCTTTTTTAATACAGTTTACTAATTGTAACTATTCCTTATTTTTTGAAAAGTATGTTATCTGTTTGGTACAAAGTGTGAATATCATAATAGATATTTCTGTAGTTTTTCTAGCATGAAATTTTTCAAAAATTCAGAAAAGTTGGAAAGAATTTTACTGTGGAAACTTATGTATCCTCTACATATATTCTGTAATTATTTACTATACTTAATCACATTTATTCATCTTTCCATCCCTTTATCCATTATCAATCCATCAGATTTTGATGCATGAAAGTAAATTGCATACATCAGTATATTCCTCCTCCAGTATTTCAACATGCATGTTATTAACTCAAGTTCATTATTTATCCTTGTTTGTGTGTTTGTTTTGAGGTAAAATTTACATGTAACAAAATGCGCAGATCTTAAGGGTGACATTTGATAAATTTTGACAAATGCAGACACTGAGTATTTTAAACACCTCTCAAAATTTGCACAGTATCATCATCCCAGAAGGTTATTATATGTCCTTGGTGAATCCCTTTACTCCCACCCAAGAGGCAACCACTATTCTGATTTTCTTTCATCACTGATTAGAATCACCTGTTGTAGAGCTTGTCTTTCACCACAGATGAGAATCATCTGTTGTAGAGCTTGCTATAAATGAAATCAAATAGTATGTACTCTTTTGTATAAGCCTTCTTTCATTCAGCATGTTTTTGTGTTTCACCCATGTTGTGTTTATCAATTCATTCCTTTTTATTGCTGGACAGTACTCCTATGAGTAAATGTAGCCTTGATTTGTTTGTGTATTCCACTAATGATGGATACTTGGGCTCTTTCTACTTTTTGGAAATAAATTTTGGATATAAGTTTTCATTTCTATTGGGTGAACACCTAGGCATGAATGTGCAAAGTCCTTTGATATGTGTATGTTTAGGTTTATAAGAAACCACGAGACCGTTTTTTCAAAGTATTATTACCATTTTACCTACTTTCCAACAATGTGTGAGAGTTCCTGTTTCATATCCTTGGTAATATTTGACGTTGTCAATCTTTTTAATTTTAGGCATTCAGATGGGTATGTAGTGGCATTTTTAAATTTTATTTAGAGTTTCCATGATAATCCTAATGGTGTTGAGTGTCCTCTCATGTATGTATAAGCCATTTATTTCTTCTTATGGCAAGTGTCTATTCAGATATTTTGCCATTTTTGGTGAATTATCTTTTTTTATTATTGAATTGTAGATATCTATATACTTGTGTATATTTTTATTATTTTTTTAAAATCTAGCAGGTAACCTTATGCTTAATACATATTCATTTTATTACCGCTAGAAACTGGGTCCTGGCAAAAGTTTTTTTTTTTTAATTATACTTTAATTTCTGGGATAAATGTGCAGAACATACAGGTTACGTAGGTATACATGTGCCATGCTGCACCCATCAACCCGTCATCTACATTAGGTAGTTCTCCTAATGCTATCCCTCCTCTATCCCCCTAACCCCAACAGGCCCCGGTGTGTGATGTTTCCTTCCCTGTGTCCACGTGTTCTCATTGTTCACCTCCCACTTATGAGTGAGAACATGTGGTGTTTGGTTTTCTGTTCCTGTGTTAGTTTGCAGAGAATGACGGTTTCCAGCTTCATCTATGTCCCTGTAAAGGACATGAACTCATCCTTTTTTATGGCTATATAGTATTCCATGGTGTATATATGCCACATTTTCTTTATCCAGTCTATCATTGATGGGCATTTGGGTTGGTTCCAAGTCTTTGCTATTGTGAAAAGTGCTGCAATAAACATACGTGTGCATGTGTCTTTATAGTAGAATGATTTATAATCCTTTGGGTATGTACCCAGTGATGGGATTGCTGGGTCAAATGGCATTTCTAGTTCTACATCTTTGAGAAATTGCCACACTGTCTTCCACAATGGTTGAACTAATTTACACTGTCACCAACAGTGTAAAAAGTGTTCCTATTTCTCCACATCCCCTCTAGCATTCGTTGTTTCCTGACTTTTTAATGGTCACCATTCTAACTGGCGTGAGACGGTATCTCATTGTGGTTTTGATTTGCATTTCTTTAATGACCATTGATGATGAGCCTTTTTTCATGTTTGTTGGCCGCATAAATGTCTTCTTTTGAGAAGTGTCTGTTCATATCCATCACCCACTTTTTGATGGGGTTGTTTTTTTTTTCTTGTACATTTGTTTTAAGTTCCTTGTAGATTCTGGATATTAGCCCTTTGTCAGATGGATAGATTGCAAAAATTTTCTCCCATTCTGTAGGTTCCCTGTTCACTCTGTTGATAGTTTCTTCTGCTATGCAGAAGCTCTTTAGTTTAATTACATCTCATTTGTCAATTTTGTCTTTTATTGCCATAGCTTTTGATATTTTAGTCATGAAGTCTTTGCCCATGCCTATGTCCTGAATGGTATTGCCTAGGTTTTCTTCTAGGGTTTTTATGATTTTAGGCCTTATGTTTAAGTCTTTAATCCATCATGAGTTAATTTTTGTGTAAGGTGTAAGGAAGGGGTCCAATTTCAGTTCTCTACATATGGCTAGCCAGTTTTCTCAACACCATTAATTAAATAGGGAATCCTTTCCCTATTTCTTGTTTTTGTCAGGTTTGTCAAAGATCAGATGGTTGTAGATGTGTGGCATTATTTCTGAGGGCTCTGTTCTGTTCTGTTGGTCTATATATCTGTTTTGGTACTAGTACCATGCTGTTTTGGTTACTGTAGCCTTGTATAGTTTGAAGTCAGGTAGTGTGATGCCTCCAGCTTTGTTCTTTTTGCTTAGGATTCTCTTGGCTGTACAGGCTCTTTTTTGGTTCCATATGAAATTTAAAGTAGTTTTTTCTAATTCTGTGAAGAAAGTCAATGGTAGGTTGATGGGGATACCACTGAATCTGTAAATTACTTTTGGCAGTGTGGCCATTTTCATGATTTGATTCTTCCTATCCATTAGCATGGAATGTTTTTCATTTGTTTGTGTCCTCTTTTATTTTGTGGAGTAGTGGTTTGTAGTTCTCCTTGAAGAGGTCCTTCACATCCCGTGTAAGTTGTTTTGCTAGGTATTTTATTCTCTTTGTAGCAATTGTGAATGGGAGTTCACTCATGATTTGACTCTCTGTCCATTATTGGTGTATAGGAATGCTTGTGATTTTTGCACACTGATTTTATATCCTGAGACTTTGCTGAAGTTGCTTATCAGCTTAAGGAGATTTGGGGCTTAGACGATGGGGTTTTCTAAATATACAGTCATGTCATCTATAAACAGAGACAATTTGACTTCCTCTCTTCCTATTTGAATACTCTTTATTTCTTTCTCTTGCCTGATTGTCCTGGCCAGAACTTCCAATACTATGTTGAATAGGAGTGGTGAGAGAGGGCATCCTTGTCTTTGCCGGTTTTCAGAGGGAATGCTTCCAGCTTTTGCCCATTCAGTATGATGTTGGCTGTGGGTTTGTCATAAATAGCTCTTATTATTTTGAGATACATTCCATCAATACCTACTTTATTGAGAGTTTTTAGCATGAAGGGTTTTGAATTTTATCGAAGGCCTTTTCTGCATCTATTGAGATAATCTTGTGGTTTTTCTCGTTGGTTCTGTTTATGTGATGGATAGTATTGATTTGTGTATGTTGAACCAGCCTTGCATCCCAGGGATGAAGCCGACTTGATCATGGTAGATAAGCTTTTTAATGTGCTGCCAGATTTGGTTTGCCAGTATTTTATTGAGGATTTTCACATCGGTGTTCAACAGGGATATTGGCCTGAAATTTTCTTTTTTTGTTGTGTCTCTGCTGAGTTTTGGTATCAGGATGATGCTGGCCTCATAAAATGAGTTAGGGAGGAGTCCGTCTTTTTCTATTGTTTGAAGTAGTTTTAAAAGGAATGGTACCAGTTCCTCTTTGTACCTCTGGTAGAATTTGGCTATGAATCCATCTGGTCCTGGGCTTTTTTTTTTTTTTTTGGTTGGTAGGCTATTAATTACTGCCTCAATTTCAGAACTTCTTATTGGTCTGTTCAGGGATTCTTCTTCCTGGTTTCATCTTGGGAGGCTGTATGTGTCCAGGAAGTTATCCATTTCTTCTAGATTTTCTAGTTTATTTGCATAGAGGTGTTTATAGTATTCTCTGATGGTAGTTTGTATTTCTGTGGGATAAGTGGTGATCTTTTCTTTGTCATTGTTTATTGTGCCTATTTGATTCTTCTCTCTTTTCTTCTTTATTAGTCTGGCTAGTGGTCCATCTATGTTGTTAATCTTTTCAAAAAACCAGCTCCTGGATTCACTGATTTTTTGAAGGGTTTTTCGTGTCTGTATCTCCTTCAGTTCTGCTCTGATCCTAGTTATTTCTTCTGCTAGCTTTTGAATTTGTTTGCTCTTGCTTCTCAGTTCTTCTAATTGTGATGTTAGGGTGTTGATTTTAGATCTTTCCTGCTTTCTCCTGTGGGCATTTAGTGCTATAAATTTCCCTCTAAACTCTGCTTTGGCAGTGTCCCAGAGATTCTGGAACATTTTGTATTTCTTCCCATTGGTTTCAAAGAACTTATTATTTCTGCCTTAATTTTGTTATGTAACCAGTAGTCATTCAGGAGCAGTTTGTTCAGTTTCCATGTAGTTGTGCAGTTTTGAGTGAGTTTCTTAATCCTGAGTTCTAATTTGGTTGTGCTGTGGTCTGAGAGACTGTTTGTTATGATTTCTGTTCTTTTGCATTTGCTGAGGAGTGTTTTATTTCCAATTATGTGGTCAATTTTAGAATAAATGCGATGTGGTACTGAGAAGAATGTATATTCTATTGATTTGGGGTGGAGAGTTCTGTAGATGTCTATTTGGTCCACTTAGTCCAGAGCCAAGTTCAAGTCCTGAATATCCTTGTTAATTTTCTGCCTCGTTGATCTGTCTAATATTGACAGTGGGGTGTTAAAGTCTCCCACTATTATTGTATGGGGGTCTAAGTCTCTTTGTACGTCTCTAAGAACTTGCTTTATGTATCTGGGTCCGTATATATTTAGGATAGTTAACTCTTCTTGTTGCATTGATCCCTTTACCATTATGTAATGCCCTTCTTTGTCTCTTTTGATCTTTGTTGGCTAAAGGTCTGTTTTATCAGAGACTAGGACTGCAACCCCTGCTTTTCTTTTGCTTTTCATTTGCTTCATGGATCTTCCTCCATCCCTTTATTTTGTGCCTATTTTTGTCTTTGCTTGTGAGATGGGCCTCCTGAATACAGCACACTAATGGTTCTTGACTCTTTATCCAATTTGCCAGTCTGTGTCTTCTAATTAGGGCATTTAGCCCATTTACGTTTAAGGTTAATATTGTTATGTGTGAATTTCATCCTGTCATTATTATTCTAGCTGGTTGTCTTGCCGGTTAGTTGATTCAATTTCTTCGTAGTGTTGATGGTCTTTACAGTTTAATATGTTTTTGCAGTGGCTGGTACCGGTTGTTCCTTTCCATATTTAGTTCTTCCTTCAGGAGCTCTTGTAAGGCAGGCCTGGTGGTGACAAAATCGCTCAGCATTTACTTGTCTGTAAAGGATTTTATTTCTCCTTTGCTTATGAAGCTTAATTTGGCTGGATTTGAAATTCTGGGTTGAAAATTCTTTTCTTTAATAATGTTGAGTATTGGCCCCTACTCTCTTCTGGCTTGTAGAGTTTCTGCAGAGAGATCCGCTGTTAGTCTGATGGGCTTCCCTTTGTGGATAACCCGACCTTTCTCTCTGGCTGCCCTTAACATGTTTTCCTTCATTTCAACCTTGGTGAATCTGATGATTATGTGTCTTGGGGTTGCTCTTCTCGAGGAGTATCTCTGGGGCATTCTCTGTAATTCCTGAATTTCAGTGTTGGCCTTTCTTGCTAGGTTGGGGAAGTTCTCCTGGATAATATCCTGCAGAGTGTTTTCCAACTTGGTTCCATTCTCCCAGTCACTTTCAGGCACACCAATCAAACGTAGTTGTGTTCTTTTCACATATTCCCGTATTTCTTGGGGGCTTTGTTCATTCCTTTCTATTCTTTTTTCTCTAATCTTGTCTTCATGCTTTATATCATTAAGTTGATCTTCAGTCTCTGATATCCTTTCTTCCGCTTGGTTGATTCAGCTATTGATCCTTGTGTATGCTTCACGAAGTTCTCGTGTTGTGTTTTTCAGCTCCATCAGATCATTTATGTTCTTCTCTAAACTGGTTATTCTAGTTAGCAATTCCTCTAACCTTTTTTCAAGGTTCTTAGCTTCCTTGCATTCGGTTATATCATGCTCCTTTAGCTCAGAGGAGTTTGTTATTACCCACCTTCTGAAGCCTACTTCTGTTAATTTGTCAAACTCATTCTCCATCCAGTTTTATTCCCTTGCTGGCAAGGAGCTGTGATCCTTTGGAGGAGAAGAGGCCTTCTGGTGTTTGGAATTTTCAGCCTTTTTGTGCTGGTTTTTCCTCATCTTCCTGGATTTATCTACCTTTGGTCTTTGATGTTGGTGACCTTCGGATGGGGTTTCTGTGTGGATGTCCTTTTTGTTGCTGTTGATGCTATTCCTTTCTGTCTGTCAGTTTTTCTTCTAACAATCAGGCCCCTGTACTTCAGGTCTGCTGGAGTTTGCTGGAGGTCCACTCCAGATCCTGTTTGCCTCGGTATCACCAGTGGATGCTGCAGAACAGCAAAGATTGCTGTCTGTTTTTTCCTCTGGAGGCTTTGTCTCAGAGGGGCACCCACCAGATCCCAGCCAGAGCTCTCCCGTATGAGGTGTTTGTTGACCCCTTGCTGGGAGGTGTCTCCCAGTCAGGAGGCATGGGGATCAGGGACCCACTTGAGGTGGCAGTCTGTCCTTTATTTGAGCTCGAGCACTGTGCTAGGAGATCCGCTGCTCTCTTCAGAGTCAGCAGGCTGGAATGTTTAAGTCTCCTGAAGCTGTGCCCACAGCCGCCCCTTCCCCCAGGTGCTCTGCCCCAGGGAGATGGGAGTTTTATCTATAAGCCCCTGACTGGGGCTGCTGCCTTTCTTTCAGATATGCCCTGGCCAGAGAGGAGGAGTCTAGAGAGGCAGTCTGGCTATAGCAGCTTTGCGGAGCTATGATGCCTCCACCCAGCTCGAACTTCCCAGTGGCTTTGTTTACCCTGTGAGGGGAAAATTGCCTACGCAAGCCTCAGTAATGGCAGGCACCCCTCCCCACACCAAGCTCAAGCTTCCCAGGTCGACTTCAGACTGCTGTGCTGGCAGCAAGAATTTCAAGCCAGTGGATATTAGCTTGCTGGCCTCTGTGGGGGTGGGATCTGCTGAGCAAGACGAGTTCGCTCCCTGGCTTCAGCCCCCTTTCCAGGGTAATGAATGGTTCTGTCTCGGTGGTGTTCCAGGTGCCACTGGGGTATAAAAAAATACTCCTGCAGCTAGCTCGGTGTCTGCCCAAAAGTCCACCCAGTTTTGTGCTTGAAACCCAGGGCCCTGGTGGCATAGGCACCCAAGGGAATCTCCTGGTCTGCGGGTTGCAAAGACCTTAGGAAAAGCATAGTATCTGGGCTGGAGTGCACCATTCCTCAAGGCACAGTCCCTCAAGGCTTCCCTTGGCTAGGGGAGGGAGTTCCCCAAACCCTTGCGCGTCCCAGGTGAGGCAACACCTCACCCTGCTTTGGCTGACCCTCCATGGGCTGCGCCCACTGTCTAACCAGTCCCAGTGAGATGAGCCAGGTACCTCAGTTGGAAATGCAGAAATCACCTGCCTTCTGCGTTGATCTCGCTGGGAGCTGCAGAATGGAGCTGTTCCTTTTGGCCATCTTGCCAGCCACCAAACATTTTTTTAGAAAGGACCAGGTTGTAAATATTTTAGGGTTTGTGGGCCTAAAGTGAGGGTCTATATTTTAGGCTTTGTGAGTCTCACTTATTCAACTGTCTATCTTTGTAGCATAAGGGAGTCACAGAGAATACATAAATCAATTTGTGTGACCATATTCAAATAACATTTTATTTGAGCAGTGGGCTGTGGGCTGTAGTTGGCCTAACTCTGCTTTAACAATTACATAAAGTCATAATTGAAATGCCTCTTTATTTCTAAAATATCTTCCTTTCCTCTAAGATGCCATTTTAAAAATATTTTAATTTCATTCCTAAGTATTACCTATTTTTATATACCTATATGTAGAACCTATATAACCTATATATTACCTATATATCTCTCTATATATATAACATAGATATTATATATATAATCTGTAGGTAGGTAGATAGATAGATAGATATACATTTTTTGAGACACATGATCTCACTCTGTTGCCGAGGGTAGTGTGCAATGGTGCAATATCAGCTCACTGCAGCCTCAGCCTACCAGGCTCAGGCAGTCTGCCCACCTCAGCCCCCCAAGTAGCTGGGACTACAGGCATGCGCCACCCTGTCTGGATAATTTTTGTATTTTTTGTAGATATGGGGTTTTGCCATGTTGCCCAGGCTGGTCTCAAACTGCTGAGGTAAAGCAATCCACCCACTTTGGCCTCCCAAAGTACTGGGATTATGGGCATGTGCCACTGCGGCCCAGCCTATATTTTTAATCTTTCTTTGTAGAAACTTATATATATATTTTGATTGGCAACTTGCTTTTTACTGTTAATATTTTGTGTACTTTTTTACTTTAGTAGTGATACATAGTATTCTATTGTTTGAGTATTCTACAAAAAAAATGCAAAAAGTAGCCAGACATGGTGACATGTGCCAGTAATCCCAGCTACTCAGAAAGCTGAGGTGGGAGACTCACTTGAGCCCAAGAGGTTGAGGCTGTAGTGAGCCATGATTGCACCTCTGCACTCCAACCTGGGCAACAGAGCGAGACCCTGTCTCAAAAATATGTAGATATATTAAAAGAATATTCTGTAATATATTCAAGAATTACTCTATTGTTGTCCACATATATTTTTCCCCTTTCCATTGTTTTTGTTATTGCCACAGACAAGAACTTTATTTATATGACATTGTATATATGTAATTTTGCAGGGCAGAAAACCAAACTGTCCTCCTGGGCGTGCAGCCTGCACTCGGAAGGGTTCCACCCTGGTTTAAGTCGACTATTGCTGTCTTGAAATTGTTAATACATTTGAATGAAGGACCCTGCATTTTTCTTTTTCTTTTTTTTAATTTGTATAAATTTAAGGGTTGAGGTACAAGTGCAACTTTGTTACAAAGATATATTTCATAGTGGTGTAGTCTGGGCTTTTAGTGTATCCATCACTGATAAAATGTACATTATACCCATTAAGTCATTCTCATCATTCACCACCTCGCCTGCAGTTATGAGTCTTCATTGTTTATCAGTCCACACTCTATGTCCATGTGTACACATTATTTAGCTCCCACTTAGAAGAAAGAAGATGCAGTATTTGTCTGTTTCTGAATTATTTCACTTAAAATAATGGCCTTCAGTTCCACTCATGTTGCTGCAAACATACATGATTTCATTTTTTAAATGACTGAATAGTATTTCCTTGTGTGTATGTATCACATTTTCTTTATCCAGTCATCTGTTGATGGACACTTAGGTTGATTCCATATCTTTCCTATATCGAATAAACTGTGATAAACATACAAGTGCAGGTATCTTTTTGATAAAATGATTTCTTTTCCTTGGGGTAGACATCCAGTAGTGGGATTGCTGGATCAAATGGCAGTTCCATTTGTAGTTCTTTGAGAAATATTCATTCTGTTTTCCATAGAGGTTGTGCTAATTTACATTCCCACCAACATTATATAGGCATTCCCTTTTTTCTGCATCCCCATCAACATCTGTTTTTTTGTCTTTTTAATAATAGCCATGCAAATTATGTACCCAGTCTTGCTTAGAAATGAAATTTTTTGGGCCAAAGTCTATGTGCATTCTGATTTTAATAGAACCTTGTAATTTTTTATAGTGTATTTACACTCTGCCAACAGTTATGACATTCTCTTTCCCTTAAATAGGATGCTATTGAAAAAAATACATTTTCCATGTTTTCATAGGCTGCTTATTCAAATATATAAACTTGTATTTTAGTTCATGAGTTAAAAATCAGACTTAATTTTCATCCAAGCCTCCATTTCCAACTTATAACATTCTATCTAGTCACACTCGAAAATGGCAGATAGGAGGCGGGACTAAATTGCAGTTCCCACTTGGACAGACAGAGCAGTGTGTGTGGAGACTTGCACTGTTGAACTTTTGCTCCAAGAACTACTGCAGGAATATACCAGCAAAGCCGAGAGAATCCACAGACCCTCTGAAGGAAGTGGATTGCTCCTACGATCCACTGGGAGACAGTCCAAATACTGTGAGTGCCCAAATTGTGAAAGTGGGAAAGGAGGATGGTCCACCCCCAAACACACACAGGGGAACCTGAAGTTCCAGATCGTGGAAGAAGGATTTGACCTTACCTGGAGCTGAGTCAATTTAGAGAGCAGCATGAAATACAGGGGTAGAGGAGGCCACGGCAGAAACCCTGTGGGCTCTCTGCATCCCCAGGGAAGCCATTTTTGACTTGTCTCACAGGGGTCCTTCCAGAGGGCTGCCAGAGGAACTGGGAAAAGACCACAGGGAGAAGGAAACCTCCAGCAGAACTTTGTAACAATTCCAACCAAACGCGAAGTCTCCTGGCCAGAACTTGAGGGAGAGCATGAATCCAGTGTGCAGACTCAACAGGCAAGGAGGTGTGAAAGCCCTCCTTGCTTTCTCAGCTGGGAGGCTGGTAGCCTGGGGCATGTTCTCAGCTGAGCTTGCCCACTGCCTGGAAACAAACTTAGTGCTGTTGCAGGGGGCACAGTGGGAGTGACACCAGCCTTTTGGGTTGCATGGGAGCCGGGGAAGGCTTGTGGCTGTCAGCTTTTCCCCACTTCCCTGACAACATGTATGACACAGCAGAGGCAGCCATAATCCTCCTGGGAACATAACTCCATTGCCGCAGCAAGCCCCACCCAAGGAGAATCTGAGCTTAGACATGCCTAACCCTGCCCTCACCTGATGGTTCTTCACTACCCACCCTGGTAGCTGAAGACAAAGGTCATATTCTGTTAGCTGTTCTTGGGCCCCACCCACCGCCAGATCCTCCCTTATACTACTACAGCTGATCCTCTCTTGAAAATGCCACCTCCTGGCAGGAGACCAAACAACACAAAACTAGTGTATTAAACGACTGCAACTAAGGACCCTCACAGAGTCCATTTCATTCCCTTGCCATCTCCACAGCTGGGAGACCTGAAGACAGTTCACATTAGAGATATCTGTGCAGATACCCCCCAGTACCAGCCTGGAGCCTGGTAGTCCTGCTGTGTGGCTAGATCCAGAAGAGAACAATCACTACAGTTCAGCTCTCGGGAAGCCACATCCCTAGGAAAAGGTGGAGAGTACTACATCAAGGGAACAGCCCATGGGACAAAAGAATCTGAACAGCAGCCTTGAGTGCCAGATCTTCCCTCTGACATAGCCTACCCAAATGAAAAAGAACCAGAAAAACAATTCTGGTAATATGGCAAAACAAGGTTCTTTAACACCCCCCCCAAAAATCACACTAGCCACCACACCTGGCCAAGGAGTTCTAAATCTTGAAGCAAATCCTAGAAACACATCAAAATAGAACCTCTTTAAAGCGTAAATCTCACAGGACCTATAAAACAAAAATACAATTTAAAGACAAACAAGTTATACAGGCAACCAACAGCACAACAAATGGGATAGTACCTCACATCTCAATACTCACGTTGAATGTAAATGGCCTAAATGCTCCACTCAAAAGATACAGAATTGCAGAATGGGTAAGAATTCACTAACCAAGCGTCTGCTGACTTCAAGAGACTCACCTAACTCATAAGGACTCACATAAACTTAAGGTAAAGGGGTAGAAAAAGACATTCCATGCAAATGGAAACCAAAAGCGAATAGGAGTAGCTATTCTTATATCAGACAAAGCAAACTTCAAAGCAACAGCGATTGAAAAAGACAAAGAGGGACATTATATAATGATGAAAGATGTTGTACAACAGGAAAATATCACAATCCTAAACATATATGCACCTAACACTGGAGCTCCCAAATTTATAAAACAACTACTGCTACCTAAGAAATAAGAGAGACAGGGCCGGGCGCGGTGGCTCACGCCTGTAATCCCAGCACTTTGGGAGGCTGAGGCAGGCAGATCACGAGGTCAGGAGATCAAGACCATTCTGGCTAACACGGTGAAACCCCGTCTCTACTAAAAAATACAAAAAATTAGCCAGGCATGGTGGTGGGCGCTTGTAGTCCCAGCTACTCGGGAGGCTGAGGCAGGAGAATGGTGTGAACCTGGGAGGCAGAGCTTGCAGTGAGCTGAGATTGTGCCACTGCACTGCAGCCTGGGCGACAGAGCAAGACTCTGTCTTAAAAAAAAAAAAAGAAAAGAAAAAGAAATGAGAAAGACAGTAGCACAGTAATAGTGGGGGACTTCAGTACTCCACTGACAGCACTAGGCAGGTCATCAAGACAGAAAGTCAACAAGGAAACCATGTATTTAAACTATATCCTAGAACAAAGGGACTTAACAGATATTTCTACCCAACAGCCACAGAATATACATTCTATTAATCAGTTGTATGGAAATTTATCCAATGTAGACCATATGATAGGCCACAAAACAAGTCTCAATAAATTTAAGAAAACTGAAATTATATCATGTACTCTGTCAGACCACAGTGGAATAAAATTGGATATCAACTCCAAAAGGAATTTTCAAAACCATGCAAATACATGGAAATTAAATAACCTGCTCCTGAATGATCATTGGGTCAACAATGAAATCAAGATGGAAATTTAAATATTCTTTGAACTGAACAATAACAGTGACACAGCCTATCAAAATCTCTGGGATACAGCAAAGAGGAAAGTTGTTCATAGTCTTAAATGCCTTCATCAAAAAGTCTGAAAGAGCACAAATAGACAATCTAAGATCACACCTCAATGAACTAGAGAAACAAGAACAAACCAAACCCAAACCCAGCAGAAGAAAAGAAATAACCAAGATCAGAGCAGAACTAAATGAAATAGAAACCAAAAAATAAATACAACAGATAAATGAAACAAAAAGCTGATTCTTTGAAAAGATAAATAAAATCAACAGACCATTCTATTGATTGGGAAGATCCAAATAAGCTCAATTATAAAACGGGAGATATTACAACTGACACCACAGAAATACAAAAGATCATTCAAGGGTACTATGAACACCTTTACGTTCATAAACTAGAAAACCTAGAGGAGATGGATAAATTTCTGAAAAGATACAACCCTCCTAGCTTAAATCAGGAAGAATTAGGAAGCCTGAACAGACCAATAACAAGCAGTGAGATTTAATGATAATTTAAAAATTATCAACAACAACAAAAAAAAATCCAGGACCAGACAGTTTCACAGCTGAATTCTATCAGGCATTCAAAGAAGAATTGGTACCAATTCTACTGACACTATTCCACGAGATAGAGAAAGAGGGAATCCTCCCTAAATCATTCTATGAAGCCAGTATCACCCTAATACCAAAACCAGGAAAGAACATAAAAAAAAAAGAAAACTACAGACAAATATCCCTGATGAAGAGACCAATATCCCTGATATTTAGTAGACTTGAGCATCTGATTTTGGTATCCATCTGGGGATAGTGAAACCATCCCCAAACGGATACCAAGGATAACTGTATATGTAATATACACACACACATTTATACACACATATATATGTATGCATATGTATATACATTCATTTATTTATTTTCTAGCTCTGTTCATTGAAGAGGCATGAAAAGAATGCCCAACTCAGTAGCAAAGAGCATCTCTAGTGCTCACTGATTTGGGGTTTGAAATATCTTTTCTCAGTAAAAGAAACAAGAGCTTCTTGGGGAAATGGCTAATTCCTGATCTGAATGTCTAAATAAAGCCCTAAATTTATTTAATTAATTCCAGATATGAATGTCTCAAAATAGCTCTAAATTTAGACCATGTACCTTCCAAATAGAGGATATGAAAGGTTAATTAATTTATGTCTTCCTATCCATTATGCTAAAGAACAATCTTAGTTCCTAAATGGACCAAGTATCTTTTTTTACACTTTTACAAATCTTCTAAATGATCCTAGTGGACCACCCCACCACCCCATGCAAACTTAACTATGATAAAAGTTAGGAATTCTGGGAGAGATACTTTTACATTTCATATTTACCAATGACAGACTTGAGCTTAGAGTTGCTGAAATTTGTTCCAGTTTTAAGAAGAAAATATTGATCTTACAGCATTATTCACAAAACCATTTACCTGACAGATACTTCTCATATTCCTAGGTTGGGAGATACAATGCCTTCACTTCTTCTTTTCATGCTAGAAAAATTATCTGCCAGAAGGAATCCAAATAAAACTTTCTGTTGTTAAAAACTACACTCTCTAAGCAGCTCCTGTTTTTGCACTGTGAGGAAAATATAGCTCTCAGAGCTTGACTTCTCTGACATTCTATAATTATTTATAGTATGAATTAAAATCTAGTGCTTTTTTCTTTACAGGGGCTATTTTATTTGTTGTACTTCTGTGAAGGCAGGGAATGAGACAGGGGTGTAGCTCAAATTACCAAAGCATCCCCTTGATTTGGCATTCTTTCTTGAAGGATAGGTTCAGAATTGATTTACCTCAGGGTGAAATACAAGCCTCTTGTATTCTGTGAATTAAAATGGTCCTTGTGCCTCCCTCAGTACTGCTGATTTTCAGTCAAATGTCAGCATTCTTGTTAAGAATAGTGCTAGATTCATATATATCTGTTGCTATGGCTGCATATTTAGTTACATGGTATGCAGACATTAGCCAAAAGCTGAAGTGGCTACTTACCTATCACACAGTGAAGTTCACTGCCAATAATCTTCCACATAAGGTCAGTAACTTTAATTGGATGTGACTCTAGCCCATATTTGATTGGAAGGTAAAAGAAGTATGCTGCCATTACTCAACTTTTTTTTTTATTTTTAATATTCTCTTTTTCCATTTGTTAGATTGAGACATACTATCAGTGAACAGTAATAATAGTCGACCATTTATTGAATGTCTACTTTAGTGTGTGGTGTCAGGATTATTATAGTAAT
This sequence comes from Homo sapiens, assembly GCF_000001405.40. Classification (NCBI taxonomy): domain Eukaryota; kingdom Metazoa; phylum Chordata; class Mammalia; order Primates; family Hominidae; genus Homo; species Homo sapiens. Next base: position 76,585,210 of record NC_000015.10, on the reverse strand, counting down.
CATTTCTAACCTCCCAAAGCTCTGAAAAGAAATATATATTATCCTGACTTTTAAGATGAAGAAACTGAGATTCAGAGAAGTTAAATAACCTCCCCAGGGTTTATACACATGGTGTGTGCTGGAGCCAGAATTCAAGTATAGGTACTTTTGATTTTAGAGTTTCTATTTCTGTTCTTTGACTTATCAAAGTAAGCTTCATGTAAATAGCTGAGGCTTAAACTGAAGTTCACCAGTGCCTTTTTGAGTGGCATTTGTTGTTGTATTCTTTGAAAAATTTTAACGTTTACATAAATTTTTAGATGAAATTGTATTCTGGGAATATAGTCTTTTGTGAATAGAACTTTCTTATTTAAATTGAGGCTGGACATGGTGGGCTCACATCTGTAATTCCAGCACTTTGGGAGGCTGAGGCAGGAGGATCACTTGAGCCCAGGAGTTCAAGAACAGTGTGGGCAACATAGCAAGACCCTGTCTTTTACAAATAAATAAATAAGTAAAAATTAAATTGACTAATACGGTAAGAACGCAAAAGCATAAGATTTGAAGATTAAAGGCTTAGGTTTCAAGTTCCATAGTACATTTTACCAACTGTGTGACCTTGGGAAGATCACATAACTTTCTTGAGCCTTAGATTTTGCATTTTTTTATATTTAATTTTTGTGGGCACACAGTAGGTGTATATGTTTATGGGTACATGATATATTTTGATACAGGTATATAATGCATAATAATCACATCAGGGTAAATGGGATGTCCACCACCTGAAGCATTTATCCTCTCTTAATGTCACAAACTATCCAATTATACTCTGTTATTTAAAAATGTACAATAAATTGTTGACTGTAGTCATTCTGTTATGGTATCAAATGCTAGGTCTTATTCATTCTATCTAACTATATGTTTGTACTTATTAATGACACACACTTCCCCACTACCCTTACCAGCCTCTGGTAACCATCGATCTACTCTCTATCTCCATGAATTCAGTTGTTTTAATTTTTAGCTCCCAAACATAAGTGAAAACAAGGAAAGTTTGTCTTATTTCACCTGGTTTATTTCACTTAACATAATGACCTCCAGTTCCACCTGTGTTGTTGCAAATGACAAGATCTCATTCCTTTTTATTGGTGATATATTCCATTCTGTACATATACTACATTTTTTTTATCTGTTTATCTCTTGATGGACATTTAGGTTGCTTCCAAATCTTGGCTATTATGAATAGTGCTGCAATAAACATGGGAGAACAGATACCTCTTCAATATACTGATTTTTCTTTTGGGTATATACCCACCAGTGGGATTGCTAGATCATATGGTAGCTCTGTTTCTAGTTTTTTGAGAAACCTCCAAACTGTTCTTCATAGTGGTTTTACTAATTTATAATACATTCCCACCAACAGTGCATGAGGGTTTCCTTTTCTCCACATCCTCACCAGCATTTGTTATTGCCTTTTGGGTAAAAGCCATTTTAACTGGAGTGAGATGATATCTCATTGTAGTTTTGATTTGCATTTTTCTGTTATCAATGATGTTGAGCACCTTTTCATATACCTGTGTGCCATTTGTATGTCTTCTCTTGAGAAATGTCTATTCAGATCTTTTGCCCATTTTTTAATTAGATTATCAGATATTTTTCCTACAGAGCTCTTTCAGCTCTTATATATTCTGGTTGTTACACCTTTGTCAGATGGATAGTTTGTAAATATTTTCTCCCATTCTGTGGGTTGTTTCTTCACTTTATTGATTCGTTCCTCTGCTATGCAGAAGATTTTTAACTTGATGTGATCCCATTTGTCCATTTTTTGCTTTGGTTATCCATGCTTATGGGATTACACTCAAGTTTTTTTTTTTTTTTTTTGAGATGGAGTCTCACTCTGTTGCTCAGGCTGGAGTGCAGTGGCTCAATCTCGACTCACCACAACCTCTGCCTTCCGGGTTCAAGCAATTCTCCTGCCTCAGCCTCCCGAGTAGCTGGGACTAGAGGCATGTGCCACCATGTCTGGCTAATTTTTTAATTTTTAGTAGGGACAGGGTTTCACTATGTTGGCCAGGCTGGTCTCAAACTCCTGACCTCGTGATCCGCCCACCTTAGCCTCCCAAAGTGCTGGGATTACAGTTATGAGTCACTGCACCTGGCCTACACTCAGGAAATTTTTGCTCAGTCCAATGTACTGGAGAGTTTCTTTAGTGTCTTCTTGTAGTAGTTTCATAGTTTGAGGTCTTAGATTTAAGTCTTTAATTCTCTTTGATTTGACTTTTGTATATGACAAGAGATAGGGAACCAGTTTCATTCTTTTGAGTATGGATATCCAGTTCTCTCGGCACCATTTATTGAAGAGACTGTCTTGAGACTGTTTTTTCCTCAATGTATATTCTTGGTGACATTGTCAAAAATGAGTTCTCTGTAGATGTAAGGATTTGTTTCTAGATTCTCTATTGTATTCCACTGGACTATGTGTCTGTCTTTATGTAAGTACCATGCTGTTTTGGTTACTATAGCTTTGTAGTATACTTTGAGGTCAGATAGTGTGATTCCTTCTGTTTCGTTCTTTTTGCTCAGAATAGCTTTGGCTATTTTGCGTCTTCTGTACTTTTATATAAGTTTTAAGATTGCTTTTTCAATTTCCGTGAAATAGAAAAATACTTATTTCGTTAGTATTTTGATAGATTGCATTGAAACTGTAGATTACTTCATATAATATAGACATTTTAACAATATTCTTTCATTCTATCAACATGGAATGCCTTTTCATGTGTCTTCTTCAGTTTCTTACATCAGTGTTGTATAGTTTTCATTGTAGAGATCATTTATTTCTTTGGTTAATTTCTAGGTATTTCATTTTATTTGAAGCTATTGTAAATATGATTAGTTTCTTGACTTTTTCAGATTGTTTGCTGTCAGGATGTAGAAATGCTAATGATTTTCATATGTTGATTTTATATCCTACAGTTTTACTAAATTTGTTTATTAGTTCTAATAGTTTTTTGGTGGAGTCTTTAGGTTTTCCAAACATGAGATCATATCATCTGCAAAGAAGGATAATTTGACTTTTTATTTTTCAATTTGGATGCCCTTCATTTCTTTCTCTTGTCCAATTGGTCTAGGTAGGACTTCCAGTACTATGTTAAATAACAGTGAAAGTGGGCATCCTTGTTTTGTTTCAGTTCTTAGAGGAAAGGCTTTTAGCATTTCTCTGTTCAGTATACTAGCTCTGTGTCTGTCATATATGTTTTTTATTGTGTTGAGGTATGTTCCTTCTATACACAGTTTTTTGAGGGTTTTTATCATGAATGAATGTTGAATTTTATCAAATGCTTTTTCAGGCCAGGCATGGTGGCTCACACCTGTAATCCTGGCATGTTGGGAGGCTGTGGCTGGCAGATTGCCTGAGCTCAGGAGTTCGAGACCAGCCTGGGCAACATGGTGAAACCCCTTATCTACTAAAATACAAAAAATTAGCCAGGCATGGTGGTGTGAGCCTGTAGTTCCAGCTAGTCAGGAGGTGAGGCACAAGAATGGCTTGAACTTGGGAGGCAGAGGTTGCAGTGAGCTGAGATCACACCACTGCACTCCAGCCTGGGCAACAGAGCGAGACTCTGTCTCCAAACAAAAATAAATGCTTTTTCAGCATCAATTGAAATGATTATATCGTTTTTGTCCTTCATTCTGTTGATATGATGTATCACATCGTTTGCTTTGCGTATGTTGAACCATCCTTGCATCCCTGGGATAAATCTCATTTGGTCACAATGAATGATCTTTTTAATGTGTTGTTGAATTCCATTTGCTTGTATTTTGTTGAGGATTTTTATATCAGTGTTCATCAGGGATATTGACCTATTGTTTTCTTTTTGTGCTTTGTCTGGTTTTGGTATCAGGATAATACTAACCTCCTAGAATGAGTTTGAAAATATTCCCTTCTCCTCCACTTTTTAGAATAGTTTGAGTAAGATTGATAAGATTGATATTACTTCTTTAAATATCTGGTTAAACTCAGTAGTGAAGCCATCAGGTCCTGGACTTTTTTTTGTTGTTGTTGTTGGGAGACTTTTTATTATGGCTTCAATCTCATTAGTTGTTTACTGGTCTCATCAGATTTTGGATTTCTTCGTAGTTCAGCCTTGGTAGGTTGTATATGTGTAGGAATTTACTTATTTCTTCTAGGCTTTCCAATTTATTGGCATATAGTTGCTCATGGTAGCCTCTAATGATCCTTTGAATTTCTGTGGTATTGGTTATAATGTCTCCTTTTTCATCTCTGATTTTATTTGTTTGGGTCCTTTTCTTCTTAGTCTGACTAAAGGTTTGTTGATTTTGTTTATCTTTTCAAAAAACCAACTTCTCAATTCACTGATCTTTTGTATTATTTTCTTTCAATTTCATTCATTTCTGCTCTGATCTTTATAATTTCTTTTCTTCTAATTTGGGGTTTGGATTGCTCTTGCTTTTCTCGTTCTTTAAGATGTAGCTATAGGTTTTTTATTTGAAGTTTTTCTACTTCTTTGATATAAATGCTTATAGGTACAAACTTTCCTCTTAGTACTGCTTTCACTGTATCTGATAGGTCTTGTTATGTTATGTTTCCATTATAATATTTTCAAGATTTTTTTTTATGTGTGGAGATGGGGTCTTGCTTTCCTGTCCAGGCTAGCCTCAAGCTCCTGGCTTCAAGGGGGCCTTCTATCTTAGCCTCCCAAAGTGCTAGGATTACAGGCATGAGCCACCACACACAGACAGCTGTTTCAAGAAAAGTATTAATTTTTTTCTCAACTTCTTCATTAACCCACTGGTCATTCAGGACCATGTGGTTTAATTTCCATGTGTTCGTATAGTTTCCAAAATTCCTCTTATTGATTTCTAGTTTTATTCTAGTTTTGTCAGAGAAGACTATTGATACAATTTCAGGTTTTTGAATTTTTTAAGACTTATTTTGTGGTCTAACACTTGGACTGTCCATGAGAATGATCCATGTGCTAAGGAGAAGAATGTGTATTCTTCAGCCATTGGATGAAATGTTCTGTAAATATCTAGTAGGTTCATTTAGTCTATGGTGTAGATTAAATCCAGTGTTTCTTTGTTGATATTCTGTCTGGATGATCTGTCCAGTGCTAAAAGTGGGGTGCTGAAGTCTCCAGGTGTTACTGTATTGGGGTCTGTCTCTCTCTTTAGTTCTAATAATATTTGCTTTACATATCTGTGTGCTCCAATATTTGGTGCATATATATTTATAATTATTATATTGTTTTACTGAATTGACCCTTTTATTATTGTATAATGACATTCTTTGTTTCTCTTTATAGTTTTGTCTTGAAATGTATTTTTTCTGACATAAGTATAGCTACTTGTACTCTTGTTTGGTTTCCATTTTCATGTAATATCTTTTTCCATCCCTTTATTTTCAGTCTGTGTGTCTTTATAGGAGAAATTTGTTTCTTGTAGGCAACAAATAGTTGGATCTTCTTGTTTTAATCCATTCGGCCATTACATGCCTTTTGATTGGAGAGCTTATTCCATTTACATCCAGTTATTGATAAGTAAGGACTTATTTGTTATTTGTTTTCTGGTTATTTTGTGGTCTTTTCCTTCTTTTCTTCCTTTCTCTCTTTCTCATAGTGAAGGTGATTTTTCTTTAGCAATGTGTTTTCATTTCTTGCTTTTTATTTTTTTTTTTATGAATCTTTTGTGTGGTTTTTGGTTTGAGTTTACCACGAAGCTTGCAATTGATATTTTATAACCCATTATTTTAAACTGATGACAACTTAACACTACTTGCATAAAAAAACTAAATAACAAACAAGCAAAGAAAAAACTAATAAAAACTTTACATTTTAACTTCATCCCTCTGCTTTTTCACTTTTTGTTGTTTCTATTCATATCTTCTTGTACTATGTCTTAAAACATTGTTGTTGTAGTTACTATTTTTTTTTTTTTTTTTTTTTTTTGAGACAGAGTCTCGCTCTGTCACCCAGGCTGGAGTGCAGTGGCACCATCTCAGCTCACTGCAAGCTCCGCCTCCCAGGTTCATGCCATTCTCCTGCCTCAGCCTCCTGAGTAGCTGGGATTACAGGCACCCGCCACCATGCCCAGCTAATTTTTTGTATTTTTAGTCAAGGCAGGGTTTCACCGTGTTAGCCAGGATTGTCTCGATCTCCTGTCCTTGTGATCTGCCCGCCTCAGCCTCCCAAAGATTATTTTAAATTATTTTTATCTCTTCGCTAAATGTATCTGATAGAATTCTGAATTCCTTCTCTGTGTTATCTTGAATTTGAGTTTCATCAAAACAACTATTTCGAATTCTCTGCCTGAAAGAGTCACTTATCTCTGTTTCTCCAGGATTGGTCCCTGGTGTCTTATTTAGTTCATTAGGTGAGGTCATATTGGGTGTTTGTAGGTGTCTAGGGATTGAAGAGTTAGGTATTTATTGTAGTCTTCATGGTGTAGGCTTGTTTGTACCCATCCTTCTTGGGAATGTTTTCCAGGTATCCAAAGGGACTTGGGTGTTGAAACCTAAGCTATTGGCCACTGCAGTTATATCTGCATTTGGGGGAACCCCAAGCCCAGTAACACTATGGCTCTTATAGACTCGTAGAGGTACTGCCTTGGTGGTCTTGGATAAGATCCAGAAGAATTTGCTGGACAACCAGGCAGAAATTCTTGTTCTCTTCCCTTATTTTCTCCCAAACAAATGGAGTCTCTCTCTCTCTGTGCTGAGCTGCTTGCAGCTGGATGAGGGTTGACACAAGCACCCCTGTAGCCCCCACCACTGGGCCTGTGCTAGGTCAGACCTGAAGCACAGATTACTGTGTCTCGCCCAAGGCGCACAGTAACCACTGCCTGGCTACCACCTTTGTTTGCTCAAGTCCCCCTAGGGCTCAGCAATCAGCAGGTAGCAAAACCCGCCAGGCTTATGTATTTCCGTTCAGTGCAGCAAGTTCTGCCTGGCCCGAGCAGGTCCAGATATGCCATCCAGGAGCCAGGGCCTAGAGTCAGAAACCTTAGGAATCAACCTGGTGCTGTGTTCTACTGTGGTTGAGCTGACACCCAAACCACAAGACAAAGTCCTTACCACTCTTCCCTCCCCTTTCTATAGTCATAGGAGTCTCTTCCTGTGGCCACCACCACCCCAGGCCTATGGTGAGTACTGCCTGGCTACTGTCAGTGTTCACTCAAGGCCCAAGGGCTCTTCATTCAGTTTGTGGTGTATGCTGCCTGGCCTGGGCCTTCCATTCAGGACAGTGGCTTCCCTGTGGCCCAGTTCAGGTGCAGAAATACCATCCAAGAGCCAAGGCCTGGAATCAGGGACCTCAAGAACCCTCTTGTTGCTCTGCCCTACTGTGGTCAAGCTGATACCTAAGCTGCAAAACAAAGTTCCCGTACTCTTCCCTCCCCTTTTCTCAAGCAGAAGGAGTCTCTCCCCGTAGCCACCACAGCTGGGAATGGGCTGTATCCCATCTGAAGCCATCATGTCTCTGAGTCTCACTCAAGGCCCTTGGCGAGTGCTTCCTGGCTACCACTGCTAACTCGTGAGGGCCCAAGGAGTCTTTTGTCAGCAGATGACAAATCCTTCCAGGACTGGGTCTTTCCCTTTAAGGTAGCCCATTCCCTTTTTGCCCAGGATATGTCTAAAAATACCATCCAGGAGCTAGGGCCTGGAATGGGAGCCTCAGGATTCTGCCCAGTTATTCCGTCCTACTATGGCTGAGCTGGTTTCCAAGTTGCAAGACAAAGTCCTCTTTTTTTCTCCTTCTTCTTCTTCTTTTTGAAACAGGGTATTGCTTTTTCACCCAGGCTAGAGCGCAGTGGCATGATCATAGCTCACTGCAGCCTTGATCTTTGAGACTCAATTGATCCTGCCTCCTCAGCCTCCTGAGTAGGTGGGACTACAAGTGTGTGCCACCACACCCAGCTAATTTTTGTATTTTTTGCTAGAGACGGGCTTTCACCATGTTGCCCAGGCTGGTCTTGAACTTCTGGGCCCAAGCAATCCGCTTGCCTCAGCCTCCCAAAGCACTGGGATTATAGGTATGAGCCACTGTGCCTGGCACAGAGTCCTCTTTAGTCTTCCCTCCCCTCTCCTCAAGCATAGGGACGGAGTCTGTACCAGAGTTGTGAGCTGCCTGGGGTTGAGAGAGGGGTGGTGCAAACACTCCCTTGGCTGCCCTGGCTGGTCTCATAGGTCACATTCTTCCCAAGTTCACTGGCTCCGAGCCCAGCACAACACCAGGACTTGCCCAGGAATTGCAGTTCTTGTGGCTTAAACCTCCTTTCAAGTTTATTTAGGTCCCCAGAACACTTTAACCTGCAACTCAGGTTCCGAGTGCTAGGATGGGCGATTCCCCGCTTTCTAAGGTTGGTATAAATGCTCTCTCTGTGGGGGCCAGCTGAATTGTGTCCTGTTGCTTTCCACTGTAACAGGCTAGCACTGATTTCCAAGGCAAAGTCTCACTGCCACTGTGCTTCCTGTCTCCCAAGTGCATAGACTCTCTGTCTGCACCACAGGGTGGCTGCCAGGGTAGGAGGGAGGGGTGGCATCAGCATTTCAAGACTGTCTTTCCTGTCTCTTCAGTGCCTTTTTCAGTGATACGAAGTTAAAATCAGGTACTGTGGTGATTCACACAACTTTCGGTTCTTATTAAGGTACTTTTTTATGTGGATAGTTGTTCAATTTGGTGTTCCTGTATGGAGGACATCTGTGAAGGCTTCTATTTGGCTATCTTGCTCTGCATCAGTTTTTGCGTTTTTCAAATAGGGATAATACTTATTGACAGTGTTGTTGAGAGGATTAAATAAGATCATGTACATGAAAGTATTTTGTAACCTATGAAGTTATTGGGTTTTTTTCTTTTTAGAGATGAAGGTCTCACTCTGTTGCCCGGGCTGAAGCGCAGTGTTGTAAGCTCACTGCAGTCTGGAACTCTGGAGCTTAAGCAGTCCTCGCACCTCAACCTCCTGAGTAGCTAGGACTACAGGTGCACGCCACCATTGCCAGCTAATAGTTTCTTATTTTTTGTAGAAACTGGGTCTTGCCTTGTTACCCAGGCTGATCTCAGATTCCTGGCTTCAAGTGAACCTCCTGCCTTGCCCTCCCAAAGTGCTGGGATTACAAGCATGAACCACCATCCTTGGTCTGGATATTGTTAAAATTAATGTAAAGAAGAAGTTTTCTCTGTAGGACATGAATTTATTAAATATCTAATGAGTGTACTTATGTAAAAGTAGCATGTTACATGATAAGGATAAAGCAGTGAGCAGATAGACGAGCACCTCGCTCATGAAGTTAATACTCTGCTTCTGCACTGTTCAATACAATAGCTTCTAGCCACCATGTTGGACAGTAAAAACACAGAATATTTCTATCACTTCAGGAAATTCCCTTGTAAAGCTTTGCATAGGAGAAGCACACATTAAACAGTTAGTTCAGTAAGTATTTTTAATTCTCTTATGATGAGTGCTTTGAAGAAATAGTCAAATCAGAGAAAGTAATGTTTGTGCTAAGAGCTGAGGGATAAATAGTAATGTTCTAGGTAATGTGGGAGTGGAGGAAGCATTTCAGAAGGAAAAGATGAAGAACATTGCAGAAAGACCTGAGACAGGAAGAAGAGAGAGCTTGAGATCCAGAAAGAACTCATGCATACATCCTGTGTGGTGAAATTAGTCCTGTCTGGAAGGAATGACTGTAATAAGAGGAACAGAGAAGAAGATGAGTGAAATGCAGATAAGCTTGTAGATTTTATGGCCGAAAGTGAAAATTTTCTTGTTCCAATAACTTCTGTTTTCTCTTTGAAATGTAGGATCATCTTATGAAAGCAAAAGAGAGAAAGGAAAGGGTGGACTTTTGAAGAGAGTGGGGAATGTATGAAGCAAACCTTTGTGGATAGTGGGAGAATGAACACCCTAGGGAGATTTAATAAGATCTTGAATCAGTAGTCCTACCAGTATTTTGCATGGTCTGACTCCCCCCACACCCCCACCCCTGCCAGGTTCAGAAATGGAAAAGTCTGCCAGTTGTTTTCATTAATCCAGCTAAAGAAATTAATGCATGCAAGACATTGAGAATGGTGCCTAGCCCATAGTAAGAGCTAAACAAACATTATTACCACGGCTGGGGTTTGTCTAAGAAGAGTAAAAAACAGAACAACAGAGAGGAAATGTAGGACATTTGCAAGAAAATGATTATAATGATGTACTGTGGAATCTACCACAGATAAAAATTTAAGGCAACGGGGATGATATATAGGGGAAAAGTGGGGAGATCTGGTGAGCATCTATTAGTGGATTCTCAAGTAAATAAGTGGAAAGCAGAGGAGGGTTGCTCCAAGAGTGAGGTACCAGGTAGGGGCCACAAAGAAGTAATGCACACAGTGATCTGAATGAAGACTCTTACAGTCTAGGTATAATGTGGTATTTCTTGGTGAAAACTAAATAAATGTTCTGTCGTCTAAGTAAATGATATGAGCAGTAGCAGACTATCCCCAAACTGCCTGTAAACAAACATTTGGAAGTTCAACATTCTGAGAGTTTATAAAGCTAATAATATTCGAAGATTTAAATCAAAATATAAAAACCTGCTCAGGTTCTTATACTCATTTTCTCTGCTCTCATCCTCTGGCCTTCTCCCCCTTCCTAATTCTGTTCTAATTTAAGAATCATACAGAAACTAAAGGCATCAATTGCTCTAGCTAATCCTGTAGATTGATAATACTATCCTCTAGTTCTGTTTTGTGCCATGAAGAATGAATTGGTGGTCATGAATATAAAATAACACTAGCTTTATTGGTTGTCTGGTTTTTTCTCCCCTCAGATGCTCTGTGAAGCATTTTCAAATCCAATACTGAAAGTAACTTGTGTTTCAAAGTGTTTTGGGAAATGAAGATTATAGTCTGTTTCATTAATGTCATTCTTTCCTTTCATTTGGTATTAAAGGCTTCAGCGATTAGCCAAAGATCTTCTAAAACAAGTACAAGTTCAAGACAGTGGCTCATGGGCAAACAATAAAGTGTCTGCTTTGGATCGGACCCTAGGAGAGATCACTAGAATACTGGAAAAAGAGGTGTGTAACTAATATCTGGCTTTTGAACCTTAATCTTTGTGATCCTTTCTCACTATGACAGTACATAGAGCTATAAGGCAGACTCAGTATATACCTTTCTTCTGTGTTTTTTAAAGCTAGTCAATAATAGATGAATTTTTTTTTTTACTTTTGTTCTTTTCAGTTGTTTAATTGAAGCTATTTTCAGGTTTTTTTTTAATTGAAGTCCTCTTTAGGTCATGGTTTCCTCAGTCATGTTTTCCTCACACAAATAAACTGAAATTATTTTGTCAGGAATCACAATAATAAAGATGTATGACTTTATGGCAGAAAATAGAAAACTTTGAATTATAAAGCCTCATAAATCACAACCAGATTTCTACAAAACACCAATATCCCCTGATTCCAACAGATTTGGCAGTTTTCTTTAATGACTTAGAATCATTAAATATCTCAATTATAGTTTAAATATCCTCAGTGATTTTTAAAGTATTTATTATTCACTATAGGAAAATGTTAAACGTACAAAGAAGAAATAAAACTTCCTGTAATAGCAACTGATAACATTTTATTGTATCTTCTTCCAAACATTTTATTGGACTTTTTTACATTATTTTATCATAAATACTTTATCATGTCTTTAAAAATCTTTAATGGAATGAACATATCACATTTTACATAATGTATAATATTTAGGTGGTTTCTAATTTTCTATTTAAAGTAATGGCTATTTTCATTTATTAGCTGTAGTTTTTGGGTTTTTGTTTTGTTTTGTTTTCTGGGTTTAAAGGTTGTAATGTAATATTTGATATGTACAAAAGAAATATTAATAAAAAATAATATGAATACAGTGAACAGCTATGAACTCACCACCCAATTTAGAGTAAGATTGTTACCACTACATTTGTGTTTCCCAATATGATCCTTTCTTACCACATTCATGATTCCTTTAAAGGGAATACTGTACAGAATTAAAGGTGTATCATTGTTTTTTAGAAATAGCTTTATTGCTTTATCACATAAATGTTTTGTTAAATAATGTTACTTGGCTTTGACCTTTATAAAATATTGCACAATAGACCTCTACAATTATTTTTTCAGTCAAAGTTATGGTTCTAAGTTTTATTTAGCCTTATAAATATAGCTGTTTGTCACTGCTTTTCTCTGCTGTAGAGTAAGTCCTTCATTGTGTTAATACAATTTTTAAATCTATTCTGACAGTGGACATTTCTCTGTGTGTGTGTGTGTGTGTGTGTGTGAGAGAGAGAGAGAGAGAGAGAGAGAGAGAGTGCACGCAAGCATGGGCAAACAGTGCTGCTCATTCTTGTATCAAAGTAAATAAACAAGAACTTCTTTAAAGCTGGGAGTCTCAGGCTTTCGTCTACATCGGAATTGCCTAGAGAACTTGTTAAAACACAGATTGCTGCCCCCAGCTCCTGCCCCGGATTTCTGATTAAGTAGGTTTAGGGTGGGTCTGGAGAATTTGTATTCCTAACAAGTTCCTAAGTCATATTGATGCTGCTAGTCCAAGGACCATATTTTGAGAATCACTGCTCTACTCTAGGGCATATGCCTCAATGGTGGAATTGTGGGGTTCTCAGGCATATCAGTGTCCAACTTTGCAAGATAGTGCTCAACTACATTTTGGCATCAGACAGTACAGTCGTCTGGAGGAATCGAAAGCAGCCTATTCAGTGTGGCATTGTGGCAGAGCTGTAAAGTCAGTTCTTGTGTGTAACACATCCCTTTCAGGATATCAGAGGTTCAGAAACTAGTACTTGTCACACATTTGCTAGAATGCAGTATTTAAAGATTTAATGTGCTTTAGGAAAAATCTCTGATCTTTTAAAAAATTATTTATATACTGATTATTTTTGTAAAGTATAGAGTACTTTGAATTAAAAGGCAATTGCTTGAAGACACTGCTACACGTATCTTATCTCATGAATATTGTTTTAGATTAAAGTAATAGAACTTTTGAGGAAAAGGCAAAATGATCTATATAAGAAAGTATTCAGTATGAAAATTTACCTAAAGTTATTTCCTTCACAAAGGGGCAATTTACTGAAATACCACTGATTTCTTATAATTTGGGGAAGAAAAATGTTGTCTGGCTCCCAGTCTAAATGGTCTGTGTCAGAAACTTGCTGTAAAGCTGTCCTCAGAGTATACACTGCAGGACCACCTAAGAGTTTAGACTTACCTACAATAAGATCCTTTTGCTACTTTTATAACTAAAATCCTTTTTACCTAGCCAAGACACACACTCACTTTATGAAGACTTCCATAGAGTAATACTGACATTTCAGTGTAATTCAGCTGATGATATTTATGATTTCAGTCTAGGAATTGTAAATAGCCATTCCTTTTTGTTTGGAAAACTGCCTGGAGTAACAAACTCATTAGAGCCAAAGCCAGGTACCCAGTGAAGGATATTTGAAGATAGTCTAGAAGTGACAAGGTAGGATGGTGGAACTTGGGCAAGTGTAAGCACTGATGGAGGAATGGTGAGAGATGAATCTTGACGTCTTTATTTGCTTAATTTAGACCTCAAAACATGGATGCTTTCTACTATCGCTTGACACACTGTTTCTTTAGATAATTTTTCTAAAGTTCTGAGAACTATTTTAGACCTAACGGGTTAAACTTGTGATGTATAGTAACGCTCTTATCATGGAAGGGGTCAGGAAACTGAGGAGACCTGGGTTTTGTAGTACTTACTATGCATTTCAGGTTCCTTCTGGTTTTTTGGGTTTTCTGATTTCATTCAGAAATTAAAAGTGTGTAAGCTTTTTATATGTGTTATGCTTTAAAAAAAATCTTAAGCCACTTCTGTTTACTAACATACTTTGGTCTAGGGTACTGGGTATCAACTCTCCCAACAAAAACAACTGAAAATGCTAGGTGGGGAAGAAAGCAGTTTTCTTAAAAGCATCAAATAGCTAAGAAGTAATTAAGGAATTCCCAGTCCACAGAAAAAGCAAGAATTTAGAAAGTTGTGCTTATAACTTAATTGCCCCAAAAAGCATGTGCCAGATTGGCAAATGTGAGTTGTGGTTTACAAGTGTCATCGTGTAAGGTGATGAAAGTAAAAGTATAAGGGCTGCCTAGGTATGAGGTCTAATAGGAGATTTTTCCGATTTTCCTTTCATAAAGATAAGACCACATTAACCTACTCCATCACATAATCATGAACCTTCTTATCCCACCCTCAGGACTATGAAGAAAGCACCTTGGCACAATGCAGAATTTATACCCATAGTCCAACCCCTGGCATAGATTTGCTGCTCAAATTCACATCACCCATATTATTTCAGATGGTGAATTGGGTTTAAAGTTGTCCTAGATTGATTTGCAGTGTCTTTAGGAATCAAGCAGAAGAGAAGACAAATCCTCATTGGAAGAAGACACCTTCATTCTAGGCCTCAGATAGTTTCTGTTAAACAATTTTACAAGGACAAGTAGCCATAGGGAAAAGATAAGCCTGAAAGTAAGTAAGTCATGATAAGTAAGCAGAAACTAGAACTGCAAGGCTATGTTATTACTAGTCACAGATTATAAAACTATGCCTGCTATCTTCTGAGGAAATAAAAGGTAAGCTTGAAAATTTCTATAGGAATGGACTTGGACTTAGCAATAGTGACAGGTAATTCAGAACTGTCCTTCCACTGATGACAATAAAACTAGATAAAATATGAAATAAAACTGAACTGCAAACAGAGTAGTGAATAATTACTGGGCCAAGATCCAGAAATTTGGCATTTTGGGACTAGGTACCGTTGATGATCAAAAAGAAGTGGACATGAGTTTGATTAGTACTTTTGAGACTGTTTGCAGGACTGGTGAGAAAAAAAAAAATGTTGGCATCTAGGACAATCAATGGTAGGGACTATGACAAAAAAAACTCATGTTTTGGTTTGGGATCTTAAAGGACTGTGCAAGGAAAAAGGGTAGACAGGAAGTACACCAGTCATTACACAGACAGCTCAGTTTCAAATCATGTAGGTGGCTGGGAAAATCCAAATCACTGAAAAAAGATTAAAATGATCCTAAATTGCTAATACCCCAGGTGGCTAACAGAAGCAATTGGAAAATTTATTTTGGAGAAAGATAATAGCAACCTAAGTCTCAAATTATCTCAACAAAATAAATTTCAAATGCAGTGTTTGGCACAGTAAGGTAATTAAGCATACAAAGGGACAAGACAACATGCATAAAAACCAATAGAAACAGACCTACAGATGCTCCAGAACTATGCTTACAATGATCAAAGATATAAATATTAATTATTTTTAAAGATATATAGCACATTTGAGAAAACAGAATTTGAAAACTGAACATTTTAGTAATAAAAATTACAAAAATTATAGGTGAGGTAACAGTAGAATAAAGCAAGCACTGGAAGATAGATCATAAGAAAGAATCCAGACTGAGCATGGAGAGAAAAAGATATAGAAAATGAAAAGAAGAGTATAAAAAGGATATAATATATGATGAAAATGTCTAATTTATGTATAATTAGAGCTCCAAAAGGAGAAGAGAGAAGTATTTGAAGTGATAATCATTTAGAACTTTCCAAAACTTACAAATCAATTTACAGATTCGAGAAGCCCAATGATGCCCAAGCAGGGTAAATAAAAAGAAATCCATGTTCACAAACGTCACAGTGAAACTATAGAAAGTAAAATTATAAACCAATCTCATTCATAAATGTGGATTCAGAATTCCTAAACAAAATTTTAGCAAACTGAATCATGCAATATCTAATAAGGATAATATATCACAACAAAGTTGGATTTATTCAAGATATTTAAGTTTGCTTTAACATTGGAAAATTATGATCTATCATATTAACAGAAGAAAAGGAAAAATATCATCTCAAAAGACACAACGAAAGCGTTTGGTAAGTTCAGCATCAATTAATGATAAAGATTCATAGTAAACCAGGAATAGAATGGAATTTCCTTAATCTGACAAATTGAATCTACCAAAAAAATTATAGCAAAATAATATTTACTGGTGAAATGTTGAAAATTTTCCCTTTGAAATTGTGTACAACAAAAATATTTACTGTCAAGACGTCTGCTTAAAATGGGGGTTCTAACTAGTGGAAAAATAAATAAATAAAAGTTGTAAGATTTGAGAGAAAAAGTGAAATAGTCATTGTTAGCAAATGATATGTTATATATAGAAAATTTAAAATAATTTACAGATAAATAGCACAAATAAGTTAGATTAACAAGGGTACTAGACAATGGGCAGTATATAAAAATCAATTATATTTATATATTATCAAAATATTAAATATCTAGGAGTAAATCTATAATGTTTATGGATTGGAAAACTCACTATAGTATATTTTTCTTTTCTACCCAGTTTATTTGTAGATTCAGTGAAATCTCATTTAAAAGTCCAACACTTTGTTCTTTGGAAATTCTAAAACACTATTTAGAATTTCTAAAGAACAATATGTAGGCGCAGATTCTAAAATATGGAATTTCAAAGATCCAATGAAACAGTATGCAAAACCCTGTTGAAAAAGAACAATATGACCAGCACTTTGCGAGGCTGAGGTGGGTGGATCACTTGATGACAGGAATTCAAGACCAGCCTGGCCAACATGGCGAAACCCCGTCTCTACTAAAAATAAAAAAAATTAGCCAGGTGTGGTGGTGGGCACCTGTAATCACAGCTACTTGGGAGTCTGAGACAGGAGAATCACTCGAACTCAGGAGTCAGAAGTTGCAGTGAGCCAAGATCGCGCCACTGCACTCCAGCCTGGGCGACACAGAGAGACTTGTGGCGCAGGGAGAGGGAACGATATGGGAAGATTTGCTCTACCAAGTATAAACACTTTTTATAAAGCCACAGTAATTAGGATAGTGTTCTATTGGAGACAAGACGGAGAAAAAGAAGAATGGAACATAATTGAATTCATAAACAGTCCCATTTGTATATATATATATATATATATATATATATATATATGCTTGATCCATGACATGTGAGGTACTTGTCTATGCACATATGGAAAAAGGAAGCACCACAAAACGTTGTGGGAAAGTGTGCTCTATTTAGTGAATAAAGGCTATAATGATTCAATATCCTTGTTTTTTAAAAAATGTTACTTCTATCTCACATCATAAACAAAAAATTGATTCCAGATGGATCTAAATATGAAAAGAAAAAACTAATTTTTAGAAGATAATATAGACTAATCTCTTCTTTACCTCAGAGTTTTACCTGGACAAGAAAATGACACAAAAGAAATTAACAATAAAGGGAAACTTGATAAATTGGGCTGCACTGAAAATAAGAACTTTTGTTCATCAAAAGGCACCAGGAAGAGGGTAGCAAGACAAGCAATAGAAGGGAAGAATATTTTACATATATATAATCAACAAAAGAGTGGCATCCAGAGTATAGAAGGAATTCCTACAAATTAATGAAATGCAAAAACAAACTAAACCAGTAGGATAATGGTCAAGAGGATAGGCATTCTGAAAGAAATCCAAATAGCTAAAAAATAAATGTGAAGATAGTCAACCTCTTTAATAATCAGGACAATTCAAATTAAAAATTCAATGTGATAATGTGATTCACTTATCAGAATGACAAAAATTAGACTGAAAATACCAAGTATTGGCAAAGAACTAGAGCAGTGGGAACATACAGACAATGTTTGTGATAACATAAGTTGAGCCTACCATGTAGCAAACAGTCTGCTGTTGTCTACTAAATTTGTAGACATGTGTATCATATTTCACTTCTAGGTATATACTGTATGGAAAGCAATGCATATATCCACCAGGCAAGATATACACAAATGTTCAATGGCAGCATTGTTTATAATCACCACATATGGAAAATAGTGCAAGAATCCATCAACAGCTGGAGATACAAATTATGGTATGTTCATATAATGGACTATTATTCAACATAAAAATGAATGAACTACATCTGTGGATAACAATATGGATATATCTCACAAACTCTTTTTAGTGAAACAAGTCACCAAAAAATATATATACTGTTACAATTCCAGTCATATAAAGTTCAAGAAAAGACAAAAGGACTTATATTGTTTTGGAATATACACATAGGTGGTAAAACTATAAAGAAAATAGAAAAAGAAATTTCCTAAAAATCAGGATCATGATTGTTCAGAGAGAAGGGTGAGATGTGTGATCAGAAAGAGTCATATAGGTGGCTTCTTCAGTGCTTCTAGTTTTCTTTTTCTTGACTGGATACTGGTTACACAGTGTTCAAATTAAAATTATTATTTAACTTGTACATACATGTTTGCTAATTTTTCTGACTTTTCTGTATGTTTATGTTTAATAATAAAATTAATTTTTAGAATTTAAGGTAAAATAAATTGCTCCAAATAAAAGAAATTTTTTATTGAAGAAATGTTATTTCAAAATTGAAGAAATTTTTTTATTGAAGAAATGTTCAATTATTTCAAAAAAGAGTTTAAAAAATACTCTTACATGTGCAAAAGTATTTTCCTTAGTCTTACCATTGTATTAAATTTGGTCCAAGTGAATGCGATCTGTATTTGCATTGACTTTTCTCATTACTTTGTGATGATAAGCATTACATTTAGGTTTGGATAGTAACAGCATCCCAGAACCTTTTCTGTGGTTTATCAGTAACATGAGACATGTGTATGCTGTTACTATAAGTAAACAGTTTAAGCAGATGGATTGGACATGGAGTTTGTCCAATTGCCTTTCCTGACTTTATAGAATCCTGCCAAATTTAAATAGAGATTCAGCTGTGACTCTTTCGAATCTGAATAAGCAAACCACATAGCTGGCAGCATTGATGATTTGAAGTGAATTGAGATATGTGAAATCACAATTTACATTATAATACCTATAGCAAACCATGCCATGCTTTGGTATTTTCAAAACTTATCTTGTAAAATTCCATTCACCGATACCTGTATAAGGTAGAAAGGTAGAAACTCTTCCCTACCATTTTCCTCTTTTTGCCAACTGTTGTGACTATGTAACACATGCCTAGGCTCAGAGAGATAAATCAGTAAGCCTTAAGAGCTTTTTCAACCTAATTATATTCAGAAAACTGTGTTCAGATCCTGCTAGACACTGCCCATCTTCCAAACCCCGTGGTTCTGCTTCTCTTATTTTCAGCTGGAATTCTTCAGCTGAAGAAATGGGAAGCATTCAACACTAGGAATCTCTTTTGATCCCTTCACTATGTTCTCAGCTTACATAGTTGTTTCCTCATTGCAACTGATACATAACTGAATATAGCTGGTATGACACCCATATTTTGTCAAAAGGTGACAAGTATATAGCCCAAAGTAAAATGAAGATGTTTTTCAGACGTTTTTCAGCTAGCTTCCCTTGGAAGACTACTATAAAGAAAAATTGAGTTGTTATTTCATGAATATGACAGATTTAACTTATAAATGGTTTGTATTTTTTAAAAAGAAACAACAAAAAGCAGGTGTTGAGAGAAGGAGAATTTACTGGAAAGGGGCATAAGGAAATTTCTAGGGTGATTAAAAAGTGTTGTGTATTTTGTTTTGGGTGGTGCTTAGATAGTTGTGAGCAGTAGTCAGACGTCATCAAACTGAGTGTATAAGCATTCCTTTTTCTCCACAACCTCACCAGCATCTGTTATTTTTTTGACATTTTAATCATAGCCATTCTGACTGTGTGAGATGATATCTTATTGTGGTTTTGATTTGCATTTCTCTAATGATCAGTGATGTGGAACTTTTTAAAAAATGATTGTTGTCTGCCTGTATGTCTTCTTTACAAAAGTGTCTGTTCTTGCCCTTTGCCCACTTTGTAATGGGGTTATTGGTTTTTATCTTGTAAATTTAAGTTCCTTATTAAAAAAAAGTTCCTTATAGATGCCAGGTATTAGGCCTTTGTCAGATGCATAGTTTGCAAAAGTTTTCTCCCATTCTGTAGGTTATCTGTTTACTCTCTTGATAGTTTCTTTTTCTGTGCAATAGCTCTTCAGTTTAATGAGATACCATTTGTTAGTTTTTGCTTTTGTTGCAATTGCTTTCGGTGTCTTCATCATAAGATCTTTGCCTGTGTCCTGAATGGTATTGCCTAGGTTGTCTTCCAGGGTTTTTAGTTTCGGATTTTACATTTAAGTCTTTGATCCATCTTGAGTTAATTTTTGTACATGGTATAAGGAATGGGTCCAGTTTAAATCTTCTGTATATGGCTAGCCAGGTATTGCATCACTATTCATTCAATAGGGAATCCTTTCCCCATTGCTTGTTTTTGTCAGGTTTGTCGAAGATCAGATAGTTGTAGGTGTGTGGCCTTATTTCTGGGCTCTCTATTCTGTTCCATTCGTCTATGTGTCTGTTTTCGTACCAGTACCATGCTGTTTTGGTTATCGTAGCCCTGTAATATAGTTTAAAGTTGGGTAGCATGATGCCTCCAGCTTTCTTCTTTTTATTTTGGATTGCCTTAGCTATTTTGGCTCTTTTCTGCTTCCATATGAATTTAAAAAAAATTTTTCTTTTTTTAGTTCTGTGAAGAATATCAATGATAGTTTAATGGGAATAGCATTGAATCTAATAAATTGCTTTGGGCAGTGTGGCCATTTTAACAATATTGAGTCTTCTTATCCATGAGCATGGAGTGTTTTTCCATTTGTTTTTATCATCTCTAATTTCTTTGAGCAGTGGTTTGTAGTTCTCCTTATAGAGATCTTTTACCTCCCTAGTTGACTGTATTCCTAGGTATTTTATTCTTTTTGTGGCAATATGGAATGGGAATTTGTTCCTCATTTGCCTCTTCGCTTGACTGTTGTTGGTGTGTAGGAATGCTAGTGATTTTTGCACATTGATTTTGTATCATGAGATTTTGCTGAAGCTGTTTATCAGCTTAAGCTTTTGGACTGAGACAATGGGGTTTTCTAGATATAGGATCGTGTCATCTGCAAACAAGGATAGTTTGACTTCCTCCGTTTCTATTTGGATGTCCTTTATTTTTTTCTCTTGCCTGATTGCCCTGGCCAGGACTTCCAATACTATGTTGAATAGGTGTGGTGAGAGAAGGCATCCTTGTCTTGTGCCGGCTTTCAAGGATAAAGTTTCCAGCTTTTGCCCAGTCAGTATGATGTTGGCTGTGGGTTTGTCGTAGATGGCTCTTATTATTTTGAGGTATGTTATTTTAATACCTACTTTATTGAGAGTTTTTAACATGAAGGGATGTTGAATTTTATCAAAAGCCTTCTCTGTCTCTATTGAGATAATCATGTGGGGGTTTTTTGTCTTTAATTCTGTTTATGTGAGGAGTCACATTTATTTATTTGCATATGTTGAACCAACCTTCCATTCCAGAGATGAGACCTACTTCATCATGGTGGATAAGCTTTTTGATGTGTTGCTGGATTTGGATTGCCAGTATTTTGTTGAGAATTTTGCATTGATGTTCTTCAAGGATATTGGCCTCAAGTTTTCTTTGTTGTATCTCTTCCAGGTTTTGGTATCAGGATAATGCTGACCTCATAGAATGAACTGGGGGGGAGTCCCTCCTCAATTTTTTGGAACAGTTTCAGTAGGAATAGTACTAGCTCTTCTTTGTATACCTGATAGACTTCAGCTGTGAATCCTTCTGATCCTGGGCTTTTTTTGGTTGATTGGCTATTTATTACTGCATCCATTTCAGAGCTCATTATGGATCTGTTCAGGAATTCAGTGTCTTCCTGGTTCAGTCTTGGGAGGGTGTATGTGTCCAGGAATTTATCCACTTCTAGATTTTCTAGTTTATGTGCATAGAGGTATTCATAATATTCTCCAATTGTTGCTTGTATTTCTGTGCGTTCAGTGGTATTTTCTATTATTATGTAAACTAACTATTTTTGGACTATTTAAAAATGTATCTTTGAAACCTCTTGCCTTATGTAATACAGTACACAGATACTTACTTGCACAAAATAATGAAAACTATGAAGGCAAAAACCTCAGTGACTACTAATTGAGAAATAGGACATTGTCAGCATCCCAGAACCCTTTTGTCCGCTCCTGTTTATTTTGCTAATTACACTCCTTTCTCTGCATTTTATGATAAACTATTAATTTGACTTTTAAGAAGCGACTTCCTTTTCTTTATGGTTTTATCACTTAAGGGTCTGTTTCTAAACACCACATGTTAGTTAAACATGTCTAGTTTTGAACTTCATGTAAATGGAATCCTACTGTCTGCATTTTGATGGCTTCCTTCTATCAAAATTATGTTTTCGAGAATTTATGTTATACAGTTTTATTTCCATTACTGTATAATGTGCCATTGTATGAATTTGTCACAGTGGTATTTATCCATTCCACTGTTGATGGACATTTGGATTATTTTTATGAAAAATGTGCCTGTAAGCATGTATCCTGGTATTTGTGCAAAAATTTCTCTAGCAAGCAGAGTTCCTGGGTCATAACATATGTCTCTCTTTATCTTTTCTTGATAATGCTAAATAGTTTTCCAAAGAAATTGTACCAATTTGCATTTCTACCAGCAGTATATAAAAGTCTTGTTGCTTCCTTTCTTTCCAGCGCTTGTTATTATCAGACATTTTGATTTTTGCTACTTTTGTAGGTAGACAGTGCTATCTTGCCAAGATTTTAATGTACATTTGTTTTTTGGCAGATAGGTTGAGGCACCTTTTCATATTTATTGGCCATTTGGGTTTCTTCTTTTGTGACATGCCTGTTCAAATCTTTTGCACGTTTTTCTACTGATTGTTAGAATATCCTGTGTGTTCTGGACACTAGTCCTAGGTTATTCAAATGTATTAAACATATCTACTCCTGTTATTGAGCTGTGTTTTTATTGTCTTTTGGTTCTTTTGATGAACAAAAGTTCTTAATATTAGTATGTCAGATTTATCAATATTGTCTTTTATAAAGGTTGTTTTTGCTCTTCTTTTAAAATATCCCATCCCAAAGTAAAGAAGATATTCTCCTATATTCTTGAGGTTTTACTTTTAGTCTCTTGTCCATTTGGTATTAATTTTTTTTTTTTTTTTTTTTTTGAGATGAAGTTTTGCTCTTGTTGCCCAGGCTGTAGTGCAATGGTGCAGTCTTAGCTCACTGCAACCTCTGCCTCCTAGGTTCAAGCGATTCTTCCGCCTCAGCCTCCAGAGTATCTGGGGGATTATAGGCACGTGCCACCACACCCAGCTAATTTTTTGTATTTTTGGTAGAGATGGGGATCACCATGTTGGCCAGGTGGGTTTCGAACTCCTGACCTCAGGTGATCCACCTGCCTTGGCCTCCCAAAGTGCTGGGATTACAGGCCTGAGCCACCCCGCACCTGGCCTCTGCCTCATATTAATTAAAAAAAAAAAAAAAAACTAATACTAGGAGGCAAAGGTTGCAGGGAAGCAAAGGTTTCAGTGAGCCGAGATTGAGCCATTACGCTCCAGCCTGGGCAAAAGGAGCGAAACTCCGTCTAAAAAAAAAAAGTGAGGTAGAGACTTCATTTTGTTTTTCTTGCCCGTATAGATGCATAATTTCTTGAGTGTCGTTTATTGAAAAGACCAGTTTTAATAACTGTATTCTACCTACATACTGTGATTAACCACCCTTCCCTAAAACAGTGCTAAGAAAAGTTACTCAAAGCTGGTAAAATAGCACACTTCCCTCAAGTATCGGTTTTATTAAAACATTTCAGGGAACAAAAACATTAAAAAAAAATTTTTATAATCCTAAGTTTTTGTCCATACCTGTGCAAAAGATACTAAAAATATCTCTTGAAGAAAGGTAGTATATAAAATACTTTATGGTAAAATAATTTTTAAAGGAAATTTCAACCAGGCATGTCAATTATTACAATAGGTAAGAAATATCATGAAAATGATATTTGAGAACCAGAAGTAGGACCATTAATTATTTAATCTTAATTTTAAGTAAATAAATTATAAGCTCTTTTGGCCCAACATGTGACATTGAGTGATGTTATTTCTCAGTAAGCAGATGTGCTTATTAAGGTTTCTGCTTATAGCAGCCTGATAGTATTCCATCATGCTAACTCTCTGGCTATATTCTACTCTAAGCTCACCTTAGTGATTGATTGCCTCACGCAGTGAGTAAATACTTACTGTTTTTAACCACATTTATGTAAGTCTGGGTTCTCGGAAATAATGACACTAAAAAAAAATGAGAGAAATTGCCCGTGTATGGATCCTGATGCTAGCTGTCTTCAGTTCAGCTCAGTTCTTTTAAATTAGTAGACTCCATGACAGATACCCTGTGTATTAACTAATGCAGGTAGAAAACTCATTTCTCCTTAATATAATACATTATTTTCTAGTTATGATAAACATGGGCCATATGGAAAAAATTGAGAAGTCTTGAAGGTATTTCTTTCTAGTGCTAGGTGTATATCCCCCAGCACTGCATCCCTGGGAATTCACTTTTCTTTGATACTACAAAGTCGTAAATGGATACTTGGAGAACTGTACTCTAGAATAAATTAAATCATTTAGCTTATTTTCTATTCCATTCCCAGGAACTATGAAGAAACAGGATTGTTGAAAGTGATGATGTGGGTTGGATTTGGATCATCATTGGGAAGGTATTTAGGGAAGCAGTTAAGAGCAGTGTTAAAAGCATGGACCTAGAACTTACTGTTTTGTTATTGTGTGACCCTGGACAAGTTAATTAATTTCTCTGGGTGTCAGTTTCCTTATCAGTAAAATATAAGGTTTTGGCACATCCCGAAGAATTGTGTGGCTATTAAATGAAATATTGCAATCAGTAGGCAGTCAGCAAGTGTTGAAACAATATAATGCACCTGTTAAGAGCACAGGCTTTCTAGTTACGGGCCTGAATTCAAATTCCAAATAGATCATGTAGTAGCTGTGTGAGTTCACCAAGGTTTTATTAACCTTTGTAAGTTTCAGTTTCTTCCTTTGAAAAGTAGGATAGGATTACTCCCTTCAACCTCCTTCACAAGGGTACTAATTCCATTTCCAAGATTAGAGACCTCCTAAATTATTTCCCCAAAGGACCCACACCCAATGCTATCACACCGGGGATTAAGTTTCTACATGTAAATTTGGAGAGGGGCACACAAACATTAAGACCATAGCAGAAAGCTAATAAGAAAAAAAAAAATAAAACTCAGTGGGAATGACACCATAAATATTTGATGTGTGGGAATTTGATGTTTCTAACAAAATAGCATAACTATTTTAACTTTCTTTACAAAGTAGTAAACATATGCATACCCATACACACACACATACACACACACACACACATATACAAGTTGTTGTTTCTCTTTAACTTTTAGTTTTAGGGGCATATATGCAGGTTTGTTACTTAGGTAAGTTTTGTGTCATGGGGATTTGGTGTACAGGTTATTTCATCACCCAGGTAATAAGCGTAGTACCCAACAGGTAATTTTTCAGTCCTCAACCTCCTACCAAGGTCCACCCTCAGGTAGGCCTTGGTATCCATTGCTCTCTTCTTTGTGTTCATGTGTACTCATATTTAGCTCCCACTTACAAATGAGAAGTGGTATTTGGTTTTCTTTTCCTGCATTTGTTCACTTAGGATAATGGCCTCCAGTTCCATCCATGTTCCTGTAAAGGACATTGTATTAGTCTGTTTCATACTGCTATAAAGAACTGCCACATATTGGGCAATTTATAAAGGAAAGAGTTTAACCGACTCACAGTTCCATATGGCTGGGGAGGCCTCAGGAAACTTACAATCATGGCAGAAGGCAAAGGGGAAGCAAGGCACCTTATTTACAAGGCGACAGGAAGGAGAAGTGCTGAGCGAAGGGGAAAGAGCCCCTTATAAAACCATCAGATCTCGGCCGGGTGCAGTGGCTCACAACTGTAATCCCAGCACTTTGGGAAGCCAAGGCAGGTGGATCACTTGAGGTCAGGAGTTTGAGACCAGCCTGGCCAACATGGTGAAACCCCGTCTCTACTAAAAATACCAAAAAAAAAAAAAAAAAAAAAAAAATTAGCTGGGTGTGGTGGTGGGTGCCTATAATCCCAGCTACTCAGCAGGCTAAGGCAGGAGAATTGCTTGAACCTGGGAGGCAGAGGTTGAAGTGAACTGAGATCACGCCACTGCATGCCAGCCTGGGCAACAGAGCGAGGCTCCATCTCCGAAAAAAAAAACCAGATCTCATGAGAACTCACTCACTATCACAAGAACAGCTTGGGGAAAACCACCTCTATGGTTCAGTTACCTCCACCTGGCCTCTCCCTTGACACGTGGGGATATTGGGTATTACAATTCAAGATGAGATTTGGGTGGGGACACAAAGCCTAATCATATCAGACATGATCTCATTCTTTTTTATGGCTAATATTCCATGGTGTGTGTGTGTATGTATGTGTGTATATATATCACATTTTCTTTATCCAGTCCACCGTGAATGGGCACCTGGATTGAGTCCATGTCTTTGCTATTGTGAATAGTGCTGTGATGAACATACATGTGCGTGTGTCTTTATGGTAGAACAATTTATATTCCTTTGGGAATACACCCAATAATGGGATTTCTGCGTCAAATGGTAGTTCTAAGTTCTCTGAGAAAGCATCACAACTGCTTTCCACAGTGGCTGAACTAACTTACTTTCCCACCAACAGTATATAAGCAATCCCTTTTCTCAACAACTTCACCAGCATCTGTTCATTTTTGACTTTTTAATGATAGCCATTCTGACTTGTATGAGATGGTGTCTCATGTAACTCATTGATTTGGATCAGTGAGATCAATGGTATCTCATTGCTATGGATTTCTCTAATGGTTAGTGGTGTTGAGCATTTTTCACATGCTTGTTGTCCACATATATGTTATCCTTTTAGAGGTGTCTGTCTGTGTCCTTTGCCCACTTTTTCTTTGTTTTTTTGTTTGTTAATTTGTTAAGTTCCTTATAGATCCTGGATATTAGACTTGTGTTAGATGCATAGTTTGCAAATATTATCTCCCATTCTGTGGGTGGTCTTTTTACTCTGTTCATAGTTTCTTTTCCTGTGCAGAAACTCTTTAGTTTAATTAGATCCCATTTGTCAATTTTTGTTTTTGTTGCAGCTGATTTTGTGATCTTAGTTGTGAAATCTTTGCCAGGGTCTATGTCCAGAAGGGTATGTCCTAGGTTTTCTTCTAGGGTTTTTATAGTTTGAGATTATATATTTAAGTCTTTAATCCATTTTGAATTGATTTTTTTATATGGTGTAAGAAAGGCGTCCAGTTTCAATCTTCTGCATATGGCTAGCCAGTTGTCACAGCACCGTTTATTGCACAGGAATCCTTTACCCATTGCTTGATATTGTTGACTTTGTCAAAGATTAGATGGCTGTAGGTGAGCAGCTTTATTTCTGGGCTGTCTATTCTATTCCATTGGTCTATGTATCTGTTTTTATACCAGTACCATGCTGTTTTGGTTATGATATTAGTCTGTTCTCACATTGTTATAAAGAAATAACTGAGACTGGGTAACTGATACAGAAAAGAGGTTTAGTTGGAAGCATGATTCTGTCATCTGCTCAGCTTCTGGGGAGGCCTCAGGAAACTTATAGTCATGGTGGAAGGCAAAGGGGGAGCAGGCACTTCACATGGCCAAAGCAGGAGCCGAGAGAGAGAGTGCCACACACTTTTAAACAAACAGATCTCACAAGAATTCACTGTCACAAGGACAGCACCAAGAGGTTTGGGGCTAAACCATTCATAAGAAG
This sequence comes from Homo sapiens, assembly GCF_000001405.40. Classification (NCBI taxonomy): domain Eukaryota; kingdom Metazoa; phylum Chordata; class Mammalia; order Primates; family Hominidae; genus Homo; species Homo sapiens. The sequence continues at coordinate 76,557,477 of NC_000015.10, read as the reverse complement.
CCCACATGATCCAGTCACCTCCTATGAGGCCCCACCTCCAGCACTGGGGATTACAATTCAACATGAAATTTGGTGGAGACACAGAGCCAAACTATATCAGCTACTATAGCCTTGTAGCATAGATTGAAGCTGGGCAATGTGATATCTCCAGCTTAGTTCTTTTTGCTTAGCACTGCTTTGGCTATTGGGGCTCTTTTTGGTTCCATATGAATTTTAAAATAGATTTTTTTTTTTAATTCTGAGAAGAATGGCATTGGTACTTTGATAGGAATAGCATTGAATCTGCAAATTGCTTTGGGCAGTATGGCCATGTTAATATTGATTCGTCCTGTGGATGAGCATGGAATGTTCTTCCATTGTTTGTGTCATTTCTGATTGCTTTCAGCAGTGTTTTGTCAATTTCTTTGTAGAAATCTTTCACCTCTCTATTTAACTACATTCCTAGATTCTTTATATTTTTTGTGGCTATTGTGAATGGATTACACTCTTGATTTGGCTTTCATGTGGGATGTTGCTGGTGTATAAAAATGCCTCTGATTTTTATACATTGATTTTTCTTTTATCCTGACACTTCCTTGAAGGTGTTTATTAGACATAGGAGCTTTTGGGCAGACTGTGGGATTTTTTAGATATAGAAGCATATTGTCTGCAAAGAGAGATAATTTGACTTCCTCTCTTCCTATTTGGATGCCTTTTATTTTTTTCTCATGCCTGATTGCTGTGGCTTTTTTTTTGGTTTATAGGCTTATTACTGATTCAATTTCAGAACTCATTATTGGTCTGTTCAGTCTTTCAGTTTCTTCCTGGTTCATCTTGGGAGGTTGTATGTTTCCAGGAATTTATCTGTTTCTTCTAGGTTTCCTAGTTTGTGTGCATAGAGGTGTTCATAATAATTTCTGAGGGTTTTTTGTACATCTGTGGGTTAGTGATAATGTCCCCATTGCCATTTCAGATTGCATTTATTTGGATCATCTCTGTTTTTGTTTATTAGTCTAGCTAGTGATCTAGCAATTGTATTTTTTCTTTTAAAGAACCCACTTCTGAATTTACTGATCTTGTGTATGGTTTTTCAGATTTCAATTTCATTCAGTTCAGCTCTGATTTTGTTATTTCTTGTTTTCTCCTAGCTTTTGGGTTGATTTGCTCTTGTTTTTCTAGTTCATTCTGGTGTGGTGGTAGGTTAACGCTATAAACTTCCCTCTTACACTGCTTTAACTGTGTTGCACAGATTCTGGTATGTTGTATCTTTGTTCTCATTAGTTTCAAAGAATTTCATTTCTGCCTTATTTTCATTGTTTAGCCAGAAGTTGTTCAGAAGCAGGTTGTTTCATTTCCTTGTGATTATATGGTTTTCTATGCTTGCTTCAGCAGCACATGTACTATGTATATGGTTTTCAGTGGCCGTCCTAGTATTCATTTCTCTTTATTGCACTGTGGTCTGAGAGTATGGTCAGTATGATTTTGGGATTTTTTAATTTGCTGAGAATTGTTTTATGGCTGATTGTGTGGTCAGTTTTCCAGTATGTACCATGTGCAAATGAGAAGAATGTATATTCTGTTATTTGGGGGAGGACAGTTCTGTTCATGTCTATTAGGGTCATTTGGTCAAATGTTGAGATCAAGTTACAAACATCTTTGTTAGTTCTTTGCCTCAATGATCTGTCTAATACTGGTGGTGCAGTGTATTGAAGTCTCCCACCATTATTATGTAAGTTTCTTTCTAGGTTCCTAAGAACTTGTTTCATGAATCTGGGTGCTCCTGTGTTGGGTGCATATATATTTAGGATAGTTAAGTCTTCTTGTTGAATTGAATCCTTTACTATTATGTATGCCCTTCTTTGTCTTTTTTGATCGTTGTTGTTTTAAACTCTGCTTTGTCTGAAATTAGAAAGCAACCCCTGCTTTTTCTTCTGTTTTCTGTTTGCTTGGTTGGTAGATTTTTCTCCATCTTTTTTTCTTTGAGGCTATGGGTGTCATTGCATGTGAGATGAGTCTCTTGAAGACAGCATGCAGTTGGGTCATGCTTCTTTATCCAACTTACCACTCTATGCCTTTTAATTGGGGCATGTAGCCTATTTCCATTCAAGGTTAGTATTGATATGGGCAGATTTGATCCTGTCATCTTGTTGTTAGCTAGTTATTATGCATACTCAATTGTGGAGTTGCTTTGTAGTGTTAGTGGTCTATGTACTTAAGTGTGTTTTTATGGTGGCTGGTAATGGCCTTTCTATATTTAGCACTCCCATAAGGACCTTTCGTAGAGGAGTTCTGCTGGTAATGAATTCCCTTAGAATTTGCTTATATGAAAAGGATGTTATTTCTCTTTGGCTTATGAAGCTTAGTTTGGCTGGATATGAAATTCTTTATTGAAGTTTTTTTTAAGAATGCTGAATATATGGCTGGGTGCAGTGGCTCACACCTGTAATCCTAGCACTTTGGGAGGCCAAGGTGGATGGATCACTTGAGGTCAGGAGTTCGAGACCAGCCTGGCCAACATGGCAAAACCCTGTCTCTACTAAAAATACAAAAATTAGCTGGGCATGTTGGCACGTGCCTGTAATCCCAGCTATCAGGAGGCTGAGGCAGGAGAATCACTTGAACCCCGTAGGCAGAAGTTGCAGTGAGCCGAGATCATGCCACTACCACTGCACTCCAGCCTGGTGACTCTGTCTCAAAAAAAAAAAAAAAAGAATGCTGAATATAGGCCCCCAATCTCTTCTGCCTTGTAGGATTTCTGCTGAAAGGTTCACTGTTACCCTGATGTGATTCCCTTTGTAAGTGGCCTTACCCCTTCTCTCTAGCTGCCTTTTCTGTTTCTTTCTTTTTTTATTTTATGTCGACCTTGGAGACATGAAAAATAGCCAAAGCAATGATAAGTAGAAAGAACTTAAGCTGGAGGTATCATACTACCCAACTTCAAACTATACTATACTTGGAGAATCTGATGACTGTGTGTCTTGAGGGATGGTCATCTTGTATACTGTCTCACAGTGGTTCTCAGCATTTCCTGAATTTTAATTTTATTCCTATCTAGAGAGTTTGGGGAAATTTTCATGGATGATATTCTCAAATATGTTTTCCAGGTTGCTTGCTTTCTCTCCCTCTCTTTCAAGGATGTCAGTGAGTTGTAGACTTAGTATCTTTATGTAATCCCATATTTCTCAGAGGTTTTGTTCATTCTCTAATGGTTTTTCTTTATTTTTGTCTCACTGAGTTATTTTGGAGAACCAGTCTCCAAGCTCTGAGATTCTTTCCTCAGCTTGGCTGATTGTGCTGTTAATACTTGGCGATTGTCTTATGAAATTCTTGTAGTGTATTTTTCAGCTCTATCAGATCAGTTTGGTTCTTTCTTAAAATGACCATTTCATCTTTTAGCTCCTGTATTGTTTTATTGTATTCCTTAGATTCCTTGGATTGGATTTTGACTTTTTCCTGAATCTTGATGGTCTTCATTCCTGTCTACATTCTGAATTCTGTGTCTGTCATTTCAGCCGTTTGAGCCTGGTCAAAAAACATTGCTAGGGAACTGATGTAGTCATTTGTAGTTAAGAAGTCACTCTGGCTTTTTGAGTTGCCAGAATTCTTGCACTAGTTCTTTCTCATCTGTGTGGGCTGATGTTCCTTTAATCTTTGAAGTTGCTCCTTTGAATGAGTTTTTTTTTGTTTTTATCTTTTTTGATGATCTTTGAGTTTGACTGTAGTATAATGTGGGTTCTGTTGACTGGCTTTGATTCTGGAAGATTTCAAAGGGCCAAGGCTCAGCTCAGGACTCCTTGGCTGTGTGCTCTTACTCTCGGGGGCTGGGACCAAGCCCTTGGCTTTGTTCTCCATCCCCTTGAGTTTAGGAACCTGCTGTGCTGGAGGGGCCTAGGTATTCCCTAGTCTCCTGGCCCCAGTATTCCATCGGGTTGTGCCAGCCAAAGTGCTTTGTAGGGGCAGTGGCAGTGGGATCTGTGCTCATTCATGTGTGCTAGCAACTGTGGTGGCACAGCAAGATGCACATCATCAGCTGTAGGGGACACCTGTGGGAGTGGGGCAGAAACATCCATACATACATTCCCGCCATCTGTGGTGACACTGCGGGGTGTCCACGTGTTGGCCATGTGGTGACAGGGGTACTGGCATCTATGCCTGTACTTGTGCTGGCAGGGGCAGGGGCACCGGTGTCCATATACACACTCAGTTGGCACAGGTAGAGTGCCAGCAGGGGCTGGGTTCTGGCATCTGCACAGGCACTTGCAATGCAGCAGCATGCTCTACGTGGTGGACTGCCTGTGCCTCAGCTGGGTTGGATAGAGGAGGAGTGTGTGCACATATGTGCACCATCCAGGGAAGGGAGACAGGGTCCACCCACACCCATAGCCAGCATAGCAGTAGGGGGTGGGGGGTGCTGTGGGCAAGTGCATGCCAGCAAAGCGGCAGAGGGAAAGTTTCAATGGGAGAGAGACTGTCAGTGGACTGGGGACCTATCTGCTGGAGTTCTCCAACAGGTAAAAGCGGTCTGCCAACAAAGGAGCTATGATGAGGGTCCCTGGGAAGCACTCTGGTTGAACATTGGAAGCGGCCCAGTAAGAAGGCATGGCCAGACTGGGGTCCCTGGAGAGTCTAGCAAGTAGTGCGAGCGCTATGATCGGACTAACCATGGGCAAGTCTGCCCTGCTCTGTTCAGGTTAAACAGTCTCTCAAAGGCTAAAGCCATCTAGCAGTGCTTGACGTTCCTGGCTGGGGGTGGGGGCAGGCATGGACATCCCTGGCCATGCTGCACTGCATCAGTTCCTGCAGCAAACCCCTAGACTGCGTATGGGCTGGAGTCCTGCTCTGCTACTTTTCTGTGCAGCTGTCCCTGCCAACTCAGGTGTCCATGGGGGTCATGAGTTCTCCTGCAGCTAGGAATTCTAAAGGTCCATGGCAAGAGGGGGCCAGTGCTTACCTATTCAACTCACCTTTTCCCAGGAGTCAGTTGGGGTCCAGGAGCCTGTCCCGGTGTTTGACCAACCCTGCGCAGGGTTCTCAGCTTCATCCCCCTTCAGTCCAGTGTCCACATCCTCCATCTATCCACTCTCAATGCCTTCCCTCCGATGATCTGCTCAGAGTGTGCCAGTCTTGCGGATGTGCAGTCCTTTAGTGGGAAATACTCCTGCCGGGTGTGTCTACTTGCCCATCTTGAATTCCTCTCTTATTTTGTTTTGTTTGTTTTGAGATAGGGTCTCATTCTCTTGCCCAGGTGGGAGTGCAGTGACGCAGTCAGCTCACTGCAACCTCAAACTTCTGAGCTCAAGGGATCCTCCTGCCTCAGCCCACCTAATAGCTGGGACTACAGGCATGTGCTACCATGCTTGGCTCGTTTTTAAATTTGTAGAAACAGGATCTCTTTTTGTTGCCCAGGCTGGTCCTGAACTCCTGGGCTCAAACAATTTTCTTACCTCAGCCTCCCAAACTGCTGGCGTTACAGGCATGAGCCACCATGCCCAGCTTCCCTCTCCTGTTCTTTACAACCTGCAGGTCACAGGGCTATGGAGGCTACAGGAGAACCAACTAGGCCTCCCAGGCCAAAGAAAGAGGAGCAATGGAAACTGACCAAGCAACAGACATGTAGGCATGAGAGACAAATCTAGCTGAAGTTGTATTTTATATATAATTGACTCATAATAATTGCACATATTTATGGGGGTACAGTGTGATATTTTAATACATGTATATATATTGTGTACTGATGAAATCAGTGTAGTTAGCATATCCATCACCTCAAACATTTCTTGTTTCTTTGTGATGAGAACAATCAAAATCTTCTACTAATTTTGATATACAGAGTATTGTTAACTATGGTCACCCTACTGTGCAATAGAATGCCAGAACTTATTCCTCGTATCTAACTGTAATTTTGTAACCATTGACCAATCTCTTCTCATCTCCTCCTCTCTGCTACCCTCCCCAGTAGCCAGTATTCTACCCTGTACATCTGTGAAATCTGTTTTTTTAGATTCCACAAATGAATGAGGTCATACAGTATTTGTCTTTCTCTGCCTGGCATATTTCACTTAACATAATGTCCTCCAAGTGTATCCAGGTTGCCATAATGACAGGATTTCATTCTTTTTTGTGGCTGAATAGTATTCCATTATGTATAGACATCTCAGTTTTTTATCCATCCATTCATTGATGGACACTTAGGTTGATTCCATATCTTGGCCATTTTGAATAGTACTGCAATAAACATAGGAGTGCAAATATTTCTTTGACATACTGATTTCATTTCCTTTGGATAAGTAGCCACTAGCAGGATTGCTGGGCCATACAGTAGTTCTATTTTTAGTTTTTTGAAGAACCTCCATACTGATTTTCATAATGGCTCTACTAATTTATGTTCCTGCCAACAGTGTGAAAGTGTTCCCATTTCTCTACATCTCTGTTAGCATTTGTTATTTTTTGCATTTCTGATAATAGCCATTCTAGATGGGGTCAGAGGATATATCTCTTTGTAGTTTTGGATTGCATTTCCCTGATGATTAGTGATGTTGAGAATTTTTTTTATATACCTGTTGGCCATTTGTACGTCATCTTTTGAGAAATGTCACATCTCATACCAGTCAGAATGGCGATTATTAAAAAGTCAAGAAACAATAGATGCTGGTGAGGCTATAGAGAAATAGGGGTGCTTTTACACTGTTGGTGGAAATGTAAATTAGCTCAACCATTGTGGAAGACAGTGTGGCAATTCCTCAAAGATCTAGAACCAGAAATACCATTTGACCCAGCAGTCCCATTACTGGGAATATAACCAAAGGAATATGAATCATTCTGTTACAAAGATACATGCACACGTATGTTTATTGCAGCATTATTTGCAATAAAAAAGATACGGAATCAACCCAAATGCCCATCAATGATAGACTGGATAAAGAAAATGTGGTACATTAACACCATGGAATACTATGCAGCCATAAAAAGGAACGAGATCATGTCCTTTGCAGGGACATGGATGGAACTGGAAGCCATCATCCTCAGCAAACTAACATAGGCACAGAAAACCAAACACCGCATGTTCTCAGTTATAAGTGGAAGCTGAGCAGTGAGAACACATGGACACATGAAGGGGAACAGTATGCAGTGGAGCCTGTCAGGGGTCGGGGAGGGAGAGCATCAGGATAAATAGCTAATGCATGCTGGGCTTAATACCTAGGTGATGGGTTGACAGGTACAGCAAACCACCATGGCACACACTTACCTATGTAACAGACCTACATGTCCTGCACATGTATCCTGAAACTTAAAATAAATTTTTATTTAAAAAAGAAGAAATGTCTGTTCAGATCTTTTGTCAATTTTTAAATTGGGTTATTTGGGTTTTGTTTTGTTTTGTTTTGTTTTTTACTGTTGGGTTATTTGAGTTCCTTATACATTCTGGTTATTAACCCCATGTCAAAAGCGCGTTTGCATCTATTTTCTTTCATTCTCTAGGTTGCCACTTCCTCTATTAACCGTTTCCTTTGTTATGCAGAAGTTTTTTAGCTTGATGTCTGTTTGTCTGATTTTGCTTTTGTTACTTGTGTTTTTGAGATACTCTTCAAAAAATCCTTACTTACATTAATGTCATGAAGCATTTCCCCTATGTTTTCTAGTAGTTTTAGAGTTTCAGATCTTATATTTAAATCTTTCATCCATTTTGAGTTGATTTTTGTATATGATGAGAGATAGGGGTCTAGTTTCCTTAATCTCATCCTTTTTTTTGTTTTTACACTTTAAGTTTTAGGGTACATGTGCACAACGTGCAGGTTAGTTACGTATGCATACATGTGCCATGTTGGTGTGCTGCACCCATTAACTCGTCATTTAACATTAGGTATATCTCCTAATGCTATCCCTCCCCTTCCCCCTACCCCACAACAGTCCCCAGAGTGTGATGTTCCCCTTCCTGTGTCCATGTGTTCTCATTGTTCAGTTCCCACCTATGAGTGACAACATGCAGTGTTTGGTTTTTTGTCTTTGAGATAGTTTGATGGTTTCCAGCTTCGTCCATGTCCCTACAAAGGACATGAACTCATCATTTTTTATGGCTGCATAGTATTCCATGGTGTATATGTGCATATTTTCTTAATCAGGTCTATCATTGTTGGACATTTGGGTTGGTTCCAAGTCTTTGCTGTTGTGAATAGTGCCGCAATAAACATATGTGTGCATGTGTCTTTATAGCAGCATGATTTATAATCCTTCGGGTATATACCCAGTAATAGGGTTGCTGGCTCAAATGGTATTTCCAGTTCTAGATCCCTGAGGAATCGCCACACTGACTTCCACAATGGTTTTGCATCAATGTCTTCTTTTGAGGAGTGTCTGTTCATATCCTTTGCCCACTTTTTGATGGGGTTGTTTGGTTTTTTCTTGTAAATTTGTTTGAGTTCTTTGTAGATTCTGGATATTAGCCCTTTGTCAGATGAGTAGATTGCAAAAATTTTCTCCCATTCTGTAGGTTGCCTGTTCACTCTGATGGTAGTTTCTTTTGCTGTGCAGAAGCTCTTTAGTTTAACTAGATCCCACTTGTCAATTTTGGCTTTTGTTGCCATTGCTTTTGGTGTTTTAGACATGAAGTCCTTGCCCATGCCTATGTCCTGAATGGTATTGCCTAGGTTTTCTTCTAGGGTTTTTATGGTTTTAGGTCTAACATTTAGGTCTTTAGTCCATCTTGAATTAATTTTTGTATAAGGTGTAAGGAAGGGATCCAGTTTCAGCTTTCTACATCTGGCTAGCCAGTTTTCCAAGCACCATTTATTAAATAGGGAATCCTTTCCCCATTGCTTGTTTTTGTCAGGTTTGTCAAAGATCAGATGGTTGTAATAGCAACAAAAACTATGCCTAAGAATAAATCTTTTAACCCTTTTCCCATTTGCCTTGAGAATACTCACCAGTGGCGCTTACAGATGCAGTGTTTACCCCAAGATAACTTTGCCACGAAATATCTTGCTTTTATTATTATTTTCACGTTGCTCTACTATATCAACTTGGGAAACAAAACATCATTCTATTTATAGCATTCTCCTTTTCATAGTGGTATTTCCATCTACAAAATACAGTAATTCCTAATCGCCGAAAATGTCAAATCCTAGAAAATGTGGCATTCCTATTTGTGATGGTAACATCATTCTTGAACAGTTGTTGGCCCAAGATTCATTTGATGAAGCTGATTTTTCCAAAATAGGCAATTCTGATTATTCAATTCTAATGTTCTGTTTAGAAGTAACTCCACAAACAGTTTTTATATTTTATTTTCACATTGAAAATCAGGTTAATTTGCTTCAGCCTCAAAGAGCGTGTTTATGTAAAATTAAATGAGCGCTAGCAGCAAGCTGCACTTTTTTTTTCTGAACGGGAAAAGGGCTAAAAGAAATAAGATTTTATGAATAAAATTATAAAATTCTGTTGAAAGCACATTTAACAAAATGGAGATCCAGGATGCTCATAGTTTGATAAACTCAATACAATAAAGCTGTTAAGTCCCCATAACTTAAATCATAAGTAAGATTCAATCAAAACAGCAATAGACATTTTCATGGAATATTACAAAATGATTCTAAAAGTTCAGAAAAATAAATGAGTGAGAATAACCAAACCAATTTTAAAGAAGAAATAAACAAGACTTTTTAAAGCTCTAGTAATTAAAAGTTTTTTATTAGTACAAATAGATAGATTATTGGAAAATATTAGCCCACAAATGGTTTGACCTGTGTATGCATATGTGTATATATACAACATACATGACCCGTCTCATCAATCAATCAATGAGTGGATGTATGGATAGAGTAAGTGAGCAAATGAATAACCACACCATACACAAAAATTAACTCCAGAGTGAGTTAAATACCTATATGTGAAAAAGCAGAACTTTTAACATTTAGAAGAAATATATTTTATGATATCAGGTAGAAAAGAATTTGAGATCCCGAAATCACTATTAATTAAGGTAGTGTGATTGATCATATTAAACTAAAAAAATTCTTCAGAAAGTAATGCAGCATAAACAAAGTTGGATACCAAAGAATATAAAGAAGATATTTACAACATATATAACTGGCAAATGGGTTAGTACAAATATATTAAAAAGTATCCTACAAATCTTTAAGTCAGCTCCTTAGAAAACTGGAAAAGCCATAGAAAAAGAAATCCACGTGGCTAATAAATATTTCAATAGGTGCTCAATCTCATTAATAATCAGAGGTCTATGAACTTAAAAGAACATTTTAGTCCCACTTCTTTGGCAAAAATTGAAAGTTCAAAATACTAAATATGGGAAAGCATATGGGGAAACGGAAACCTGTACACTGCTGGTGAGAGTGTAAATGGAAACCCACTCTGAAGAGCAAGTTCCGGTAAAGTTGAAGCTGTGCATTCCCTATTCAACCCCAAAATCTCCATTTCTAGGCTTATACTTTGGAGAAAATTTTGTAGTTGAATGTGGTGAGATCTGTACAAGGATGTGTGTTGCATCATCATTTTAATAACAGAAATCTGAAAACAACCTAAATGTTCATCAGTGGAAAAATGGCAGAAAGGAAGGGGATAAGTTTGTAGCATTGTCACAGAATAGAATACCATTGAACAGGTCATTGACTCATTTATTTAAAAAACATTAATGAACTATCCACTGTATGCCAGATACCTTTCTAGATACTGAGGATATGATGATAAACAAGACAAATACTTTTAAGTCGTAAAACTTAAGTTCTAGAAGTCTACTTACAGTGTGCTACCATTATGTAACACTTGAAAATACTTAAGGAAATGCTGTACTTCTTAGCAGAGAGAGAATGCATTTGTGTGTGACAGACAGAGAGAGAGAGAGGGAGAGAGAGAGAGAGAAGTATAAAAGCATCAAAAAGAAAAATACCAATTTAGGATAGTCCTTACCCCTGTGAAATGTAGGAAATTGGGATTGGGTGGGGGCAGGGGTATTAATCCTATTCTGTTTTATTTCTTTTTAAAAAACAATAAAGCATGGTCAGACATGATGGCTAATGCATGTAATCACAGCACTTTGGGAGGCCAAGGTGGGAGGATTCCTTGAGCCTAGGAGTTCGAGACCAGCCTGGGCAACAAATTTTTTTTTAGAAAAGCACAGTTGAAAAAACATCTTTAGATGTAGACAGTAGGTACATAGATTTTGGTTATATTATCTTTTTCTTATATTTGAAATATCTCATAATTAATATTTTTAATTTAAAAAGGAGTGGTACTCAATAACATAAAACATCCTGGTCTTATATTTTCATCATTTGTACTTCATACTTTCACTACCCTGGGGTGTATCTTGGTGTGTAGATTTTTCCTGGGAAGGGTACTAAACCTGCTGGTAAGCAGTACTCTACCATTTAGGGTCTTGTTTTGAAATTTTACTCTAGGCCTAGTTTAGTCCTACTGTCAAGGCATAGCTATTTTTGGGTTTCTTCTGTGCGTTCTGGATGTTGAGCTAGGACTTTCCGCTGGCTGATCAGGACTTCAGTTTCTCCCTGCCCTGTGTGAGCTCTGGGAATATTTTTTTAGGGGATGGGAGATGTCTTTTTTTATGTCTGTTTTTTGCCTTATGGAGTTTCATCCACACAAGCATGACTTAATATCAGCAGTAGAGTTAAATAGAATTCCAGGCAAATTTCTATAGTTAATTTCTCTGTGTTGCTCCATCTTTTCTGGTATTCTGTTCCACATATTCCATCTAACTTCACCTTCCTGAACTCTTATTTCTGTCTTCTCGACTTACTGAGACCACTGTCCTTTGCATCTCCTTCCCTTCACAGTAGTCTTCAAAAAGCCAGGGTGATTATGAAGCTCACATCATTTATTTCCCTTCCCCTAGGCATCACAGTCCTGAGATAGCTATTATCTTAACGTCTAAAAATAGTTGTTTCATATATTTTATCCAGGGTTCTCGTTATTGACATTAGAAAGCTTAGCCTGGTCCCAGTTACTCTCAATGGCCAGAGGTGGAATTGATGATATATTTTTCTCGTCTAAAAATGTCTGTTTTCTAACCATGTACACTATAACGGCATCAAAGGAACCTTTATAAGGCAGCCCAGTAGCAATATTGTGGTCCCTAAGTATTCTTCTTAAAATGAACCAGCGTCATTGGGCAAGCAGTTGCATCTCTAGCACAGAATGTTCAGGATGAGCCAGAGATATTTTCTTGTGCCAGTTAACAAGGAAGTTATGAAGTGCTGAGTTCTTGTCAAAAGAACACAAGAACTACCCTAAAGAGGTTGTTGCCATTGCCCACAATAACCATTAGAGCATCAAGAATAATGACTATGGTTTTACATCAAACACATTAAAGATATAAAAATCCGTGAATTCATAATGTTAATTTAAGAGGAAAAAAATCTCATTGGCCCCCATTGAAGGTTTCTAGGGTACTAAGTTGTTATTCTAAAAATTGGTAAGTTATGGGAAGAAGCCAAGTATTTATCATGCCTTGCTTATATAAGTTGTATTTCAGGGTAGCCAAGTAGTTGATGTTAATCAGTTCAGAAAGACTGATAAAGATATGACACCACTATATTGTAAATTCTCTAATGAAGTAATGAGTCTAGGTAACAACCATCAGTGTATACCAAAACCATTGAGTGTTTGGCTAATTGGGATCTTCCATATATCAACCTTAAAGAGATTTAATTCATATACCATACAAGTTACTATTTAAAATATCCAATTTTTGTTTTTTGGTATAGTCAAAGAGTTGTGCAACCATCAGCACAATCAATTTTAGAAGATTTTCATCACCCCAGAAAGAAACCCTGTACCCATTGCCAGTCACGCCCCATTTCCCACTAACCTCCCAATCCTGGGCAACCATGAATCTACTTTCTGTCTATATAGATTTGTCTATTCTGGACATTTTATATGAATAAAATTATTCGATATGTGGTCTTTTGTGACTGGCTTCTTTCACATTAGATAAATTTCAAGGCTCATCTACATTATAGCTTGTATCCGCATTCTGTTACTTTTTATTGCTGAATAATAGTCCACTGTATGTATACAGTAGTATTCCATTGTATAGGACATTTCATTTTGTTGATAGACATTTGAGTTGTTTCTGCTTTTGGCTGTTAATAATACTGCCACAACTACTCATGTACAAATTTTTATATGAACAGATGTCTTCTTCAGGGTACATTTCTAGGAATGGAATTGCCAAGTTGTATGGTAATTCTGTACTAAACTTGCAAGAAACTGGCAAATTTTTCCAAAGCACCTGTTTCACTTTACATTTTCATTAGCAGTGTGTGAAGAAGATTCCCATTTTTCTACGTCCTTGTTATTGTCTTTTTAAATATAGCCATCCTAGTGGGTGTGAAATGGTATCTCATAGTTTTGATTTACATTTCCCTAATGACTAATGATATTGAGTATCTTTTCATATACATTTCAGCCATTTATGTATCTTCTTTTGAAAAATATATTCAAATATTTTACCCATTTTTAAACTAGGTTTTTCTAAAAATTTGAGTTGTAGGTGTCCTTTTTGTGTTCTGGATATATAAGTCCCTTAGAAATGTTATCTGCAAATATGTCCTCCCATTGTCTGGGTTGTCTTTTCACTTCTTGATGATGTCTTTGAAGCAAATAAGTTTTAATTTTGATAAAGGTCAGTTTATCTGTTTTTCATTTTGCTTGCTGATGGTTTTGGTGTCATATCTAAGAAATCATTGCATAAGCCAAGGTCATGAGTTGGAGGTCACAGCATTCATGGCATTAGGGAATTCCCTACCTTATTTCCAACCTATCTTGCAGCTGTGGCACAGGCATATGATATAGGTTCCTCCACTTTGAAGCATCCATGCCAGATTTTGTATCAGAGTCTAGGGAGGTAAGGAAGAAAAGCACTGCAAAAAAATCCATTTTGGTAAGGGTAGCAGATATATCTAGTTTCCAGATTTCAGCATTGGTAGGAGTTAGGGGTAACATGCAGCTTCTGTCCACAGTGCAAACCACAGTGCTATGCCCAGCAGTTTGAAACCACGGAGTGTACACTTAAAATCTTTCTCTTACCATCAGTAATTCATTGCTGAAATGAATCCATTCTGTGTGAGAATTCTAATTGAGAGTCTACTTCCTGTATTTTAAATAAGAAAAAACTGCATTACATGTCAACCTTAAACCTACAACCAATTTCCTAAACTGTATAAACTGTACTAAAACACAGTAAAATGCATATGTAAGTAATAAGCATACATATTAGGATATAAAATGCTTAAAGCATCAAAATAATTCATATAGTTGCGAATGGTTTCCTTTGCATGCAGTAACATATTACACCTCCCCTTTGTTGACACTCAATGCATTTTTTCAAAATGTCTACATGTGATTGTGACATTCTACAAACTGTATTAGAAATGTAATTCAACATACATACTATTTAAAATCTATGGAGATATACAACTATTATGTACCCATAATTATTTTTAAAAATTAAAAAAATGTACTGAGTTTGGGGTATATATATATTTTTCTGTATACTAAACAACTGAAAAACTTTGTATTGAGAACTAAGTATGTCCTATAAAGTTTGAGTATTAAAAACCAAGAGGCATTTTACGAGGAAAATATTAAGCATGGAAACTTTCTGCAGAGGTATGCCTGTATTAATCAAGCACGTGTAACATACTTGGCACCGTACAAAGGGTGCACATGATGTCTATAAGTTTATGTTTCAAGTAAAACACAGTTGTGTTTCATAACCATGACTTAGCTACCCCAAGACTTATATAAAGAGTAAAAAAAGCAAAATTCTTCTTATATAGTCTTCCTTTTTCTTTAATAAGCTAAGCTGTACCTACACCTCTCTTTTTAAGGAAGGTTGTAAAATCATCTTATCCCAAAACTTGTGTAGGGGTTGTGGATTCTTTTTTTTATTTTATTTTATTTTATTTTATTTTATTTTTATTTATTTATTTATTTTTGAGATGGAGATGGAGTCTCGCTCTTGTCGCCCAGGCTGGAGTTCAGTGACGTGATCTCAGCTCATTGCAACCTCTGCCTCCCAGGTTCAAGCGATTCTCCTGCCTCAGCCTCCCAAGTAGCTGGGATTACAGGTGGCCACCACCACATCCAGCTAATTTTTGTATTTTTAGTAGACATGGGGCTTCACCATGTTGGCCAGGCTGGTCTCTAACTCCTGACCTCAAATGATCTGCCTGCCTCAGCCTCCCAAAGTGCTGAGATTACAGGTGTGAGCCACTGCCCCCAGCCAGAGTTGTGGATTCTAATCCCAGCCCTGATAACACTTGGCAAGTCATTTCCCTTCTCTGGGCTGCAATTTATCTATAATATGAGAAGTAGATTGAATTAGATCTAGGGTTTTGTCTAGTTTTAAAATTATTTGATATGGTCATATAAGCAGAAAATAGTCAGATGAGTAGAACAGTTTTCAATGCTTCTCCTTTTAGAATGTCCAGATTTTTCCGAAATAGCTTTTATCTTATAGTTATTCTCAGAAAAACTCAGGTTCCCCTCATTTAGAAATTATATTCTGATCTGACAGTTTAGGAAGATCAAAAATTGTTTTCAAATCAATTTATTTTGTTAATTTAAAAAATGTTACAAGCAAGTATTTTTTATAAGCACATGATCTACAAAATTGATTATTAACTTTTTATCATATATGTTTCTAGGTAAGTGTCTGTAATAGGAAAAGGGCCATGGGAAGATAAATTTGGCAGTGTTAATAGGCAAGCCCTCATTGGAGTATTTTTTTCTTTTTCTAGGCATTACTCTGCCACCAGTGAAGTCTCATTATTTCTAAGTGTCCTAATCAATAAGGTCATGAAAGATTGATTTCAGGAGCTGTCGCTGTGTTTATGACAAGAAGCATATAGAGTCATTTATAGAAGTGGGCAGTAATTCTCCTGTTAACTAGCAAGTCAAGGAATCCGTAAGCCCATCTTACATGTCTTTGGGTGGTGAGGAAAATCTCGATGATGTCCATCACCGACAGAGTAAGAGACTAATACTGTTAATTGAATTCCCCTAAAGAGAACAAAACTATACCATCGTGTGGGGGGAAGGGTAGAAGAAGCAAATCCATACAAGTCTCCAATATGTTTGAATTGGTTGCATTGATTTTCCTCAGCTAATGGCCTAGGATAGATGCTGAATTGTCCTCAGAAAATATAAAGTTGATTAGAGCAGCTTATTTCCACTTAAGACTTTTTAAATTGCAGCTACAAATATTTCAAAGGTATATGTGTATATTTAGATATATATTTTTTAATAAAACATTTTATTTTTCTATTAATACGTGTTATACCATGCATAACTTATAAACATTTCCTCATCATTCCTCACAAACATGGTTTTTTTTTTCTTTTTTTGAGACGGAGTCTTGCCCTGTCATTCAGGCTGGAATGCAGTGGCATGATCTCGGCTCACTGCAACCTCCGCCTCCCGGGTTCAAGGAATTCTCTGCCTCAGCCTCCTGAGTAGCTGGGATTACAGGCGCCCATCACCATGCCCGGCTAATTTTTGTATTTTTATTAGAGATGGGGTTTCATCATCTTGGTCAGGCTGGTCTTGAACTCCTGACCTCATGATCTAACCGCCTCAGCCTCCCAAAGTCCTGGGATTACAGGTGTGAGCCACTGCACCCAGCCACAAACATGACTTTCAGAACCACATGATATTCTATCATAAGGATACTATAATTTATTGGGCTAATCCGGTATTTTACATTTAGGTTTACAAGGCCCTTTGAAAATAATAATTATTATTACTATAATACATGTTCATTGTAAAAAAAAACTAGACAATACAGAAATGTGTAAATAGAATAAGTTAAAAACCCTTTCATTTTTCTCTCCTCAGACATAACAATTTTAACAGCTTACAATGTATTCTTCCAGACTTTTTCTATGCATATTTCTGTAAATATACATATACACTCATATATTTTTATTAAAAAAATAAAAATATAGACGTGTATATATAGTTTTTTCTTTTCACTAAGCAGTATATATGAACATCTCATGTCAACACATGAAGATCTACCTAATCCTTTTTTGATTAGCTGGATTTTTAAAAGAAAATTTTTTTAGAGACAGGGTCTTGGTTTGTTGCCCAGGCTGGAGCACAGTGGCACAACATACCTCACTGCAGCCTTGAACTCCTGGGCTCAAGCAATTCTCCTGCCTCAGCCTCCTGAGTAGCTAGGACTACAGGCATGCATCACCATACCCATCTAATATTTTTATTTTTTTGTAGAGACAGGGTCTTGCTATGTTGCCCAGGCTGGTCTTGAACACCTAGCTTCAAGCAATCCTCCCACTTCATGATTTATTTTTTAATTTAAAAAACATGGCCACACATGGTTTTTTAAAAATTAAACCATCCAAAAGAAAATGCAGTGAAAAAGAAATTCTTCTTTTACTTCACCCTGGGAATTATTTTTAAAGACTGAATAGTATTCCATGGAATAGTTGTACCAATAACTTATTTAACTGTTTCCCTATTGATTGACATTTGTTTGAATTGTTTTCAGAGATTTTGCTGTTTCAGTGTTTCAGTAGGCATCCCTTTACATATACCATTATGGACTTGGACTTATTTTCCAGGATAGATTTACTGAATGTGGAATTGAAATTTTGATTTTAGGCCAGGCGCAGTGGCTCACGCCTGTAATCCCAGCACTTTGGAAGGCCGAGGCGGGCAGATCACGAGGTCAGGAGATCGAGACCATCCTGGCTAACACGGTGAAACCCCGTCTCTACTAAAAATACAAAAAATTAGCTGGGTGAGGTGGCGGGCGCCTGTAGTCCCAGCTACTCGGGAGGCTGAGGCAGGAGAATGGCATGAACCCCAAGGGGCGGAGCCTGTAGTGAGCCAAGATCATGCCACAGCACTCCAGCCTGGGAGACAGTGAGACTCCGTCTCAAAAAAAAAAAAAAAAAAAGAAATTTTGATTTTAAGAAACTTCAGATGTGTTAAAAAGTAGCCAAAATAATTTGGATCAGGAGTTGGTTGGTTAAGCCCAAAACCCAAACCAAGTAAATCATAATATATGATTACTAAATACCTTAAGTGTTTTAACTTAAAACATTTTAAGTGTAAATTTCTTCCCCAATATTCTGATGTAGGAGCCAGGCTTTTCTTTGTGAATGATTCTCTTCTTGGGAGTTCTATTTAGGTTTACTTGCACAAAACGTACCTATAATACATTGTCTACAAATTCCACTTTGAGGTTTTTGTAAGTGAAGCAAGCACATAAAATAATCTAGTTATCAATCCTCTAGAACTTTACATTTTCCCCTTAGTCCTTTTACTTGTTTTTTCTACAGCTAATTTGCTTGCAGTTTTGTATAGCAATTGCTATTATTGAATCTTTCAAAAACATTCAGCTTAGTTTTTTAGTTGAAACTTTTTTTTTTTTTACTTACAACATTAGTTTACTTGGCATTTAGTTAAGTTACATAATTATTGTAGAGTTGATTCATATAAACTTGTTTATATGACTGTAGGAACAGATAGGACCTACTTATGATTAGCATAACATTTAGAGGCAGGACCATTCACTAGGATGCAGGCATCAGTCTTCATGTTTTTCGGAGGAATGGAAAGTGTCCCTTAATTCAACATTTTGGCTGACGTGGAGATCAAATAACTGTCTATACCATTGTATATGCCCATCATAATTTGCCAGGTTCCATTTCTACATATCCTTGCTAAAACTAGGCATGATCGATAAAGCATTTTACTATTTTTTTCTTTTTTTTTTAATTATTATTATACTTTAAGTTTTAGGGTACATGTGCACAATGTGCAGGATTAGTTACATATGTATACATGTGCCATGCTGGTGTGCTGCACCCATTAACTCGTCATTTAGCATTAGCTATATCTCCTAATGCTATCCCTCCCCTCTCCCCGACCCCACAACAGTCCACAGAGTGTGATGTTCCCCTTCCTGTGTCCATGTGTTCTCATTGTTCAATTCCCATCTATGAATGAGAACATGCAGTGTTTGGTTTTTTGTCCTTGCGATAGTTTACTGAGAATGATGATTTCCAATTTCATCCATGTCCCTACAAAGGACATGAACTCATCATTTTTTATGGCTGCATAGTATTCCATGGTGTATATGTGCCACATTTTCTTAATCCAGTCTATCATTGTTGGACATTTGGGTTGGTTCCAAGTCTTTGCTATTGTGAATAGTGCCACAATAAACATACATGTGCATGTGTCTTTATAGCAGCATGATTTATAGTCCTTTGGGTATATACCCAGTAATGGGATGGCTGGGTCAAATGGTATTTCTAGTTCTAGATCCCTGAGGAATCGCCACACTGACTTCCACAATGGTTGAACTAGTTTACAGTCCCACCAACAGTGTAAAAGTGTTCCTATTTCTCCACATCCTCTCCAGCACCTGTTGTTTCCTGACTTTTTAATGATCACCATTCAAACTGGTGTGAGATGGTATCTCATTGTGGTTTTGATTTGCATTTCTCTGATGGCCAGTGATGATGAGCATTTTTTCATGTGTCTTTTGGCTGCATAAATCTCTTCTTTTGAGAAGTGTCTGTTCATATCCTTTGCCCACTTTTTGATGAGGTTGTTTTTTTTCTCGTAAATTTGTTTGAGTTGATTGTAGATTCTGGATATTAGCCCTTTGTCAGATGAGTAGGTTGCAAAAATTTTCTCCCATTTTGTAGGTTGCCTGTTCACTCTGATGGTAGTTTGTTTTGCTGTGCAGAAGCTCTTTAGTTTAATTGGATCCCATTTGTCAATTTTGGCTTTCGTTGCCATTGCTTTTGGTGTTTTAGACATGAAGTCCTTGCCCATGCCTATGTCCTGAATGGTAATGCCTAGGTTTTCTTCTAGGGTTTTTATGGTTTTAGGTCTAACCTTTAAGTCTTTAATCCATCTTGAATTAATTTTTGTATAAGGTGTAAGGAAGGGATCCAGTTTCAGCTTTCTACATATGGCTAGCCAGTTTTCCCAGCACCTTTTATTAAATAGGGAATCCTTTCCCCATTGCTTCTTTTTCTCAGGTTTGTCAAAGATCAGATAGTTGTAGATAAGCAGCGTTATTTCTGAGGGCTCTGTTCTGTTCCATTGATCTGTATCTCTGTTTTGGTACCAGTACCATGCTGTTTTGGTTACTGTAGCCTTGCAGTATAGTTTGAAGTCAGGTAGCGTGATGCCTCCAGCTTTGTTCTTTTGGCTTAGGATTGCCTTGGCGATGCGGGCTCTTTTTTGGTTCCATATGAACTTTAAAGTAGTTTTTTCCAA
Organism: Homo sapiens; assembly: GCF_000001405.40. Lineage (NCBI taxonomy): Eukaryota > Metazoa > Chordata > Mammalia > Primates > Hominidae > Homo > Homo sapiens. Next base: position 76,537,203 of record NC_000015.10, on the reverse strand, counting down.
TTCTGTGAAGAAAGTCATCGGTAGCTTGATGGGGATGGCATTGAATCTATAAATTACCTTGGGCAGTATGGCCATTTTCACGATATTGATTCTTCCTACCCATGAGCATGGAATGTTCTTCCATTTGTTTGTATCCTCTTTTATTTCATTGAGCAATGGTTTGCAGTTCTCCTTGAAGAGGTCCTTCACGTCCCTTGTAAGTTGGATTCCTAAGTATTTTATTCTCTTTGAAGCAGTTGTGAATGGGAGTTCACTCATGATTTGGCTCTCTGTTTGTCTGTTATTGGTGTATAAGAATGCTTGTGATTTTTGTACATTGATTTTGTATCCTGAGACTTTGCTGAAGTTGCTTATCAGCTTAAGGAGATTTTGGGCTGAGACAATGGGGTTTTCTAGATAATAGAATCATGTCATCTGCAAACAGGGACAATTTGACTTCCTCTTTTCCTAATTGAATACCCTTTATTTCCTTCTCCTGCCTAATTGCCCTGGCCAGAACTTCCAACACTATGTTGAATAGGAGTGGTGAGAGAGGGCATCCCTGTCTTGTGCCAGTTTTCAAAGGGAATGCTTCCAGTTTTTGCCCATTCAGTATGATATTGGCTGTGGGTTTGCATTTTAAAGCTGGAAAATGTTTTGTCAGTGAACAATAACCAAAAATACCCTAGCATTTATTCTCTTGTAACACTTTTGTAATATTGTCTCATAACTCATTACCATTAACTGTATAATGCTGTCCTCATTTTTAAAATAAGAACAGTGAGACACAGAGAGATTAACTAATTTGACCAAGGTCACACCGCAAGTGGCAGAGCTGAGATTCAAAAGTGGTTTTTTTCCCAATTTTTATTATTTTAATACTGGGTGTTTTTTTTAAAGACAAGGTCTCTCTATGTTGCCCAGACTGGATGTGAACTCTTGAGCTGAAGTGAGCCTCCTGCCTCAGCCTCCTGAGTAGCTGAGTGGCACACACCACCGCACTTGGCCAAAAATATTTTTAAACATTTTTATTGGACATTATAAGTTTATTGCATACATGAGATATTCAGTATTTCAGCATCATATATTTACACAAGAAGTTAAAACATTCTTGCAAAATATAGAAGTAGTCTCTGTAAGATATGAAATGTATTTTCCTTTCAAGACATATACTTTCAGAATGGTTTTAAAATTTTACTCAGTAAGTGTATGTTGAGCCTACAAATTACTGGAAGAAAACCATAGAATGTTAAAATTTAAGTAACATGAACAGTTATTAAGTCAACTCTCTCATTTAAGCAAATGGGATAATACAGGCCCACAAAGTTGGAAGACCTTCCTAAGACCCTATGACTACTGAGACCAGAACCCAAATCTCGTGACTCTTCTGTCATACCTGTATTTCTGAGATGATTCATAAACTGATGACCACTTTATAAGTAACTGATCTACCTTAACAAGACTCCTTTAGCCCATATAGACTATGCAGAACCTAGAGCCTGAATGAAAAGATTTCATTAGTGAAATCTTGGTGCATTTCTGTAGGCCAGCAATACCTGTAGGCCAGCAATACCTGTATGTTGTCTGGGCAACATAAATTTTCCATAAATGTTTGTGGAATATGTGATACTTCACATTTGCAAGGGCCTTTACAGAAAAGATTAAAATTAGAATTTCTTTTTTTTTTTTTTTTTTTTTTTTTTGAGACAGAGTCTTGCTCTGTCGCCCAGGCTGGAGTGCAATGGCGAGATCTCAGCTCACTGCAACCTCCGCCTCCTGGGTTCACACCATTCTCCTGCCTCAGCCTCCTGAGTAGCTGGGACTACAGGTGCCCGCCACCACGCCTGGCTAATTTTTGTTTTTTTAGTAGAGACAGGGTCTCACCGTGTTAGCCAGGATGGTCTCGATCTCCTGACCTTGTGATCCGCCCGCCTCGGCCTCCCAAAGTGCTGGGATTACAGGCGTGAGCCACCACGCCTGGCCAAAATTAGAATTTCTTATACTCTTAGCAGAGGATGATAATGTGTCATGGGCATGAAATTGTGTCATGGGCATGAAAAATTATCAGTCTGTAATCATAAATGTTAAATTCATTTCTATAGACCCACTGAGTGTGTCTAACTCCAGCATGCTTTTGTGGCCCAAGTTAAGCCCTATGTTTCTGTATACGTTAAGGTATACATTTGTTTTGGACTCTGACTTTTAATAGATTTATTACCATGTTTTGCAGTGACCTCCATTCCATTTTTAAACATTTTTAATTGTTTAGAAATAAAAATATATTTGTTCTTTATGTTAAAAGTCATCATTAAGCTCTTAGCCCAGGAATAAAGATGTAGGAATTATAAACATTTATAGACAAACATAAAAAATCAGCAATATTATAACCTTGTAATTTATAAATATAATTGAATTTAACCTTATAATTTGTAATTATAATAGAGTTTGATTTGTAATGTCCTCTTAATTTAAAAGATATCTTGAAGTTTTCAAGAGAACTATTCATCCTATCGGACTTTTATAACTTTTCAGGAAAGCTCTACCAAGGAGCAATAGCAATTATCTCCCATAGAATAGAGGAAATGAAAGAATGGGATTCATTACATTTTATAGAAAATTATAATTACAAATTTTATTCCATGCCCTTTCACGTAAAATCACTGAAAAACCAGAAACTAAAGTTAACAGATTTCTATTTGTGCTCTAATTTAAAACTGTCCTTTAGAGAGAAAATGTTACCCTTTTTCTACTGGCTTCTAATCCTTTTGCCTCTCATATTACTTACTCTTGCCTCAACTAAATTGTGACCGTATCTTTGGTGCATATTTTTTGAAGACTGATGACAACACTTATGACCTCCCAAAGCTGCTCCCTTGGTGACCACTAATGGTTTATCTAGTGTCAAACAAGATCTTTGTTTTCTTGATTTTAGATAAATTTGCAGCCCACTGCTTCACTAGTCATGATGTCAGTTGTTTACATTTCAGCACAATGTTTGTCGTAACTTTCAAATACAGGGGAACTGTAGACAGACGGTGTTTATCACATTGTAGAGACTGTCAGAAATGGCTGGCCTCAACATAACTGAGTCAAGCCCAGTGTTTACATTTTAATCTGCAAACTGTCAGGCCTGCTCACTATAGTGACCAATTGCAGCATGAGAAGATGAATAGCATAGAATTTTTATACTAGTTGCTATATATTGCTCTGAATTAATCTTTTCAAAAAAATATATTTTACAATCATAGTGGCTGAAGGATGAGAAGAAACTATTCCAGCAATGGAAATGGTAATTTTACTAATTTGGTTAATAATCCTCTTCTGAAAGTGAAATGTGGAAACTCACATTGTAGAATGTGTTTTCTGTGGTGATATTCTTTCCTAGCATCTTCTGACCAAGTTAGATCAGAAAAGTGTGCTGATAGATAGACAGAGGAGGAGTAGCCCTTTACTTGCACAGTGGTCATGTCAACTATTACAGCCAGTTAAAGACTGTTTCAATTTCAGGCATTTACTCAATTATTTACTGAGCAAGAGTGAAGGAAATGTGTAATAATTTTAACATTGCTTAAGATATGTCCATAGATCATACATATGTACACTCATGCATTGCTCAACAATAGGGAGACATTCTGAGAAATGTGTCCTTAGGCAGCGTCATCGTTGTGCAAACATCATAGAGTATACTTACACAGACCTTGATGGTATAGCCTGCTTCACACATAGGCTATATGGTATACTCTATTGCTCCTAGGGTACAAATCTGTACAGCATGTTACTGTACTGAATACTATGCTGAATACTACAGGCATTTGTAACACAATGGTAAGTATTCATGTATTTAAACATATCTAAACATAGAAAAGATACAGTAAAAATAGACTATTATAATTTTATGGGACCACAGTTGTATATGCTGCCAATTGTTGACTGAAACATCGTTATGTGGCACATGAAGTGTATGTAAATATTGACGTATTTGATTTTTAACAGTGCACTTCCTTCTTTACTGCCTACCTGCCATTTCCTCTTCTGAAATACCCACTCCGCAAAGCCAGCCCCTACTTACTCTTCAAAACTAATCTCAGTAATCTCTACCTTTAGGAAGTCTTTTCCCAGTTTACTGTTTAACATCCTTGCCCAGCTACATCATTGCTGCATAATAATTGATCATTTCTGCTGCATAATATAATTACTTATTGTTTTGCCTACAAAACTGTAGTTTCTAAAAGGTAATTATTTAACCCTGTGTCACTAGTGCAAAGCAGTGTTCTGCATATAGTAGGGCTAAATAAGTGTTAAATTATTTGAGGATATCTTTCTCCTGCTGTAGAACCCTAGCATTCATGGCCCTCCCTTGCTGTTACTCTCACTTCCCACCTCCCAAAGGCATCATCACTTGTTAATCAAAGCGACATCTTCTGCATTGTGCCTGCACCATCCATCTTTTCTATATTTCCCTGTGATGTTACCTCTGTAATACTCCCTCATTTCCTCTGCCTATCTGTGCATGCTATTTTCAAGACCACATTTAAGGTGAATTTTCTTCAGAAAATTTATGATGAATTTAATCCTTAATGCCATAGAGATTGCAGTGAGAAATATAGGCCCTCAGATTACTTTCTGAAAAAATTAATGAGTGATAGAAAAATTGATGAGTGAAAAGTCAGCATTAGCCTGCAGACTTGAATGAGAGAAAATATGGTAAAGAAAGAGGAAAGTAGCCCTGGCATGGTGGTTCACGCCTGTAATCCCAGCACTTTGGGAGGCCAAGGCACGAGGATCATTTGAGCTCGGGAGTTTGACACCAGCCTGGGCAATGTAGCGAGACCCTGACTCAAGAATGAACGAACAAAAGGAAGGGAAGGGAAGGAAGGAAAGGAAGGAAGGAAGGGGAGGGGAGGGGAGGGGTAATGTTAAAGGAGTTTGAATATTAGTTATATATTTATTCTTACCATCAGCATAGTCATCTCTATGATGAGGGAGAGCATTGCCACAGAAATGATAAGCCTCAGCTTCTTGCACCAGATGTGCCTGGATGTGTGCCTTGGGGAATGACAAAACTATTCAGCCTCAAGTTCATTATCTGTGAAGCAGTAGGTTTTAGGGTTCTTCCATGGGCCAGTAAGCGTTGAGATGATCAACACCTGTGAAAAGAAGGGGAAAAAATATATAAAGTCTACTATTTTAAAATATTTTTTAAAAAAAGTTGAGATGAGAGCAAGGATACCTGGTGGGGAGTAGGAGAGACTTTATATTCTAATCATCTCTATCAGAGAAGATGTGTATTGTTGCTAGAGCAGGATTTTGATGATCTTAGCTTCTTTGCCAATCCCTGGTGCCAAAGGAATCTGCTGAGTGAAACAATGTGGACACAACCCAGTCATACAACTCATTGACTTTACTGAAGACTGGTCAGTAGACCACTAACTCTCCATAGGATGCTCAAGGCCACCTTTACTCAGAGTCGGAAGACACTGGGAAATAAAATATCTCTGGGCAATTTCATTAAGTAGGTGCAGGCTAATAATCATAATTAACACTGTGTGCCAAGTACCATTCTTTTTTTTTTTAACATATATTTACACATTTAATCCTCACATCATCCCTTTTGTTTTTCTTATGCTCATTTTACAAATGAGGAAACTGAGGCACATGTCCACACTCCCATAGCAAATAAGTGGTAAACCATGATTTGAAAACAGGTAGCTTGTCGCCAGTTAATTACTAGGATGTACCAACTAAAGCAAGTTGGTATTCTATCTTGCTGCCTCTTGCTTGAGCAGCCATCAAGATGTAACTGTCCCCAGTTTCCTCAGGAGAGAGCACTGAGACTGTCTTCACACATACTCAGAAGCCACAACCAGGAGTTATGTTTCAGTCTCAGATACGTTTTTGTAGGGAGTGTTTTTCCAGACTGATAAAGAAAACAAGCATCTGTTCCCAAGTGGTTTGATTTTCTGATTTCCTTTTCCAGCTTTAGTAGATGCTTGTAGCAGGTTTGACTTCAGGACCTTTACGTCCTCAACTTTTGCTAATATATATTCATAAGAAGTACCAGTATTCTTGGAGGTTAACTGATTTATAATCAACTTTTTTATTCGAGATTCACAGGCTTCTGCCCTAAATTTTTGTTATATTCAATTAGATAATTGTTTTTATCAATATAATCAAGAACTGTTTTTTAACTTATTTTTAATCTCTTTGTGGTTTGGATTATATATATATACACGTGTATATTCATATATACGTATATATACACATATATACCTGTATATACATATATATGTATACATACATATATACATATATATTACATATACACATACACACAAACATAACTTTAAAGTTCTTTGATTATAAGAAATATGTCTTGGGGATTTTGTAAAATCTCTACGTACTTCCCTCCCTCTGTCTCTCTCTTCCTTTCCTTTCGCTTTTTCCTTCCTCAGCACTGTAAATTGTTTTGTGAACCATGGTGCTGTACATAATTAATATATGATGGTGATAATTTCCAGAGACATAGCTCATTCACAGGAAACAGATGTTCTCTCATTTCCCTGGTGCAAACTCAGAAACTGTGCAGATACACAATCATCAAATTCAGTTGTTTGGAAAAACCATAGGAAGAACAAGACCCTCCTAAGTGTGACCACAAAGAGGTTAATAAATTTCCCATAGTGCCTCTGGAACAGATATTTGGGACAGTGGAGGCCAGTACATGATGCCTTTAAATTTTTCTCGTTCTCAGACCACATTTAGATAATTTAGGCTTGAAAGGTTCAGAACATGGTTTACAGGGTGACTGTGCACACTACTCTTTCAAAAGGGTACAATAATCAAAAAGTAAATTGGATGCCTGATAGCTGGATTCATCTGCTCATTGAAAACCAAGGAGTCATGTGGTCATTAAAAGATAAGGATAAGTTGCAACAAATAGATAATTTAGTTGATGGATGAATATTTTATTGTGATATATTCTGCCTGTTATTAATACTTTGGAGGGATATTTCATCTCTCCACTAAAAGGCGTAACGGTATTATGCAGTATGTTCTCATTAGCGCACATTCCTGCATTCCTAAAAACTGTTTTCAAAATAGAACTTAGGAAGTAGATCATTCCTCCAGCAATATGAATGCCTAAACTGTGTGTCAGACCCTGCTCATAAGACACTTCAATCTAATAGCTGCCTTCAGTCAAGTAGAGAGGTGGTTAAAATATAATAAGCTGTACAATAACAGGTCTTCTTGCTTCCATCCTTGCTACTTTCAGTCTGCTCTTTATACAACCTCCAGAGTAATCCATAAGTCAGATCACATCACTTCCCTACTCAGTACCCTCCAGTGACTCCTCATCATATTCAGAGTAAAGCTAAAGTACTTACAATCACCTAGAAAGCTCTAGATTTGCCCGACTCTTTGCATGTATGACCTATTCTCTCACTACTTTCTCTCCTCATTAACTCTGCTCCAGCCTCATGGCCCTTGCCATTCTTCGGATATGTCAGCTTTCTTCTGCCTTAGGCTCTTGGCACTTACTCTTCTCTCTGCCTGAAAGTTCTTTCTCAAGATAGTTGCATGACTTTTTCCTCACTTCCTTCAGGTCTTTACTCAAATGTCAACTTCTCAGAAGGCCTTCTCTTACCACGCTATTTAAAATTGTATCTCCCTCTACCTCCACAGCCCAGAGGCCCCCTTCTCTATTTTTCTTTGTGGTCCTTATGGGTAATAAAGGACTACATCTGACCATCTAACATACTACCATATTGCTAATGACTTTCTTCCCCAACTAGAATATTCCTAGAAGTAGAAGTAGAGATTTTTGTCTGTTAAACATTTGTTGAATCAATCAGTGAATAAAAGTTAAATACAAAGTTCTGGCGGGGAATGGTGGCTCACACCTGTATTCCCATCACTTTGGGAGGCTTAGGCGGGTGGATCACTTGAGGCCAGAAATTGGAGATCACCCTGGGCAACATGGCAAAACCCTGTCTCTCCTAAACATACCAAAAAATTAGCCAGGTGTGAGGGTACAGGCCTGTAATCCCAGCTACTTGGGAGGCTGAGGCACAAGTATTGTTTGAACCTGAGAGGCAGAGGTTGCAGTGAGCTGAGATCATGCCTATGCACTCCCCCATGGGCAGCAGAGCAACACCCTGTCTCAAACAACAACAACAAAGTTCTATAAGAGCACATAAATCCAGTAACGAATATCAAAGATGACTTTTAAGTTACAATGAAGCTACGATTTGGCAGATATGAGTAGGACGTTTTTAACAGTGTTTCAGAGAATGGCACTTGCTAAGACCCAGAGAAGCACAGAAGAAAGTGTGGTGCTTCAGTCATTCATAATGGCTGGAGCATAGCTAGGTTGGGAATGGTAAATGATGAGACTAGAGAGATAATCAGGGACTGGTTAGTGATGAGTCAGATAAAGACAGTGAGAGCCACTGAAGGAAGAATGAAGTGATAAAGTTTGCATTTTGGAAAGATCTTTCAGGCTGCAATGTGGTGAGTAGATTGGAGGAAGGCAAACCTATAGCAGAAAACCTTCTAAGCTATTTTGGATATTCAAGTGAGATGGTGGCAGCCTGAAGTAAGCTGACGATAGGGATTGTTTGAACCTGGAGAAATGCATTTGAAAAGTGTTTAAGAGACTAAATCAATATTGGCTGTGAAGAGTAAGGAAAAGGAAGAAGCTAAAAATGGAGTATGGATGGTGGTGCCATTCAGGATCAGGTTTAATTTCTTATAAGAAAAATAACAGATTCCTCTCTGGACATGTTGATGTGCTTATGGGACATCCAAATGGTGGTAAGATACCTGGTAGAAAGTTATCTGTAAAAGTATGAGATTTAGAAGAGAGATCTAGACTCGAGATACAGGCTTGGGGTCATCAGCTTAGATATAGTAAAGGAAACAGTAGAAATGGATGATAATCTATAGAATGAAGAAGACAGGACAAAAAAAGAAAAACATAAGGAATATTATTATTTAAGGCAGAGGTTGGCAAACTATAGCCCATGGACCAAATCTGGCCCACTGCCTGTTTTCAGTTGCCCACCAACTAAGAATGGCTTTTACATTTATTAATGATTACATTTTATCTAAAGTCCTTGATTTTGCTTCTTGGCCTGCAAAACTTGTACTGTTTACTATCTGGTTCTTTAAGAAAAAGTTTGTTGACCCCTGATTTAAAGGCAAAAAGAGAAGAGCCTCCAAAGACAAAGATAAATGTTAGACTGGTGGGGAAAATCAGAGTGAAGTGTTATGTAAGCCAATGGGAAAGACAAGGTTTCCAGATAGTTGGGGAAAGTTTTGGGTTGTCTTGACACAGTAAGTTTATACATTGACACATCCTTCTCCTCCAAATACATAAAAAATAAAAATAAAAAAATTTTAAACAGAAGAGGACATAGGCTGTCAAAAACAAAACTGGGATTTCTATGGACTAGAAATAGAGTGAATATAAACACCAAATAGTAAAATTAGCAGAAGCCATTCATAATTCTGTTGTGCTCCTTGTCCGGAGGCAGACTGTTGTGACTAGGATTGGAATAAAAGGGGGCTAAATGCCCCATACAACAGCTATGTTCACAACCTACAGTCAGAGCTTGGGTCTTTTCTTCTCCTAAAAGGAGGTGGAATAAAAATTGCTACTGATTACAGCAGCTTAATAGGAAGCTTTAAGCCTAGGGAAGAAGAGAGAGCACACAGTTTCACAACCAAGAATTGAACCAAGCCACCTGCCAGCTCAGTAACTGTATCTGCAATATCTTCAGTATCAGTGCTGGAACTCCAACCACTGAATTGCCATTTATATGACCTGGAGCCCTAGGTGCCCAAGGAAAGCAACTATGAAGCTGCTGAATAATAGAGGAAGAGACAGAATAAAACAAAAAGCCTCTCACCCAAAATGCACCTGCAAACCAAAACTACAAACATGCATAAATCAAATATTAAGAAAGCCATGACATAACTTTCAAAAATAGAACAAGAATTTATAACAGATAAAATTATAGGTGAAATTAATTTTATAAAACTGTCTGGGTTGGGCGTGATGGCTCGCGCCTGTAATCCCACCACTTTGGGAGGCCGAGGCAGGTGGATCATCTGCGGTCAGGAGTTCGAGACCAGCCTGGCCAACATGGTGAAACCCTGTCTCTACTAAAAATACAAAAAAAAATTAGCCAGTCATGGTGTTGGGCATCTGTAATCCGAGCTACTTGGGAGGCTGAGGCAGGAGAATAGCTTGAACACGGGAGGTAGAGGTTGCAGTGAGCCAAGATCGCGCGACTGCACTCCAGCCTGGGCGACAAGAGCAGAAAACTACGTTCCCCCCTAAAAAAATAAAAATAAAAAAAAAAACTATTTGAAAAAGATTTTTCAGGAAATATATTTAGTATTCTCAAAGAGATAGATGAAAACAACAGGTAAGTATGAAAAAAGAGGCAAAAATGAAATCATAGGTGATTTAAAAACTGAACTCTAGGAAGTAAAAATATACCTTTGAAATTAAAAATAAACTTGACAGGGAAAAAAAATCTAGACTGGAAGTAGAATTAATAGCTTGGGTCATAGTATTAATATTAAGGACTATATCTTAAAAATAGCAGAAGAACAGATAAAAAGTGTGAAAGAATGGTTCAGAATGATAGAGTATAAACTGTGGGGCTCCATTGATGTTTATTTGGAGTTCTGGATGAAGAGAATGGAAAGAAAAGAAGAATTAGCACTATTTGACATAAAACACCTGATAATTTTCAAGAATTGAATAAAGGCATCACAGTGAAACTGCAAAAGATCAAAGAGAAGAAGAAAATACTTTAAACTACTAGAGTAGAGACAGATTATGTAAAATGTACAGTTAGACTGGTAGCAAACTTCATCTTAGCGATAAGAGCTGCCAAAAACCAATACAGCAATATGTTCAAAATGCATAATTATCATGTAGAATTTTATGCACAGTAAAACACTCAAGAATGAAGACAAAATGAAGCTATTTTCAGATATTCAAAGATAAGGAAATATAGTTACCACAGGTCATCACTAAAAATAATTAAAAGGTATACTTCAACAAGAAAATGAGCTCAGAGGGAAGGAATAGGATATATAAAAATGATGAACCTAGAAATTGTAAAAACACATGAGTATTTTATTAATTATTGACAATGTTCAACTACTTTTTTAAGTCAAAAAACCACAGATGCTGGCAAGGCTGAGAGAAAAAGGAATGCGTCTACTCTGTTGGTGGGAACGTAAATTAGTCCAGCCACTGTGGAAAGCAGTCTGGAGATTTCTTGAAGAACTTAAAACAGATCTACCATTTGACCCAACAATCCCATTACTTGGGTGTATACCCAAAAGAAAATAAAGCATTCTGCCAAAAAGACACATGTACTCTTATGTTCACCGCTGTGCTATTCACAATAGTAAAGACATGGAATCAACCCAGGTGCCCATCCATGGTGGATTGAATAAAGAAAATGTGGTATATATACACCATTGAATACTACACAGCCATAAAAAAGAATGAAATCATGTCCTTTGCAACAACATGAAGGCCATAATCCTGAGCAAACTAATGCAGGAACAGAAAACCAAATACCACATGTTCTCACTGATAAGTGGGAGCTAAGCACTGAACACATATGGACATAAAGATGGAAGCAGTGGACAATGGGGACAACTAGAAGGGGAGGGAGGGGGAGCAAGTTGAAAAACTACCTGTTGGGTACTGTGCTCACTACCTGGGTGATGGGCTCAACCTCAGCATCATGTAGTATTCCCATGTAACCCACACATGTTCCCCCTGTATCTAAAATAAAAGTTGAAATTTTTAAAATAAAATTACTTTTTTATTTATATTTAAAAAAGAAAAAAAATTACACTGTAGTCCACAACAATAACATAGTAGGACGGCATATAATTGGGAGTTAAAGTATGCTAAGGGCCTTATGATAGATATGAGTTTAGGAGAGTGAAGATTTTCAATAGGTTACTAATCCTATGAATCAAAATTACTATGCAGGAAAAACATCATAATTATAAGTTTGTGTTTTAGACCAAGAATTCAAAATCAGTTAAATCCTAAGATGGGGCTAATGATGTCATAAAGAAAAAGATAAAATTACTTGATCTACCCGTGAAAATCTTTTAACAGGATAAAATTCTAACAGTGACTAATTAAAATAGGCACCCAGACAAAGGAATGCCTATATATTTTTTAGGTATACATACAGAAAATCTAGCTTTACCAAAAAATAAATTATGCCTAACAATCATGTATTAGTTTAGTCTGTTTTAATATGGTCAGTAATTATGTTTAATTTTTCACATTTTAAGGGGCATACAATGGATTATTTGAATGGTTAGGTCACTTAGATCTTCCCTGTATGTAAACCTACCATTCATATTTATTCCCTAGATCTTTCAAAATTAACTTTCAATTCTTGTTTCATTTCATGCATACACTCTTACGTATTGGTAAGTCTTTACATGAATGGTAAAAAAAAAAAAAAAAAAAAAAAAAAAACAGAACAAAAAAACACAACTCCAGAAGCTGTAACAGCTATCTTAAACATCTTAAAGCACAGAATGAACTTTTCTAAGCAGAATTTGGGACTGTCATTTTCTATGTCTGAGTGTCATAAAAATATAGAGTCAAAAATATGCAGTAAGATGTAAATATTAAGTGAATATATTTTAAAATATTCACTTATATTTATATTGATCTTGTTTCTAATGGAATCATCCATAAATGTCTAGTAATTTAAATGAAAATATTTTCCCAGAAGTAATGATCTTCTCTTCTTTGAACTCTGAAACACTTTGTCTGCACTTTTCTTCAGACACCTACCAAATTTTGCCTTATCTTATAGCTACTTATTATCACTTTTGTCTCATTATATAGACACTAGTCTTCTCAAGGCCTTCTACCATGGCTCTCCATTCTCCACAGGGTAGACTAGTGCCATCTATACAGAGCATAGAAATGTTGCGTGCATGGCTGGTTCATATATCTGAATTTTTGTTTTTGTTTTGCTTTTGCTGTAAGAGGAAAGCATTTTACAGTATTTTACTGCTGCATGTTGTCTTGCAAAGCTATGGAATTTTTACAGATTTGCTGGTAAAGTAAGTAAAGTATTTGAGTAATTGGGCCATCAAGATAAGGAAGATTTGTGTTAAGCTGATTGTGTTGATGTTTTGAAGGAACTTTAAACCATAGTTTAACATAAGAGTCTTATTTCAGTACTGACAGTTATTTCAGTCTTAGGAAAGTCAGGAATTCATGGTGTGTATGAAAAAACTAAGGTAGGAGAGGTTAAGTGAAGTCACCAAAGTTACACACAACAATTGGGATTGGTGGTTGTTGATTTATGCACATTTTTTACTGACTGGGACTTTGAAATGGAAAGCATATCATCCTCTCCAAGCATACATGGAAACATGCTGCAGTAGTTATTTTTCATATATAAAGTATGTATTTTCTTCAAAAAAAAGTAAACCGTTATTACTCTTCTGTGCTCTCTGAGCCCTCTGATTGTACTCATGTTATAATATGTACTATGCAATTATGGTTGTTTAACTGTCTTCCTAAAGCAGACCCACCTCAGTATTTGGCATTGGGTGGATGCCCAAAAATGTTTATTGAGTGAATAAATGATTCCCTGGATGTAATTTAATTGCCTTTGGAATTTGGATCCTAAAAGTTATTTATATTATTACTCATTTTTCCAAAGCAAATAGATTCTGAATCTCTTTGTTGATTATTAGTCGGTTCTATCAGATTTACATAAAGGACAATCAGTGACTGACCTGGGAACCATAGCTCAGTACTTCTGTGGTCACAATATTGGAAATGGGTTGGCTGGTTTGAGAAACAAAAATGTGGCATATCCAAACTTAGTATCATGGAGTTTTGCCTGATTTCAAGTCTTCCTCATTTTATGCAAATATATATTTCTCATCTATTATTTAAAACTTTATAACTCCAATTAGTTTAACTGAGTGTGAACCCCTTTATAAGGTAAAAAATATTTTTATAAAATTGTCTTCTAATTTGAATTTTATATATCATGATTGGTTAAAGCAATATAAGCAATATGCCACTTTTATTAAAGACATGAATACTTCATGAGAGTTAAGCTGACCTATTTTGGAATTATGGGAGGAATATCTAGGGAACCAACATTTATATATATTATATATGTATTTATGTAGTAACAATGCATTTTGGATTTTTCAGAATAGAATTCCCCATGTAAATGAGAAATAACATTATATACTAACAGTCTATTTTGATGAATAGGAATGTATAAATCACTTGTCAGAAACATATCACATGAAGTTGTATTTTTAATTAGACCATTTTGTTAATATTTTTAACAGCTCTATTTATACATAATTTTATGACTTACAATTCACCCATTTAAACTGTACAATTCAGTGGCTTTTAGTATAGTCACAGAGCTGTGCAACCATGACCACAATCAATTTTAGAACATTTAATTACCCTAAAAAGAAATTCTACACCTTAGTCGTCACTCCTCTAATGTCCCCATCCCCCAACATTTTGTTAACATTTACACTTTATGGTTGAAATACTTATTTACTACTCTGTCTTAGTGTAAAAATCTGAAGTTTGCATTTTGCACATGCTTGTATGTATTTCAACAATCTCTGTACAGTCCATATTTTTCACATCTTGCTACAAGCTGTAGGTGCAAATGACCTTCAGAATTAGAATTTGAGTATCACAGTTTTACTTTTTCCTCAAAATATAAAACTTAAAAATTAGTTTATTATTTGAAGATGAACCATTGCTTTATTGATAGAATTGAAATCAGCAATCTTGTAACTGACTTCCTACTGGTGAATCAGTCATTGTATAGTGATTGAAGAAGTATCTCTCCACCAAATTCAAATTGGAATAAATTATACTGGGGTACTTGCTCTCTGTCTCTGTCTCATAATTTGACCTAAATTATTATTCTCCATAGGTTTTTACAATTTTTAGAAAATGAAAGTTAGTAACAATGCATTTTGGATTTTTCAGAATAGAATTCCCCATGTAAATGAGAAATAATATTATACACTAACAGTCTACTTTGATGAATAGGAACGTATAAATCACTTGTCAGAAACATATTACATGATTTTTTATGTGTAATTTACACTAAATTCTTGCGGGCACAAAGCATTCTCTGAATTAAATTCTCTACAAAAGCAGTAAAATGTATAATGCATTTCTGAATAATGCATTAACATCCTTATATTCAAGATCAGTGATAAACAAATTGGTACCCTAGTATCTGGGGACACAGGGCGATAAGACTGCTGAGTTCATTTGATAGAAGACTTTAGAGACTTGTCTACTAACTTTGCATCCATTGCCATAGAAACAAATTTAATAGATTTTTTAAACAAATTTAATACATTTATTTAAAGCAGTGTGCCACTTTTATTAAAGACATTAATACTTCATGAGAGTTAAGCTGACCTATTTTGGAATTATGGGAGGAATATGTAGAAGTCAGTATTTCAACAAGTTGTGTTTTTTAATTAGGCCATTTTGTTAATATTGTTAACAGCTTTGTATACGCTTTATATAAGGTATATCATTTATGTATTATTGTGATACTTAATTGTAACATCAGGGACACAAATGGATAACCGAACTACAGCTATGAAGGGCTAACTCTTCTTATCACTTCAGTTTATTAACTAATGAAAATTGGTCTCGAACTCCTGGCCTCCAGAGATCCTCTCTCCCCACCCTCCCAAAGTGCTGGGATTACAGTCGTGAGCCTAATTATTTGGGGTTTTTTTTTCTGACCTTAGATTTGGTCTTCTAAAGCACCAACTATACATTCCTTATATATTCTAGGTACTAGATAGTTTGCTGAATTGATATATTAACAAAGCCTGTTTATATATGAATCCAAGACAGTGAGTTATAAAATATACCATAAAAAGCTAGTAAGTATACAGATACCCAAAATGACCATCCTAATATATTCCAAGGCATATCTTTGTCTCATCTAATAGTATTTAATTTTCATAAAGAAATGAGATGATTTTCACATTCCTTGCTAATCTAAAATTCCTGAATTCTGTACTTATTTTCTGTCTTTTACCATTTATTCTTAGCTACTTGAATAATGACCCTTTTCAAAGCTTCAGTAACTTTTCTCTCAGGAGTAACATAGAGCTATCTCTAATCTAAAAGTTTTTAGTTCATTATATCTGTAGTGCTATCATCTGTCTAGGAAAACTTCCCGCCACTGACCCTTTATATAATTGCATTCACTTTATAGACATTTTAGTTCAATTAAACAATTTTGTTTTTCAGTGTGTACCATGCAGGGAGGCAATATACTATGGTGTTTGAAAGCTCAGATTCTAGAGTCAGACATATCTGGGTTTGACTTCCTGATCAGCACTTACTATTTATATAATCATAAGCCAACTACTTATTTTCTCTGAGCTTTAGTTTCCACATGTAGATGGGAATAGTAATTGTATCAACCTCATGCTGTTGTGATATGAGACAGTTCTTGCAAGGCAGCACTTAGGAGAGTACTTAGAGGGCATGTGTGTGTTTGTCTGTTGAGGGGGTGGGGGGTGTGTATGAGTACAACAAATGTTAGTGATTTTTTAAAATGGACCAAGCACATGGGAAACAGCAGTGATAAGACAGCTATAGGCTGGGTACAGTGGCTCATGCCTGTCATCCCAGGACTTTGGGAGGTCAAGGTGGTTGGGTCACTTAAGCTCAGGAGTTCAAGCCCAGCCTGAGCAATATGGCAAAACCCCATCTCTACTAAAAATACAAAAACTAGCCAGGTGTGGTGGCATGTGCCTGTAGTCCCAGCTACTCGAAGGCTGGGTTGGGAGGGTCACTTAAGCCCAGGAGGTGGAGGCTGCAGTGACCTATGATCACACCACTGCACTCCAGCTTGGGTGACAGAGTGAGACTTTGTCTCAAAACAAAAACAAAAACAAAAAAACAAAAGATAGCTATAGGCTCTGTCCTTCTAGACAAACAAATAATTACAATAAAGAGTGATCACTATTATAACTGAGGAAATACACAGTTGTTCATGGATATAGTAGGAAGACTAAACACAATCTAGAGGTTAGAGAAGGCCCCTTTGAGGAAGTAACATGAGTGAGTAGTTAGATTCTTAGCTAAAATAGAGGTTTTATGAGAGAAACTATACTGTAGTACAATTTTAAGATACTACAAAGATCCCAGGATATGTCCATCAAGAACATTAAGGGTATACTATTATGAGTATCACTTAGCATTGAATGAAATAGAAATGAAATGTGAAGCCTAGAAAAAGGAAGAGCTCTCTAGAGTAGGAACTAACATTTGTTTCATAAAAATTTATTAGGCACTTATTTAGCTAGAGGAGTTTGGGGGACAGAATTCAAAGATGATCATCACTAACATTTATGCAGATTATTCAGTCATCTAAACAAGCACTTGAGATAGGAAGTATTAGCCCTGTTATATGAATAAGAACACCGAGGCATCAAGAGGATAAGAGGAGGAGTTAAGATCCAAACTCTGGCAGAATTATTTCATAGGCCATGCTCTTAGCCACTATTGTAATAGCTTCTGAACAGTGGATACACAGTCCATGCCCATAAGGAGCTCATAGTCTAGTGGACAGTAGATGTTCTGGGCTATAGCTGCTAGGACAAGACTTATTCTGAAATCACTTATATCACAAAGTTAACAACCTTAAATGGTCTTTCTACCTGATTCCCCTGATAAAATATGTCATTCCTGCCTATCTTTCTCAGATCCCTACTTCTCCCTTTCCCTGCTAAAAAGGCCTCCTGGTGTTGTGTGCCATTTAATATTTACAAATGAATATTTTCAGAGGTATAGTTTTTTTTTAGGATCTTTACATTTATTTTCTATATGATCACTTGCCTGTGTAGTGAGGATATAAACTTGCCTGCTGACTTAAAGCTAAATGTATTTTAAATTTCAGATTAAAAGCGTTGTGTAAATATAAATTAATCCTCAAATTTCTCTTCGAATGAACTTAAAAGTGCTCCTTATGAATAGGAAGGGATTTTATATTTGCCTTTTCATAAAATTATTTAATGGTCGGGTGTCCTCCAGGCTTAACGACTCTTCTGAGTTTTGTTTGCCGTAAATGAGCAGCCTTTTAAATGTTTCAGTTCACCTTTAGTAAAGGTCTTATTCTCACTAGCTAATAGTAGCAGCACAGAGTAGCTCTAAAGTTAGAATTCAGTGGGGCAATATTAACTCTTCAGTAAACACTTGATCACATTTGCTTTAGCAAAATCAAGAAGAACAGATATTCTGAAAAAAGTTTTCACACTGTTCTCCATATAAGAAGGTATTATTTGTGACATTATGATGGAGAACAGAAGCTCAACAATGTTAAACACTGTTCATCCATGATCAAAGTATAGATTAATGTGGGTACCTTGAAGTCCCCGTGCTGAAAGGTGGTTCATCTTTACCTTCTTCCTTGCTGCACTGCATTTTGTGTCAGATAGTCTGATAGGAACACATTTTGCAATGTTTTTGCCTCCTGTGTTTCTCCCATAAGCCTTTTAGGTGCTAGAGAACAGGAGGGTCTCTAGCTCCAGAGAGCAGGCTCCAGATAATCCATCTGAGAAAACCCTGCCCCTGCCTATCACTAGCTGTTTCCTTCCCTTCGTTTCCTTTAGACTAAATTAAGCAGACCCAGTACTTGCTAACAGGATCATCTCTAAAATTAGCTGTGCTTGACTTTCCTTGTGCCTCATCTAAAGACTTTTACCCCAGCTGCTTCTTGGAAAGAAAAAATATATATATTGCAATAAATATCTTATCATGGCACAAGTGGAAAAGGCGTACTCTAAAGCCTGAAGCAGTATCTCTGCTGAAGTTGGAAGCAGAGCCTGCAGAGATGAGCTCCAGTTCTGATATCCAGGAAGGAAGGTGTTTTGAAAGATGCCCTGGCTGAGGAACTATTGAAGGCCAGCTGGGGCTTGAGCTGCAGGGAGCCCATCTTGGGCCACCTGGAGTCTTTTCTAACCCTGGTCCCACATTTTCCCACATTTCCTGCCACCTTACCCAAGGCCTGTTTCCCTCCTGCTGTGTGCACATTTCTTCCCATTTCCTGGCAATCTCAAGAACTGCACCACTGGTTAAAAGAACTACTCATATTTCAGTCCCTTAGAATCTAGTTAGCTCTTTCATTTCCTTTTTATTTACTTGTGATAGTCAAACTTAACATTCCTTTATATTCTTTGAGTCTGGATTATTTCAAGGATTTTTTTTTTTAGCTGCTAGTGAATGCTAATATAAGAAAGCTCGGGATCCCTCCTCTAATCCTAAAAGTAACTTTACTTATCTTTAAAATATTATTAAGCTAAATGCATGTGGTATTCTATATTCAATCCTGGAACAGAAAAAGGAGGACATCAATAGAAAAACAGAAAATCAAAATAAAGGCTGTAGGTTAGTTAAAAGTATACTACCAATATAATTTCTTAGTTTTGATAAACATACCATGGTTATATAAGATGTTAATATGGGCTGGGCACGGTGGCTTACGCTTGTAATTCCAGCGCTTTGGGAGGCCGAGGCGGGTGGATCACTTGAGGTCAGGAGTTTGAGACCAGCTTGGCCAATATGTGAAACCCCATCTCTACTAAAAATACAAAAAAATTAGCCGGGTGTAGTGGCACATGCCTGTAGTCCCAGCTACCTGGGAGGCTGAGGCAGGAGAATGGCTTGAACCCGGGAGGCAGAGGTTGCAGTGAGTCAAGATCACACCACTGCACTCCAGCCTGGGTGACAGAGCAAGACTCCATCTAAAAAAAAAAAAAAAAGATGTTAATATAAAGGAAAGCTCGACTAAGGCATATAGGAAATCTCTACTATCCTTGCAACCCTTCTATAAATCTAAAATTACTTGAAAATAAAAAGTTTTAAAAATATATTTTTAAAAGTGTATGTATATATAGTAAAATCTTGGGCTCTAAGTAGCCCAAGATTTTATAAATTTGGGCTATTTAGAGATAAGGGTCCCAAAAGTCAAACGCATACTTGCAGTTACATGCAAGATTTTCCCACAGCACTCTTGGTGTAAACCCATTACACACTCAGAAATCAGATAAACCTAGACTCAGTCCCCAGCTCTGCTACCTCTAGCTTTGTACATTTGAGCAAGTAACTGATTGTTCTAAGACTGATTTCCTTATCTGTATAATGGGGCTAATGAATCCTACCTCATAGGATTGTTGTGAGGACTTATATGTGAAGATAGCCCAGGGCCTGTTACATGATAAGCCCTCGAAATGTTGCTCTCAGTAGCCCTCCAAGATGGTAATTTGATAAAAGTAAAATTTGGGTTCCTGTTTCCTCCTTAAGTTTGTTTTGACTCCCAAGAATTGCTTTCCCCCTCTGTCCCTCAGGATATAGAAAGTTCTGGGTCACCAGCAATCCCATTACTGGGTATATACCCAAAGGATTATAAATCATTCTACTATAAAGACACATGCACACATATGTTTATTGCAGCACTATTCACAATACCAAAGACTTGGAACCAACCCAAATGTCCATCAATGATAGACTGGATAAAGAAAATGTGCCACATACATACCATGGAATACTATGCAGCCATAAAAAAAGGATGAGTTCATGTCCTTTACAGAGACATGGATGAAGCTGGAAACCATCATTCTCAGCAAAGTAACACAATAACAGAAAACCAAACACTGCATGTTTTCACTCATAAGTGGGAATTGAACAATGAGAACACAGGGAGGAAAACATCACACATTGGGGCCAGTTGCGGGGGTGGGGTGGGGGGTGGTGCTAGGGGAGGGATAGCATTAAGAGAAATACCAAATGTAGGTGACAGGTTGATGGGTGCAGCAAACTACCATGGCATGTGTATACCAATGTAACAAACCTGCACATTCTGCACATGTATCCCAGAACTTAAAGTATAATTTAAAAAATTTTTTAAAAGAATATATATAAAAAAAAAAAGAAAGAAAGAAAGTTCTGAGTTCTGGGTCACTACTTTCCCTAAGAATAACGCAAAAAAAACTGATGCCAAGATGAGTAAGACAGGATGATTGACAAAGGCCCTGTGGTTGGCCTTCACATCTCTGGTCTCTCCTTTCCCTCTTTCCCTTCAGGCAGGCCTAACAGTAGGGCCTGCCTTCTCTGTCAGCACAGACAAGGACCAGTAACGTTTTCCAAAGTTCCTAGCTTACTTGTACCCTTACCTTGACTTTTCCAAGGCTGTGGGATTCTAAGCCTTTTCTTTCTCATTGATGGGCTGTCTCTCCTCTTAAGGGAATTTCTGATGTCAGAGCCCCAGGAATTAAATTGATTGTAACTTTATTCTTTGATTCAGCAAATATTTATTGAACACCTGCTTTTTGCTAGACGCAATATAAACATAATTCCAGCTGTTAGAGACCTCGCAATCTAGTTTGTGATGAAGTAAACAGATACTATAATCATTATGATTTAGTTTACAACCAAATAAATAGAAAAATCAGTAAAGAAGCAAAAGTGTTATGATGGAGAGAAAATAGAAATTGCCACCTCTGAGAAAAGCCTCTGAGCTCTAAGGTCCTGCCTCCTGGGAGCTGCTGGACCCATTAGAGTTTGTCCATGTTACTGGCTCTTGTCTATATAACCCATTTGCCCAAAGCAAATTTTCTTTGCTCTCATAGTCCCAAATTTCTTTTACCTTCAAACTTTAAAACATTCAGGATACTTGAGATATAGGGGCAAAGAAAAAAGGAACCATAGTTGCAGTAATGAACTCTTCATACTAATCTTTGGTCATCTATCTCCCAACAGCTTAAAAAGAAAGAGAAAGACCACTCAGGTCTTGTGGTCTGCTTCTGTCCTTCAGTTACTGCACTCACCCTCTCTCACTCACTCTGCTCTTTCCTTCCTTAGTCCAAATGGGTCAGAAATGGCACAATTCAGCTCCCTCAGGGAGCGTCTTCCAAAGAGTCCAACTTCCAATTAGCATCGCAAAGGAATTGTTCCTCTGATACTGAGAAAGCTTTTCTAGCCTCTCAGCCCCACTTACTGTATCGCCTAAGCCTTCAAACTGTAGCTTATAATTTTACTGTTTTTGGCATCACCTTCCCACAGTATGTTTTTGTTCTTGTAACATCCTTGACCCCAAAACCTAGTACTATCAGTGTTAGTGCCTACAGCTGAAAAGCTGAGCATAGATATTTATGTAGATTATAGGAATATAAAGAAGCCAGCAGTTAGGAAGCTTGTAAGGGAAAAACACAGAACAAGGAGCATCATCTCATTGTGCTTCCTTCTTTTAAACTAACATTAACAGACAAGGATAGTAGAAAAGTGGAAATGATGTCTTTTAAGTGTTAGTAAAGTTTTCCATATTGGGAAAAACGACCATAAAAATTTTCACTTCAGGACGTTCTCATCTCTATAAATTAGGCTACTGAGTTCTAAATTTATGGACTTGCCAAAACCTACTTGTATTTTCTCTAAACAGGTCTTAAGGTGCCACAGATGCTCAGAACAAATGTAGCCTATACTGCTAATGAACACGCAAACAGTTTTCCCCATCTGCCACCTCTGTCTAAAAAGCTTTGAAGGCCTTCCTCCCTGATCACAAAGAACATAATTATTGTCTACAGAAAAGTCAAGTACAAAGGCCACTAGCCTTTGCAGGCTGCCAAAGATTAACAGCTGCCTCTTCTTTGATTGGGAGAGGTAATAACAGTTACTCTAGTTAATAATTGGATGGATTCCCTGACTGTGTAATTCAGATTGAGACTGTCATTTTTTGCTGGCCTTTAGCTAAGTGGGGTTATTAGAATGGAGCCACTAATCCTATTAGTCAGTTGTCAGTCTCACAGTGGGTGAGAGCAGGGGAAGGCAGAGCTTTTAAGGTATTATGCCAGGTACATAAGGGAAGCCACACATCTTATCTTTAAAGGTATGTTTTTCTCAATCAAATCAGAATTACCAAGCTTTCTGTGAAAGTTTTTTCCAGTTTCATATGTCTGAATGCAGAGAATTAGAAAAGGGGTAAACGGGAATTCACCTTTCTAGAATGAGATATTTTCAGTCACTGAAAACACTTTGCTTGATACCTGCAGTGTGTGCATCCTGTGCTTGGCCCTGGGTAGGAACACAGACATAGGAGAGTATAGGCTTTACAGTCTACTACATGGACACAAATAACTTTGCGTAAAGTAGAAAGTGGTAAGGGCCACACAAAAAAATACAGCTAAATATACAGAGAGCTTTGATTTTAGTTGAGGGGATCTGAGTGACTTAACAGAAGAAGCAACATTTGATCTTGGTCTTAAGGGATTGGGAGAGCATTTGAACACTACAAGTTGGAAAGGTGGCAGTTTGAACGGAGAAGATAATTATGGTTAAGGATTTTTAGTGTACTTGCTTTTTCTGGATGCTAAGAGGGATAGGGACAAGTATGAAATGGTGTATCTGAAGAGCATCCAGTCTTATTATTATGGTATTAAGCCATCCAGAAATGTAATCAGAGCACTGTATAAGAAGTGCCAAGTGATTGGCACAGGAAGTTAGTGTGGTATGAAAAGAGAGGAACAAGAGATGGGGAAGCTTTCTGTGTTCTTTAAGTCTACCTAGATTTGTATGAGGATTATTTTCTTTTTAGATTTGCATATAAGGTATTTAACGCCACATGCTTGCGAAGGTTTTTTTCTCTCTTAGTTTTAATATTTTGTTGGTTCATCATTGAGACAGCTTGATTTTCCCTTTCTGTCCCCATGAGATGAAGAAATCATCTCTAATATCACAGGATTGTTTCATCCATCTTTATGTATAAACTGTTAGGGAATGGAATCCAGTGAGCAGTATTTCTCCTTGTTATATTTAACATGCCTCTATGTTGTGTTAATCTATCATATCTCACAGAACATTTTTACTGTCTGAAATAAGTCCTTTCACTTGTTCATTCTTTTGTTCCATCACTAATCTATCAGGTATTTACCATTCCTGCTCTGTGCCAGGACTGGGGCTGCAAAGATGAGTCAGATGCCACTCTTGAGGAGCTTGCAGACAAGAGAGAATGGGGCCATGAGGTACGGCAGAGGTGATGGATGAATAGGGCTTGATGTGGGACATGAAGAACTTAGGATGATACTGAGCAGTGTGTCTATCTGGCCATGCTCCATGGAAGAGAGTCCCGAGGTGGCTTGTTGCATCTCTAATCCAGAAGTACACATAACCAGAATCTTCCTTAGCTCCAGGTGGAGATTTGGGAGATTTTTTAATTTCACAGTTGATTTTGCTTTTTTGCTTTTTTTTTTTTTTTCTGGAAAAGCTGCAAATAATAAACTGAAACTTCAGTTTCCAATAGTACATTAGTAAAAAGTTGGCTCTGAATAGCCTTTATCTTCCTGAAATTGGCTTATTTGGTCCTGTTTAGTATCTGTTAGAGCTTGTGTCTTAGGTTTTTCAAGAGGTCGCATCCATGTTGTTGGCATTGCAGAAAAGGCTTTGAGGGTTTTTTGGAGGGTTTTTTTTTAAGGCATAGATGTATACATTAAAATGATCTGCTTTTACTCAGTCCTTTTCCCCTCCACTTCTGCAGTGCTGACCCAGTTTCCTCCCATTGTGGAGGGTCTGCAGGAATAGCAGTGGTGCTGCTTGATTTCCCTGTCGACAGACTGATCAGCCGGTGTTTCTGCTTGGCTTAAAGTACTCTATGCCCTGTTTTTGAGTTGAGAGATGTCAGTACCTAAAGGCTTTACACTAAGATGGAATATGAGAGGAGAGTTTAGTTCCCTTCTTAATGGTTGTTAAGGAAGTTCAGGGCGAACATTTCCTTCAGTCTTGGAAAACTGAATCTCATTCTTTGGTCATGAAGCTCATTTCCAGTGAAAAACTATTCTGTGAGGCAAACATAGTAACAAGAATGGAGGATTTCATCCTGCAATCATACTAGAGAAATTATTGTTTGTGTTTTAGCAGTTAAAACCATGTATAATGGGGCCGGACATGGTGGCTCACGCCTGTAATCCCAGCACTTTGGGAGGCCGAGGCGGGTGGATCACCTGAGGTCAGGAGTTCGAGACCGGCCTGACCAACATGGTGAAACCCCGTCTCTACTAAAAAAAAAATACAAAAATTAGCCGGGCATGTTGTCAGGTGCCTGTAATCCCAGCTACCCGGGAGGCTGAGGTAGAAGAATCACTTGAACTCAGGAGGCAGAGGTTGCAGTGAGCCGAGATCACGCCATTGCACCCCAGCCTGGGTGACAGAGCAAGACTCCATCTCAAAAAAAAAAAAAAATATATATATATATACACACACACACACACACACACACACACATATATATATATATAATAAGTGTATCTTTGTCAGCCTTCCTTCTCATTCAGCAAACATTGTGAGCAATTACTGAGTGCAGTCCCCTGTGCTAAGTCGTTGGGATATGATGATAAAGCAGACATGGTCTCTGACATCAGCAAGCTCAGAGTTTAGTGGAGATACAAAGATGAAAAACTAGAGGATCATCCTTCCTGAAAAGGAACAGTTTATGCAAAAGCACAGAGGCATGAAAAAGTAGAGGTTATATAAGGAATTTGGTTACAAGAGAGGAAGGATCCTGGCAGGGAAGGAGGCTATTGGAGAGGGATCATTCTGAGGTCCGTGAATCTCTTTCTGTAGACTGTGAAGAAGTTGTCCCTGGAGTGTTTTAAGCAAAGAGTGATGTAATGACATTTACTCTTTAGGGTATTTCTTCAGTGTGTATCCAAGGCAGGACTACTCAAACGGAGTCCATAAGCCATTGCCAGGCCACTGTTATGAAACATAATGAGATAAATACACAAATCAAGAGTAAATTTTGCAAGTTGACAGAGTAATTTTATGTCTTTTTGCATCTACTATTTTATTTATTTCTTTTATTTTATTTATTTATTCCATAGGTTTTTGGGGAACAGGTGATATTTGGTTACATGAGTAAGTTCTTAAGTGGTGATTTGTGAGATTTTGGTGCACCCATCTCCCCAGCAGTATACACTGAACCAAATTTGTAGTCTTTTATCCCTCACCCTCTTCCTACCCTTTCCCCCTGAGTCCCCAGAGTTCATTGTATCATTCTTATGCCTTTGCATCCTCATAGCTTAGCTCCCACTTATGAGTGAGAACATACAATGTTTGGTTTTCCATCCCTGAGTTACTTCACTTAAAATAATAGTCTCCAGTCCCATCCAGGCTGCTGCAAATGGCATTAATTCATTCCTTTTAATGGCTGAGTAGTATTCCATACGTGCGCGCGCGCACACACACACACACACACACACACGCGCGCACCAGTTTCTTTATCCACTTGTTGATTGATGGGCATTTGGGTTGGTTCCACATTTTTGCAATCACGAATTGTGCTGCTATAAACATGCGTGAGCAAGTATCTTTTTAGCATAATGACTTCTTTTGCTCTGGGTAGATGCCCAGTAGTGGAATTGCTGGATCAAATGGTACTTCTACTTTTAGTTCTTTAAGGAATCTTCACACTGTTTTCCTCGTTTACATTCCCACCAGCAATGTAGAAATGTTCCCTTTTCACTGCATCCACACCAACATCTATTTTTTTTAATAGCCATTCTTGCTGGAGTAAGGTGGTATCACATTGTGGTTTTGATTTGCATTTCCCTGATTATTAGTGATGTTGAACATTTTTTCATATGTTTATTGGCCATTTGTATATGTTCTTTTGAGAATTGTCTATTCATATCCTCAGCCTATGTTTTGATGGGGTTGTTTGTTTGTTGTTGTTGTTGTTTGCTAATTTTTCTTGCTAATTTGAGTTCCTTGTAGTCTCTAGATATTAGTCCTTTGTTGGATGTATAGATTGTGAAGATTTTCTCCCACTCTGTGAGTTGTCTGTTTATTCTGCTGACTGTTCCTTTTGCCATGCAAAAGCTCTTTAGTTTAATTAAATTCCAGCTATTTATCTTTGTTTTTATTGCATTTGCTTTTGGGTTCTTGGTCATGAAATCCTTGTCTAAGTCAATGTCTAGAAGAGTTTTTCCGATATTATCTTCTAGAATTTTTATAGTTTCAGGTCTTAGATTTAAGTCCTTGATCCATCTTGAGTTGATTTTTGTATAAGGTGAGAGATGAGGATCCAGTTTCATTCTCCTACATGTGGCTTGCCAATTATCCCAGCACCATTTGTTGAATATGGTGTCCTTTACCCACTTTAAGTTTTTTGTTTGCTTTGTTGAAGACCAGTTGGCTCTTAAGTATTTGGGTTTATTTCTGGGTTCTCTGTTCTGTTCCGTTGGTCTGTGTGCCCATTTTTATACCAGTACCATGCTGTTTTGGTGACTGTGGCCTTATAGTATAGTTTGAAATCAGGTAATGTGATGCCTCCAGATTCGTTCTTTTTGTTTAGTCTTGCTTGGGCTGTGCAGGCTCTTTTTTGGTTCCATGTGATTTTTAGGATTGTTTTTTCTAGTTCTGTGAAGAATGATGGTAGCATTTTGATGGGAATAGCATTGAATTTTTAGAGTGCCTTTGGCAATGTGGTTATTTTCACACTATTTTAAAATGTGGCCTTCTACTTAGTACATTTTTTCCCATTTGTTCAGTACTTCATCTGTATTGTATTTCACAAAAGTGTCAGTCTATAATGGAGTAAAAATTTTAAAAACAAAAAATTGGCTTTTATTCGATAGAGTTTGGGAAGCAGTGCTCTAGCAAATGGGCTGGTTAGGGTAAGCTTGGACCCAAAGATACTAATTAGGAGGTTGCTGTAATACCTCAAACAAGATACCATGAGAACCTAACTAGACATGGTCCTGACATGGTAATCAACAGTAGTCATGGATAGAAGAGGCAAGAAGTGTAACAGAAGTAGAATATTCAGAATTTGGAGGCTGAATCAGTGTGAAAGCTGAAGAAGAGGGGATAATCTAAAGGAGCAAATGTTCTTTTGAGAATCTACTAAAAATTGGACCCTTGCCTTATGCATTGCTAGGAGCTTCTCCATCCCTGTTTCACAGAGATGTTTCATTTATTTTTTAATATGGTTATGATTTTTAATGTTTTAAAATATTTTATCTGGAATCCTTATTTGTTTTACATATAAGAAAGGAGGTGTATGTTTACATCCCCATCTTGACCCTTTACCATTTTCCCTACACTTGAGATGTTTCCATAGTTCCCTAGGCTTGGTGTACAACTACTGGTAGGATAGCCAGTCCCTACCAAATTAAATCCAGAAAATATTTATACATACTATATGATTTAACTTATTTGAAAATCTATGGTAGACAACCCTAACTTATGGTACTATGAAACAAATCAGTTGTCGCTTCAGGGAGGAAGGATTGACCATACAAGGAGCATGGGGGAACTTTCTGGAGTGATAGAAATGGATGTGTCTTGATAAGCATTTGTCAAGTTTGATTGAACAGTATATTTAAGATCTGAGCCTTTCACCCTATTATAAGATATACCTGAATTAAATTTTTAAAATCACAAACAGCCAGTAAACATAAGATGTTCAACCTGCCTGGTCATCAGGAAACAGCAAATAAAAACCTCAAAAAAATGCCAGTACACACCCATTACAATGACTAAAGTTAAAAAGACTGGTAAAACCAATTTTGAGTGAGAATGTGGA
Organism: Homo sapiens; assembly: GCF_000001405.40. Lineage (NCBI taxonomy): Eukaryota > Metazoa > Chordata > Mammalia > Primates > Hominidae > Homo > Homo sapiens. Next base: position 76,508,539 of record NC_000015.10, on the reverse strand, counting down.
ATAACTGAAATTAACACTATACCACAAACATTGTTTGAAATATTTTAGAAAGCTGTTTGGCCATAGCTACTAAAACTGAACCTATGCATACTCTGTGACCCAGCAGTTCTACTCCTAGATATGCCCAATATAGCTGCATATCACATGTGCCAAATACATGTGCACAAATGTTTAAAGGAGTGTTGTCCAAAGTGTCAAAGTAGAAACAAGCTAAATGTCAACCAGCAGTGAAACACTTAAATAAGTGGATATAGAATAATATCCAGAAAATATACAGCAAAGAAAATGAATGAAATACTGCTACAGGCAGCAACATGAATGAATTTAGAAATAAGCAATCAACCAAAAAAAGCTAGACACAGTTGGGTAAAGTGTGGTATAGATATGAAAAGAAGGCAAAATGAATTCATGAGTTTAAAAGTCAGGATAACCTTTACATTTTGGGACAAGGAAGAGACAGTGAATAAGATGGGCACAAGGGATACCAAGGCATACTATAAAGCTTTGTATTTTAATTTTGGAGTTGTAACACAATGTGTTCAATTTGTTTTCATGCATCCAGCTGTACAATTACGATTAGTGCACTTTTCTTTGTGTATATTATATGATAATACAGAGCTTATTATTCTAAATATGTTGACATCCTAGCATAAACAGAGGCAGTAACAACAGCATTACAGTATTAAGTAAATTACTAAGTACCTGGATTTTGCAGGTTTTGATTGTTAGTTTTATTGCAAAGAAATATTTTTACATTAATAACAAAATTATTAATTTTAATCTTAAGTGTATGAGTCGTCTAGCTTTCACAATGAACTTATAGTCACAAAATGTATTTTATTGTGCACAAAGAGCAATTGAATGATTAAGATAAGCATTTGATTACACTGCTAAACTCTAGACATGTGCTGGAGACAATAATTGATACGTCATTAATGCTCAGAACACCAGGAGAATCAGGCAAATATGTTTGACAGAGCTTATATATACTAATATCTTCTCCCTACTCCCTTTTCAAAAAAAACCTCAGTATTTCAGCGTTTCAAGGCTGTGGAATGCTATTAGAAGAAATATAAGGTGGTGATGTAATAGAGGGGTTGTATTAGTTTGCTTGGGGCCTGCCATAAGAAAGTGCCACAGACTGGGTTGGTTAAACAACAGAAATTGATTTTCCCTCGGTTTTAGATGCTGGAAGTCCAAGATCAAGGTGTCAACAGGTTTGGTTTCTCCTGACACCTCTCTCCTTGGCTCATGGATGGCCACCACTTGCTGTGTCCTCATGTAGCTTCTTGACTGTGCAGGTGTAACCCCAGTGTCTCTTTCTCCTCTTATAAGAACGCCAGTCATATTGGACCAGAGCCTACTCTAACGGCCTCACTTTTAACTTAGTTACCACTTTAAAGATCTTCTCTTCAAATACAGTTATATTCTGAAATACTAGGGGTTGGGACCTCCACATATGAATTTTGAGGGGGGCACAATTCAAGTCACAATAAGTTGCTATCTTATTTTTTACATATATATTGCATTGATTCTACCTGTGCTTAAAAACATACAGTGTAGCATAGAATTACTCTTCTCTTCCCCATGCCAAAGAAATGCAAATAACTTGGAAATGTTATTTCCCACAAGAATTATATACAGATCGTAAATTGCATAGAAATAATCATAGGTTTAGTTCTAAAATTGTTACTTAATGTTCTCCCAAAATAGCTGAAATGGTATTTTTTAAAAAGGATACAGCTAAAATGATTAGATATTAGATTATCTTTTATTGCTGAAGACAAATATTCTAGTAGAGGGAATCTTTGTGGAAGTCTATATTGTTAGGTGGTAATTAAGATTACAATGTGATAAAGATGTGATTTTTAAGTAAGTGTTGCTAAAAATGTATATATAATTTTTTTCCTTTGCCTGGAGTGCTTCTTCTCTTCCCACTTTCTTTTACATGTCTTAAAACTTCAATTTTCTCAGAGAAGCCTATCCTGACCCTTTCCCCATTATATAGTTGATTCCCCCATTATTCTCATAGAGAACCTTTTATCTTTCAAGGTACTTATAATTAAAATCACCTTATTTATAACTATCTGATTAGTGTTGGTCCTAGCCACTCATTTTTTTTTCTAATTTTTAATTTTTGTGGGTACATAGTTTATATATGTATTTATGGTATACATGAGATATTTTGATATAGGCATACAATGCTTAATAATCACATCTGAGTAAATGGGGTATCCATCACCTAAAGCATTCATTTTTTGTGTTACAAACAATCCAACTATATTCTTTTAGTTATTTGTAAATGAACAATTAAATTATTATTGATTATATTCACGCTGTTGGGCTATCAAGTACTAGGTCTTATTCTTTCTGACTATTGTTTTGTACCCATTAACTACCCTCACTTCCTTCCCCATTACCCCGTCCCCCCCACTACCCTTCTCAGTCTCTGGTACCCATCCTTCCATTCTCTATCTCCATGAGTTCAATTGTTTTAATGCTTAGCTCCCACAAATAAGTGAGCACATGTGAAGTTCGTCTTACTTCACCTGGCTCATTTCACTTAACATAAGGACCTCCACTTCCATCTATGTTGTTGCAAATAACAGGATCTCATTCCTTTTTATGGCTGAATAGTACTCCATTCCATATATGTACTACGTTTTCTTTATCCACTCATCTCCTGATGGACACTTAGGTTGCTTCCAGTTCTTGGCTATATTGTGAATAGTGCTGTAGTAAATATGGGAGAGCAGATATCTCTTAGATATATGGATCTCCTTTCTTTTGGGCATATACCTACCAGTGGAATTGCTGGGTCATATGGCAGCTCTGTTTTTAGTTTTTTGAAAAATCTCCAAACTATTCTCCATAGTGATTGTACTAATTTACATTCCCACGAACAGTGTATGAGAGTTCCCTCTCCACATCCTCACCAGCATTTGTTACTACCTGTCTTTGGATAAAAGACATTTTAACTGGGGTGAGATGATATCTCACTGTAGTTTTGATTTGCATTTTTCTAATGATCAGTGATGTTGGGCACCTTTTCCTATGCCTGTTTGCCATCTGTATGTCTTCTCTTGAGAAATGTCTATTCAGATTTTTTGCCCATTTTAAAATTGGATTATTAGATTTTTTCCTACAGAGTTGTTTGAGCTCTTATATATTCTGGTTGTTAATCCCTTGTCAGATAGATAGTTTGTAAATATTTTCTCCCATTCTGTGGGTTGTCTCTTTGCTTGGTGGATTGTTTCCTTTGCTGTGCAGAAGCTTTTTAACTTGATGTGATCCCACTTGTCCATTTTTGCTTTGGTTGCCTGTGCTTGCCATCTACCAATTTTAAGCTTCATGGAGGACAGCAACCATATGTTTTATGCTCACTCCTTTTGACCTATATTTCCTAGTACTGAAACAATTAGCAGTGAGTAGCATTCAGCAAATATTTATAAAATAATATTTGTAGAATAGTTGAACCATCAGTATGTTTCAGACTACAGATATCATTTGGTTATAGTTTAATGCCTGGGAAATTGGGCTAACTTCTGTTTGTATTTCTGTCTAGAATGTGGCAGATCAGATTGCATTTCAAGCTGCTGGTGGATTAACAGCCCTTGAACACATCCTTCAAGCAGTAGTCCCAGCCACAAATGTGAACACAGTTTTAAGAATTCCTCCTAAGTAAGTATAGTTTCTTAATCTATTTTTTACGTTTCATTTGTGAGTCATTTCTGCCCTATGGTTTCCATATGGAGAACCACAAGAAAATTGTATGTGTATTCAGGGTTGAATACCAAAATCTTACACTCCCCATTAGGGAGAAAAACAGAGGTGCTCAACGTCACTTACGAAACTCAAATTGAGCCTAAAAAGCCTTATAAAGGAAATCTCTTTGGTCTGTGATGTGCTCTAATCTGAAATCAAGAAGAATTGATGAACTCTTGAGCAATTCTAACTGCTTCCAAAAATTGAGCAAAATAAATAATAGTAACAGAAAGCTAACTTACTGTGTTACATGTGAAAAAAGAGGTGAGTAAGTACATTAGCAAAAGTCTGAGCTGTGAAATTGCAAGAAGTTCCTACCATACAGGAAGAGCAGTCAGAGGCGAAGAGTGCCATAGTCTAGCATCCCAGCCAAATTGCTGGGAACTGAGTTGCACGTTGGTCTTTAACGGTAAATTGCTTTCCTGTTCTCTTAAGTCCCCCTTTAGTCCCTGGCCACCTGGGGTATAGCAGCAATGTTGTTTCAGAAGTATTGTGTTCCTGGGTTGTAACGTCTGCAGTTTCTGGGTATTTTGTGGAGACTCTTATTTACAGAGTTTAAATAAGAGGTTTTAATAAAAGTTCATTTAGGCAGGGCGCAATGGCTCACATCTATGATCCCAGCACTTTGGGAGGTCAAGGCAGGAGGATCACTTGAGGCCAGAAGTTCAAGGCTAGCCTGGGCAATGTAGCGAGACCCCGTCCCTACAAAACATTAACAAATTTAGCCAGGCATAGTGGCACACACCTGTAGTCCCAGCTACTCAGGAGGCTAAGAAAGGAAGGATCACTAGAGCCCAGGAGGTCAAGGCTGCTGTGAACCATGATTGCATCACCACATTCTAGTCTGGGCAACAGAGCAAGACCCTGTCTCAAAAAGAAAAAAAAAAAAGTAAATGCTTCATTTGTCCATTGGATACAACAGGAAAAAAAATTCCAAGAGTATGTTATCTTTTTTTTCTGAGAGGCATTTGTATTAAAAAGAAATAGCATTGGCTTTGGAGTAGGACAAACATGGGTTCTAGTTTTACCTCTGCCAGGCTACTAGCTAAGAAAATTTGAGTGAGTGCCTTAATTTCATTGCATCTGTTTCCTTATTTGGAAAAATAAATGTAATCATATTCACCTCGTGGTGCTACTATGGGACCGGTTGAAATAACATATATGAGACCTCTTTGTAAACTGTTAAGTGTTCATTATAGTGTATATTTGTATATTATAATGTAAAGTTACATTATAAATGTTAAGTGAGAGTTTAGACAGTGCTAGCTACCTGACATGAGATATTTCTAAGTACAAGCTTTTGACATTAAAGATAATTTGGATTCCTTTCCTCTATTCACAAAGATTAATGAAGAATGGTATAGGTATTCTTTAAGTCAGGAAATCTTTCTGTGGAGCAGAAAGCTCCCCATCAGGCAAGTTATAGCATGCATAGTGGTTTTTATAACCCAGAAGGGTTGCTATTCCTTATCAATATGGACTTTATTTACAGGGTGTTGCTGGGCAGGTTATCTTCACTTACTGTATGTTAATTGGCAGGGAGGAAGGTAGAAAGGAAGAAAGGAATGAAATATAATAAATATTTGAAATAAGAAAGGAAATGATATTGATTCTTTGGGAGAGTGCTTTGATAACTGTTAATAATTTATATTGTTCATCTTAAATTCACCTGGAGGTTTTTTGTTTTGTTTTTGTTTTGTTTTGTTTTGTTTTGTTTTCTGGTAGGCTTCAACGTGCATGACACTAAGCTCTCTGATTGGTAACCTGGATTAAATGCCTATTTCCCAAAAGCTGCTATTGTCATTGTGACAGAGTATGTTGTTCTGGTGCTTATCTCTGCCTCTTGTTTAGGAAATGGAAGAGGCGTCCACAGTTCCTATAAAGACCTAAGCAAGAATTAGCACACTTCCTTTGCAAAGGAGCTGTGGAATCTTGAGAGTCCAGACCAGTGCCCTGCAGCTGGTCAGCACTAGCTGACCCACAGGGTCAGGATTAAGAGCTTGTTCCTTCATCTCACTTTAAGCCAATAGATTTGTGTTTTCTTTTCTTTTAAATTATACTTTAAGTTCTAGGGTACATGTGCACAACGTGCAGGTTTGTTACATATGTATACATGTGCCATGTTGGTGTGCTGCACCCATTAACTCATCATTTACATTAGGTATATCCCCTAATGCTATCCCTCCCCCCTCCTCCCACCCCACGACAGGCCCCGGTGTGTGATGTTCCCCACCCTGTGTCCAAGTGTTCTCATTGTTCAATTCCCACCTATGAGTGAGATCATGTGGTGTTTGGTTTTCTATCCTTGCGATAGTTTGCTGAGAATGATGGTTTCCAGCTTCATCTATGTCGCTACAAAGGACATGAACTCATCCTTTTTTATGGCTGCATAGTATTCCACGGTGTATATGTGCCACATTTTTCTTAATCCAGTCTATCATTGATGGACATTTGGGTTGGTTCCAAGAGAGAGTGTGGCGATTCCTCAAGGATCTAGAACTAGAAATACCATTTGACCCAGCCATCCCATTACTGGCTGTATACCCAAAGGATTATAAATCATGCTGCTGTAAAGACACATACACATGTATGTTTATTGTGGCACTATTCACAATAGATTTGTGTTTTCAACTAAGTGCTACTTATTAAGGGAGTCTAGCACCCAGAGCTGTGGGCATCCAGCATTGACTCTAAGATTCTTCTATCCTCAGCACAGTCTCCATATCATAACTCTACTTTCTAAACCAGCTTCAATTTTCAGGGCTAAAGGATTAAAGCCAGGAGAGTGTTATGCTGTTTACTCAGAGAACAGCAAGAGGAATTTTGTAACCACTTCAGATTTAAATGTAGAATAAGAGCATACTGGTGGACATGAGTCAGTGGCTTACTTCAAAAAATACTCTTTCTCATTTTCCTTCCAGTTGCTCTCCTGCACAAATCCCTGCCCAGGCCTTGGGCTTTCCATAGTCCCTGGGCACTTCTTTGTTCTCAGCCTGTCCAGAATCTTTCCATCCCTAGCGGGTTCCCACCCCTCAACTCCATGAACCTTTTGCCACCTTAGCCCTTGCTGTTTCCTGCCTCCTGTGGCATTTCATGGCTTTTACCTAAGGAGGCTAGTTTAGAATATCCTGTTTAATTTTTCTCAGTGATAAATAGCAGAGGATTTGATAAGTTTAAGCCACTGTCTCATAACAGTTACCCTGTTGAAACCTAGAGTCCTATGGCCATAAACCTTACGTGTCACTGCTTCTGAAGCCCTGACTCTTTGTTAGTGGATAAACCAGCTTCCTGTCCTCTTTTCTTACCATCCTGTTCATATCTTTTTACTTCACATAGTACGTCAGTAGTTGCATGTCTTGTTTGTCCTATAATTAAGCAACTTCGTGTGAATGAATATTTGCTTCCAGAAGCTTTTTTTTTTTTTTTTTTACATGAAATTGAGAGTTATACCTACTTCTGGAAATGTAACTTTTTGAAACCTTTCTGAGTCTGCAGTAGGTTGTTTTGCTCTTATCAGAACCAGGGAAAGGCCATAAAACTGCTTTAATTATTTTCAAGTTATCATTGAAAGGGCTTAGGTCAGGATGTGTTATTACAAAATCAATCATTTAAACAAATGTACTCCAATAAAATTGTTTTCAGTGCCAAGAAAGATCACCCTGAAACAAGGCAGTTTGTATCTCCTTTGGGGTAGACTAATGTTATTCTGCCTACAAACTTTTTTTTTTTTTTTAGACAGGGTTTTACTCCGTCACCCAGGCTGGAGTGCAGTGGTGCCATCTCGGCTCACTGTAACTTGCGCCTCCTGGGTTCAAGCGATTCACGTGCCTCAGCCTCCCGAGTAACTGGGATTACAAGCACACGCCACCATGCCTGGCTCTTTTTTTTTGTATTTTTAGTAGAGACAGGGTTTCACGATGTTAGCCAGGATGGTCTCAAACTCCTGACCTCAAATGATCCTCCCACCTTGGCCTCCCCAACCTACAAACTTTTAATTCCAGAAAACAAGTACAGACAAATGAATGACATCTTCTAGCCTTTTTAAAACTTTAGACTAATAATAGTGGTTCATCATAGCTTTTTAATATTTGAAAATAAATAGGAGTTTTCACTTTCTTTGAGCATAAAGAATGGCCCATGTTACGTAAATAAGAAGATGAATCTGCTGTGACTAGAAGCAGCTGTACCAAAACTTTGTGTTGCCAGTTTGTAGTATATGTACTTAGTAGCAATGGTAATTAAAGTGAGAGGTGGCACTAAACTGGCCCTCCACATCACCAAGCCCTTTCCAGGCAGCAGTAGATGTTCATAATTCACAAGGCAACCAGCAAACCTCTTGGGCCACCAAAAAGAGTCTTCCCCAGGTTGTCTTTTACTTACTTAAGATTCATAATTTCTGATAGTTACACAAGGACCAGGGGCCAAATAGTAAACTCTGAGCTACTTTAGGTTGTTCTGCTGGGGAACTAACCAGGTGCCTATTTCTTCTCTGTCAGCCTTGCTTATCTCTTCATCGTCCCTGTGGACACAGTTTTTCATACAGAAGTACATTCATCAACACAAAGCAAAGCAGACAGCATGGTATAGTGAAAAATGTGTAGGCTGTAGTGTCAGATCCAGGCTTAACTCTGCTTTTTACTGATTAGCTATATGACCTTGGGCCAAACTACTTGTTATAACAGAGCCTCAATTAAATGGGAAGACTAATACCTACCTTATAGAACTGTTATGAGGATTAAAAGTGCATGTGTTTAAGTCCCTGCACAAAGAAAGCACTTAGTTATTTTCATTGTTTTTTGTTGTAGTTATTGTTTTGACTCCATATTATACTGCCTAATTACTGAGCTTTAAATCCCTAAGTCTTTGTCACTTTGGCTTCTAAGAAGCCATAATCTATTAATTTTATTGGGCATTTCTGTTTTTCACCCTAAATTCAAACTTCATCTTGGTAAATTTTAGCCAAGTCTGTCAAGATCCTGATGTGACCACTTATTCAGTTTCATTTTCCTTAACTTTGTGTCAGCCCTAAAGTTGATCTGTAGAACATTTGTGTCTTCATCTTATCACTTAAAAAAATATCAAATGGGTTAGAGAATAGTTCGGCTTAGCACTTTATTATGTGCTGCATTGCCAAGTACTCCGTCTGCTGTACCATCATCTCCCCAAGTAGATTGTAAGTCCTTAGGATCATGAGACATAGTAAATACATTATTTGTAAATCATAGGACATCATAGTCAATATTGTGTGACTATATGAATGAATTCTTTCTCCAGCAGATGAAAGCAAAGCAGTAAAAGGGCATACCGCATCAAATACTGGACTCTATAGACTTACAATTTGATCTCATTTTTGCCAAATATGGCCCATCTGATTTTGGCATTTGATTTCCATGTAGAGCTGTCAGGTATATTACATTTATTTAACAATCAGAGCATTTGGCATGTTTTCACCATTATCACACTATATAAATGAAGAAACCAAAGGTTTTAAAGACTGAATAACTTACCCTCCATCATCAGTTTAGCTGAGCTAGGTGTGAGCATCCTATTCTTCTCTGTTAGATGGATTTTAGGCAATGGCTTCTTTAGTCTATCTTTAAACTTCCATGAGTTTTTGAATGTCATGTATCTGTGACTGTTGCTTACTCAAAAGGCCAAAGAGTATGCTAGAACTGTATTCTTAAGGTCATTGTCCTTATCACAGTTTTAGAATAAGAGCACATCAGTAGGTATAAGATTGCCCCATTTTAAACTAATAGGAAAAATAATTCTTTTTTGTAAGGTATGCCCAGTTATTCATATCAAATAGATCAGTAAAGTTGCTTTTTATTTCTTTACAGTATATGCATTTATCTGCCTATAGTAAATCCATGCTACCCAGACCAAGCAATACTCATCAAATATAATTTTAAAAAAATTCGAATGATGTGAAATGGAGCTTTGTTCACTAGGAAGATCATTTACAAGATATCACAAATTTATTCTCCAAAGTAAAACTTGTGACTTTACTTGGCAATATTGCATTTACCTCATCCTTTGAGTTGGTAAGGAGATACAAACTAACATTTATTGTGTGCTTGGTGCCAAGCACTGTGCTAGATGCTCTGCACGTATTACGTTGTTTATTCCTCACAATCACCAGCAACCATGTATGTGGCTCACTGCCAGATGAAGGTTGGAAGCAGTCACATTGGGGTATGACTACAACTTGACAGAGCTATGATAACCCCTTTAAAAGAGTGTTTATTCTTTTCAAATAGCAGAAAGAATGTTCAGAGAGAACGTTAGCAGAGAGAATGTTCAGAATTGCTCTCCCGTGACTTATTGAGGTTTGTCTCCAAAGCCTTCTGTTTCCCTCTCTTTGTGTTGTGTAGAGGCTGATGCAATTCCTCTTACAATAGAAAGAAGATATCTCACTGTGCTCCAGAAGCAGGTAAATAATCTAGGGCTTCCAGTCCTTAATCCCAGAAAACTATTTTCTAGCGTTTTCCTTCTTTGGATCACTTGTGGGCATGGGAATGGGATTGCCATACCTAGAAACCATTTGAAATAGACCCTGTCCTTAGGGAACTTACAGTCACGGAAAATGAGACATATTAAACTCTAAATATTAGTAGTAGTAGCCTACTGTGTTACCTTTGTGGAACAGCCACCCTGGTGGTATAACAGAAGACTCTTCATTAAAGGAATGTCTTGTTACATACGCCAATATCTGTCAACTTAGTTTCCTGAGATGCCAGGCCTCATGTGCTTATTTTTTTTTTTTTTTTTTTTTTTTTTTTTTTGAGACGGAGTCTCGCTCCATCACCAGGCTGGAGTGCAGTGGCACAATCTCGGCTCACTGCAACCTCTGTTTCCGAGGTTCAAGCAATTCTCCTGCCTCAGCCTCCCGAGTAGCTGGGATTACAGGTGTGTGCCACCACACCCAGCTAATTTTTCTATTTTTAGTAGAGATGGGGTTTCACCATGTTGGTCAGGCTGGTCTCGATCTCGTGACCTCATGATCCACCCACCTCGGCCTCCCAAAGTGCTGGGATTACAGGCATGAGCCACCGTGCCCGGCCATGTGCTTACTTCTTATTCCAGTCTCTTGACTCATTTGGCTGTTCTCTTTGGGACTCATCTACTATTAAGTCTTTGCCTTTGTGTCTTCAGTTTGCAACAAAATCTAGACTCTCACAGTTTTTACTATGAGTTTCCTTCCTTGTTACCTTTTCTTCTTTCTTGTTGGCTTGCCATAATCACCTTCTCCCTTCCTATTTGTTGTGTCCTTCTTTTTTTCAGTGTTTTATGAATACTACTTGTTCTAGGCATTACATCCATGCCTCGTCAGCTATGTTTTATGCCATCCATGTGGTGCTCCCCTCAATGGCCATAGCTGACTAAACTCTAAAGAGAGGTCATCTGACTCAAGAGCAACCAATCTACAGACCAGCCAGCAAGATAGGATTTATAATCCAATACACAAAGTTGAACTGGCTCAGTCAAGTTTCTTTCTCAGGAATTTGCATTTGGGAAGTTGCAGAACTTCAAGTGATTTTTTTTCTTAGGTATTTGAATTTGAATAATCATGTAGATTCACTTCTGGGATGGCCATTACAGGACTATGTGCATTCCAGGTTTTACAGGACTAAGGAAGGCCGTTTTGGGAAAAAAAAAAAAAAAGAGGAGACCAAAACTGCTTCATGGGACAGAAGGGGGCTGGAAATGAAAGCAGTCTAGTCCACAGAGCTAGCATTGTTCCAGCTCTCTTGAGGTATGGTTGTTCATTTTCTCCTGGACTTATGTGAAAGTTCCCAATAGCCTTACAATAAATGGCTCTTTTTACTTAAAATATTTTGAGTAAATTTTTGTTCCTTCCAGCCAAATGAACCTGATACTTTCAGATACATATAGTAAAGATTATTTTAACACTAGATTGGCTTGAAAATATTTGACTTTGCTATAGAGCCTTCCTTGTGTCCTCATAGTTGTTTTTCAAAATTCTTCACATCAAAAAAGAATGAATAAATGCCCACCGTTTAAAGTAGGAATAAAGAGAGAAAGTATACTCTATAAGCTCTCTAGGGTACATTTCTTTATGAACGTTAAATGCCATTACTACAAGCTGGGACTGACTGAACTTTCCTTTTTTCTGTCAACCTCAGTTTGGATAATCTATATAGAAAATGACATTCATTAAACTTACTATCCCTAGGTCCTAAGGTAAACACACTTAAAAAGAACATACCTACAGTGAAGAGCTTATCTTCAGAATCAAAGAAAAGAAAATATATCATGTATAGTTCTTTAAGAAAAATACAAGTTCTGTAAGAACAAATAACAGTACCGCTCATATTCTTTATAACTCTCAAATGTTACTTTCTAGGGGGACTTAGTGTCCCAGACTGGTTATCTCATCATTAACTTTATAATGAGCACTTAATTTGAAACCCAAGAGCATTGTCTTATATTTACAAACAACTGAAAAGTGTATTTCTTCAGACCCTACTCTCTCAGACTTGATCATAATGGGCTATAGTCCAGCTTTTTAATTAAAAAAAAAAAGGTTGTTAATGAGAAACTTAAACATTTCACCAATGATTTTCCTGAAATTAGAAGCCAGTTGCCTATTATGAAAGTGAGGTTAAGGTGTTCAGAAGGCATGCGATTATAAGAGCATACCCACATAGACCTCTTTTTTTCCTTCCCTCTTGTCCCTTCCCCCCTTCCACCTTTCATCTCTCTCTCATTCTGTGTGTGTGTGTGTGTGTGTGTGTGTGTGTGTGTGTGTGTGTGTGTCTCTCTCTTTTGCTTTCTTTCTCTTTCTCCCTCTCAAATCCTGGTAGCATAATACAGCTCAGAACTTTAATCCTACAGCTACAAGATAAAGCTTTACTATATTATGCCTTTATTATTTACATTTAACAGTGCAGTTTCAACTGCTAAGAGGAAGAAACAGCATTTGAAAAATATAAATGATCTTTTCTTAGTTAAGTCATTTTACTGTGCTGAACAGAATGAAGAAAATCATTGGTTTATATCATTTCAAAGCTATTTTGGAGTTGCAGTTTTGTTCCTCTCTGGAAAACCAAGAAGTATCTCCATATTATTCATCTACCCCAAACCCCAAAGAATGACATAGTCAAGTACCAGATGCACATTTTCAGAGCATTGCATCGTCTCTCTCTCTCTTTTTTTTTTTTTTTTTTTTTTTTGAGACCAAGTCTTGCTCTGTTGCCCAGGCTGGAGAGCAGTGGCACAATCTCGGCTCACTGCAACCTCCGCCTCCTGGGTTCAAGCGATTCTCCTGCCTCAGCCTCCCAAGTAGCTGGGATTACAGGCACATGCCACCATGCCCGGGTAATTTTTGTATTTTTAGTAGAGACAGGGTCTCACCAGGTTGGCCAGGCTGGTTTCAAACTCCTGACCTCAGGTGATCCACCTGCCTCGTCCTCCCAAAGTGCTGGGATTACAGGCGTGAGCCACCATGCCTGGTCTGCATCATCTCTTATTCCTCTCTCCCTCACCAGTGAGAAATGCAAAACTTCATTCCGGATTGGGTTGTTGTTTTACCAGTGTCAATACTAGAGAGTGAACGTATTAAGAAAAAATTGCTCTGGTAGGTGTTGGGTTCATATTTTCTGATAAAAGCCACAGTGTTGAGATTTTTTTTAATGTAACCCATCTATGCCATGGTAAGGCATTTGATTTCCATGTAGAGCTGCCAGGCATATTGCATTTATTTAACAATCAGAGTATTTGGCATGTTTTCACCATTATCACACTATATAAATGAAGAAACCAAAGGTTTTAAAGACTGAATGATTTACCCTCCATCATCAGTTTAGCTGAGCTACGTTTGAGCATCCTATTCTGGTCTTCCTTCTGTACCTTATTGCCTGCATGCTATCATCAGAGAGAAATATTATCAGTCTGCCAGTATTTGTTGAATTTCTTCTGTGATGAGTTTTGTCTTCAAAGAGCTTACATCATAGTTGAGAAGAGATATTCTCAACTATATTGATAAGATAGAATATCTTATCAATCAATAAGATATTCTATACTACACAACAAAACAATTAAATTATTTAAGAGTAAGCAAAAAGTACTATTTGGTTCGAAGGTTGCGTCAATGAGCGTTCTTGGTTGGATCTCTTACAAAGTTAGTGTTTGCAGGGTGACGACAGCTGTACTTTTCTTTCTGATTTATGAACATAAAACTTTCACTATTTTAATAAAAGTAAAATATCATTTCATTGATATAAAAAAACTGTGAGTTGCTGGAAGACTGAAATATTGTTTAGTCGATTGGTTTTGGATTTTTGGCTTGGGTGTTTTTGTACTGGTTTATTGATGTGGGTATAGGAAATTATCTGTGGAATCATTTTTCCCACCTAGCAGACTAGGAACCAAAGAGGAACTGACCTAACAGAACATGAGAAAGGTGAACCAAAAACCACATGTAGCTGTTTGTATGTGTGAGACGAAATGTTCACGTAAGATCCAGCAATGAAGTCTAAAAATGAAATACAACATTTCTGTGTGCTATAAACACTCTTTAAGGCTCAGATCAGCCAGCAAATGTGGAGTGAACTTATCATAGAATTTACTTCTTATAAGTAACAGATGAAGACATGGAACTGGAACCTATGTGTCACCTCCTGTGTCTGCTACATCATAGACCCCCAGTAAGCACTAATAAAAGAGTATTAGCCAGTTAGGGTAAAATTTATACTACAATCCATTGTTAATAAACACTTATTTCTAGTCAGGATGATTTTAATATAATTTTAAATATCTATTTTTAGATAAAAGTTTACTAAAAGTGAATAATTATCCCCAATAGACAATAAAAGTAAAAAATTATTTTGCAAGCTAATTAGCAATAGTGATTGATAAATACTCTTCTCCATTTGACATATTGAGGCATTTTGTTTATGTCTCAAAAGGCTTTATAGAGATGGTTACAGTTGACAGCTGTTGTACCACTAATAAGATTAAAGAAATTAGTTGTGTCAACTTTAATCTGCTATTTAACACTGCAAACCACCTGGGGTCTTCTCCAGAGGCAACATGTTTAATTGTGAATTTAAAATTACATAACCAGATCTTACTTAAGAACATATCTACAGACTTACTAATCATAGTCGTCTTGTTATTAACAAATTCATGTTAACAGTAAAAATAATGCTCTAGCACTAGAGTTTAAAATTAATGAACTAATTTGATGCTCACCCTACTTTTTTAAATATATTATTGTAATCTTTGAAACATAACACTTTCTCAGTCAGAGGCTAATTTGAGGAAATACAGAAAGTCTAATTAGATTGGTGTTTAAAATATATATGATTTCCTTTCTAAAGTTAGAATGTCTCTGTGGAATAATTAAATTGCCTATTCTATTAGGACCAGATTCACCAATTAAGTAAAAACCCTTGAAATAACACATCTAGTTGAAGATTATGTACTCCTTATTCTGAAGCAACATTATAATTAGGAAAATAGTTTAATTTTAACATTAATTTTGTTGTTATTAAAATGTTATATTTTATGATATGAAGTGCAGGGAAATAATCATTTGTGATTGTTATATTGACTTGATGCAAACTCAAGTTTAGGATGCATATAATTTATATCCCCACAGTGAAGATTCATTGTCAGAAAGTATTATTAGCACCCCTTGAAGACCCTTCTCTGGAGCTGGTTTGCTATTGCAGCATGGTGGTTCTCCCTACTATCCCCACCCACTCTAAGTGTTCTGGCTTCAGAAAGAACGAGCCGCAAGACAGGGAAGGCATTGTAGATAGCGTAGGTTTGCACTAGTCATCACAGTGCCAGTAGGAGAAATTTTCCCTCTTCATCCACAACTCATACTCTGATCCAAATATCCATCCCATTGTCTTCTGCAAAAAAAAAAAAAAAAACACTCTCAGATTGTGTTACAAGTCTAAATTCTCTGTGGTCACGAAAATGTCAAAACTGAATAATCTCTCTAAAGAGATTTTAAATCTTTCTCTACATTTTAAAATTTTCTGTCCCCAGGTTTTTTGCTGAGAGGACATTTTCTTATTATCAGTCCCCAAGCTTCTTGCTGAGAGGACATTTTCTTATTAACCAAGACTTATTCATCTAATTGCACTAATTTAATATCTTCTAGTTTTATCACTGAAACAATAACATTAAAAATATTTCCATATATGCAAGTCCACATGTAGGACTTCTTACAAATATGTTTTTCATCTCAAATACTATTTTTCTCTATTTCTGTTTAATATATTTTATTCTGATGAGTACTATACATTTAAAATATGTTTGGTACAACAGACCCAATGAGCATAACTAAAATGAGACTCCATTGGAAAAATTTTCAGGCTTGCCACAATAAATAAATTCATAAACATAATTAAATAGCAATTATAATTTAAAATTCATTGTTTTAATAATATGTATTTACTAGTAATTCTACTTTCTGTGGAGATGAACTAGGACATATGCCTGATACTGTCATTTGTGCTTGTAAATGAGATCTGGTTTTGCTCGTTTTAAAATTTTAAAGATCATAAGCCTTCCACATGTTTTCTAAGCTGAGAAGTATGATTTCTTCACTTTGGGGAGAGGAAGAGAGTATTATATTCATTAATTCCATCAATCAGGGTATATTTTTATGTTGCTGCTATAGATACATCACAGAATAAAACAGTTAATAAATGTGCACAAGATTTGAATAGACACTTCACCAAATAAGATACAAAGATGCCAAGTAAGCACATGAAGAGATTCTCAACATCATTAAGAAATACACACTAAAACTACAGTGAGACACTTCAACGTGTCAATTAGAATTGCTTAAAAAACAAAACAAGCCAGGCACGGTGGCTAACGCCTGTAATCCCAACACTTTGGGAGGCCAAGACAGGCAGATAACTTGAGGCCAAGAGTTCAAGACCAGCCTGGCCAACATAGTGAAACCCCGTCTCTATTAAAAATACAAAAATTAGCCGGGTGTGGTGGCAAACGCCTGTAATCCCACCTACTCAGGTGGCTGAGGCACGAGAATCACTTAAACCCAGGAGGCGGGGGTTGCAGTGAGCTTAGGTCACACCACTGCACTCCAGCCTGGGCAACAGAACAAGATTGTCTCAAAAACAGAAAACAAAAAAACAAAACCAGTAATACCAAGTGCTGGAGAGCATACACAGAGAAGTTGGAACTACATATACTACTTGTGGGAATGCAAAATGATACAGCCACTTTGGAAACAGTATGTAACTATCTCAAAAAGATAAACATATACTTAGTGTATGATCCAGCAATCCCACACCTGGGTAGTTACCTCAAAGGAATAAAAATACATGTTCTTACATATAATTTTTGTGTATGTATTTATATCATTTATAACTATAAATGAATGTTTATGGATGTTTTATGCATAATCACCCAAAACTGGTGAATGAATAAACAAACTGTGGTACATCTATGCAGTGACATACTATTCAGCAATAAATGTAACAGCAATCTTGAGAATGAAAAACAAAGCTGGAGTCATAACAGTTCCTGATTTCAAAATATGCGAAGATACAGTAATTGAAACAGTATTGTACTGGCATAAAGACAGGCATATAGAGCAATGGAGCAGAACAGAGAGTCCAAAAATCTGTGTATATACAGTCAACTGATTTTTTTTTAGCTAGAAATTATTCTTTATTGATTAAATCACCAGAAATTTTCAGCACAATATTTAACATCTTAATGACCACCAAGGCCTGGGCTCTAGGGCTCTCTCTGCCTCTTCTAGTCCTTAATTGGGTTTAAAGGGAGAAACATCATTAACAGAGACCAAGTCAGATGGAGTCAGCTGATCTTTGATAAGATTGTCAAGAATACACAACACAGGAAGGATAATCTTCAACAAATGGTGTTGAGAAAACTGGATATTCACAGGCAAAAGAATGAAACTGGACCCTTATCTTATACCCTAACACAAGAATCAACTGAAAATGGATTGAAGACTTAAACATAAGACCTGAAATTCTAAAATTAATGAAAGAAGACTTAGGGGAAGACCCTTATAATATTGATCTTGACAGTGAATTCATGGATATTACACCAAACACAGACCACAAAAGCAAAAACAAACAAATGGGACCACATTAAAATAAAAAGCTTTGTCACATCAAAGGAAACAATAGAATGAAAAGGCAATCTACAGAATGGGAAAATATTTGCAAACCATATCAGAGAAAGGGTTAAGTTCAAAATATGTAAGAAATTCTTACAACTCAACAAAAATATTAACAACTTAATTAAAAAATGGACAAAGGACTTAAATAGATCTACTATATCTTTACATGTCCAAAGAAGACATACAAATGGCCAAAAGATATATGAAAAGATGCTAAATGTCCCTAACTGTCAGAGGAATACAGTTCAAAACCACAACGAAATAGCACCTCACACCCATTAGGATGGTCGTTAACAAAACACAACAAGTGTTAACAAGAATGTGGAGAAATTGGGACCCTTGTACACTCTTCGTTGGAATCCAAAATGGTGCAGCCACTATGGAAAACAGTATAGATTCCTCAAAAAACTAAAAGTAGAACTACTGTATGACCCAGCATTCTCATTTCTGGTTATTTATCCAAAAGAATTAAAATCACAATCTCAAAGAGATATTACCACTTCTGTATTTATTTCAGCACTATTGACAATTTTGAGGAGGGGGAAACAACTTGAATGTCCATTGACATTCAGATGAGTAGACAAAGAAAATGTATACACATACAATGGAATATTACTTAGCCTTAAAGGAGAAGGAAATCCTGCAATATGTGACATAATGGTTGAACCATGAAGACATTATGTTGAGTGAAAAAAGCCATTCACACAAGGACAAATACTCCATGATTTTGTTTATATGAGGTATCTAAAATATTTAAATTCACAGAAGCAGAGAGCAGAACTATGGTTGCCAGGAGCATGGGAGAGGGGAAAATAGGGAGTTGCTAATCAACAGGCATAAAGTTTCAGTAATAAAAGATGAATAAATGCTAGAGATGTATTTTACAACACTGTGCCTAAAGTTAACAATATTGTATTATACACTTAAAAATATGCTGTGGGTAGATCTCATATTAAGTGTTTTTACCACAATAAAATAAATATAAAATTTTAAAAAGAGGGACAGACTACTGATGTATGCAACAACATGGATGAATCTCAAATGTATTGTGCTAAGTGAAAAAAGCCAGACTTAACAGCTACATGTGGCACAATTCCATGTATATGACATTCTAAAGAAGGCAAAACTACAGGAATAGAAAACAAGGGTTGGGAGAGGAGTTGACTAGAAAGAAGACAGCAAGGGGAATTTAGGGAGGTGGTAGATCTACTGTATCTTTATTGTGGTGGTTTCACAACTGAATGCATTTGTTCAAACTCTTTAAGAAAAGGGCTAATGTTAATTGTGTATAAATTGTACTTATATTTTTAAAATTACATAGCAAAAGAGCAAAAATAATATTAGGTTGGTGCAAAAGTAATTGTGGTTTTTTTCTGTTACTTTTAATGGCAAAACCACAATTACTTTTGCACCAACCTCTCATGCATGATTTATAAGGGAAAGGAAATTAATGTAATATCAGATTTTTTAATAGCAATGCTTTATTTTACAAGAAAATTGAGTAACATTTTTAATACTCTCAAAAAGAATATATGTGCCAAGAACTTCATATCCAACAAAACTGATCCTTTCTTATAAAAGGCAAGATGGCTGGGCGCAGTGGCTCACGCCTGTAATCCTAGCACTTTGGGAGGCTGAGACAGGTGGATCACCTGAGGTCAGGAGTTCGAGACCAGCCTGGCCAATATGGCAAAACCCTATCTCTACTAAAAATACAAAAATTAGCTGGGTGTGGTCATGCGCGCTTGTAGTCTCAGCTACTTGGGCTGAGGCAGGAGAATCGCTTGAACCTGGGGGGCAGAGGTTGCAGTGAACCAAGATCCCACCACTTCACTCCAGCCTGGGCAAAAGAGAGAGACTCCGTCTCAAAAAAAAAAAAAAAAAAAAAAAAAAAAAGGCAGTGTACTGTTATCAGGATGCAACACGCAAGAATTGAGGGAATATTGGTCCCACAAGCCCTTCCTAAGAAACTTACTAGAGAACAAGCTTCAGACAAGCAAATGACTGCAGATACGTTGACATAAGTACTTGTAGTGAGCATAAAATATGTAGTTATTTATAGTTCTAAAACTAAAGAAGATTGAAGGAGAGAGTATGATATGAAATGGCATGTTCTGACCATGTTACTAGTTTAGTGACAAAAAAATTAGTGGAAACTGAGTATGACATATGCCAAAACATTTCCAGCTGTTTTCAGTAATCATTATTGGTAGCGGTACTGTTAATATTGTCATTATGAAACTGTTATGTATTGTAATATAACATAAAGCAAATTATAGATATTCTATATAATTGTAGGTATTCAAATTTTATCATCCTCTGTGCCCTTGAGCACCAGGATTCTCCATGTGAAAGAAAAGAGAGAGAACTGTTATATAAAAGATATTAAAGAAAAAAATCCCTTAGTCTAGAATTTGAATTTGAAATATTACAAATTCAGAAGGTATTTTATCTTGGGCTGTATTTTATCTTGAGCTGTTATATAAAACATATTAAAGAAAAAATCCCTTAGTCTGGAATTTGAGTTTGAAATATTATTACAAATTCAGAAGGTATTTTATCTTGGGGGTGGGAGAGTGGGAATGGGGAGAGGTTCCTAGATCTATTAATTCTAAAGGTCTAGAAACATTGACCACCCCAGTAGTATTGAGAATCCTTCGGACCAGATTATAGGTTGGAAGTATCATTTCCCATCAAATTAAATCAGTGGCTGATTCCAAGTATGCAGCAGGAAATGACTCTCAAACCTCTTGTTATCCCAACTAGAGCAAAGTTCTCAAAGACTAGTGGAGTTAAGTCAAAGGATCAAGATACCAAGGGCCTAAGGCAGAACAACCTGATCTCTGATATGAATAAGAATTGCAGGAGATTAAAACCTATCAAATATATCTAAATCCTAGAGGTTTTTTTAATTAACAGACTTTATTAGAGTAGTTTTAGATTCACAGAAAAATTGGGCAGAAATTGAGTTCCCAGGTATTTCCTCTTCCCATCCTCTCCTCAGTTTTACCTATTCTTGAAATCTTGCATTGGTGTGGTATATTTTTACAGTTGATGAACCAACATTGATATGTTGTTACTAACTGAAGTCCATAGTTTACATTAGGGTTCACTCTTTGCCTTTTCTAGTTCTGTGGGGTTGACAAATGCATAATGTTGTGTATCTAACATTTTAGTATCATGCAGAACAGTTTTACTATCCCAAAACTTCATTGTGCTCCATATATTCATTCCTCCCCACCCACCCAACCCCTGGAAGCCACTGATTGTTTTTTAAACTTTTAAGTTCAGGGGAACATGGATTTTGTTACATATGTAAACTTGTGTCATGGGGGTTTGTAGTACAAATTATTTCATCACCCAGGTATTAAGCCTAGTACCCATTAGTTTTTTTTCCTGATCCTCTCCTTCCTCCCAACCTCCACACTCCAATAGGCCCCAGTGTGTGTTGTTCCCCTCTGTGTGTCCATGTGTTCTCATTATTTAGCTGCCACTTACAAGTGAGAATATGTGGTATTTGATTTTCTGCTCCTGTGTTAGTTTGCTAAGGTAATGGCCTCCAGCTCCCTCCATATCCCCACAAAGGACATGATCTCGTTCTTTTTTATGGCTGCATGGTATTCCATGGTGTACATGTACCAGATTTTCTTAATTCAATCGTTGGCATTTAGGTTGATTCCATGTCTTTGTTATTGTGAATAGTGCTGCAGTGAACATTTGCATGCATGTGTCTTTCCAATAGACCAATTTATATTCCTTTGAGTGTATATCCAATAGTGGGACTGCTGGGTTGAATGTTATGTCTGTCTTTGGGTCTTTGAGGAATCGCCACACTATCTTTCACAATGGCTGAACTAATTTACACTCCCACCAACAGTATATAGGCATTCCATTTTCTCCACAACCTTGCCAGCCTCTGTTATTTCTTGACTGTTTAATCATAGCCATTCTGACTGGTGTAAGATGGTATCTCATTGTGATTTGATTTGATCAGTGATGAGGAGCTTTCTTTCATATGATTGTTGGCTGCATGTATGTCATCTTTAGAAAAGTGTCTATTATGTCCTTCGCCTACTTTTTAATGGGGTTTTTTTTTTATTATAAATTGATTTAAGTTCCTTATAGATGGATGTTAGACCTTTTCGGTTACATAGTTTGCAAAAATTTTCTCCCATTCTGTAGGTCATCTGCTTACTCTGTTGAGTTTCTTTTGCTGTGCAGAAGCTCTTTAGTTTAATTAGATCCCATTTGTCAGTTTTTGCTTTTGTTGCCATTGCTTTTGGCATCTTTGTCATGAAATCTTTGCCCATGCCTATGCCCTGAATCGTATTGCCTAGGTTGTCTTCCAGAGTTCTTTATAGTTTTTGGTTTTTGGGTATTTGTTTGTTTGTTTGTTTGTTTTTTGAGACAGAGTCTCACTCTGTCGCCCAGGCTGGAGTGCAGTGGCGTGATCTCGGCTCACTGCAAGCTCTGCCTCCCGGGTTCATGCCATTCTCCTGCCTCAGCCTCACAAGTAGCTGGAACTACAGGTGCTCACCACCATGCCCAGCTAATTTTTTGTATTTTTGGTAGAGACGGGGTTTCACCATGTTAGCCAGGATGGTCTTGCTCTCCTGACTTCGTGATCTGCCCACCTCGGCCTCCCAAAGGACTGAGATTACAGGCATGAGCCACTGCACCCAGCCGATAGTTTTCGGTTTTACATTTAAGTCTTTAATCCATCTCGAGTTAATTTTTGCATGTGGTGTAAGGAAGGGGCCCAGTTTCAGTCTTCTGCATATGGCTAGCCAGTTATCCCAGCACCGTTTATTGAATAGGGAGTCTTTTCCCCATTGCTTGTTTTTATCAGGTGTGTCAAAGATTAGATGTTTGTAGGTATGCAGTCTTATTTCTGGGCTTTCTATTCTGTACCATTGGTCTGTGTGTCTGTTTTTGTACCAGCACCATGCTGCTTTGGTTACTGTAGCCCTGTAGTATAGTTTGAAGTTGAGTAGAGTGATGCCTCCAGCTTTTTCCCTTTGCTTAGGATTGCCTGGGCTACTCAGACTCTTTTTTTGATTCCATATGAATTTTAAAATTGTTTTTTGTAGTTCTGTGAAGAATGCCAATGGTAATTTAATGGGAATAGCATTAAATCTATAAATTGCTTTGGGCAATATGGCCATTTTAACGATATTGAGTCTTTCTATCCATAAGCATGGAATATTTTTGCATTTGTTTGTGTCATCTTTGGTTTCTTTAAGCAGTGTTTTGTAGTTCTCCTTGTAGAGATCTTTTACCTCCCTAGTTAGCTGTATTCTTAGGTATTTTATTCTTTTTGTGGCAGTTGTGAATGGGAGTATGTTCCTGATTTGGCTCTTAGCTTGACTGTTGTCGGTGATATTTACACATTGATTTTTGTATCCTGAGACTTCACTGAAGTTATCAGCTCAAGAAGTTTTTGGGCTAAGACTGTGGGGTTTTCTAGATGCAGGATCATGTCATCTGCAAACAGAAATAGTTGTACTTCCACTCTTCGTATTTGAATGCCCTTTACTTCTCTCTCTTGCCTGATTGCCCTGGCCAGGACTTCCAATTCTGTGTTGAATAGGAGTGGTGAAAGAGGACATCCTTGTCTTGTGCCAGTTTTCAAGGGGAATGCTCCCAGCTTTTGCCCATTCAGTATGATGGCTGTGGGTTTGTCATAGATGGCTCTTATTATTTTGGGGTATGTTTCTTCAATACCTAGTTTATTGAGGTTTTTAACATGAATGGATGTTGAACTTTATCAAAAGCCTTTTCTCCATCTATTGAGGTAATCGTAGTTTTTGTCTTTAGTTCTGTTTATGTGATGAATCACATTTATTGATATGCTTACGTTGAGCCAACCTTGCATCCTGGGGATGAGGCCTACTTGATTGTGGTGGATAAGCTTTTTGATGTGCTGCTGGATTCAGTTTGCCAGCATATTCTATGAGGTGATGCTCGCCTCATAGAATGAGTTAAGGAGGAGTCTCTCCTCCTCAATTTTTTGGAATAGTTTCAATAGGAATACCAGCTCTTCTTTGTACATCTGGTAGAATTCAGCTGTGCATCCATCTGGTCCTGGGCTCTTTTTAGTTGGTAGGCTATTTATTACTGCCTCAGTTTCAGAGCTTGTTATTTGTCTGTTCAGGGATTCCATTTTTTTCCTGGTTCAGTTTTGAGAGGGTGTATGTATCCAGGAATTTTTTCATTTCTTCTAGATTTTCTAGTTTATGTAAATAGATGTGTTCATAATATTCTCTACTGCTTGTATTTCTATGGGGTCAGCCACTCATCTTTTTACTGTTTGTATAGTTTTACCATTTCCAGAATATCACACAGTTGAAGTTATATAACATGTACCCTTTTTAGACTGACTTCATTCACTTAGCAATATGCATTTAAGGTTCCCTCATGTCTCTCTGTGTCTTGATAGCTCAGTTCTTTTTATTGCTGAATAATAATCCATTGTATGAATGTGTATCAATTGTTTATGTATTTACCTACTGAAGGATAGCTTAGTTGCTTCTAAGTTTTGGCAGTCATTAATAAAACTTCTGTGAATACTCGTGCAGTCTTTTGTGTAGATATAAGTTTTTAAGTCATTTGAGTAAATGTGTAGGAATGTGATTCTGGATCATATGATGACTATGTTTAGCTTTATAAAGAACTACCAAACTGTCTTCCAATGTGACTTTATTATTTTTCATTCCCACCAGTAATGAATGTGAGCTCCTGTTCCTCCACATACTCACCCGCATTTCTGATGTCAAGTACTTTGGATTTTAGCCATCCTAATAGGTGTATAATGGCATCTTGTTTTAATTTGTAATCCTTCAATGACATGTAGCATTGAACATCTTTTTCTATGATTATTTACAATCTGTATACTGTGTCTTTGATGATGTATCTATTAGATCTTCTGCCCACTTTTTAACTAGATTTTTTGTCTTCGTATTAAGTTGTAAGAGTTCTTTGAATATCCTGGATACAAATACTTTATCAGATATGTGTTTTCCATGTATTTTTCTCCTAGTTTGTGGCTTATCTTTTCGTTCTCTTAACAGTGCTTTTCACAGAGCAGTGTTTTTAACTTTAATGAATTCCAACTTATCAATTTGTTCTTTCATGGAGTGTGTTTTTGATATTGTATATGAAAACTCATTACCAAACTCAGGATCATTTTGAGTTTCTCCTTTGTATTCTCTAGAAGTTTTAAGGTTTTATGATTTACATTTAGGTATATAATCCATCTTGAATTAACTTTTGTGAAAAATATAAAATCATCTAGGTTGATTTTTTTTTTTTTTTTGCATGTGAATATCCAGTTGTTCTAGCACCGTTTGTTGAAATGACTGTTCTTTGTTTGGTTGCCTTTGCTCCTTTATCAAAGGTCAGTTGACTGTATTTGTGTGCTTCTAATTCTGGTCTCCCTTATTCTGTTCCATTGATCTATGTGTCTATTTTTTTCACCAATACCACATTCTCTTGATTAGTGTAACTTTATCATAAGACTAGTAGCCACATAGAGTCAGTCTTCCAACTTTATCCTTCTTATTTAATATTATATTGGCTATTCTGGATCTTTTGCCTCTCCATATAAACTTTAAAATCAGTTTATCAGTATCAATGGAGTAACTAGCTTGGATTTTGATTGAGATTGCATTGATCAAGTCAGGAAGAACTGACATCTTAACATTATTGAGTCTTCCTACCCATGAATATGGAATATCTTTCCATTTATTTAGATCTTTAATTTCATCCATCAGAGTTTTATAGTTTTCCCTCATCTAGAATAATGAGGGTATATACATATTTGTTAGATTTATACTTGAATATTTCTCTTTTTTTTGGTGCTAATTTAAATGATACCATGTTTTTAATTTCAAATTCCAATTTGTCATTGCTAATATATAGGATGGCAGTTGACTTTTATCAAGGTGTGACCTACAGCTTTGCTTTAATTGCTTATTCATTCGAGGAGGCTTTTTGTCACATCTTTGGAACTTCCTACATAGACCATCATATCATCTTCAAACAAGTAAAGCTTTACTTCTTCCTTCCCAATCTATGTATCTTGTATTTCCTTTTCTTATCTTACTGTATATAGGAGTGGTGAGAGAGGACATACTTAACCTTGTCCCCAATCTTGGGGGGAAAGATCTGGTTTTTCATCATTAAATAAGATGTTAGCTACAGTTTCTTATAGATGCTCTTTAATAATTCATGAGTTTTTAGTGATATTTAAGATAAAACTAAAAAACTAACTTGTCACTTTCTAAGCATGACAGGGAACCCATTATGTTGGTAACTGAAAAAATAAAAGGAAAATCTCAAACATTTATGTGGAGCTATACCATTAGGCAATCAAATATATGAAGGGAATGTCTCCTTATAAATTATTTCATCTAACAAATTGAAACAAAATAATAGAATTTGAATATCACAGTTTTGTACCCCTTGAAGAGTGAACCTTTGATGAATTCATGGCTCTAGGTATTGATCATCAGTGACTACTAACCTGAAAAAAAAAAGTGACATTCAGATATTATGCGCCTGCTGATTAAAGAACTCCACCACCTATAGTCTTGCCAAAAGAGGTCAAACCTGAGTCTGATCAAGCCTCCGGATCCAACTTCCAATTTTCAGGAAATGCTGAAGAAAAAGGAACATTTGAACTTCACCATGTATATGCAGGCAGCAAAATTGTAAGGAAAATAGAGGAATGGAGGGGAACTTCACAGATTAAAAGAGATGTAAAAGACATATCCAGACATATTTTTGAAAGGCTTTGTTAAAAGTAGGTAAGACTAACCATGGAGGCACAGTGCTGGAGATACACACTTAGGTGATAAAAGCATAATAAAATGCAAGTAAGTGATGACTATAAATGTCAGAATTGCAGCTACTTTGCAGGGAAGGAGAGGCTATAATTGGGATGAGGAAAAGTATGTCTGGAGCTTCTTAGTAACAAAATTCTGGACCTGAGTGGTGATTTCAAGGATGTTTTCCTTATAACAACTAACTAAGCTATATTTTTGTGTAATTTTCTGTATCTGTGTTTTATTTCATTAAAAATGTTTTTTAACAAAAAAATATATATATGCATATATGCAGCGTGTATGAGGTCAGGACAGGTATCTAATTTTTTTCATTGTTGCCTGTTACACTTAGCATAGCACCTAGACATAAATAGATGCCCAATAAACAGTAGTTAAATGAACAGTCATATAATCCCATCATAATTCAGCTTTTACGCAGAATCAGTAGATTATGTCTCCTCTTAAAACTGCTTACAGTGAAAGCTTAATAAAATAACTTTTATAAGTTTTAATCTTGCCTCCCAGCATATTTATAAAGCAATTTAGCCACAATCTAATTTTCAAGTTCTAAAATAATTTTCCTTCTTTATAAATACACTTCAAAACTTTTAGATACTTCACAGTTCTCTCTGTTGGGTCCAAATTTTATTCCTGATAGCTACAAAAAATAAAATATTTCTCTGGTGCTGAGAATAAACCAGATTGGCTGAGAATAAATGTTCATGATCAAATCAGCATTAAAAAGTAGAATAGTGGGCCGGGCGCGGTGGCTCATGCCTGTAATCCCAGCACTTTGGGAGGCCGAGCCGGGCGGATCACAAGGTCAGGAGATCGAGACCATCCTGGCTAACACGGTGAAACTCCGTCTCTACTAAAAATACAAAAAAATTAGCCAGGCATAGTGGTAGGCGCCTGTCGTCCCAGCTACTAGGGAGGCTGAGGCAGGAGAATGGCATGAACTCGGGAGGCGGAGCTTGCAGTGAGCCGAGATCGCACCACTGCACTCCAGCCTGGGTGACAGAGGGAGACTCCGTCTCAAAAAAAAAAAGTAGAATAGTGGAGAATGTGGCTAATTAATGTATTAAGATATTCCACAGTTACACATTCTTGTATGTTTTAAACAAGGAAGACAGTTGTCCCTTCATTGGACATCCTTGTGCTCAGCCAGACTTTGTGCTGCACAGTATGAGGGGTCCCGACAGAATGAATGAGACAAGGATCTTGCCTAGAAGCAACTTAGGCTGGTTATGTAACAGAATATAGTTTTCAGTGGTTTGACCCAAGTCTCAGTTTCAGCCTCTAGAATTGGTACGTGCTTTCAGGTGGGCCACTCCTGCAGGGCCAGGCCTAGATTACGTCTCATTCTGTGAGAGGGGCACTGACTTAGGTTCACTTCAGGCCTTAGACTTCTAAGCACAGTTAGACCTCCCTAGTTTCACATAATTCTTTTAAATAATATCTAAAGAAACTAATTTGGAGCTTTATAAAGATAAAGCATAATTTGAGAATGACTAAATGCATATAAACTGTATGCTATTTATTAAATCCTTAGTGCAAACCAAAGATATTCAGTAAATTACATATGCATTGGGGCTCTGGTGTTAACATTTGTCTCTCCCTTTCCTAACGAATTGGAAAACTCCAGGTCTGGGTGTTCTGGTCCAATCTAGAGGGTTCTCATCAAACTAATACTATATAAACTGCTAATCATCTTCTTTGTTTTGCGAGGATCTGTCCTTTTACATTTATCCGTATCAGGCTAATTCTGTTCTTACTTGAGGGCAAAACGATAATTGATAAAAACACCAAGTTTCTCTTTGCAGCCATATTTATGTGATCCTAGTACTTGCTATCCCTACTTGGCACAGAATTTTACTGTGCCAGAACTTAAAGCCATTCTCCCTCCCCCATGTAGATTTTGTGAAATTGCCTTTGGCAGTTGTTTAAAAATGGTTGCTCTCTTGACACAGGTGTATGACAATGGATTTTGGTGAACAGTGTGTGTTTTTTTTTAAGTCTTAACCACTGCAAACTGCACAAGAATATAAACTATGTACTTTCTAAGTTATATTATTAAACCTTCCCACATGGCAACCACCTGGAGCTTTTCTGTTTAACTATTTCATAATGTCTTAGCTGTGTACTACACTTGTATTCTATTACTGTCCTTTTTCTATATGTCCTGCACTTATTGTCAAAAGACCCAATTTTATGATGCTTTTCCTATCCTCTGTTTTTTGAGAGGAAACATTTTCAGTGAAAAGACTTACTGACACAAAAATTCACTCACATATTCATGATTTTTTGGAGCAGAAAGCCTTTATCTCAAACCCCCAACCACAGGGTACTTTTGACAGGATGGACAATAAGTTTTTAATGTCTTCTCAAAAGATACTTTGAAAATCTGGTGCTTTCTGTTTGATGTTAAAACGTGCTTCTAGTCATTTGAGTTTAAAATTACAGGGAAAGCTGCTTGGGTAGACCACCCAGGCTGGGTTCAAAGGAGTGATCTTTCTAAGACAGGTACTCCTCAAATAGAGGTTGTCTTTCAAACAAGTTTTACTGAAAGGACAAGTTTTTCCTGACCCTGAGTTTTTCGGTTCCCTCCTCCTTTTTTTTCCTCATCAGAAAGTGGTTTCTTTGTGAAAGTTTCTCAGGAGAGTTTTGTGAGCCTAAGATTATGTAGATATACATTCCACACTTTACCCATAAATGACTTTTCTATATAATGTAAAGCACAGAGGGCATTAGGACATTAGTCCCATACCGTGTGTTGTTTGTTCATGCCTCATGATAACGCACAAAAGATTTGAAACAAGTAGTAGGAATTCCATTGAATAAAACAAACAAAAAAATTAAAAATAAAGGTTATATAAATGTAGTTCAAAACCAAAGGGAAAATAGAATAGAGTTGTAATGTTCCACACATTATTCTTAATTTAATACCCCGAAATATTTTTAAAAGCCTTTAGAGATCTGCAATTTTATATATTGACTCTACTATAAAGCTACAATACACAAAACAATGTGAAATAGACACGATGATAGATAGTTATCAATTAGAGTCTGATAAAGATGGCATTTCAAACCAGTGGAGAAAGGAGGGTTTATTTAATACCTCTTCATGGGAAAAATAAATTCGGGCTCCTGTCTCACACAACACACCAAAATAAATTCTAAATGAATCAGCAGTGAATTAGAAAACCATAAAATTACCATACACAGTGATAATTCAAGGAAAATAAATACAAATGGTTAGAAGGTGATACAAATGAATAATTACCTCATCTCATAGTGAGAGTGAGAAAGAATTTTTAAAGCACAAAAAGAAAAGCAGGAAAAAGAAAACTACAAAAATTGTTAGACTACATAGAATTGTTTAGTCTCAATATATTTTTAAAAACTTTAAAATAACATAAGCAAAATGGAAGATAAAAGTTAAGCTGGAAAAAGATATTAACAATATGTATTAACCATTTGTCATATTTATAATGAGATAATCTTAGTAAGTTATTTTTAAAAGATGAAAACCTCCTCCCCAAATTTTAAAATAGCAAACTAGAACAATTAACAAAAAGATGATGATAAATAGCAACTTTATTTTGAAGAAAAATAAGAAAGTAAATGTCTTTTTCCCTTATGCCTAAATCAAGTTTATATTGTGAATTCAAAGGCAAAGCTCATAAAAGCACCAGAAGTAAACTTAAAAGAATATTTTTATAATATTCAAGTAGAATGGCCTTTCTAAGTCTGACAGGAATCTCAGAGGTCCTAAAGGAAAAGTTTGGCAGATTGTATCAAATAAAAATGTAAAAGTTATTTATGACCAAAAAAAACTAAAAAAAAAAATTAAGATAGCAATAAACTGGAAAAGTTATTTTTAAAATATGACCAAAAGGGTTAACATCTATATTATCAGTAAAGAGCCTTATAAATAAATAAGGAAAACACACCCCAATAGAAAATGAGTAGAAGGCACACCGTGATAATGCAAGAAAATGTAAATAGACATGGCAAATAAACACGGGAAAAAATCTCTAATCATACTGATAATCAAAGAAATGTAACCTTTAAAATACCGGTTTTATTTAGCTGTCAAATTGGTAAATATTTGCTTTAATGAGATTATTTAATGTTGGTGAAAGCATGGAAAAAATATTTTTCTGGGGGTATAAATTGATTACAATTTTTTTTCTGGAGGGCAGTTTAAATTTGATAATATCTATCAAAAGGCTTCATAAAATGTTCATATTCTTTGACTCAAATTATCATTATTGGAAATTTATCCTAGGGAAGAAGGCAGAGTGGTACAGAATGATTTGTTCAGCAGCTGTTGTAAACATGGGTTGTGCTGTTAACCTGCACAGCATCTCAACCATTGTCCTATATATATTTGCAGAATTCTCAGTCATATAAGATGGCTCTCTCACTATAGAACCTGAGAGTGCCAAGTATTTGCTTCCCAGTCTTTAGTGTCTAAGATACAGGAATGTGACCAAGGTTTTACAATCCACCATACCCACACTAGACTTTCACTCTGAAGGCAATGAAGTAAAGAAGCAAAGACATCTCAAACTGTATTCTTTGGAGAGTTTGAGGCAGCTATATCTAGCCTTCAAAGTCACAATGTTAGTTCAGTCTGTCTCATATGGTGCCCAGTGGTTTTTTTTCAGCAGACCAGTTTGGTGTTGTGTTCTTTGGATATTAGTTCTGGAAGTGTAACTTCAACACCTAAGTTTTCCAAATTCTATTATATACGCAAGTAGCCTGTCAATTAATTTCCTTTCTATTTAAATCAACCTGAGCTTCCCCCCCATTAACACCATGGCTTGCAACTAAGAATTCTGACTGTTGTTAAAACAACTTTATAACATTGAAAATTGGACAGAATAGTAAGAGATTAATTGAAGTAAATTTTTATATCCACAGGATGAGAAACTATTTAGCTTTTAAAGACTATGCAGTATTTCTCAGTTTAAGTATTTTACTCAGAGAGGGAACTTAGTATAAGACATTAAGTACTTAGAAAATTCTTGGACGGCTAGGTGTGTTGGCTAACGCCTATAATCCCAACACTTTGGGAGGCCTAGGTGGTAGGAGGGATCACTTGAGGCCAGGAAGTCAAGACCAGCCTGGGCAACATAGTGAGACTCTGTCTCTACAAAAAAAAAAAAAAAAAAAAAAAAAAAATTAGCTGGGTGTTGTGGTGTGTACCTGTAGATCCAGCTACTCTGGAGGCTGAGGTAGAAGCATCACTTGAGCCTAGGAGTTTCAGGCTGCATTGAGCTATGATCATGCCACTGCACTCCAGCCTGGGTGACAGAACAACACCCTGTACCCTGTCTCAAAAAGAAAGAAAGAAAAGAAAGGAAAGGAAGGGAAAGGAAGGAAAAAGAAAATTGTTGTAAGACTTCTAGATTGACTCCTGAAACAATACCAAACAAATTCACAGGGGTGCTGCTCCTTCTGAGGCCAGCACAAGTTAGGAAGTAAATGTGTGGCTAATGCCACACAAACAACTATCTCTTACACCCAAGAAACCACAGAATGTGTACCCGAAGCTACAGACGAGAAATTAGCACAACTTATGCCACTGATTTTTGATGCCCAGGAAGCTGGAAAATGGACCCCAGAATGCTGCTGCAGGAAAGCCTCATGTTTCCAAACCTTGCTAATAACAACCAAGAGCCACAGGAAGATGTCTTTGACTCACATTCAACCTCCAAATCTTGTAGGATACTGTTTGTGTAGGGGAGAATAAAAGGCTTTCCATGCTCGGATTGTCTCTGGAAGGATATGTAAACCAGTAACCATGATGATTTCTAAGATGAGGCTGGGGGACATGAGTAATAGGGAGAAGCTTTTCATAGTGCACTTTTTTTGTTTTGGCATAATTGTACTGTGGTCATCATCACCTATTCAAAAAGTTAGCAAATTAAATTTTACTTGTTTCTTAGCTCATTAGTTTTCACTGTATCACAAAGGAACACACCCCCAGGCCTCTAAGGACGCTTTCAAGGGTCTTTGAAAGGGGAAAGCAGGGTAGGTCGCTGGGTCTCCAACTTCTGCTTCAGCCAGAGCAACTCTGATTTTATCTGTTCTTTGGTTCAAGCTTCTGAGTAAGATTTTATTTGAAGAAAGAATTTCCCTGCTCTTCCTAAAAATTAAAAGCTGATGGGGCATGGTGGCTCACGCCTGTAATCCCAGCACTTTGGGAGGCCAAGGCAGGTTGATCACCTGAGGTCAGGAGTTCCAGACCAGCCTGGCCAACATGGTGATAAAAACACAAAAATTAGCTGGGTGTGGTGGTGTGTGCCTGTAATCCTAGTTACCCGGGAGGCTGAGGCAGGAGAATAGCTTGAACCCAAGAGGCGGAGGTTGCAGTGAGCTGAGATCATGCCACTGCACTCCAGCCTGGGCAACAGAGCAAGACTCCACCTTAAAAAAAAAAATTAAAGGCTAGTGTTATAGAAGAATATTAGATGTCATGGAGAACTGTTCATTATTATATATTAATTAAGATATGGGAAAATGGGATAAAAAATAAATGTAAATTTATTTATAAGAATAGGAAAAAGACTAGAAGTACAAATACCAAATTTTCTCTTGATAGTATTTTAGTATTTCTTTGTGGTTCTCTTTCCCAGATTTATGACAATTATTTTTAAAATTATTTTTATCAGCATAAATGCACATTATTTTTAAATTAAATAGAAAAATACTCTTGAAAATTTAGACATGTTATCAAATAAATGAAGTGGTGCTGGTTGACATCTGTGGAGAATTTGCTAGATAGAACCTCCAACTGATATGTCATAAATGTGTTAGATGTGGGTCAAGGTTTTTTTTTCATTACTCAGGGAAATTGGGTGAGGCTGGAAACAGATGAGTCTCCTTCTGGCTCCCATCAACTTAGTCCTTTCAGCATTTATGTCAGCATACCATGAAAAAATTTGGCAAGCACTGTGCTTTACTAACCTGGAAATAAGCATCTGTAGCATGCTTTAATTTGATTCTGTTTATTAACATATTATTTATACCTTATTCATTAAGAATAATAAGATTAATAACCCAAATAATAGACTAATAGCCATAATAAGGGCTACCATTTATTAAGTACTTAATCATGTGCCAGGCACTGTCCTAAGTACTTTACATCTATTATCTCAGTTCTCATGACAGGCATACAAAGTTTAGATATTCCAGTTTTATAGGTGAAAAAATGGATGCTATTACGTGAAATTAGTAACTAACTTGCTAAAATCTTGAATGGTAGAAGTAGGATTCTAACTAGTATCTTACTCCAATGTCTCTAGTCTTAACCAGTATATTCTACTGTGCCCTTTTTTCAGGAACCTATCAGTTATGTGAAGCAGTATACAGCTATATCAGACAGATGATTACAAGTATAACAAGGTCTCTCTTCACCATCTCTCTCCCACTAGAGCATCAGCTCCATAAGGACAGAGAACTTGCCTATCTTATCCACCTAGCACAACACCTGGAACATCATAGGAAGTTAGATATTTTTTGAATGAACAAATAACTCTGGCTGCACATCAAAATTGCCCATAAAGATTTTGAAACATTCAGATGTCAGGAGCCTACCCCATTTCCCAACTAGTACCACCAAGGGAAGAATTCAGGCAAGCATATATTTTTAAAGATCTGCAGGTACCAGGCATGGTGGCTCACGCCTGTAATCTCAACACTTTGGGAGGCCGAGGTGGGTGGATCACATGAGGCCAGGAATTCGAGACCAGCCTGGCCAACAAGAGGAAACCTGTCTCTACTAAAAACATAAAAATTTGATGGGTGTGGTGGCACACGCGTGTAATCCTTGGGATTACAGCTCCTTGGGAGGCTGAGGTGGGAGAATAGCTTGAACCCAGGAGTCAGAGGTTGCAGTGAGCCGAGATTGTTCTACTTCACTCCAGCCTGGGTGACAGAGTGAGACCCTGTCTCAAAAAATAATAATAATAATAAAGTAAAATAAAACTACAGGTGATCCTAATGCTTAGTCAAGATACAGAACCCCTATCCGAGAGCAGTGGTTCTCTAACTTGAATATGTGGCAGAACTACCTGCAGAACTTGTTAAAATCCCCAGAGCTGCTGTTTACTAGGTCTGGGTTAGAGCTTGAGAATTTGCATTTCTTACAAGTTCCCAATACTGCTGGTCTGTGAATCACATGTTTAAGAACTGTCCTAGAGACTTGGTTGTAAGGGACTAAATCAAAACATTTTTACCTAGAACTTAAGCAGGAGATTTAGTCAGACAGGCCAAAATAAACGTTGGTCACTCAGGCAATGCAGGTTTTAGTCACAGTATTCAAAACATCCAGGAATCTGTCGTGCCCATTGACCTTGTTGCTCTAAAAGTTTCTTTAAACAATTGCATATCATTTTTTTCCAAGCCAAACTATATCTAGCTTTATTAAAGTTACTTTCCATAAACAATCAGGGTATTTCAGGCAGGACATGGGCAGATAATCGTTAACGGTGTACAACAACTTTCAAACTCCCTTCTTCAATGGACTAGCAAAATCGGAAAGCCACTATAAAACCCAGTGAGGTCTTCATTTTATGCCCTGAACAGGGAGAGTTTAGAGTGAGGGTTGACATTTCAACTTTAGCATATTGTTTAACAGCTTTTCATGAACTGACCCTGACTTCCAGGAAATGAAATAAAAATGGCAGAATTTATCTGAAAATCTGAAAATCCACAATCTAGAAATGGAAACTCTACTCTTTTTGGGGGGCTCCATCTCAGTGGCACCACTGGAAAGTCTGATTGCCTGACACACTGGTAACCAATTACTGGAGGGTCAGGGCCCAACAGAGTTTGGGTTTAAGGGAGTTAAGTCTATGTTGAAGATGACAAGGGAAAAGAGGACATAACAACTAATTTGTTATTTCATACCACAAGGGATTTGTGCCAAGGTGGCTACATGTCTCAGAGTCATGGAATCCCTCCTCCTGGGAGTCAAGAAGTCTCTCAAAATGGGAAGGGAAAGGTGTTTTCCCCACATCAATCCAGCATCAGAGACATTCTATTAGTGACCTATGACCCTTCCCCACAATACAACAGTAAAGTGTTCTGTGTGCTAACAACATAGCTTTGAAAAAGTAAAACAAGGCCAGGCATGGTGGTTCACTTTGAGAGGCCAAGGCGGGTGGATCACCTGAGGTCAGGAGCTCGAGACCAGCCTGGCCAACATGTTGAAACCCCGTCTCTACTAAAAATACAAAAATTAGCCGTGCATGGTGGCAGGTTCATGTAATTCCAGCTACTGGTGAAGCTGAGGCAGGAGTAAAAAAAAGTAAAACAAATTTTGCATTTTTATAAAACTTCGTAAAAATAGTATTTCAAACTATACAGTCACCAGAAGTACACAGTCACCAAAAATGCACACGCTTCACTTGGCATCTCCAGCACCTTCAGCTTTCTGTGCCTGGTCTGTTTTGGCATCTTCATTTTCTGCAGGGTTATTCCCCTCCCTGCCAGTGTCAGCATTTTCCTTTTTCTTTTTGGGTACCTCCTCTCTCTCCTTTGCAGGGGACTTTTTAGGGTTGGGCTCTGGCTTTGGAGGAGCAGGTTAAGCAGACAACCTTACGGA
Source organism: Homo sapiens (assembly GCF_000001405.40). Taxonomy (NCBI): domain Eukaryota; kingdom Metazoa; phylum Chordata; class Mammalia; order Primates; family Hominidae; genus Homo; species Homo sapiens. The sequence goes on along the minus strand of NC_000015.10, from coordinate 76,472,166 downwards.
TCTTTCTGGCTTGTTCTTCACCTTGGCTCTATTGCCTGTAGCATCCCCTTCAGCTTTTTCTTGGGCATGGCAGTGATGCGGCAGGACATATGCTATGGATGCAGGAATGCAGCAGCAGGCAGACTGGTCGGGCTGGGGTCATTCTTGCCCCTTCTTCACATTGTTCAGGCTCTGGGGGCTTTATAGTTTTTTCAGCATATTTTTTTAACCTCCTAGAGAAAAACATTTCTTTGATCAGTTTGACCTTAAACTGTCTGGGCCCACGCAGGCCAGTTTTTACACTCTGGGAAAGATGTCCTCATCTGCTCAGGCACTCATCCATGCCCCGCCTCCAAGCAGTGTGATGTCGACTCCCTAGAACTCCGGGGTCTTATCTTACATGGAGAGCCTCCAGTTTCTCCTTATGGGTGCTCTCTTCTTCCATGATCTTTCTTATCCCGGACCAGGTGATCTGGCAACAGAAGCTTTGATAGAGCCCTTTTCCTTTTTTTTCTGGGTATTATTTCAAGAACCAAGGTTCCTAGATAACATCTAGTCTTAGAGTATTCAGAAACTGTCATAGACTGGTAAAATATGTTTCCATTATCTGCAACTGCAGCTAATAGAAATTAGTAAGAGTTATTAGGTACCAGTGAACACTGGGCTTTGGGTGAAAATTATAAGCTTTTATATCTAGCTGATGGGCCTTGTACCTAATAGTATTTGGCTTGGTTTTTAGAGTGACTTCCATCTCATGCCTGTTGGCTTTCATACCATTCATTTTATGTATTTTTAATTGTTTAAAGAAGAGCTGCTCGGGTTTTATAAATGGTGTTTTTCTCCTTCTTTTAGGTCTCTCTGCAATGCAATCAATGTTTACAACCTCACCTGCAATAACTGTTCAGAAAACTGCAGTGATGTTCTGTTTAGTAACAAGATTACCTTCTTAATGGACCTCCTGATACACCAGTTGACGGTATGTAATATTATTGCTTTGAGTTAGAAGCAGTTAAGGTTTGAGAAATAGTCCCTGTGGAGAAAACTAAAAGAATTCAACTTAGTTACTCTCCAGATGAAAAAAAAAAAAAAGAAGAAGAAGAAGAAGAAAGTGAAGATGACTGTGAGAATAGAGACTGGCAGACAAATTTATTAATAATTTGAAATTTTTGCATTGGATTCTTTTAAGTTCCAATATTTAATGGATAATAGACTTATAACACTTGCTAAGGTTACAGATTTACATAGTTAGACTGGGGCTTTGGAATCAGTTGGATGCAAAGGCAAACCTCTAAAGCCACAGGAATTAGTACTGTAGAAAGGAAGAATGTTAGGAAAGCCTCAAAACCTCTCTTGCCAGGTTAAGTTAAAAGGGTCAGTTTAAGAGGACTTTTTGATGGATATTTAGATTATGTTAGAAAAGAAAACTCCTCTGTTAGAAAGGAGAAAACTTGTTATATTGTTGAAATGGGAACAAGCAGCCAATTTTCACCTTAAATTTTACTTCAGTTCACAGATGTTGAAAGAGGTAAGCTCAATGTAATAGCCAAAGGTTTAAGTATGTCAACTGCAGTCGCCAGGAGTTTCCTGGTGAAGTTTCTAAGCCCCTGAGGTATTGGCACAAAATAGCTCTCAAGCTGCAAGTTTATAACACAAGAGATTTATTTTTCAGAACCAATGTACTTTTACTCAGCACACAGTTCTAGTAACTCTTCCTTAAACTACAAGCTATTGCCTCTATCTGGTTAATTCCTATGCATTTTGCAGTCCTTTACCAAGGCTTAATGTTACCTTCTTCATGAGATCTTCCCCAGCCTGACTCTTTCCCCAGATTCAGGTTAAGTATACTTCTTATGTGATCTTAAGCATCTCTGATAGAATTGATCACACTGAACTGTATTTAACTATTTTCTTGTCAGTTTCCCCCACTAGCCATAAAATCGATGAGGACAGGAAGTAAGTTATCACTATCTCCAAGATTCTAACATAGGACCTGGCACTTAGTAGATTCAGTACGTCATTGTATGTATGTGTGGGTGAATAAATGAATTTTGATACATCACAAGCTGAAAATCAGAAATGGAATTATGAAGCCCTTACAGTCAGACATATTGACATTGAGAGGGAATAGCAATAAGGGAAAGCAAACAAAAATACAGATCTGGAACTGTTGCACAGTACAACAATGGCTTTTTATAGTGATGATAATGAGTCATCAAAGGCTACATTATATATGATTTTGTCTAAAAAAATAAGGCATTAAAATATGAGTAAGATATTTTAGCAAAAAAAAAATTCTATCAGAAATATTTGAAAGGCAGCACAAGGAGAAAAGATAACATTTGTTGTATGGCCCTATATCCCAGGCATTTTAATATATTTGCTTCATTTAATTTTGAAAGCAGCCTCTTAAAGTCAGTATTACTATTCCATTTCACAGATGAGGAAACTTGAGTCCCAGAGAGGTTGACTTGCCCAAGGCTACATAGATATTAAGTCAGAAAGCCAAGAATCAGACCTAGGTGTATCATACCCAAGTTGGGGGACATTCTGCACAATAACTGACTAATATTTTTCAAAAACGTCAATATCATGAAAGACAAGGAAAAAGTGAGGAACTGTCACAGAATGGAGGAGACTAAGGACACATAACAATTAAATGTAATGTATGATCCTGGACCAGAAAAAGGACATCAATGGGAAAACTTGGAAATTCAAGTAAGATCTATAGAATAGTCTGTTTTATTGGCTCAATGTTAATTTCCTCCTTTCAATTATTATACTATGTTTTTGTAAGATGTTAACAGTAAGGGACACTGGGTTAAAGGAATGCTCTATTTTTGCAACATATTTGTTTACTTAAAATTATTTCAAAACAAGAATGAAAAAAAATAACTTCATGCTCTCCTATCATTTCATACTGCATCATCTGGAAGAATTTACTCCATGAAGCTTATTCTATGTTGGTAGTGGAATAAGAGACATTACTTTGAACAGAACAAGTAATGAAAGAGAATGGCATTTGAAATGTGAGGGAATGAACAAGAAGACTTAAAGAAAGAATCTTGGTTCTGCATATGTATAGATGTCATATGTCATAATATAGATGACATATTGTCTCAGTCCAGGCTGCAATTACAAAATACCATAGACTGGATGGCTTATAAACACAGTAATTTATTTCTCACATTCTGTAGTCTGGAAGTTCAAGATCAAAGTACCACCATAGGTTATGGTGAGGGCCCTCTTCCAGGTTTCAAACTGCTGACTTGTCACTTTATCCCCAGATGGTGAAAAGAGTGCAAGCTAATTCTCTGGCCTCTTTTTATAAGGGCACTAATCCCATTCATGAGGATTCCATCCTTATGACCAAATTACCTCCCACAGGCCCCGTCTCCAGATATCACCACATTAAACATTATATTTCAACATGTGAATTTAGGAGGGACACAGCATTCGGACCCTAGTACATACAGTAAATGATATGATAGCAGCCTGTATAGAGTACTATGGGAGCACAGAGAAAGATATTCAGTGATCCTCCCTGAGACATCACAAAAGAGGGACATTTGAGTTAGTTCTCAGCTCCTCATAATAGCTCTCATTTATTAAGTACCAACCATGGGCCTGGAGCTTGTGGGTACCTTGATCATTTTCTTCTTCTTTGAAAGCCTAGTTCCCTTTGAATAATAAAGCCCTAGTTCCCTTTGAATAACCTTCGTTGTAACCTAAGGTTTCTTGACCTCAGAAAAGCTTTTAATCTCTCAATGGATTTGACCACATTCTATGTTTATTCTGCCCATGAATTTTGCTTAGTTTGGAACTGGGATCCTGGGACATTAGTTTGCCAAACACATTTGAACCTTTTTTTTCTTATACATGGCACTTTCTGAGTTTTTTCATTCCTTTTGGGCTCTTTATTTTATCGCTGTCAATTCTTACTGTTGCTGTAACTGGGTTTGTGGCAGTGAGTGAAGGAGGAAGTGTTTCCTGGTTTGGGGTGGTTGGTGATGGTGATTTTTATGTTTCTGAAAATCACTTGAGTGTATTTTCATTTTTCTTGCTAACTGGTTTTGATGTACATGTAACTGAAATATGGACCACTGACTTATTAGTATCCTTTAAATAAGGGATTAAAAAATAGTTGTCAATACATTTTCCAACAAGAATAGAAAAAAGCATAAAAGAAGCTAATTAATTGTGATCTGGTGTTATTTATAAGACAACTGATTATCATCAGGTACTGTTGTCTTTCTGGTTATGTTTAGCAAACCCAGATGGTTTAGGAGACATTTTTCTTCTAGCCACTTGGAGTTTGTTTTGGCACTCTTGTATTTCATTTTAATTACTATTTCCAAAGCATTGTCCAGATGCCTGGGTTACAGAGGTGAACTGGACACAGTTCCATCACTCTAGAAGCACACAGTTAAGGAAGGAAGAAATTGCATATGCAAATATTAATGACTATAGGAAGGGATGAGAAGTTCTATAATGTTATCAGAACTACAACGTAGCTCAGACAACCTAGTAGAGTACCTAGCACATAATAGGTGCTTGTTCAGTATTTGATGAATGAATGAATAAATTCTGACTTGGGGAATTGGGAAGATTTGAGGGAAGAAGTTTAATTCGATCATACCTTGAATACTTTGAACCAAGGAGTTCAAAGCTACAGTGGGCCATGATTGTGCCACTGCACTGCAGTCTCAGCAACAGAGTGAGATCCTGTCTTTAAAAAAAAAAAAAAAAGACACCCCAACTCTCAGCTTCTCCTCTGGGAGGGAGAGAGAAGAGTGGGGCATGTGGACAATATCCCAGCTTTTTGGAAGGCTGCCTGAGAGATTGCTATCTGTCTTGCCTGACTTGGGGCTAGCATACTTTGGATGCTGCTGAGAACAACAAAAACAGGGAGGCTTGCTGCCATAAAACTAGAGAACGTGCAATGTGTATTAGTCTGTTTTCACACTACTATAAAGAACTCCCTGAGACTGGGTAATTTATAAAGAAAGAGGTTTAATTGACTCACAGTTCTGCAGGCTGTACAGTCCTTGAGAAACTTACAATCATGGCAGAAGACAAAGGGGAAGCAGGTACATTTTACATGGCTGGAGAAGGAGGAGGAGAGTGAAGGAGGAGATGCTACACACTTTTAAACAACTGATCTTGTAAAAACTCACTATCACAAGAACAGCAAGGGGGAAATCTGCCTCCATGATCCAGTCACCTCCCACCAGGCCCTTCCTCCAACATTGAAGGTTACAATTCAACATGACATCTGGGCAGGGACGCAAATCCAAACCATATCACAGTGCTAAAGACAGATACCAGAGAAAGGAAGAGATTATGATCACTTGAATAAGAAAGCAGCAAGCATCTCTAGTTGAGAAATTGCATACATTGGCCTAGAGAAGTTGTATCCCCCCCAAAGTTTTCAGAGGCCCCCAGAACCCCTAGCTGAGCTCATTAGTGAGGGTTTTCCATACTACAAAAGCCAGTTCATAAAGACTGGAAGAAGTGGCTTTTTTTGTCAAGTGCACAGATCCCAACAAAGCTTTCGAGACGTAGAAGAAACAGGGAAACATGGCCCAAAGAAAGGAGCAAAATAAATCTTCACAAACCAATCCTAAAGAAACAAAGACATGAATTACCTGACAAAGAATTCAAAATAGCCCTCATAAAGATGCTGTATGAGCTCAAGGTAACAATGCATGAGCAAAATGAGAATATCAACAAAGAGACAGAAAATACAAAAAAAAAAAAAAAAAAAAAAAGAAGAACCAACCAATTTTGGAACTGAAGAATACAATAGCTACACTGAAAAATTCACAATAGGGGTTCAACAGCAGACTCAGTCAAGCAGAAGAGAGAAACAGCAAACTCAAGACAAGTTATTTGACATTATCCACCCAGAGGAACAAAAAGAAAAAGAATGAGAAAGAGTGATGAAAGCCTAAGGGATTTGTGGCATACCATCAAGCCAACCCATTATACACATTATGGAAAGTTCACAAGAAGAAGAGAGAAAGGAATGGGCAGAAAGTTTACTTAAATAGTGACCCAAAACTTCCCAAATCTGGGAAAGAAAATGGACATCCAGATTCAAGAAGACTAAAGGACCCCAAATAAGATCAACATAAACACACACCAAGACACATTATAATAAAATTGTCAAACTCTCAAAGACAGTAAGAGAATTTTGAAAACAAGAAAAAAGTGACTTGTCGTGTACTAGGGAACACACATCAGACTATCAACATATTTCTCAGCAGAAACCCTGTAGGCCAGAAGGGAGTGGAGGGATATATTCAAAGGGCCAATTAACTGATCTTTGACAAGATTGCCAGGAATACACAGCAGAAAAAAGGTAGTCTTCAATAAACTGTGTTGGAAAAACTGGATATCCACATGCAAAAGAATGATATGGGACCCTTATCTTATACCATACACAAAAATAAACTCAAAATTGATTAAACACTTAAATGTAAGACTTGAACTAAAAAAACTCCAAATTAAAACATAGGGGAAAACCTTCATAACATTGATCTTGACTGTGATTTATCAGATATGACACCAAAGCAGGGGCAACAAAAGCCAAAAATAGATAAATGAGATTACATTAAACTAAAAAGCTTCCGCATCAGAGTCACAATCAACAGTGCAGAAAGGCAATGTACAGAATGAAAGAAAATATTTGTAAACCGTATGTCTGATAAAGGGGTGCTGTGGGCTGAATGTTTGTATCCCCAGAATTAGTATGTTGAAACCTAATCACCACTGTGATGGCATTAGGAGGAGGAGCCTTTGAAAGGTGATTCCATCATGAGGACAAAGCCCTCATGAATACTTTCAGAACCCTTATAAAAGATGCCCCAGAGAGCTGCCTTGCCCCTTCTGTCAGGTGAGGTCACAGCTGGAAAGCGCCTTCTATGAACCAGAAAGCACCACTTCTGCCAGCATCTTGATCTCAGGACTTCCTAACTTCCTGAACTGTGAGAAATAAATTTCTGTTTGTTGTTTATAACAGTATTTTGTTATAGCAGCTCAAATGGAATAAGTCAGACGTTAATATCCAAATATATAAAGAACTACAACTCAATAGCAAAAATATATGATAATCAATTAAAAATGAGAAAAGGGCTTAAATAGACATTTCTTCAAAGAAAATACACAGTTGAACAACACGTATATGAAAAGATGACCAAAATCACTAATCACTGTGAAAATGCAAATCAAAACCACAATGAGATATCACCTCATGCCTGTTAGGATGGCTGTTATAAAACAAATCAGAAAATAAGTATTGGTAGGAGTGTGGTGAAATTGGAAATGTTGTGCACTTTTGGTGCAGGCACTAAGGAAAAAAGTATGGAAGTTCCTAAAAAAAATTAAAAAGAGAACTACCATATGATTCATCAATCCTGCTTCTGGGTACGTATTCAAAATAATTAAAATTGGGATCTTGAATAGATATCTGCACTGCCATGTTCACCTCGGCATTATTCACAAGAGCCAAGAGGTGGAAATACCTAAATATTCATCAACAAATGAGTGGATAAAGAAAACGTGGCATATACAATTGACTCTTAAACACTACAAGTTTGAACTGCATAGGTCTATTTATGCATAGTTTTTTTTTCAACCAAACATGGATCAAAAATGCAGTCTCCATGGGATACAAAACCCACACATATGTAGGACTGACTTTTCATATATGCAGCTTCCACAGAGCTGACTGCAGGACTTGAGAATATGCAGATTTGGGTATACACAGGGAGCACTGAACCAATCGCCTGTGTATACTGAGGGACAACTGTACAAACAATGGAATATTAATCAACCTTAAAAAAGAAGGGAATTCTGTCATATGCTATAATGTATAAACCTTGATGATGCTATAAGTGAAATAAGCCAATTACAAAAACAGAAATACTGCATGATTCTACTTAAATGACATATCTAAAAGAATCAGCCTCATAGAAACAAAGTAGAATGGTGGTTGCCAGGGACCAAGGGGAGGGGGAAGCAGAGTTGTTTAATAGGTTTAGCGTTTCAGTCAAGTGAGATGAAAAAGTTCTAGAGACCCATTTTACAACAATGTGCATATAGTTAACAATATTGTAATATGCACCTAAAAATTGATAAAGAAAATTTATATGTCTTTTTACAAAAAAAAAAAAAAAAAAGACCAGTGAAAGTACTACTGAGTGCTGTGAAAATAGATGGATAAGCTTTTAATGTTGGGCAAGATCTAAACAGTCCAATATACTGATGAGCAAATTGAGATGTGGAAAAGGATCACAGAGCTACCTAGTGGCAGAACCATGACCTGGACCCTGGTCTTCTGAGTCCCTGACCAGGACTTCCCTTCCTATAAGCTAAATTGATGTGTCCTCATTTTCTTAAGTTGACAAATGAAACAAAGCAACAATTTTGTGACTTTAATTTTATAAGTTTAATAGTATTACTTTGGTAAGATATACTGAAAAAGCACTTAATTAAAAGATTTATAATTTCTTGATGTTTCATTGCATTTTAAAAGGCATTAAATATTTTATTAGCAGTCTTATTTTTAATTCATAGTGACCTGTTCCTTATGAAATATTTAATGAATATGCTGATAAATTGTGTGTATGTATTTTTGGGAGCCAAGGAGATTGTTAATTGAAAAGTGATGTACTAACCTTAAATAATTGATATGATACTGTTGAATCAGAGAGGCTGCTGGTGAGCTCTTCAGAAGGTGACAAGAAAGCCCTGGATACAAACAAAGGAAATCTAAGTGCAACCTTACAGCAAGGGGATTGTTTTTCACTTAGTCATGTGCAGAGCCATCCAGGTGCCTGTTGATTTTCATTACAGCAGCAAGGCCTGGAACTCTCCATTCACCACATTGTTTCTTTATATTGAGTTGCCAGAACATAGACTCCATAGTTAATTACATGGGAGCAAAAATCCCTCAACACTACAGGTAACAGTACTCTTCCAGTTGCATCTTGTTTCCTTCTTTCCTCACTATATAGTACGGTACTTGCTCAGCATATCTAGGACACGTTGCCTTTTCCTTCAGCAGAAGTGTGAACTCTGTTTATGTCTCCTGTGCCATATGTCTTATTGACACAGAATTTCAAAACTGGAGAGGAGGTCTTCATAGTATGTAGTCTATTTCAGTCCACTCGTTTTATAGATGAGGATAATGGACTTCAAAAGAGGAGAGGGATGGGAGATATGTGGGGTTGGATACTTGCCCAAGTTCTACAGCCTGTTAACACTATAACTGGGATGCAAATTCAGGTCTCCTAAATCCTAAGTTAACTTTCTATTATTTTACTTAACGGACTGCCCATTTTTAAAGTTGGTGAGAACAGTTAAGGGATGTTGTGTGTATAGAGCTTTACTCTCAAAGCTACATTCAGAATTCAGCTGGTAAAAGAACATGGGCCAGATTTTAACTCAGATTGCCTTTCTACTACATTCATATGAAATAGTATCCTCACCACCATTATCACTATCACCTAAAATAATTAAATGACTACTTGAGGGAGAAGCTGACACTTGTACCTTCATCAGTGTAAAAAATATGTCACACTGCTTACAAATACTGATAGATAAAGCAAACAAAATTATTAAAGGTGTAAAAGGTTTCAGTAAAACAATTAACAGTTTAATGCACATAGAATCCTATGTACAACATTAGAGAATATATATTCTCTATAAGCACATATGGAAGATGTATAAGAATTATTCACTAAGCCATAAGCAAGTATTATCAAATTTGAAAGAATCCACATCATAGAAGATGACCCAGTTCTGCTTCAGTTATGGATGAATAAGCTCCTATCGGACTGACCCTCCTGCAGACAACAAATGTAAATGCTGAGTAAAGTATGTGAAAACAAATACCTGAAAAGTACTAAGGACCAATGAAAAGCAGATCCTGATGGGAATAGTCACTTGGAAGAAAGGAACAGCGTTGGGTAAGTTTCCTGGTTGTATGGCTTTCAGCATGAGGGCAGGCTACAGTTGGTGCCACATGGGCTGGCTAGAACTCAATAGAAAATCCACAATCTTTTTATCCTGAAGAACCAGAGGACAGAATTCAGGGCAAAGACAAGTGCTAGAATGTTAGGAGGATATTCAGGAGGAGAAAAGCTACAAAGGGATATCCCCTAAGTATTTACAAATACCTGCATGATTCTGAATATACTGTACATGTATGAGACAACTCCGTATAACTCAGCTAAAGACAAGAAAACTGGGATTTGAGCTGCTATTCACTAGTAGAGTTTTGCAGTTTGAGTCCAACAAAGTCAAATGGCTACTTTAAAAAGAAAATATCAACACCTGTAAGAGAAATATAGCAGAATCCAGATTCTTCATGACATAGCATTCACAGTGTTTGGGATTTCTTGACATAAAGAGAAAGAAGATGTGCATTATTTTCAAGAGTTAAGGCAATTAACAGAGGCCAATCCTGAGATGACACAGATGTTAGAATTAGCAAACAAGGATATTAAAACAACTTTATGACTCAGCTCAATGACAGAAAGAAAAATGTGCTGATAATGAAGGATATGAAATATCACAGAAGTAAAAACATAATAAAGAATCAAACAGAAATTTAAAAACTAGAAAATACAATACCTGAAATAAAAAACTTACTATATGAATTAATAAATGAGAAAGAATGATGAAAAACAGAAAAATCACCATTAGGCAAAAACCAAAGTAATAAATATTGCAGGAGAGAATCATCAGTGGATGCAAAAATTAGTGGACAAATGTAGGATGAGAAAGAGGATATTTGCATAATCTCAAAATAATTTCCCACAAAATAATCTTTTTTGTAAAAAAAAAAAAAAAGTTGGGTAATAGTAACTTCACAGTGAAAACCTTGGTAGACACCACTTTAACCAAGTTATCAAAACTAACATCACTACTACTGATGTTGCTATGTCAACGTCAGTACCCTCTGATAATAATACATGTTTACAAGCTCACAGCATCACTTCTATGATATTCTTGCCAAAAGTGCATAACCACCATCAAATTATGAGAAAACATCAGACCAAAAATTAAGGGGCATTTTACAAAATAACTAACCAAAGCTATTTCAAATATAAAGACTGAAAAACATATTAGAGGAGACTAAAGAGGTATGACAATTCATTATGGAATCTTGGATTGGATCCTGGACTGCAAAAAAGAATGTTAGTGGGGAAACTGGCAAAACTCTTATAAGGTCTGTAGATAAGTTCATTGTTTTGAGCCAGTGTTAATTTTCTGGTTTTGGTAATTGTGCTGTAGTTGTGTAGGATATTAACATTAAGGAAAGCTAAGAGAAGCCTAAAAGTGCTTACCAAAAGTTTTAAATTGTTAAAAATTCACTAGATGGGTTTAACAGCAGGTTGGAGATGACAGAGGAAAGGGTCATTAAACTTGAAGTTACATCAATAGGAATTAATGTAGTCTGAAGAATGGAAAGAGAATTTAAAAGGGAACAGAGCTTAGAGACTTATGAGACAGTATGAAACAGTGTAACGTACATATCACTGGATATCCAAAAGGAGAAGAGAGAATGAGACATGAACATTTTTTTGTAAAAAATAGTGGCTAAAATATTTTCCAATTTTAGTGAAAGACATAAATACGCAGATTCAAGAAGCTCAGAAAAGGAAGTTAAATTGTCCCCATTTGCAGTTGGCATGATCTTATATTTAGAAAAACCCAGACTCCACCAAAAAACTCTTAGATCTGATGAATGAATTCAGTAAAGTTGCAGAATACAAAATCAACTTATAAAAATCGGTAACATTTCTATACACCAATGATGAAATAGCTGAAAAATTAAGAAGGCAATCCCTTCTATAATAGCTATAAAAATAAAATTCTTAGGAATGAATTTAGCCAAAAAGGTGAAAGACATCTACAAGGAAAACTACAAAACTCTGAGAAAGAAACTGATGAGGACCGAGGAAAGATATCCATGCTCATGGATCAGAATAATTAATGTAATAAAATGACTATACTACCTAAAGAAACCTACAGATTTAGTGCAATCCCTATCAAAACACCAATTTCATTTTTCATAGAAACAGAAAAAAAATCATATATTACAAGGCCACAGTAACCAAAACAGCATGATGTTGGTATAAAAACAGCCATACAGATCGATGGAAGAGAAAAGAGAACCCAGAAATAAATCCACTTATTTGCAGCCAACTGATTTTTGACAAGATGCCAAGAACATACACTGGGGAATGGACACCCTCTTTAGTAAGTGGTGCTGGGAAAACTGGATAACCACATGCAGAATAATGAAACTAGACCCCTATCTCTCACCATTACAAAAATCAACTCAAAATGAATTACAGACCTAAACAAAAGACTAAAATTATAAAACTGCTAGAAGAAAACATAAGGGAAACTCTGCTGGACATTAGTCTAGGCAAAGATTTTATAGCTAAGACCTCAAAAGTACAGGCAACAAAAATAGACAAATGGACTATATTAAACTAAAAACCTTTTACACAGCAAAGGAAACAATCAACAGAGTGAAGAGACAAACTATTGAAAGGGAGAAAATATTTACAAACTATTCATCCAACAAGCAATTAATATCCAGAGTATACAACAGCAAAAAAAAAAAACCCTAATAATTCCATTAAAAAGTGAGCAAAAGACATGAATAGATATTTCACATAAGATGTACAGATAGCCAACAGGTATATGAAAAACAGCTGAACGTCACTAATCATCAAGAGAATGCAAATCAAAATCACAATGAGATGTCATCTTACTCCAGTTAGAATATATACAGAATATGTATATATGCACACACACATAATGGAATACTACTTAGCCATAGAAAAGAATGACATCCTGTCATTTGCAAAAACGTAGATGGAACTGGAAGTCGTTACGTCAAGTGAAATAAGCGAGGCACAAAAAGACAAATACCACATGTTCTGACCCATGTGGGAGCTAAAAAAAGTTTAATTCAGCCAGGCACAGTGGCTCATTCCTGCAATCCCAGCAATTTGGAAGGCCAAGGCAGGAGGGTCACTTGAGCCCAGGAGTTTTGAGACCAGCCTTGGCAACATAGTCCATCTCTACAAAAAATAAAAAAGAATTTGCCAGGCATGGTGGCACATGCCTGTAGTCCCAGCTACCTGGGAGGCTGAGATGAGAGGATTGCTTGAGCCCAGGAGGTCAAGGCTGCAGTGAGCCTTGATTATGCCACTGCATCCCAGCTTGGACAACAGAATGAAACCTTGTCTCAATGAATAAATAAATAAATAAGTTGATCGTATGGAGATAGAGAGTAGAAAGTTAGTTATTATTAGAGGCCTGGAAGGGTGTGTGGTGACAGGGGCAGATAAAAGAGAGATTGGTTGATGGGTACAAACATACAGTTAAATAGAAGGAATAAGTTCCAGTGTTCAGTAGCAGAGCAGGGTGACCGTAGTTTACAACAGTGTATTGTATATTTCAAAATAGCTGGAAGACAGGTCGTGAAATGTTCCCAGCACCTAGAAATGATAAATGCTTGAGGTAATAGATGCCCTAAATATCCTGACTTGATCATTACACATGACCAAAATACCACATGTACTCCATGAAATGTACAAATATTATATATTGGGTTTTTAAAGCTAGAAACAAAAGAGAAGCTCAGAAACTCCAAAAGGTCTAAATACAAAGAAAATCAAGCTAGGCAAATCATAGTCAAACTGCTAAAAGGGTGTGTGTATATATGTGTATATATATGTGTGTGTGTGTGTGTATGTTTGTATTTGTGGATATATATATATGTGTGTGTATATATACACTTTCAAAATATTCTCTCTCTATATATGATTTTCTCTCTCTACATATATAATTTTTCTCTCTCTCTTTCCCTTTATATACACGCACACACACACACAATGGAGTATGTGGAGTCTGTATGTGTGGGTATATGTGTGTGTGTGTATATATATCTATAAGGAGAATATATAGTGAGAGAATATATAAAGAGAGAGTATCTTGAAAGTAGACAAATTTCATATAGGTAAATAATTCATATAATGTCTTCTTAGCAGAGGCCAGAAGACAGTGACCATCTTTAGAGTGCTTAAAGAAGAAACAAACATCAATCTGGAATTCTATATCCATCAAAATATCCTTCAAGAATAAATGTGAAATAAATACATTTTCATATTAAATATATATACACCTCCGAGAATTTGTTGACAACAGACCTGCACTACTAGAAATGCTAAAGGAAGTTCTTCAGGCTGAAGGGAAATGATACCCAGTGAAAATTTCTATCTTCAGGAAATGATAAAGAGCAGTGGAAACAGACTCTGTATTTATTTTAAAATTTTAAAAAATACATGTGATGGTTAAATTTTACTTTAAAATTTTACTTTAAAAGTCAAATTTTACTTTAAAAGTTAAATTTTTCATTTTGTTCTGTGAGTTTATGACATATGTAAAGTGTACTGCATATTATTATAATATAGAGAATGGGAAGGACAGAAAATGAACCCATGAGCTTACAAGCTTTCTACACTTTACACACAGTGCTACAATACCAGCTTAAGGAGACTGTGAGAAGTTAAGGTTGTGTGTTGTAACTCCTTCAAGCAACCACTAGCAAAATAACTTAGAAGCCAATGGTAAATTAAAATAGGATTCTAAAATATATTCAGATATTCCAAAAGGATATTCCAAAAGAAGAAAGGAAAAAAGGAATTAGAGAATAAAACACAGAGGGGACAAACAGAAAAGAAATAATAAAACAGTAGACCTAAACCCAATGTGTCAATAATTAAATGTATAAAGCCAGCTGTGCGTGGTGGCTCATGCCTATAATCCCAGCTCTGTGGGAGGCCGAGGCCGACGGATCACAAGGTCAGGAGATCGAGACCATCCTGGCTAACACAGTGAAACCCCTTCTCTACTAAAAATACAAAAAAATTAGCTGGGCATGGTGGCAGGCACCTGTAGTCCCAGCTGCTTGGGAGGCCGAGGCAGGAGAATCACTTGAACCCGGGAGGCGGAGGTTGCGGCGAGCCAAGATTGTGCCACTGCACTCCAGCCTGGGTGACCAAGCGAGACTCCATCTAAAAAAAAAAAAAAAGTGTGTAAAGCCCTCCGGTTACAAGGCAGAAACTGCTGGAATGGATAAAAAGACCTAACCATGTGCTCTATCTACATGAGATGCATTTAAAATATAAAGACCAAACCCATATAAATACAGGTTGAAAGTGGATAAAAAGACATACATAGTAAGCATAAGAAGTAGCTATATTAATATCAGAGTAGAATTTAATATCACTGTATTAGTATGCAAAGAGGCATTGCCTATTAATAGGATATCAAATCAACAGGAAGATATAACAGTCATAAATGTGTATACTACAAAATACATGAAGCAAAAATTGACAGAATATAAGGGAGAAAGAAACAATTTCCATATGAGAATTTCCATTCTCAGAGATGGATATTTTAACAGACCTCTTTCAGCAACTGATACAATAACTAGACCAAAGAAATCAGTAAAAATATACATGATATGAACAATACCATTATCAACCACTTTGACCTAATTGATGTTTGTAGATCACTGCACCTAGCAACTGTAGAATACACACATTCTTTCTGAGCATACTGAGGATGTTCAAGATACACTATATGCTGGACCATAAGACAGTTTTAATACATTTAAAGAGCTTGAAATCATTGAAAATATGTCCTCTGAAGACAGTGGGATGAAGTTAGAACTCAATATTATGTATCTACAAATTCACAAAGAAATGAGAAAATATTTTGAACTGAAAAGTATTTTCAATGAAAATATAGCATCAGGAAACAACAGATGTTGGCAAGGATGTGGAGAAATAGGAACGCTTTTACACTGCAGGTGGGAGTGTAAATTAGTTCAACCATTGTGGAAGAAAGTGTGGCAATTCCCCAAGGATCTAGAACCAGAAATATCATTTGACCCAGCAATTCCATCACTGGGTATATAACCCAAGGATCATAAATCATTCTACTATAAAGACACATGCACACATATGTTTATTGAAGCACTATTTACAATAGCAAAGACTTGGAACCAACCCAAATGCTCATCAATGATAGACTGGATAAAGAAAATGTGGCACATATACACCATGGAATACTACGCAGCCATAAAACAGAATTCTGAGTTCATGTCCTTTGCAGGGACATGGATGAAGCTGGAAACCATCATCTTCAGCAAAGTAAGAGAAAACCAAACACGGCATGTTCTCACTCATAAGTGGGAGTTGAACAATGAGATTACATGGACACAGGGAGGGGAACATCACACACCAGGGCCTGTCAGGAGTTGGGGGGCAAAGGGAGAGAGAGCATTAGGACAAAAACCTAATGCATGTGGGCTTAAAACCTTGATGACAGGTTGATAGGTGCAGCAAACCACCACGGCACGTGTATACCTATGTAACCTGCACGTTCAGCACATGTATCCCAGAACTTAAAGTAAAATAAAAATAAAAAATAAAAATTAAAAAAGTTAAAAAATACTAGGTGTGGTGGTGTACATCTATAATTCCAGCTTCTCAGAAGGCTGAGATAGAATTGCTTGAGCACAAGAGTTCAAAGCTGTGGTGCATTATGATAACACCTGTGAATAGCCACTGCTTTCCAGCCTGGGCAACATAGCGAGACCCAGCTCTTTAAAAAAAACAATGCTTACAGGAAAGTTTATACCTTTAAATAGAAGTATTATACAATTAGTGCGTTCTGAATATAATGCAGTTAAGGTAGAAACCAATGAAGATAAAGATCCATATATACATTTAGAAATTTAGAGATTCCCATAATAAACTCAAGAGCAATAAACTACAAGTTTTTAAAACCTAAAATGGAAAAATAGTGAAATCAAAACATCGAGTTGTACACCTGAAGTATATACAATTTTTATTTGTCAACTATACGCCAGTAAAGCTGGAGGAACGGAAATAACAACAATGAAAATACTGCATATCAAAATGTTTGGGATGCAGTTAAAGCAAAACCATTAAAAATGGTAAATTCTTAAGTACTTAGGCTTCATAAATTAGAATTGATCAAGAAGAAAGAAGAGGCACAAATAATGAATAAAATGGGAAATTTAACTACAGGTTGAGGAATAATTAAAAAGTTAAGAAAATACTTTGAACAGCTTTATACCAGTGCATTTGAAAGCTTTAACGAATTTAAATTCCTAGAAAAATATAACTCACCAGACTAACTCAAGAAGAAATAGAAAGCCTGAATAATTTTTTAACCATTAAATAAATTATTTAAAATCTACCTATTAAAAAAAAAAGCACCAGGCCTAAATAATGCTATGGCCAACTTCCAGCAAACGTTCCAGGAACAAGATCATTTCAATGTTAAATTATGCCAGGAAGATAAAATGTGTGATTTCTTCACAGTTCATTTTTTTAAGACCACTATAACCTTGGTAACAAAACCAGACAAGGATGGTGCAAGAAAAAAAATTACAAGCCAGTCTCTCTCATGAACCAAGATGTCAAAATTCTAAAAATATTAGTAAATTCAATGAATTATAAAAATGAGATATTTTTACAAAGTGTGAAAGCAAGCAAAACTAAACGTTATATTCTCTAGGGACACATTTATGTAATAAAATCTTTGTTTAAGCAAGGGAATGATAAACACAAAATCATGATAATGGTTACTAGGTTAGGGAGATGGGGAATGAGATAGTAGAAGAGCCAAAAATAAATTAAATGTATTGATATTATTCCCGTTAAATTATTTAAATTTTACTTAAAAAATTAAAGCCACAGTTGTAGTCTTCTTGGAATTTATGATCAGTGGATAGCTCAAACAAGCGGTCAAATACAATATCTCTTAAGGATTATGATGAGTCAGGACAGTGCTGATTTTCAGGGGTCAGAGGAAAGTTCCTAGAGAAAGTAATATCTAAACTGAGACCTGAAGGATAAGTAGTAATGTGATCATCTAAGAAAACAATAAGAAAAAAAAACATCCTTAGCAAAATTTATAACCCAAGTGAAAGGAAGGGGGATGGGTGCTAAGTGGTGAGAGCTCTAGCCGGTGACATAAGTAGGGATCCGCTAGTGAAGGATACTAAGTCAGTGATAATAGGACATAGCCTTAGCTCTTTCCCTACAGATGCTTGCTTGTCTCTCAGGTTTCAAATATGAGGAAAGAATGTACTTACTGTACTACTACATATTGGAAAATAATGCCCTGTATTTTAAATAGACACAGATGATAACTGATCTGTCAGTTTAAGCAGGAAGACCTGTATCTCGGATCATTCTCCAAGTATCTTTCTGCCACTTTTTACCAGTGAGAGAGAAGTATTTATTTTGTTTATTAAATACTTATGCCATACCCATCTCCCAAGAAGAATGAATGTTTGTTGAGAAACAGGATATTTGCCTAATTTCAAAGTATAGTATATTCCTACAAAATTGTTATTAATTGCAAAGTAAAAGAGTAACTTTCTAGTGAAAAAACCTGGCACACACCACCTTACCAAATGATCAAAGTAAACAGTATCAGTTATGCACAAATCAGAACTGTCTGCTACCTGATAGGCTGCAATGAAAATAACACAGCGTTGCTTCTGTAATATTTCTGCCAAAGATAATATAATCTGAATCTAATTATGAGGAAACATCCTACATACCTAAATTTTAGGACATACCTCAAAATAACCTGTAATCTTCAAAAGTTTGAAAATCATGAAAGTTCAAGGAGTCACTGAGGAGTTTTCTAGACTGGTAGTAATAAGAGACATGACAACTAATTAGAACACAATTCTGAACCAGATCCTTTTGCTATAGACAACATTAATGGGACAACTGGCAAATTTTGAATGGGCTCTGAGGTTTAGATGGTGACAAAGAATCAGTGTTCATTTCCTGACTGATGAATATCTTGTAATGTAGGAGAATGTCCCTTCATTGGAAATACACAAAAGTATTTAGTGGTGATGGGGCATCATGTGAGTATCCTCACAAGGTTCAGGGAAAAAGGTCCTCTTAGCTGGGTTCAGTAGCTCTCACCTGTAATCCCAGCAACTCAGGAGGCTGAGGCAGGAGGATCGCTGGAGGCCAGCAGTTTGAAACCAGCCTGGGCAACATAGCAAGACCCCATCACTACAAACATTTTTTAAAAATTTAGCTGGGTGTGGTGGCACACACCCGTAATCCCAGCCACTCACTGGGCTGAAGTAGAAGGATCACTTGGGCCCAAGAGATTGAGGTTGCAGTAGGCTATAATTGCACCAGTGCATTCTACCCCGGGCAACTCTATCTCTAAAAAAAAAAAAAGTTCTTTGAACTATACTTGCAGTTATTCTAATAGTTGAGGCTATATGCACACAAAAACACACAAATATTTTAACAAAATACAAAAATAAAAGTTTTGGAAACCTGGAATGAGTTGATAAGAATTTTGTGATTCCATCAGCTACATACATTGACCTCAATAGCTGAAACACAGAATAACTTAAAACTAGGGCTTATTTCTTGGAGCTGAAATACGGCGTTCAACTTAAAATGTCTTCCTTATGGGAAAATGATTGTTCTTATGAAAGGAAAGTGAAGCTTTCATAGTAGACTGTTTAGCTATATCACTGAAACACATTTAAAATCCTTGCAGAGGAATTTCTAAAACACCTAACTCATACTATGAAAATTCCTCGAAGGGGATGACAGCTATTCAGTGTATACTTTGTGCCAATTTGAACAAAACGCTGATGTTATTTAATATGAAGATTTAGGAAAATGGGCAATCCCAGTAGCCAGGTGGGAAACCCATAGTATCCCAGGTATCTTGTGTAGAATGTTCACAGTATAGCTGCAGGGAAAAGACTACTACAACTGAAAGGCACAAAGGCCAGGATCAGCAATGCAAGGGAATAGTTCTGTTCTTTTGTGTCTAACAAGCCTGGAAATACAAGACTTGGTAACTGCTGTTTTGAAAGACTGAGAACAGAATCTTGAAATTAAGAAACCTAACAAGGGTAAGATTCATACAATACACATGTGTACATATACTCAGAAAGCAGAGAGATGAGAGAAAATGGAATAGTGGGACTAAAAGGAAGACAATAGTAGGAACTGGAAGAAGAATGAGACAGAGAGAAGAGGGAGGTTAAGGAAGGAGATAAAATGAAGAGGAAAAGAGAATAGAAGTGGATCAGGTGTGGGGGTATGTGTAGAAATTAGAATGGCAAATACAGAGAAACCCTGATTAGACCTTTCCCAATACCCTATAATAATGCAGTCACAGCCTGCCCTCTTTAAGCTTACATCCCAGTGTTGTCATGTTTGTATTTACATATAGCAAGGCATGAAGCAGTAAGTCTTCTGTCTTTTCCAGTAAATGAAAGAAAATAGTAATATCAGACATTCTAAGGTCATACACACAGCTAAGTTCCTGTTTCTGTGCCCTTTCCCACTCCTCTTGGGGTTTTATGAGATGTGGGAAATGGACTAAAAGCATTCTTTATGGTTGGCCTCTGCTCTTGTTCAGTTCATTCTTACCTGTTAAAGCAGTCTGTTTAGAGAGGAAAAAGCAGCAATATTAGGTCTCATTAACGTTTCTGACTGTGGCAAAAGTCTTAACATAGACCACACTTCAGTATGTAGTTGCATTCGTTGAAAGATAACTTGCTTTCTCTTAAGCCTTGACAATATAGTTTAACAAACTCCTGTGTTTTATAAAGTGTGCTTTAAGTTTGGCAGTTTCTTATAAACATACACTTACCCTACATCCCAGCAATCCCACTCCTAGCTATTTCTCCAAGAAAAATGAAAAACATTTCTCTACAAAAAGACTTGTACAGGAATGATCTTAGCATCCTTATTTATAAGTAAAATCCCTAAATAACACACATGTCCACGAACAGGTGAACTGATAAATTGAGGCATATTCATAGTGGAATATTTAGCAATAAAAAGGAATGAACTATTGATACAACATGGATGAATTATTCAGAATTCATGGAAACATTATTCATACTGCAGAAAGCCAGATTCAAAAATCTACCTACTGTGTGATTGCAGTTATTTGAAATTCTAGAAAATGCAAAGTCATTTATAATACAAAGCAGATCAGTGATTGCCTATGCCCACAGGGGCAAAAGGGAACATTGACTTCAAAGGGGCACAAGGAAACTTTTGGAGATGATCAAAGTGTTCTGTATCTTGATTATGATGGTTCTTACATAGACGCGTATATGTCAAAATTAATCCAAGTGTACACTTCAAATGGGTGCATTTTACAATAAAATGTATTTTTTAAATATGTGTTTACAGGCCAGGTGCAGTGGCTCATGCATGTAATCCGAACACTTTGGGAGGCCAAGGTGCATGGATCGCTGAGCCCAGGAGTTCGAGACCAGCCTGGGCAATATGACAAAACCCTATCTCTACTAAAAATACAAAAAATTAGCCAGGCGTGGTGGCACATGCCTGTAATCCCAGCTACTCAGGAGGCTGAGGCACGAGAATCGTTTGAACCAGGGAGGTGGAGGTTGCAGTGAGCCGAGATTGGGCTACTGCACTCCAGCCTGGGCAACAGAGCAAGACTCCATCTCAAAATATATATGTGTATATATATGCTTTTACAAATGTGGCAAAATGTTATCAATTGGTGAGTCTAGGTAAAGGATATACTTCATCTTATACTTCATTGTACTAGATTTAGAAGGGAAAAAAATACTCTTTCCAAAAGGCAGCAATGTAAAGACAGTAACTGAATTATTGAGGGGAATAAATAAGCCGGAGAGCTTAAGGAATACGCCATCTTCATAGAATTTTGTATCTGTTCTTTCAGACTACACTGCTACCTTCTTAATTCAGTGTCTTGATATGTATAACATCAAGAAAAAAGCTATTGATTTGCTTTCCTTATATTTTAAGTGAACGTAATTTAATTCACTTTCTTCCACTTTTGAGTGCCCTTTTCAGACAAGAATATGCTATAGTAGACATCACAAGGAATACAGAGACAATATGGTGTGGAGCTTGCTCTCAAGATACAGTGTAGCACAGGGGTTAGCAGATTCAGATCCACAGGCCAAATCACTACCTGTTTATAAATAAAGTTGTATTAAAATACAGCATTTGTTTACATAAGGCTGCTTTCTTCTTACAACAGTAGAACTGAGTAGTTGTGATGGAGACTGTATAACCTGCAAAGCATAAAATATTTACTGTCTGGCCCTTGACAGAAAAAAATAATCGCCAACTTCTGGTCTAATAGAATAGATAAGACATGGATGTTAAAAACAAAGTGTCATAAGCAAAGTAAAGATCAGCTGTTCCAAGAGGTCAGAGGAGGGAGAGATTCCTTTAAAAGGAAAGTTGGAGAAAGTTTCATTAAGGAAGTGGTATTGATAGCCAAACCTCAGTAGGAATTAGGCAGAGGGAGATTTGAGGAAACAAGTTGGTAAGTGCTGGTGCAAGAGGCGTGGAGGAAAACTTTATACATGCCCTTGAAAATCACCAGATAGAGGGAAATAAGGGCCAATTAAGCAACCTTGTACCCACTTGTCATAGAATTATAGAATATCAAGAGCTGTAAACCTTAAAGATTATCTCATATAACTATTTCAAGTTACAGTTGAGAAAACAGACTCAAAGGGATTAAATCATTCATACAAGGCCACATACAAAGTTAGTGGGGAAGCCATACTAAAATTCAGTATTTATGCCTCCACACCTTAAGCCAATATTTACTGAATTAAGCTGAATTGCTTCCCCAGAGAGACTTTCTAGGGCAAAGACTTTCATCTAAGGTATAGAATACAGATCAAAATCTGTAGAGTACATGTTTAAAATTACATATGCTCTTTCCTCCTTTGAGATTTACTACATGAAATAAGAAATGTCAGTTATGGAGATATGTTCCCCCAAATGAATATTGTGGAAGAGTAAGACCAAAACTTTTTCTAAAATCATGTATTTCACATATGGTTTAGTAGATATTTGATAGGCCTTTATAGAAAAATAAATGATATTATTTTGAAGACCATTTGTTGCTGCCTATGAATAACTTGGTAATATCTGGATTCTATGTTGGATCAGATTACCCATCCCAAGACTCACGTTTGTATTTTTCATTCCTGTGTGTGCTTCTGTCCAAACTTTGCCAAAAATTATGCCATCATTTGTCAAGTGTCAGCATTATCAAGCTTTGTTGTGTTACATCACTAAGTGCTGTCCAGTAGAAGAGAGATGATAACTCACTGGCTTCTGGTAATACTTATCACCCTTTCCTGTCACAACCAAACCTCTTAAAGAGCTGTCTGCATCCATTCTTTTCATTTCCACACTGCAGATTCACTATTCACCCACTCAGTTCGGTTTTTTCTACCACCATGCCACTCAGTTCTTTCACCAAGATCACCAGTAGATTCTAAGTTGAAAGTCTCCCCTCCTTTGGTTTGTAGAAAATCTCCCTCTGGACTTTCCTCCTGCTAGGCCATTTTGCAAATGTTGATATGTCTCAGAATACCTTTTTAGTTTTCTTCCTCCCCTTCTCCTACCAAACTGTACAATCTTCATAAACAGGGTTTCTGTGTTTGTTTGTTTCAACAAACAGCATGCCGTTTGTTTCAGCTGTTTTCTCATACACCGATGGTCCCAAGTCAGCATCTTCAAACCCTGAAACTTAGCATGCCCAGAACTGGGCATATACTCCCTCAAAATCGGCTTCCCCCACTGCATTCCCCATCCTGGTAAACAACTCTACCATATAAGCCAGAAACCTAGGAAAGTTAAACCATCCCTCCCTTCACTCTTCTTTCCCCCTTTCCCTAAATATGCAGTCAATTAGATTATTCTCCATTTCCCATCATCTTTCATTTCTAAGTAATATAATAGCCTCCTTCCCTGCTGTTAATTGTAACCCTTCCCATAGCAGCCTACATATTGTGATGAGTCATTTTTCAAAAAATGAAAACTTTTCATGTCACTTCTAGCTTAGAATCCTTCATTGTCTTACCCCTTATGCTCAGAATTGAGAGCTAAACCCCTCAGTATAGCAGGGCCTGTGTGATCTGACAGTCTCATACACCACTAGTCCAACTATCTCCAGCAACCTGCAGCTTCCTGAACACACATACTCTCTTCTGTCTTCTTTCATGCTGTTTCCTCATGTGTCCTCTTCACTACCCAACATCACCACCATCCCAGCAGGCTAAGTTTTTCCTCTTTCTGTGAGACTCAGCTCAGGGGTTACCTTCCCCAGGCACTGCACTTTGCACCTGTCCTCATAAGACCATGAGTTTACTTATCACCTGGAATTCGAATTACATTTTACTTACCTGTGAACTCTGGGAGGCAAGACCATGTTTTTCCTCTTCACCTGTTGAGTTTATCACAGAGTCGAGGACATAGTATTCAAAAAATGTTCAATGAATGAAAGCAATTGTTGTAAGCTAATGTGTTTTGTAGTTCAGATAATAATATTATTTCAGAGATAGGTGTCTAAGAATATAGGAATAACAAACTCAGTTTCAGCTATACTTTCACAACACAAAATGAGTTTGTGACCTCAGATGTTTAGGGGTCTTCCGACACACACACCAAGCCAAGTAGTCCTTCAGCAGCAAACACCTGCTGGGAGCCTCTACTTCAATTCAATTCTGACTACTTGAAGGTAGCATCATACCCACAGGTTTAGAGCTCAGTCCCACAAGACTGTCCACCACTTCAGATGCCAATCAGAAGTCTCAGGTTGTTTTACCTGTGCTTCTGACCAAATGACTATAAATCAGAGTTCCCCATGACCCTTTCCTTGGGTTTGATGAATTTGCTAGAGTGGCTTACAGAACTCAAGGAAACACTTACATTTACCAGTTTATCACAAAGGATGTTACAAAGGATACAGATGAAGAGATTTATAGGATGAGGAAAAGAAGCATGGATTACCCTCTCCAGGTGCACCACCCTCCAAGAACCTCCATGTGTTTCATGCTCCTGAAGCTCTTCAAACCCTATCCTATTGGGTTTTTATGGAAGCTTCATTCCATAGGCATGATCAATTAAATCATTAGCCATTGGTGATCAGCTTAACCTTCAGCCCTTAATACACCAGACCTAACAAACATCATGGCTTAGCGTAGTCCACCTTAAATGTGCTCAAAACACTGACATTAGCTTATAGTTGGGCAGAATTAGCTAAAACAGAGTCTGTTGTACAATGAAGTGTTGAACGTCTCATGTAATTTATTGAATCATGTACTGAAAGTGAAACAGGGAATGGATGTATAGGTACTCGAAGTATGGTTTCTATTGAACGCGTATCTCTTTCACACCATGATAAAGTCAAAAAATCATAAGTTGAACCATGGCAAGTTGGGGACTGTCTGTATATATTTCACAGTATTATGAGATTATGGATGACATACATTTCCTTTTTCATATGAATTTGTCTACTTCAGGATATGCACATAACTGCCTCTTTAAACTGTAGGGGGTTCTCCAGAATGTTAATCTCCATCCTATAAAGTGGATAGCAAAGCTTAGTGATTATCCATAACACATCTGTCCTTATAAGTTTCTATTGAGCTTGCCTGAAGAGATTAAAGGAAATTTCAGTTCCCTATATGTGCAAAAACAACCTATGAGAAAATAATAGATACTTGTATTTCACTAAAGCTCTACCTCTAAAACTTCCCCAGGTTCTTGTGCAGCTTTTGCTATGAAACATGTCTTTTGGGCAGCTATTGCAATGAGAAACAATGTTTAAATGATTCATTAGCACCAGTTGAAGCCTGGATTTTCATTTATCTAATCATGATCACTTGTTGCAGTGCCCTGGAAATAGTAATAAAACTTCCATCACGCTTGTTTAGTGCTTTATAATTTTTGAGCACTTTCACGTGTCACCTTGATTAATTTTCAGTATTGTATACTACAATAGTTAAAGACTCAGGCTCAGAAGTGAGACAGCCTGGATTGAAATCCTGACCCTGATGTGATTTAACCTCTCTGAACCCTAGTTTTCTTGTCTGAATATAGGAATAACAATATTTATGATTTGTGAGAGTGTTGTGTCGATTAAGTGAAATGATCCAGATGAGCTGTTATCATGGAACCTCACATTAAGTGCCCACTAAATGTTAGCTGCTATTACTATTATCACTACTGCCCCTTCTACCACTATTTCTACAAGAAAATTCCCTGTGCAGTAAGAGTGGATATTACCTCTGGAAGAATCAGAGGTCTTAAGAAAGGGTTAAGCACTCATGCAACGCCCCTCTCGCCATCCCTTGGTGGTGTTAGAGAAGGCTGAGTGGGAAATCGAGATTTTAATCCTCATCCAGCAGTAATGATGCACCTCCACCCGGGGTGCATGGAGACTGTATTGGAAGCCTGATTTTTTACCCCTACTGAGAGATAGTGAGATTCTCCTTCCCCAGTCACCAGGATGGTGCCAGAAGGGGCCAAGTGAGATGCCAGGACTCACCAGCTTCCTGTGGTAACAAGCCCTATCCCATCCCCTCATGTGGAAACCCCTCCTGTGGAAACCAAGTAACATGCCATCTCCAGGTGGTGATATCAGTAACATGCCATCTCCAGGTGGCTAACTCAGAAGCCTGAATTCCTGCCCTCACCTGATAATGAGGCAGCCTTCACCCCCAGCTGACAGTAATGAGGTGACACTCCCTGCCCCCCATCAGAACAGTGTCAGAGGAGGTCTTCTAAAACAAGATTTCAATAAGATACAGTCTTATCATACACAAAGTTTCCAGAATATAATTTAAAAATCACTCATCATAGAAAGAACCAGGAAAATCTCAACCTGAATGAGAAAAGACAACAGATGTTACAATTCTTACATGGATTTTAAAGCAGCCACCATAAAAATGCTTCAACATGCAATTACAAATATGCTTAAAGCAAATGAAAAAGTAGTCTCGGCAAAGAAATAGAAGATATATTTTCTCACTTACAAGTGGAAACTAAGCTATGGGTATGCAAAGGCATACAGAGTGGTATAATGAACAATGGAGACTCAGGAGGAGAAAAGGTGAGAATAGGGTAAAGGATGAAATGGGTACAGTGTACACTATTCGGGTGACAGGTGCACAAAAATCCCAGACTTCACCACTATACAGTTCATCCATGTGACCAGAAACCACTTTGATCCCTAAAGCTATTGAAATAAAATAGAAGATATAAAGAATAACCAAGTGAAATGCTATAATTGAAAACTATAATAATCCAAAATTTTAAAAGTCAATGAATGTGCTCCAATGACTGAATGGGGAGAAAGGATGAAAGAATCAATGAATTTGAAGTTAGAATGATCAAAATTACCCAATCTGAAGAACAACAGAGAAAACAGACCAAAATGTTTTAAGTGACCAGAACCTAAGGACTGATGGAGCCATAACAAGAAATCTAACATTCATGTCACCAGACTCATGGGATCTAACATTCATGTCATCAGATTCATGGAAGTAGAAAAAAGACAGGGATGAAAAAGTATTTGAAGAAATAGTAGCTGAAATGGTCCCAAATTTGGCAAAAGATGTAAATGTGTGGGTTCAAGAAGCAGAGCAGACCACAAACAGAATAAACAAAAGGTAAATTGTTGGACTTAAGCCCTAACACATAGGTAATTAGATTAAACATAAATGGTTCTGAAATAACAAAATTTTATTTAAAAATGGGAAAGATTAGTTTACAGCAGTGAGGAGAGAGGGAAAACTTGTGGAAAAACTGAATTACATAATGAACATAAAAAATGTGAACTTTATTTTTTTAACTTAAGTTCCATCAAGTTCAAGACACTTTTATAAGTGGTACTACCAGCCACCTAATTCATCCCTAAAAAACTAAGGGTCCTGGGAATTTAACCATGTCAGTGCAATCTTTTTTACATTATTAACTGAAGAAAAATGGGGCCCTTTACAGATTTTTTAAGATTAGGAAACAAGAAGTCAGAAGGAGACAAATCAGGACTGAAAGGTGGATGCCCAATGATTTCCCATCAAAACTCTTGAAAAGTTGCCTACATTTGATGAGAATAAGCAGGAGTATTGCTGTGGTGGAAAAGGACCCTCTGGTGAAGCTTTCCCAGGTGTTACTCTGCTCATGCTCTGGCTAACCTTCTCAAAACGCACTCATAATGAGCAGATGTTATCATTCTTTCACCCTCCAGAAAGTCAAAAAGCAAAATGCCTTGAGCATCCCAAAATGTTGCCATGATCTTTGCTCTTGACTGGTCCGCATTTGCTTTGACTGGGCTATTTCCACCTCTTGGTAGCCATTGCTTTGATTGTGCTTTGTCTTCAGAATCATACTGGTAAAGCCATGTCCTATTGCAGTTCTTCCAAGAAGTGCTTCAGGATCTTAATCCCCCTTGTTTAAAATTTCCATTGAAAGCTGTGCTCTTGTCTGCAGCTGAGCTGGACACAATGGTTTCGGCACTCATCAAGTGGAAAGTTTGCACAACTTTAATTTTTCAGTCAGAATTGTATAAGCTACCAGTTGAGAAGTCTGTGGTGTTAGCTGTTGTTTCTGCTATTAATCATCAGTCACCTTCAATTAGAGCACAAAATGAATTCTTTCCTTGTAAATTGATGTAGATGGTCTGCTGGTGCAGGCTTCATCTTCAACATCATGTTGTCCCTTCTTAAAACAAGTTATCCATTTGTAAACTGCTGATTTCCTTGGGCCATTGTCCCCATAAACTTTTTGTAAAACACCAGTGATTTCACAATTCTTCCACCCAAGCTTCACCATAAATTTGATGTTTGTTCTTGCTTCAATGTTAGCAGAATTCGTCTTGCTCTTAAAGGGGATCTTTTCAAATGGATGTCTTATCTTTCTTTGTGCTTCCAACTAGAGCCTCTTCAGACATGTTATAACAAGTTGGTGTAAGTTTATTTTGGTGCAAAAATAATTGAAATCCATGCATAGTTTTTTCAAAATACACATTTTTCACAAACATTTTGAAGACCTCTTATATTAAGGAGCCCCTGCACTGTTTGGGAGGATGAACTAGATAATCAACTTTAGGCTTTCCAACTCTGGGAGTCTCTGATTTTCTCCATTCATCAAGGTCCACCATCTATCATTATTTTTAGAAGGTGATTCCCTCAGTGGTGGTGTTTTTTACCCCAACTTTCGCTGTTTATCTGTCTTCTCATTTGCATCAATACACATGCCCCCACCACCTTTTTCACTGGTTTTTTAAATTATTTCCTGGTTTTTGCCTGTATTCCAGATAGATGAGATTACTTGAATAACTTCATACTCATAAATAAAGACCTACAGAATCTGAGACTTAAAAGAGGTCTCAGAGATTGAGTCCATCCTTATACTAGGAAAGATATAATGGTGTTAGGGTATATCACCTAACATGGAGTCAGATGTTTTGAATTTGAGAAGCTGCTACATTATTTGCTGACTTCAAGATCTTGTGTAAGTTGCTTAACCTTTCTGAGCCTCTGTTTTCTCATTTGCATAATAGGCATAATAATAGATATACTGGAGGGTAGCTATAAACATTTAATGGATAAATATGTATAAGGGGACCTAGCTTGCCATCTTACAGTGGACTCTCAGTAAATATTAATTAAAGCTGAATGTCCTCATTTTATACATAAGGAACTGGATACTCACAAGTCATGCTGGTAGCAGCAGGTGAGATAGAATGAGAGAGACTCAGGCCTCCCAGGACAGTGCTCCCAACACACCAAAGTTGCTATGTAAATGCCTCTAAAACCTACCCATTCTTTCATTGGACAAATATTTAGGCACTGGAACTACAGAGACAAATTGTAACTCACAGTTTAGTAGGACAAACCAGTAAGAGACATTTAAAATGTAGTATAATGAGTGCTGCAGTAAAGCACAGCATGTACAAGGTGTTTGGGAATTACAGTGAGGCACATAACTTATTTTGGGGGGTGGGGAAAAGAAAAGATGTACCTCATAGACTACAGTAACTGAAGCAGGAGTAAGAGGTGAACACGTAGGATATTGCATAGAGAAGGATTTTGCGTGCAAAATTCCTTTCTTCCTTTAATTCACTTTACACCTTTGCCCAGGATGACTAAATACTATATATATCTATATCTATATATACATGTATATATAGATAGATAGATAGATATTTAATGCTGGTTTTCTCTTTAACTTGGACCTTCTAAATATCCCAATTATTGGTTTGGTGAATTTTTTTTAGTGAAAATCAGTGTCTACATGCATTTAAAAAATATTTAGTGAACATCTACTACATGTCTGATGTTGTGTAGGCACTGGGATTGTAGCAGTGATCAAGACAAAGTCTCGCTCTCGTGGAGCTTATATTCTGAGAGAGAGAGGAAATAATGTACAGTATGTCAGGAGGTAACTATTGCACTGGAAGAAAAATAAAGTTGAGTAAGCAAGAAAGGGAAGATAGGTTTGGGGAGAGAAATATTACTTTAAATAAGACACTCTGGCATAACTTATGGATAAGATGACATTTGAATAGAGACCTAGAAGAAGTGGAGAAATTAGTCATGAGGTTACCTGGGGGAAAGATATTCCAGGCAGAGGAAATACCAGAATGCGAGCAAGAGACAGACTGACTTAGTATATTAATTTGGGGAGGAATGGATGTAGAGGATAGATCAGAAGGGCTTCCTTGGGCATCATGAGGTTTGGAGCTTTTAGTTTGCAGGAAATGAGATACCAGGGAATGTGTTGAGCAGAGGAAGTATATGATTCAACATGTATAACGAAGACTTTTGTAAGCATCATGACCACTAAGGCATACACTATAAAGTTTGCTGACATTTTATCTTGTTAGGATTTTGGCTGCATAAATATAGGCTCAAAGGCATAAATATGTTAGAAAGGGTAATGATATTTAGGATTAATTGCAGTGTCTTCTTTAATATTGTCATAACATTGTTTGTGGCATAAAAAGAAGGAGAATAGGCTGGGCACGGTGGCTCACACCTGTAATCCCAGCACTTTGGGAGGCCAAGGCGGGTGGATCACGAGGTCAGGAGATCGAGACCATCCTGGCTAACATGGTGAAACCCCGTCTCTACTAAAAATACAAAAAATTAGCCGGGCGTGGTGGCGGGTGCCTGTAGTCCCAGCTACTCAGGAGGCTGAGGTGGGAGAATGGCGTGAACCTGGGAGGCGGAGCTTGCAGTGAGCCAAGATCGTGCCACTGCACCCCAGCCTGGGCGACAGAGCCAGACTCCGTCCCCAAAAAAAAAAAAAAAAAAAACAAAAAAAAAACCAGAAGGGGAATAATTTTAAAAGATAATAGTGAGGAACTACTAGCCACTTCTATGTGATTTCCTTTTATATTTTCAAGCCATGTAAATTGTTGAGGTAAATACCTTTCATCAGTTCTATTTTTATGCATAATATAACATGGGCATACACGTTTTATAAATATCAGTGGCAAAAAGACTGTTGCATGTTTAGTGACTGTTTCGTATAGGAAATGAGGCCAACAATATAAGAACTTGTGTCTGCTGCTGGAGCCCTTCCACGTTTTTTGCCTTTTTTTTCTGTACTCTGACACTGTCTTGACAGTTTTCTAAACAATCTCTTATTGATTCTCAGTGAACCTAATTCATATTCTGAGCATTCTGTATACACTGTACAGCTTGAAAATATGTAAACCTATCTTCAGAATACTAAAAAATAGTTGTACAGAATTACCAGTAATTACTAATTTTATTTTCTCTCTCATGGAATCACATTACAGAACAATAGATTTCTATTACTAATAAAAGCATCTTTCTGTATTGCAAACAAGAATGTTGAAAGTATTTGAAACCACTTTGGCAATGGGAAAAAAGAATACATGCTTGGCTTTTAAAAGTTATAATGACTTTTAATTTAACTTCGCTGAAAACATTTTGATTCAGGGCTTGGTCCTATAAACATTGGGTTTCATTTTGGAATAAGTTTAGAGAATCGGCACCAGTATCTATTCCAGCCCTGATGATTTCTGTATCCTCAAGGAAGTCTTTTTCTCCTCTGGACCTTGGTTTCCCCAAAGATAAAATGAAAAGATTTGATTCTAAGATTTTTTTCTATATCTAAAACTGTATGAAATATCTACAAATTTTTAAAAGGTCAAATATCTTTTGAGGGGAATGGGAAATTTTACAATAAGATTATGTACATGAAATCACTGTATAATAAGCTGCTATTATAAGAGTAAGATAATGACCACTCTAGTGTATTCTAAAGAAATATTCTAAAGGAAATACCTTTCATCCATTTGAAAAGAAAGCATGGTTTTAGATTTCTGCCTGAGGGGTGAGAGATTCAGAAGGACCAAAAGCTACATAGCTCTCTTTCCCAGGCCAGGCTTGGTACATACCAGCAGGTGGTAGTTACAAACACTGATGCATGCTGGGAAGGTAACCTTCCCCTGCCCCTCCACAGACCACCCACCCCAGAATGGAATGTGTTCCAGACTCAGGTAAGTCAGGTGTGTAATAGAGCAGAGTGGGGGAAGGGAGGAGGTTGCTTGCACACATTGCCCAAAGGACAGGCCCTTGGCCCAGCAGCTGTGCTGAAAGTAAGTTCAAACTCAAGTGTTGCTCTATAAGCAAATATCAGAACTCACTCACATAAGTGCATATTTCATGCATATTAAAGGTGTCCCAAAAGAGCAGGCTGCTCACAAGTGAGCTATTTTACCTCTGGCAAGTAACAGTGATACCTAACTAGACATAAGACAGCAGTGCAGTATACTGCTTTGAATAAAATGTCATTTACAGTATAGATACCTTCTCCTTGAAGTTTCTTTTTGTCAAATCTCATTTTTAAGACAAGAAGGTCTTTGGGAGGCTAAGGTGGTCGGATTGCTTGAGGCCAGGAGTTTGAGACAAGCCTGGCAAACATGACGAAACCCTATCTCTACTAAAATATTAGCTGGGCCTGATGGCACACACCTGTAATGCCAGCTTCTTGGGAAGGTGAAGCATGAGAATTGCTTGAACTGGGGAGGTGGAGAATACAGTGAGCAGAGATTGCACCACTGCACACTAGCCTGGGTGACAGAGCAAGACTCTATCTTCTTAAAAAAAAAAAAATCATTTTGTCTCACTGAAGATGAGCCCCTCCTTACCTTAATTCTGGCAATTTTGAAATTCTTTTCTAGATGAAGCATTGGTTTTCTATTACAACATTCCTGTAAAATAACTTAAACCCAGCAAAAGAAAAATCTATACAAAGGGACAAGGAGAATTTCTGGGACCATTTGAATAAAATGTCCTTTGAGACAGACCAAAAAATCTTTTACCGAAGGTTCCAAGCGAAAAACACTGTTTTTAACAATGAAAGGGCCAATCTAAATGAAAAAATGAAATTTTCTATGAAAAAAATTTGCTTCGGTGCTTGAACTGGATGTGAGGCTCAGTGAGACTGTTGGAAAATAGGAGATCATGGTGAGAAAGTAGGACTGTTCAGTAGAGTAAAGGCCTTTAGACCTGGGCCTGAGATCCTAGGATTTGGCCCAGCAAGCCTGACAAGGGAGATTTGCCTAGTGCAGGGCCACAAGGATTCTTTGTGTAACTGCTAGATTGTTATAGAAGTTTCTCCATTTGTGTTTACTTTATGAGCAACTGACAAAATGGTGTTTGTGAAATTAAGCACAAAGCCCCCAGTGAGACAGAAAATCAAAAGTTGCCGGTCAGCTGTAGGCAGAGAATATAACAATAGTGTAAAACTGTATATCTGATTTGCTTTACATTGAGCTTATTTTCTTGGGGCAGATGAGGAGGTAACATTTGGTCCCCAAACCACATTTACAGTTTCTAAATAATGAGATTAGTATGTTTCACCCAGAATTATCCCAACAGCCCATAAATATATTCTTAAATTTTTTTTTTTTTTTTTTTTGAGACAGTCTCACACAGTCGCCCAGACTGGAGTGCAATGGCACGATCTCGGCTCACTGCAACCTCCGCCTCTTGGGTTCAAGCAATTCTCCTGCCTCAGCCTCCCGAGGAGCTGGGATTACAGGCACCTGCCACCATGCCTGGCTAATTTTTTGTATTTTTAGTAGATACAGGGTTTCACCATGTTGACCAGCATGATCTCTGTCTCCTGATCTCGTGATCCACCCACCTCGGCCTCCCAAAGTGCTGGGATTACAGGCGTGAGCCACTGTGCCCGGCCCATTTTTCTTTTTTATATTATTCCTTCTGTTTCTATAAACCAAGAAACCACATCTTGTTACAGTTTTATGAAATTAGAATCTTTAGGGTCTGGACAAAAGCCTGAGGATGAGCAAAGCATCAGTCTGCTCCCTTGACTATGTATGTGTTAGGTACTCAAATGTTAGATGAGCAAGTGTTTAAATAAATGACATCAATTTTATTATCTCAGAAGTCTTTTTTATTTCCTGTTGACTCTCAACTGTATTTTTAAAAGTTCCAGTTACTGGATAAAAAAACTTCTAGATAAATGAAAGATTGCTAAATATGACATGCATACATAGTGTTTTATTTGAAATACTTCATGATGAAAAACAGTACAAGGTTGTTGGAGAAAAAGGAATATGAAAATTTGTGATGAATGAAGAACCCTGACATTACCTAGAAGTGTATTACTCATATTCTTTGTGTAGTGTGTAAAAGAAAAAGAAAGTTGTATTTTAGAGGATTTATTGAGTTAATTTTAGAATATGGCCAGTTGAACACATAAATTACATTCTCTCTGTCGAGAGGCCTTACTAATATTCTAGTAAATAGATGAAAGTTATAAACCCTCAAAGAAAGAGCACAGGAAGGAAAGGAAAGCAAGTATTTTTTTTTTCAATCTGGAAAGCACATGATTGAAAGACAGTTGCCCAAACTAGCAAAACGCCAGAAGAAAATTTGTGCCACAGAATCCTAGCAGGGCTCAAGAATTAGAGTTACTGGCTATCTCAGAAAATGAGGGTGCACGGGGGCTGCAAAGAGGGGAATTGGTTGAAAGTCTAAATAAAAGGCAGTTTAGGTGCCCTGGGTGCCTTAGAACCTACCTACTATATGTATAGCCAAGTGACTGCCATTGCCCAACCCTCAGAGAAGACACCAGTTTCAATCAAAGTTAAATAGAACATGGGGACAACCAGGCACAGCCATACAAAAACAAAGTGATTTAGTGAAAACACATTCTCAGAACAGTAAGATACTGAGCCCCCTTCTCCAGTGAACCTCTGAAAATGGGCACCATGTTATACACTCCAGGTTTGCGGAGGATATATGATTTCATTCTGTGTCATGAAATTAACTGTCCCAGGACAATAGACTTATAAATATTAAAAGCTGGGATCTCCCAGCAGAAAAGTGTGGTCTCAACCTAATCACCCAAATTGAAACTCCTCACACAGAAGTTTGTATTCAGCTTCTGTTTGATTAGATCCAGATTGTGATACACTGATATATTCATTCATCAATCTTAAATATGAACAAAAAGCCCAAGATTACTACATATTTGAGGAAAGCCTCCAACTTGAAATACAGAAAAACCTCAAACAAAACAGAGACCATGTTAGAAACAAAAAAAAAATCTTTTAAAAAGTATAATTTCACAAAGATGAGAAGATATTGCATCCATGAAATAAAAACAAGACACTACCAAAACATATAGAAAGCCAAAAAGAGCTCTTGAAATTTTAAAATATAATTGATGAAACAAAAAAAGTAATAGGACCAGAAAATAAGGAAGTCTCCAAAGAAGCAGGAAAAAACATAAAAAGATGAACAGCCAGAGAAAAAGTATTTTCCAAATTAGAAGCTCAGTCTAGGTTCAAAATCCATCAGAAGGCCGGCTGCAGTGGCTCACACCTGCAGTCTCAGCACTTGGGGAGGCCAAGGTGGACAGATCACCTGAAGTCGGGAATTCAAGACTAGCCTGGCCAACATGGTGAAACCCTGTCTCTAATGAAAATACAAAAATTAGCCAGGTGTAATGACGCACACCTGTAATCCCAGCTACTCAGGAGGCTGAGGCAGGAGAATTGCTTGAACCCAAGAGGCAGAGGTTGCAGAGAGCTGAGATCGTGCCACTGCACTCCAGTCTGGATGACAGAGTGAGACTCTGTCTCCAAAAAAAACAAAACAAAACAAAAAATCCAACAAAGAAAATGAATGGGAGGAAATTAGCAAAGAAATAATGCAAGAAATTTTCCCAGAAATGAAACATAAAACTTTCAAGTTGAAAAGACCACTGAGTTTTCACACAATAAATAAAAGAAAATCTATACCAAGGTACAGGAAATCAGCCATAAGAAGATTCTAAGTTTCTGGAGTTTCAAAGTTCTACAGGGCGTGCACTGAAGTATTAGGAATTAGAGACTTCTAAACAGCCATGCTTGAAGTGGAAAACAATGGAGCAATCCTTCAAAACTTAAAGGATATGGGTTCCAACCAAGAATCCTATATCCAGCCAAACTATCGATAAAATGTAAGGATAATAAAAGATATTTTTAAACATGCAGAATCTCAAAATGTTTCTTCCCATGCACTCTTTCTTAGGAAGTTGGTGGAGTAGACCCTACACCAAAATGAGAGAACTGTATGGAAAGAAAAGGAAGACATGTGATCCAAGAAATAAGGGCATCTAACCTAGAGCTGTGTAGTAGGCCTAGAGAGCTACCAGTCTAGGTTAGAGAAAGAGGGTGGCTGATTTCAGGAAGAATGTCTCCTTTGGAGAAGGAAAAAGAATCAGGAATCACTGATGTATATGAACTTGACAGGAAATTTCATTTTGACAAAAAAGATAGACAATTAGTGATACATAAATAGGAAATTCAACATATAGGGAAAAATGATTATCTCAGTGAAACCAAAAATTTTGGACAAAAGGGTAAATATTAAGTAGATTAGCTGTGAATATTTGCATAGTCATAATAGAAAAAACAATAACTATTACTATGCAGTCGATAGTGCTGTTTAACAGATGTTCTGATTCTTTCTCTCTTTCCAAGTACATGATAGGATGACATTTCCTGGCTCCCTTTGTGGTTGGGTGGACTGTGTGACTAGTTCTGGCCAATAAGTTGCTTGTTTTTGCTAAAGATCCCCCTTTTGGATCCAAGTGATCATTTATTCCTCTATCTTTGGTAGAACTGATACAGATAAACAGTGAAAATGAGGCAAAGGCTGGTTGTCACCAAGTAAGTACATTTGTGGAATTTAATATTTTACCAAATATTGTCCCATTCATCTTCTTAGTTGAACTTCAGAGTTGTCCTGGGAGCTAGGGAGATACAGAAAGCAAGGAACTTGTCTCAGATCATACACTGCAGAGCCATGGTCCAAGCTCCAACGTTTAATAACCACGTTACTTGTAAACTATACACAAAGAGAGCTGAGTGTGGCATTATGTACTAGGGAAAGAACTATTTTGCCATTTTGTAGTAGGAAATGCAAATTTCATCCTGATAGAGGAATTCAGGTTAGATTTTTTTAATACACTGTAATAAGAAACAGTGCTGTCATTTTATCTATTTTCTGAGTTCATTTAAATTTTTAATATAATTTATTAAGTATTGAATACTTACAGCATGCCTGTGCATGTTCTAAGCATTTTATATGTATCAGCTCATTTAATAATCACAAAAATTCTATGATACAGGTACTCTCATTATCCTTGTTTTATAGATGAGAAATTGGAATTTTGAAATAGTAACCTTATCCAGGGACATCAGGTACTGAGGGTAAAGCTCAGATTTGAACTTGCAGTCTGATTTCAGAGCCAACACTCTTGAACATTTTAGATTGTCAAAATTACTTATGATTCCAGAAATGTTCTAAACTGTCTCTGCCCATTTTTGGTGGTTTTATTGAAACATATTTACTGTACTTTTTTTTCATCTAGGTTTATGTTCCAGATGAAAATAATACTATTTTGGGGAGAAATACAAATAAACAAGTTTTTGAAGGCTTGACAACTGGACTTCTCAAAGTCAGTGCTGTGGTTTTGGGCTGCCTGATTGCCAATCGACCAGATGGAAACTGCCAGCCAGCTACCCCAAAAATACCAACACAGGAAATGAAAAACAAACCCTCACAAGGTGATCCTTTTAACAATCGAGTTCAGGACCTTATCAGGTAAAATTGCTAGAGTTCTTAAAACTTTGTTCTTTGTTAAGAAACTATATTAAAATAATTTAAATCTCAAGGCCCATGTGATGGCAGTGGTTCTCACAATGCCATTCACACATTCCTGGTAGAGAATACCAAGAATACCTTGTAAATATTTCTCAGATTTATCACCTTCACTCCATTGCTGCTATTAATACTTTACTTCAGATATTCAGGCTCTTTTGCAGCAGCAGACAGCACGTCTGTCTGTCTGTCCCCCACCTTTTAAAAATAAGTTCTTTTTCCTAATTATGAAAGTAATACATGCTCAATGATAAACACAATTTGGAAAACACGGAAGAGCACAATGGATTTTTTAAAACAGTTTTGTAGAGAGAAAGAAAATTCTCTCTTGACAGGAAATTTCATTTTGACAAAAAAGATAGACAATTAGTGATACATAAATAGGAAATTCAACATATAGGGAAAAATGATTATCTCAGTGAAACCAAAAATTTTGGACAAAAGGGTAAATATTAAGTAGCAATATAGGTAGAGCTCAGGTATCATTCTTGGTTGTTTTTTTGTTGTTGTTGTTGTTGTTTTTTCTATCACCCAGTCTGGAGTGCAGTGGTGCAGCGCAACCTTGGCTCACAGCAACCTTCGCCTCCTGGGTTCAAGCAATTCTTCTGCCTCAGCCTCCCAAGTAGCTGGGATTACAGGCACATGCCACCATGCCTGGCTAATTTTTGTATTTTTAGTAGAGATAAGGTTTCACCATGTTTGCCAGGCTGGTCTCAAACTCTTGACCACAAATGACCCACCCGCCTCCATCTCCCAAAGTGCTGGGATTACAGGTGTGAGTCACCACACCTGGCTTTTCTTGATATTTAGATATGTGATGTTAGAATGTGTTCTGCTAGAGCTTTTACAAGTTTCTTGATGTCAACTCTTTCCAACTGAAGGAATTTCTGAGAATTCCCCTATCTCAGTTCATCTCTGGTTATAAATTAGGTTCAGACTTAAAACAACAATAATAGCTACCATTTATAGAGTACCCATTATAGTATAATACCTTACACCTAGTAGGTTAACCTTATAGGGTTATACCTATAGTATAGTATAGTAACCCCTTTAAGTGTAAGGTATTGTAGTAGAGGCTTTGCAGCCCTGTAAGTGTAATATTTCTAACTTAAGCTTTGTAGGTGAGGAAATTGCTCAGAGAAGTTAAGTACTTAGCCCAAGGTTATGTAATAAACAAGATTAAAAGTAGGTAGGAGAGCTGAGAGTGGAATTCATGTCTAGCTGGACTCCCAACACCTGTATGCTTTCCACTACACAAATGTGGCAATTTCTGACACCTGTTCAAGGTCAGCCCTGTTTCCTTCTAAGGTCACCTTCTCTCCAGGGAAATTTACTCCTACTTTGGCATCTGAACTCATTTACCCTCGTTAATTTTTTATTTCCCAACAGAGTTTCATCTGGTGTTAATCAATTACCTGTTCCACCTATCAGCACCTCTTCTGTGTTCTGCACTGATCTCTGGCTCCCCAAATCCATGCAATTTGTTGCTCTCTGAAGCTTATGGTTGGTTAACAGGAGAACAAGAATGCACTCCTCTGTATTTGCTTCTTTCGCAGTTCATAAATTTCTTCTGCTTTCTTGTAGTGCTTTCTTGGGAACAGTTGTTTCATTCAGTAGCTTCCTTACCCTTGATTACTTTGTTCACTTACCCCTTCTATCTGCCTGTCCTCTTTCCTCAAGTGTATTTATTACTGGAGAGCACCAGGCCCTTTGGGCCACAACCATTTATCTTACAGCACTTGACTTTTAGCCTCCCTGGCCTTTCTCTCAGTTGCTTGATCCCATTCAATTCCCCATGTCCTTTTGGTCGTTGTAGAATTTGCCCTCTCTGCTGACGAATGTCATTCTGTCCCTGCATTCTCCCTTGGGCTACCCTGTGATGCAGCAACCCTGCATGCTTGTCATCCAGACAACTTAGCCACATGCCTTAGCTGTGATGAAGCGGAAGATCCATTCAAATGCTTCATTGCAATTCCAGTGGGCCTTCCAGGGGGAAATACGTACATTTTCACATACATTATTATAATTACCAAATCCTTCTTTTAATACCTTCCTTTAGGAGGTATTTTTCCCCTAATACCTTCCTCCTTTAGGAAGGAGCAGTGGTAATCTGCCAAACCAAATAACTCATGTGACTTAAAAATGATGATTGACAACCATACTGCTTCAAAAAATACCATGCCAGTCTTTCTCTGATTTGAACCACTGTTGTTGAATATTGTTTTCTTACAGATAATGCATTGTTATTTGGCTTGGTGAGGACTGTGTAAAACTGCAAACCATATTTCACATCTGCCTAGTTTAGCAAACAAAGCATTTTTTTTTTTTTTTTTTTTTTTTTTTTGCTAATCATTTTCATACTTGCCTTCTCACCTTCCCAGATATGAACTGACAAGAAGTCTCACTCCACTCCCTGTTACAATCTGGGCATTTTTGTCAGTTGTGAAGTTGAGTAGAAAGGGCTCCAGTACAGTCGTTGGAGCTGTTCTCTGGCTGTATCCCTGAAGTAGAGCAGGAGCAGATTCTGACATCTGTCCCTTCCTTCCCCTTATCTGGCATAGGAGAGGTAGGAAGATATCTAAGAGACATGAGATCATTACAGTATTTATTCTTATTATTTTATTTGTTTCAGTCAAGTTTCTGCATCTAAGCCATTCTTGGAAATATTTTTCAATTCAAAGTATGGCCACCCATACTAATTTTGTGCCAGACACTGTAGAAGGATGTGTCAAAAATTTAAAAAGACTTTTACAGCATATCCAACTAATTTTATTTTACTATTAGACATCTGAATTTATTTCATTTTTAATTTTTTTCATTGGCACATTGTAACTGTATTAGTCTGTTTTTACACTACTGTTAAAGACATACCCAAGGCTGAGAAAAAAAGAGGGTTCCACATGGCTGGGGAGACCTCACAATCATGGCAGAACACAAGGAGGAGTAAGTCATGTGTTGCATGGGTTGTGGCAGGCAAAGAGAGAGCTTGTGCAGGGGAACTCCTCTTTGTAAAACCATCAGATCTTTTGAGACTTATTCACTATCACGAGAACAGCATGGGAAAGACCTGCCCCCATGATTCAGTTACCTCCCACCGGGTCCCTCCCAAAGCACATGGGAATTCAAGATGAGGTTTGGGTGGGGATGCAGCCAAACCACATTATTCCACCCCAGCCCCTCCCAAATCTCATGTCCTCACATTTCAAAACCAATCATGCCTTCCCAACAGTCCCCCAAAGTCTTAACTTATTTCAGCATTAACTCAAAAGTCCATAGTACAACATCTCATCTGAGTCAAGGCAAGTCCCTTCTGCCTGTGAGCCTGTAAAATCCAAAGCAAGTTAGTTACTTCTTAGATGCAATGGAGGTACAGGCATTGGGCAAATATACCCATTCCAAATAGGGGAAATTGGCCAAAACAAAGGGGCTACAGGCCCCATGCCAGTCCAAATCCAACAGGGCAGTCAGATCTTAAAGCTCCAAAATGATCTCTTTTGACTCCATGTCTCACATCCAGGTCACACTGTTGCAAGAGGTGGGTTCCCATCGTGTTGGGCGGCTCTGCCTGTGTGACTTTGTAGGGTATAGCCCCTCTCTTGGCTGCTTTCACGGGCTGGCATTGAGTGTCTGCAGTTTTTCCAGGCACGTGGTGCAAGCTGTCAATGGATCTACCATTCTGGGGTCTGGAGGACAGTGGTCCTCTTCTCACAGCTCCACTATGCGGTGCCACAGTAGGGACTCTGTGTAGGGGCTCTGACCCCACATTTCCCTTCCACACTGCCCTAGCAGAGGTTCTGCATGACAGCCCCTCCCCTGCAGCAAACTTCTGCCTAGGCACCCAGGCATTTCCGTACATCCTGTGAAATCTAGGTGTAGGTTCCCAAACTTCAATTCTTGACTTCGGTGCACCTGCAGGCTCAACACCACATGGAAGCTGCCAAGGCTTGGGGCTTCCATCCTCTGGAGCAACAGCCCAAGCTGTATCTTGGCCCCTTTAGCCATGGCCAGAGTGGCTGGAAGTCAAGGTACCAAGTCCCTAGACTGCACAGAGCAGGGGAGCCCTGAGCCTGCCCCACTAAACCATCTTTTCCTCCTAGGCCTCCAGGTCTGTGATGGGAGGGGCTGCCATGAAGACCTCTGACATGCCCTGGCGACATTTTCCTCATTGTCTTGGGGATTAACATTCAGTTCCTTGTTACTTATGCAAATTTCTGCAGTCGGCTTGAATATCTCCTCAGAAAATGGGATTTTCTTTTCTATCGCGTAGTCAGGCTGCAAATTTTCCAAACTTTTATGCTGTTTCCCTTTTAAAATTGAATGCTTTTTAACAGCACCCAAGTCACCCCTTGAATGCTT
Organism: Homo sapiens; assembly: GCF_000001405.40. Taxonomy (NCBI): domain Eukaryota; kingdom Metazoa; phylum Chordata; class Mammalia; order Primates; family Hominidae; genus Homo; species Homo sapiens. Next base: position 76,429,664 of record NC_000015.10, on the reverse strand, counting down.
TGCTGCTTAGAAATTTCTTCTGCCAGATACCCTAAATCATCTCCCTCAAGCTGAAATTTCCACAAATCTCTAAGGCAGGGGAAAAATGCCGCCAGTCTCTTTGCTAAAACACAGCAAGAGTCACCTTTGCTCCAGTTCCCAACAATTTCCTCATCGCCATCTGAGACCAGCTCAGCCTGGATTTCATTGTCGTTACCATTATCAGCATTTTTGGTCAAAGCCATTCAACAAGTCTCTTAAGAAGTTCCAAACTTTCCCACATTTTCCTGTCTTCTTCTGAGCCCTCCAAACTGTTCCAACCTTTACCTGTTACCCAGTTCCAAAGTCACTTCCAACATTTTCAGGGAACTTTTTAGCAGAGCCCCACTCTACTGGTACCAATTTACTGTATTAGTCTGTTTTCACACTGCTGATAAAGACATAACCAAGACTGGAAAGAAAAAGAGGTTTAATGGACTTAAATTTCCAGATGGCTGGGGAGGCCTCACAATCATGCTGGAAAGCAAGGAGGAGCAAGTCACAACTTACGTGGATGGTGGCAGGCAAAGAGAGAGTTTGTGCAAGGGAATTCCTTTTTATAAAAAGCCACCAGATCTCGTGAGACTTATTCTCTATCATGAGAACAGCACGGGAAAGACCTGTACCCATGATTCGATTGCCTCCCACCAAGTCCCTCCCTCAATACATGGGAATTCAAGATGAGATTTGGATGGGGACGCTGCTACACCATATCAGTAACTATACAAACTTACTGAGTACATTTTGATGTTTATATATATATATATATATATATATATAGTATAATGATCTGATCAGGATACCTATTGTGTTCATAACCTCATACATTTGTCATTTGTGGTAAGAACATTCAGAAGCCTCTCTTCTAGGGATTTTGTAATATACAACACTTTACTGTTAACCGTAGTCACTCTACTATGCAATAGAACACCAGAATTTATTCCTCCTATTTAATTGTAGCCTTGTACCCATTGACCAACCTCTCTTCCTCCTCTCTTCTTCCCCCAGCCCCTCCTCAGCCTCTGGTAACCGCTGGTGTACTCTCTGCTTCTGGATACCAACTTCAACTTCTCGTTATAGATTACACACTTGAGTGAGATCATGCAATATTTGTCCTTCTGTGCCTGGTTTATTTCACTTAACATAAAAACCTCCAGGTCCATCCATGTTGTAACAAACCTCCAAGTCCATCCATGTTGTAAAAAAGAAAGATTGCATTCTTTTTTATGGCTAAATAGTATTCCATTATGTGTGTATAACACACTTTGTCCCTTAATCCACTGAAGAACACTTAGGTCGACTCCATATCTTGGCTATTTTGAATAGTGCTGCAATAAACATGGGAGTGTAGATACCTCTTTGACATGCTGGTTTCATTTCTTTGGATTTATAACCAACAGTGGTATTCCTGGATCATACAGTAGTTCTATTTCCATACTTTTTACATGATGGCTATACTAGTTTACAATCCCACCAACAGTGTTCAAGTGTTTCCTTTTCTCTACATCCTCACCAATGTTTGTTTTATCTGTTTTGTTTTGTTTTGTTTTGTTTTTTGAGACACTGTTGCCCAGGCTGGAGTGCAGTGGCATGATTATGGCTCACTGCAGCCTCAACCCCCCAGGGTCAAGCAATCCTCCAAAATCAGCCTCCCAAATAGATGGGACTACAGGTGCAAACAACCACACCCAGCTAATTTTTTTTTTTTTTTTTGAGATGGAGTTTTGCTCATGTCACCCAGGCTGGAGTTCAGTGATGCGATCTCAGCTCACTGCAACCTCTGCTACCCAGGTTCAAGTGATGCCCCTGCCTCAGGCTCTTGAATAGCTGGGATTACAGGCACTTGGTACCACTCATGGCTAATTTTTGTATTTTTAGTACAGATGGGGTTTCACCATGTTGGCCAGGCTGGTCTAGAACTCCTGACCTCAGGTGACCCACCAGCTAATTTTTTAATTTTTTTTATAGAGACAGGGTCTCATTATGTTTTTCAGGCTGGTCTTGAATTCCTGGGCTCAAGCAGTCCTCCCACCTCAGCCTCCCAAAGTGCTAGGATTACAAGCATGTGTGACTGTACCCAGCATCTTCTTTTGTCTTTTTGATAATAACTATTCTAACTGGAGTGGGCTGGTATCTCATTGTGGTCCTAATTGGCATTTCCTTGATGATTAGTGATGTTGAGCATTTTTTCGTATACCTGTTGGCCATTTGTATGTCTTCTGAGAAAAGTCTATTAAGATCTTTTGTCCCTTTTTGAATTGGGTTATTTAGTTTTTCACTGTTGAGTTATTTAAGTTTTGTATATATTCTAGATATTAACCCGTTATCAGATGTATAGTTTGCAGATATTTTCTCCCATTCTGCAGGTTGTCTCTTCACTCTGTTAGTTAACTTTGCTGTGTAAAAGCATTTTAGTTTGATATAATCCCCTTTGTCTATTTTTTTGGTATGTTAATTGTGGTTTTAAGATCTTATTTTTAAACTCCTTGCCTGACTCAATCTGTGAAACATTTCCTCTGTGTTTTCTTCTAGTACATTCATAGTTTCAGGTTTTACATTTACATTTTTAACTTATTTTGAGTTGGTTTTTGTATTGGTGAGAAGTAGGGTTCTAGTCTCATTCTTCTGCATGTAGATACCCAATTATCCCAGCACGGTTTATTGAAGAGACTCTCATTTCCCCATTGCATGTTCTTGGCAGCTTTACCAAAAATAAGTTGGTTGTCAGTGCATGAATTTATCTCTGGACTCTTTATTTTGTTCCATTGGTCTATGTATCTGTTTTTATACCAGACCCATGGTGTTTTGATAACTATAGTTTTGTACTACATTTTTAAGTCAATTAATATGATGCCTCCAGCTTTGTTCTTTTTGCTCAGGATTGCTTTGGCTATTCAGGCTGTGTTTTGTTTTGGTTCTCTATGAATTTTAGGATTGTTTTTTTTGTGTGTGAAGAATGTCATTGGTATTCCGACAGAGATTGCATTAAATCTGTAGATTGCTTTGGGTAGTATAGCCATTTTAACAATATTAATTATTCTAATCCATGAACACAGGATATTTTTCCATTTATTGGTGCCCTCTTTCTTTTTATAAAAAAAAATTCTCGGGCAGTTCCAAGATGGCCAAATAGGAACAGCTCCAGTCTACAGCTCCCAGCATGAGCGACGCAGAAGACGGGTGATTTCTGCATTTCCAACTGAGCAAATGGCACACCAGGAGATTATATCCCGCACCTGGCTCAGAGGGTCCCACACCCATGGAGCCTCACTCATTGCTAGCACAGCAGTCTGAGATCAATCTGCAAGGCAGCAAAGAGGCTGGGGGAGGGGTGCCCGCCATTGCTGAGGCTTGAGTAGGTAAAGCGGCCAGGAAGCTCGAACTGGGTGGAGCCTACCACAGCTCAGGGAGGCCTGTCTGCCTCTGTAGACTCCACCTCTGGGGGCAGGGCACAGCCAAACAAAAGGCAACAGAAACCTCTGCAGACTTAAATGTCCCTGTCTGACAGCTTTGAAATGAGTGGTGGTTCTCCCAGCATGTAGTTTGAGATCTGAGAAGGGACAGACTGCCCCCTCAAGTGGGTCCCTGACCCCCGAGTAGCCTAACTGGGAGGCACCCCCCAGTAGGGGCAGACTGACACCTCACACAGCCGGGTACCTCTCTGAGACGAAGCTTCCAGAAGAACGATCAGGCAGCAACATTTGCTGTTCAGCAATATTCGCTGTTCTGCAGCCTCCGCTGCTGATACCCAGGCAAACAGGGTCTGGAGTGGACCTGAGGAAACTCCAACAGACCTGCAGCTGAGGGTCCTGACTGTTAGAAGGAAAACTAACAAACAAAGGACATCCACACCAAAACCCCATCTGTACGTCACCATCATCAAAGACTAAAGGTGGATAAAACCACAAAGATGGGAAAAAAACAGAGCAGAAAAGCTGAAAATTCTAAAAATCAGAGCACCTCTCACCCTCCAAAGGAACGCAGCTCCTCATCAGCAACGGAAAAAAGCTGGATGGAGAATGACTTTAACAAGTTGAGAGAAGAAGGCTTCAGACAATCAAACTTCTCAGAGCTAAAGGAGGAAGTTCGAACCCACTGCAAAAAAGCGAAAAACCTTGAAAAAAGATTAGACGAATGGCTAACTAGAATAACCAATGTAGACAAGTCCTTAAGTGACCTGATGGAGCTGAAAACCGTGGCACGAGAACTATGTGACACATGCACAAGCTTCAGTAGCCGATTCTATCAACTGGAAGAAAGGGTATCAGTGATTGAAGATCAAATGAATGAAATGAAGCGAGAAGAGAAGTTTAGAGAAAAAAGAGTAAAAAGAAATGAACAAAGCCTCCCAGAAATATGGGACTATGTGAAAAGACCAAATCTGCGTCTGATTGGTGTACCTGTAAGTGACAGGGAGAATGGAACCAAGTTGGAAAACACTCTGCAGGATATTATCCAGGAGAAATTCCCCAACCTAGCAAGGCAGGCCAACATTCAAATTCAAGAAATACAGACGGCCACAAAGATACTCCTCGAGAAGAGCAACTCCAAGACACATAATTGTCAGATTCACCAAAGTTGAAATGAAGGGAAGAATGTTAAGGGCAGCCAGAGAGAAAGGTCAGGTTACCCACAAAGGGAAGCCCATCAGACTAACAGCTGATCTCTCAGCAGAAACTCTTCAAGCCAGGAGAGAATGGGGGCCAATATTCAACATTCTTAAAGAAAAGAATTTTCAACCCAGAATTTCATATCCTGCCAAACTAAGCTTCATAAGTGAAGGAGAAATAAAATCCTTTACAGACAAGCAAATGCTGAGCGATTTTGTCACCACCAGGCCTCCCCTACAAGAGTTCCTGAAGGAAGCACTAAACATGGAAAGGAACAACCGGGACCAGCCACTGCAAAAACATGCCAAATTGTAAAGACCATTGATGCTAGGAAGAAACTACATCAACTAACGAGCAAAATAACCAGCTAACATCATAATGGCAGGATCAAATTCACACATAACAATATTAACCTTAAATGTAAACGGGCTAAATGCTCCAATTAAAAGACACAGACTGGCAAATTGGATAAGAGTCAAGACCCATCAATGTGCTGTATTCAGTAGACCCATCTCACGTGCAGAGACACACATAGGCTCAAAATAAAGGGATGGAGGGAAGTCTACCAAGCAAATGGAAAACAAAAAAAGGCAGGAGTTGCAATCCTAGTCTCTGATAAAACAGACTTTAAGCCAACAAAGATCAAAAGAGACAAAGAAGGCCGTTACATAATGGTAAAGGGATCAATTCAACAAGAAGAGCTAACTATCCTAAACATATATGCACCCAATACAGGAGCACCCAGATTCATAAAGCAAGTCCTTAGAGACCTACAAAGAGACTTAGACTCCCACACAATAATAATGGGAGACTTTAACATCCCACCATCAACATTAGACAGATCAATGAGACAAAGTTAACAAGGATATCCAGGAATTGAACTCAGCTCTGCACCAAGAAGACCTAACAGACATCTACAGAACTCTCCACCCCAAATCAACAGAATATACATTCTTCTCAGCACCACATCACACTTATTCCAAAATTGACCACATAGTTGGAAGTAAGGCACTCCTTAGCAAATGTAGAAGAACAGAAATTATAACAAACTGTCTCTCAGACCACAGTGCAATCAAACTAGAACTCAGGATTAAGAAACTCACTCAAAACCGCTCAACTACACAGAAACTGAACAACCTGCTCCTGAATGACTACTGGGTAAATAACGAAATGAAGGGAGAAATAAAGATGTTCTTTGAAACCAATGAGAGCAAAGACAAAACATACCAGAATCTCTGGGACACATTTAAAGCAGTGTGTAGAGGGAAATTTATAGCACTGAATGCCCACAAGAGAAAACAGGAAAGATCTAAAATTGACACCCTAACATCACAATTAAAAGAACTAGAGAAGCAAGAGCAAACACATTCAAAAGCTAGCAGAAGGCAAGAAATAACTAAGATGAGAGCAGAACTGAAGGAGATGGAGAAACAAAAAACCCTTCAAAAAATCAATGAATCCAGGAGCTGGTTTTTTGAAAAGATCAACAAAATTGACAGACTGCTAGCAAGACTAATAAAGAAGAAAAGAGAGAATAATCAAATAGACACAATAAAAAATGATGAACGGGATATCACCACTGATCCCACAGAAATACAAACTACCATCAGAGAATACTATAAACACCTCTATGCAAATAAACTAGAAAATCTAGAAGAAATGGATAAATTCCTGGACACATACAGCCTTCCAAGACTAAACCAGGAAGAAGTTGAATCTCTGAATAGACCAATAACAGGCTCTGAAATTGAGGCAATAATTAATAGCCTACGAACCAAAAAAAGTCCAGGACCAGATGGATTCACAGCCGAATTCTACCAGAGGTACAAGGAGAGCAGGTACCATTCCTTCTGAAACTATTCCAATCAATACAAAAAGAGGGAATCCTCCCTAACTCATTTTATGAGGCCAGCATCATCCTGATACCAAAGCCTGGCAGAGACACAACAAAAAAAGAGAATTTTAGACCAATATCCCTGATGAACATCAATGCAAAAATCCTCAATAAAATACTGGCAAACCGAATCCAGCAGCACATCAAAAAGCTTATCCACCATGATCAAGTGGGCTTCATCCCTGGGATGCAAGGCTGGTTCAACATATGCAAATCAATAAATGTAATCCAGCATATAAACAGAACCAAAGACAAAAACCACATGATTATCTCAACAGATGCAGAAAAGGCCTTTGACAAAATTCAACAACCCTTCCTGCTAAAAACTCTCAATAAATTAGGTATTGATGGGTCGTATCTCAAAATAATAAGAGCTATCTATGGCAAACCCACAGCCAGTATCATACTGAATGGGCAAAAGCTGGAAGCATTCCCTTTGAAAACGGGCACAAGACAGGGATGCCCCCTCTCACCACTCCTATTCAACATAGTGTTGGAAGTTCTGGCCAGGGCAATCAGGCAGGAGAAGGAAATAAAGGGTATTCAATTAGGAAAAGAGGAAGTCAAGTTGTCCCTGTTTGCAGATGACATGATTGTATATTTAGAAAACCCCATTGTCTCAGCCCAAAATCTCCTTAAGCTGATAAGTAACTTCAGCAAAGTCTCAGGATACAAAATCAATGTGCAAAAATCATAAGCATTCTTATACTCCAGTAACAGACAAACAGAGAGCCAACTCATGAGTGAACTCCCATTCACAATTGCTTCAAAGAGAGTAAAATACCTAGGAATCCAACTTACAAGGGATGTGAAGGAACTCTTCAAGGAGAACTACAAATCACTGCTCAATGAAATAAAAGAGAACACAAACAAATGAAAGAACATTCCATGCTTATGGATAGGAAGAATCAATATCGTGAAAATGGCCATACTGCCCAAGGTAATTTATAGATTCAATGCCATCCCCATCAAGCTACCAGTGACTTTCTTCACAGAATTGGAAAAAACTTTAAAGTTCATGTGGAACCAAAAAAGGGCCCGCATTGCCAAGACAATCCTAAGCCAAAAGAACAAAGCTGGAGGCATCACGCTACCTGACTTCAAACTATACTACAAGGCTATAGTAACCAAAACAGCATGGTACTGGTACCAAAACAGAGATATAGACCAATGGAACAGAACAGAGCCCTCAGAAATAATAACACACATCTACAACTATCTGATCTTTGACAAACCTGACAAAAACAAGCAATGGGGAAAGGATTCCCTATTTAATAAATGGTGCTGGGAAAACTGGCTAGCCATATGTAGAAAGCTGAAACTGGATCCCTTCCTTACACCTTATACAAAACTTAATTCAAGATGGATTAAAGACTTACATGTTAGACCTAAAACCATAAAAACCCTAGAGGAAAACCTAGGCAATACCATTCAGGACATAGGCATGGGCAAGGACTTCATGTCTAAAACACCAAAAGCAATGGCAACAAAAGCCAAAGTTGACAAATGGGATCTAATTAAACTAAAGAGCTTCTGCACAGCAAAAGAAACTACCATCAGAGTAAACAGGCAACCTACAGAATGGGAGAAAATTTTTGCAATCTGCTCATCTGACAAAGGGCTAATATCCAGAATCTACAAAGAACTCAAACAAATTTACAAGAAAAAAACAAACAACCCCATCAAAAAGTGGGCAAAGGATATGAACAGACACTCCTCAAAAGAAGACATTTATGCTGCCAACAGACACATGAAAAAATGCTCATCATCACTGGCCATCAGAGAAATGCAAATCAAAACCACAATGAGATACCATCTCACACCAGTTAGAATGGCGATCATTAAAAAGTCAGGAAACAGCAGGTGCTGGAGAGGATGTGGAGAAATAGGAACACTTTTACACTGTTGGTGGGACTGTAAACTAGTTCAACCATTGTGGAAGACAGTGTGGCAATTCCTCAAGGATCTAGAACTAGAAATACCACTTGACCCAGCCATCCCATTACTGGGTATATACCCAAAGGATTATAAATCATGCTGCTATAAAGACACATGCACACGTATGTTTATTGTGGCACTATTCACAATAGCAAAGACTTGGAACCAACCCAGATGTACATCATTGATAGAGTGGATTAAGAAAATGTGGCACATATACACCATGGAATATTATGCAGCCATAAAAAAGGATGAGTTCATGTCCTTTGTAGGGACATGGATGAATCTAGAAACCATCATTCTCAGCAAACTATTGCAAAGACAAAAAACCAAACACCGCATGTTCTCACTCATAGGTGGGAATTGAACAATGAGAACACTTGGACACAGGAAGGGGAACATCACACACCGGGGCCTGTCATGGGGTGGGGGGAGCGTGGAGGGATAGCATTAGGAGATATACCGAATGTAAATGGTGAGTTAACGGGTGCAGCACACCAACATGGCGCATGTATACATATGTAACAAACCTGCACATTGTGCACATGTACCATAGAACTTAAAGTATAATTTTAAAAAAGTCTTCTTATAGTTAACAACGTAGAGATATTTTATCTTGTTAAGTTTATTCCTAGGTATCTTATTTTTATTATTACTATTGTAAATGGAATTGCTCTTTTGATTCTTTTTCAGATCATTCACTATTAATGTATGGAAATACCACTGATTTTTGTATGTTGATTTTTGTATCCTGCTAATTTGGTGAATTCACTTATTCTAAGAATTATTTGGTGGAGTCTTTAGGATTTTCTGTATGTAAGATCATGTGCCAGGCATAGTGGTGTGCATCTGTAGTCCCAGCTACTCAGGAGCGCAGGAGACTAAGGCAAGAGGATCTTGAGCCCAGGAGTTTGAGACCAGCCTAGGCAACATAGACCCCATCTCTATAAAAAAAAAAAAAAAAAAAAAGGAAAAAACATCTATAGAGGGGTGAAAGTGGGCATCCTCGTCTCATTCCTGATCTTATGACATTAGCTGTGGGTTTGTCTTAAGTGACATATTGTGTTGAGGTATGTTCCTTGTATACTGAATTTGTTGAGAGTTTTTTCAATGAAGGAATGTTGAGTTTTGTCAAATTGTTTTTCTGTATCTCTTGAAATGATCATAAGGTTTTTGTCTTTCTTTCTGTTCATGTGGTGTATCACATTTATTGATTTCCATATGTTGAACCATCCTTTCATCCCTGGGATGAGCCCCACTAATTACAGTGAATGATCTTTTTAATGTGTTATTGAATTTAGTTTGTTAGTATCTTGTTGAGAATTTTTGCATCTGTGTTCATGAAGTATATTGGCTTGTAATTTTCTTTTGTTACATGTTTGTCTGGTTTTGAAATCAGAGAAATGCTGGCCTCATAAAATAAGTTCCTTCCTCTTTAATTTTGAGAGGTTTAGTTTGAGAATTAGTATTAGTTCTTTTTTTTTGAGACAGAGTTTTGCTCTTGTTGCCCAGGCTGGAGTGCAATGGTACAATCTCGGCTCACCACAACCTCCACCTCCCAGGTTCAAGTGATTCTCCTGCCTCAGCCTCCCAAGTAGCCGGGATTACAGGCGTGCACCACCACACCCGGCTAATTTTGTATTTTTCGTAGAGACAGGGTGTCTCCATGTTGGTCAGGCAGGTCTCGAATTCCTGACCTCAGATGATCTGCCCACCTTGGCCTCGCAAAGTGCTGGGATTACAGACATGAGCCACCGTGCCCGGCCGAGAATTAGTATTAGTTCTTTAGTTCTTTAAATATTTAGGAGAATTCAGCAGTGATAACTTCAAGATCCTGGACTTTTTTTTCTTTTCTTTTTTTTTTTTTTTCTTTTTGAGACGGAGTTTCACTCTTGTTGCCCAGGCTGGAGTGCAATGGTGCGATCTTGGCTCACCACAGCCTCCGCCTCCTGGGTTCAAGCGATTCTCCTGCCACCTGTAGGTGGGTCCTAGGGTGTTGGTTGGGTACCGTGTGTTGGCTTTGGTTCTGAGTGGACTTAGTAGCATGGTCTGTGTACAGTTTCTTCAACTGTAATTCTCATCAGCAATGTCTGTGATTGCCTCAATAGCCTAGGCTGCAGGAATTTGAATAATCACAGACACTGTAGCCTAGGGGCAGTGGCACTGGGCTGGTTGTTGGGCCAGGTACATGTTCGTGCAGAGGTCTGAGACACTATCTGGCAGACTCTCCAGAAAGGCACATTTGTGCAGAGGTCTGAGACACTACCTGGCAGACTCCAGGAAGGCAGCAGCCACAACCAGGCTGGCTTCAAGACTGGGTTCAGGCATGTGCAGGTGTGGCCAGCTATGTGGCTCTGCAGTAGTCTCTCTGGGGAGGCAGGGCCATCACTGATCCAGCTCTCAGGCCAGATGTGGGCACAGCAGGCCAACCAGCTGTTTGGTGGCTTCACCACAGTGCAGGTTTGCCTGTTCCATTGTTGGGTGGGATGCCACCTGGGTTCAGACACTGGCACCTCAGTAATTTTGTCTGGCCTAGGATCCAGCCAGCTACAGTTATAGTGATGCAAGCACCCATGTGAACATGGTGAAATGATGGCAGGGCCTCAGAGATGGAGAGAGTCAGTTGCTACTGGCCCCCAGGGCAGGACATAGTCTACCAGTGGGTCTGGTTCCGAGATGATCTGTGCTGTGACAACTTAGGTTACAGATGTGGGGAGTGCCCAACATGGGATCCTACTCTGAGAGAGTTCAGGTTTACAGATTCCCAGCTACTCTCCAAACTAGATTTGGGTCCTATGAGTACTGGGAGATTCTCCTGTAGCAAGATTTGCTGGCATTTGTGGTGGCAGTGAGGACTGCTGGGAATCTCCAGCTTACTTTTTCCCTGTAAGAAGTCCTCCCTGACTCTGAGCTAATGCCAGCAGGGAAGACAGTGTGGCAGAGGCAGGATGCCTTACTCCCCTGTCTGTGGTGGTATCCTGGGCTTTAATGTTCCACAGGGATTTTGCTGCCCCTCTAGTATTATCCAATGTACTTCTTCCATCACTACAGTCAAAATATCATTGTTTGCTTGTTGTTTTGGTCACTTCCTGTTGGGGTGGAGGGGGACAACCACCAGGCAACTCTAATTGGTCATCTTGCTGACACTCCTTGACCACATTAATCTCTGAAAAAAAATTTTTTTTTTTGAGACGGAGTCTTGCTCTGTTGCCAGGCTGGAGTGCAGAGGCGCGATCTCGGCTCGCTGAACCCTCCGCCTCCCGGGTTCAAGCCATTCTCCTGCCTCAGCCTCCCAAGTAGCTGGGACTATAGGCGCGCACCACCACGCCCAGCTAATTTTTGTATTTTTAGTAGAGGCAGGGTTTCACCATGTTGGCCAGGATGGCCTCGATCTCTTGACCTCGTGATCCGCCCACCTCGGCCTCCCAAAGTTGTGGGATTACAGGCATGAGCCACCACGCCTGGCCACCAGCCTTTTAGAATCTAAGTTATCAAACATAAGACATGTATTCAAGGAGAAATTTTAGCCTAGCACTTTCCTGGCCACCAGACCCTGACCACATATCTAGCCACCAGGATGTACCACAGGTACCTCAGACTCCATAGTTCAAAGCTTAATACATTATCTGTCCACCCAAAGGAGCTCCTCTTCCTGTGTCCTCTGACCTTATCAATGACAGCAATGTCCTATTAAGTTACTTAAGCTAGATCTCTCAGTCTTTTACCAAACCAATATTCAGTTAATCCTCCAGCACCTATTGATCCTGCCTTGTAAATACTTTTCAAAACTCTCACCCTCACTCCATTGCTATTTCTTTACTTCAGGTGTTCAAGCTGTCTTGCAGCAGCAGATGATGTATCTGTCTCTCTGCCACCACCTTTTAAAATAAGTTCTTTTTTCTAATTATGAAATTACTATGTGCTCAATGACAAAAATAATTTGGAAAACACAGAAGAGTACAGTTTCTTGTTTTTTTGTTTTTTTAACACACACAGACTATCTTTAATTCCACCACCCAAAGATAATTACCGGGTTTGTGTTTTTTAGTGTATATATATGTAGTTATTTTATTTAAATATAATACCTATAAATACTCTTTTATAATGTGCTTTTTTAAACTTTATTTTTTATTTTTTTAGAGACAGGGTGTGTGTGCTGTCACCCAGGCTGGAGTGCAGTGGCATGATCATAGCTCACTGTAACTCAACTCCTGGCCTCAAGCAGTCCTTCTGCCTCAACCTCCAGAGTAGCTGGGATTACAGGTGCAAGCCACCACACCCAACATATCATATACTTTTTTAATTCACTTTTTCAAGTCAGTAGAAACTTGCAAATTAATTTCTACTGGTTTTCCAAGTATTTCACTACTTAGGAATGATTTGCTTCAGGTAACCTATTATTACACATGTAAGTGTATTTTAGTTTTTTACTTTTTCAGATAACACTGAAGAACATCTTTGTATGCTCTTCTTTTCCTTTTGTTTTTCTATTTTCATACAATTGATTATTTTCTTATGATAGATGTTGAAAAGTAGAATTTCTGGGTCAGAGAATATACCTTAAGAATTTTGATCCATATTGCCAGATTGACCTACACAAAGAGTACCCATGAGTATGTCCTTGTACCCTCAACCTAGACAATATTGGGTATCATCATTCTTTTTAAACCTTAGCCAAACTGAGAGATGAAAATATTTAACTTTTTTTTTTTTCTTGAGATGGAGTCTCGCTCTGCCACCCAGGCTGGAATGTAGTGGTGTGATCCCAGCTCACTGCAACCTCTGCCTCCTGGGTTCAAGTGATTCTCCTGCCTCAGCCTCCTGAGTAGCTGGGATTACAAGCATGTGCCATCTCGCCTGGCTAATTTTTGTACTTTTTTTTTTTTTCTTTTAGTAGAGGCAGGGTTTCACCATATTGGCCAAGCTGGTCTTGAACTCCTGACCTCTAGTGATCCACCTGCCTCGGCCTTCCAAAGTGCTGGGATTACAGGCGTGAGCCACCGCACCCAGCCAGTATTTAACTTTTATATTGCTAGTGATGGGGAATATTTTTTAATGTTCACTGGCCATTTTTACTATTTTGTAAGTTGCTTCCTTATGTACTTAGCCCATTTTTCTACTATTGGAGGTGTTGAAATGTTTATAAAAATTATTTATATATTCAGAACATTAACCCTTCATCTTAATATTGCAAATGCTTTTTCACACTTAGTCATTATTGCCATTTTTAATATTTAAATTTTCTATTATTTTATTATGAAATACTGTCAACATACACAAAATAAAATTATAGATATCTGTGTACCAACAATTGTTAACTGATAAGATTTTCCATATTTGTCTTAGGTTTAGACCTTTTCCCTGTTGTTAAGAAACCAACTGTTGCAGATACAACTGCCTCCCCCTCCCCTTCCCTATCTTTTCCCCTTACTCTCTCCCAAGTGGTATATCACTGTTAAGAGTTTGTGTATATCATTTCATGTATTTTTTATATGTGTGTATGTGTGTGTATCTATCTTCATAAACAACATATTCTACTTTTAATCGTTTTTTAAATTTACGTAAATGCTATGATATTATTTTGCCAATTGTTATTTTTATGCAATTAAACATAACATGTTTTAACTTTTTTATATTTATTTATGTTGATTCATATAGATCTAGCTGATTCATTTTAACTGCTCTTCAGATTCTATTCTGTGAATAAATTCCCAAATTTATCCATTTTCCACCTCAGGGCAATAGTTTATTCCTTTTGACTATTTCAAGCAATGAGGTAGTAAAATGTCTTTATAAAAGTCTTTTTCTGTACTTGTACAGAGTTTCTCAAGGGTATATACCTAAAGGAGTAATTTATGGATGATATAATAAATGCATGTTCAACTTTTATCAGAAAATACTGTTAAATGTTTGCTGACAAAAATTTATACCAAATACCAAAAAAGTTGATACCTTAAAACCAAAATCTGACAAAGATATTCAACAATTTAACACCAAATTGTTCTTTAAAGTAATTGTACAAATTTTAGTTCCCATCATCAAAAAAACTGCAGTTTCCATTTCCCCATATCCTTGCTAGTGTTTTTGTCAGTCTGATAGCTATGCAATGTTTTGTTTTTGTCGTCTTCATTACACTGACTTTATCACTAGTGAGGTTGAGCATTGTTTGTCAGTCATTGTATGAGTCTGGATTTAGTTGTAGAAAATGAAGCCATTGTAGCTATTTTAAGCAGAAAAGGATATAAAACAGAATTAGGTGCTTACAAAATCATTGAAAGGACTGAAAGAGCAAATTCTATCAAATAAACTTAAGTAAACACATAAAGCTAATGACTATACTGAACAACATAATTCTATATTCTTAATATTTTTCCAGTTCTAACAATTAGCAAAATAGGAGTGTTAAAAATCTCCAACTGTGACTATGGATCTGTCTCCATTTAATTAGTATGATTTTGCTTCAAGTATTTTGAAACTCCGTTAGACTGTTATGTCTTTCAGATGGCCCTTTTATTATTATTCCTCTTTATTGGTGTTAAATACTCCTTGCTTTGAAGTCTAGTTTGTTTAATATTAATTTCTCACATAACTGTTTGGTCTTTTCCATGCTTGACAATTTTTTTTTTCCTTGAAGCACTTTAAAGATGTCATTCCATGGTCTTCTGGCTTCCATCGTTTCTTATAAAAAATCAGCCTTCATTTATGTCATTTTTCCCCTGTAGGTTGTGTCTTTTTTTTCCTCCAGCTGCATTCAAGATTTTTTATTTATATTTGAGTTTCAGCAGTTTGACATGATCAGCTTCAGTGTAGTTCTCATTGCACTTTTTCTGCTTGAGGTTTTCTGAGCTATTTGAACGGTAAATTGATGTTATTCCACCAAAACAGAAATCTACTTTCTTAAACTTTCCACAAAGAAAACTTTGGGTACAGATGGCTTTACTTCTAAATTCTACAAAGCACTTAAGGGAGAAATATGCCAATCATACACAAACTCTCTCAAGGGAGAGGAGGGAATACTTGCCAGCTTGTTTTATGATGCCAGTATAACCTTAATACCAAAATCTGACAAGGATATTCCAAAAAATAAAATTACAGATCAACATTCCTCGTGAACATAAATGTAGCAATTAAATTCAGCAATATATAAAAGGATCATGACGATATGAGATTTATTCTAGGAATGCAAGGTTAGTTTTAACATTTAGAAATTGCCATATTAACTTATCAAGAACCATGAAAGTTCATAGATTTTACCCTTTTTGCAGGCTAACAAGTTAGCCCACAGTTTCATGGATGCTGGCAAAAGATACAAGACTCCTAGTCAGAGACAAGGGACCTCATTACTCACAGACAGCAAGCAATTTGAACTTTATGTTCTCATCAGTTTTTCTTACCCCCAGGTCCCACGGAAACAACACAGGGTGGGCCCAGATGGATGTTGCATGTGCAGTGAGTTTACATCACAGCTGAGGAAACCCCCACAATCTTAGGAAACCCCAATCTTTAAAATGGGCTAAAAATAGACCTGTTCAACCTTTGCCTGGGAGATAGACACTATCTTTACTATACTGGACAGCCAACATAACTGACCTTTGCTCTAAAGGAAGACATCATCACCATTTTCCAAGACCATTCCCTATACAAACATTCTGGAAAACCTAGTCTAGAACAAAAGCTGTTAGTTCATCTGCTCACAAGACATGCAAAAATGTCAGACCTTTTGAGGATTATCTCCTGGCACTGACCTCAACAAAAGGAAACTAAGATCATCTTAGTAGATGCAGAAAAAATGAAACAAATGTAACACTACTTCATGATAATAAAATAAACAGCAAATTAGGAATAGACGGGAAAAACAGCTAAATCGTACATAATAATAAACACTTTTCCTTTAAGATTAGGAATACACAGACTGTTTACCCTCATCACTTCTATTCAGCATTGTATTGAAAGTTCTAGCTAGTTCAGTAAGAAGCAGAAAAAGAAAAGGCATAAAGTTTGTAAAGGACAAAATAAAACTATTATTATTTGCAGTCTCATGATTGCACGTATAGAAAACTATGTAATCTACCAAGAAAAAAATGATTATTTAATAGAACTGTTAAGTAAGATTTAAGCAAGGTTTGAATATACAAATATAACTTATGCAAAAATCAGTCATATCGCTATGTATAGCAACAAATAGAAATCAAGATTTAAAAAACAATACCATTTATAAAAAGCATCAGAAAATATCAAATACCTCTGAGTAAATCTCATGAAAGTAAAGCAACACCTCTACAAAGCATTACCGAGAGAAATTAAAGACCTAAATAAACGGAGATATATATAATATCCATGGATCAGAAGACTCAATATTGGTAAAACATTATTTTTCCCCAAATTAATTTATAGACTCTGTGCAATCCTAATCAAAATCCCAGCAGGCTTTAGAAATAAATTTACAAGTCAGCTCTGAGATTTCTATGGAAAAGTTAAGGCTCTAACACAGCCAAAACAATTTTGAAAAAGAATAATAAGTCAGAGGACTTGCCTGATTTGGGGACTTACTACAGAGTTATGCTAATCAAGACAGTCTGGTATTGGTATAAGATTGATCAATAGGTCAAAATGGAATTGAGG
The DNA here is from genome assembly GCF_000001405.40 of Homo sapiens. Classification (NCBI taxonomy): domain Eukaryota; kingdom Metazoa; phylum Chordata; class Mammalia; order Primates; family Hominidae; genus Homo; species Homo sapiens. The sequence continues at coordinate 76,412,582 of NC_000015.10, read as the reverse complement.
GCACAGAAATAGACCTACACAAATACGGTCCAATTATTTGGGGTGGGGGAGCTGATTAGGCTTTGAAAAAAAAATACACTATTTTTTAGAGCAGTTTTAAAAGTTAACAGCAATATTGAGTGGAAACTATAGAGTATTTCCATAAACCCCCTGGCCACACACATGTACAGCCTCCAGTAGGCCTCATTAGAGTGGTACATTTTTTACAGTCAGTGAACCTACATTGATGTCATTATCACCCTAAAGTCCATAGTTTACATTAAGGTTAACTCTTGGTGTTAAATATCTTACGGATTTTGACAAATGTATAATGCCATGTACTCATCAGTACAGTATCATATAACCCCATCTATCATTCCTCCTTCCCCCACAACCTCTAGCAACCTCTCGTCAGTTGATTTCTGATCAAGGGATCAGATTAATTTAATAGGGAAAGGAAAGTTATTTTAATGAATGGTGCTAGAACAACTGGATATCCATATGGAAGAAAAGTAACCTCTTGTTATATACAAAATTAATTTGAGATGGATCACAGATCTAAACACAAAAGTTGTGACCATAAGACTTCTAGCAGAAAATATGGGACTATATATATCTTTGCGGTCATGGAATGGGGGAAAGATTTATTTGGATACAAATATGCAAATAACCGTTTAACACATGGAAAGATACACAAATAACTACTTAGCACATGGAAGTGTGTTCAGTATGTTAGTTATCAGGGAAATGCAAAATAAAATCATACCAAGGTACTGTTTCAAATCCAATAAAACGGCTAAAATAAAAAAGATTGATGATACCAGATGTTGGTAAGGATATAGAACAACTGGAGATCTAATACATTGTTTCTGGGAGAATGAAATGAAATGACCACTTTGAAGAACTCTATAAATTTGTAAATTTAAACACATCTATTCTATGACTCAACAATTCTACTCTTAGGTATTTACCCAATAGAAATGAAAACACATGTTCACAAAAAGACTTTCCCATGGATTTTCATAGCAGTCTTATTTATGATAACCAAAAACTGTAAATAACATATACATCCATCAACAAGAGAAGGAACAAACAAATCATAGCATACAGGTTGAGTATGCCTTATCTGAAATGCTTGAGACCAGAGTGTTTTGGATTTTGGATTTGGGCGGGGAAGGGATTTTTGAGTATTTGCATTATACTTGCCAGTTGAACATCCCAAATCTGAAAATCCAAAATCTGAAATGCTCCAGTGGGCATTTCTCTTGAGCATCATGTTGATACTCAGAAAGTTTTGGGTTTGGGAGGATTTTGTATTTTCAGGTTGGGCATGCTCAACCTGTATTCATACAGTGGGATACTAATCAACAATATAAAGAAAGGAATTATTGTCCCATGCACCAACATGAATAAATCTCAAAAACATCATGTTTAGCCAGGGACAGATATAAAAGAGAACATTTTGAATGATTTCCTTTATATGGAGATAGGAAAGGATTGGATAGAAAACAAGGGATCTTTCTGTGATGATGAGTATGTTCTATATCTTGTTTTTATGGATGGTTATGTAGATTTATATGGTCTTCAAAACTTGTCAAACCAAACACTTAAGTTTTGTGCATTTATTATTTGGAATATATCTCAAGAGAAAGCAGTTGATTATTAATCACAGTGACAGCAGAGAGAAAGGACAAAGGTTATCACAAATGTGATTAGCAAGAAGACAAGAGATGTGAAGGATAGACAATAGAATTAAAATGTTGAATAATTGATCTTCTCAAATAAGGTAACAGGAGAAGTACAACAGAAAAAAAAAAAAGCAAGAATAGAACACTTCTAAACTGAAGGAAGACATTCATTAGCCATATATGAAGGAATCAACTTTACTAGTGGGGTAGATATAAAGAGGCTGAGACTCAGGTCAGGCCTTGTTTCTAATATCCCACAGTAACTTAGCCTGATAGGATGTGACCTTGACCAAACTATAGCAATAACAATTAGAGTGGAAGCAAGAAGGATTTAGGACTATTTTAGAGGTAGAATTAGCTTCTATCTACCTCAGCCTTGGGCCTTGTCTACCTGATGAATTCATTTAAAAATATGAAGATGCCACCTCTTTTGAGAAGCTAGCCCTGGCCCATTAAGCCAAAATTTGGCACTTCTGCTATATAGTAGTAATACTTTGAACATACCTCTATTATAGAATTAATCATAGTAATGTAGAAATTATGTGTCAGCTACAATGTTAAGAGGTCCTTAAGGTTAGCATCAGCATCATACTTAGAAATAATTGAGTGGATGAATGCATGATTACAAACGGTTATCTTAAAATTTCTTGCATTACTGTGAGATGAATAATGACATTCATTTGGACAAGAATAGTGGGAGAAGGAGATTTCAGAAGAGATAATGAGGTTTTATTTGAACATACAAATATAGGGGTGCCCTGGGACCCCCAAGGGAAAATATTCATAAACTAGTACTTTAAGAAAGAAGTTCAGAAAAGAAGTAGGCCGGATGCCATGGCTCATGCCTATAATCCCAGCACTTTGGGAGGCTGAGGAGGGCAGCTCGCTTGAGTCCAGGAGTTCACAACCAGACTAGGCAACAAGGCAAAACCCTGTCTCTACCAAAAAAAAAAAAAAAAAATTAGCCAGGCCTGATGGCATGCACCTGTAGTCTCAGCTACTCAGGAGGCTGAGGTGGGAGGACCCTTGAGTCCAGCAGTGAGCCATGATTGCATCACTATACTCCAGCCTGGGCAGCAGAGTGAGACCCTGTCTCTAAAAGAAAAACAAAAGTAGGCCTTGAGATAGAATTGGGAATTATTATTAACATATCGAGGATAGTTGAAACCATGGAATTGCATGACTTTACTAAATTTAGTTCAGGGATAGAACCCTAATAAGCAACAATTTGGTTGGAATGTGAGAGTGGATAGGTAGACAAGGATGGACAAAGAAACAATAACTCATTTTAGTTTTTTTTTTTAATAGATTCGGGGGTACATAATACATGGATATATTACCTAATGGTGAAGTTTGGGCTTGTAGTGAATCCGTCACCCAAATAGTGAACATCGTATACACACACACACACACACATAATGTATATGTTTCTAAATATCCCTTTCTGTTTGTAAAGTCCAATGACAGAAAGCTGCAAAGGGACTCATTTTAAATTTCAAATGGCAAAGCAAATGGAGAGACCCATTTATTTATCATTTACAGCAGCATGTTTCTTTCCCAGGATGTGTGTTCCAAGAAGACTAGGAAGTTTTCTGTATTAAAGCTTTTCATCCTGGGTGTGGTAATAGCCTCAACATTATAATTTCAACCTAACAGTTACAATGCAAAAGATATGTTGCTTTTGACCCCAGTGTTCATTAGAAAGTTCCATATTCTTCCCTCAAAACAATGAGATTGACAAAATGAATTTCTCTACACTGACCTTTTAGAGCCATTTAGTTTAAGCATCTTCTTAGCCAGTCATTTAAAGATTGTCCATGCAGTCAAGACATAGGCAATTTAGAAAAACATTAGACTGACTCATTAGTAGGCACTGTAGATGGCCCAGTAACCTATAGGAGACGATACTCAGAAAGGACCAACCACTCAACAAGTGGTTGTTTCAGTTTGCCTTGGCTTTACAATGCTTTTTATCTCTTTGCTCATTTTGTAGTCTTTCTTCCTTTCTGGCTGTTTCAAGGATGGTACCGGAAACCTAGCTAAGCCATTTTCATCTTGAGACTACATGGTTTTGAAGTTTTGTGTGATCACTTTAGACCTCAGTAAGGACCCAAAAAATGCCACAGAAAAGCAGTGAATTCAGTGCAAAGGACCCTCTTATCAGGAGTCAGAAAACCATAGAATGTTCCAGCCGTCTTTGCTTGAGCTTGTGCGTTGCCTTCCTTGAGCATCAGTCTCCTTGTCTATCAAATGGGGATAGTCATACCAACCCCCACATAGTGAACTGGGTTTTCTCGTACCTTGCTCGTGAGACTATAAATTTATTTAATGTTTCTTGAATATAACGTGGCTATGTATATCAAGAGCCCTAAAAATATGCATACCCTTTGACTCAGTAATTCCACTTGTGGAAAATAGTCTGAAATCTGGCAAGGTTTTCTACTCAAAATGTTTGGCACAGCATGGTTTATAATAAGGAATATTGAAAACAACCAAAAGTTGCAAAAACATTCCACTGGTAGAATATTATTCAATCATTAAAAATGATGTTTATGTATCCAGTCAGACCTCTAGAACCTAGATCATTTTACAGGAAATAAATAGTTCCAAAAAATGTTATGTGACACCACAGGGATATAATCAGCAAAATTCAACTTGTGGGAAAGCGTATAGGATAAACAACCAGGTTTCATCAACAAATACATACATTTTCAAAGGGGGTTTTAAAAGATGGAGGGTAGCTAACAGATTAAAAAGAGACTTAAGTCATATTAACCAGTCACAATGTGTGGTTCTTGTTTGGATTCTAATTTTAAAAAAAACTATTTAAAATATTAAGGCATTTATGGTACATTTAGAAATTTGAACACCAGTTATTTGATGATATTAAGAAATGGTGATTTTTAGATGTGATAATGATGTTGTGGTTTTGTTTTTTTTAAGTGATTTTTTTTAGAGATAGAAATGGAAACATTTACAAATGAAATAATATGCCTTGGATTTGCTTAAACTTTATGCAGGATGGGTGTGGACAGATAGGATTGGCCATGGGTTGATGGTAGTAAGGGCTGTGTGATGAATGCATGGGTATTTGTTATCCTATTCTGTCAATAAAGATTTAAAATATAATGCTTAACCAAGATGTTTTCATGACATAGAAGGGGCCTAAATAGTCATTGAATGAAATTCGGTATAATGTCAATCATGTGGAGAAAGAATCAAATAGAAAAACATGAAAGGAAAATTATCAAACTGTGATTGTCTTTAAAAGGTGAAATTATGGCTAACTTTTTCTACTGATTTTTCTGCTTTTCTTTACTATATAAATTTCTATAATGAGCCTATATTACCACTATAATCAGAAAAAAACAAGTTTTCACTCTGGTTAGAACTCTTTTAGAACCTTAGCTTGAAACAACGTAAGTAAAACAGAATAGTAAAATGGCTTGTGTACCTGGGAAGGTCAAGGTTTGAACTAGATGCCAAGGCTCTGAGTATAGTAATGCACTGCATAATGACTTTTTAGTCAACAACAGACCACATATACAATGGCGGTCCTGTAAGATTACAATACTATATTTTTACTGTACCCTTTCTATGGTTAGATACACAAATAATTACCATTGTGTTACAGTTGCCTGCATTGTTCCCTGCAGTAACATACTGTATATGTTTGTAGCCTGGGAACAATAGGCTATCCCATATAGCCTAGGTTAGGCTATACTATCTAAGTTTGTGTAAGTACACTCTATGATGTTTGCACAATGACAAAGTTGCCTAATGATGCAGTTCTCAGAATGCGTCCCCATATGCCATTACAGCTTTGTTTCTTTCTTTCAATTCTACTTATCTCTACTTGGCTTTATTCTCTAAGCAGATGTTCTCCATGTAACAAGTTGACTACCAGCACCCCCAGAGTTACATATTTTAGTTTAGATATCCCCAGTGGAAAGATATTTTTCCTATGGTCATATATTAATCCCACAGAAGATGTTGAGTGGTCCTCCCTAGGTCATATACTCATCCTGGAACCAGTCATTATGGCCAAGATGATGAGTACTTTGACTGTCCTGAAGCACATGCTCACTCCTGCATTAGCAAGCAGGTAGCATCTTTAACAATGCCCCCAGGACCATATGAAATAGGAGAGGAGAATGTGCTGGGCAGATAAAAACAAAAGCTTTTACAGTCTGCTCCCTAATGGTGTTCTTGGGATAATTCATTGGGATGATTAAGATAAAACACTTTCTTTTATTTTGTTTGCTAGTGTGTGTGTGTGTGTGTGTGTGTGTGTGTGTGTAGACAGGGTCTCACTATGTTGCCCAGGCCAGTCTCAAACTTCTGGGCTCAAGCAATCCTCCTGCCTCAGCCTCCCAAAGTGTGGGGATTACAAGCGTAAGCTACTTTACCCAGTCAAAACACTTGATTTTTTTTTCTTGAGATGGAGTCTCACTTTGTTGCCCAGGCTGGAGTACAATGGCATGATCTTGGCTTACTGCAACTTCGACTTCCCGGGTTCAAGCGATTCTCCTGCCTCAGCCTCCTAAGTAACTGGGACTACAGGTTCCAGCCACCATGCCTGGCTAATTTTTGTATTTTTAGTAGAGACAGGGTTTCACCATATTGGCCAGGCTGGTCTGGAACTCCTGACCTCAAGTGATCCACCTGCCTCAGCCTCCTAAAGTCCTGGGATTACAGGTGTGATCCACCGTGTCTGGCTACAGACAAAACACTTTCTAAATTGAAGAGTTCTGTGCAAATGTAAAAGCCAGTTTTTAAAAGTCTAATTTTGTTCAATCAGATTGTAATAAGATTCTCAGTGTGTACATATATCAGTCTATCAATTTCCTTTACTAGAAGAGGTCTGGTGGTCGTCATTTCATACTTCCCAATTTTAAAACTGTAGGAGTGCTCAGTAGCCCAGGTAGATACATAGTCTAATGTAAAAGATGAAAGGAGGCACTATTTTGTACCTTCAACATAGTAAACTTGGAATGGCTCCAGACATGAATTATTCATCAGTTTATCCTTCCTTTTACAAAAACCTGTGTTGGTAAATGAATAGTGGGGACTGTAGTGCACTTACACACCAAAACCTCAATTCCTTTGTGTATATCTCTGAAAGTTAACATGTTGATTTGCAGAACTGCTATATTTGCAGTCCTACCCTTCTCATACATGTCAGTGCAGTAGCATTGAATTTCTAGGCCAAGGTTGATTTATCTACAAGGTCTTTTATAGTTTTAAAATATTCTTTTCAATGATTGCTGCTCTGTGGATTAATAAAAGAGTTACTGTTGTCAGTCCAGTTTACAAACAGCTCTAGAAAACTGTTTTGTACTGAAAAGATGGAAATGATTTCTTAAATGTTGTTGTCAACCCTCAGGACTGGTACTTTTCAGTAAAAGCAATTAGATTCTCACTGTTTGTTATGCTGTTAATGGTGACAGAGTCTTTAAAAACAGAGAACCTACAACTGGCTTTAGAAGTTTAAGTTGTAGCCAGGCATGGTGGCCCATGCCTGTAATTGTAGCACTTTAGGAGGCCGAGGCAGGAGGATCGCATCAGGCCAGAAGTTCAAGAAGAGCCTGGGCAGCTATAGCAAAACCCCATTTCTACAAATAAAAAAAAAAAATTAACTGCACATGGTGGTACACGCATGTAGTCCCAACTACTTGCGAGACTGAGGCAGGAGGATCTCTTGAGCCCAGTAGGTTAGAGTTGTAGTGAGCTATGATCATGTCTCTGCACTCCAGCCAGGTGACAGAGTGAGACGCTGTCTCTAAAAAAAAAAAAAAAAAAAAAAGTGTAAGTTGTAACAAGAGTGTCTGAGTTGAATCATTGTACTGTATCTTCTAAATCCTTGCATTGGGGCTACCTAGTACTTTAAAAAGGAACAGTTTTTAAGAGCATAAAGGTCATTATAAATCATTTCACTTGTTGTTAGACTCTTTAGACCAGTAAGAATGACTAGATAATCATTGTCATTCATTTTTTTCTTGAAAAATAATATTCAAATAACCAAAAGAAAGAAGAGAGAAAAAAATACTTACAGAAAGAGCTGATTATTCAGGAGTAAATCTAAGGAAATTGTTACTTGAGATGCTTTACTCAAACTTGTGTTGTGTCTGCATGTTTGAGGGGTCCAAGCCTGTGTATGGTAGCATTTATCATTGAAGGTGAAGATGTTGCTGGCCTATTCAGATTGATAACATGCATTTCTCCCCCATATCTAGCTACGTGGTGAACATGGGTCTGATTGACAAACTGTGTGCCTGCTTCCTCTCGGTGCAAGGCCCAGTGGATGAGAATCCCAAGATGGCCATATTTCTGCAGCATGCCGCAGGACTCTTACATGCAATGTGTACACTGTGCTTTGCTGTCACTGGAAGGTAAGGCATCTACTTGATCTCAATCTAGACTCAACTTTTGGAACATCTCTTGAATTTTGCCCATTCTAGGGTCATTTCATAGGAATTCAAGTGGTCATCTTGGCCATCTTTCCTCTTTGTTCTTTCCCCATCATTGGCTTTCTATATTGAGATGTATATTAATTTCTCATTTTTCTGGGCCACACACTCTCACCAGTCTTTTTTTCTTGTTGGTGTCATAAATTTGACTGTCATTGCTAGAAGAGACCTAAGAGGTCATCCAGTCCCTCTTCCACTGAGATCCAGAGGAGTCCAGTGATTCTCCTTCAGTCATCGAAGGAAACAAAGCCTAGACCAGACCAAGCCAAGCCGTCAGCCCTACACAGTACAGCCTGAAAGTGCTCATTACCGTCATTCATGTGCTTTCAGTTATAGGCTGCTAGGTTTATTTTCCCTCTGTCCCTTCTTCCAGAGTACTTCCATGAATAAGGGAAGGGAGCCATCTAAAACAATAGGTCCCTGAAGTCACACGTGACCCATGGGCATAGTGAAAGCCAGTGTGCCAGGGACTACTACTGGCCTGGTTGGCTGTTTAGACTACCCTACCCCATCCTACTCCATCCTACCCCATCCCACCCTGCGGACTGTCCTCAAAAACAATAATTCTCTAGGAAGGACACAAGTAACCCTCTGGGTCTTCTTGTCTTCTCCCCAACCCATCCCTCACCAAGTAAGAATCGTTGATAATAGTGCCTCCATTTTTCTGATAGGAATATGACATATCCCTTAGGCATATCGAGGATGTTCAATCAAATAATTTTCTTATAATTAATTCTAAACAGCACATATGTATTACCTATTTTTTAATTATGTGTTTTGTATTTTTAGGAATTTGTCCAGTCTAAGCTTCTAAAGTCTAGCTTCTTAAGGAAATATTATCCATCTATATTCAGTGTTCACAGAATACCAGTGACTATATTCAGAACATTTTAAGAGGGGGAAACTATATTCTAAAATGAACATCCTCAACATTTTTTAGTTCATTATACATAGGACCCCTAAGCCCACCTATCCTTCCTTACTCTTACCCAGTCCCTCACCACCAGTCACGTTCTAATAAAATTAAGACTGTCTAGAGAAGTCAGGGAAGCCAAGCATGCCTGTGTTCAGTGTTTCAAGTTAGTCTCTTCCCATCAAGAAATGTAGACCAAGCCTACCTTCAGTGAGAGCTCAGGAAGTGACTTTTTGTAGGTCTGTGACCTACGTAGGATCAGGTAGTACCATAGTACACAGAGGTTGGCATACCAAACACTGTCCATCTGGAACAGTGGCACCTGCCAGCTTGGAGGCCACCATGCTGCCCAGCTAGTTCCTGTGCATTGGCCAGGCCCCTCCATGGAGGTGTCCTCTCAGGCAGGAGACCTGTGCTGACCCTCTCTCTTTTTGAACACAGTTTCCCTGTGTTCATTACATTACAAACCTGCCAGCATCTCAAGTCTGTGTCACCTGTATTTTCTCGAATCCAGATCAATATCACAAATATAAGCATTTCCGTATGTGATTGTTTTACAGTCTGTGGGCTTCAGCTGTCACTTACACGCAGATTCAGTCACTTAAAATCTATGGAATTTAAAAGAAACCTAAGGGTCATTCACCGTCACTTGTTTTTTGTAGGAAAAACAACTGAGCCAAACTGACTTGAATGAGGTCCTGAGATTTCTAGCTTGATACTCCTTCTGCTTGACTTTATATTATTCAGGATGTAGAAGCATATATTTCATTTCTTTGAAAATTTTCTCAATTACATATGGAACATGGAAACAGGATCTTCTCTTTAATGCACACAGTCATGCTCTTGTCCTGAAGACATTGAGCATCTGTCCTGTGCCAAACACCAAGTTAGGTAGGTACTAAAGATACTGCCCTCAGGGAGCCAAGAGTCTAGTGTGGGGTCAGACTTATAAAGTAATAGTTATAGCAGAAGAGAATTTGCACAGAAAAGGAAGTAAAGCACTTACAGAGGAGGTCAAAAAAGGCTTCCATAGGCAGAATCCAAGACAAGTGGAAGGAAAAAAATCAGTTGAGAAAAACGGTATGATATGTACATTATGTGGTATACCAGATGTTATTGGTGCCTTTGGTTCACGTGGTCATCTGCCAATGGCTTTCTGTATTTCTCTGCCTCAGGACGTTCTCTGGACAAGGAGCTATTTGCTAGAGTGCAGAGGAGTTTAACACCTCCAGTAGTGGCGTTAATAAATTGGTAGATAATACAAACAATAAATTGGTAGATAATACCCCCACTTCCCTAATGTTCAGTAGTACAATTCTGAGTATATTCTGTACAGTTCTCACAGGATCCTAAGCCCTAACCTGTTTTTTGTTTGTTTGTTTGTTTGTTTTGTTTTGTTTTTGAGACTGAATCTTACTCACTCTGTCGCCCAGGCTGGAGTACAGAGGCACTATCTCAGCTCACTGCAACCTCTGCCTTCCATGTTCAAGCGATTCTCCTGCCTCAGCCAGCTGAGTAGCTTGGATTACAGGCACAGGCCACCACTCCTGGCTAATTTTTGTATTTTTAGTAGAGATGGGGTTTCACCATGTTGGCCAGTCTGGTCTCGAACTCCTGACCTCAAGTGCTCCACTCACCTCAGCCTCCCAAAGTGCTGGGCGCGCCTGGCCCGTAACCTGTTCTTTAACACATCCTTGATTGAGTTTTCTCCCTTCCCTGTTTCTCTTCTCTACATCCTCACAAATAATCTATTTGCACCCATATTATTTTTTCAGGGTCTGCTTTTAGGGCAGCCCAAACCAAGAGATACGGACATACAAGAGTTAGCGTCATGTTTAGTTTGATGTAGCTGTGCAATTGGGTAAATGTGGAGAGCAGCAGGAGATGAGGTATTAAATGAGCTCCATAAATGTTAGTTCTTGGGAGGTGCAAAGGGCTACAAGAGCTAGACTAGAGCTGTCAAAGGCTGCTAAAGTTGCTTGAGAGGGAGGACAGGATCAAATTTCTGTTACAGAATGATCACTCCTAAGAAGCACAGAGATGACTGGAATGGCACAAGCCTAGAGGCAGAAGGATTAGTAAAGAAGCTCTTGCATAATCCAACTGAGACATGTTGAGGGCCAGTAAGGTCAATGAAAATAGAGATGAGCAAATACATTACGAGGGAGTAGAACAAATGTAGGGGAGATGGCATAGGGTTTCATGATGTGGGGGGTGAAAGGAAGGGAAGCATCTAGAATGACTCCCAGGTTTCTGACTATAAAATTTTGAATGGTAGATAGCACAGTCTTCAAATTAGGAAATATAAACAGTTCTTCAGAGTGGAAATATGAGTTTGGTCCTAGACATGCCTAAGGGTTGTTATATATGATATAAGATTATCATATACATATACATATCATATACATATACATATATGTGTAAACTTTGGTCTACTTGGATAATCTTCAGGCATGCCTAGGACCAAACTTATATTTCCACTAAGAAAAACTGCTTATATTCTCAAACTTGGAAACTATACTGTCTACCACTCAAAATTTTATATTTATTATATATTTATACATCTGATAAATTACATGTTTACACATCTGATACATTTTATTTAAAATTTTTAATTACTATATAATTTATTTTATTATGTATATGAAATATAATTCCTTCTGTGTACACATACAACTGGATTTTAAACAGTGATTTACTCTTGATGGTTTTTAAGAATTCTTAATCTATTTATCTCCATTATAATTTCCTTCTCTAACCTCAATTGCTTAGCAAACTTCTGTTAGTAGGACTTACTACAAAAACAGATTATTCTAGAAAGAAGGTCCAGGTGGTTTCCTGGCTTAATTTACCTAGGAAATTATTTGCAGTATCAGTGTAAGCTACTTCTCTGAAAGAGCTGAGAAAAATGACCCCTTATTGTTGTTCTTCCTCTCATCCTTCAGTCTCCCAACATTTCCTGAACACCACCAGACCACAGGAATACAGGGAGTTTTTTCTACCTCCTCAGATTCATTTACTTCTGATATTTACAGATTGTTTTCTCCTGCTTATTTCTTCATGAAAATTATATTTCTAAGCTATAAATGACAGTGACAAGCATTTTGTTGCATGCATTAAATAGAGTTTCTGCTATAGGTCATAGCCATGTCTAAGAGGAAAGGTAGTGTGGTTTTTGCTTTATTGGAGTAATTCACATAATGTCTATTTTGGCTACCAGAAGCTAGCCAGAACCAGAGTCAAGGAAGGCTTTGTCCTCCTAGCCCTTTTGTGACAGGAATGAAAGAGGAAGAGGAGCTAGAGAGGGCTTCAAAAATTGCCTCTTGTGATGGCAGAGCCTGAGATAATTAAGGGGACTAATTGATATCTCCAGGCTTTGAGTAAACACTGCAGTCTGCTGGTGGCCCAGCCTTTGTGATGGTGATTACCGCTAGTCTGCCTTTGCACTACTCTCCTATTGTGCCCTTAATCTTCTAATTTTTACCTAGGTTTTCTTTTCTTTTCTTTTCTCTTTTTTTTTTTTTTTTTGAGACGGAGTCTCGCTCTGTCGCCCAGGCTGGAGTGCAGTGGCGCCATCTCGGCTCACTGTAACCTCTGCTTCCTGGGTTCAAGTTATTCTCCTGCCTCAGCCTCCCGAATAGCTGGGATTACAGGCGCTTGCCACCATGCCTGGCTAATTTTTGTATTTTTAGTAGAGATGGAGTTTCACCATGTTGGCCAGGCTGGTCTCAAACTCCTGACCTCAGATGATCCACCTACCTCAGCCTCCCAAAGTGTTAGGATTATAGGCCTGAGCCACCTTACTCAGCCAAATTTTTACCTAGGTTTTCCGAAACACGATTTGGATGTCAGAATTTGTGCTGTTAGTCTTTGTTTCAACTTGGGATAGAAAAGCAATAGCTGATGACTTGTACCAGGCTTAGTTTTGAACAATGAACTTGCATTTCTTTAAGTAAAAATTGAAATCGTGATCCTCTGATGAAAGGATTGATTTTATGTCAGAATTGCTTCAGAATTTTAATATTGTTAACAAATGATTCTTAATCACTTCAGCAAAATTCAATAGTCTGTAATGGGACTCTCAGAAATGCCTATTTCTGGCCAGGTGTGGTGGCTCAGGTAATCCCAGCACTTTGGGAGGCCAAGGCAGGTGGATCACCTGAGGTCAGAAGTTCAAGACGAGACTGGCCAACATGGTGAAACCCCATCTCTACTAAAAATACAAAAATTAGCTGAGAGTGGTGGCAGGCACCTGTAATCCCAGCTGTTTGGGAGGCTGAGGCAGGAGAATTGCTTGAACCCAGGAGGCGGAGGTTGCAGCGAGCCGAGATGGCACCACTGCACTCCAGCCTGGGTAACAGTGTGAGACTCCATCTCAAAAAAAATGAAATGCCTATTTCTTTGGCCTTTACTGTTAACAGTTTTCTATTCTTGGTCCTACAAGTAAAGAGAAAACAATGGTTTTCAAATCTCAGGGCAGGAGCTCAATTGCTGTAATTGGTTGAGGCTCATTGGGTCCCCCTTAAGGTGCTGACTCCTTAGCAGAACTAATAGGATCAGCATAATAATGAGTGATTATAAATTGAAACCAACATGGGCTGTTAACTTAATCAGTAATCATTTACAGTATTCCTAACTGTGCTAGGCACTATGGCAACAAAGCCAGGAAGCAGTGGACCCACAGTAAAAGAGTTTGCAATCCTTACAACTACACTGAAGAGAGGAACTTATAAAACCTGGATAATTCTGATTGGTTGGAAAAGACTTGTGAATTCAAGAATATTTGTATACAAAAACAAGTTTGATGTTATATATATTTGTGTTTTTCATTTTCACATCCATAGATGACAATAACAAAATGTGTTCTAGCCAAAGTTCTGGAAACCTGTGTCATGAAAAGATAAGAATGATTTGTGATTTAGTCTATTTATTATGTGGCTATAAATGAGTGCTTTTCAAGTGTTTAAGGGTGCTTGAAAACCATTTGTTCAAGCAAAGGTAAATGTTAACTCTGCCCGCCTGCCTATTCATTCATTGAACAAATATTTATGTAGCACTTGCTCTGTGCCAGGCCCTGTGCTAGGATTGGGAGAAAGCAGTAATGGCTAAGACATCAATTTTGTCTAAGGACTCTGTAAGCTTGTAGGGGGAAAAAGATGCCTATACAACTATCTACAGTACAAGACAGAGAGTGATCAAGAGGACAGAAGATAACAAAAGCACTTAACATGCTGCCTGGTACATAGTAAATGCTTCATAAATGTTGGCCACTATTATCACCATTGTCATTGATGGAGTTCAGAGGAGGGAGAAATGACGGTTACTTGTCTGTGGGGATTAGCTGTTTTTTAGAGCAGCTAAAATTTAACATGGCCCTTGAAAGATGGAAAAGATTAGAACATGTAGAGTTGAGAAAAAGGTGGACCAAGAAAATAGCATAAGCAAAGACATAAAGGAGAAAAATACAAAGAATAGAGTACCTTAACTGAACTTTGAGATATATATGGTGGTATTTTAATGCTTGCAGATCCTTATGAGGCTCAAATGAGATCGTAAATATAAAAAGACTTTGTGAACTACATAAAATAATTTGCTGAGATGTGGTAACGGCAATAGCGTCATTAAAACCTTTTTACTAGAGGAAATGGATAAGTTTTGAGACACATGCAACCTACCAAGATTCAAACATGAAGAAATCCAAAACCAAAACAGACCATTAGCAAGTGATGAGATTGAAGCTATAATAAAAGTCTCCTGACCGGGCGCGGTGGCTCACACCTGTAATCCCAGCACTTTGGGAGGCCAAGGCGGGCGGATCACCTGAGGTCAGGAGTTCAAGACCAGCCTCAACATGTAGAAACCCCGTCTCTACTAAAAATACAAAATTATCTGGGCGTGGTGGTGCATGCCTATAATCCCAGCTACTGGGGAGGCTGAGGCAGGAGAATTGCTTGAACCTGGGAGGTGGAGGTTGCGGTGAGCCAAGATCACGCCACTGCACTCCAGCCTGGGCAACAAGAGTGAAACTCCGTCTCAAAAAAAAAAAAAAAAAAAAAAAGTCTGCCAATAAAGAAAAGCCCAGGACCAGAGGGCTTCACTGATGAATTCTACCAAACATTTAAAGAACAACTAATACTAATCCTACTCAAACTATTCCAAAAAATAGAGGAGGAGGGAATGCTTCCAAACTCTTTCTACAAGGCCAGTATTTATTACTCTGATGTCAAAATCAGAGAAACATGGAAAAAAGAAAACTAAAGACCAGTATCCCTGATGAATATTAATGCAGAAATCCTCAACAAAATACTAGCAAACCAAATTCAGCAAAAAAGATCATTCATTATGATCAAGTGGGATTTATCCCAGGAATGTCAGGATGGTTCATCATATGCAAATTAGTCAGTGTGATACATCATTATCAACAGAATGAAGGACAAAAACTAAATGATCATTTCAGGACATGCTGAAAAAGCATTTGATGAAATTCAACATCACTTCATGATTTAAAAAAAAAAAAAAAAAAAACTCTCAAAAAATTGGGTTGAGAAGAAACATACCTCAACAGAATAAAAGCCATGTATGACAGACCCACAGCTAGTATCATACTGAATGAGGAAAAATGGAAAGCCTTTCCTCTAAGATCTGGAACACAACAAGGATGACCACTTTCACCACTGTTACTCAACATCATACTAGAAATCCTAGCTAGAGCAATCAGACAGAAGAAAGAAAAGGCATCTGAATCAGAAAGGAAGAAGTCAAATTATCCTTTTTTACAGATGATATGATCTCATATTTGGAAAAACCTAAAGACTCCATCAAAAAGCTATTAGAACCGATAAACCAATTCAGTAAAGTTGCAGGATACAAAATCAATGTCCAGAAATCAGTAGCATTTCTATATGCCAACAACAAACAATCTTGAAATCAAAAAAAGTAATCCCATTTACAAGAGCCACAAATAAAGTTAAATATGTAGAAATTAACCAAAGAAGTGAAAGATTTCTACAATGAAAACTATAAAACATTGATGAAAGAAATTAAAGAAGACATAATAAATAGAAAACTGTTTCATGTTCATGGATTGGAAGCAGCAATATTGTTAAAAATGTCCATACTACCCTAAGCAATCGTCAGAGTCCATGCAATCCTTATCAAAACATTGATGACATTCTTCACAGAAGTAGAAAAAACAATCCTAAAATGTATATAGAATCACAAAAGACCCAGAATAGCCAAAGCTATCCTAAGGGAAAAGAACAAAACTGGAAGAATCACATTACTTGACTTTATAATACAAAGCTGTAATAATCAAAACAGCATGGTACTGGCATAAAAACAGACACATGGACCAATGGAGCAGAATAGAGAACCCAGAAACAAATTCATCTACAGTGAACTCATTTTTGACAAAGGTGCCAAGAGCATAAATTAGGGAAGAGTCTCTTCAATAAATGATGCTGGGAAAACTGGATATCCATATGCAGAAGAATGAAACTAGACCCCTGTCTCTCACCATATACAGAAATCGAAATGGATTAAAGACTTTAAGACCTCAAAACTATGAAACTACTACA
Organism: Homo sapiens; assembly: GCF_000001405.40. NCBI lineage: Eukaryota > Metazoa > Chordata > Mammalia > Primates > Hominidae > Homo > Homo sapiens. The sequence continues at coordinate 76,395,955 of NC_000015.10, read as the reverse complement.
AGAAAACATTGGGGAAACTCTTAAGGACATTGTACTGGGCAAAAATTTCTTGAATAGTACCCTGCAAGCACAGGCAACCGAAGCAAAAATGGATAAATGGGATCACATCAAGTTAAGCTCCTGCACAGCAAAGGAAACAATCAATCAAGTGAAGAGACAATCCACAGAAGAGAGAAAATATTTGCAAAGTACCCATCTGACAAGGGATTAACAACTAGAATATATAAGAATTCAAACAACTCTATAGGAAAAACTCTAATAATCCAATTTTTAAATGGGCGAAAGATCTGAAGAGACATTTCTCAAAAGAAGACATACAAATGGCAAACAGGCATATGAAAAGGTGCTCAACATCATTGATCATCAGAGAAATGCAAATCAAAACTACAAAGAGATATCATCTCATCCCAGTTAAAATGTCTTTTATCTAAAAGACATTCAATAACAAATGCTGGCAAGGATGTGGAGAAAAGGGAACCCTCATACGCTGTTGGTGGGAATGCAAATTAATACAACCACTATGGAGAACAGTTTGGAAATTCCTACAAAAACTAAAAATAGAGCTACCATACAATCCAGCAATCCCACTGCTGGGTATATACCCAAAAGAAAGGAAATCAGTATATCAAAGAGATATCCACACTCCCATGTTTGTTGCAGCACTGTTCCCAATAGCCAAGATTTGAAAGCAGCCTAAGTGTCCATCAGGAGATGAATGGATATAGAAAATGTACTCATACACACAATGGAGTCCTATTCAGCCATAAAAAAGAATGAGATCCTCTCATTTGCAACAACATGGATGAAATTCGAGGTCATTGTGTTAAGTAAAATAAACTAGGCACAGAGAGATAAACATCACATGTTCTCACTTATTTGTGGGATCTAAAAATCAAAACAAACTCATGGAGATGGAGAGTAGAAGGATGGGTGCCACAGGCTGGGAAGGGTAGTGGGTGGGTGGGAGAGAGCTGGGGATGGTTAATGGGTACAAAAAAATAAAAGCGTTAGAATGAATAAGACTAAATATTTGATATCACAACAGGGTGACTATAGTCAGTAATAATTTAATTGTACATTTTAAAATAACTAAAAGAATATAATTGGATAGTTTGTAACACAAAGGATAAATGCTTGAGGAGACAGATAACCCCATTTTCCGTGATGTGATTATTACTCATTGCATGCTCGTATCAAAATATCTCAGGTATCCCATAAATATGTATACCTACTGTGTACCCACAAAAATTTTAAAAACATAAAATGAATTTTTAAAGCCTTTGAGCAAGGAAGTGACCTGCTAAGAACCATATTTGGGAGCACTGGTCAAGTGTCGTGTGAAGAATGTATTAGAAGGTGGAAAGTGCAAGGGGCATTAACAGTTGTCCAGGTAAGAGACGAAAGGAATGGAAAGAAGAATGTTTTGAAAAACCCTCCCATAGACACTCTTTTTGTGTATGGTATCACCAGTCTCTCAGGCATCAAGCTCCAAACCTCATCATCTCTAATCTCTCCTCCTGATACCCCAGATCTAATCTACTGCCACATTCTGTTGATTGAAAGGAAACTTAAAGTCCCCTATCTGGTCTTCCAGTCAGGTTTGAATCTTTTCAGTAAGCCTCTCTGTCTCTGTTGAACACCTCCAGTGACAGGAAATTCGTTACTTAACTAAGGGGAGCTTGAGTTGTTGTTGCTTAAACCATCTCTCCTTATACCAAGCTGAAATCTGTCTCCCTAGTGCTACCTATTAGTATAAGGCCTACTTGCTCCTTGGCAACATGCAGACTAATATGAACCTACTCTTCTTCCTGAACTCCCCTGGTCTCACGGTACCTCATATTTTCCTTTGCTTTTCTTCTTGTTACGGTTACAATAACTGCAACAAATTACCCTAAAATTTAGTGGCATAAAACAACCATCTATTAATCTCACAGATTCTGTGGGTCAGGAATTCTTTTAAGGTACGGAGAGGATGGGTTATCTTTGTTCCACAATGTCTGGGGCCTCAGAAGACTTGAAGGCTGGTGGTTGGAATCATCTGAGTGCTTATTCACACATCTGTGGTAGATGCTGGCTGTCAGCCAGGGGTCTTTCCATGTGGGGTCTCTGCATAGGCTTAATTGGCTTCCTCACAGCATGGTGGCTGTGTTCCAAGAACAAGCATCCTGGCAGTGAGAGAGCAGCTAGAAACCATATCACCTTTTATGACTCAGCCTCAGAAATCACACAGCATCACTTGCACTACATTCTATTCACCAAGGCAGTCATGAAGTTCCATCCAGCTTCAAAAAAAGGAGAAATAGACTTTGCCTCTTCCTGGGGAGGATGAAGGTTCTAGAAGAGCATAGGGGACCAGAAATGTTGCTGTGGTTATACTTGAAAAATATAGCCTGCTACTTTCCACCCTACCCTAAAGATAAATGAGTTCCCAGTCTCCTGTTCTCAGCTGCCTTCTATTCTCTCTGCAGTCTCTTATTTGATACTGTCAGCCCATTCCTAAATATTTTGTTGTCATTAGCTACTGTCTTTGGACAAAGGGTTTGTTGGTATTGGGAGATAGGCAATGAAGTGAATGTAACAGGACTAGGCAAGTGGAACTAAAAGAAGTAACATTTGTTAAGCACCTTTGATACACCCTGAGCTGAGTATTTCATGTGGGCTATCTCCCTACAAGCATTCAAGAGTCCTGCTCACGCTGTCAAAGGAGTTAAAACAGCCACTAGACTAATAAGGAGGAGTGACTGTCCTTATCCTTCAGATCTAGAGAATGGGAAGAATACAGAAGCAGGAACTTCTGGGGTGTCTCTGTACTCACAATGGCAAAGTGCTAATAGAGGGACTTCCGAAAGATCCATCCCAGCTGACATAAAGCCCTAGTTACTTGAAGGAATGGAAAGATGACAACTTCATTGGTACAGTTCACATGAGTGCTCACTATGTGCTAGGCAGAAAGGGAACTGGCTGGGCCCCAGCTCGTAGGGCCAAAGTTTAGGACAGTCTCCACTGACTTACCATTCTCACAGGGGACAAGGGATGATGGCCTCAACATGCAGGGTTTAGAGGAGCAGAATGTGTCCAGGATACATTTGCAGCCAGATTCTCACTGGCTCTAGGAGACTGAGAAGGCAGGATCTCAAGAGGAAAACTGTGTGTAATATTATGTTGAAGAGCAAAGGTTAGGAAGTCAGAAAGATGTGGGCTCAGTTTCAGCTTTCTCAGTTCTGTGACCTGTGGCAGCGTGCAGAAGAGTGATCACGGCTTACTGCAGCCTCAATCCTCCAGGCTCAATCTATCCTCCAACCTCAGCTTCCCAAGTAGCTGAGACTACAGGGATGCACTGCTGCGTTCCACTAATTCTCTGATTTTGCTTTGTGTGTGTGTGTGTGTAGACGAGCTCTCCCTATGTTGCCCAGGCTGGTGTCGAACTCCTGGGCTCAAGTGATCTTCCTGCATCAGCCTCCCAGAGTGTTGGGATTGCAGGCGTGAGCCACCATGCCTAGCCCTGGTTCTTTAGGTTTTCAAAGCCTGTTGTTCACATATGAAAATGAATGTGTTACTTCTTCCCTCACAGGGTTGGACATGACAGGAGTAAATGGGGGCTAACATCTGTCACTCTTACTTCTTGTCTAAGATGCTATTTTTTACATATTCTTGTATTCATTATAACACATTTTGTTCCAAAAACTTGAGATAGCTTATAGAAGTATATATATGTTATTTTTTTAATTAAAAATTAAAAGGAGATAGGCAGGAAAGGTAAATCAAGCCACAGCAAGTAAGGTTAAGGCCCAAACCATATTCATAACAAGGCCATGATAGACATTTCCTCCTGGAATTCCTACTGGCAATTTCTACCAGGAACTTATATTTAATATGTTAGATCCTGAGCTCATTGGCTTTCACCCAAAGTTGGCTGTCCCTCCTGACTGCCTTATTCTGCTCATGATTCCAGCAATCTGAGTAGATTTTAAGACCCAAAGCCTTAGTCATCTTTGACTTTTCTTTCCCAGAATCCAATCCAGTCCTATTTGATTCCATCAAAGGGATGTTTTCCTCTGAAATATGAGATGGAACATACCATTTATGCCACTTACTTGGTATTTGTCAACGTGCAGTTCATTATTTCTCTTTCCTTGTATACATGGTTTGTGTCTAGAGTTAAAAGTATTTACCTAGAGAAAGAAGCTAAATATCCTAGCAGCTTCCCGTCAGGCACATAGCACCTGAAACAAAACAAAATAAGAACTTGAGAAACAGCTGTTCATTGGTAGAGCTAGCAAATACTAGTGAACGATCATTGGCCTATGTCGGAATCCCATTTCCTGGGCCTATTCTATACATAAGAAGAAGGACTGCCCACATCTCATGTTCTTCTTTCTCTGAGTTAGGAAATAGGCATCCAAGGCCTTCATTCCTTTGGCATGCCTTGCTAAGATCAGTTCTCCCTTTCTTCCTTCTATTTCTTTGGCAAATATTTACTCATACCTATTTACTGAGTATGTGCTATGTCCCAGACCTTGTCAAGGTACTGGGGATCGATTGATGAACAAGATACCACTCTGATGAAATTTACAGTCTAATGGGGAAAAAACAATCAACCAATATACAAATAAGATTATTTTAGCTAGTGACATGAGAAAATAAAGCCTGGTAATATAGCCGAATGTCTTGGTCAAGGGCTTCTGCAGACGAAGTGGTCAGGAACGGCCTCTCTGGGGAGATGACAAGCTAAGACGGAACCAGGCATGTAAAGACCCAAGCAAAGGGTATTCTAGTTGAGAAGAATGGCAAGACCTTGAAGTGGATGTTCCAGAAACAGAGAAAGTGATATATTGGAATGTGAAGAGCCAGAAAGAAAGTGGTAGAAGTTGAAGTCAATAAGTAAAGGCCAGGAGATGAGGACAGAAAGGTGAGAAATCTGAATTCTGCTCTTAAGTGTGAGTGGAAGCCACTGGAGGATTTTAAACAGGAGAGTGGCTTAAAAAGTAAAAAAGCATCTGTTTACTCTGTGAAAAATGGATTAGAGAAGCAAGAGTGGAAGCCAGAAAGATCATTTAGGAGGGTACTGGAATCTTAATGCAGCACCTGATATGACAGTTTTTTCCTCCCAGTTACCCTCCCAGCAGAAGCAATTACCTTTACTTGGCAACACAACATAGCCTCTGGCAGAGCTCCTTCAGCCCAACTTCCAAACTGTAAAGAGAGCCCCAAAGTATCAACTAGCCAAACCAGTGTGTCAGCACAGGGTCCTTTGCTGTTTACAGTATGAGAAAACTGAAGCTAGAGAGGTCAAAAGTGTCCCATCTGAGAGGCAGTACTGGACAACAGCCCCAGCCTGCAGTTCCAAGATCTAGGAGCATATCTTGTTGTCAGTCACCCAGAGCTGCCTGCCTTCTCACCTCATAGGCTCCTCACTGCCCCTTCATCCATTCACCCTTCGTTTTCCTAAGATTGTCCTGAGCCTGTCACCTCTTTACTCTTCCACTTTGTTGTGTCTCCATTCAGACCTTTGCCAGGGTCCAGAGTTTCTTCTTCTTAGTGGCCTTGTCCTTTACCTTCCATTCTTATTGGTGTCCTCTGGTCTTGCTCTTTCTTCAGCCTCTTCCAGGTTGTTGATCCCAAACAGCAAGACTGTCCATTCCGTTTTCATCATCTGTTACTTCTCCTTTCAGGAAGGTTCCCTTCTCAAGAGTTCCTCTTTAGCCAGGCACAGTGGCTCACGGCTGCAATCCCAATACTTTGAGAGGTGAGGTAGGAGGATCACTTGAGGCTAGGAGTTTGAGACCACCCTGGGCAACATAGCAAGACCTCATCTTACAAAAAATTAAAAACTTAACCAGGTGTAGTAGCATATGCCTGTAGTCCCAGCTACTTGGGAGGCTGACATGGGAGGATTGCTTGAGCCTACGAGTTCAAGGTTACAGTGAGCTACAATTGTGCCACCACACTGCAGCCTGGGCAACAGAGCAAGACCCTGCCTCAAAAGAAAAAAAAAAGGTTCCTCTTTGAGTTCACCTGAAACTCATCATCAGGTAACTGGAAATTCTCCCAGGTATCTGAGCCTGTCCTACCTAATGTTCTCACTTTTTAATTTTCCCTTTATTTTTACTGTTCTTTTTCTTCTTTTTTTTTTTTTTTTTGAGACGGAGTCTTACTCTGTCGGCCAGGCTAGAGTGCAGTGGCGCATCTCCACTCCTGCAGCCTCCACCGCCTGGGTTCACGCCATTCTCCTGCCTTAGCCCCCCATGTAGCTGGGACTACAGGCGCCCGCCACCACGCCCAGCTAATTTTTTGTATTTCTTTTTTAGTAAAGATGGGGTTTCACCGTGTTAGCCAGGATGGTCTCGATCACCTGACCTCGTGATCTGCCCGCCTCGGCCTCCCAAAGTGCTGGGATTACAGGTGTGAGCCACCGCGCCCGGCCTTTTTTTTTTTTTTTTTTTTTTTTTTTTTTTGAGACGGAGTCTTGCTTTGTTTCCCAGGCTACAGTGCAGTAATGCAAACTCGGCTCACTGCAACCTCCACCTCCCGGGTTCAAAACATTCTCCTGCCTCAGCCTCCCTAGTAGCTGGGATTACAGGCACATGCCACCATGCCTGGCTAATTTTCGTATTTTTAGTAGAGACAGGGTTTCACCATGTTGGCCAGGCTGGTGTTGAACTCCTGACCTCAGGTGATCCGCCCACCTCAGCCTCCCAAAGTTCTGGGATTACAGGCATGAGCCACTATGCCTGGCCTATTTTTACTGTTCTCTAACCAAATGTCCTGACTGTCTTAGATTGCTTACACATACATACGTTCCACCTTGACTTTTCTTTTACCCTCAGCTCTCCATTAAGTCATCCCCATTTTCTTCAACAGAGCTCCAAATTAGATTTGCATTAAACAAGCTATTGTCCACATCTTACTATATAAATAACATAAAAGGTCAGAGAGGGAGGGTGTGCTGTATGTGTGTGTGTCTGTGACAGAGACTGACTGTAATTTTTTTTTTTTGAGATGGAGTCTCACTCTGTCGCCAGGCTAGAGTGCAGTGTCGTGATCTCAGCTCACTGCAACCTCCACCTCCTGGGTTCAAGCCATTCTCCTGCCTCAGCCTCCCGAGTAGCTGGGATTACAGGCGTGTGCCACCACACCCAGCTAATTTTTTTGTGTTTTTAGTAGAGACAGGGTTTCACCATGTTGGCCAGGATGGTCTCAATCTCCTGACCTCATGATCCGCCCACCTCAGCCTCCCAAAGTGTTGGGATTACAGACGTGAGCCACCACGCCCAGCCGACTGACTGTAATTTTCAAAGTAGATTTACATCTGTTGTAACATCCCAGAATTGAACAGAATCTTAGACATCATCCAGGCTCATGCCCAGCTGAGTCTTAAATGCCCTCTGCTACTACAGTGGATGTGACCTTCCACCTCTTCCAGGATGAAGAAGAAGTCATACCACACCAAACGGCCCACTTCACTTTTAGATGTTCTCATTATTAGAATTTTTTTTTTCAGAGATAGGATCTCACTGTGTTACCCAGGCTGGAGTGCAGTGAGGCGATGATAGCTCACTGCAGCCTTGAACTCCTAGGCTCCAGTGATGCTCCTGCCTCAGCCTCCTAAGCAGCTGGGACTATAGGCGTGTACCACCACACCTAGCCCTAGAAAATTTTCCATAGATTTATTTCATATATGCTTTCTAGTAACGTGTCTCCCGTGGGGTCATAAATAAATACTTCTTCAGTTTGAAGACAGCCTTTGTGTCCTTCAGTTCTGAGCTAAACTTCCCAATTCCTTCAAATATTCCTTGGGTGACATTATTTCCAGACACTTTTACCACAGGGATCACTTTACTTGGGAACTTTGATACCTCTGTGTGCTGAATTAGCGCTGCACCCAGTGCTGGACACAGTACTTCCAGAATAGTCATACAGTGCACTGGAGCAGAACTAAACCTTCCTTGTTGTGTACATTGTACTCCTGTTAGTCAAAATTGACTTATATTCTTTGGTGATCAAGCAGTGCTGTTTTCTCATTTGAACTGGTAGGCACCTAATTTGCTAAGTCTTTTTTCCCACTTATTGTTGACAAACTGTATTCCATTCCCTGTTACTTACCCTCTTCCCATCTTAAGCGTGTGGAATTAGTTTTTATGATCTAAAAATAAGACTTAAGTCATTTGTGTATATTTTCTCCTGTTTTTAGTCCTCATGTTTATTTGTAGGTAAACTTTGTTATTGATTACTTTCTCCTCCTTGAAGCTATCTTTGCTTTGCTTCTAGGGCACCATACTCTCCTGGTTTCCTTCTTACCCTACTGGTGACTATTTTTTAGTTTCCTTTGCTGGTTTCTTTTCATCTCTCCTGGTTCTAAACTTTGGGGTATCCCAAGGATCAATCCTCAGACTCTAGACTCACTAGAATAAGTTTCTAGTTTTAAATACCATCTCTGTGTTGATGGCTTCCAAATATCTCAAGCCGAGACTCCTCCTCTGAATTTGGGCTTGTGTATTTATTCAGCCATTCAACACATATGTATTGAATAGCTACTGTATATGAGACACTGTTCTAAGCCCTGGAGATATACCTGTGAAACAAAAGAGACAAAAATCCCTATGCTTGGGAAGCTTATTTCACACAACTTCCAATCCACTGTCTCCACTGTGATGTATAATAGGCATCTCACATTTAACCAGTTCAAAACTGAATTCCTGGTTTTCCTCCTGAGACATGCGCTCTTCACTTTCTTCCCCATTTCTGTAAATGGCAACCACAGTCTTCCAGTTACTCAAGCAAAGAGCATTGAGCCATTTTTCACTCCTCTTTCTCACACCCACATCCAATTTATCAGGAAATCTGTTGGCTTGCCCGTCTGAATATTTTCAGAATCCAATCACTTCCCACATCCATGGCTACCATCCTGATTCATATACCATTATTTCTCACTTGGATGATTAAAGCAGCCTCCTAGTTGGTCTTCCTGCTTCTGCCTTGGCTGTTCTAAAGAGTTTTCAACCCAGTAGCTGTAGTGCTCATTGTTCAAATGAAGTCAGAGTATATCACTTCTGTGCTCAAAACCTTACAATGGCTTCCCATGTCACTCAGTAAAAGTTTTATAATGGTTTCCAAGACTCTACCTGATCTTCTCTGCTCCCTCCCTGACCTCATGTCCTATTACTCTTCCACTTACTCAACCCGCTCTAGCCACACTGGCCTTCTTGCTGTTTGTTGAACTTGTCATGCACGCTCCTGGCTCCAAGCCTTGGGATCTTCTGCTCTTTTACCTGAAACACCCTTCCCCCAGGTGTCCACATGGCTTTCTTCCTCACTTTCTGTAGAATTTTGCTTAAATAATGCCTTAGAAATGGCTTCCCCAACCACCCTATGTAAAGTAGCTTCACACACATTCCTACTTCTTCATTTCCTAGCCATGTCCCTTGCTCCTCTGTCACACCATACGTTACATATTATATATTTGTTCGTTTATATCTTCCTGCACTAAAATGTAAGCTTTATGAGAAAAAGGTCATAGATTTTACTGCTGAACTCCAGGTCCTAGAATAGGGCTTGCCACATAGTTGGCCATCAGTGAATATTTGTTGAATGAATGAATCATGAATGACTAGGTTCTCTGGAGTAGGCATAATAAAGTTCCTACAATAGTATCTATATTTGAATCTCCAGAACCTGTGAATATTACCTTGCTTGGCTTAAGGGATCTTGCAGATACAATTAAGTTAAGGATCTTGAGATGGTGAGATTATTCTGGATAATTCAGGGTAATCACAATGTAATTACAAGGGTCCTTATAAATAAAGACGGGAGGCAAGAAAGTCAGCGTTAGAAAGAGATTTGAAGATGCTCTGTTGCTGGCTTTGAAGCTGCAATAAGGGGCCATAAGCCAAGGAATTCAGGCATATTCTAGAAGGTGGAAAAGCCAAGGAAACAGATTCTTCCCTGGATCCTCCAAAAGGAACACAGCTCTTGTGACACCTTGATTTTAGCCTAGTGAGATCTGTTTTGAATTTCTGGCTTTCAGAACTGTAAAATATTAAATGTTTTATTGTTTGAGCCACTAGCCTGTGGTAATTATTCCAGCAGCAATAGGAAACTGATACACCCACCAGCCCCTATTAGACTGTAATGCCTCTAGAACAGGGGCTTGGTCTTCCTTAACCTTGCACATCACAGGTGCTCAGAGTTCCCAGAGCACAGGTACTTTGGCTTTTTAGACAGAATACCTGACAGAACATCATGCCTGTTTGTGCTCACCTTAAACCCTGATGAATGATGTTGTCACTGGATACAGTTTGGCTTTCTCAGAATATCCCAGGACATAATATCCAAAAACTGGGATACTGCTGAGAAATAATTTACCTCTCCTTGAACAGTAAAATTCTCATCCATCATTGGGGGAGACAATGACTTAGTCTCACCCACTCCAACACTATGCAGATCTTTGAGTGCAGGTCTGTGGGTTTAAGGGCTAAAATGGGATGTTCTCACAAGATCCCTCAGGGATTCCAAAATGAAGCCAAACTCCAAGAAGCTAAGAGAACAATCTAGAAGATCACCTGCACTGAAGATCAGAGTGGATGTTACCAAGCTGGAAATCTGGGGACCATGGAAATCAGGGCAAACAAACAGAAGAAAAGGGATTATAGAGTCTGGAACTGTCACAGCTGCTTTTTTAGGCCAACTAAGGCCCAGTGTATAAGTGGTTTATGAAGATGGAATGGATGGCACTTCATGCCCACACAAATCATGCTGTTTTTGCCCAGCTGTACTCTCCTTTAAGGTAAAGTAGGTTTGTCAGGCATTGTGCAGTATTGATGAAAAACCAATTTTAGTTTTTCCTAATTGAATCTAGCTTTTGATAAACAGAAATGAATATCTCACTAAGATCTCTAGTCCTGGAGACCTAACAAAAACACCTTAAAATCTGGTAAAATTACAAATATCTCAGAATGTACTATACAAAATTTCAGATCTTATTTTTCACATCTTCTATGTATTTTTTGAAGAAAACTTCATTACACATGCCTGATATGAATAAGGCCTTTTACTTTTTTCTTATAAACATTTAGGCTTAAAGTGATTATAACTGACAGTTAAGACCAACAGAAGCCAGTGGCCTGTTCATGGACAAATTATCTGTACTTCAAGCTAAATCAAAAGTAAACATTCTCTATGGTCCCTTCATGTCTACATTAGTCCTGTGGAAGCCAAATGGGACAGTCAAACCCTCCCCTTGCCCCCATATATTCTGTGGGCTCTCTTCAACATGAATGGTCTTTTCCATGAAGCACTATCTTATGCATTTTGAACCATTTCCACATCTAAGTTCTTAAATGCTTATTTAGCAGATTTTCCTCAATTACCGTTTTCATTTCATTAGGATAATATTTGCAAAAGACTGGGCTGTATTGTTTTATAATCCATCAGATGAGTGTTTTCCTAAATAATGGTGCAGGAGAGGAGATGTTCTGATAACCTTCACTTTTTTTAAAAAAAAGATTTTTTACACATATTCTTCGGAAGAGGAAATAGCAGTGAATTCTTGTCACTTAATAAATGCTAGAAAGACTAAGTATTATAAGATGTTTTAAGTGAAAAAGCTATATTCCTGAATATCTGTATTAGAATATGCTGATAATCAGTTTAAAAGCAACACAAGAGTAAAGGGAAAGTCACCATTCTGAATCACAGAGCAGTAAAACTGTTGTCACCAGCAGTGATGTCACTCATCCTCAAGGTTCTGAAAACCTATTAGAAATTAGCTTTAGGGAGAAATATCTTCTGACTTGTCACTGGTTCTAAAAGGCAATCAGTGTTAAACAAACACAGGCCCCTTTTTGGAACCTATATAATAAACTCAGACACATTAATCTCTACTCACGTCTCTAGTCAGGGTCTGACCCCTAACTCTTTTGGCTTTAATGGAAGGAAGTAAGGGCCAGCTGACATTAGCTAACAGAAGTTTGTGTAAAGGTTCAGATATACCTATAAGCAAATAAATATCATTTCTTAAACTTTTGTTTTTATTGAGTACTATGAGACAAAAATATCTCCCCTCGACAATACAAGATTGCATTATAGTCTCTGTATATCTTAACAGTATTTACTTAATCACAAAATTTGACTTAGAAGAAGACATTGAGAGAAAAGAGGAGGTCAGCCTCCGTTTGACCTGGATATTTTGGTCCATGGACAAAGCACTGACCCTAAACAGTCAAAAGCCCTGGGTGATATCCCTGCTTTTGCCACTAAAAATTTGTATGACCTAAAACACTTCACCTTATTTCTCTAGGTCTCACTTGCTTCATGTGCACAATGACAGGATGAATAACTTCTCTACCAACTATGAAAACCCAGTAAGAATGAGATAAGGTGAAAGATATGAATGTACTTGGCAGATCCTGCCATATAAATAAGATGACAGTATTTCATAAGAGAGCTTCTTTCTTGAGTAGAGAACAAGGTATATGAAGATGTCATATCATTTGGCTGTATTCTTAGAAATACTAGAAATAGTGCACATTCAAGAAATGAATGTGTACCGTGGTTATGAATAAAACTGCTTTGATGCAGCTAGCAAAGTAAAATGAATAAAATGATTTCTTTGGAAAAACTAAGTTATGAATTGAGAAAACTAGACAAGATACTAGAAATTTGCCAGTCAGCACCTCTCAATTCTTGTTTAATTAGTGACACCTCTTGAGTGCTTCTAGGAAAGATAATGAAGTAAGCATAGTTCTTCAAGGACTGTCTCCCATCCTGGGTTCCAGCTGAAAGAATGACAAATGACAACCTATATATATGTGTATATATGTATATATATGTGTGTGTAGGTGTGTGTGTGTGTATTTACACACACACACACACCTATACACACACTAACCCAGATTTTTAACACTAACTCGTAGTGTTAAAAAGTAGGGAAAGGTATTATGCCATGACAGAAACATAAAAGCACTCCTGCTCAGTATTGTGTAGATCATGCCAAATTAAAGGAAAACATTGAGTAGAAACTTATAACTTGCCTTCCTGAGAAAAATCAGAGTGTCATGAAGAAAGAGCAATAAGATACCTGAGGTTTTGTGCAGTGATTACAAGTGGCTATAGCAACTCCAGACCTTACATCTAGAGGAAAAAGTGATGACTTCTTCCCAAGCGTCTCAGCAAAAGTATCTCCCTCTACCCCATTAGCTCTGATTGTGACGTGTGGCATCCCTGAGTGATGCTCAACAGCCAGAGAAATGTGTGGCTTACCTTAGGCCTGGGCACCCTTGAGCCAAAGTAAATGGGGAGGGAGGTCTATGTGAAGCATATTGGCTATGAGTTAAGGAGAGGTGATTCCTTAGAAATCTTTGTACAGTTTCTGTTTAAAAGGGTGAATGCTTGGCAGCCATGTTTACTATAACTGCCTGCTCTTGGCCTCTAGATGCTTCACATATACCTTAATTCAGAATTGCCTGGCTACCTCAGTTGGTAGAGCATGGGACTCTTAATCCCAGAGTCAGTGGGTTCAAGCCTCACATTGAGTGGTTCTACTTTTTTTTTTTAACACCTGTGAAAAGAAGGGAAAAATTAAAAAAAAAAAATAAAAGAAAAAAATAAAAAATACCTTAGTTCAAGGATGAGGTAGATTTAGCATACCCCTGCTGCTTTACTATTGATTTTAGGAATTCATTTGCCACTGCCATTGTCTCTTCTTGCTCTTCTGTAACATTACCTGCCATGGTAGCTAAGCTGACTTCATCTGATTTGTGTAGACCTAATCCAGTACTTGCTTATTCTTGGGACTGTGGCTTCTACAACCTGTCCTGCCTGTACTCCTCAATGTTGGAAAAGGGGCTTCAATAGCAGCTGAAGAATCTCCCTACCACAGTATACCAACACATTACTGGGTTTTTGAGGCCTCATGCTTTCCCTAATAGCTGCCTTCCCTAAGAAGAGTGCCTTTATATATCCAGAAAGGAAGCTAGGAGTGTTTTTGGCCTCTGAGTCCCAAAAGCTTTCACAGACTCTGTCAACTTTGCCCAGACCCAGGATACTAAACAAAGTGAGGTTATGTAGGCTATAAAGTGTGGGAAGGGTGGTTGGCAGCCTCAGCACTGGCTGCAGAGTGCTCAGTTGACACTGCTGCAGCAGCCTGGTCTTCCAGGAGAAGAAAAAGCCACAGTGCAGTTGGTGGGGAGGGCTGCATTTATTCCTTGAAGTTTCTTGTTACCATACTATACAACTCAGATGGTTTGTTTTTAACGGTCTGCTTGTCTTGTTTCATTTAACCTATACAAATTGCTAACATCCATTAAGTAGTTTTTCTCAAAGAACTGAATGTTTCTTTGTCAGGTCATACAGCATATTTGACAATAATCGCCAGGATCCCACAGGGCTGACAGCTGCTCTTCAGGCAACCGACCTGGCTGGAGTTCTTCATATGCTCTACTGTGTCCTCTTCCATGGCACCATCTTGGACCCCAGCACTGCCAGTCCCAAGGAGAATTACACTCAAAATACCATCCAAGTGGCCATTCAGAGTTTACGTTTCTTCAACAGCTTTGCAGCTCTTCATCTGCCTGCTTTTCAGGTACCAAGTATTGGTTTATATCGATGTTAACCAATCAAGAGTTAGTATTTTAGTGTAGATAGGATGTCAGATTCTTCTCCTGAATTGGGGCATAAGGAATAAACTACAATAAATGGAATTATAATATATATTATAATTTATTAAACTACTATTTTCTGGGAACTGTATTAGATGCTCTATAACATCTAGCATTCTCATTTATTCTCATAGCTACCATGCAAAGTATTATTATACCCATTTTACAGATAGAGAAGCTGACAGTTAAGTAATGTGCCCAAGGTTACATGTTTGTGAACCAGGACTAGTAACCATGACTCTCCCACCCCAAAGCCTATGTTCATCCTTTGCCATGCTGCTATTTATAAATCTTTTGTCTGGAATTCTTTATATCAGGACATTATCATCTCATCAACTTTTAAATATTAAGGAAAGTAATGGTTTCTTACGTAAATAGAACCAAAATTAGATAAATTGATTGATATGACTTTCTACGGATGGTTTAGCTGATTTTGTGTCCAATGTAAAGTGTATAACTAGCTTTACAGGGATTTGCATCTTTAGCTATGAAGTTTTTATAGCTAAAGAAAGAAGAATTGCTTTATGCTATAACACCAGACTGTCAGCCTGGAAACAGATTTTTTTTTTCATGTAGGAAATTTAATTTTCAAAAACACTGAACCTTTGGAACAGAGCAAGCCCCAAGGAATAGACTTTCTCTTTCAGTTTATTAACTGTCAAGTGATTTCATTAAAAAAGGAACAAATTTGGCAGATGATGAACCCATAATTTAGATGAATTGCTTTGCTCTGAGGGAAAAAGGTTATAGAGAAACAAATGTATGAAAATAGTGGACTTTGCCATTCTGAGATGAGAAGAATACTTCTATATTGTAGCTGATGACAAATGTGCCATTCTTTAATTGATGTCTTCCTGTCATTTTGTTCAAAAAAGGAAACTTGTGACTAAGTTGTATCATTGGATCTAGTATCTTTCAACTTTGTAGAATTAGTTTATCTGTCACAAGAACAGAAATCCCTTCCTTTGGGTTAATGCTTTTCTGTCTCCAGAGCAGTTGAACTAGCCTTAGGAGGTAACTGACTGCACAATACGTAGAGTTCTGGGAGGTTACAGCCACATATAAATGAGAGATATCTGCTCCAAAAAATGTCAGTAGTTCTTGCCTCAGGGTTGAACATAACATCTGTGTTTTATGAAGACGTAAGCCCACCGTATTCTGTCTGGAAACAGTTTGGAAATCAGGGAACCTTAACTTTACATGCTCAGGATATGGAGTCCACCAGTCTACCCATCAGCTGCGTCGAAAGGGAGTGATTTCTTTTGTTAACAGATTATGGAATAGCAAATATCTAAAAACTGTCTCTTAGCTTCCTGTTTCACGGGTCTTCTTGGCCAACATTTATACTGCTACAGGGGACTCCATATCATAAACAAGCATCTAGGATAAGTCAGCTGTTCGGTCAGTCACTCCATCAGGGAGCCCTAGGTCCCTGCTCCCTGCCCCTCTCCTCCTGTGAACTTGTGGCCTGTGCAGGCTCACTCACAAAGGCGCACCACTGAACTTCACCAGACCTGCTCCCTAGTGCCTTTAAGCCTAAAGGGCTTAATAATGGGCGATAATGTCAAGTGATTTCATTAAAAAAGGAAAAAGAAAAAAAAAAGGAAAAGAAAAAAATCAAAAAGAAAAATCAAAAGCCTATTTCTGGAATCCTTTGTGCCCAACTAAGATAAAAACATTTCTCCTTTCCAGATCCTTGCTATATCCATCTTGAAACTTATCCCCTACTTGAGCCACTTTTGCCGAAAACAGCAGGAATAAAACCAGAGTGGTTCAAGAGGGTTCAGCTATTCTCAAAATCAGGGTCTCTAGGGATAAAAAGAAATGAAATAACAAAATAAATAAAAAATAAATAAAAAACAATTATTCTCAAAATCAAATGCCCTGGCTCTCATTTGGAATGTCCTTTCTTGACTGGTTCTCACAATTCTCCAGTACCTTTTCTTCCTTCTTCTCATGCAACTCTATATTTCCTTCTCAGTTCTTTCCTTCCTGTTTTTTCTTCTTTTGTGTCTCTCTCCTGTCTCTCCTCTCTTATCAGTCTTGCCTTTACTCTTTCTCATTCTCTTCCTAGCTGTAGTTTCCAGGTACCCTTTACCCTTCATGTTTCTTTCTGACTCTTCATCAGCATGTGAGGGGACCTAAATGCCCAGAATTTCTAGCATCGGGGCCTTTAATATACCAATGACTACGTATTTTTTCTTAATTACTTTTATGCATTTAAAAACAAACAGATGAGCTTAGTGGGGGAAACAATTATTTCTGATCACAGATTCTAGGAGTTCAGAATTCAGATGGGGCTTATCACAGTGGAAATGGTTTGTCTCTGCTCCATGATGTCATGGCTACAGCTAGGAGCTAAAGTCATCTGGAGGCTCTTTACTGTCATGTTTGATGCCTGGGATGACTCAAAGACAAGATTCACCTAGGACTGGTGGCCAGAGCATCTACTACTGCTTCTCCATGTGACTTGGGCTTTTTAAAACACTATGGTGTCTCGATTCTGAGTGGGAGTGTCCTAAGAGGAAGCTTCCAGAAAGCAAGAGTTCCAAGAGAAACCAACAAAAGCTACAGGACTTTTTATGACTTAGCCTCAGAAGTCATATACTTACCTATCAACCATACTTTATTGGTTGAATCAGTCATAAGCCTTCCATATTCAAGGGAAGGGAAACATAGGCTTCACCAGCTAAAGCAACACATCTGTCTACATAGACACCATTTATGTAGATGGACGTGATCAAGAATATAATGCTTAAGTAAATTAAATACATAGTATTTGTACTGTATAGCAACGGATGAGTTTTCCAGAAAACTACTATTTTTGTGATAGTTATGGTCAGAGAAACTCATATTCTAGTTCATCAAAACAACTTACATGTCAAAAGTGAGATTTTAGGATCTATGTATGTAAAGGACAGGAAAAGAGATTTTAAGTGGAAAGAAGGAAGGTGTACATCTCAGCATGATCTGACCTCAGAAAAATCTGAGAGACAATTTATGAATTGCCTGGGAGGCTCAAAGGAATTGAAGAAAAAAACTGAGATAAATTGTCTGACCTGCTGCAGAGTTAGACAAGATGATATAAGACATGTTGATGATTTGGGTTCGAATGCATCACAAGAATACAGAGCTGTTACAGGGAGGCATCCTCATTAGACCCCTGAATCTGGAGTCAGAATGACCTGACTTTGAGCCATCACATTACCTCTTCAAATTGTATGACCTTAGACAAGTCATTTGAACACTTAAGACTCCATTTCCTCATCTGTAAAATAGAGATTAAGAACACCTACCTCACAAGACTATTTGAGGATTAAATATGATTGCATAAAAGTGCTGTGCTCACTAGCACATAGTAGGCCCTCAGAAAATGTGAACTGACTGAGTTTCTGAAAAGAAGAATTTACCTAAACAGACATGCTGAGTCAGAAGGTTGGAAACTGAATGCAGCATTCCCAGTGCTCCTTCACCCTTCTTCAAAGCCACAAACCTGTATGCTTATTTTGTGTGAGAACCCATCATGTAATAGTACAAAAGGTTATCCATTAGATTATTTTCCTAGCTGGTTCCATTTCATTGTATACCAATAAGGCTGTCAAAATATTTTTCCCTCTTCAGCAAAGAGTCTGATTTCACTCTGAATTCATATTGGCATGGGTGGCCTTGAGACTGGGGATATTGTATATTGCATTCAGTTTGACAGTTTTTACAATTGAAGGTGGTCTCAGGAAACAAATCAATGTACTGACTTGGCAATTAATTCTGGCTAAAAAGGAAATATAGTTTCCTTGAAAATTGGTTTAATTTTTATATTCAAACTTACATGCCCCTTGACCTGCTCTTATCAGTGAAGGTTAAACAGAGGGCACTGGGTCACAGCATGCTGGACGTGACTAATTAAATAAAGGCTGAGCTGAGAAGGTGTCACTGCTTGATTTAAAGGAGCAAAGTCCTTCTGAAGTCTCTTTGGGGCTTGAAAAACATTTTTTTGTTTTGGGGCTGTGAAACAGACAAAAGGCACTCTTAAAATTTAGCAGTAATTTTGTTTCAGGAATGCTCGCTAAAATGGCTCTGTTTCACCCACTGTTAAGTGAAGTGAATTCATTGAAACTTCCAAGGTGCAACGTATCCAACCTGGTTCAAGCCCACTAAGACCTCAAATCAAGAGATGAGTTTAAAACTCTGCCTTTTCCCACAGGCCAGCAGTGGTGCTTCATTCCAGTGTGGGCTGCGAGTATATTCTGTGGGCTTCGCCTCTCCCCTTTGCCCTCCTGTCGCTCTGTCTGTTTGACATGTTTATTAAATAGAAGCTGCAGGCTGCACAGACAGACTCAGACTCTCTTCTTGAGTCGCCCACCGCCGACAGCCCTTTGCCTGTCTGGAGAAAGGATCCCAGAAGTCCCATAGCTGAGGGATTTCATGGTTTTAGGGAGAATTTTTTGTTTTGTTTTTTTACATTCTTTTGGGAGCCTTCGGTTTATAGAGCTACTTATTTGAATAATAACTAGTTGTTATTTACATTTTTTGTTTAAACATAATTAGAAATATATGTTTAACTCTGTGTACAAGAAAATATTTTCTCCTTCAGAAAAAAAAGTGTTGGAATTTAGCTAAATGGTAGATTTACAGGTGAATTTTAGGTTCTTTATACTTTTCCAGATTTTCTCCAGTAAGAATATTTGTATATGAGAAAAATTAAGTTATTAAAAATAGAATAAATAACTGTGCTTTAGGTAGATAATGTCTTGATCCACGTGGTACAGGCATTTGGTCTACTACTGTCCCTTTTCAGGTTAAACATTGCATTTATTATGGGACATTTATTAGAACAAGAACCCCTAAACTAAAGCATTAAGCATAGTACTGTAGAAATGTCATGTTTTTCCACCACCATGGCAGAAAGTACACAGGGCCAGTCTTGCTTTGTGATTTGCAGCCCTGGCTCTCCCTGGGCTGAGGGCTTCTAACTGCTCCTTGTCTTTGTCAGTCTATTGTAGGGGCAGAGGGCTTGTCCCTTGCATTCCGGCACATGGCCAGCTCCCTGCTGGGCCACTGCAGCCAAGTCTCCTGTGAAAGCCTCCTTCATGAGGTCATCGTCTGTGTGGGCTACTTCACTGTCAACCACCCAGATAACCAGGTAAGAGGCCCTGGAAAGTTCCTTAGACTGCTCCCCCAGTGCTGAGAGTGTGAGGTATTGGAATGAGAAAAGGCAGGCTAGCGGGCTGGAACCCAAATGTCCTCTGTAAAGCCCTTTAACCAGACTGCAGGAATATGCCTCTAGCTCCTTCTCTTCAAATAGATTTTTTTTCTTTTGGAGACAGAGGCTCGCTCTATCACCCAGGCTGGAATGCAGTGGTGCAATCTCGGCTCACTGCAACCTCTGCCTCCCAGGTTCAAGCGATTCTCATGCCTCAGCCTCCCAAGTAGCTGGGATTACAGGCAACCGCCACCACATCTGGCTAATTTTTTGTATTTTTAGTAGAGATGGGGTTTTGCCATGTTGGCCAGGCTGGTCTTGAACTCCTGACCCTCAGGTGATCTGCCTGCCTTGGCCTCCCAAAGTGCTGAGATTACAGGCATAAGCCATCACACCTGGCCCTCTTCAAATAGATTTGATAAGAACTAGATTAGCCCTAGGGCCTCCTCTTAGAGCTATAAAAATAAAATATTTTTAATAAAATATTCTTAAGCCACAGAGAAGCATGTACTCTCTTACCATGTAGATTGTTTACTATCTACTTCCTTACCACATGGAGTCTGCTGCTCTAGCTATCAGGGTTTTTGTTTTGATAAGGTAGTTTACATCTTCCAAGTTGGGTCACTTTTCATATAGTATTAGAGTCTGGTGCTCTATGAAACTGTTCTTGGCTCCTGGCTTCTGCCTAGGTGCTTAGAGCCTTCCTTTGGTGTTGGTGAGAGGCTGAGAGGGTAGGACTCTCCCGCTTAGGTCACTCAGAGTAGTTTTGCTTTAAACTGCTTTAATTATTTGGTTTCTGAGCAAGATTTCATAGATTTAAAAAAAAAAAAGATTTCATAGATTTCATTTGTAAATAGGTTTCTGCTTTTTTTTTTTTTTTTTTTTTGACAAGTTCTTGCTCTGTCATTCAGGCTGGAGTGCAGTGGCATGATCATGGCTCACTGCAGCCTTGACCCCCTGGGCTCAAGCGATCCTCCCATCTCAGCCTCCTGAGTAGTTGGGTCTACCGGCGGGTACCATCACACCCAGCTAATTTTTGCAGAGACGGGGCTTTGCCACATTGCCTAGGCTGGTCTTGAACTCCTGGGCTCAAGCAATCCTCCTGCCTTGGCCTCCCAAAATGCTGGGATTACAGGTGTGAGCCACCACACCTGGCTTGCTTTCTGCTTTTTTAAGATGCTGGAAAATCTGTTATAGATTTTTTACTAATAATAAAGTACCTTATTTCTCTTTATCTTTGAAACTGGGATTATGGCATAACTAGCATATCAAATAGTAATTCCTGACAACCTCATTCATCTAAAGCCCCCTACTTGGCCGGGCGCAGTGGTTCACGCCTATAATCCCTGCACTTTGGGAAGCCGAGGCAGGTGGATCACCTGAGGTCAGGAGTTCGAGACCAGCCACATACTCACCAACATGAAGAAACCCCGTCTCTACTAAAAATACAAAATTAACCGGGCATGGTGGCGCATGCCTGTAATCCCAGCTACTCGGGAGGCTGAGGCAGGAGAATCGCTTGAACCAGGAGGCAGAGGTTGCGATGAGCCGAGATCGCGCCATTGCTCTCCAGCCTGGGAAACGAGCAAAACTCTGTCTAAAAAAAAAAAAAAGCCCCCTACTCAGCCAACCTTAATTGTATAGATTGTAGCTAAGATTAAAAAAAGCCTCTGAACAACCCCTTAACTCTTACTCTAAACTTTTGTGTTTTTTTGAGACAGTGTCTTGCTCTGTCACCCAGGCTAGAGTGCAGTGGCGTGATCTTGGCTCACTGCAACCTCTGCCTCCCGGTTCAAGTGATTGTCCTGTCTCAGCCTCCTGAGTAGCTGGGATTATAGGCACCCACCACCGTGCCCAGCTAATTTTTTTTATTTTTAGTAGAGACAGGGTTTCACCATCTTGGCCAGGCTGGTCTCAAACTCCTGACCTTGTAATCCACCTACCTTGGCCTCCCAAAGTACTGGGATTACAGGTGTGAGCCACTGCCCCCAGCTTTCTAATTTTTCTGATTAAACTTTCTAATTTTTATTGTAGGCAAATCTCTAACAAGTGTGTTTGCAAGGTTTATCTAGCCTACAGCAAACTAGATCTGGGCAGGAATAAAAGAGATGGTTGTGGTGGCAGAGCCAAGTACAAGGTGAGAAGCTGTACAACGAGAGCTGAAATTGCTTTCCTGAGAAGGAGAAAAAAGACAAAAAAAAAAAATAAGGCAGGCCCAAGAACTCGGAAGTCACAGCCATCTGGGTTCAGAGGGACACTAAGCCCTGCTCTGTATTTCCTAGATGATTGTTGATGCCTCTGATACCTCAAGTAAGCATGGAGGCAAAGTGTATGTTCAGTGCATTCCCTGAACCGCACTGCAGGAATAAGCAGTCTGTTCTAGAAAGATTCCCATGGCTAAAATATAGACAGTTTGGATCCTTACCAGAATATTATACACAGAAAAGTTCCCCTTTTACAGACCCTGTTGCCAGGGGAGTAGATGGCAGCTTTTTCTCCCCTCCTACCTCTACAGCACAGACAGTGTCCTTCCCTTTCAAACACTCCCTGATGGGGATGCTCTGTCCTCTCTGTGGACCAGGCCTAGTAGGTTCACAGATCTCTTACAAACTGCTCAGGGGAAGGAAAGTTGAGGGAAATCATCCGTGTAGATTTTTTTTTTCTTCATGTGCATCCATTCAACCTATTAAATTGCTTTTTATTTTCTCTTAAAAGTTGATTTTATTTTCTGATTTTAGTTATTGTGAAAAAGGGCAGCCAGCGCAGTAGCTCACGCCTGTAATCCCAGCACTTTGGGAGGCCGAGACGAGTGGATCACCTGAGGTCAGGAGTTGGAGACCAGCCTGGCCAACATTATGAAACCCTGTCTCTACTAAAAATACAGAAATTAGCTGGGCGTGATGGCAGGCGCCTGAAATCCCAGCTACTCAGGAGGCTGAGACAGGAGAATTGCTTGAACGTGGGAGGCGGAGGTTGCAGTGAGCCAAGATCGTGCCACTGTACTCCAGCCTGGGAGACAGAGCGAGACTCTGTCTCAAAAAAAAAAAAAGAAAGAAAGAAAGAAAAAGGAAAGAAAGAAAGAAAAAGACAGGGCAAGTATAAAGAAAAAAATGGAATCACATTTATTCCTGATCTCACTATCTGAGATAGCCACTGTTAACATTTTGGCAGATTCCCCTCCAGCCTCTTTTCTATGACTAATTTTACATGGCTGAGGTCATGCTGTACAAATGCTTGCGTCCTGCTTTATGCACTTAACATTATATCAGAATCTTTGTTAAGTATTTTTAATGGCTGTATGGCTTTATCTTGTATGGACATTCATGGTTTACCTAAAAATGTCTTGTTTTATACTTAAATTGTTTATCATATATTGACACTGCCTACTGCCTTTGAAAGAGGTGAGTAATTTGTATATGTGATAATATTTTGCTGTGTGCAGTTCTGCAGGACAAAGTTCAGCGCTTTTGGTGCATTTCATATTAAGGATGGTTTAAAACTTTTTGCTTAAACCAACTCTGTTATGATAAACTTACTGAACTCAGAATTTCATGGGATTTCAGACGGTTTTTCTGCTGATGCTGGATCACAGACTAATCCTCTCCTTTAGATAAAACACACAATTTTGGCATCTCTGGGCTCCGAGTTAAGGGGCATCAGGGATGGGTGACTCATATTTGGAGATGGCATGTAAGACCTGACTTGGACATGGTGGGAAAGTGATGACTGGGAATGCTGGGATGGGGAAAAAAAGCAGATGAAATGGGTGGAGAGAGCACTGGTCAACACAAGGAGGAGGAACAGACTGAGACCCTGTCACTTGTCAGTTGGAGAAGAAGAGGATACAGTGAGGTTTGAAGATCCTTGGTGAGAGGTAAGCTCATGCTGAGGAAGAAATTAGAAAAGTGAAAAAAGCCAGACCCTGTGTTTCAACACCTTGCCTCCCAGAAGGATGGAATACTAAACTGGACATCCACTTCTGATTTGAGGGAAGTTTACAGAGGTCAGTTTACATCTGGGGCAGTTGCTGAAATGCAACAATCTATGAGAAGAAAGAACAAGATTAAAAAAAAAAGGTAGAGAAGTAAGAAGCTGATAGAAAAGATAGTAATTCTAAGAAGCTGAGACACTGCACATTATGGAGATGATATTTCTAAGCATAATATTTATTTATTTTTTTTTTGAGACAGAGTTTCGCTCTTGTTGCCCAGGCTGGAGTGCAGTGGCACCATGTTGGCTCACCACAACCTCCGCCTCCTGGGTTCAAGCGATTCTCCTGCCTCAGCCTCCTGAGTAGCTGGGATCACAGGCATGCGCCACCACGCCCGGCTAATTTTGTATTTTTAGTAGACACGGGGTTTCTCCATGTTGGTCAGGCTGGTCTCGAACTCCTGACCTCAGGTGATCCACCCACCTCGGCCTCCCAAAGTGCTGGAATTACAGGAATGAGCCACCACACCCGGCCGTATGTTAGAAATATTATAAGCCAGGCATGGTGGCTCACGCCTGTAATCCCAGCACTTTGAGAGGCCGGGGTGGGCGGATCACAGGGTCAGGAGCTCGAGACCAGCCTGGCCAACATGGTGAAACCCCGTCTCTACTACAAACACAAAAATTAGCCGAGCGTGGTGGCACACGCCTATAATCCCAGCAACTGGGAAGGCTGAGGCAGGAGGACTGCATGAACCTGGGAGGCGGAGGTTGCGGTGAGCCGAGATCACGCCACTGCACTCCAGCCTGGGTGACAGAGCAAGACTCCGTTTCAACAAAAAAAAAAAAAAAGAGAGAGAGAGAAATATTATAAGGTAGAAATACCTTATATTTGTAGAGTTCTTTATACTATTCTTGCCATCTCTTGTCTCTTGAACCTCAGTAGCACTTTAGTGAGGCTGTAAGTACAGGAATTATTCTTACCTCACAGACAGATGAGCAGTTGGGCTTCTAAAAGATAAAGTAAGCTCCCTGAAATGACACAGAGAATCATTTCTCTATGAAAGATCAGGGCTAGCATCCAGGTTTTGCAAAGCCCAACTCAGTGTACTTTTCATTTCATCTTACGTTGCTTAAGAAGGCCAGGCATGTAACAGGTACCATCTGCTAGCGATCACTGAAGTGCACCTTGGCTAGCGGTGGGGGGTGTAGAAGATGATGCGGGTTCACCAAGACAGTACATTTCAGAAACTGCCATTCTTTCCCTTAGATGCTGACTGGAAAGCTTCTAGGGCCTATCTGTGTGCCTTATTCAGGGAGACTCATAAAGATCTTGGAAAGTGTAAATGAACATGTTTTATGAGTAGAAATGGTCCACAATTTAGCAGATAGAAAGCCTGGGTTCTAGCCCCAGCTCTGCCATTAGCTGTGTGATCATAGATAAATTCTTTCCCCTCTTGAGGTTTGAACATCACTGACTCTACAAAGAAGCAAATTGGTTCTGGAAGTGGATAGCAGTGACAGTTGCACAATATTGTAATTGTGGAGTTAAAAATAGTTGAAATGGGGCCAGGCGTGGTGGCCCAAGTCTATAATCCCAGCACTTTGGGCAGCCGAGGCAGGCAGATCACTTGAGGTCAGGAGTTTGAGATCAGCCTGACCAACATGGCAAAACCCCATCTCTACTAAAAATACAAAAATCAGTCAGGTGCTGTAGTGCATGCCTGTAGTCCCAGCTACTTGGGAGGCTGAGGCAGGAGAATCGCTTGAACCCGGGAGGCAGAGGTTGCAGTGAGCCGAGATCATGCCACTGCACTCCAGCCTGGGCGACAGAGGAAGACTCTGTCTTTAAAACAAAAAAAAAAAAAAAAAAAAAAAAATTGAAATGGTAAATTATATGTTATACATATTTTACACAATGAAGTAAACAAAAAAGAAGTGGATTATACTAGATGACCTCCCCTGTGAGTTCCATGAGTCTGTGACATTTTAAAGGCTGAAACTAGAACCACAGAGCAGCATTTTGATCTCATGGGGACTCCAAGCTATTTTGTGGTTTTCCATACCTTCCTTACCCTACTCCAGATTCCACCTGCAGCAGACAGCTTAATGAGCTGCCTGCCTACTGTGTGGCAACTTATCATTAAAAACTCAGTATACTTTGGCTCCTCACTATTAGTAGAGGGAGCCCAATGACGGACACTTATAAGCAGACTTCTTACAGGTGAGATGTCATGTACCTTGCTCTGTGATGCCATCTTCAGCCACAGTTGATTTACATGCACTAAAGGCTGTGCTCCCCAGCTCATGGCTGTACTCCATGCCAGTCAGGCTGCGGGGCAAGGGCAGGGTATAGGAATAGCCACAGCTTGCTGAGGTGATAACTGCTCATATCCCAATAGAGTTGGGAAGTTTTCTATAACTGAAAAGTTAATTGTTAGTTTGATTTCACTTTTAAAACTAGTTCTATTAAATTCCCTTTCTACTGCCCCCACGAAATCCAGTAATTTGCTAAGCGAGCATTTGCTAAGAGGGTGTGGTAAGTTTAGTTTTCAGCACTGGCCTTAGCTTCTTCAGTCATAGATTCATGGCACCTTCATCCTAGAAGGGCTCTGGGAGATATCTAGTCCATCTCCCTCATATTGTAGGTGGAGGAACTGAGGCTCAGAGAAGGAAAAGGAATTGTCAAGCGAGAATTGGCAGAGCCCAGCCTCACCACTGGCAGTTCAGTGAGTTTCCACCTCACTTCTATACTTAAGAAGTGAATCTGTTTCGCCTGTTGCCACTTTCTGTAAATCAGAGGAAATTCACAGGAGAAATTAGATGCTCAATTCATTTAATATTTCCTTATCATTAGTCAGAAGTCATGTTAATTTACAGAACCAATTTGTCCACAGGGCATCATAGATTTCCTACTGGGAAAGCAGCTTGTGTCTTTATAAGACAGGGCATCCTGAAAGCCTGCTGCAGCCTACTGTTTGATTAGGTAACTGCTTTGCATAAAGGATTGGCACTTTTTATTTGCCACCATTTAGTCTATTAACTGGAAAGACTGAGCCCCTTGATACCAAGGATGACTTGAGAAGAGAAACCTGGATAATAAAAGTGACGTCCCATCCTTGATGGAATGAATCTTCTGTTTCCTATAGGGTTGCAGTTTCTAATTAAAATGTTGTTTTAATCAAAAGATTCCCTGTATTTTATGGCATTTTCTTGACTCTTTCTAAATTCCTTCCCATTTAATTATTATAATGAACATAATTAGTATGTGCTGTCAACCCCTCACTTTATTTACATTTTGTATTAGATAATTAAATGTGGTCTGATAATTAAATTAACTCAAATGACTGATGATTTGACTGCCTGCATATTACTATATTGGGAATATGCACCTTTGCGTACTCATTTTGTTTAGCAACTGGCTTTTTCATTTGGAAAGGCCCCATAGATTGCAGCTATCAGAGTTGGAGTTTCTTGTGATCCCTGAAAGGAAGGATCCCCTTAACCCCTTTGCCCCCATTGAGCTCTCTCTAGTGAAGTCCATGCTGATCATGTAACTGTCTGCTCTGCACCACGCCCTGTCAAAGGCTCCTGAAAGCTTCTGGGCGGATCAGAACAGGCAAGTAAGTTGGACAGCGAAGCTCGTGAAACTTGGTTCTGCCTGAGCTGCATGCCATGCATTTTCCAGCTCTCTTGTAACTCAGTGACTTAGTGAGAAACGCCAAACGTTAATTTGACTACAAATTCCGAAAATGAATCTGTTGTACTCACCTCGGGTGTTTCCCCACGCACAGAAATAAGGAGTGGTTTCCTAGAGTCATTGTGTGTTAAGAGTGGCAGTTTTCCAGAATCCCATTCCAGCATTTAGAACTTTTAGAGTTGGCTTAATTCCTGCTCAAACATTTTTACTTCACTCTTTGCCTCAAAGGCAGATGGTCAGTCCTAGGTCACACCCACTTGGTAAACTCCCTTAGCCCCATCCCAGTTCGTGAATGGAGGCTGCGGTGGTGGGCTCAGAGTGGAAACTCCAGCACTCAAGGACTTTCTGTTCTCCCAGAGTTGGCAGCTTATTCTTTAGCTGTCACACAAGCATTCAGCTTTCTGTATTTCCTTTCTTTGTGTGACAGATACGTTCCTTTCATAAAATAGAAATACATCATGTCTAAGGAAGAGCCTGAGTTTCAGCAGTGCAACCATTTTGGAACCAAGTTACTCTCAATATTATAGCACCAAAGAAAAAAATGTGGGTTTTTTTTTCCAAAAGTAGAGCAAAAATTCTTAATTAAAAATGATTTATACCTAAATATTTATTTTGAGACTTCTGATGAGTGAACTGGCTGACATAAGAACGGAGAAATTTGCCAGTTAGCAATTTTGGCCAATTGCATTAAAAGTTACCAACTTCACAGAATCCAAATAAAAGATACCTTTTATTTTCTTCATTGTTTTAGTGAATTTTTCCACACAAGGGTAGTTCAAAGTGCCGCATGCTCACACTAGATACATTTTTTACTCCACAAACCTCTGAGAGGTCAGAAGGAACTCCTGGCTTGCCTGAGTGGCTGTGTTGCCAGGACGTCAACTGAGGTAGGCAGCAGCCAGCCTGAGGGGCTGCTGCCAGGTCAGGAGTGTGCACGAACCTCAGTTATCCTTTGCTCACTTGAAAATCTTCTATTGGGGTATCAAATCAACACAAGAAAATGAGGCCAGAAGGAATCTTTTATCAAAGTTTAATTCATGACCAGTTTTTCTGGACTTGCCTTGGTCTTCAGCCATGGAGGGGGTGTTTGTAATAAAAATCACTCTGAGATAAGACTGTATAAAGGCTTAGGCTGTAATCACAGGGAACACCTCTCCTGAGATAGGAGATTTTATATAAGACCCTCATCAGTTACAGAAAGCCCATCACAATGGAACAAATATTGGTACAGCAGTCAGGACTGCTGGATCCTTTTACAGCTTTACAGCTGTTTGACACTGGGTAAGTCACTGCCCTTCTCTGAGCTTTAGTTTCCTGTCTGTATAAAGAGTTAGCCTGGGTGCTCTGAAGAAGCCTTTCAGCTCTGATAGAGGAAGAATAGATAATTATAAGATGAATTGGGAAGTCATGGCCAGACCAGCTGTCAGAACATGGTTCCCCATCTGTGGAGAACCTGTGAGAAGCGTCTGCCTACAGGGTTCCTCTGTGGACCAAAACATGTAGAAGTACAGAGGATCCTCCCACCTCAGAGTCTCAGGGCTGCCACTCAAAACACTGTTTTGACACAGCTGCCAAGGGGACTTTGGAGTATCAGTCTGGTTCTGGTCAGCTGCCAGCTTCCCTTCCCAAAGGGGCATGCCTGGTTCACCTGGACACACCTGACAGGTGATAAACCTATTCTTGTCTGGAAGGCAGTGAAGGAGAATCTCCACTCACCACCTTGGGCTATAGAAGTGGGAGGGAAGGAGAACTCACACCCAAATAATTATTTTATGTATGGGCAACTGCTAAACAAAACACACCACAGAGACAACTCAGAGGTGCATTGAGATTGTGTTAGGAAAAGAAACTGGAGAATGGCTCAATGAATCAATGTGAACATTTAATGGGCCTTAATTGGAACCTTATCCTACTATACTTAGAGCAGAGAGATGAAAGCAGAAGAAATCCGAGAGACCATTTATTTCACTTGAGAAAGCAGTAAACTGGAAACTCCAAAAAGATTTGATGACTATTATATTTTTATGATTAAATAAAATTGTCATAGACTAGTGCTGGAGAGCCCATAAATGTTCCGTGGAATGTATCCATGCTGTCTGGCAGCTATTAGGTTATGACCAGAAAACCTATCAGCCCATGCACTGCATTTATTAACCCTCCTGTTCTCATAACACCCAAAAGCTCCATAGTAAGGAAAGTTTGTCCTCAGTTCTCACAGGAAAGTTCCAGACCCTACTTAGAACCTTTGAATTTTAAGGCATTATTAAATGCTGTCCATTCATCTGCCCACCTCCCTGTGCCTCCATGCACATATCCCGTTAGTCTATAATGGACATAATCTTTCCAGTAGTGTGTGTGTGTGTGTGTGTGTGTGTGTGTGTGTGTAAGTGTGTAAGTAATCAGTTCTCTTTTCTTAAATAAGCTAGATTAGAAAATCAGGATAGGTACTCATTGAGAATTTGGGGGTGGCATATTTTATGTGATGACTTTTTTCCTTTGTAAGAAAAAAATATTATAAGCGCCTTCTCTTTTTACCATGTTTAAATGTCGTACCTATGCAGGTATGGGCAGCATAGGATGCATAAGTGCACGATTGCCATAGCACAGGATTATATTATGTCTGCAGGTTCACAGGCCTTCAGAGATCATCTATTCAAACTCCCCTCATTTCCAGAGAGGAGAAGGACTTACTCCACGTCACTGGAACCAGGCCTCCTGATATATTATCCAGGGCTTTCTGTGACCAGCCTTCCTCCCATCCCCAGCCCCAATGGTAAAAGAGACACAGATAATGCAAATATTCAAAAAAAATCCAAAATAAAGTAGTTTCTCAAATTTACGATGATATGGTGAGTCTGTATAATTTACAAGGTCAGTGTTCTATAGATAGGGTTCTTTCTCAAATGTAAATTAAAATGGAAGCAGCACTTGCTGCCATTGTCCCTGATTAGCTGTAGAGCCCATGACTTTTAGCTTAGCCAAGTCTTTGAGAAAATCTAGCCCAATTTTCTTGTGCTGTGTTTGAACAGAATTTAAAATATGCTTCATTTAAAAAGTAACTCTTCTCACAGAATAGACAACATGAAAGAAGGAAAAAGAGGCCCTAACACAGAAGACTGGAAGGTAACTCATTCTTGGAGAAATGCCAGTATTGTTAGCTTTTCATCCCTATGAACATTCATCACTCATTCCTTCTCTCATTTATCAGCTTTTACAAAATGCCCACACTGTGTCAAACCATGTGCTAGGAGATGCAGAAATGAACACAACCCAATCCTTGTCCTTGTGACATCCACAGCCAGGGGCAGTGCCTTCAGTGCTGAGACTCATTCCTTCCTTCAGCAGACATTTATTGAGTGCCTGCAGTGTGCCAGGCACTGTTCCAGACATCCAGGATACAGTGGGAAGCAAAACAGACAAAGTCCCTGCCCTCAAGTTGCTGACATTCTCGGGGCTGGGGGAAATAATTAACAAACCTGGATCTATGCCAGAGGTTTGAGATGTAAAATGGCCTGGCAGGTTCAGGGGACTGCAAGCTGTTTATTCTAACTGGAGCTCAGGATGTAGGAGAAACAAGAGCTAAGACTAAAGAGGCAGGCAGGGTCCAGGTCAGGAGGGACCCAAGAACTTGAGGATTGATCCCCTCAGAGATGAGGAGCCCCTAAGTGTTACAAGCAGGAGAATGACACGCTCAGACTATGTTCCAAAGTCCCGGATATGGAGAATGGTAGGTGAGCATCAGACTTCCACACTGAAGCCCCAGGGCTGTAAACAAGCATCCCTGGTTCTGAAGCATTATTCTCCCCTGCAGGAATAGAATGATGTTTGAGGAGGGGAAAAGCCTTTTTTGCATTCCTCTGCTACTGGTACCAAGCACACAGCCTTTTCCCATAGGAAGCAGACAGCAGCTGGTCAGGGGCCATCTCACTCAGTTTCCCTGGAGGGACACAGCAAAACAGCCATTCACCCCTCACTACATGAGAAAAGCCCTTGTTTCTTTAGCATCACCTTATTTCCAAAGCCTATAAAAGGCAAGCCCCCAACTACTGGCTTTTTAGCTTCTTCTGGTGATCCTGGCTACTTTCTTTCCTCTTTCCCTTCTTCCTTCTCTCTCATCCCTCCTCGTCCTTGACACTTTGCTGGTGCTAGAGAGCAGTGGATCCCTGGGACCACCGGGAAGAAGGCTAGTGCTTAAAGGGCCTACTTCCCACATGGTCTGCCAAGGCTGCTGTACTTAATCTCAGTTTGGAAATCATCTAATGGAAGAAGCAGATCTGGGAGGACAGGAATTTGTTTGCGGTGCTAGCCAAAGGACTCTTTGTGTTTCTCTGCACTGATTTTGACTTGATCATGTATATGCATAGACTCTTTAAACTTTTCTCCTGTGATATTAAAATAAAGCCACTTCTGTACCCTCCCTACCCTAACCCCAAGGTATCAGATTAAGCAAGGTGTGTGTGTTTGGGGCATGCCATATTCTTTATGACACATAGAGGTCATTGGCCTCAAGGACCCTCTTGTCATATTGCTCCTAGGCCTGGTCTTCAGGTGTGACAAACTTGGTAAGAGCAATGTGGACAGAGATGCTTGGCTCTTGCACTGGCCTCGCCTGGCCACCGCAGCTGCTGCCTTTTTACTATAGCATTGTAGCAGGACCAGTTTTGTGGAGAGGAATGCAGGAACTACTTTATTTCTGCTCTGCTAGAAAAATATTCTTTGTTCCAATGATTTACAAACTCTCTCTGCTGTCTTTTTTAATGAATTTAGATGTCTAGACACCTATTTTTGCCCCTGTTAAGGACACCTTGTCTCTGACAAGGGAAAAAGTAAAACAAGAATTCTTAGGCATAAAGAATTTGCCCTGGTGAAATTTAACTATTTACATTTCTGACTCCATGTACCACTCACCCTACCACACCAACCAATGGAACCGATTTGGCCTTAGGTTTTGACAGGTGCTTACAAAGCCAGCAGAAAGAAGCTGCTTCTGCCCTACCCTACCCCTCCTCTCTGTGGCACTGTGCCAAGAGGCTGTTGGACCAGTTAGGGTGCTGGCCAAAATACTCAGCTAACTGTTCTCACACATAGAAAGATGGTGTTATCTGAGTCCTTGAAGGCCCGGGATGGGTAGGCCCAGAGCTCTGGTGTGGTAGGTACAGGCTCCCTGGAGTAAGGATTTGGTCCTCAGTCATTCATTCCCCAGATAGTTAATGAACACCTGTTGTTTTCCAGGCACTGTGTTAGACACTATGCCAAATACTAGGAATACAGCAGTGAATATAGGGGGCTTAACCATTATCCTTACAGAGCAGACAGCCTTGAGACTGTTGAAACTGGGGATTCATAGCAGTCTGTCTTTGCCTAAACAACTGCTCTGGTATCTGGAGCAGGGCCGTATGTGGTTCTGTCTTCTGGTCTGTGGCAGGCACAGTGCTGGGGTCCCAGTGACATAAGTGTTTAGAAACTTGCCAGACGGCCTTCTGGGGTAAAAAACAACTAATAAAAATAACACAATATGGAGAGCTTTCTAAAACCACTGATGGAGTTCTCCTAAATAAGGAGAAAATGCAGGATCACTCTTAGGTCTTAGCAAAATCAGAAGAGGCAGAGTGTAAGTAGGTAAAAGAGAACTTGACCATTTTCTGTTCTGTTTCCTTGAATATAAGTGAGTTCTAAAGAGCTGGGAATTTTACTATAGGACATCCTGGGTTTATCTATTATGTATGTAGATTATATAAGAGAGAGAAAGAGAGAGAGCAAGGGCTGAGCGCAGTGGCTTACACCTGTAATCCCAGCACTTTGGGAGGCCGAGGTGAGTAGATCACAAGGTCAAGAGTTCAAGACCAGCCTGGCCAACATGGTGAAACCCCATCTCTACTAAGGATAAAAAAATTAGCCGGGCATGGTGGCACCTGCCTGTAATCCCAGCTGCTCGGGAGGCTGAGGCAGGAGAATTGCTTGAACCCAGCAGGCAGAGGTTGCAGTGAGCCAAGATGGCACCACTGCACTCCAGCCTGGGCGACAGAGCAAGACTCCATCTTGAAAAAAAAAAAAAAGAGGGAGCAAGAAACTACTACAGACCTTTTTCTACTTTATTTTTATTATTTAGTGTCATGGTTTGGTATGGTCAGGGAATAAACTATTCCCATATAAGTGAATTTTTCAGATGACCAAATTTACCTTTAAAAAACAATATGTGGGCTGAGCGCGGTGGCCCATGCTTGTAATCTCAGCACTTTGGGAGGCCGAGGCGGGTGGATCACCTGAGATCAGGAGTTCGAGACCAGCCTGGCCAACATGGTGAAACCCCGTCTCTACTAAAAATACAAAAATTAGCTGGGTATGGTGGTGGGTGCCTGTAATCCCAGCTACTCGAGAGGCTGAAGCAGGAGAATCGCTTGAACCCGGGAGGTGGATGTTGCAGTGAGCAGAGATTGCACATTGCACTCCAGCCTGGGCAAAAACAGTGAAACTCCCTCTAAAAAAAAAAAAAATGTGTTTAACATTAACTTTCCAGTCCCTTTTACAATATTATGATGTCTCCTTCCATCTTAAACCAGTTATGCTGAATGTATTATGTATTTTTTGATGCCTTCAGAAATGAGTTCCTACTACGATGTTAAGGCACATTACTATTATTAGGTATGTGGAAGCAGATTTTTAAAGTGTAGCATACTAAGTAAGGATAATTGGTTATAATTAATAAGATATTTTACTACAATACAGTAATGCTCTCTCAAGACCAACTGAAAAGGGTTGAGATACTTTTACACCAAATGATTCTAGGCAACTTTTTGAATTCTCATGTCTGCTTAAAATAATTTTAATTCTCACGCCTTCACTTACTAATGTCAGCTGGTGCTTCTTCCTCTTGTCAATTTATTTAAACCAGCAGTGTCTTTTCTAATTGCTGATTTCAGTCTACTCTAGGCCAGAAAGCCCACTTTTATTAGACTTGCTTCTGAAATGTGACTTGGTAGATTGAGTTGGAGCTTGGAAGACTTTCTTGTAAGTAACTGGTGTGGATTTTGTGGAAAAACTGGGCACTCGGTGAAGGCAAGAATGTCTCTGATTTGTTCAGTATTCCATTCCCAGTGCCTAACACCATGCTTGGCTAGAGTAGATGCTCAGCAAATATTTGATGAATGGACTCATCTCTCTGCTGAAAGGCCCGCTTGCTTCTTTTCACGTTCTTGACTGAATTCCATGTGGTCACAGTTGGAGGAAAGGTCCCTCTGGGTGAGGGAATCAGGCTGTTTTACATTTATACAACGTGATAGACTCTCCATGGGCCCTCCTAGCCACTCCTTGGAATTTTATGGAGTGAATTTGACAGTTGTCATTTTACAAATGTGAAATCTGCAAACTCTCTCCAGGAGAATTTGCATTTTTAATCCAGATTCGTGATCACTCACTATCCCACCTCCACTTTCCTTTTTTTTTTTTTTTAATTTAAATTTTGGGTAACACCAAGTATTAATATTACAAATATATTTGACATAATAGCATTTCTTTCAAAAATATAAGACCAGTTTTGCAAGGCACTCAAAACCTGTCAAGGCTGCTCCAGAAGGCATCCAAATAAATGGCCATCCTAAGACAGTACTAATTTAGAGTCATGTGTTCCAACAGTTCACTCCTGAGAATCTAGTCCCATCACCAACCCTTCCTCTCTTTCAAGTTCTTACATCTGATAATTTGAGACAAACCCTTGGCACAGCCAGCACATAACCAAGAACTGGTTATTTGATACCAAGCCAAGAAGAGTATAGGTTTTTGA
Source organism: Homo sapiens (assembly GCF_000001405.40). Lineage (NCBI taxonomy): Eukaryota > Metazoa > Chordata > Mammalia > Primates > Hominidae > Homo > Homo sapiens. The sequence goes on along the minus strand of NC_000015.10, from coordinate 76,360,691 downwards.
AAAAAAGTCTTTTGTGTTAGTTTAATCTATGTCAGTTGGTTTGTTTATTTGAATGGCAGTATGTCATCCTCATCTTCATCCGGGCTGGCAGAGCCATGCAAGAAGCTGGCTGGCAGCCAGTCATGGAAGTGAGTTCAGGCCTAGTGACAGACAGCCCTTCTGCCCAGGAAGGAATGGGCTCATGAGTCCAGTGACCGTAGATGGGCCTTTGAGGTGAGGAAGAATCTAGCATTTGGAATAATAAGAGATTGCTAAGCCCAGCTCTACCAATGACGAGCTGGAGGACCCAGGACAAGCTCTCTTGAACTTTCTGAGCATTAGTTTCCCCATTGTAAGAGTATAGTCATCCCTGTCTGCCCATTTCAGAGTTTAGAGACTTGGATAATGTAGGTAGAGGGGCTTTATAGCCTACTGAGTACCATCTCTGCCAGTAACAGGTTTTCTGCTGTGTTAACTGAGGTTTTGGCAAAGCATTGTCCTAGAAGGCCTTGAATTCCTTCATACCAAGTGAAACACCAGTTTTGCCCATACCTGCAAAAGGAGGAGGCTTTTCCAGAACTCTTATAACCAGACCAGGGATCCCTGAGTTGGTGCCCAGGATCCTGAGGATTGTAATCCTAATTTCCTTCTAGGGTAAGAGACAGCTTATCACAAAATCTATTCTTCAAGGACTTAATGTGCAGACCTAAGGTGATGTAGACACCATTGAAGCCTTCAATCCAAAATCTGCCATCTGTATTTCATGAGACAAGATGTGGTATGATTCTACCCCAAGTCAAGGCACCAATTAGTTTGTTAACTAGGGGCCCCCTGTCACTTTATTTCATTCATTCCAGTAACTTTGAGGCCCTCCTTCAGTGCCTAGCCCCCAGCAGAGCAATGGAGGATTCAATACCAAAAACATAGTTCCTGCCCTTCTGTAACTTGGGATTCAGCTACATATACTTAGTTATGTGATAGTTGCTGCCATGTCTTTGGGTTGAACAAGAAAGGCTGCCTTTGGCTGTTCTGCCTGGGAAGACTTCCTGGGCTTAAGGATTTCCTTAAGTGCTTCAAGGGAAGCTCATCCTTGCTCTCAATCAGGAGCCCACAACACCAGCCTATTAGCTTTTGCTCTTCCTGCTCTGTTTTCAGGTTGACAAGCCTAACACAATAGCTTCAAAACACACACATGCACAGTAAGTTAAGCCACTGTTTCTTTGTACCACTTACCTGTATTTCTTGGATCATGCTTTTCCTGGATTTTCTTTTCAGAGCTGTCAGAATACATTTCCTACTCTGCCACTGCAAGATCCTGGCTGGCAGCCCCATCACTGTTTGCACAGCTCTCTCGTGCAGGCAGGGCCAGGGAGAGACCTCAGCAATGGCTTCCTACGTGGCACGAAACTTGCTGATGAGTCCCAGCAAGACAGTGGGGCCTGCCTCTGCCAGACCCTGTGCTCTGAAGAGTAGTCCTTATGGAGAGATGGGGCTGGGGTGATGGGGAGGGGGGCAAGATGATGGAAAGCATTTAGGAAGCCTCACACTGGGAGGGGGCTTCAGGTCTAGCGGGAGAAGACTCAGAGCAGCAGAACTGGTCAGCTAACCAAACACTCATAACTAACATTGTTCTGTACTTTATGGTCACAGACACTATCTCATTGGATCCTCATCTAAATCCTGAAGGCTACCATCTACCCTCATTTTATAAAGACTCTAAGGCTCAAATTAGTTAAGTGACTATAGCAGATCAGGGGGCAGAGCCAGACCTAGAGCCCAGGGCTGCCTAACACCAGCACTCTTGAGCTGTAGCTTCATGGTTTATGGCCACTGACAGACAGTTGGCCCAGGGAAAGCCACTCAACTGACTCTGAAGTGCACCTGGTTAGAGATGGTAGCCTTTCTAATGGAACATAATTCCGGCTGAGGTTGATGAGAAATGATGAGGATTGTGCTATGGACTGAACTCTTTTCCCAGAATTCATATGTTAAAGCCCTAACCTGCAATGTAGTTGTATTTCGAGACAGGGCTTTTAGGAGGTAATTAAATGAGGTTGTAAGGGCAGTGCCCTAATCCAGTAGGACTGATGGCCTTATAAAAGGAAAGGAGAGATCTCGCTCTCTAAATGCCCTCACCAAGGAGAGACCATGTGAGCACATAGCAAGAAGGCAGCTGTCTGCCAACAAGGAAGGCCCTCACCAGCCCCACCATGCTGGTTCCCTGATACCAGACTTGCAGCCTCCAGAACTGTGGAAAATAAGTTTCTGTTGTTTAAGTGGCCCAGTCTATGGTATATTGTTATGGCAGCCCAAGCCAACTAAGATAGTTTTGTATTGAATCTATAAACTTCTTCCCTCCACTGAAAATTCACCTACGGTTTCCAGGTGTCCACTAGCCTCTGCTTTGAAGACCAAAAGGGGAGCTATGCACCTACGGTCTTGTCTCCAGAGAATGATCAGGAATAGCTCCAAGGAAGCCTTGAAGTACTCTCTCTTGTGTTCTGTTTAGTCAAAGAGTTTCCATCTGATTTGTCCCAAATTCAAAATGTAGGAATGTAATTTTCAGTGAGAAAGATTATATTTATTTACTGATTTATTTTTATGTGTGTCTCCCATCTTTTTTAAAAATAAACTAGGGGGTACAAGTGTATTTCTGTTACATGGACATATTGAATAGTGATGAAGTCTGGGCTTTTAGTGTAACAGTCACCTGAATAGTATACGTTGTACCCATCAGGTAATTTCTCATTCCTCACTCCTCTCCCACTTTCCCACCTTTCCCTCCCATTTCTGTTCTTTCACTCTCTATGTTCATGTGTACACAGTATTTAGCTCCCACTTATAGGCAAAAACATGTGGTATTTGACTTTCTGAATATTTCACTTAAGATAATGGCCTCCAGATCCATCCATGTTGCTGCAAAAGACATGATTTCATTTTTTTTATGGCTGAGTAGTATTTTATGGTGTATTTATATATGCCCATACATACCTCACTTTCTTTATGCAGTCATCTGTTGATGGACATTTAGGTTAGTCCATCTCTTTGCTATTGTGAATAGTGCTGTCATAAACATACACGTGTGAGTATCCTTTTTATATGGTGATTTATTTTCCTTTGGGTAGATACCCAGTTGGTAGTTCTATTTTCGGTTGAGAAACCTCCATACTGTTTTCCATAGAAGTTGTACTAATTTACATTCCCACCAACAGCGTATAAGCGTTCTCTTTTCTCTGTATCCTCGCCAACATCTGTTATTCTTTGACTTTTTAATAATAGCCATTCTGATTGGTGTAAGATGGTATCTCATTGTGGTTTTAATTTGCATTCATCTGATGATTAGTGATGTTGAGCATTTTTTCATATGCTTGTTGGCCATTTGTATGTCAAAAAGAATATATTTAAAGATCCAGCATTTTGGGTCATCTTCTCATTCTTAATTGGGTACTTGGTGACACCGGTGTATACACTTTGTGAAAATTCAGCTTATTCACCTAAGCGAGGTAGGTGAGTGGCCATAGGGGTGTGTGTGTGTGTGTGTGTGTGTGTGTGTGTGTGTGTGATGTCAATAAAAAGGTTACTTCTTTTTAAATTCACCACCTTAAAACCCAGAGCAATGGAGCAATTTGCCTAGGGTCACAAAGCCAGTTGGTAAATAAATACAAGAACCCAGATCTCCTAGCTCTTTAGTTAGCACCTATTTAAGAATCACATCCAGGAACAAGGTTCCATTTCAATGTCTTTTGATCTGAATGTTGTTGGAAATTCCGTTGATTTCCTCAGAGCCCTACTCTGCGTCTGAAGGTGGGCATCATATTTGAAAGACTGCTTCTGATTACTATTGAGGCCATGCATGCTCCCTACTTGCTCTCTCTGGCTGATGAGTGTGGCCACCAAAGAAATCTACAGGTAGTCCATTCCCTGCCGTTGGTGCAGTGCTCTGGAAGGAAGCTCTGTGGGAAGCCCCTTTATGTTTGTGTTGGCCTTGTGCACTCTGAAAGATGAGGCAGGTGGCTGGCCAGGCTCACAGTGGTGCCTGCCTTAGGACTTATGGGCAGCCCTTTGTCTGGACAAAGGTGACAGACCAACAGTTATTGACTTAGTAAGAGCTCCATCAGTAAGGCAAATGGAGAGAACACCATAGTGTAAATCTGAGATGTCTCTTAATTATGCGTATTTTGTTCATTGAGCAAGACTCTCATATTCCATGATGACTCCACTGACTTTGGAAAGCTCAAGCAGTCCAAGTGACATTTTACCACCTAAGGCCTAAGAGTGAATGGTGGGATGAAATAAAACTGAGCCCTACTCTCATCTCCACATCTTTCAAAAAGCCCCTCAGACAACCCTCTCAAGACAACCCTACTCAAAACCCTGATCATTAAGGTCAGGCTGTTTGCATTTCCAGCCCTGCCCCCTGCCCCAAAGGGTAGTGCTTAGTCCAATTCAGCTGACGGTTCATCTGTGCTCATGACATCAGACTGCCACCCTCTATGCCACAAGCCCACCTGAATTAGCCCACTGAGTGTTAGTGCTGTGGGCTGGCCCCTTCCTGAACCTCCTGATCCTGTCTCCACAATGTCTAAAATGTGGTTGGAAAGACAGCATAGACTAGATGTCCCATTCTGGCTCATAACCAAGCCATGGGGTGGTAGGGTTGGGGGTTCTCATCAGTCGTAGTAGACTCCTTACCTGTAGCCTGGTTAAGTCCTGTCATACGTGGTCCAATGGGTAAAGCTCCTTAGAACTCCAATGGTAACCAAACTGCCTACATCCATTTGCATCTTCTGCAATCCAGGGATTTAAAAGTAATGGCTTCTGGCAAGTCATCTCACTACACTGCTGGTCATCTCTGTAAACTCGCTCTGTAAACGGCAGCTGATAACTAGCTCTGTTCCTTGAGGGAACCAACAGGTCCCTAAGGGGCTCTGCCTCACTCCAGTGAGGTTCAGGAGCCCAAATGGAGTAAGTTCCAGTTAAGCTCTTCATGTTCTGTGCTGATATGCCAGGCACCAGGAGTTGTCTTTAACATTGTACCTGCACCAGCCAGGCTGGCCAGTGTAATATTTTTCAATTAGCAAATCTTCCAATAATAGCGTTTTAACAATGAAGATCTAAAGAAAAAACTTGTTCTTAATTTTTGTCCAAGGAGGGGAAAAAAAAAAAGAAGACTTCTAATAATCATATCATCATAAATTCTAATGTGGGGAACATTTGGCTGTGTTACAAAATTTGCAGCTAATAGTTAAAATAAAGATTTAAGTAAATGCCTTTATCAATAAAGTAAATGATAGGGCATATTCTTCTCAGCCAGAGTCAGAAATGGCAGCACATAGCCATGTGCTGAATTGTCACACAGTGCAAGTCTTTAAAATTCCTTCTGGATTTGAAGGTATTAACAAGTCCCTATCAACAGTCTCTAAAGGCTTTTGATGTCATTTTAGCTATTGAACGAAAATATGTGAACTATTACTTTGTTGATTTTGTTCTTAAACTAAACTGCATTATCATCTGAGAGTGTGTTCTTAAAGTATTGTTAAAAGTACTTTGAAAACTTGTAAATCCCTGTAATTTATGTTACTCCTGCCTCTGCTGTTTCATTCTTTCCTTCTGGTTTTAATTTGAATGTAGTCCTGTCTGGGTGTGTACCTGTAAAATTGTGTTTTTCCAAGTACAATTTACAGTTCTGACCTTAGGTTTACAGTGTTCCCAACCATCTAGGAGCTTCCTCCTATACCACGAAGTGGGCTTTGGGTCACCCAGCTCTTTCATATTAGAACTGTCTAATCAAGGTTACTTGAAACAGATCTAATTTTGACATTTCTTAGTTTATCATGGAGGCCTAGGGAGTAAATTAAGAGGGCTTCCCTGCAAGCCCATTCGTTGCATTGCCCTATTTCTTTAAATGTACACAGTTGTAAACTTAAGACTGCTTCAAGACAACAGTCTCATTTATCTAAACAGTTCTCCTTTTAGACTCAGTGGCACTGATGGAAACAAAGATAAGAAGTATAGATTGGAGGAAAGGTCTTTTGGAGCCTATAACTTTTTTTGAAACTGTTCCCATTTTCCTTAGAATTACCTTTTCTTTCTTGGACCTGCCTGCATACAGAATAGATCTGTCTGCATTGAGTGTATTCAGTGAGCTAAGCTAAGGGAAGACTGCAGTGGGCAGGGCCTTACTTTCTTGTGAGTGAACTCTTTGCAGGTTTTAAGGAATATGACTACTCTGCTTTAAGGGGGTGTGGGGAGCACTTTGTTAAAGCAATGTGCATTCTGAATCCATTTCATAGGCGTCCTTACTCCGTGGCAGCTACACCTTTAATCGTGGATTATAATAACTTTTAAATGAGTGCAAAACTTTCAGGATCTTTTCCTTAAGTTGGGAAATGAGATTTTTTTTTTCTGCTCTTTTCAAGTATCACTTAAATTAAGCTCTGGTACGGAGTCAGGAGTCTTTTTCTTTACACTCCTTCAGCATGTTTTCCATGGTACTAGCCGACACTGTGCAGGTGGGTGAGGGACAGGCTGGGGCGTTTCGGCAGCTGACCTGGGCTGCTCTTCCATTTCAGGTGATCGTGCAGTCCGGCCGCCACCCCACAGTGCTGCAGAAGCTCTGCCAGTTGCCCTTCCAGTATTTCAGTGACCCACGGCTGATCAAAGTACTGTTCCCTTCACTTATCGCTGCTTGTTACAACAACCATCAGAACAAGATCATTCTGGAGCAAGAGATGAGCTGTGTTTTACTGGCCACTTTCATTCAGGTACCTTCTACATTATACGTAATTGTCTAGCTTTGTGTGTAAACTAATGCGACAGAAATGTAAAAGTAAGCCAGCTGTTTATTTTTGCCTTCCATACTACCTTTTAAAATCTTCACATATTTATGTGCTCCAAAATTGATTTCTAAAATATCAGCATAGTTTCTGAAATATTACTGGAACTGCGATTGGGTGTTGTATAATTTCTACTTGGAGGATTTCAAAGAAAGGATACTTTTCTAGTTAATGAAATGGTAACCCGTACTCAGGAAATGTTTTTAAAAGACTGCCAGACTTCTTTAAGGCTTTAACTATTGTATTTATCTTGCTTTTATTCTAACTATAGGAAATAGATAATTACTGAAGAAAGATGAATTAAAATTAGTTTATTTGTACATTTTTAAATAAATATGATTTTCTTATATGTATAAAATAAAAACCTGTTATATTGATTTTTTTAATGTAAAACAACTTTTAAGTACAGCCTTATATTTTAAATTCTGTAGGGCTAGAATCAGAATTAGTGCCATAGCAAAGTACTATTTCCACATCTAAATTAACTTAGTCAGCTGAAAAACCAAGTTGACTATGCTTTAACATTTGCTACTAACTAACTCATCCTGTGAATTTCTTTTTGTCATTATAGAGCATTATTTGCTGAAAATCTCCCATTTCTTTCACATGTTCCACCATAAGATGTGTTTTTGCTCCATGACACACATGTGATGAGTAGACAGTACTTTCTGGTCTTCAGAATAATGAAACAGAAAGCAGAGTTCTGTATTAGTATTCTTCCATATTCTGGTGAATATACATCTATCTCTGTCAAAAGGATATGATAGTACCCAGCTGGCTGGGAACTAGAGGATAGCTAAGGAGTTCCCCGAGCCCTCTTCATCTTAGACAACATTTCAAAGTTTATGTTTTCCAAACTATCCTGTATTAGATAATTAATAAACGCAACTAGATCAATTATGTTAGAAAAGTTTTGTTTTCGGCTTAATTGTTCTGTTTGAATCTACGTTTTATTTTCTGGAAAAAAAGTTAAATTAGATATTTAGATCTACAAATATGGATTTCAAAAACTGTCTTATAGTTAATATCTTAAGAAAATTTTACAGTATATAACATCATATCAACACTTAGGATTCTTCATATATTTTTAGAGCCTTAGGATTAAATTAAATAGAAAATACATTATGGACCAGGTGTGGTGGCTCACATCTGTAATCCCAGCACTTTGGGAGGCCGGGGTGAGCAGATCACTTGAGGTCAGGAGTTTGCGACCAGCCTGGCCAACATAGTAAAACGCCGTCTCTGTGGGCACCTGTAATCCCAGCTACTCGGGAGGCTGAGGCAGGAGAGTAGCTTGAACCTGGGAGGCAGAGGTTGCAGTGAGCCAAGATCATGCCACTGAACTTCAAGCTGAGTGACAGAGCGAGACTCCATCAAAAAAAAAAAAAAAGAAAATACAAATACATTATGGATAATTTTAAGAGTGTGCTCTTTCTAAATTCAGATTATTCATTCTTTTATTGAACAGGTAATTTTTGAGTGTGTAAGGTGTGCTGGGCACTGCAAATACAGCAACAAATAAAACAGATAAAAATTCCTGCCTTCACAGATCTTTCATTAAAGTGGAGAAGAGTCAAGCAAAAGACAAAAAAAAAATTAGTAAAACAAATAGTATGTCAGATACTATGCTAAGTGCTATGGCAATAAGTGCTGTGGAGAAAAGTAAGGCAGGAAAAGGAGCTAGGGACTTCAGGGAGATGATGTGCAGGTTTTTATGATGTGGGCAGAGAGGCTTCAACAAAGAGACAGTGATGTTTGAGCGAAACCAATTTCACATCTGTATCAGCTTAGTTCCTTATGTTTTCAACTGCATAGACAATGACTTATAATGATACAAATGATATCAGGATCTAAAGATTATATATATTTCTTGTGTTTATCTGATATTGATCACAAAGTACTAAGTCTACCTTTGTCTTACAAAAAAAATCTGTAACATAAATTTTGTAAATGCTAAAAAAAATTTCTTATATTGTTTATTTCAGATAGCATATTAGACTTGTAGAGTTAAATCAAGTGTTTTTCTATAAATAATTGTGCTCAAGAGAATGAATATAGATAGGATTTTAGTTTATAATGTGGTTCCTCAAGGTCTCTTATGTGTTACATTATAACTGAGTTACTAGAAAATGATATTAAAATAGCAGCTGGTTGTCTTAGGTTTCTGAAGATTTACATATTTTATATTACATTTTTCATTTTCCATCTACATGCAAAATTACCAGACTTTAAGATTTAGCTGCAGAATACATAGAGCTTTCATATTTGTACTTTTTAAAAAAATGATCAACACCTGTTGATATTTTAAGATAGTAAATTTGGCTTAAATTTTAGTTTTATTAGATAAAAAGTTGTAATTTCCAAAGTAGGCAGCAAGTTGTCCCCTGGTGATAATTTAGCAAGATGTAAGTCATTACTATTTATGAGAACCTGCACTACGTAACATCAGTTTCTTCAGCGTTTATATTTGGGCCCCAAAATATTCATACAAAAGTGGTTGCATGAATCAGAAGTATATTTAAAGCCACCCTTAGTGAAATTCTCTGTTCATAGCATTGATAGAAAAACACTTTTCTCTCCTCATACAGGATTTGGCACAGACTCCAGGTCAAGCGGAAAACCAGCCTTACCAACCCAAAGGTATGTCTCTATTGAAATTAAATTTCATGTGTTTGTTAGCCAAATGGACATCTTTCTTATCCTTTCCTCTGGAACTGCTACATTATATGTAAAATTTTATACATAACCTAAAAATATTTGAGATTCAGATACCAAGTATATTTCAGTAAGTAAAGAAATCGATTTTGTCATGAAGCATGAATGCATCCAAATATGTATAGAAATCTGTGGGAGTAAAAGAAAAGCACAAATATCTTTGTATAATTTATAATCATCTCATGCAAGATATATTAAATGGTAAATAATTACTAAAGAGCCGCTTTGTAATACAGGAGCCAGATCATTAATACTGGCCCACATTTCTCACATAAATGCTGAAATCACATAGGTTTGGTTCCTTATCCATGTTCAGAATAAAGTTATCAGTAATAGTAGCCCACAGTTTCCCCCCAAGTTCAAGTAGTTGAACTTTTGTTTTGAAAATAATTGTTTTACATGGAGAAAAAGTCATCTAATTGGCAAAGTCCAGGGCAAAAGATTTACAAGTTGTTTTTTTTTCCTATAGCATTCCTGCTGGGGTGTTTGCTGTGATCAGAGTTAGAGATGTAGAATTTTTACCACATTTTTACTTTTTTAAATATTCTGCTACCCAGACTGTAATTGAGAAGTACAAGTTGCTCTTTGGGTGTTATGACAGCATCTCTGATGAATGAGAACCTAATCCAGATCTTCTTCAATTCTTCCATTAGTTTGATAGTCTTTAAAGTGGCCATTTAGAGGTACACTCCCAGCAGGACCCTTTAGGGCACCCACCAAGAAACCCTTACTTGGTGGGGGTGGGGGTGTTACCTTGGACTCTTTCACACACACACACACACACACACACACACAAAGTCCTCTACAGTGGACAGGTGTTGAAAAGTGCACAGAAGAAAATATAACTAAAGCTATTACAATATCATGAAAAGAAAAAAAAAAGACGTTTTATTGACTCAGGCACCCAGAAAAGTTAAACAGAAAGCTATGCAACTTTTCAGAAATTCAAGTCCACATCCTTGTCGGTACCATTTGTCTGAGCAAGAATTAGTCTGCAAGTTCAGTTCTGCCCTGACCCAGTCACAGCCCTTTTTTTGTTTTGTTTTGTTTTAACTACTGGAGGATACTTGGGGAGAAATCAGCAAAATGTGTTACTGTTCTTACAAAACAATTTCATTTTGAATAAATTAAAATGCTTAGAAAAATCTAATGTATTTATTTTCAATTGTACAGCAGTTTTGTTTTGTTTTGTTTGCCACTAAGAAGTATAAGCATTTTTTTCTTACTCTTTCTCCTGATCATAAAGATGAGTCACAATTTGTTACATTGTCTGGAAGACACAGTCCCAGAAGCTGCCTCTCTCTGCTTGGTGGACTGAGGCCTGTGGAAGTCTCAACCTTCTTTCTTTTCCAAGGGACCATCTTCCCTGATTTTCATGCTTTCCCCCAGTTACAGTAGGCTTAACCCACAGAACAGCAAAGGGGGAATTGGTCTCTCCTTTGCTCAGAAAGGGTCATCACTATGTTAATGACAGCTCATAATATGTTGCTTGATTTTTTTTTTAATGATGATGCCTAAGTTGCCAGTTTGCACCTTGGGTATTTGTTCCCCTTTTGCCTAGATTAAGTCCTCATAAAATGTCTCAAGATATTTTGAGTTCATTGTCCAGGTAAACCTTTAAATATAAAAGCAGCTCTTGGTAATACCACATTCCTATTGCCCAGGAAGAATTTTGGTTTTCAAATACCTACTGCCTGTCTAGCTGCAATTGTTTACTTTACCTATGTCACTGGCCAGTAAAGCTCCTATCATTCATTCCTACTGCTTTGTTAGATAGGCTGTGCTATATTTGAATAATTTTAAAGATATACTTAAAACTACATTCATGTTTTAAATTAAATAGACTTTCAGAAAACGTCATCATTTACATACAGTTTTCCCCTTTCATGGCTAACTTAAGGATAGAATATAGGACTGTCATTTTAGTTTGTTCTTTTTTTTGTTTTTTGTTTTTTGTTTTTTTTGAGACAGGGTCTCTCTATGTTGCCTATCCTGGAGTGCAATGGCTACTCACAGGTGCGATCATAGCAAACTATAGCCTCTAACTCCTGGGCTCAAGCATTCCCCCGACTTCAGCCTTCCAAATAGCTGGGACTACAGGCGCGCACCACTGTGCTTGCCTGGTTGCTAATTTTTTTCTCATTGTGGAGTCCAAAAACATCTTTTTGTAATTTATATAGGGGTTAATGTCTGAATATGTTAAAGGACAAACTGGATTGTGGTTAAAATATATGTCATATATTTTATACTACAGATAGATTGATACATATAGATCAATCACCTTATTTACCTAAATTGTGTCATGGTTTATTTGAAGTGGATATCTCCATTTTATACTCAGATATCAAAATAAGTTTAATTTATGAATCTTCAAAGAATTTAACCCTCTTTTATTTAACTTTTTTCTCTTTTATCCCCCTCTCAGGGAAATGCCTTGGTTCCCAAGACTATCTTGAGCTGGCTAACAGATTTCCTCAGCAGGCCTGGGAAGAAGCTCGACAGTTTTTCTTGAAAAAAGAGAAAAAATAAATGTTTTGGTTGATTCTGTATTTGAGTACCCTTGTTAATATTTTAAATTGTCCAAACAAACATTCTAATTGTTCCTTAAGAACTCATTTTCCCATGTTTATACTCTTCCCACACTGTAGATATGGCATGTACTTTACACTATTTATAATGACTGTAGATACTTGAATGTTCTACTTGCTAATTTTGCAAGTTGAGTTTATTTCATTTATGCAGAGTATCTTGGAGTTTGGTAATTTCCATCTTATGATAATATATACTTTGCATTTGTGATATGGGTGAAAGGAGACATAAAATTAGCAAGTCTGTTTTGTTCTTGTAATAAAGTAACTTATTCTGTTTTCATTGTTGACTTTTCATGTTAAGGAAATACGAATCTGAAAGAAAAATGTTAACTCCAGCTCTTGAAGTATCTTAAATAAAGACTTAATTAAAGTTTACCTGCTCTAAATTTAACTTTTTAAGGTCTACGGTAAAGATATTTGCAACACTTTTGCATTCTGACTACATAATATGTTTGGGGGCTATTTGAAATCAACTTAGGGCGTTGTATTCATTGGTCTGCCCGAACTCTCCTAGCAGATAATCCTCTCTTGGCATTGCCGAGCTGAAATTACTCTCCTAAGGAAAAATTAGTGATAAAAAAGATGTGTCCTAGTGAATCACCCTAGAGTATTTTCTCACATGGTTGTGAAATGAAGCAACGCTGAAATAAAAGTCACACAGAAAGTCGCGATGGTTCTGAATGAGTTTCACATAACTCCTGTGCACCTCTCAGTGTCTGCCTGGAGATGTTGACCTTTTCATGTCTTGTCCTCATCGTTTCTTCACTAAGCCGATGGTCAGTGCTAAGCCGTTCACTGAGTGACATCAGTAGTAATTTCTGTCAGATACTGATCAAACATTACCAAGAAAAAAGATCCGGTTGGGGAAAAAGATCTGAAAATGTATTCGACTCGACACTGCGGGGCGGGGAGGGACTGGAAAATACAGAAGTTGTATGTTTTTCAAAAGCAAACTTACCCACCTAGTGTTCTGGACCCTTCTTTTTGGAGCCTCACAGAGCTGCCGGGTTACATATTTGCTATTTTTTACTTCTTTGCAAACAGAAAATTAAAAGGTATGATTAAAAAAAAAAAAGCTCCTCCAAGTGCGATCGGCGCCCCCGCCACCGCGGGACCCTGGCGTCTCCGTGGCTCAGCCCAGCCGAGCCCCCACCCCGCGGGTGTCCAGCGCGGCGCTCCGGCTCGAGGGCGGGGACCCGCAGCTCCAAGCCAGAGGGACGGGCTTTAGGGCCACCCCTCCAGCCTCGCGTGGCGACTCCGCCGCCGGGCACCAGAGAGCGGGACCCAGGACTCCAGCCGCTGGCCGCGAGTGCTCAGCAACTCCCGGAGCCGCAGGGCCGGGCTGAGTTCCGCGCCTGCGAGACCGAGGGGTAGCCCCTGGCGCCCCCAATGCTCCTCCCAGGCGGGGGCTGCCGCGGGCCCAGCGAGCGGCCCCGGGGTACGGAGGCAAGTGTCGGCCGCAGGCTCCTTCCACACTAGGGATAGGAGTTCCCAAAGCTCGCTGGCCCCGCGCTCTCGGACGCAGGATCCTTGCAGCTGAAAGGAATCATCAAGTATTTATAAGATTTCCTGCAAGATGCTTCACAATAGAATATACTTATCTGGTCGGAAATTTGCCAAAAGCCATAAATAATTGAGACAGCTGTGACTAACCTCCCAGAAACCATACCAGAATTCTCAATTAAACATTTAATTGAACGGTCTCATTGCCCCCTCGTCCCGGAGAGGAGGAGGCGTAAGAAGCAAACCCAGGCCCCACCCAGCCGGGAGCCTGCGCGGCTCGGGCCCGGGAGCGTCCCGGTGCCTCCCGGCGCACGCGGTTCCTGGGGGTCTCGAGTTCACTGCTTTCGGGCGCCCCGGCCCGGTCCGGGCGATTTAAGCTCCAGCTCCCCGGGCTTTTACGGCTTCTAAACTCTCCGGGGCTCGGGGGAGCGCAACGCCCAGGTGAGCGCGGCCGCGTCTGGTTGTAGCTCGCGGGGACGCAGTGCCGCCACAGGTTGCTTTCTGCCGGGGCGAGGGCCGCCCCCCGGCTCTCCAGAGGCTGAGGGGCCGCAGCGGAGACCGCTGGGCGGAGGCGAAAGGCCTCTGCCGGGCCCAGCCTATGAAGTTGACGGTGCGACTGGGCGTATTCGGAGTGAAAGCGACAACTTCGCCCGGGCTTTGCAGCCCAGAATTTGGGTCAGGTAGGAGAGGCTGCCCAAGGCCCGGGAGCAGCGACGTTTGAACACTCAGCGGCGTTGCCCAAGCCAATTCCCCGCAGCGGCGGCGGCTCCCTTCCCCCGGAGCTCTGCGGGGCCCACCGCCCCAGACTCGCAACTGTACGTCGGAGCCGCAGCTTCGGGCCCGGCCACTCTCCCGCCCTCCAGACGCCAGCAGTTGCGAGGCTGGGACCTCGAACCCTGAACCTGGCCCCGGGGAGCCTCGGTCCTGACCGCGGCGTTCCTGGGACATTTCTTCCAGGGCTCTTTGCCACGTTCTGGAAAGTCTTGAGTCTCGATAATCTGGAAAGAAATCACTCCTCACAATCCCCTATTCTTCCACTTCCTCGTCCCTGCTCCCTGCCCCCTCCCTCCCCCACGCCCTAACAGCTGACCTGATCTCTGGTTAGCTACTCTCAAACCACGCCTTAACTTAAACACGCTCTTTCCCAACGGGGAACCGGCCTTCCTGAGCTCCTGCCGGCCCCTGGGCTTACGCCTTGACCCACTCCCCCGCTGGCTCTGACCTTCCGGACCAGGAGGTACCGAGGCGGATGGCTGGATTCACCTTGCACTCCCGCCTCTCTGGCTGGATTGTTGCTGGGGCCCCAAATGTGTTGTATACATTGAGCCGCTCCCTACCCAACTCCACATCTGGATCCCAATGGAGTATTTCCTTGTGCCCTTTCTTGCTCTCATTACTACTCTCAATCTAGCTCTATTCATCTGCATCTTTCATGCACAGTCTCCATCAACAAGGTGCTAGTCTGTACTTGGCCACACAATCCTCATTACTGCACTGAATCCCAGTATTTTCAAGAAAGTTTACTTTTACATCAATCAGACCCCGATTTAAAAGCCTCTAATCTTTCCCGCATCAGCTTCATAAACTCTGAATTTCCTGCTTTTATCACCACTCCCCTGGGAACTTCTCTGCAAATATTCATCCATTGTTTCTCTCTCTAGCATGCTGCTATTTGGCTAATTCTCTTACTCTCTTTGGTGAACACCCATGAGAAAGCACAGCTAACTAAATGTGTGGCCATCTGTGTCCTCCCCTAGGCAGAAGAGGTAGAACCTCAAATTTTCTAGAGAACAATCTTAGACAATATCCATTTAAACCCTGTATTGGCAGCTCTGACAAAATTGAGCTTTGTTATTCCATATTCAAAACACAAAGCCTGATTTCTGTTCCACAATCCATTAAATATTAAAGTTTGTTGGGAATACTGCCACAGGGACTCTGAATTTCCCAGAATTATGCAGTCTTTCAATATGTATTAAATTTTGTGTAAAAACTTATAGCCATAAACTGTCTATCTCTGGGAATCCCTTTCCTTCCTCAATTGCATAGAGCTATCCAAATTAATAGTTAAGTCTTCTGAGAAAATCGTATTCTAAAGTGAATCTAGCTAAATAACTCCCACTTTCCACCTATGGCCTCTTTTATTGAATTTTTTACTATGCAATTGGGTATCTCATATTAAAAGTTCAGTAAGTATAAAATACAACACTTGTCATTGTTACAGGTAATTTAATTTATGGGGAAATCCCTACTGTATTACAAAAGATGTTTAAAGATGACTTGGGAACCCGTAAAACTGATATTTATTAATGTAACTAACCAAGCGTAGATGTGACACCTCACTAGGGACCACTGTAATAAGGCTTCAGAGTTGAATCCTTTCCCTGGAAACCCACATAGAAAACGATGCACCCCTTTGGGTGGGTAGCAACTATGGAAGAGAAAAGCTTGTAATGTTTTGTACAGTGATACAGAGAGATGCAGGAATCTTAACACACAATAACCACTTTTATCTAGGTAACTTCCCAATATTCAAAAAAGACAGACACAATCATATAAATAACAAAAAGAGGAATTTGATTTTTGATTCATGGATGATGAGGAAAGAGATAACTAATTAGATGTTGAGATAACTAATGTAGACGTTTCCATTCATAGCGTTAAAACGCTGCAATCTGTCAAAAGCAAAAATTCAGAGCTAATTAACCATTAATGAAATTCTTTATTCAATAACCTGTTATTTCCTTTTTAAAAAAAATGAGAAAACCCAAATATTCTGGATAAATCAAAAGTTTTTGACAGTGAGATTTATTCGAAGTTTTAGCCCCCTATCTAATGGCCAGCCAGAAGGTAAAAGGAGAAATCTGTATTTCTGTTGGGAAGGAATGGTCTAAGTTAAAGAAAGGAAGCCTCAAAGAACCCAGACCTGATTATTAAAGCCATTTCTGGGCACTTGAGAGGTAAAGCTGGTCCTCATTAACTCTGCATATCTCTTCCCTTATCTCTAAGTTTGCAGCAGCATTTCCTATATCCCAAAGAAGGGGAATGTTCCCTTTAATATTTGTGCCAGCATCACCTTGACATTCAGGAAGTAAAATATAAATGCAGCTCCATTTTCCCACCTCCCATTTTCTTTCAGTAATTGCCAGCAAGCCTTCCATCATCTGCAAGTGGGGTGGGGGCAGTGTGAAGGAATTCTGCTAAAAGCGCTGCTGAAAAACCCACAGTGGCCTTTGGCCATCCAAGCAGCCATGGCTAACAGAAGGCACCTACTTTTCTATCTGAAGACTACAGGGCCCCCCAGACACGTTTTCCTTGCCAGCCCCTACCTAAGCTAAGATGGCAACTATCCCCTACCCAGTTAGGGCGTTGCCCACTTTCAAAACAAACCTTGGACAAAGAAGGATATGCTTGTGGGTCGCTTAACTCGAGGGACAGGGAAACGACAACTCAACGCCAGATGTTCTTACAACAGCGGTGGACTAACTGGTAGTCGGGAAGCTCCCTCAGTCCACTAAGTGAAGGCTGGTCTTGGAAAAGAACTGTCCCAGGCTGCCAAAGGGTTAAATATTTGTAAAGAGTAAAACCTGAGCCTCCGTGGGTTTTTTTTCTTTCTTTCTTTTGGGGTTTTTTGTTTTTGTGTATGCGCGGTTGCCCGGAGGCCTACTGGAGATTCAGTATCTCTCGGTTATTTCCTGCGATCACTAAAGCCAGTTTTCAAGAAAACAAGTCGCAGGGGTTTGAAATGTCACACCAAGTGACCTGGGCACGGCATATCCAGGGGCCATTCCCAGCTCCCTCCCACCCGGGCCACCCCCGACCCCCTCCACTTCGGTCTGGAAAGAAAATAAACCAAGGACACGCCAGACTGGTTCTGGGTGGACTTATTTTCCCGGCAGCCGCGCTCCTAGCGGGGGCTCGTTGCGGCCCCTCGGTGTATCGCTTGCAGGTGATGCCAAACGCAGATAAGCAGCCGCCGCCCGGCCCCCGCCTCTGTCTAGACTGTGGAATTAATAAATGCCGCGGATTGATCACGTCGCGCATCCACTCCGGGGACAGCGCGGGGCACGGCCCGTCACGGCCGCCCGCTCTGGCCGGGGTTGGCCTCACTGCTGTGCTGCAGGGCCAGGGGCAGCGCGCGGGGCTTCGAGCCTCACCCAGGGCCGCGGACCGCTGGGGAAGGAAGCGCCGGGAGGGCCCGCGGCGCCGAGCGAGAGTGGGGCTCGGGGCTCGGCAGGCGCCAGGCCAAGGCTGGTTCCGGGAGCGGGGCGCGCCCTCGCCCGCATAACCCTAGGCCGGAGTCCGCCGCTCAACCGCCACAAGTGCCGCAGGTTTCCCGCCCAAACGGGTCCCGCCTCCTGCCCGCGGGCCTGGGCCGCCAGGTGCCCAGGGGTCGCCAATGGGGCGCTCCTGCTTCTGGGAGGGCCCTCAGCGCGCATGCGCCCAGCCCCACCCCCTCGGCCGCGCCCAATCCCCACCGGGCCCGCCCCGCCCGCAGCACGCGGAGCCCCGGCAGCCGACGCCAGCCTGACCCCTGAACTGGCCTCCGCCGGCCCTCCCGCCGCGCCAACAGCACAGAGGAGTGGCGTCGCCCCGGGTTATTATTTTTTATTAAGATCAAAATACAAGTCCCACTATGAACTGGCTGTTCTCACAATAAATAACAATAACTTACGTTTGTTTGTTCGGCAAAGGCTCACATACTCTGTCCTCCGTCGAATAACTTAAACACTTTCAAGGCAAGTCTGGTTTCTACTGTTTCCCAGCAATCATGCGCTTTGGGAGTTTGAGTGTCTGTTCCTCTGAGTTATCCCCTTCCTTTT
Organism: Homo sapiens; assembly: GCF_000001405.40. NCBI lineage: Eukaryota > Metazoa > Chordata > Mammalia > Primates > Hominidae > Homo > Homo sapiens. The sequence goes on along the minus strand of NC_000015.10, from coordinate 76,342,244 downwards.
CCCCGCTAGGAGCCCGGGCGAAGCCGCCAGGGAGCGCTGAGCTGGGGCAGGGCGGGGGTCCGCGTGGGCGAGCTCCGGGCCGGCCGAGATGGGGACACAGGTGGGGCGTGGAGAGACAGAGCGGCGGCCACGTAGAGAGGAGAGGAGAGGGCAGAGCTAACCCTGGTAAGTCCCAGATTCTGGTTTTGAAAAACTAAGAGTCCTCGGAGCAGGGGTCTGCAGTCTGGTGAAAGCAGGTTGCATCCTGGCGCCTTGGGCTGTCCAGACCGTGTCTCTCGGTACTCTCTCATAAATAACAATAGAATAATTACGAAGGCGAGAGAGCTTTCGGAACTGGAATGGCCTGAGCATGGGTGAGTCTCATGCAGGGAGCATGCGAGGTCCGCGGGCTGGCAGGGAGGGGTCCCCCTCACGTCTCCACGGGACTCGGCACCATACTGTTGGGGGTGTCCGGGAGCTGCGAGGACAGGGAGGTCACGTCGCTGCCGGAGGAGTTGCCTAGGGAGCCGGACTCGGAGAAGGAGACCTGGGGCGGCGGAAACACCGGGAAGAGGCAGGTGAAGAGGCACGCGAGCTGGTGCTCCAGGGCCGCGTGCTCCGAGTCGGAAAGTGTCCCTTGGGGACCGGCCGCCAGCTGAGAGCAAGCCCTGCGGAGAAGGAGGCCAGGTCCCCAGGCGCACGAGGGGGGGATTAGGGCGGGGGAGCGGGTTGGTTAATCCTGCGACCTCTCTTGTGAGCACTTTAATCCAGGGAGACCTGGTTTAGGGCGCGTAATGGGCCGAGGTGAGGTTTCAGAGCCCGCCACTGTTCCCCCTCCCCCACCGCCTAGGGCTGTACCCAGCCCCTCAGCCCAAGGCCACCCCCTCCCCTCTCTGCCAGGCTAAGTGGCTAAATCCCCAACCCGCAGAGTCCCGAGGTCGGGGCGGGTAGGGCAGGGCCTCACCAGCTGTTGGAAGGCGGGTTGGTCCAGGTCGCTCTGGAGGGCAAACTCGCTGAGCGCCTTCCACGGCGGCTGGTACGTCTGCACCTCCACTGCGCTGCCCTGCACGGCGTTCTCATGGCGGATGGGACTGCCCGCCACCAGGGGCGTCCCAGTCAGTCCCTGAAGGCTCTGCGGGGCAAGCAGAAGGCAGTAGGTGCTCGAGTTAGGTCTGGCCTTTTCTGCCACCTTTGAGACTGGAGCTCCAGGCCTTGAGTGATTTAGGGTCTGCATTGCTTTGCGGGGAGGCGCACACTCGATCGCATCGGAAGAGCCCTCTTTCTCCACTGGGGATCTGCGGGGGCCGCAAACTTGCCACGATAGGTCAGCCTCGGTGCTGGAAGCCAACCGCCCGGTGAGGAAAGGCAAGACCTGCACTCCCACCTTTCTGCAGCTGCCGACGGAGTGCACAACCCACCAGCCCGACTGGCGGGCGCTGCACACTGCCATGCAGCCTTGGGCTCCGCGCAGCGCCCGGAACCCGCAACGCGGGGCTGCCACTGGGACAAGGAGAAACCCCGATCCCAGACAAAATAGGAAGCCTCAAATCCAAGGGAAGCCTTGCTGTGAAGGTACAGACATACACCATCTGGAGCGCCCAGTTCTCCCTGGATCTCCCAGGGCTCGCCCAGAAAAGGGCACGCAGATACCGCGGCGGAAGCGCAGCCCCCACCCGACTCGAGCCTCCGGCCCAGCGGCTGCTCACCGTCTTGTCGCTGTGCTGCTGCTGCTGCAGCTGCTTCATGAGAATGGATTTCTTCTTGTCCTTGCAGCGCTTGTTCTGGAACCAGACGCGGATGACCCGCGGGCTCAGGCCGGTCATCTCCACCAGCTGCTCCTTCATGAGAGCGTCGGGCCGCGGGTTGGCGGCGTAGCAGGTCCGCAGAGTGTGCAGCTGCTTCTCGTTCAGCACAGTCCGCACGCGGGTCGTCTTCTCCGTCTGCTTGTGCACGTGCGGGCGCAACGCGGGCTGCCGGCCCGACCCAGCGTCTGCCAGGACAGGGTGAGGCCAGAGGTTAGCGAGGGGCCGCCACCCACCCGCCCCGAGCCCAACCTCCGGGTGGCCCAGCCCCCCGGGGCCCGATTTCGTTTCTGTTTTATTCTGTTTGTTTCGTTTAATTGTTCGTCTTCCTCTCCATCTGTTCGCCTTACTCGGAGAGAGCTGTGCATTTTCGTTCTTTCTCTCGCTCCCGGGCCGGACTGCCCCGCAGCGATCTCTCCCGAGCTCAAGCAGGGCGCGGGAGCTCGGCGACAGGCCGCTGCGGGGAGGGAGTGGCTGCTCAGGGATGTGCCTCCTCCAGTCGCAGGACCCTCGGAACGAGCGAAGCCCTCCGGAAGAAGTCGGAGTTTCAGAGGAAGAGGAAAGAGGCTTGCCCAGGACTCTGGAGAGGGAAAGGGACCGACGTGGACCCAGGGCGAGGCGCTGCCCAGGGGACTGGGTGGGAGGTGCGAATATGCCGGGGGCCTACGAGGGCCCTTCCCCTCCTTCAGAGCCCATTTGGACAGGGCCAGGCCACATGTGTAGAAGACTCATCCACGGTTATGGACGGGCCTCCAGGGCTTGCAACAGTTCCTTCCTGCCCGCCCTTGGGCTTCGGCCCCTGTCTCCTTCCTCAAGGCTCCAGGTTCCCCAGCCCAGTGGCCTCCCACCGACCAAGGTGCTGAGCAGCCGCTGGCACTCTCCTCGCTTGGCCCCAGGTTCTCTCCATCCCGGGGAAACAGTGACTGATTCCAGAGCCTGCACCCTGAAGCCCGAAACAAACAAAGGGGAGCCTCTCCGAGATCCCAGATGGGGGTGCACTGAATACCCGCTTGCTCCCATTTCACATCTCCATTTGATCCCGACCCATATATACCGTGGATCTGTACTGCACCATTTCGGTTTATGTTCCCCTCTACGAATTTCTAGGTCTGGACAAATATTTACAAATAGCCCATCCAGCCCAGTTTCCTCTTTCTATAGGGAGGAAGTGAAGATCCAGAGAGGGGAGGAGCGGGGCAAGGCCACACAGCACCCAGAGGCCCAGCCTGGTCTACGGATCTGTGCTGCAGGCCTATGGCTACCTGGGGGAAACTGCCTTGCCTGGGGTGGAGGCACCTCTGTTTCTGTTCAGCCGTACCTGCCCATTATACACTCAGACCCCATCTCTGGGCAGCTGCTGATTAGGACCCAGAATATTCCAGTGACAGTCCACTATGCATTGATACTCCCCCTCCCCCAGAAGAACCTGGCTAAATTGTTCATCAAACTGGGCCTCAAAACAAGATGGCAAAAACCCCTCTTTGTTGGGTTCTTGGCTCCTGGCTGACCAAGCTCCTGCCCAGCTCCCAGTTTGGAGCTGTGTTACTTACACACATACCCCTGGGCAAACCTTACCCTCTGACAATAACACATATTCCTCCAAGAAATTCCTAATACAAGCCCCAAGACGGACACCACTTAAGATTCCCTGTTGTCATCCACTCTTCTGCTCCTAGCACTGTGCCCTGCATGTTCCTGGTCATGGAGAACACGATTCTGCACAATTCTCCGTGCTCACACACTCATACACACGCAGTTTCTCCCGAGCACACGAGAATACACACAGCCTTGTTCCCAGCACACAGTTCCGCACTGATACAGAAAAACACTATCCCGGCAGACGGAACCACACACAACTGACAACTTCTCGTTAGGGACACAAGCGTACCCCTACACACACGCACGCACATACACCCCGCTCACCCCGGCACAGGCCCCGGCGCGCTTACCGGGCAGATGCAGGCCGCGGGCGCCGGGAAGCGGGCCGGGGCTGCGCGGGCTGCCGGCCGCGGCGCGCTCGAGCAGGAGGCCGTGGTCGGCGCGGCAGAGCAGCTCGTGCTCCCGCAGCGAGAACTCGTCCCCAGGCAGCAGCTGGCGGCTGCACACGGAGCAGCGGAAGCACTCGATGTGGTACACGCTGTCCCGCGCCCTCATCACCAGGTCGCTGCTGCTGAAGCCCACCTGGCACTTGGCGCACTTGATGCCGAACAGCCTGCGGGCCCAAGGTGCGGCGGTGTCAGCGCTGGGCCTGCGGCCGCCCTCATCTCCCTGGCTGCTACGGCTCCGGCGCGCGCCCAGGACACTTTGTGGCCACCAGGAGACTGCGGTGACCCGCCTGCGGGCATTCCCGGGCCCGGGGGAGCGCTGCGGCACCCGTGCGGGATGCGGATGGCCTTCTCCCTGGGCAGGGCCGGGGCGCGCGGGCAGGCCGCCATCCCCAGTCCCGGCCCCGGCCCCTGCGCGCGGTGGCCCAGCCCGCGTTCCCGCCGGCCTCACCTGACATAGTCCCGCTTGCAGTAGGTCTTCCCGTCTCTCACGAAGCACGTGCACGTCTCGTCCAGGTACTGGCTGCACTCGGCACACTTGAGGCAGGCCGCGTGCCACTCGAGGTCGGGCGACACCCGCAGGATAAACTGGTCGTGGATCTGACTCCCGCAGCCCACGCACATGGCCGTCCCGGGCTTCTCTGCCGGGGAAGGGCGCGGGGCCGCGTCAGGCCTGACTGCCCGGACCCAGGCCGGCCTCGGCTACTCCAGCCCCAACCCAACCCGCTCGCTCTCTTGCTCTTTCTTTCAAGACTTGCGACCATAAGGAAAGATGATGAGCTCTCTAAAGGTCCAGGGCATTGGAAACGAAAAACCAGTATCTTGTGGATTGCTGAAGGTTTCTTCTGTCCCCCACCCCAAATATTTCGTTATTACATTCATTAATGACAGTCGTTTTGTCGACGTGTCTTGAAACTAAACGCAAACACGAAACTAAGAAGAGAGTAAATACACAGGCACTGCGGACGCCTGGATATCAACACCTAACGGTGCTGTCCTGGCATTTCCGCTCACACACTCCCACTCACAGCGGCTGCCTCCTATCCCAACACAGACACATCGTCTTTCGGCAGTCCCCGCTCATCCTCTCAGACATTTCTTAGTTTAAATATCCCAGAGCAAGCGAAAGAAAGCTTCCTAGCTTTGAAAAACCGAAAGGCAAACAAACAACAACCAAAAAAAAAAAAACCCACATCCCTAAATCAAACCTAATTGCCTTTGCGCAAAACAGAAGCAGATTTCGCAGCCCGAAGTCATCCTAGCCGGCTTGAGAAATAGTGTTTACTTATAAAATAAAACAACAGGATTCCCAAAGATAAGCAGTCCTGCAGGAGACATGCATTCGTTTTTCCTCTCCTAAACTATTCTGACAAATAGAAGCCACTTGTAGAATCCACTAAACATTTTTCTGCATTAGAAATTTTGCATATTAAGCATACACACACACCCCACCCCACACACACACAGAAATACTTACTCTTGGAATGATCACCCATAGCACCCAGAAAAGGATAATGAAAAATAATATCCACCATGCAGAAAAAGAGATGTGCGCAAAGTGTGCGGCCAGGGGCAGAAGGACGAGGGTCGCGCGCCCGGCCTCGGCTCTTTGCTAACTAACTCCTACTGCCCCGCGGAGTTGAAGGAGCGATTCCGCACCGGCCCGCACGCAGCATGACGTCAACACGCACTAGCCCCGGGCCGGAGCTGGGGGCGGGACCTGTGGCGTCACGAAGCTTCCCCAGAACTGCCGGGGATGCGGGGGAGGTGATGGGGATCCAGGGGCTGATGGGCGGGGTGGGTTGGGTTGGAGGCTGGGGGTGAAGGGAGATTGGCTGGGAGGAAGTGGGCCAACCCTGATTGGCCCGGAGTGAACAATGGAGTGCAGCCCCCCCACCTCCGAAACCTACAAGGATCCTCTCTCATGCCCCGGGCCTGGCAATCTGGACTGGACCTTGCGTCACCGCCGAGCTGGCTCCGCGGCCGTTACAACTCTGAGCTTCCTCTTGGACTTTCGGGGCGGTTTTCCCAGGCGCGCTGGAGCTGGGTGATGGATACCTGAGGGTGGAGATGGCTCTCCTTTAAGAGCTCCCTTCTTATATAAATTAAAAAAAAAAAAATTAAACCCACTCTCAGGACGAGAGAGCCGAGGACAAGGGGGATCCGTTTGGACGTGACCGTCATCGTCCAGCTGGTCACCTTTCTCCTCTCATGTGCCTTTGTTCTTCGGGTCCAAGCTAGAGAGAGTGTAGAGAATGACCACCTGGGTTCTGATAAACTCTATTTAGACTTTCCTATCCACACACACGTAGAAAACTTTAGATTGGGGCATTACGTGGGTTGAGCCAGAACCCAGATCCAAAAGCGCTCACCCGGGACTGGGACGGGTCCTGACTCCATCCTTGCTGCTGCTGCCGCTGCTGCTGCCCCTCCTCCCTCTCCTCCACCACCACCTCCTCCTCCTGCTCCACTTCCTTTTTTTTGTTGTTTTGTTTTGCTTTTAATTTGTTGCTGTTGTTGTTTTAAATGTAACATGGACTTCCCCGCCCCCTCATTTTTCCCCCATCCAAATGGCATAGCTCCTTTTAGGAACACTGCTGGGGTCGATTGCGTGTCCAACTTCCAAAATAAAAGATTTTTCTAAACTCTTGTCCTTCATTAACAAACCCACTGCAATGCAAATAATCAGAAACGAACGTAAGGCGCTGGGTAATTTACAGTGGTATCTGCGAGGCGGCGGCTCGTTGGTCCTGAGAAAATCTGAGAGCTCTGAGCACAGTCCAGGCATTCTTTCAAAGAAATCGCTGTGGGTTTTGTTTGAAAGGGTTCAAAGACCGGCCCATGAATTATAAATAACATTTATCCAACCATGGTGTCTGTTCTTGTTTTCCCATTAAAAGGAGTACCAAGAACTTGGTGTGCGCCTGGGTGGGGCGCGAGGTGAAACGCCTGCGGATAAAGTGTCTCCACCGCCATTCCAGACCCTGCCCAGACCTTCGGGCTTGTGGGCCTGAGGGCGCGGTCGCTACTGCCGTTCTACTAAGAGCATGAGGTTGGTTGGCGTCGAAACGGATGCAGCCGAGGGCGCAGGCCGAGGCTTTGCAGAAGGCTAGGGCGAGGCCCCGAGTGCACGCTAACATTATTCGACCATGGTCCACGGTGAACGTTCCTCACCGGCCCCGCGCTGGGGCGAGCGCTTTAAGCCTCGTCCAGTAGCGTCCGGCTTTTGAGCTCCGCCTCCACCTTTAGGAGGTCTAGTCTTCTCACCGGTCCGGCTTTTTTTTTTTTTTTTTTTTTTTTTTTTTTGAGATAGACTCTTGCTGTGCCGCCCAGGCTGGAGTGTAATGGTGCGATCTCGGCTCACTGCAACCTCCGCCTCCCGGGTTCAAGCGATTCTCCTGCCTCAGCCTCCTGAGTAGCTGAGATTGCAGGCGAGCGCCACCACGCCCCGCTAATTTTTGTATTTTTAGTAGAAACCGGGTTTCACCATGTTTGTCAGGCTGGTCTCGAACTCCTGACCTCGTGATCCGCCCACCTCGGCTTCCCACAGTGCTGGGATTACAGGCGTGAGCCACCGCGCCGGGCCACCGGACCGGCTCTTGTTACAGTTTACCACCCGTTGGCCAATAGGCCATTTCTTGCGTCTTTAGTCAACAGTCCCCCAAAGAGCGCTCACCCTGAGTGTGTGCGGGCAGGTCAGGGGTTGGGGGATGCTGCGTTTGAATGAATGTGTTTATGTAAATGGGGGACAAGAGCGAGGGGGTGGGTATCTGTGCCTGAGGCTGTGCCAGGACACCTGTGTGACCTCAGGCATCTTATTTTAATTCTCCTTCCCTCAGTTTCCTCATCTGTAAAATGGGGGTATAATAATTGTAGCTATCTCTATTACATAATAATTAAATAAACTGTTCTCTGGAAAGGGCTTAGAGCAATACCTAGCACAGAGTAAGTGCTCCATATGTGTTAATTATGACAGTTATGACTGTGGCTGTATCTTTATGTTGGGAGCCTCTGCCCACCCTGCCTGCGTGTGTCTGGATGGGGAGGGGAGGTCTAAGTATGTCTCAGTATGTGTCATCTGATGATTTCTTTGTGATTTCGATGTGTGCTTGCTGTGTGTGTGTCTGCTGTGTAGATGGGGTTTGGAGATGTGTGGTCTGTGCATAGACTTTGTGTACAGGTTATATCTGTGAATGTGGGTGCACAGTCAGAACTGGGAGGGGACTCGGTGTGTGTGTCTGCATGTGGAGTGAGGAGGTGCGTCTGGCCCAATGGCCCTACCCTTAGGTGACCCTGGACTAGGCCTGGCTCCCAGCACCTACTAGCTCTTGCTCGCCAGGCCAGGAGCAAGCACATCTATAATTCAGGGGTTCAGACAGCTGGCCAGGAGGGGGCAGCCCCAGGCTGGAATCGTAGTCCCAGCTTTTAACCGTCTCCTGCCCAGAGAAACTCTTCCTTCCCGTCCAGAAAAACCTGTCCTTTGAAACTTCACTAGGGAGGTGGGGATTGGAGAGGGTCACCCCTCCTGGGATGCTAGGAAGCCAGGTCAAAACAAATATTTGTTCAGGGCCACCATGTGCAAAGTCCTTGTTGTTAGCCTATTAGGTCTTAAAAGTAATGCCATGTGGTGAGTAGTATTGGGCCCCTCCAATCCTCGAGGAAACTGAGGCTCAGAGAGGGGAAGTTACTGCCTCAGGTCACAGGTTAAATCATTGCTGGCATTGAACCCAGGTCTATCTGGCTCCATCTTGCTTGCTTTTTTCACTGTGCCATTGAAGAGCCACATGAGTGTAGCTCCATCATTCACCCATTTCACATCTCTGGAGCTGTAAAACCAGGGATCCATTTCAAAATCACTCCATGTGTGACTTCTGGTCACAGCCACCCCTGAGAGACCAGCACTGACATGGGAGAAGAAAACACCTGCACCTGCTGGGCACGGCCACAGGCACCATTGATGTGGCCCTACCCTGGTTCTCTGCCTCCTGGCTGCTCCCTTCTCAGGTATGGAGGGGCCACACACTCTCCACATCCCAGGCTGGCATGCAGGAGACCTGGGTGCCTCCTATCCTGGGTCTTAGATCACTTTCTCCTTATCAGGAATGGCAGCTTGAGCTCCATAGCTATGCTTTATCCCATAAAACTAGCCTGTACTGGGGAGAGTTCAGAAGCACAGAGAAGTCTCCCTGATTATTTTCTCCCCAAAACCTCCTCTACCACATCACTTACAAAGGCACAGCCCCATGCACAATGTCCAGCCAACACAGAGGAAGCTGTTGCTAGTGTGGGAGCATCAGTCCTACTGTGAATATCAGGAAGGAAACTGAGGCCTGGTGACCTGTTACCCAGCATGTGATGGAGATGGAGCCGGAAGCCAGGTCCCCTAACCCAGGCCAGACCTCTTCCTGCTGGACTCCCTCTGGATGATCTTCTGCTGTCCAGGGCTGAGACCTTGCTGCCCAGCTTAAGTCACTGGACCAGGCTTCTCCTCTTGCTCCAGGCTCCATCCCCCTCCATTCTCCTTCTGCCCCACTCCCAAAGGCTTTTACTCTTCTCCAAAGGTAGTTGGAGATGTTGAATACAGCAGGCCAGAGACAGCCTCAGCATCCACATCTTCACCCACCACAGGCATCTGAGAACTTGCTTTTGAGATAGGGATGGAGCACCATGTTTCAAAGAAGAAACTAAGGCCTGGGGGCAGGAAGAAACTTGGCAAGTCAAGGTCAGGCTTCAGGCTTCCTGACATCCAAGACCCATGCTCTCTCCCCAGCTTTGCCTGCCTCCCCAACCCCAGATTCCCTTTGAGCAAACAGGTACCCACAGGCACTGCTGGGCCCCTCTCACTCCTTCCTGAGTCCCCTTCTCTCTTCCCTAAGTTACTGAGCACGTGCTGTAGCTGGGGCTCTGGGCTAAGCAGCCGTATGAGGTCTCATTAAAGTGCCCACCAATCTCCTGAGCAGGAATGGCCACATAATTTGCAGATCCCATTGCAAAATAAAAATGCACGACCCTTTGTTTAAAAAATTATTAAGAATTTCAGGCCGGGCGCGATGGCTCACACCTGTAATCCCAGCACTTTGGGAGGCCGAGGTGGGCAGATCACAAGGTCAGGAGATCGAGACCATCCTGGCTAACATGGTGAAACCCTGTCTCTACTAAAAATACAAAAAAATTAGCCGGGCGTGGTGGTGGGCGCCTGTAGTCCCAGCTACTCGGGAGGCTGAGGCAGGAGAATGGCGTGAATCTGGGAGGCGGAGCTTGCAGTGAGCCGAGATTGCGCCACTGAACTCGAGCCTGGGCGACACAGCGAGACTCAGTCTCAAAAAAAAAAAAAAAAAAAGGGAGGGGGGAGGGATAGCATTAGGAGATATACCTAATGTTAAATGACGAGTTAATGGGTGCAGCACACCAACATGGCACATGTATACATATGTAACTAACCTGCACGTTGTGCACATGTACCCTAAAACTTAAAGTATAATTTAAAAAAAGTTTGAGTATTTATGTATGTGTATGTGCATGTACATGCACAGAAAAAAATCTTGAAATATAATCATCAAAATTTTCAAAAAAAAAATTTCAATGGCCAGGGGCAGTGGCTCACACCCATTATCCCAGCACTTTGGGAGGCCGAGGCAGGTGGATCAATTGAGGTCAGGAGTTTGAGACCAGCCTGGCCAACATGGCAAAACCCTGTCTGTACTAAAAATACAAAATTTAGCCAGGTGTGGTGGCGCATGCCTGTAGTCCCAGCTACTCGGGAAGCTAAGGCATGAATCACTTGAACCCGGGAGGCAGAGGTTGCAGTGACCCAAGATCGTGCCACTGAACTCCAGCCTCGGTGACAGAGAGAGACTCTGTCTCAAAAAAAAAATAAAAATAAAAATTCAAGACAGCAATGGCAGAGCATCAAATCAAGTGTGTCTTACCCCTCCATGCACAGGGTTTCTGTGAAGTTGGCCCTGCCTCTGAGACAGGTCCTAATACCATCTTTCAGCCACTGAGAAATAAATAAACTAATATCCTTCACAAGTTAACACAACTAGTAAAGAGATGGGACTGCGACTGAGACTCAATCCCACACCCCACAGCTGTCCGTGAGACTCAGACCCACACCCCACAGCTGTCCATGAGACTGGTTATGAACCTGTGGTACTTGAGTGTGTCCAGATGGGAATAGTTTTGTTTGTTACCTGGGTTATCATGGACATATGCCAAGATGATTCTGTATTAAAACCAACCAACCCATAATCTATAGTACTCTTGTCCTGAGGGGATCAATGGGGAGTAGCCAGTGGGGAGGAGATAAAAAGACCACATGGGGTCATTACACGAGGAGGAGAAAAATTAACCCTTTAAAAATATATATATGGAGCTGGATGCAGTGACTCCCTCCTGCAATCCCAGCACTTTGGGAGGCCAAGGTGGGTGGATTGCCTAAGCTCAGGAATTCAAGACCAGCCAGGGCAACATGGTGAAACCCCATCTCTACTAAAATATAAACAATTAGCCAGGCGTGGTGGTGCACACCTGTAATCCTAGCTACTCAGGAGGCTCAGGCAGGAGAATCACTTAAACCCAGGCGGTGGAGGTTGCAGTGAGCCAAGATAGCATCATTTCACTACAGCCTGGGTGACAGAGAGAGACTCCGTCTCAAAATATATAAATATAAATATATATATAAATATATAAATATATATAAATATATATATAAATATATATAAATATAAATATATAAATATAAATAAATATAAATATAAATATATATATATATATATGAAGGCTGTCATTTCTTTCCAAATCACATTCTGAGGGTAGCCCAGGGATACCCTCCCAGGCCCAGATCTTAGGAAGGGATGAGGCCATGGGAAGGAGCTGTGCCCAGTGGCTTTGGGGGAAAGCTGCATTTTCCTCATCTTTCCAGAAGGGGGAACCCAGGCTGGCTAGCATGGCCTGGGAGTGGTTCTGAGCAGTTTGGCCAAAGGCACTGGCATATTCCCAGCCATGGCGCTTACCTTCTAGTGTTCTGCTTTCTTCTAGAAGTACTTCTCCTCTTGCCGAGATCCAGGTCCTGAGCAAAATGACAAAGAAAGGGAAGGAAGGAGGGACCGACGGAGCTCTAAAGGGAATGGATTCCCTGAAGCAGGACTGGGCGCCTTTTTTGCAGAGAGGCCAGCCTCTTGCCAAATGGGACAGGTTTGCAGCAGAGGCCCTGGATGGACGAGTGCCCTTCACTGAGACAGGCAGTAGTAGAGATGGGAAAGATGAGGCAGGGAGGTGCAGGTCGGCACTGTGAAGAGGCTGCAGTAGAGCCATGAATGACCTGGAGCTACCATAGGACACAAAGCGGGGGTGGTGCACAGAGCAGGGTGAGGAGCCTGTGGTGTCTCTTCCAAGCCTTGGAGGATAAGCTGGATTCTTCCAGACACAAAAGGAGCAGGAAGGTCTCCTAGGAAGAGGGAACGGTCTGGCAGACAGAAGGAGGCAGTGTGTGAATCAAGTGCTTTTGGGGGAAAACGTGGGCAGCTAGGAGAGGCTGGAGCCAGAGGTGACTATGGGCAGTGGCACAAGCAGAGTCATGGAGACCGGGAGAACCCATAGCCACCCCAGGCAGGCCCACATGGCCGGACGGTCAGGGAGGAAGCAGCAGGCACGAAAGACAGAAAGGGATATTTGGGTGAGCATGGGAAGCCCAAGTGCCACGCTGAGGAGCTTGGAGGTGATTCTCTTGGAAAAGGGGAAACCTCCCATTGCCTGGCTGAAGAGATTTAAGTGGGGAAATGGATGAACACAGCTATGCCGGGGAAAGAGGAACACTTAGATGTGACAAGCAAGACAAGCAACAACAAGGACATGTGTCAGGAGGGCCGGGAGGAGATGGGACCGAGGAGGATGGTGCGCATGTTGACTTGACGAGTGGCTCCCCTCTCTTCCCCAGAAATGGGCGGGACAGGGGCAAGGCTGGTTTGGGGGAAGGGTGTGAATGGGCGATAAATTAATCTCAACCATTGACATGGGGTGAAGGAAGAATTTCTATTTGTAATCCTGAGGATGGTGGAAAAGAATACCCCTTACTTGTGACTTACAGATATTGTTAAATATATTGAAAAATACATCTGGGTTGACATCCAGTTAGCAAGATTCCAGGGAACAATGCTGCTTTGTGAATTGTACCATCCCAGAGTGGGAGTGACTTCAGGTTTTTCGCTGTGCTCCAATGCTCCAGCACCTGCGAGTCAGTAACCATGAGCGTGGCGTCAGAACTGTCATGACTCATGTGCTCCTTGCATGTCTCTTTAGTAGTACTTCCAGATTCAAATTTTCCCAGCAGGAAAACTGAATATTGTAATAAGCTCCTCTGTCCTGCACAGATGTGTGTGGATTTAGGTTTTGCAGACTTTGTGGGCTGGTTACATCCCCTTTATCAGTCAGAGATGCTTGTCTTTATGATATTAAAACAAATGAAAAACGCCTTATCATATGTTCTCAAACATGAGATTATCTCTTCATAAAGTTATTGTCCTTTTAAAGGCTTTTAAGGATGCCATTTATTCTCTCCAACATGTACTCTTAAGAAGCTAAATGTGTGTTTTTTTTCTTATAACAAGGACCAATCATTCTTGTTCTAGTTTGTCTATTCATCACCTTGCAACAACTCTAACAAAAGTCCATCAAGAAACCATTTCTCAAAAGAATCTCCAGCAGATCCTCTTTCACTGGGAAACATCTCCTGGAGGTTAGAGTTACCGGTAAATTCCAAAAATAGATAATAAATGAGATAATAGAATCTGGGTTGTCACCTCTTGTCCAGTGGGATTATCCGATGTCTAATCATGGACAGATTGTGATTTATGTGATTGTAGATGGGGCATTAATCCGATTCAGGAGGGAATCCAGTCAGATTTTCATCTGCTCCGAATGTGTAATTGGTTTGGAGGCAGGAGAAAAGCAGCTTGTACCAGATTTTGCCGCATCACTGTGATGAGGTCTATTTTGATCAGCTTGAGTTATGGACAATATAAATTATTTATAGCAGCTTTAGACATGCCTTATACTTGTAAAGACCTTCAGAACAAAGTAATAATGCTCCTCTTGCTGTTGGAGGAATGAATCTTATTCAGCTGAATGCCGGTGCCCACAGCTTATAAAAATCAAGAGGGAGAAAAGATTAATGGCCTGTCGGTCCACCACCAAATACTGACCAAACATTACAAGAGTCAAGAGGTTGAGCGAGGCCCAGGAGAGGAGGCCAACTGCTGTATGAAGAATGGTCCTGGCCCTCAAGGGGTTTCACTCTGGTTGGGAAGATAAGACCCAGATTCAGGAAAGCACAGGCAACCACAGAAGGCAGTAGGTGGGGAGGAGAATTCCGCATGAACTAGACAAGCTTCCTGAAGGATATGGAGTTGGAGTTGGGTCTTAAAAGGTGAGAAGTCTTCAAATGTGGCCTGTGTAGGAGGAGGGAGAGTGCTGGGAGCAAAGGCAGGAATGCAGGCATGCTGTGGACACAGGGAGGACCCTGGGTTGGAGTGGAGGGTAAGGGAAGGTGCTGTCATTTACTAAGCAACCGCTATGTGCTGGGTGCTGGCTGGGACTGCATTTACCTCATTCAGTCTTCTCATTATCAGCAGAATGTTTTTGGCTAAAAGATAGCGCTGCTAAAAGTGGCATTAGGCTGGAGTAGTGACTCACACTTGTAATCCCAGAACTTTGGGAGGCCAAGGCAGGTGGATCACTTAAGGCCAGGAGTGTGAGACCAGCCTGGCCAACATGCAAAACCCTACCTTTACTTAAAAAAAAAAAAAATTAGCAGGGCATGGTGGTACATGCCTGTGGTCCCAACCACTTGGGAGGCAGAGTCAGGAGAATCGCTTGAACCTGGGAGATGGAGGTTGCAGTGAGCTGAGATGGCGCCACTGCACTCCAGCCTGGATGACAGAGACTCTGACTCCAAAAAAAAAAAAAGAAAAAAAATAGTGGCATTAACCAGGAATGAGTTGGCTCAAACAACAAGCACAGAGGTAGGGCAGCCCCAGAGATGAATGACTCAGTGACCCAGTGTTATCAACGGGTCCTTTTTGTTTTTCTGCTCTACTGTCCACAGATGCAGTCTCATTTTAAGGATGGTTCTTGTGGTCACGAAACGGCTGCCAAAATACCCAGGACCATATGCTCCCTTGGAGAAGCTGGCTTCTTTTCAGAATCCCCCAGGAAACCTCTTTTCTGTTCCATTAGCCCAAATTGGCTTAGATGTGCCATTTCTGAACCATCACTGGCAAAGAATTTGGGATTCTCTTATTGGTTTAGACCAGTCAGCACAGGTACATGCACTCCACCAGTAGGTGCTAATAAATGTTCAAGAACTGGTTCTCTGCGGCCGGGTGCAGTGGCTCATGCCTCTAATCCCAGCACTTTGGGAGGCTGAGACGGGTGGATCATTTGAGTTCAGGAGTTTGAGACCAGCCTGGCCAACATGGTGAAACCCTGTCTCTACTAAAAATACAAAAATTAGCTGGGCATTGTGGTGCACGCCTTTAATCCCAGCTACTCGGGAGGCTGAAACAGGAGAATTGCTTGAACCCTGGAGGCGGAGGTTGCAGTGAGCAGAGATCATGCCACTGCACTTGGCCTGGGTGACAGACCAAGATGCCATCTCGAAAAAAAAGAAAAAGAAAAAAAAAATGCAATGGCTGGTCAGGCAGGGTGGCTTACACCTGTAATCCCAGCACTTTGCAAGGCCAAGGTGGGGGTGGATCACTTGAGTCCGGGGGTTCAAGACCAGCCTGGGCAACATGGCAAAACCCCATCTCTTAAAAAAATACAAAAATTAGCCACCACAAAAAATAGCCTGGCATGGTGGCGCACACCTGCAGTCCCACCTACTTGGGAAGCTGAGGCAGGAGGATAGCTTGAGCCCGGGAGGCAGAAGTACAGTGAGCTGAGATCACACCACTGCACTCCAGCCTAGGTGACAGAGACTCTGTCTCAAAAACAACAACAACAAAAATGCAATGGCAGTTTATTATTTATGACAAAGGGGTTGATACCCTTACAAGCCTAAATGTGTTAGGAACTCAAATATCAATAGGAAAATGATGAATGCTAATACTAATGGAAAAATGGGCAAGAAGAAAAAATATGATCAACACATAAAAACCTGTAGTTTTGTTAGTTATATTATCTATGCTGCATAATAACAATTACCACAAACTCAGTAGCTTGAAATAACACCCATTCATTATCTCACAGTTCTATAAATCAGAAGGCTGGGTGGCTTCACCAATTTCTCTGCTCAGGGTGTCACAGGGCAGAAATCAACGTGTTAGCTGGGCTGCATCCTCAGATGGAGGCTTGGCTAGGGAAGGATCTGCTTCCAAGCTCTTTCAGACTGGTGGCAGAATTCATTTCCTTGCAGCTTCATTTCATGACAGCTTGCTTCTTTAAGGCCACAGTGAGTTTCTGCTGCTTTGAGTTTCCAATGTCAAGGAGTCCTTTGAAAGGACTCACCTGATTAGGTAAGGCCCACCTAGAATAATATGGTTTTTTGTTAACTCCAAGTCAATTCATTAGCAACTTTTATTACATCTAAAAAATCTTTTCACTTTTGGAATATTCTATTCTTGTTTCTAAACAAGTCATAGGCATTCAAGGGGGGGGTATTATCCAAAGATGTGACTCACTGGGGGTCACTTCGGGGTGTGTTCACCACATAATAATCAAAGGAAAGCAAATTAAAGCATCGTGAACTGCCATTTTTGGTCTGTCACACTGACAAGGATTTTTTTTAAATCCCAAACCTGAAAATTCCCAGTGTTGGTAGAGTGTGGGAAAGTTGCCCCTTTCATAGCCTGTTACAAGGAGTGTCAAATGATACAACATTCTGAAAAGCAGTTTGGAAAAATTTGCCAAAGCCTTAAAACCCTAATCTCTTTGATTCAGCAAACCTTCTGCTAGAAATTATCCTATGAAAGTACTTATGGATAATATACACAAACATTTAACCACGGTATTCTACACTGAAGCTTTCTTTCTTTCTTTTTTTTTTTTTTTTTTGAGACAGGGTCTCACTTGATCACCCAGGCTGGAGCGCAGTGATGTGATATTGGCTCACTGCAACCTCCACCTCCCAGGTTCAAGGAATTCCCATGCCCCAGTCTCCGGAGGAGCTGGGACTGCAGGTGCATGCCATTACGCCTGGCTAAATTTTGTATTTTTACAAAATACAAAAGATGGGTTTTGTCATGTTGGCCAGGCTGGTCTTGAACTCTTGGCCTCAAGTGATCCACCTGCCTTGGCCTCCCAAGTGGTGGGATTACAGGTGTGAGCCACCTCGCCCAGCCTGAAATCTCTTTTCTAAGCACTGAGAACATAGCCACGAACAAGAGACATAAATTCCTGCGCTGCCTCATGGAAGAGGAAGGTCTGGGACAATCTGTGAGACCAGGGATGGTATCAATCTCAACCTCCTATCTCTCCAAGGAGCAGAGGAGAGCAAGTTCGGCCCTGAGCTACTGAACCATAAAGTCTTCAGGTGCCCTGGAAAAGCCAGCCAAGGGCATTAGAGGGAAGGACAGACATCCAGTGAAACTTCACTTAGTGTCTCTTGGGCACCTGCAGGTGCCTCAGCATCAGAGAAAGTTCTGGTGTCCATTTCTGTCCCTGGGTATATTGGAAAGATATGCATGTTTTATTAAGCTCAGAATAATAATTCAATATTTGTATATAAATCCGAAGCTTCACTTCAGCATTATGAAGGCTAGTGAGATGCAAGGCTAATGTGATAATGTAGGAAGATTCCTTTGCCATTAATCCCATGAATCATACATGTCTCCTCTAAGAGCCTGAAATATGAATATTTTAGTACAAGCGAAATATCAATAAAGTCAAGTCTCACTAATTGGGACAAACCAGAAGTCAGACTACATTAGAAAATATTTTAAACTCAAGGTCACCGTTTTTATAGTACATACATGTCTATATGTAGATTATATTAAACACCTATAAAATTAACGAAGTATATGAGTCACTGTCAAATAGCTGCTTTCACACAGAGATAAAGAGCCTGGGAATTTAAAAGCTGATTTGTCAGTACGCCTACAGATGCAGCTAATGTCTGAAAGAACAGTTTTGGAAAATAAATAAAACCACCCATGCACAACTGTGGATACCTTCAATTTGCTAGTATATCTTTTTCTCACAGACGATTATAATGGCTGTCTTCATTCCAGTTGGGATCCTTAATGTAAGTTTCAGCTTCTAAACTACAAACTGTAGAGTTCACCAACTTGTAATTGTCACATTTTGCAGGGCAGAGGAATCCCCTACTTTCCCAAGTGTGAATTACTTGGATTATGTCAGTACCTTAAATTAGCAAGGACTCTTTTTGTTCTTCAACTTTTATTTTAGATTTGGGGTAGGTACATTGCAGTTTTGTTACATGGGTATATTGCTTGATGCTGAGGTTTGGGGTACAACTGATCCAATCACCCAGGTGGTGAACACAGTACCCAACAGTTGTTCAACCCTTCCTTCCCGCCCTCCATGCCCCACAGTAGTCCATGATGTCTATTGTTGCCATCTTTATGAAGGACTCCTTTTTAAATTAAATTTTATTTTTTTGAGACACAGTCTCGCTCTGTTGCCCAGGCTGGATGGAGTGCAGTGGTGCGATCACAGCTCACTGCAGCCTCAGCCTCTCAGGCTCAAGCGGTCCTCCCACCTCTTAAGCTCCCAAGTAGCTGAAACCACAGGTGCACATCACTACACCCGGAGGATTTTTGTATTTTCTGCAGAGACAGGGTTTTGCCCTGTTGCCCAAGCTGGTCTCAAGCTCCTGGATTCAAGTGATCCGCCCCTCTCAGCCTCCTGAGTAGCTGGGACCACAGGTGCTCGCCTCACTGTGTTGCCCAGGCTGGTAACTACTGAGTGAGGTTATGAAAGACTGCAGCTTTGGCCAGGCGCAGTGGCTCACGCCTGTAATCCCAGCACTTTGGGAGGCCGAGGCGGGTGGATCACGAGGTCAGGAGATTGAGACCATCCTGGCTAACACGGTGAAACCCCGTCTCTACTAAAAATAGAAAAATTAGCCGGGCATTGTGGTGGGCACCTGTGGTCACAGCTGCTCGGGAGGCAAAGAGCCAAGATTGCGCCACTGCACTCTAGCCTGGGCAACAGAGCAAGACTCTGTCTCAAAAAAAGAAAGAGAGAGAGAGAGAGAGAGAGAAAGAAAGAAAGAAAGACAGACTGCAGCTTTATCCCGGTCTCCTCACTCCTCACCCCCTTTCTATCTTTCTCTCTGAAAGAAGCCGTATGGAGAGATCCATGTGGTACAGAATTAAAGCCTCCTGCCACAGCCACATGTGTGAGCTTGGAATGAGACCTCCTGTCTCACTCGAGTCCTCAGAGACCAGAGCCCTGGCTGATGTTTTCAATGCAACCTCATGAGAGACCGCAAGCCAGAACCACCCAGCTAAACTACTCCGTGAATCCTGACCCTCACAAACTGTGTATGATAATAAATGTTTCAAGCTGCTAAACTTGAGGGGTAATTTGTTACACAGCAATAGATAACTACTAAAACATACAATCCCACACATTTCTCACCTAAACCCTGTGAGAGGCCAGGCACAGTGGCTCTCGCCTGTAATCCCAACATTTTGGGAGGCCAAGGCGGGCAGATTGCTTGAGGCCAGGAGTTCGAGACCAGCCTGGCCAATGTGGCGAAACCCTGTCTCTACCAAAAATACAAAAATTAACTGGGCGTGGTGGTGCACACCTGTACTCCTAGCTACTTGGGAGGCTGAGGCATGAGAATTGCTTGAACCCAGGATACAGAGGTTGCAGTGACCCAAGATCATGCCACTGCACTCCAGCCTGGGTGACAGAGCAAGACTAGGTCTAAAAAAAATAAACAACAAAAAAACTCTATAAAGAAGGTATTAGCCTCACTCTTTTTTTTCTCTTTTTTGTTTTTTCTTTTTTTTTGTTTGTTGTTTTTTTGTTTTTTTGTTTTTGAGACAGGGTCTGGCTCTGCCACCCAGGCTGGAGTGCAGTGGTACGATCATGGCTCAGTGTAGCCTCGGCTTCCCGGGCTCAAGTGATTCTCCCACCTCAGCCTCCTGAGTAGCTGGGACTACAGGTGCACGCCACCAAACCCAGCTAATTTTGTATTTTTTGTAGAGATGGGGTTTCTCCATGTTGCCTAGGCTAGTCTCGAACTCCGGAGCTCAGTCAATCCACCCACCTCTACTTCCCACAGTGCTGCTATTATAGACGTGAGCCACCACACCCAGCCTAGCCTCACTTCCCAATGAAGACACAGAAGATCAGTGAGATTAAGGAACCGTTATAAAACTTCTCGGCTTAACACAGAAAAAACTGGATACAAACCCAGGTCAGGCACCTGCTATCTCTGAAAAAACAAAATAATCACACTTCTCTTGCTCAAATAATCTTACCATTAAAGTCTGTCACTCTGTTATCATTTGGGAGTTCAACATCTGGTAATAATAAGAGTAGTAATTATTAAAAATATACCATGGGAAGCTGTTGTGCAACCCATAAATGTTCAAGGTTTCACGGTCATGATTTTCAAATAGAGAAATGACAACATGCGGGAAGGGAAGAGATAACTTGAAAGGAGAATCGGAAAGGGGCACAGTCAAAATCATCTGCGGTTATTTTTAGCACAAAGAAAGAACTCCTGTTGGCAGACATTGCTAAAAAGGTAGGTCCATTTTCATCGGTGGTATTTAGAAAGGCACAATGTCATTGCAAAATAATTGCTTATTAAGAACACAAATGGGCCTTGAAAATATGAAGCAGGTTTTAGAAATACAGACCCATTTCTACATGGCCCATACAGAAATAGCAGAAGGGACCACCCAGAAGCAGCGCCCTGGGGTCCGATCTCCATCAGCTTCCAAACGGTTAGTAGCAACAGCGGGTCTGCTGTGCACACGCAGCTTCCAAACACATCCCTGCACTTCCCCGCCTATTCAGAAGTTCTGGAGCCACTATAGAAAGCAGTGTAATTCGAGCCATGCTGATGGATAACAGAATTGCAGGGTGTTGAGCACGTTAAATTAGGTGTACAGCAGCAGTTTTCACTCACGGAATCCTGAAATGCTTGTGGGTCAAGGCTGGTGTGTGAGACACGTTACAAGGCCTTTGTAATTATTAACAGTTAAGGCACTGCCTTTTCAAATGATTTATCTTTTGTTTTTAAAGACAATGTAAAAGAGAGGACTTATCATAACATCCCTCACCCTCACAGGATGTGCGTATCTTGTGTACCCGTTTTATTGCGATAAAATAAATAAATAACATACATCCTATGCAATGTACCCATTTAAAGTGTATAATTCAATGACTTTTAGCATATTTACAGAGTTGCGTCACCATCACCACAATCAATTTTGGGACGTTTTCATCATGTCCAAAAGAAAGCCCATGCCCATTAGCAGTCACTCCCCATCCCTCAGTCCATCCTCCCAGCCCAAAGCACCACTCATCTACTTTCTGTGTCTATAGATTTGCCTATTCCAGATATTTCCCAAAAATGGAATTAATACAATATGTTGTCTTTTGTGACTGGATTCTTTCACTTATATTGTTTTCAGGGTTCATCTATGTGGTAGCATGCATCAGTAGTTCATTCCTTCTTATTACTGAATTAAAATATTCTGTTTTATGAATATAACACATTTTGCTTATCTATTCATCAGTTGCTAGACATTTGGGTTATTTTAACTTTTTGGCTATTGTGGATAATGTTGCTATGGATATTTGGGGTTTTCATTGTTGTTGTTGTTGTTGTTTTTGAGACGGAGTCTCACTCTGTCGCTCAGGCTGGAGTGCAGTGGCATGATCTCGGATCACTGCAACCTCTGCCTCCCGAGTTCAAGCGATTCTCCTGCCTCAGCCTCCTGAGTAGCTTGGATTACAGGCACGCACCACCACAACTGGTTAATTTTTGTATTTTTAGTAGAGATAGGGTTCTGCTATGTTGTCCAGGCTGGTCTCGAACTTACGGGTTCAAGTGATCCGCCCACCTTGACCTCCCAAAGTGCTGGGATTACATGCGTGAGCCACCACGCCCAGCCTGCTATGGACATTTGTGTGCAAGTTTTAATGGGACATATATCTTCAGTTCTCTTAGATGTATACCTAGGAGTGGAATTGCTGAGTCATATGGTAACTCTATGTTTAACATTTTGAAGAACTGCCAGACTGTTTACCAAACCAGCCACACCATTTATGTGGGTTCTGCAGTAATGTATGAGGGTACCAATTTCTCTACATCCTCGACAATACTTTGCTGGGAGATGGGGTGATAGGGGTGTGATGGCTAAAGAGGCAGAGGTTTCTTTCTGAGGTGATGAAAACATTCTCAAACATTGTGATGATGGTCATACAACTCTGTGAATATACCAAAAATCATTGATTTATATAAATTAAATGGGTAGCTTCTATGGCTTGTGAATTATATCTCAGTAAAGATTATTTAAAACAATCAAACAAAAGCAGCAAATGCCAGAGGGGTGAGGAACGGGGAGAGAGAAGTGCAGGCCAATCTGAGGTTTCATAAGTGCATCTGCTCATCCGGTCATCCACTCATTCATTTGTTCATTCATGAAGTATGCATTGAGTACCTGCAGGTACCAGACATTGTTCTAGGTGCCAGGGATACAACAGTGAATAGAACAAAGTCCTTGCTCTGAAAAATTAAACATAGTAAGGGAATGGAAGAAATATGGAAGGTGGTCAGGAAAAGCCCATCCCAGGGGGTATAGTAGTATTGAAGCTAAGACCTGAATGAAGAGCAGCAGCAAACCATGTAGAAGATCTGGAGCAAAAGCTTTCTAAACAGAAAGAACAGCAAGTGCAAAGGCCCTCAAGGCACTAGCATGCTTTTTTTTCTCTTTTGGCAGGGTCTCACTCTGTTACCCAAGCTGGAGTGCAGTGGCACAGTCCTAGCTCACTGTAACCCTGAACTCCTGGGCTCCTCCTCCCACCTCACCTTCCCGAGTAGCTAGGACCACAGGTGCATACTACCATGCCTGGCTAATTTTTTGTAGAGATGGGGTTTCGCCATGTTGGCCAGACAGGTCTCTAACTCCCGGCTTCAAGTGATCCTCCCACCTCAGCCTCCCAAAGTGCTGGGATTATAGGCATGAACCATCACACCTGGCCTAATATTATTTTAATTTTTTGAGCCATAGTCTCGCTCTGTCTCTTAGGCTGGAGTGCAGTGGCGTGATCTCGGTTCACTGCAACCTCTGCCTCCCGGGTTCAAGTGATTCATCTGCCTCAGGCTCCCGAGTGGCTGAGATTACAGGCAAGCGCCACCACGTCTGGCTAATTTTTGTATTTTTAGTAGAGATGGGATTTTGCCATGTGACCTCAAGTGATCCATCCACCTCGGCCTCCCTAAGTGTTGGGATTACAGGCATGAGCCACCATGCCCAGCCTGATAGTCTAAATACATCACATAAGAATATATGTTGCATTTTGGCTGGTGGCAGTCACTCACACCTGTAATACTAGCACTTTGGGAGGCCGAGGTGGGTGGATCACTTGAGGTCACAGGGTGAAACCCCGTCTCTAGTAAAAATACAAAAAATTAGCTGGGTATGTTGGCATGCACCTGCAATCCCAGCTACTCAGGGGGCTGAGGCATGAGAATTGCTTGAACCTGGGAGGCAGTGGTTGCAGTGAGCCGAGATCATGCTACTGCACTCCAGCCTGGGTGACAGAGCGAGACTCTGTCTCAAAAAAACAAAAAGAACATATATTCCATTTTAAATTTTCTAAGTTTTTTGGATGGTTGTTTTCCTGTGAGCTGGAAATACTGTGGTGAGTGCTTAGTCTGTCAACAAATATCATATTCTTTTAGCATAGCTATACTGTTATTGCATTAAAAAACACAATTAAAAACAGAATAATTCACATTCCACTGGATTATTGTTCAGGCCTGCATATCAGCCCAGCTACTGCTTCTGCCCAGTTCCGCTGTCTCATCCCTCACACAGGTGTGGCTCCTAAGGGCACCCCCTATCTATCATGATGTATTCTGAACTTGTCTCGATCTTGCATCCAAGAGAAAGCAGGAGTGTGGGAGTGGTTGAGAAAACAGGTGGTAAGATGGGGGTTTGGAGCTGCATTACTTTTTACCAGACTGGCACTGAGGACCCAAACCCTGCTGGTAGCTGGAACAAGCCTTTGGCATAAGGTGATATCCAATTCTTAAGACTTGCACTAGTGGCAAATTGGGATGGGATGCTTGTGGAAGGGAATATGGGGGAAATAGTAAAGACAATGACATTGGGTGGCAATTGCTAAGCTCCATGCCCTTGATAAAAAATTACAAAGGAGTAGGAATGATTAACAGGCAATTGAGAACCATGTATAAAAGCTAGAGGACCTCCTTGACAGCACACAATGAGGCAAACTTCAAGGTTCTAACCTTCAAGGATCATTATTCCTCTTTATCTCACTAGTATTGTCCCTCCAGGAACCAGACGGAACCTGGAAGATGACAGTAGACTATCACAAACCCACAGAAGTAGTAGCCCTATTGCCGCCACCACACCAGTTTTGGTATCTTTGCTAGAGCAGATTAACACAGCCCCAGGTACATTTTATGTGGACATTGATTTGGTGAATTGGTTCTCTTCTAGCCCTAGGAGAAAAGTGGATCAGAAACAGTATGCATTCACATGGAACAAACAACAGTCTACAATCACAGTTTTGCCCCAGGGCTATGTTAACTTTCAGCATCTATCAATCACAATACAGCCTGAAGAGGTCTGGACCATCTGGACATACTGTAGAACATCGCATTGATCTTTTACATCAATGACATTACATTGATTCAGCTGGGTGGAAAAAAGTGGATAGCACATTAGAGGCCTTGGAGAATGACAACACAGGCCCCTGCAGTACTGGAGCAAGGCCATGCCATCTGCAGCGGAGACTTACGTGCCTTTTGGGAAAAAATTCTGGTGTGCTACTGGCCTGATCATAGACACCAAGCGACCACATTCTAGAGGGTAGGAGATAAATCCTGCAAAGATTCAGGGGTCTCCCACATAAGATGTTTAGGGGTCCAGAGTTAGGGCATTCCAGGATATCTCATCCAAAGAAAAAGATAAATTATTGCATCTTGCACCTCCCACCATGTAGAAAGAAGTGTTAAGGCCTGATAGGCCTCTTTGGGTTCTGGACACAGTATATTCCACATCTGGAAATACTGCTCCAACCCATGCCATCAGTGCAGGTGACATAAAAGGCTCCCAGCATTAACTGGAGCTCAGAGCATAAAAAGGTTATACAGCAGGTCCAGGCAGTCTGCTACTTGGTCATTTGTGCTTCCATAGACGGTGTTAGTGTTAGTGGTAGGAAAAGATGCTGTGTGGAGTTGATGACGAGCTCTACTGGGAGAATGACAACACAGGCCCCTGCAGTATTGGAGCAAGGCCATGCCATCTGCAGTGGAGACTTATGTGCCTTTTGAGAAAAACTCCTGGTGTGCTACTGACCTGATCATAGACACCAAGTGACCATATGCCAGGAATTACCCATCATGAGCTGGGTTCTGCCAAACCCACCGAGTCACAATACCAGGCAGTCAGTAACAATGCATCCTAGGATGGAACTGGTACATCTGGGACTTAAAATAAGTAAGACCAGAAGGTACAAGCAAGTTCCACGAGCTGGCAGCCTAGACCCCCATGAACACCACTACTACCTCAACACACCTCCCCTGGTGCACCCTTCTGGTTGTAGGTAGGATCCTTTATGACCAGCTGACAAGAGGAGGAAAAATCCTATACTTGGTCAATGGAGGGTCTGCTCAGTATGTGAGTTCAAGCTGAAAATAGATGGCAGTTGCACTATAGCCCCACTTAGGGACAGCCTTGAAAGACAATGGTGAAGAAAAATCTCCATGGGCAGAGCTTCAGGAGGTGCACTTGGCCATCCACTCTTCCTGCACAGAGAGGCATCTCAAGCACAGAATATCTATGTACTCAGTGGCAGTGAGGAATGGCCTACCTGGCTAGCCAGGGCCCCGGAAGAAGAAAGGTTGGAATGGAAGATGGGGGACAGGGAGGTCTGGGGTAGGGGCATGAGGATAGGTGTCTGGAGTGGGCACCAAGTATGAAGATGTTTGTATTACATGTTAACACCCACCAGAAACCATCCACCATTGAAAAGCCACCATGTAACTAAGAGGACAAAAATATCTGGGCCAGTTGACCTTAGTCGGCCTCTGTCATCAGCCACCTAGTGCTGGTACTAAGGGCACATGCATGAAATGACTACAGTGGCAGAGACAGAGGCAGCAGGAGCCTAATAGCATGGGCTCCCACTTACGAAGCCTGATTGAGCTACTGCCACTGCTGAATGAGCCCCCAATATGGCACCATTCCTCCAGAAGACCAGCTGGCTCCACGGTGCAAGTTGACAACATGGAACCCCTTCTATCTTGGAAAAGGCAAGATTCATCCTAACCACATGGAACCCCTTTCATCTGGAAAAAGTCGAGATTCACCATGTCAAGAAAACGCATATATTCTGGGTACTGTTTACCTTTCCTGTTCTCAGGACCTTAGTCAGCACCACTATTTGAGGGCTTATCGAGTATCTGATTCACTGTCACAGGATCCCACATAACATCCATCAGGCCAGGGACCCAATTTACTGCAATGGAGGTGCAGAAATGAGTCCGTGATCAGAGGATTCCCTAAGCGATTCACAGGCTGGATCATCCAGACACTGCCAGCCTGACAGGATATCGGAATGGCTGCTGAAGGCCCACTGGAAGCAGCAGCTTGGAGACAGCACTTGATAAGGGTGGGGTTCATCTTCTAGGATACTCCTTGAACCAAAGACCTTTATATAGTGCTGGGACCTGCAGGGTTAGAGGTCTTTGTCCCCAAAGGGGAATCTTTCACCAGAGGACACAGCAAGGGTCCTCTGAGCTATAAGCTACAGCTGCCACCTGGGCACCTTGTATGCAGGGACCAGAAGACCAGAAGGGGAGTCATCTTGGCTAAGAGTAACCTACTTGGGTGCCTCTGAGTCCTCCATTGCCCAATTATGACAATAAACAGGCTTGGGAAGGGCATGCTGGTCAGGGGTTGAGATCTTCAGTCCACGAGGCAGGATGGAGGCATTAGCCACTCAAACCAGGGGAGGTGCTAGCTGAGGGAGGGGGAGATTTAGAATGGATACTGAGGAAGGAGACGATAAGTACCATTGTGACCCCCAGAAAGTTGCAGCAGCTAGGGCTGTAGTTGGTCCCAGGGACCTTTCTCTTCTAAGTTTCCAGCAGGAATCCTGGAGGAGCTGCTCCTGAAATTGGCCTGTGGAGAAGAAAGAGGTGTTGCTCCAAATATGCTGGAGTCATCTTCAAGGGTTGACTGTGGTAGTCCTTGAATCCTCCTTCCTCCACCCTCTCTTTTCTGCCCTTTCTTCTTTGGACAAATATTTACTTTCTTTCTTTTTTTTTTTTTTTTTTTTGTTTGAGATGGAGTCTTGCTCTGTCATCCGGGCTGGAGTACAGTGGTGTAATCTTGGCTCACTGCAACCTCTGCCTCCCAGGTTCAAGTGATTCTCATGCCTTAGCTGCAGGGGTAGGTGGTATTATAAGAACATGCTACCACACCCGGCTAATTTTTGTATTTTTAGTAGTGAAGGTGGGGGGAGGGTCTCGCCATGTTGACCAGGCTGGTCTTGAACTCCTGACCTCAAGTGATCCGCCCGCCTCGGCCTCCCAAATTGCTAGGATTACAGGTGTGAGCCATTGCACCTAGCCCATTGGACACATATTTCTACAAATGTTTGCTGAACATCTAAAAATAAGAAGCAAATAAATAGGCTGGACACGGTGGCTCACGCCTGTAATCCCAGCACTTTGGGAGGCCACGGCAGGCAGATCACCTGAGGTCAGGGCTTTGAGACCAGCCTGACCAACATGGTGAAACCCCATCTCTACTAAAAATACAAAAATTAGCTGGGCATGGTGGTGGGCACCTGTAATTCCAGCTACTTGGGAGCCTAAGGCAAGAGAATCCATTGAAACTGAGGGGAGGTGGAGGTTGCAGTGAGCCGAGATCGCGCCACTGCACTCCAGCCTGGGTGACAGAGTGAGACTCCGTCTCCAAAATAAATAAAATAAAAATAAGTAAATAAAAGGAAACCATAGGTCCTGCCACCAAAGCGGCTCCTAATGGAGTGGGAAAGTCATATGCCTCTAGGGAAAATCTTCTAATAGAAATGTCTTAGCACACACATTTCTGTGGTACATAACCTGGTTGTGATTGTAGAACCCTGATACATCCCAAAGCCTCAGGGGGCGTTTCATGTGTGATCAGAACAGGTCTGGTCAGGTGTCACAGACTTTGCCCATTTTTAGCCTCTCCCTCTGCTCTGAACTGCTCCACCAGGAACCCCCAGGGGCAACGAGACTCTGGGGTGAACAGCTGCTGCTGATTTGCCCAAGCCTGGGAGCTGTTGAATCTGCCCAGTGGGGGCAGGGCGGGGCAGCCGCTCTCCCCTTGTATTTCGCTTTGTCATGGGTGGGGAGGTAGGGAAGGAGGTTAGTTTGTATCCCAGTTTTTTATATGGTTTTTAGTAAAATATCCTTTTCTGTTTTTACTAAAAGTACCCTTCCCTCTTCCTTCCACTCCCATAGGTCTCAGATTCTAGTCCAGTGTGGGACTGGTTAGGAGGTAAATGCAGTGAGACATGGAATACTAAATTGCCCCTCCCACAGGCAGATTGACTGGGGGACAGGGGTCCACAGCTCTGTCGGCAACATGAGTTCAGACGTGTTCGAAGTGGGTGCAACTTAAGTTTAAGATGGGTCCTCACCTCCTTGTTCATAGAGCTACAAGAGTGAAGAAGAGGAAAGGATTAATTCATCCTGCAGAATTGAGAAAGAGCTTACAAAAGAAATGTCACTTGGGCCAGGCGTGGTGGCTCATGTCTGTAATCCCAGTACTTTGAGAGGCCAAGGTGGGAAGATCACTTGAGGCCAGGAGTTCGAGACCAGCCCTGGGTAACCCTGCCCCTACAAAAAAAAATAGCTGGGCATGGTGGCACATGACTGTAGTCCCAGCTACTTGGGAGGCTGAGGCAGGAAGATTGCTTGATCCCAGGAGTTCGAGACTGCAGTGAGCTGTGATGGCACCACCGCACTCCAGCCTGGGAAACAGAGTGAGACCTTGTCTTAAACAGAACAAAAGAATTGTCACTTGATCTGGGTTTTAAAGAGGGCTGTCAGATGGGGAAGGGAATTTCAGACAGAGGGAAGAGCAAAAGCGCAAGGCCCTTAGAGTGCTTGTTAGTTCAGACAAAGCTCTTGCTTCAGGGAATTTACACTCCAATGCAGTGAGATCAGCAATAAACAAACATGTGCATCCTGTTAGGCAGTGATAAATGCCAAGAAAAAAAATCAAACAAGGTGATAGGGCGTCTGGGAGTGGCATGGGTGCTATTTTAGGTGGAGAGGCTAAGGCCGGCCTTTCTGCAAATGTGTTTTTTGAGCAGAGACCTGAATGAAGTGAGGAAGTACGCCACGCGGGTAACAAGAGAAGGCCATTTCAGGCAGAGGGAAGAGCCAGAGTGCAAAACTCTGAGAGGAGCAGGCTTGTGTGCTCAAGAAGGCCTATGTATCTGGGGAACAGTGAGAGAAGAGGGCAGTGGGAGGAGAGGGAGCCACCATAGGGCTTTGAGCAGAGGTCATGATCAGTCCATCAGTTTGGAGAAGAGGCTTCTGGAAACATGGGCAGAAACAGAAAGACCAGTTAGGAGGCTTTGCAATGATCCAGGCGAGAGAGGACAGGGTCCTGAGTGAAGGTGATACCAGCAGAGGAGCAAAGGGGTGTTGGAGGATATTGCTGGATTCTGGTTATCTTTTGAAGGTAGAGTCAACGGGATTTGTTGATAGACTAGATAACATTGGAAAGGTAGGTTGTTGCTGAATTGGGAATTGAGACAATTTCTGAACATACCACTTCCCTCTTAAAAATTTCGTGTTAAAGTCCAGACTCATTAGCAGTCATTTATTCATTTGCTTATTCATTCAACACATACTGATTGAATGCCTAGTATGGACCAGGCATTGTGCTAGGTGTTGCAGGTAGACACAAAATTTAAAAGTAGGGCATACTGGCCGGGCGCGGTGGCTCACGCCTGTAATCCCAGCACTTTGGGAGTCCGAGGCGGGCGGATCACGAGGTCAGGAGATCGAGACCATCCTGCCTAACACTGTGAAACCCCGTCTCTACTAAAAATACAAAAAAATTAGCTGGGCGTGGTGGCGGGCGCCTGTAGTCCCAGCTACTCGGGAGGCTGAGGCAGAAGAATGGAGTGAACCCGGGAGGCGGAGCTTTCAGTGAGCTGAGCTCGCGCCACTGCACTCCAGCCAGGGTGACAGAGGGAGACTCTCTCTCTCTCAAAAAAAAAAAAAAAAAAAAGGGCATACTTTCTGCCCTTACAGATCTTCAGTCAGATGGGTGACACAGACAAGTACTTAGGTTATTACAACCCATGTGACAATTGCTACCATGGGGAAATACAGGGGGAAATAGGGGCATATAGGAAAGGTATCTAATTGGAATTGGCAAGGCTCCACTCGTACCTTACCCCGAGGTCAGCTCAGTTTTGAAGTTCACTCTAGCAGTGCTGACCATTGCGGGGCTGTGAGACAGTACAGTCTGAGCTCGGTCATCAGCGGGTGGCCAGCTTTGTCTCTGCCGCTCCGCGGCCCGGGCTTACTCGAAGGTCCCCGGGGAATAGCCTCACCTTTGCCCCACTTCCCAGTCTAGCCCCTAACTTCCCGCCGTCTATTGGCTGCGCAGCCGCCCAATGGGCAGGCGGAAACCGCGGGCTCGTGCTCCCGGCCTAGGGCGTCTTATCTCGTTCGCGCGTCTCGCGAGCATTAGGTGACTGGCTGAGGCGGCGCCAGTTGGCCGGGCACGGGGCTGCTGTAAGGCCGAGGTTGCGGCGGAAGCGGAGACCATGTTCCGAGCGGCGGCTCCGGGGCAGCTCCGGCGGGCGGTGAGTCCGGACTGGGAAGGCGAACCCAGGGACGGCCCCCCGTCAACCCGCCGTCCCTATGGGGTCTTGCAAAGATCACTGGCCCCCTCAGATTCGACCAGCCCTCGCGCCCGCAGGCCGGTCCCCGCCTGGGACTTGGGTCCAAAGTTCTGGGGCCTACCCTGGACTCCCTGCGGAACGCCAGTTCGGGGCAGAAGTCAGAGGTTTGGGGTCAGGGTGACCCCGAATGATGTGAATTTGCGCGTCTGCTGCCCCTTCTTCTGGCCCACTCTCTGCCCTGCCGTTTCCCACCTTTGTCGGTCACTCTGGGCACTTTCGGGCCGCCAGGTCCTCCACACTTGCTCCACACCCGAGGGAGCAAAATGTCACCGGGGAATGCCCTGTTGGGGAAAGTTTCAAACCTAGATTCCTCCCGGAGGCCGGCATTTCTGGAAGAATTAAACACTTTGGGCGCATCGTGGCTACTCCGACCCACTCACTGTCAAGGGCGGGGGTGGGGTGGGGTGGGAGGCTGCGTGGCCAGTTATGGAAGCTGGTTCTGCTTTCTGGTTTATGGAGCAGGGCTGAATTTAGGTGATTGTATTTGTAAAACCTGCGATCCGATTTGACAGCTTTAGCCAGTTTTGAAAGGCAGACGTCTTTTTATATGCTTCAGGCTGACCTGCTTTTAACCAGCAGATTGTAGATTAGGTTAACTGGTGACAGTGGTACATTTTCAGTGTTTCATTAGTGACAAACCACATTTCTCTCTTCTGTTGTGAGAAGGACTGATAGGAAACATATTTTCCTTCTCATGCTGTGGGAAAGGAGTATTTGGAGACTGACCAGTCACAAGTCAAGTAACAATAATTTATATTGTGGATTGTGTAGTTTTCCTAGTTTACATTTAGGTGAAATGAGAAACAAGATTGGTAAACTTGGGTCAGAAACTTACCTGATGGTTTGTACCTTTTCTCCTTTTTTTTTTTTTTTTTTTTTTTCTGGGCATGGATATTTTCCCATCCACTCCTGGGATTTTTCTCTCTGAGGCATAGCTGGAGCTCTTTCTAGATGTCTGTAGACATTAGACTTTTGTTTGTTTGTTTGTTTGTTTGTTTAAGAGACAAGGTCTGGCTCTGTTTCCCATGCTGGAGTGGAGTGCAGTGGCACGATATGGGCTCACTGCAACCGTCGCCTCCCAGGTTCAAGCGATTCTCCCACCTCAGCTTCCCGAGAAGCTGGGATCACAGGTGCGCATCATCACGCCTGGCTAATTTTTTTTTTTTTTTTTTTTTTTTTTTTGTAGAGACGGGGTTTCCCCATGTTACCCAGGCTGGTCTCGAACTCTTGTCCTCAAGTGATCCACCTGCCTCGGCCTCCCAAAGTCCTGGAATTACAGGCCTGAGCTACCGCACCTGGCCTTAGACATCTTTTTTCTTGTGCGTATTCCTTGTTTAATAAAAAGTTCTGACCCTCCCCTCCCCTAAAGAGTTCAAACCCATGTCTTTCAGGTTAGTGTCCTGTCTTCCCCTCAGGACATGTTTTCTCCCGGTTGGGGATCTAGACATAAACAAGTGAAAATCATGAATTTGGGGAAATTCCAGGAACCTGAGCCAGAAGAATGCTGCTCTATGCAGCAGTTGGAAAACAGTTTTGTGGACAGATTACAAGTCTGGCCTAAGTGAAATTATAATTGTGGTGGGGGATGGAATTTAGGACTCAGTAATTTTGTAGAGCTAACAGAAAAAAATGGAATGATTAAGTAATTTTTACTATCCACATCGTTGGCTAATGTGTATAGACATTACTTCCAGATATTCATTGTGGTTTGCCAAAGACTTTGACCTTGACTTATTTTTAAAATTTGAAGTCAAGCTAAGTAGAATAGCTGTTTTTTTTGTTTGTTTGTTTGTTTGTTTTGAGACGGAGTCTCGCTCTGTCGCCCAGGCTGGAGTGCAGTGGCGCGATCTCAGCTCACTGCAAGCTCCGCCTCCCGGGTTCACGCCATTCTCCTGCCTCAGCCTCCTGAGTAGCTGGGACTACAGGTACCCGCCACCACGCCCCGCTAATTTTTTTGTATTTTTAGTAGAGACGGGGGTTTCACTGTGTTAGCCGGTATGGTCTCGATCTCCTGACCTCATGATCCGCCCGCCTTGGCCTCCCAAAGTGCTGGGATTACAGGCGTGAGCCACCGCGCCCAGCCTAGAATAGCTGTTTTAAAGTCATTAAGAATGTTGGAGAGATTTGGATTTCTAGCATAAAAGAAATGGTGGCAACACTTCTAAAGTGGACCCATATATTAATAGGGACATATACCTGTATTTAACTTTTTAAATTTTGAAATAGTTGCACTTATAGAAAAGTTGCAAGAATAGTACAAAGAAATCTCAAAACCCTTCCCCTGGTTTTCCCAGCATGTTAGCAGTTTGACACATTTGCTTTATCTTTCCACATATATACATAATACTATCTTTCTGAACCATTTGAAAGTATGTTGCAAATGTGCCCTTTACTCCTAAATAATTGAGTGATATTTTAAAAGAACAAAGAGGTTCACTTTCTAACTACACTGTAATTGGCAATATCTGGAAGTTTCACCATAAAATACTGTTTTCTAATCTATGGATGTTCAATTTTGCCAGTTGTCCCATTAGTACAGTTTATAGCAATTTTCCTTATTCTGGTCTAAGATACTCTAGATGTCCTGCAAGTGGTTTTCATGTCTCTTTACTCTGTTAGAAAGGTTCCTCAGCCTTCCTTTGGGTTTGATGACATTGGTGTATTTGAAGAGTACAGGCCTTCTATTTTCCAGACTGTCACTCAATTTGGGTTTGTCTGGTGTTTCCTCATGATTAGATTCAGGTCATGTATTCTTGGTGGGAATATCACAAAAGTGGTATTGTGTTCCCCGTGCATCATATTAGCAGGTACTTAATGTTGGTTTATCCCATTAGTGGTAATGCTGACTTTAGTTACTTAGCCAAAGTGTTGTTTGCCAGGTTTCTCCACTGTCAAGTTAATACTCCTCCTTTTGTAATTTTTAACTAATTTGTGAGGCGATTCATTGAGACTATGTGACTGTCCTATTTCTCATCAGACTTTTACCCAGTCTTAGCATCTGTTGATGATTTTTGCCTGAGAAATGATTACTATGATGCAAAATGGTGATTTTCTATTTCCATGATACCTTCGTACATTTTTTAGTTATTCTACTATAAGGAAGAACATTATCTTCTTGCATATTTATGGATTTATGGATACATGGATCCTTATTTAGGATAATACATTTCTACCTTATGCTGAAGTTGTCTCATGTTTGTAAAGTGGGGCCCATTCAATCTGACTCCTGTTTGTTTACATATATATGTTTGTGATATCACAAAGTCAAAATAGCTTATCTCAAGTCCCCACTCTTGAAATTAAAAAAAAAATGTTCTGTAGCTAACCATTAATGCATTTAGGAAGAGGATACATTTCCAAAACCATATTTAAAAAAATAAAGTTAGGAATTACAGTTAAAAGATTACCATAAACTGTTAACGATGTGCATATAGTTAACACTTAACACTTAAAAATGGTTAAGATGGGGCCAACCATGGTGGCTGACACCTGTAATCCCAGCACTTTGGGAGGCTGAGGCAGATGGATCACCTGAGCTCAGGAGTTCGAGACCAGCCTGCGCAACATGGCGAAACCCCATCTCTACCAAAAAAAAAATTAGCCAGGCGCCATGGTTCACACCTGTAGTCCCAGCTACTTGGGAGGCTGAGGCACGAGACTTGCTTGAACCTGGGCATTTGAGGCTGCATTGAGCCCAGGTAGCACCACTGCCCTCCGGCCTGGGCAACAGAGTGAGACGCTGTTTCAAAAAAAAAAAAAAAGGTTAAGATGGTAAATTTTATGTATTCTTTTAAACCACTTTGTTAAACTATTAGGATATAAGTTCAATGACTTGCATTTGGTATCTAAGTTCCATTTTTAGTTCTGACTGATTTGTGCCATTGAGTAAAGTCTTTCATCCTTATGTGTGTGGCAATGGTCTTTAAAGTCATCTGTTAACAAAGATAGTTTTTATATCTATAATAAAGAGCTAGAGAACACACCAAGAGGCAAATAGGTAGGCATTTGCAGTTAGTTAATATTCTTGCAGGGATATTAATCCTAATTATTGTTATTTATTAATTTGCTCTTGAAATTGATTTATTGAAGAATAAGAAGATGCAGAAAAATATTTATGTGGTGAGTGAAACAACAATTTCAAGGTCATTTGAGTACTCTTTTTACTGTGTTTATTGTCAGGTGGGAAGGAATATCTATCAGGACTGAGAAGCTATGAAACTGGTGTGAAGGAACATGACACTTTTCTGTCTAGTATTGATGAATAAGATTGAACTCTGTAATTTGCATGCAAATTTTAATTTCTATTGAAAGAAGAAAGAGAGCCAATTTTGGTGTGATTCTAAAAGAAAATTTATTGCATAAGGTGAATTCAGTAAAATTATGATGCCTGCCAATGTGTCTACTAAGAGTCTTGTCCTTTCTTAAAGTGAAGTAAATTGACTGTGTTTTTAGTATTACAGTCAATGTCATATAACATTTCTGGTCATGATTAAAAGCTGCTATATTTTATTACTAAAAGGATTAAAGGAAGTATTTAAAGTACAGAAATATACATTTTAAAAATTACAAAATGTATGTTAAAATAGGGATAGGTGACTTTATATATTATCCTTTTGGGTATGACTCAGAAAGATTTTATAGCTTATTCTTGCTGTTTTTCTTTTTTTAATTAAGAAGCAAAAAAACCGGCTGGGTGCAGTGGCTCATGTCTGTAATCCCAGCACTTTGGGAGGCTGAGGTGGGTGGATCACGAGGTCAGGAGTTTGAGATTAGCCTGACCAACATGGTGAAACCCGTCTCTACTAAAAATACAAAAATTAGCTGGGTGTGGTGGTGCGTGCCTGTAATCCCAGCTACTTAGGAGGCTGAGGCAGGAGAATTGCTTGAACCCAGGAGGCGGAGGTTGGAGTGAGCTGAGATCGCGCCACTGCACTGCAGTCTGGGCGACTGAGCGAGACTCTGTCTCAAAAAAAAAAAAAAAAAGAAGCAAAAAAACCCTCCCCTGCCCTCTATACCCTCATTACACCTAGTTTCCAAAGATGGTTGGGGTGGAGGTATAGGTTACAATCATTCTTACTACTTTAGGTTATGAGTGGGTTTGTAAGGGTAGAGAGTTAGATTCCAGCTTTTTTTCTTCTTCTACCATCTGTGGTACTTTACTATGTGAATATACAGTTCAAGTCACAGCAAGAACTCTAAAAAACTGACAAGCAAAAACAATGTCAAAAATGAGGCTGATGCTGGGCACAGTGTCATGTGCCTGTAGTCACAGCTACTCATGTGGCTGAGGCAGGAGGATCACTTGAGTCCAGGAGACCAGCCTGAGCAACATAGCAAGCAAGACCCAGTCTCAAACAAATACCCACCCCCACAAGAAAAAAAAAAAAACAACTATTGAGGTTGAAAAAGAGAAGGACCAAAATGTGTTCATTGGACTTAGCCATAATGAAGTTTTTGGTGACTTTGGAAAGATTGGATTCAGTGTTGTGAAGGTGAAAGCCAGTTTGCATGAGTAACTGAAAAAATGGAAGGTGAGGTAATAAGAGTTGGTGTCTGTGGAAATTATTTTCAAGAAATTTAGCTTTGAAAGGGTGCAGAGAGGGTGATAACCTCTTTAAATCCTGCCCACAAGAAGTATACTATCTTATAAAGGCCAGTCAACTTTATATGGGTATGTGGCTGGCATGAGAAAGAAAACTTCATATTTTGCTATTTGCAACCAAGTCTAAACAGAGTATAGAGAACTTCTCTAAAAGCATGATGGTGTGTCTGTTTTAGTGATGTAACAGTTTATGTACTGTTTAGTTACCCTTATACATGTTTAGTTGATTACATTATCAATGAGGAAACAGTTGCTTTTTAGTTTTTGATAATTTTAAGAAAAGTTTTCATTTAGTTACTATTCATTGAGTGCCAACTGTGTGCCAGAGAGGTAGATACCAAGTTCACAGTGGAGAACAAGACAGACCTAGTCCCTGCCCTTGTGATGCAAACAGATTAAGGAAGAAACACATTATTTTAAGTGTGGTCATTGTTACAGAACATAGAGGGTGTTTGGGAGAGGTTTAATCTTGTTAGAGGACTGGAAAACACTGAAAGGATATCTGTGAAATTATGTTTGCACACTGAGGTGCCTTAAACTATTGTTACTGAGTGATAAAGTAATAGAGCGGAGGATTTTCTTTCTTTCTTTCTTTCTTTTTTTTTTTTGAGACAGAGTCTCACTGTTGCCCAGGCTGGAGTGCAGTGGCGCCATCTCGACTCACTGCAGCCTCTGCTGCCTGGGTTCACGCCATTCATCTGCCTCAGCCTCCCAAGTAGCTGGGACTACAGGTGCCCGCCACCACGCCCGGCTAATTTTTGTATTTTTAGTAGAGACGGGGTTTCACCATGTTAGCCAGGATGGTCTCGCTCTCCTGACCTTGTGATCTGCCCGCCTCGGCCTCCCAAAGTGCTGGGATTACAGGTGTGAGCCACCGCTCCTGGCCGAGGATTTTCTTTAGATAAAAACATCACTTCATTTTTTAGTTTTGTCTAAAATCATTTATCATTGCTGTATTTTTTCCCCCAATTTTTTTTTTTTTTTTTTGAAATAGAGTCTTACTCTCACCCAGGCTGGAGTGCAGTGGTGTGATCTTGACTCGCTGCAGCCTCAACCTTCTAGGCTTAAATGATCCTTCCATCTCAGCCTTCCAAGTAGCTGGGGCTACGGGAATGCGCCACCACATCTGACTAATTTTTTAATTTTTATCTTTCATAGAAACAGGGTCTTACTGTATTGTCCAGGCTGGTCTTAAACTCCTGGGCCAATTTTAGGTTTGCAGGGTATCTGTGCAGATTTATTATGAGTAAACCGTGTGTCCTGGGGGTTTGATGTACAGATTATTTTGCCGCCCAGGTAATGAACATAGCATCCAATAGGTAATTTTTTGATTCTCACCCTGCTCCCACCCTCCACCCTCAAATAGGCCCAGGTATCTATTGTTCCCTTCTTTGTATCCATAGGTATTTGATGTTTGGCTGCCACTTACAAGAGAGAACATTCCATGTTTGGTTTTTCTGTTCCTGCATTAATTCACTTAGGATAATGGCCTCCAGCACTGTCCATGTTGCTCTAAAGGACATGATCTCATTCTTTTTAATGGCTGTGTAGTATTCCATGGTGTATATATACCACATTTTCTTTACCCAGTCCATCCCTTGCATGGGCATCTAGGTTGATTCCATGTCTTTGCTACTGTGAATAGTGCTGCCATGAACATGCACATGCATGTATCTTTATGGTAGAATGGTTCATATTCCTTTGGGTATATTCCCAATTATGGTATTGCTGGGTCGAATGTTCTAAGTTCTTTGAGAAATCGCCACATTGCTTTCCGCAGTGGCTGAACTAATTTACATCCTCACCAGCAGTATATAAGCGTTCCTTTTCTCTGCAACCTTGCCAGCATCTGTTGTTTTTTGAGTTTTAAATAATAGCCATTCTGACTGGTGTGAGATGTCTCATTGTGGTTTTTATTTGCATTTCTCTAATGATTAGTTAATGTTGAGCATTTTTTTATATGCTTGTTGGCCACATATGAGAAGTGTCTGTTGATGTCCATTGCCCATTTTTTAATAGGGTTGTTTTTTGCTTGTTGATTTAAGTTCCTTATAGATTCTGGTTATTAGACGTTTGTCAGATGCATAGTTTGCAGATTTTTTTTTACCATTCTGTAGGTTGTCTGTTTACTTTGTTGATAGTTTATTTTGCTGTGCAGAAGCTCTTTAGTTTAATTAGGTCTCACTTGTAAGTTTTTATTTTTGTTGCAATTTCTTTTGGAGTGTTCGTCATGAAATCTTTGCCAGGGTCTATGTTCAAAATGCCATTTCCTATGTTTTCTTCTTGGGTTTTTATAGTTCGAGGTCTTACATTTAAATCATTTTTTGTTTGTTTGTTTTTTGAGATGGAGACTTGCTTTGTCACCCAGGCTGGAGTGCAAGGGTGCAATCTTGGCTCACTGCAACCTCCGCCTCCTGGGTTCAAGCAATTCTCCTGCCGCAGCCTTCGGAAGAGCTGGGATTACAGACTCCTGCCACCACGCCCAGCTAATTTTTGTATTTTTAGTAGAGACAACAGGGTTTCACCATGTTGGCCAGGCTGGTCTCGAACTCCTGACCTTAGGTGATCCACTCGCCTCGGCCTCTCAAAGTGCTGGGATTGCAGGTGTGAGCCACTGCACCTGGCAGAAGTTTTTTTGTTTTGTGTTGTTTTGTTTTTAAGTAGAGTTTGGCCTGTGTGGTAGTACACATCTGTAGTCCTAGCTACTCAGGAGGCTGAGGCAGGAGGATCCCTTGGGCCCAGGAATTGGACGCCAGCCTGGGCAACATAGAAAGACACTGTCTCTAAAAATAAAATTTTTTGAAAATAGACTTTATGTTTTAGAGCAGTTTTAGGTTCACAGCAAAATCCAATGGAAAGTACAGAGAGTCTTCCTGGTCCACACACCCACAACCTCCTCCACTGTCAACATACAGCACCAGAGTTGTCCATTTGTTACAATTAATGAATTTACATTGACATCAGCATTTCCCAGAGTCCATAGTTTACATTAGGATTCACTCTTTGTGTTGTACCTTCTATGGGTTTGGACAAATGGATAATGACAGGTATCTACCATTATTATATCATACAGAATAGTTTCACTGCCCCCGCCCCCACTCCCCCTGGAAAAAACAAAACAACAACAACAAAAAACCTCTATGCTTTGTTCTCCTAATCCCTGGCAGTCACTGATCTTTTTACTGTTTCTATAGTTTTGCGTTTAACAGAGTGTCATATAGTTGGGATTAGACAGCATGTAGCCTTTTCAGACTGTTTTTTTTTTCACTAAGTAATATGCATTCAAGGTTCCTCCATGTCATTCTCATTTCTTGTTACTGCTGAATAAGATTCCATTGTATGAATATTTATTCACTTACTGAAGGACATTTTGGTTGCTTCCAAGTTTTGGCAGTTATGAATAAACCTGCTGTAGACGTCTGGTTTTTGTGTGGACCTAAGTTTTCAACTCATTTGGGTACGTACAAAGGAGTGCAGTTGCTAGATTGTATGGTAAGATTATGTTTAGTTTTATAAGCAACTGCCAAACTGTCTTCCAAAGTGGCTGCACCAGTTTGCATTTTTACCAGCAATGAATGAGAGTTTCTGTTGTTCCACATCCTTACTAGCATTTGGTATTGTCAGTGTTTTGGTTTTTTACCATTCTAATAAGTGTGTAGTGGTATCTCGTTTTAATTTGCAATTTCCTAGTGAGCATCTTGATGTTGAGCATCTTTTCATATGCTTCTTGGCCATCTTCTTTGGTGAGGTACCTGTTCAGATCCTTTCCCCCTATTTAAATCAGATTGTTCATTTTTTATGTTGACTTTTAAGGGTTCTTTATTTTTTTTAGATAAGTCTTTTATCAGATATGTCTTTTGCACATATTTTGTCCCAGTCTATGGCTTGTGTTCTCATTCCTTTGATGAAGAGGTGTTTGTTTTGTTTTGTTTTGTTTTGTTTTGAGATGGAGTCTCTCTCGCCTAGGCTGGAGTGCAGTGGTGTGATCTCGGCTCACTGAAACATCCACCTCCAGGGTTCAAGTGATTCTTGTGCCTTAGCCTCCTGAGTAGCTGGGACTATGGCGTGTGCCACCATGCCCAGCTAATTTTCGTATTTTTAGGAGAAATGGGGTTTCACTCTACTGACCAGGCTGGTCTCGAACTCCTGACTTCAGGTGATCCATCGGCCTCGGCCTCCCAAATTGCTGGGATTACAGGCGTGAGCCACTGCGACTGGCCAACGAAGAGTTCTTTAAAAAAAATGTTCACTTCCCTTATTGGTGTCAGCTCTGTGCTGGATACTGGAGTCTAGGGTTATAGTGGTAAGAAATATCAGACATTGCTCCTGTACTCAGTATCAAAGGGGGACGAGAAGACAATCAGGTGAATATGATCAGGTGTGATAAGTGCTGTAATGAAGGCAATTACAAGGTACCATGTTGGTGCTAGCAAAGCTAACTAGTCCGAGACGGTCCAAAGAAGGCTTTTATGTGTAGCTAACATTTATTGAGGATTAATATGTTCCAGGCATCATTCTAAGAGCTTTACATTTATTAATTTAACCCTCACAACAACTCTATGAGATATTAATATTATTATCATCATCTCCATTTTACAGTCAGAGAACTGAGGTACTGAGACGTTATGGTGGAGGTGGGATTCAAACCCAGGCAACGTGGCTGGCTCCAAAGCCTGTACTCTACCACTGCAACTGTACTAATGCTTTTTGGAGGAATTGACCTTTCAGCAGAAAACCTAAGGATGATTAATTGGAATTTAGTAGGGTAACAGGGAAAGAGGTCCACTAGGCAGAGGGAGCAATGTGTGGGAAGGCTGGAAGTCTGAGAGAGCAGGGCAAGTTCAAGTATCTGAAAATAAGGCATAAATGGAGTGAGGGATATATGGTTAGGGAGGTAGATCACGCCATAAAATAAACACATGATAAACCAACCTAAGGAGTCTAGTTTACCATATCCAGAGGAGGCAGAAAGCAATAGCAGTGTTTTAAGCAGGGGAGAATAACATGTTAGATTTGTGTCATGGAACGATCACTGAGAGAAATAGATTGGTAGGAAGCAGAATTGTAGGTTAGAAACAAGCTGGGTTGGGAGACTCTGTGGGGTAATAGAGGAGAAGGATAATGGCCTGCACTAGGATATTGGCATTGACGATGGAGAGAAGTGAATGGATTTAGGAGTAGCTCTCTTTAGAAGGAAGAATTGTTATGACTTGAGTGGTTGGTTAGATGTAAGGTTGAGAGAAAACCCAGACATGATTCTCTGGTCATGGTTGGGGCAGATCGAAGTCTGGAGAAGTAGCAGTATGGGGAAGGGGCTGGAGGAACAGAGGGAAAACATGAGTTAAAGTTTAAATTTGCTGAGATGGAAAGTGTTTGATGAGACAGGCAAGTTAAGCACTTAGATATACAGATGTAACCATATTATAAGTCTAGCACTTAGGAAAGAGCTTTGAACCCTATTTGAGATTTATATATATAAAATATTTGAGCCACTCTTCTATAGGGGTTAAATTAAGCCATGGAAGGCAGAAGGGAGTAGTCAGTAACTTTAAACATTGCTGAGATAACAAGTAACATAAAGCCTGAAAAGGGTTTGTTGGTAATTTGGGTGAGGGCAAAAACCAGATGCAAGTAATTGAGGAGGGAGTGAGAATGAGGAATTAGAGAAGCTAGAGTTGAATGTGGGTTTGTGGCTTTTTAGCAGGATTGTTGCAAATGGGGAGAGCCTCAATCATGTTTAAATGTTGATGAGAAGGAACCAGGGTAAAGGGAGAAGCTGGAGACATGACTGGGAAGTGTAGATTACAGTCTCTGAGTAGATTCGAGAGAATGGAATCTAGATCCCAGATGAAGGGATTAGACCCAGGAGAAAGGATCCACAGCAGCTTCCATTGTGATAGGGCAAGGACAGGAATTGTAATAGGGCAGGGACAGGAATTTCTATGTTGAGTATCAGAAAAGGAAATCAGGTCCCTTGATGGCTTTAGTTGTCATTGTGAAGTAGGAGGTGAGGCTACCTTCTAAGAGTAGGGGGCAGAATGTGTTGGCAGTTTAAGAAACATCAGGAGGCAGGCACAGTGGCTCATGCCTGTAATCCAAGCACTCTGGGAGGCCAAGGTGCGAGGATCGTTTGAGCCCAGGAGTTCAAGACCAGCCCAGGCAACACAGCAAGACCCTGCCTCTACAAAAAATAAATAATTGGCTGGACATGGTGGCGTGTACCTGTGGTCCCAGCGACTTGGGAGGCTGAGATGGGAGGAACGCTTGAGCCTGGGAGGTTGAAGCTGCAGAGAGCTGTGATTGTGCCACTGTATTCAAGACTGGGTAATAGAGGGAGACTTTGTTTCCAAAAAAGAAAAAGAAGAAACATCAGGAGAGGATATTTGAAATCATTGCTGTGGAGGGTGAGAGTGCGAACAAGGAAGTTGTGGTAGCATTGCTAGACAGTTTTGAGAGCCCAGGTAAGGCTGATGACTAAGAATTTATGGATGGCATAGGCCTGCATAGTTAATTTTTATTTAAATAGCAGTGTTTGAAGAGATCGAGATTCCTTTTGAGGCAATTACCTCGTTAAGTATTTCAATAGTTATCTTTAAATGTTTAAGAATTTGGCTCCTTTTCCTCTCATAACTATTGTTAAAAGAGGATTGATCCTAAAGTGTAGAGAGGCAATGGGTTATAAAATAATAAAATGAAAATTTGTTTCCTTTAAAACGTTTTCAATAATGGACATGTATTTTTTTACTCTTTAGTCATATTCTGTACTACTCTTCTGCTTAAAATAGGATTTTAGAGTTATAGAATTTTTAGAGCAGGAAAAGAGGTCTTTTGAGATTATATTTTTCTTTCTGACAATGCTATTTTTTTTTTTAAGCACAAGAATGTTTGCCAAGTGCAATCTTAGAGGAATGACCCATGTATAAAACAGCTAAAAATGGTGGTGCTTTGATGTGTGCTGGTAATTAGGAACTCAAACTGTGGAGTCAGACTACCTGGACTTAGAATAACCTGACTCTGCTTCCTACCTGTGTAGCTGCTAAGCTCCAGTTTCCTCATCTGTGAAGTCAGAGTAATACTAGTACCTCCATCATAGACTTTGTAGGAATTTTAAATAGGATACTATGTATAAAACTGCTTAGCACAGTGCTCCATCAATGTTAGTTTGGTTAATCTGGTTAAAGCAAAGTTGGGTAGGGGGGCATTCTAGCAGCTGTACATGCCTAGTCCCTACCTTATCCCATGTGGTGGCTCCTGAGATAGCTTCCTAGAACCCTTCTATAGATGCAGTTTGAAAATCTCTAATCTTGGCTAGGTGCGATGGCTCAATCTGTAATCTCAGCACTTTGGGAGGCTGAGGCAGGCAGATCATTTGAGGTCAGGAGTTCAAGGCCAGCCTGGCCAACATGGTGAAACCCCACTCTCTACTAAAAATACAAAAATTAGCTGGGCGTGGTAATGCATGCCTGTAATCCCAGCTACCTGGCAGGCTGAGGCAGGAGAATTGCTTGAACCCTGGAGGCGGTGGTTGCAGTGAGTCAAGAGCACGCCACTGCACTCTGGCCTGGGCAACAGAGCAAGACTCTCTCTCAAAAAAAAAAAAAAATCTCTAATCTGATTCATCCTCCTAAATTTGCAGATGGGCTTTAGATTGTAGAA
This sequence comes from Homo sapiens, assembly GCF_000001405.40. Lineage (NCBI taxonomy): Eukaryota > Metazoa > Chordata > Mammalia > Primates > Hominidae > Homo > Homo sapiens. The sequence goes on along the minus strand of NC_000015.10, from coordinate 76,297,992 downwards.
TAACATTTTAAAAGTTCAGGCCAATTTCTTCTGCTCTAGGTTCTACACAACCGCTATTGCTGAATTAAGCCGCATAACCATGCCTAGAGGCTGTAGCTTCTCTCTAGGTGGTATCTGAGAAATGGAATGTAAAACATTGAATTAGAAGGAAGTTTAATATTTTAAAAATTATAGAGGAGTCAATAAAATAGAGTACCTTTATGATGTATATAATGCTTAGTAAAAATCGATCAGCTAGATGGACTGAGTGGGTTCTTAAATATGTTCTTTTGTTGTTTATGCTTATAAATCTAATTTTGATAAATCTTTTAAAAAGTATATATAATCTCCAGTTGGAAGTTCTAAAAGCTTGATGGTTCCTTAGGATAACTACTTAATTTATCTTATGATAGAACTATAATTTACAGCAAGTATGGGCCTTCTGCCACCAAATCTTGGATTTTTTCTTCAAATGGTGATGGAAATCTCATAATTTTTATGGCAAATGATGTGTGAAACATAATAAAAAATATGATGCCGGATATATATTGGTAATAAATAGCTTGTTACTGGCAATTCTTGTGAAATGTGATTTAAATAATTTAAATTATTTTTTATTTTTAATTATTTTATTAATTTTATTTAATTATTTATTTATTACAAAGTCCTTTCCAAAATATGATGCTCTTCCAACGAAAAAAGAAAGGGTACCATATAATTAATTCTGCAGATGTACATTGGAAAACAAACATTGTATTTGATTCTGGGGATACAAAATATAAACAGGTATGGTATTTGCTTTCTAAGAACTTTCATTTCATTCCAGGAACTGTCCTGACTTCCCTTCAATTCATACCCTCCTTTTAAGTTTCCAGCTCTGGGTAAATTCCATGCTATGCTTTCTTCACTCCAGCTCCAGAGCTTAAGGTTATTGCTGAATTAAGCCACGTAACCATGCCATTTGATCCACAGTTCCTCTTTTTCTCACTTTTCTTTGCCATTTTCCATAAGAATAGTTCCAAGATTTTATTTTTTCCTTATGCCTATGGTGCCATTCCTCATCTTTTCACATGATAGAACACCTGAACTTCCTTCCTTCCCCACTTGACTGTACTTCATGATCTGTAGCCTTCAACATTTTGGATCTCTTCATTATTTGAAAAACTGTTCTATTTTATAATTGTATATGAACAAGTCTAATTTCCTGTGAAATATACAGGGACCATTCTTGTTCATCTTTGTGTTCCTTGTGTTTAAAATTATTCCACATGACCATGAATGATTGGTGGTTTCTTGATAGTCTGCATTAGATAGGGCTGGATATTGGTTGGTTCCAAGATACTGTCTGCAAGCTTCCTTTTTTGAATCCAGAAGCATATTTGAACAGTCAAAACCTGGCAAAACTGCTGTTTAGTGTCATATTTTAAAAACATATTTCCATTATCAATTATTTTGGTATTGAATGCATTTTGACTGAAACAATAGGGATCAACTTTCGTGACTGATTTCAAACCCATTATTTGTGATTATACTGTACTCCTATACTGTAGGAGTACAGTATGTAACCAAATGTAATTGGTAGTAGAATTTGACCAGTTCCTAGTTAGGTAGTTAATATGTTCTGTTTAAGGAATTTACATTTAGTTATATAGTAGTTTCTTATCAGATGTAGATTAGTGGGAAAGTTGTTTTGAAGTAATTAAACATTTTTCCTAACAATAGAAGGCTAATTTGCGTTCTAATTTTTATTAGATAAGAATATTAGTAGGCCAGGTGCGGTGGCGCATGCCTGTAATCCCAGCACTTTGGAGGCCGAGGCAGGCAGATCACGAGGTCAGGAGATGGAGACCATCCTGGCTAACACTGTGAAACCCCGTCTCTACTGAAAGTACAAAAACAAAATTAGCCGACATGGTGGTGGGCGCCTGTAGTTCCAGCTACTCAGGAGGCGGAGGCGGGAGAATGGCATGAACCTGGGAGGTGGAGCTTGCAGTGAGCCATGGTCGCACGCGCCACTGCACTCCAGCCTGGGCGACAGAGCGAGACTCCATCTCAAAAAAAAAAAAAAAAAAAAAAAGAATATTAGTGGTACAGTGATAGACACAAATAGCTAGATTTTCGCTATAGAACAAGTATTTTATAAATAAATTTATAGAATAATATTGTGTACAGAATAGTTTTCTTTAAAGCATACATGCTTAACAATTAGTAAAAAAAAAAAAAAAAACCCTGTGACAACATTCTTTACCTTTTTTTTTCCTTTTTGCTCTTTTTAGGCCTCATTGCTACGATTTCAGAGTACCCTGGTAATAGCTGAGCATGCAAATGATTCCCTAGCACCCATTACTTTAAATACCATTACTGCAGCCACACGCCTTGGAGGTGAAGTGTCCTGCTTAGTAGCTGGAACCAAATGTGACAAGGTGAGAAATTTTTAAGGTCAGCCATAGCAAATATTATCTCCATCAAGAGACAGGAAAAGATGGCAACAGAGAATTATGCTTAGGATTGTAACCCAAACTGGGCTCTAATCCTCATTAAATGGTCAGTGTCACAACCATTACCATGTGTGAAAAAGGAACTAAAAGGTTTCTTCCCTAAGCATTTTATCTTTTGAAATGCAGTAGAATACTTGATTTAGTTCCACTGGCACCATCATGTGCCATCAGGTACCAAGTGGAATGATAATATTTGAGTCCCCTTAGAGGTTAATAGCTGATCTCTTTTTTGTGTTGATGAATATACTTGGTAATTGCTTCTAATTCCTGAAAGTGGTAAATCTGGACAAAGTATTATGGATGTTAATTTTTAATTGGTAGAAGAATTTGAATGTTAAGTACTATTCTTTCCAAACTCTAGCTGGTACTAAAAGATGTTCTTGGGTTTGTTTGTTGTTGTTGTTGTTGTTATTGTTGAAATCAGATGATAACAGCTTGGAACACTAACCCTCTAGAAAGGTGCTATGATATGATTTGCAGGGTCTATACCACCAGCCTGCAATATAGATGAGTGCTTCAGTTAAGCTTACACACCTTCAGCCACCAGTTCCCTCTCACATGGTATAGGAGTTGCTGAGTGTGTAGTTGGGGGCTTAAACTTCACAGAGGAATAAATCTGAAGGGAGTATGTTTTGAGGATTTTATGTTTTATTAAATAATTGATGCTGGCTGGGCATGGTGGCTCATGCCTATAATCCCAGGACTTTGGGAAGCTGAGGTGGGTAGATCACTTGAGGTCAGGTGTTTGAGACCAGCCTGGGCAACATGGTGAAATCCTGTCTCTACTAAAAATATAAAAATTAGCCAGTGTGGTGATGCATGCCTGTAGTCCCAGCTACTTGGAAGGCTGAGGCACGAGAACCACTTGAACCTTGGTGGCAGAGTTTGCAATAAGCAGATATTGTACCACTGCACTCCAGCCTGGGTGACAAAGTGAGACTGTGTCTCAAAAAATATATTAAAAATAACAATAATTCAGAGCATGTGATAATGGAGGTTCATACTGCTGGTGTTGCTTCTGTCTAATTTTTTACATGAAATTGATAAAAGAACATATTCTGGTGGGTTTATGATTAGTTATGTGGATTTCTTTACCCAATTCCTGCTAACAACTGTAGGATCTTACATAGTTGATACAGCCACAATGTGTGATGTGTGATGGCTAAGCTATCTATTTGTATGTCTGTATTAGCCACAGTATATGATGGCTAAGCTATCTTTTTGGTTTCCCTGTTTTTGGATATATAGGAATTTGTGATTTGTTGTTTGTTTTGCTGTGATTTAAAATAATTATTGTAATATTACTTTAAAAAGACTTTGATACTTTATACTACTTTGAGAAAAATCAAAATAGAAATCGTCTTCTGTACTCAGTTACAATCCTAACCTGTCATGTTCTAATTTTAAAGAAAACAACCAGTACCTGTATGAAGAGATCGTTTAATAGAGTTCGGTTTTATACCATTTTATTCAGCTACTTGTCATAAACAGCAAGTTATTCTTCTGTATAATGCCAGCCGTTTTGCCAGTAAAAACAAGATAGTTTCAATGGGAAAATTCTGCCCCATTTTCTATCCCATGCTGCTATGCAGCTACATTGCAATTAACTGAGTTTCTTAATTGGAAATTCTCTTAAAGTTTGAGAAGCTAAATGCAGCTGCATCCATAATAAAGGGCCTCTGTAGTACAAATGGTATGCCGGTGAACACTTGGTTTAGCAGAGAATGTATTCTTGCACTGCATCCTTTCTTCAGTGAATATTGTTGCAAGCTAACAGTTCATATGAGGGTGGCACAAGGCACAGCCTTTTAATCCTACTCATCAGTGAATCAATGAATCAGTTTGGAGGTAAACAAGGAGACAGAAGACGATAGTATGACTGATATGACTTAGCTAAAGTGGAAACCAGCCATGAGGTAATAAAGATACTTAAAAAGGGGAAATCTAATTGCCTTCTGAATATAGAAAATCTGAATCATCAAAAAGCTTTCTCAGAACCCCATTCTAATTCCAAACAGGAAAAATGAAGAATTAAAATAGGAAATATTTTGCTTTGTCATAGATAAATATGTGTATGTGGGCAGGAACTCAGTGGTTGACAATGGGATGTTACTAGAGAACTTCATTTTCACCATTTCCAGGACATTGAACTTACACTTGGATTGAACCAAAAGTAAAAAGCACAATTTATAACAAAATTTGAATAAAGAGCCATGTTGATTTTGGTTTGTCAATTAGCACTTTTCTTTTTCAAGGCAGGAATTTTTGTTGAAATGCTTGGTAGTTGGACAGTGTAAGGTCAGTCAGTAGTAAGATCTATTGGCATTAGATTTTCTTTGTTAAGGAATGTATTTTAATATTTTAATTCTTTGTTTGTTTGAGATGGAGTTTCACTCTTTCGCCCAGTCTGGAGTGAAGTGGTGTGATCTTGGCTCACTGTAACCTCCGCCTCCTGGGTTCAAGCCATTCTCTTGCCTCAGTCTCCCAAGTAGCTGGGATTACAGGTGCCCGCCACCATGCCTAGCTAATTTTTGTATTTTTAGTAGAGATGGGGTTTCACCATGTTGGCCAGGCTGGTCTTGAACTCTTGACTCCGGTGATCTGCCTGCCTCAGCCTCTCAGAGTGCTGGGATTACAGGCTTGAGCCACTGCGCCCGGCCGGAATATATTTTAATTCTTAACTGGCCCTTTTGCTAATAAGAATAATTTTTACAGTTGGCCATTAAGATTTTATGATCTGTTGATATTTATAGTGGTGGCTTTATTTGTATATTTCTGATAGATGGATAATTAGGAACTTATCTTTTAATCATAGGTGGCACAAGATCTCTGTAAAGTAGCAGGCATAGCAAAAGTTCTGGTGGCTCAGCATGATGTGTACAAAGGCCTACTTCCAGGTGAGGTTTTCCAGTAGAAAAAAATGTAGTGTCTAAATTACGCTTGAATATATGAATATGAAAGTATTTCAAAATATTTTTTTATCAAATGTGTTTAATTCTCAGAGGAACTGACACCATTGATTTTGGCAACTCAGAAGCAGTTCAATTACACACACATCTGTGCTGGAGCATCTGCCTTCGGAAAGGTGAGAAGGTTGAGAATGTGGAATCTGATATCACTGCTTGAAAGGGTTAGATTTCATTGTGCTGAAAGTATGCAACAGACTGTTTATGTAGCCAATCTGGATTTATCTGAATTGATGTGGTAGTTTTGCTAAAATTTATTCTTTCAAGATTTTGTCATAATTTTCCGTTAAAACTACCATTTCCAGGTTTTCAAATTATGTTGTGGAGAAAACTCTAATTAGGCTATTATTTTAAAATTTTCTGCATGTAAAAGTAATGCTGAATTCTGCTTGCATGTGAGAGAGAGAGTGAACGAGCAAGAGTCATTTCTATTAGTAGCCCATTTTAAGAGATGGTTTATTTGGATGGCTGATGGATATCTAGAAAAGCCAAATTTTATCTACGTAGGGAATTTGGAAAGGGCTTGTGGTGGTTGAAGACATCCTTAAGGTAAAGAAAGCTGTAATCTGATCATGTGCATTGTGATGTGTCTGAAGAATGAGTGTGTTATAAGATGGATAGCAGTCTACATAAAGTTAAAAATGGAGGGAGGAGTGTAATGGGAGCTTAAGACAAGGAATTCGTCAGTGGATTTTTCTTGCTCTCTCTCTGTGGCCGTGGGTGTTATCTTAGCTCTCTTTTCTTTTGTTCCATTCTTAATAAGGTGTCATTTTTAGTCTTTATTTTTACTTTCTTTTTTTTGAGATGGAGTCTCACTGTCGCCCAGGTTGGAGTGCAGTGGCGCCATCTCGGCTCACTGCAGGCTCCGCCCCCCGGGGTTCACGCCATTCTCCTGCCTCAGCCTCCCGAGTAGCTGGGACTACAGGCGCCCGCCAGCTCGCCCGGCTAATTTTTTGTATTTTTAGTAGAGACGGGGTTTCACTGTGTTAGCCAGGATGGTCTTGATCTCCTGACCTCGTGATCCGCCCGCCTCGGCCCCCCAAAGTACTGGGATTACAGGCGTGAGCCACCGCGCCTGGCCTACTTTTTTTTTTTTTTTTTTTCGAGATGGAGTCTTACTTTCCTCGCCCAGGCTGGAGTGCAGCAGCACAATCTCAGCTCACTGCAACCTCTACCTCCTGGGTTCAAGCCATTCTCCTGCCTCAGCCTCCCGTGTGTAGCTGGGATTATAGGTGCGTGCCACCACACCTGGCTAATTTTTGTATGTTTAGTAGAGACAGGGTTTCGCCGTGTTGACCAGGCTGGTCTCGAACTCCTGACCTCAGGTGATCTGCCTGCTTCAGCCTAGCTCTGTTGCCCAGACTGGAGTGCAGTGGCACGATTGTAGCTCAACATACCCTCCAACTTGTGGGCTCAAACGATCCTCCTATCCTAGCCTTCTGAGTAGCTAGGACTACAGGTACATGCCACCATGCCCAGCTAATTTTCAAATTTTTTGTATCGATGTAGTCTCCCTATGTTGTGCGGGCTTGTCTTAAACTCCTGGCCTCAAGTCATCCTCTCATTTCAGCCTCCCAAAGTGCTAGGATTACAGACATAAGTCACTGTGCTTAGCCTATTTTCACTTTTAAAAATTGTAAAATAAGTTGTACACAAATACATCCTTATTAGGAAGACTGCGTGTAGTACAGCAGTGTGCAGAGCAAGGTGTCAAAGTCCTGCTTTCTTATTCCCAACTCACCCTCCCCTCTTTAGAAGTATAGCTGTTAACAATTGTACATTCTTTTAGGCCTCCTTCTATGGATTTTTAAATTACAGTACATGTACAGCTATATATTTTTTACTTCTAAAATGGGATAATATGGCATGAATTGTTTTGTGAATAGTAGCTTTTACTTAAGAGTATGACTTGGGCAGGGTGCGGTGGCTGACGCCTGTAATCCCAGCACTTTGGGAGGATTGTCTGAGCCCAGGAGTTGTAGCCCAGCCTGGGCAATACAGTGAGATCTCATCTCTACAAAAAAATGAAAAAAAAAAATTAGCTGAGTGTGGTGGTGCATGCCTGTGGTCCCAGCTACTTGGGAGGCTGAAGTGGGAGAATTGCTTGAGCCTGGAAGGTTGAGGCTGCAATGAGCTGAGATTACACTGCTGCACTCCAGCCTGTGCTCCAGGGTGACAGAGCAACACCCTGTCTCAAAAAAAAAAAAAAAAAAAAAGAGTAGCGACTTTGGCTCATAATGTTTCTCTTTTTTTATGGCTGCATAAGATTCCATGTTTAGCTAAGGACAGTTAACTTGGTTCCAGTTTTTTGCATTTATATACTTTACTGCAAGAAAACATGGTCATGCATGTATCTGTGTAAACATGGGCTGGAATTTATTTACAATAGAGTTCTAGAGGTGAAATCACTGAGTCAAATGCTATGTAGTTTAAAAATTTTGATACCTATTACTTAATTGTCAACACTTGGTAGTATACATTTTAACATTTTTTCCTCCAGTCTGATGGGTGAAATAATCTTTGTGGACCGTTCTGTCTCTGAGAGTTTTGATTATATATTGGATGATTTAAATAATTTCATGAGCCTTGAGTTTCCTTCTATGATGACAGTTCACCTAACAGAGTGTTAGACCATGAAAGGGTGTTTGTCATTAGCTAGATTTTAGTACTCTGGCCATGATTGCTATGTTGTAACAGATGGGAGTTTTGAGAATAAGGGTCACATAATAGTAGCTGGTCGTGCGGCCTGTAAATGGGTTTGGAATGAGAAACGTCTATCAGAAGAAGCCAAACAATTTGCTGTATGATAGTCCTTCACCAGCTGTGGTTTTGAGATAACACACTTTTATACTTGTCTGCTAGAATTTTAAAATATGTCATTTTTTATGCACAAAAAGAACTCAATTATTGCTTCTTCTTCCCAGAAACCATGCAGGCAGCTTGTTGGATGGGATATATTTTTAATAGGATAGATATCTGTGTACCATCCACCCTCATGATGTTTAGATAGAAGACCAGATCCAGGAAAACATACTTTTAAGTACCATGGTAAAATTTCTTGAAGATATGTTAAACAAGGGATAATGAAAATACAAAAGACATTAAATTTTGAGCAATTTAGAAAGTTCTAAAACTTTTAAAAGAGGCAAAGTCTGTATAACATAAAATTTGTAAGATAATCTGTTCAGCCAAGTAACTATTCCAGTAATAATTCCTGAACAGTTAAAGAAGGTGGTTCAGGAGGAGGATTACTTACTGAAGCTAGCTTTAAATACTGACAAATCTGGTTTTTAAACCAGATTAAGTAGGTGCTTCAGAATGGGCATGGTGGCTCATGTCTGTAATCCCAGCACTTTGGGGTGCCAAGGCAGGAGGATCAGCTGAGGCCAGGAATTCGAGACCAGCCTGGACAACAACGCAAGACCCCGCTTCTACAGAAAAAAACAAAACATAAACCAAAAAATGAGCTGGACGCAGTAGCGTGCGCCTGTAGTCCCAGCTACTCAGGAGGCCAAGGCAGAATAATCTCTTGAGCCCAGGAGTTCAAGGTTACAGTGAGCTATGATCACACCACTGCAAGTTCAGCCTGGGTAACAGAATGAGACCCTGTTTCCAAAAAAAAAAAAAAAGAAGAAGAAGAAGAAGAATTAACTGAGACTTGGGGAACTGTGACTTTCCCAAGGATTCCTGCTGCTGAGGACAAAGTTAGCACATGCATCTATTTCAGTACAAGCACAAGAACACACCTTTATTTTATTTTTGTTGCTTTTTAAATATGTACTACACAGGCTGTTCTTCAGGTTAGTGTTATTCTTTTCCTTTTTTTTTTTTTTCTTTTGAGGCAGAGTCTCGCTCTGTCACCAAGGCTGGAGTGTGGTGGTACTATCTCAGCTCACTGCAACCTCCGCCTCCCAGGTTCAAGCAATTCTCATTCTCATGCCTCAGCCTCCTGAGTAGCTGGGACTACAGGCATACACCACCATCCCCGGCTAATTTTTTGTATTTTTAGTAGAGATGGTGTTTCACCATGTTGGCCACATTGGTCTCAAACTCCTGGCCTCAGGTGATCCTCAGCCTCCCAAAGTGCTGGGATTACAGGTGTCAGCCACTGTACCTGGCCTTACTCTTTTTTTTATACAATATCAATTTAAACAAAAGGTGAAATGTCTGCTGTGAATTTTTTTCTTTTATATACATTAAGTAAATGTATACAAGCATAATCTTTTTCAGTATTTGAGAATTTTACCACCCTTCTAAATTTGTTCTATCTTTTCTTATCTAAATTCAATAATCCACAACTGTCACACTTGGTAATTGATGTTTATTAAATTTCATATCTCATAGTTCAATATATTGCATTAAGGTGGCTTAATACTGTAAAACTCATGAAACTCTTAATGTAGTTAGAGTAATGGTAAGTACTCAATCTCAAAGGCTATTTAAAAAGCTGTGCTTGAAGTTGTGTATCCAAAGGTGCACACGAAATATAAAATATTTGAATTAAAATTTCTACAGAATATGCATTTAGAATATGTCATTACTGATCATTTATAGTCTTCCATCACTATGTATGTGTGTTAACTCACTGCTTATTTTGCTTTTAGAACCTTTTGCCCAGAGTAGCAGCCAAACTTGAGGTTGCCCCGATTTCTGACATCATTGCAATCAAGTCACCTGACACATTTGTGAGAACTATTTATGCAGGTGAGTACTCAAGGAAGATAATTAATCAACATGTTAAATTTTAGTGAAAAGCATAAATTAATCTTGAAGATAGAATTTTAAATCAAACCATACAATTGCTTTAAGTGGACCATCTTAAAGGTTTCTGAGGAAAATTTTAGTCTAGAATTGCTGGTGGCCCTTGACATGGCATTCTCTCTGATGGATCGCAAACACAGAGATTTCCTGCCTGTTTATTCAGTTTGCAGGGTGATATTTTCCTAGTGATCAATAAAAATTAGATTCACAATTTAATATATTTTGTAAGTGGTACCTGGAAAAGCAAAACTTAAAAAAAAATAGTATTCTCAATCTTTGCTGCTTCTACTTCATTTCCATAGGCATTAAGAAATTCATTTTAGCCAGCTGCAGTGGCTCGTGCCTATAATCCCAGCACTTTGGCAGGCTGAGGTGGGAGGATTACTTGAACTCAGGAGTTTGAGGCTATCCTGGGCAACATAATAAGACCCTATCTCAAAAATAAATAAATAAAATAAATTAGCTAGGCATGTTGGCATATGCCTGTAGTCACAGATACTTGGGAGGCTGAGGTGGGAGGATTGCTTGAGCCAGAAGGTCGAGGCTATGGTGAGTTGTGATCATGCCACAGCACTCCAGCCTGGGCAACAGAGCAAGACCCTGTCTCAAGAAAAAGAAAAGAAATTCATTTCAGTGTCTCTTCAGTTGATTTTTTGCTTAGCACACTGGTCTCTAGTGGGGTCGGAGAAGGCAGTGAACTCTTCGTTTTTTGCCTGATTAAAGTTGTGTATTCCAGTATGAATGGCTAATTCTGAAATTAGACTTTTCATCTTCCATAATGTTTGAGGGAAAATATTTTGTCATGGTTTAGGTTACTGTTAATGTGATAGCTAATCCAGAGTGTCTCAAATCCTCTTAAAATCTTAGCACATTCATACCTGTTCTTTATGACCTATTGTGTTTTCAAGATATTCCTCCTTTAGCATGCACAGTAGCTACATTCTTCCTAAGTTGTTGCAGCTCATAGTTTTGAGTTACTGATTGTATTGTTTTTGGAGAAGGAAGCTTTGTTCATATTCCTTTTAGAGGTGTAGTGTACCTTCTTAGTGTGGATGCCTGTTCGAGTTTCTTCCTTCTAGGTGTGGTAGTACCTGTCCTGCTTTTAAAGACATCCAGGGTTATACAGATATCTGCTGATATGTTTCTTCACCGTTATGGTTCATTTTTTCCTATACTTAATAGAGTTAGAAGACAACTGGTCAATAGTTATTTCTTGCCTTGTCTGTGAAGTAAATTCCAAGCATCAAAGGAGTGCTAGTTTTGTTGCCTTTTGCTGTTGCTTTTAAGAAATAGATTGTATGTTTCAGGAAATGCTCTATGTACAGTGAAGTGTGATGAGAAAGTGAAAGTGTTTTCTGTCCGTGGAACATCCTTTGATGCTGCAGCAACAAGTGGCGGTAGTGCCAGTTCAGAAAAGGGTGAGTGTTCATTTGGAGTTTTTTTGTTTTGTTTCTTACTTTTTTAATTCATAGACTGTATTATAATAAGAGATGACCTCTGCCTACATTTCTAATGAATAGTATTTGAAAGTTCAATTTAAATGATATTCCCAAGCTTATACAAAAATAATAAATATGTATAACTTACATCTTTTTCACATTATCTTTGGTACTAGGATAGTTGCTTTGGTAGATCAAGGGAGTGGGAGACAGAGGATCTATTAAGATTAAGCTTTTTTACTCTTGTCACTGTTTCCTATTATATTTGGGTGATTCAGTATAACAGAAGAATGTAATAGGAAACGTGTGGAGGGTGTCACACTTTAACATATATAGTGTCTTATTTGAACCTCATAGAAAGAAAGTTATTCTATATTCAGACTCAGAGAATTGAATGATTTCTGGAGTCATACAGCTAATGTGGCAAAGGCTGGAATCTAGTCTCCTTAAGTCTTTCCATTATCAGAGAGAATTAATTAGGAGCACTGAAAATTCACAGTAATTAACTTAAATTTCGTGGAATTATATACTTGTGTGTTTCTCTTGAAAATAATTCTTGTTATAGAACTTGAAATCATAGTCATTGTTTTATTATGTATTAATGTATGCAGCATCAAGTACTTCACCAGTGGAAATATCAGAGTGGCTTGACCAGAAATTAACAAAAAGTGATCGACCAGAGCTAACAGGTGCCAAAGTGGTGGTATCTGGTGGTAAGTGAAATATTAATCTTAAAAGATGTAAATTGAAAATACTTTGATTTTTTTTTTTATTTTTAGTATTTATTTTAGAAGTACACAGATCTTTTTCAAATGTAAGAAGTTGGGAAGTTTGGGATATTATTCCCATTTAACCAATTAGGAAAATGAAATTATGAGCATAATACACAGTTTGGGGTTTCTGTTGCACACCTAGTCACTGGCACCAGGGGGAGCATGGTATAAATCTTATCTGCATAACTTTGCCACTTGGTGCCATCTTATTGATGGACTTCCATGAATTCTGCAGAGTATGGTTGGCTTCTCAATTATAGATAGAACTGGCTTGAATTTCAGGGCCATCTTGTGTATAATTCCTACCCTTCTTTCCACTTGGAAAGATTTCCAGAGTTGTCCATGTCTTTGTGTATAACTCTTTAAAAAGTTTCTTAACATTTAATATCAAAACTGTTAATATTGCATAAGACATGCTTATTTTTATACATCATGCTCCTTGTCTTTAAAAACAATGATTTTTTTATGGCCCACTGACTAACTTTTTGAAAAAATAAGGACTGTTATGCTTTTTAAATCCTTGCAATTAAACATCCAACAAAATAAGCTTTCAGACAGCCTTCTATTGCAAGTATCATTGAGAAAAAAAAATTAATATTTTGAAGTGATATATCTGACTTGTTTTTCGTTTTCTTTTTTTCTTTTTGAGATGGAGTTTCGCTCTTGTTGCCTAGGCTGGAGTGCAATGGCACAATCTCTGCTCACCGCCACCTCCACCTCCCAGGTTCAAGCGATTCTCCTGCCTCAGCCTCCCGAGTAGCTGGGATTACAGGCATGTGCCACTACGCCCAGCGCGGTGACTCACACCTGTAATTCCAGCACTTTGGGAAGCCGAGGCGGGTGGATCACCCGAGGTCAAGTGTTCGAGACCAGCCTGGCCAACATAGTGAAACCCCGTCTCTATTAAAAATACAAAAAATTAGCTGGGCATGGTGGTGGATGCCAGTAGTCCCAGCTACTCAGGAGGGTGAGGCAGGAGAATTGCTTGAACCTGGGAGGCAGAGGTTGCAGTGAGCCGAGATCGCACCATTGCATTTCAGCCTGGGCAACAAGAGTGAAACTCCTCCTAAAAAATAAATAAATAAATAAATAAAAATAATAATTTTGTATTTTTAGTAGAGACGGAGGTTCTGCATGTTGGTCAGGCTGGTCTCGAAATCCTGACCTCAGGTGATCCGCCCACTTCAGCCTCCCAAAGTGTTGGGATTACAGGTGTGAGCCACCGAGCTGGGCCCTGACTTGTTTATTCACTTATTTATTCAAGAAATGTATATTGGTTATCTGTTCTATGACAGGCTTATTGCCAAGTGCTGGAGAAACAGATGAAAAGGCAGAATGTTCTTCCTCTCGAGGAGTTTAAAGTCCTTGAGATGACTCCCATTCAAATAATAACTTTATTCAGTCATTCAGAGAAATTTATTGAGCATCTATTATATGTAGAGTTTTGCTAAATATTGCAGATATGGCAGTGACCAAGATAGATATAGATCCTGAAATTAAAGAGTTTTTATTCTAGTGGGAAAAAAACTCATATTAATTACACAATTAGTTAACTAGGTAATCATAGTAGTGTTGAATGCTTTATAGAAGTATAGGAGTGTCAGAGGCCAGAAAAGGTTTATAGAGGAGGTGACATGCTTAATATGGCAGTTACATAATATGAAAATTTACTCCAGTATATAAAATAGCAAAATTGTTCCAGAATGTATTTGATGTTTGCCTAATTTTTTTTTTTCATCTTTTTAAATGAGGTCGAGGCTTGAAGAGTGGAGAGAACTTTAAGTTGTTATATGACTTGGCAGATCAACTACATGCTGCAGGTAAAGTTATTTTCCTTAGTAGAAAGATATTCCCTTTTTGTTGGAAATATTTTTTCTTCATTATTTCATTTTTGTGTAAGTCTTTCAGCCCTACAAATTATTTTACTTTTCCGGATTTTTCAGTTTTTCTCTCTGAACCAGTTTTTCTTAAGCCTCCAAGTAAATGGTATATAGCATTCAGTGAGGAGAAGGCCTCCTAGTATCTCTTACCTTTGCCTAATCTTAGTAGGTTTTCTTTTTTCTTCACTTTAAAAATAATGAAATGGGCCAGGCGCAGTGACACACACCTGTAATCCTAGCACTTTAGGTTGCTGAGGCAGGAGGACTGCTTGAGCCCAGGAATTTGAGACCAGCCCTAGCAATGTAGTGAGACCCCATCTCTACAAAACGTTTAAAAATTAGCCAGGCATATTGGTGTGTGCTTGTAGTCCCAGGTACTCAGGAGGCTGAGGTGGGAGGATTGCTTGAGCTTGAGAGGTGGAGGCGACAGTGCACTGTGGTCGTGCCACTGCATTCCAGTCTGGGCAACAGAGTGAGACCCTGTCTCAAAAATAATAAAAGACAAAATAATGAAATGTTAGTTTCAGTGCCTACTTCAGATTCAGGAATACCCTGGTTTTTCATCTTTTTTTTGGTGGTCTTAATATAACTCTTATACAAATAGAAATACATTTAAAGTTTTTAAGTTTGTAGTTAAAAATATAGAATTGTAGTTAACCATTTATAGGTAAGGTAGAACCTATTGCTAAAAGTACATTGATGAGAAGGGAGTGATGTTTTTTGAAAAACCAAAAAAATTTAAGCCAGGCACAGTAGCATGTGTCTGTAATCCCAGTTACTTGGGAGGCTGAGTTAGGAGGATTGCTTGAACCTAGGAATTTGAGACCAGCCTAGGCAACCTAATTGAGACCCTGTTTTGAAAAAAAATCTTTTTAAAGACATTTGATTATTTTTGAATTACACAATCACTACAATGAATATATATTAAAATGTCCCAATTCTGTCATCTCACCCTCCTTTTAAGACTTTAACATATAACTTTCGAGGGTTTTCCTGTAACTTTCTGTGGTTTTCCTGTGCGAAATTTCTATTACATAACACGTGTACCCATAGAAACAGTAATAGTTTTGTCAGAATAAAGGCATTATATTGACACTGTATAATCAGATGGTAGTATTTCAGGGTTTATTTTCATTCCTTCTTTCTTTGAACAAGTATTTATCAAGTGTCTGCCATATTCCAGGTACTATTTTAGGTGCTATTAGTTTATTTTGGCTACAGTAATAAGTTACTACAAACTTGGTGGCTTAAAGCAACAAAGTTTTTCTCTCACAGCTTTGGAGGCCAGAGATGTGTTGAAGTGTTAGCAGGGGCCATACTCCCTCTGGGGGCTCTAGGAGATAATCTGTTATTTTCCTCTTCCAGCTTCTGGTGGCTACTCTGATATCCCTGGGCTTGTGGCCACATCACTACAACCTCTGCCTCTGTCTTCATATCATCTTCTCTGTGGGACTGCATTCAGTCTCCTTCTGTGTCCCTCTTATAAGGATACATGGCAGGCGTGGTGGCTCATACCTGTAATGCCAGCACTTTGGGAGGCCAGGGTGGGCGGATCACCTGAGGTCCGGAGTTTGAGACTAGCCTGGCCAACGTGGTGAAACCCCATCTGTACCAAAAATATAAAAATTAGTTTGATGTGGTGGTGCACACCTGTAATCCCAGCTACTTGTGAGGCTGAGGCAGGAGAATTCCTTGAACCTAGAAGGCGGAGGTTGCAGTAAGCTGAGACTGTGCCACTGTACTCCAGCCTGGGTAACAGAGTGAGATGCCGTCTGGAAAAAAAAAAAAAAAAAAAAAAAGGATACGTGTAATGGCATTTAGGGCCCATGTAGATAATCCAGGATAAACTCCCTCTCAAGATCCTTAGCTTTATATATATCTGCTGCCACGTAGGTAATATTCACAGGTTCTGGGTATTAGGATGTGAATATATCATTGGAGGGGCCATTTTCTTGCCTACTACAGACACTTAACACCATAGATTAGTAAATAATATAATATGGGCCAGGCGTGGTGGCTTACGCCTGTAATCACCTGAGGTCAGGAGTTTGAGACCAGCCTGGCCAACATGGGGAAACCCCGTCTCTACTAAAAAATACAAAAATTAGCTGGGCGCAGTGATACGTGCCTATAGTCCCAGCTACTTGGGAGGCTAAGGCAGGAGAAACGCTTGAACCTGGGAGGCAGAGGTTGCAGTGAGCAGAAATCATGTCACTGCACCCTAGCCTGGGCAACAGGGCGAGACTCTGTCTCAAAAAAAAAAAAAAATGTTAGAGAGTCGTAAGTGTTAGGGAGACTAATAGGATGGGTTATGGGGGGTGGAGAATTGAAGGGAAAGATTGAAGTTTAAAATAAGATAGCCAGATTTGGCCTTAATGAGAAAGAGACATCTGGCTGGGTGTGGTGGCTCATGCCTGGAATCCCAGCACTTTGGGAGGCCAAGGCGGGCGGATCACTTGAGGCCAGGAGTTCAAGACCAGTCTGGCCCACGTGGTGAAACCCCGCCTCTACTAAAAATATAAAAATTAGCTAGGTGGGCGGATTTCTTGAGGCCAGGAATTCAAGACCAGCCTGGCCGACATGGTGAAACCCCACCTCTACTAAAAATACAAAAATTAGATGGGTATGGTGGCACGTACCTGTAGTCCTAGCTACTCAGGAGGCTGAGGCGGCAGGATCACTTGAACCATGAGGTGGAGGTTGCAGTGAGCTAAGATTGTGCCACTGTACTCCGGCCTGGGTGACAGAGACACTGTCTGAAAAAAAAAAAAAAAAAAAAGACATCTGAACAAAGGTTTGAAGGAGGTGAGGAAGCGACCCATGAGGAGATCTGAGGGAGAGTGTTCCAGACCAGAGCAACTAGTAAAGTGCACAGAGCCTGTCTAACGCAGGAACACATCTGGCCTATTTGACGAATAGGAAGGAGGCCAGTGTTGGAATGGAAAGTGCAAAAGAGAAAGTAGCAAGAGATAAAATTGGGAGGCAACACAAGACCAGATCACATAGGGCCTTATAGGACATTGTAGAGATTGCTCTTTCTCTGAATGAAATGGGGAACCATTTCAAGGTTTGAGCAGAAGAATGACATGATCTAACACATTTTTAAAGGATCACTTTGGCTGCAGTTTTGTGAATAAGCTGTAGGGGGTAAGTATAGTAATGGGGAGATCAATTAGCAGGCTATATCAGTCGTCTAGGTGGGAGATACTCATAGTTTGGACCAGGGTAGTTGCAGTTGATGTGGGGAGAAATTGTCAGTTTTGAGATATATATTTGAAGGTAGAGCCATCAGGATTTCCCGACAGATTGGATGTGGATTATGAGAGAAAGTATTTTTCCTGGCGAGTGGTAGGATGGAGTTACAGTTAGCTGAGATAAGGAATATCTCGAGTGAAGCAGTTTCCAGGGAGAGATCAGGAGTTCAGTTTTGGGCATATTAACCTTTGAGATGTCTAATAACAGACATCTGAGTAGACATGTCAGTTAAGCAGTTGGTATAGGAATGTGAAGTTCCATGGAGAAGTTTGGGCTAGAGGTACATATTTGAGAATCAGTTCATTTGGATGATATTGAAAGCCATGAGACTGGATGAAATTACCAAGGGAGGGAGTGTAGATAAAAAAAGAGGTCCCAGGCCAGGTGCAGTGGTGTGAGCCTGTAGTCCCTGCTACTCTGGAGGCTGAGGCAGGAGGATCTCTTGAGCCCAGGAGTTTGAGGCTGTATTGTGTTATGATTGTGCCTGTGAATAGCTACTGCATTACAGCCTGGGCAACAGAATGAGACTTTGTCTCTTAAGGAAAAAAAAAAAAAACTCAGGACTAAGCCATAAACCCTGTATGATTGAGAGCTAAGAGAGAAAAGGAGAAAGAAGACCAAAAAGGAGTGATAAGTTAGGCTAGATAACCAGGGCAGAGGCTATGTTTTGGAACCCAAGTGGAGTGTTTCATTGAGGGGGGAAAAAATTGATCAACTATGACACACACTGCTAACAGGTCAAGGACGGTGAGGACTGAAGATTGACTATTGGATTTAACCACTTAGACATCGTTGGCCACTGAGCAGTTTCAGTGGAGTGATGGAAGCAAAAGTCTGATTAGAGTGGGTTTAAAAGAACAATTCTGGCCAGGTGCAGTGACTCGCACCTGTAATCCCAACACTTTGGGAGGCCAAAGTGGGAGGATTGCTTAAGCCTAGGAGTTTGAGACCAGCCTGGGCAACACGGCAAAACCCCGTCTCTACAAACAATATCAGAATTAGCCAGGCATGGTGGTGTGCACCTGTGGTCCCAGCTGCTTGGGAGGCTGAGGCAGGAGAAATCACTTAAGCCCAGGAGGTTAAGGCTGCAGTGAGCTGTAATTATGCCACTGCACTCCAGCCTGGGTGACAGAACAAGACCCTCTCTAAAAAAATAAATAATAAAAGGCATAGGTAGTGGTTACATGGTTGTCTTCACTGTATGATAATGCTCTTGAGCAGCACATTTGTCTTTTTCTGTGTGTAGGTTATATTTTAATGAAAAGGTTTTTAGAGATAGAATGGGAGGGCTGGAGTTGGAGACAGTGAATACAGATAACTTTTTGAGGGATTTTGCTATATAGGGAAGCAGGGAAATGGATGGTAGCTAGAAGAGGAGTCTGGCCAACAGGGGGACTTCATAAAGCTGGGACAGGTAATAACATGCTTCTATGCTGATGGGAATGCTCCAGTAGAGAGGGAAAAGTAGTCATATTTTTTCTCTTCACTTTTTCCCCTTCCCTTCACATACTTTTTCACTTCACTCAAGGACGTCACTCCCTTATTCTCCCTCAGTAATTCTCCCCTGAGGGAAGTCAGAATTACTGGAATGATGTCCTTGAGTAGACAAGAGACAATGTGGACATAGCTGCAGGTGGTGGGTAGATGTGTTACTTGGAGCATGTGGAAATTCTCTTTTGATCCTTTCAGTTTTTTTCAGTGAATAAGAAGCAAAGTCATCAGCTGAGAATGAGGATGCTAAAGAGGTATAGGAAGTTTGAAAAGAAGAAAATATATGAAATTATAGTTTAGGAAACAGCTAATGAAAGGACTGGGGGAACTTAGTATAACTGCCAGGAATTAAGGTTTATTTATTTAGAGGAAAATATACTTCACATGGTTGGATATTTGGATGTTTTCTCCAGTAATGCTGAACTACAGGAGAAGAGCTATGGAAAAACTGGAGAGGTTGCTTAATCAGCCGGAAGAGGGAGGTTTTTCTGAGTGAGTGTGGTGTGATATAAGAGGAGAACAAGGAAGTTGAAGGCATAGCAAAGGAATGGTTAGAATGATTGATCATAGAATTTAAGGTGGGCAAAAACAAGAGGACAATGGGGGAGAGTTAATAGAATTGTAGATTACAGTGGGGTCAGAGGAATGTTGGAGGTGAATGTCTGCTGGAAAGAGGAGGTCAGAAAGACGCTGAAAATTGGGAGTATTAAGCAATCTTGGTAAAGAAAATGTCTAGGATATGATCATGGGTGTGGCTGAGGTAGGGTGGTGGGCAAGCTCACTGGAGGAGAGTTGTTCAAATCTCCAAGTGTTGAAATCTCCAGGAATTAAGATAAGACTAGTGTAGGTCTTTTGGTTTCCAATCTGGCATATAAGAAGCTTGGAAGTCACTATTCTGTCCTAACAACAAGTAAAAAACTGAACAAACTGAAGAATCAAAACTCATCTTAGATCCATAGGAGAAGTGAGGTTGCATGGCAAACTGCTGTCCCCCAAACTGGAGAGACCAACAAGCAAATACAGATAATCACAACTTCCCAGAGCAGAAACCCAAAAGTAGCAACCTCCACAGGAGCTGGTGGTGGGGTAGGGGGACTTGAAGTCTTGTTGATGAATTGTTGGAGGTTCCGTGTTAAAAACTCCAGGTGGGCAGGGCACGGTGGCTCATGCCTGTAATCCCAGCACTTTGGGAGGCCGAGGTGGGCAGATCATTTGAGGCCAGGAGTTTGAGACCAGCCTGGCCAACTTGGCGAAACCCCATCTGTACTAAAAATACAAAAATTAGTTGGGCGTGGCAGCACGCACCTGTAGTCTCAGCTACTTGGGAGGCTGAGGCAGAAGAATCGCTTGAATCCTGGAGATGGAGGTTGCAGTGAGCCAAGATCGTACCACTGTACTCCAGCCTGGGCGACAGAGTGAGACTCTGGTTTTTTGTTTTTTTTTTTTGTTTTTGTTTTTGACAAAAAACTCCAGGGGTATCCAGTGTGAGGTCCCAACATTTTTGTGAATTTTACCTTCAGGAGCTCTTCCACATGGTGAAAATTAGAGAAAAATCACCTCATGCTTCCGACAAGGGGACGGGAAAGGGAACCATTTTAAAATATGCCAGAGCATTCTGTTCTTCTTAACAAGGTCTGATCTCCTTCAGGAGGAACTGTTTAACCAGAGATTAACTTGTGGGGCTTTATCAGAGCCTAACTGACCTGAGGAAAGGTAAATACTCAACTTCAGCCATTCTAGCCATCCTGTCCCACCTAAGGGAGAGAGAGGAACTGAGAAGCATGTGTAAAGTTCACAGTCTCAATATGGTCTTATTGAGGTACGGTCTTAGTAAAAGACCAAGACGTCACCATAGGACTGTAGAATGCTTCCTTTCCCCCAACACCTTACCACCATGTAATAAAGGCTTATTGACAGCACTTCCTTTTACCCGTGTACATCATGTTGGGCTATCAAGAAAATATTGCAAGATATACTAAAAGGTAAAAGACAGTTTGAAGAGACAGAGAAAGCATCAGAACCAGACTGAGCTGGAATAATCAGACTGGAAATTTAAAACAACTGTGATTAGTATACTAAGGTCTCTAATGAATAAAAAGCAAGCAAGATGTGCAATATAAGCAGAGGGCTAGAAATCCACGAAAGAAACAGAAATGCTAGAGATAAAAAACATTGTAGCAGAAATGAAGTATACCTTTTAAGGACTTCTTAGTAGACTGGATATGGCCGAGGAAAGAATCTCTGAGCTTTAGGATATCTCAGTAGAAACCTCCAAAACTGAAAAGCGAAGAGAAAAATAACCAGAAAAAGAAAAAAACAACAACAACAAAAAAACCTGAACTGTAATATAATATCTAAGAATTGTGGAACAGCTTCTAAGAGTATAACATGTAATGGGAATACTAGAAGGAGAAGAGAGAAAGGAACAGAAGCAATATCTGACTGAGGATTTCCCCTCATTAATGTCAGATACCAATCCACAGATCTAGGAAGCTGAGAGAACACCAAATATGAGAAATGCCAGAAGAACTTCAACTAGGCCTATCATTTGCAAACTACAGGAAATAAAAAATAACAAATACTGAAGCCAGAGGAAAAAATCCACCATACCTGTACAAGAGCAAAGATAATAATTAGATCTGATCTCTTTTCAGAAACCATGCAAGCAGAAGAGAGTGTAGTAAAATGTTTAAAGTGCTGAGAGAAAACACTCACCAATGTAGGATTTTATACCCTGTGAAATTATCCTTTAAAAATGGAAGAGAAATAAAGACTTTCTCAGACAAAAATTGGCAGAATATGTCATAGACTTACCTTGCAAGAAATGTTAAAAGTTCTTTTAGAGAGAAGGAAATGATAGAGGTCAAAAACTCTGGTGTATATAAAGCAAGTGAGAGCATTGAAGAGGGAATGAGTGAAGGTAAAATAAGTTTTATTTTTCTTAATTGATCTAATAGGTAACAGTTTAAAATAATAACATTGTATTCAATTACATATGCTCATGTATTACAATTACTTATGTGCTCATGTATAAGTGAAATGAATCACAATGTAAGAAACAGGAGATAGGAATTAGGATTATCTTGCTATTAAGTGGTACTTGCACCACCTGTGAAGTAGTAAAGTGTTATTTGAAAGTGGACTTGGATTAGCTGTAAATGAATATTGCAAACTCTAGGACCAGCACTAAAGTAAAACAAAAATACAACTAATAGCTAAGAAAAGAGACAAAATGAAATTATTTAAAATGCTCAGTTGGTGGAAGACAAAAATAGGAAAAAAGAACAAGGGCAACAAATAGAAAACCGTTACAAATATGGTAGATATTAATCCAACTGTGTCAGTTATTACTTTCAACATCAGTAGTGTAAATGCACCAATTAAAGATAAAGATTGTCATAGTGGATGAAAAAGTAAGACCCAACTATATGGTGTCTACAAGAAACCCACTTTAAATATAAAAATACATATACATATAAAGTAAATGAGTGGAGAAAGATATACCATGGTGATGCTAATTGAAAGAAAGCAGGAGTAGCTATATTAATTTCAGATGGAGCCAATTTAAAGTTAAGTTTTATTAGGTAAATAAAACCTGAGTTTTAATACACTTAAAGTTTTAAGTTCTAAAACTTACATTTTAATAAAACTTAATATAACTTAAGTTTCGCTGATATTGGGCTCCATATTCCAGAAATCACAGTGTAAGGGTTAGGAATATGGGAGATTGGTGCAGGTTAGGGAGCATGCAGAGCATTATGGGGATCAGTGTATGGGTTATGAAGGATAACCTTTGAGTTTGGGGCTTATGGGGACAGACATAATGAAGGGCAGGGTGTGATTAGTCCTGGCTGACTCAAGATAGTGGTGGTGAGGCTGTGCGTTTTTGGAGGTTGTTAGTTGTATTGTCTATGGCTCCCTCTGTCCTTTTCAGCTTGAGATGAAGAGGCCTGAGGCTCATTCTTGACTCCTGCTGGGGAAGGGGTTGTTTTACTCCAAGTATAGGGCTCATTGTTGACTCCTGTTGAATGAGAATAGAAAGTCTGTTAAATTTTATTTGTGAATTTGATAGCAAATACTGGTTAAACCTTCATCTTGTTATATGAAACTCTTTGTCCAGTATCTTCTCTTTATAGTATTACAAGAGGTAATATTGTAAAACCTTTCTTCAAAACTTGTGAAGTTATTACTTAAAGGAGCATTATATAATGACATTCTAAACATTATAGTGTAAATTTTATGACTGCCATTTTGATAAAGCATGCAGAAGAGTTAAGCCCAAATTAAAATCTGAAATACTTGGGTATAAAAAGAAGTTATTCCTTGAAGCTTTCTGTATAAAATATACTAGTACTTAGAATTCTAAATCAATGTCTTTGTTTACAGTTATCAGTGAATATCCTAACTAGCTGAATAATAGAGCTTGAAAAAAATGACAAATATTTTTTCCCCTTAGTTGGTGCTTCCCGTGCTGCTGTTGATGCTGGCTTTGTTCCCAATGACATGCAAGTTGGACAGACGGGAAAAATAGTAGCACCAGTAAGTATTGCAATAAAATATGCTGTGTAAAATGTTATGGGGATAAGTACTGTATGTATTTGTTGAACAGTGATCTCAGTGATTTACCTTACTCAGTGTTCCTGAGCAGTTAGCCAGTACCATGGTGAATATGTCATTTTCACAAGGTCTGTGTAGTTCTTGATCCTAGTAAAATGCCCAGCAGTTCTTAAATCCAGCTTATTATTCAAGTATTTTAAAGCAGTGGAACATTTTATCAAATTAAGTCATATTACATCAAATAAAACATTGATAAAAGCAGCATTTTATCAACTCAGATTTATAAGTTCACATTGATAAGATTTATTTCCATAAAGCCTTTAGAGAGTATAAAATCAATGAGAACAATGAACCTATTTTAATGAACAGAATTTTGAAATTGGGAGCTGTGAATGACAGTTTTAGTCTTATATCTTCCTGAACACCTAGTTTCTGTATTTTGTCTTATAGTATCAATTTCAGAAAATTCTGTTCTACATAGATAAGTGATACTAGAATATTCTTCAGTTAAGCCTGTCTAAAACTTGGAAGAGCAGGAAATTTTGGTCTCAAAGTTGAATCACAGTTGATAATGACTGTTTATATTTCTTAGGTGATACAGATTTTCAGTGAATAGGAGTCTCAGCCAGTTTAAACTTGTATAGTATGCAGGAAAACATGTTTTTTATATATTTCAAAACAATATGCAGTCTTGTCCATTAAAAAAAAATCTTACATCCCAGTGCTCTATTCTATGAGATATTCATTCACAGTTTTAAGATGCTGTAGTCAACATTTTCAAGGCTTATTTTTTATTTTTGAAGTTTTTTTTGTTTTGTTTTGTTTTGTTTTGTTTTGTTTGAGATGAGTCTTGCTCTGTCACCCAGGCTGGAGTACAGTGGTGTAATCTCGGCTCACTGCAACCTCCACCTCCTGGGTTCAAGCAGTTCTCTGCCTCAGCCTCCCAAGTGGCTGGGATTACAGGCGCCCACCACCATGCCTAGGTAATTTTTTTGTATTTTTAGTAGAGATGGGGTTTCATCATCTTGGCCAGGCTGGTCTTGAACTCATGACCTTGTGATCCACCTGCCTCGGCCTCCCAAAGTGCTGGAATTACAGCGTGAGCCACCGCACCCGGCCTGAAGTTTGTTTCGAAGTATTTGTTCAAGTCTTTTGCCTGTTGAAAACTTGAGTTCTTTTTCTTTTTCTTTTCTCTTTGTAGGAGTTTTTTATATAACCTACATACAAATTCTTTGTCAGATGTGTGTTGTATTTTTCCCATGCTAGGACTTCCTATTCATTTTCTTTTGATGAGTAGAGATTTCTAATTTTGATAACCTAATGCACCAGTCTTTCTTCTTATGCTTAATACGTTTTGTGTTACTCAACTTACTTGAAGTCAGAAAAGAAGTCAGAAAAGAAGATTTAAAGCTTAAAATACATATTAGAACTATTCATAAATTAAGTCACATCATCATGTGGCCTGTTTGCTTGTCATACCGAATTAGGCTGTGAGAGTGGATTTATTGAGCAGATGAGCTTGAGCCTTCCTTGACATTTAATGAGCTCTAGCACACATGCGCATATATATATATATATATGTATATATTTTAAGAGACAGGGTCTTGCTATGTTACCTGGGCTGGAGTGCAGGGGTTGGTCACAGGCATGATCATAACACACCACAGCCTCTAACTCCTAGCCTCAATTAATCCTGCCACTTCAGCCTCTTGAGTGGCTGGGACTGCAGGTATGTGCCACCATGCCTGACTGGCACACACATTATTTGTGGAAATCTTTCAATTTTACATAAGTAGACATCTGTAGGTCTGATTTCATAAAAGATCAGCAGACCCACAACCTTCTTAACCAAAAATATGTCTACAAGAAATTCAGGCTGGGCGCAGTGGCTCAAGCCTGTAATCCCAGCACTTTGGGAGGCTGAGGCAGTTGGATCACGAGGTCAGGAGATTGAGATCATCCTGGCTAATATGGTGAAACCCCGTCTCTACTAAAAATACAAAAAATTAGCTGGGTGTGGTGGCATGTGCCTGTAGTCCCAGCTACTGTGGGGGTTGAAACAGGAGAATTGTTTGAACCCAGGAGGCGGAGGTTGCAGTGAGCCGAGATTGTGCCACTGCACTCCAGCCTGGGCGACAAGAGCGAGACTGTCTCCAAAAAAAAAAAAAAAAGAAAGAAAGAAATTCAGAGATATACACTGAAGTGACAGAGACTTATTTTGACTGACAGAGAGTGCTTGTGGTTATCAAATAGAAGAGCAGAGTGGCAGGGAGTGGCTGGTGGTATCCTTTCCTATATTGAAAATAAATGGCATACCATCAGCATTATTCAATATTACTCTTATGGATATAGAACCATCGAAATTTTTTTTCATAAGGAAATATATTAAATGCTTTGAAGACTTTGACATAAACTATACAGCCTCCGAGAGAATTTTGATTCATTAACTCAGGGTGTGTGTGTGTGTGTGTGTGTGTGTATATACACACACATATACGCATATATGTGCATATACATATATACACACGTAATTTATGTATGTACATTTTGTTAAGGATCTGAAACTTTTTTTGGAAACTATATCTCAAATTTACAGAAAACTTACAAGTAGAGAACAAAAAACCTATATTTTTATGGGCCATTTGAGTAAGTTGCTGTGATCATCCCCAAATAGGTTATATAGGACATTTTCCTAATAACTACAATACAACTTTTTAAATTAGGATATTAACATTGATACATAATACCATCTAAGCATCAGACCCTGACATTCAGGTTTTGCCTGTTATTCCAAAAATGTCCTTTATAGCAAAAGGATATAGTGCAGAGTCACATATTACATTTTAACTGTCATGTGTCCTTCAATCTTAAATATTAATAGTTCCACAGTCTTACCTTCACTTCATGAGGGAATTGTGAAGATTACCAGACAGCTGTTTTATAGAATGTCCCTCAATTTGGATTTGTCTAATGTCTTCAATTTAGATTATATATCTTGAACAGGAATATCACAGAAGTGATACCTCATCCTATCAGATGGTATACAATTTCATTTGGTCTTTCATTTAATGATTTTCACTTTAATCCTTTGATTAAGGCAATATGTGCCAACTTCTCCACTGTAAAGTTACTTTTCCCATTGTAATACATATTTTATATGGAGGTACTTTGAAATGATGTAAATATCCCAGTTTTCCTCAAACTTTTTTTTTTTTTTTTTTTTTGAGACATAGTCTCGCTCTGTCGCTGAGGCTGGAGTGCAGTGGTGTGATCTCGGCTCACTGGAACTTCTGCCTTCAGGGTGCAAATGATTCTCATGTCTCAGCCTCCTGAGTAGCTTGGATTACAGGCATGCACCAACCCGCCCAACTAATTTTTGTATTTTTAGTGGAGACTGGGTTTTGCCATATTGGCTAGGCTGGTCTGGAACCCCTGGCCTCAAGTGATCCGCCCACCTTGGTCTCCCAAAGTGCTGGGATTACAAGCATGAGCCACTATGCCCGGCCAATAAACTTTTGATTTATTCATTTGTTTATATCAGTATGGACTTATGGTACCTATTTTATTCAATGGGTAAAAATCTATGGTTGTCATTATTATTGATGTACGAATTGTCCCATGTTTGGCTAGTGAGAGGCCCCTCTGTGTCTTTTTGATGTGTTCCCATCATTCTTTGAATCCTTTTTTACTTCCTGACAAGACAAGATGTTCCAGGCTCATTTTGTATTTTTCCTGTCCCATCTCTGGAACCAGTCCTTTCTCCAAGGAATCCTGGTTCCTTTTGCTGAAGAAAAGTATTTAGAAGCCAATATCTCAATGCTAGTTATGTTCATTGCTATTGAAATGTCACTGCTCCCATGACATCTCAGTGAAAAAAGCTAGAGAATGTGTGTGGGCATGTGTATGTCTAGGCAAATATATGCATATATATATTTACCTGCATATACAAACACATTTACATTTATATTTCTGTATCAGTTGTATATGTTGAAAACCATAAGTGTACACTGGTATCTCCAATTCTAGTCTCATACCACAGGGTTAATTTTGGTTTTCTCCCTTTTCCTATTTGTAATGCCTTTCTCCTATGGTGAGAAACCTAGACCCTGCCAGTACTCTACCCTGCACAGATGCCCTCCTTGCCCCACTCAAGCTCCAACACCTGGAACTGAATAGTCTTCCTGTATAGATACCCTCCCCACCCTACTTGGACTCTGGCATCTTTGTCTGGGTAGCTTTTTCCCAAGGTGGTTGCACAATTTTACACTCCTACCAACTATGTATGTGGGTTCTAGTTGCTCCTCATTTTCACCATTTGGTGTTTTAGACATTTTGGTGGATGTTACTGGTTTTAATTTGCATTTCCCTGCAATTAATCTGATGCTCATCTAATGATGATGAGCACGTTGTATTATTGGCCATTTAAACATCTTCCTTATGAAGTGCCTGTTCAAATCTTTTGCCCTTTTTTAGTTGAATTGCTTGTTTTCATTATTGAGTTGTAGACATATTTTATATATTCCTTTACAAGTTTCTTGTTAGATACGGGTTTTACAAATATTTTCTCACAGTCCATGGCTTACCTATTTATTTTCTTAATGGTATCAAATTGAGGAGGTTCCCTTCTGTTTCTGATTTGCTGAGAGTTTTAGGAATGTGTTTTGAATTTTGTCAGATGTTTTCTGCATCTGTTAAGATGATTGGATAGCTTTTTGTTGGGGTGATCAGACCCAACACCAGGCCATGGGGGCTACAAAATCCGGAGGAGTCAAAGGAATGAGAAAAGACAGGTTAAGAGAGAAAGTGGGAACAGAGGGCCAACTCTAGTATGGAGGCTGCAAAGGCCCCAAGCTCTGGGAGGCCATGCTATTTATTGATGATCAAACAAAGAAACAGGTGGTGAGGATGTGGGGGTTGAAAGGAAGCGATGTATCAAGCAAATGAGCTACAGCT
Organism: Homo sapiens; assembly: GCF_000001405.40. Classification (NCBI taxonomy): domain Eukaryota; kingdom Metazoa; phylum Chordata; class Mammalia; order Primates; family Hominidae; genus Homo; species Homo sapiens. The sequence continues at coordinate 76,269,440 of NC_000015.10, read as the reverse complement.
GTGATGGTGTAGCATTTTCTTTGAAACGTATGGCTACTTGAGATAATGGGTGTGCTAGAAGCAAGGAGCCAGCAAGTTTAGACATGTTCCAAAGGCCACTAGGTATTTTAGACCCTGGACCCCAGACATATTCCAAAACTCTTTTATATTATGTCAGACATGCAAGCCCTGCCTCAGTTTCTCTCCCAACACTCAGCTCTTCTCCCAACATGCCCCCCTTTTCTTTTTTGTAAAACCGCCACAGCTATCATTGCTTGTTCTTGACGGCAGCTTTCTCTCCAGCGGTGGCTTCCGCATCTGCAGACTAAAAGGAGACAGCACAAGCACATAATTATTAGAACAAAATCTGCAAGTGTAGAGCTTCCAATGGCCTTAATCCACTTAAGAGGATTGAATGTAGACAACCCATCGGCTGTCTTGTTGAAAATACCAGTTGTAGGGAGCAGGTTCAAGTGAGCCTGAGAGGCTTCAAAAACCTGCTATTTTAGTTTTACAATATCAAGGGTGAGATTTTCATCTCTGCCCTCCAGATGGCATTTAAGAGTAACATAACACAACTTTGAATCCAAAAGGTCCTCTTTTTGTTTTTGAATTAATTGAGCAAGGCAATTGCAGGCTGTGCAGCTCTTAATTGCCTGTTGGTGATCCAGCTTCATTTTTCTTAGCCCTTATTCAAAATGGAGTCACTCTGGTTTGAATGCCTCTTACATATTTCCTCTTTCCCTTTTACAAGAGGACCCTTAATTCTAAGGGTTGCAGAAGGATGGAGGTCTGTCTTCTGTAACTTCTTCATGCTGAATAGGGGTGATGATATTCCTGCCTACCTGTTAGGGTCTCTTGTATTTAGGGTAGAAGGGTAGAGAGGAATTCAGTCAGAAAACATTGGTCCATTAAGCATCTGTTGTAGCTCTGAATCCCAGCAAAAGGTAAAATCCTGGCACTCCAGCAGTTTCTCAGCTTCCTGTGTGGTTTTCTTGATCTGTCCCATGTTATGGGGGTTGATGTCAGCATGACTCTGGTTGGTCCTCGTTCCGTCTTCGTATTCAGATTGACCTGGCTCATGGCTTGTACTGGGGGAACCCGGTCCATGGTTGGGATCCATGGGTCCCTCCAGTCTCCCGCTCCATGGTCATACACACCTTGAGGGCACCCACACAGTTTTTTCATCTCCTGCAAAAGTACAAACATACCCTCACCCCTACATTAGTAAATCTACTGAAACAGAAGCAAAGGCTTTTTTTTTTTTTTTTTGCTGTAGCTGGGAGGCATGCCATTGCTGAAGCATTTGTAACTCAGCTTCTGCCTCTTTGGTTAATTACTGCGGGGTAAAAGTTACCATTGGTAATGAGAAGCAGGCTTTTTCTGATTAACAGAAGGCATAGAGAAACCAAATCGAGGCTTATCCTTCTTGTGCAATAGTATTGCAAAAAAGCAATCCTTAAACCTTCAATTTGCACTGTACAGGTGGGTCCACTAGATGCTGTGGCTCATGATAGATCTTCAGATGTTTGGTGGGCACCCACACAGACACCTGGTTGTCACCTGGAGAGACACAAGCAAATCGTCTTCCCCATATAATTATCTTTCCTTTTTCCCAGCTTTTTGTATGTGCATCCCTCCATCATATATCTTGTCCAGCCTTTTTATTTTCCTTTTGTCCTGTCAGTTGTTCAGCTGCAGTCGTGGGTTGATCTTTTTATAAATTTAAAAACTTTAATGTTAATAAAGCTAAATGCAATTGCATTTGCAGTGTCTTATATTGCTGGTCCCCTCCCTTTTGTATGTGAGTTTTTAAAGTAGGATTAGCTCTTTAAGCAATGTCAGTTTGAAAAACTTGCTGTTGAGGTCCTGCAAATTAGGCTTTTCCATTAGTAGATCCATCAGTAAAAACAGTAATGGCTGCTCCAGTGGGGGCTTTTTGAGTAACAGAAGGCAGTATCTAGGATGTTAATTATAGAAATGGAAATATCTTAGATTTAGGATAATAATTATCAAGAATGCCAACAAAACCGGCCAAATTAACTTGCCATTCTTGCGAATTAATATAGGCTTGTTGAATTTGTTGTTTTGTTAATGAAACTATAATCTGATTTGGATCATATCCCATTAGCTTTGTTGTGCGCAGCCTCGCTTGTCCTACTAGCACAGCAATTTGATTTAAGTACAGAGTGAGCGTTTTGGTTGTATTGTGAGGTAGAAAAAGCCACTCAACCAGATCATCCTGTTGAACTATAAACTCCTGTAGGCAAATGCTTAGTAGGAAAAACTAAAAACTGTAATGGCTGTATCAGATTAATTCGTTCTACTTGTGCTTGCTGAATTTTTTCCTCAATTGATGGAAGTTCCTCCAATGCTTCTTTGAACAGGGAGCATTTACTGTTAAGGTTAGAATCACCTTGTAAAGTAGAAAAGAGATGAGACATAGTATAGGTAGGCATGCCTAAAGTTGGATGAATCCAATTAATGTCTCCTAATAATTTTTAGAAATCATTTAAGGTTTTTAAATTATCTCTTCAAATTTGAATTTTTTTTTTTTTTAAACGGAGTCTCGCTTTGTCGCCCAGGCTGGAGTGCAGTGGCGTGATCTCAGCTCACTGCAAGCTCCGCCTCCCAGGTTCACGCCATTCTGTTGCCTCAGCCTCCTGAGTAGCTGGGACTACAGGCGCCCGCCACCACACCCAACGAATTTTTTTGTATTTTTAGTAGAAGCGGGGTTTCACTGTGTTAGCCAGGATGGTCTCCATCTCCTGACCTCATGAGCCACCCGCCTTGGCCTCCCAAAGTGCTGGGATTACAGGCATGAGTCACCGCACCCGGCCAAATTTGAACTTTTTGAGGCTTAATAGCACTTTGTTCTAACTTCATTCCTTGATATTGAAAGGGAGTAGAAGTTTGGATTTTATCGGGGGCTATAATTAACCCTGCCGCATTTACAGCCTTTTCTGTTTGTAGCACATCAATTCTTCCCTAGTTTCAGCTGCACACAAAATATCATCCATGTAATGGATAATATAACATTTTTTTAAACTGTTCTCCAACTGGCTTAATAGCTTTCCCGACATAAGTTTGACAAATAGTCGGGCTATTTAATATGCCTTGTGGCAGTACTTTCCAATGATACCTGTGCACTGGTTTGTTATTATTTATGGCGGGAACAGTAAAAGCAAATTTTTCATAATCTTGGGCAGCTAAAGGAATGGTAAAAAAAGCAATCCTTTAGATCTATCACTATAAGAGGCTAGTATTTTGGAGTCATTGTTGGGGAGGGCAGCCCTGGTTGTAGCTTGCCCATCGGTTGAATTACAGCATTAACAGCCCTCAAATCTGTTAGCATTCTCCATTTACCCGATTTTTTCTTAATGACAAATACAGGAGAATTCCAAGGGGAGAAAGTAGGCTCTGTATGTCCCTTTTGCAATTGTTCCTGCACCAGTTATTTTAAAGCTTCCAGTTTTTCCTGTTTCAGTGGCCATTGCTCCACCCAAACTGGTTTGGCAGTTAGCCAAACAAGAGGAATGGGAGCCAGAGGCTCAACAATGGCCACTGCTAAAAATGATACTCCAATCCAGTCTGATCTGTTTGTCCTTCTGAAGGTTCTGATTGGCCATTTTTGTTTTTTCCTAGTCCTTCTCCTGAGCAATATCCCATATTTTTCATCATTTGTCCACTAATATCACTATATTGATCCATAGGAATAGATATTTCAGCACCCCATTGTTGCAATAAGTCTCTACCCCATAAATTGACAGGAATAGGTGTAATAATAGGTTGGATTGTCCCTGCCATCCCGCCCTTGACATGGTAAAATCAAGGGACTTGAAAAACTTCTGAGGCAGTCCCTACGCCAACGATACCCGTGGAAGTCTTTTGTCTGGGCAAGTGTCGAGGCCATTGATTTAAAGCAATAAATAGAGACATCAGCTCCAGTATCTACTAGTCCTTCAAAATCCTTTCTCTGAATAGTTACTATACAAATAGGTCTTTTATCAGACACTTGATTAACCCAATATAAAGCTTTTCCTGCTGGATTAGTACTACCAAAGCCTCCTGTTCTCTTCACTGTGCTGCTTCCTAGTTTTATGTAGGGTAGCAGCAACAACTGAGCAATTCATTCTCTTGGGGAGGCAGACCACGGAGTCGAGGAACTAATAACTAGTTGAATCTCTCTGGTATGATCAGAGTCAATTATTCCCATATGCACAGTGACACCTTTTAAATTTAGACTAGAACTTCCAAGTAATAGACTGACTGTTCCTGAGGGTAAGGGTCCCCTAACTCCCATGGGGACCTTCTTTGGTGGCTCCCTAGGAAGGAGACAGGAATTGTGCTGCAGAGGTCTATGGCAGCACTGTCTGCTGTGGCGGGGGACAGCTGTATGTTTGTTAAGGGCACTGGCTGTGCCGGATATGCCTCAGTTTGTTGAGGGGCCGAAGGCAGGCCCCTCTTCCTATTTCCTGAAAGAGGTTGTCCATCTTTGCTAAATTTAGAATGGCACTGATTTGCCCAGTGATTGCCTTTCTTACACCAGGGACATACACCAGGACTTTTCTGTTGATGGATGGTAGTGGTTTTTCCTTTTGATTTCCATTTCTACATTCCTTTTTTGTGTGTCCAAATTGCCCACAATTAAACCAAGAGCCTGAGAAACGGGACATATTCTTTCCTACTTTCAATCCAGCCATAGCCTTAGCTAAAAGAGTAGCCTTATGTAAGTTACCTCCAATGCCATCACAAGCCTTAATATATTCAGCTAAATGAGCCTTCCCTCTCAGGTGTCTAATAGCAGTTTGACACTCTGCATTAGCATTATCATATGCAAGAAGCTGTATTATAACATCCTGAGCTGTTTTATCAGTTATGGCTTTATATACAGCCACAGCCTCTTGGAGCCAAGCAATAAAATCAATATATGGTTCTTTAGGTCCTTGTCAGACAACTGAAAGAAGGATATTTTTCCCCCTGTAACATTTACCCTTTCCCATGCCCATAAGCACACAGAGCACAGCTGAACAATGGCAACACCCTCCATTACTTCTTGATTCTCTAATCGACCCCAATTAGGGCCAACTCCCAGTAACTGTTAAAAGGAAACAAGCACAGGTGACTGCACTTGTGTGTTTTCCCTTGCCTGAGTTTGAGCTTCCTCAGCCCACCATGTTTTAAACTGCAAGTACTGGGACGGAGTGAGAACAGATTTTGTTAAAGTATCCCAATCATATGGTATTAACCTATTATCAAGAGCCACATTTTTCAACAAAGTTTTCACAAAAGGAGAGTTCGGTTCATATTGAATAATGGCTTGCTTAAATTCCTTTAAAACTTAAAAGGAAGAGTGGCCCAATTAGCTATATTCTGTCCTTCTTGCTGGGTTTGCCATGCTTCAAGGTCTCCCTCAGCTCTAGCTTTTTGAATAGAATTTTGTATAGCACCACCAATTGCTCCAGGTTTTAATGTTGCAACTACAGGAGGAGTAAGTTTTTCAGCTGATTCATTTTCTCACCCAGTAAGGGGGAGAGAGGAGGTGGCCATTCACTTAATTCAGCAGGTGGAGCTGATGGGCTAGTAAAACATACTTTTTTTAGTTTTCCTTTCTTTTCTTTAATCTCCTCCGGTAGCTGTTTCTCACACTCAGAATCTGAAGTTAGTTTTTTACACTCGTCCTCCTCTTCCTCATCTGAATCTGCCTCATCATCGTTTGAAATGGCTCAGGAGCTACCTTTATTAGTGCCCACACTGACCAAATGGAAACTGGAATTTTTGCTCTGTCTTTATACACCTTTTTAAAATCTCTTCCCGTTGTCTCCCATTCATCCAACTCCATAGTCCCTTGTTCCGGAAACCATGGGCAAAACTGCTTTACTGTACTAAAGAGTGATAACAAATTCTGAGTACTAACTTTCACTCCCCTTTGTAATAAATGCCTTAAGAAATTCAAATAAGCAAAATGTTTGCTTTAACTTCATCCCATTGTTACCCTGGTTCTTCCAAGCGCTCAGCTTCCTCACCGAGCTTCTTTCAGTCGTCCCTGGGTGTCCTCTGACGATGCATCCTCCGCTTTCACATGCTCTAGCGTTCCTTCACTGTGGTCTTTGTCGCCCCATGTTGGGTGCCATGAATATTGGGGTGATCAGACCCAACACCAGGCCATGGGGGCTACAAAGTCCGGCGGAGTCAAAGGAATGAGAAAAGATGAAAGAAAGTGGGACCAGGGGGCCAACGCTAGTATGGAGGTTGCAAAGGCCCCAAGCTCTGGAAGCCCACACTATTTATTGGTGATCAAACAAAGAAACAGGTGGTGAGGATGTGGGGGTTGAAAGGAAGTGGTATATCAAGCAAATGAGCTACAGCTATGATGGTGTAGCATTTTCTTTGAAACATATGGCTACTTGAGATAAGGGGAGTGCTAGAAGCAAGGAGCCAGCAAGTTTAGACATGTTCCAAAGGCCACTGGTGCCTACCGGGGCCGTCCTGACACATCTATTCTTAGGTATAGAATTTCAGGTATAGTTCCCCCCAGCACTTTTAAGTTCCATTGTCTTCTGGTCTTCATTGTTTCTAATGAGAGCTCAGCCATTATTTGTATTGTTCCTTTGTATGTTTTTTGTTGTTGCTTTCAAGATTTTATCTTTATCGTAGATCTTTAGAAGTTTGATTATGATAGGCCGGGTGTGGTGCCTCATGCCTGTAACCCAGCACTTTGGGAGGCCGAGGTGGGCAGATCACCAGGTCAGGAGATCGAGACCATCCTGGATTACACGGTGAAACCCCGTCTCTACTGAAAATACAAAAAATTAGCCGGGCATGGTGGCAGGCGCCTGTAGTCCCAGCTACTCAGGAGGCTGAGGCAGGAGAATGGCATGAACCCAGGAGGTGGAGCTTGCAGTGAGCCGAGATTGCACCACTGCATTCCAGCCTGGGTGACAGAGCGAGACACCTTCTCAAAAAAAAAAAAAAAAAAAAAAAAAAGGGGGTTTGATTATGGTATACCTAGGGGTGTGTCTTTTTGTATTTAACCTGCTTCAGATAGCAAGCTTCTTAAATCTATAAATGTATGCCTTTTACCACATTTGGGACGTTTTATGTTACTATTTTTTCTGCTTCATTTTTTTTTCCTCACTTTTGTTCTGGGACTCTAGTTACACATGTTTTAGATATCTTGATGTTCTTTCCCAGATTGCTGGAGTTCTGTTGATTCTTTTTCCTCTTTTTTTTCCCTACTCTATAGCTTGGATCATTTCTTTTGGTCCATTTTCAGGGTCACTGACTCTTGTATAATTTTAATATGCTTTTAAACCTATCCAGGGACTTTCTTATTCTAGGCTTTATATTTTTTAGTTTGAGATTTGCATTTAGTTGTTTTTAAAATTTTTATTTCTCTAATTTCTTATCTGTTTGACCATTACAGATATTTTACTTTACATCCTTGCGCATAGGTATAGTACCTACTTTAAAATCCTTGTGTGCTAATTCCAAAATCTGGATCATTTCAGGACTGGTCTCCTAGGCTCAAGCGATCCACCTATCTTGGCCTCTCAAAGTGCTGGGGTTACAGGTGTGAACCACTGCACCTGGCCTGAGTGAATATTTTACCACTTTATAATATTATGCATTGTTCATTTAGAAAATAATGGTTTACTGAGTTATGAAGATCTTCCAAATGTTGACACATTTGTCGATATAAAAAGTCACATTCAGCCCTCCTCCCTCCTCACTCGTGGGCCGGGCCTGGCATGGTATGGCATCACCACAGATGGTGCTGAGGCACAGCATGGGGCGGCTGGGGCTCCTGCTGCTGCCGCCACAGCAGCTGGGGCTGCTGCTGGCGGCTCTGACTTCTCTGCTGCTCCCAGAGTCCGCAGCTGCAGGCAGGTCTGAAGCTCGTGGGAGTCCCGGCAAAGCTGACAGTGTCCCAGGGGCAGCTGGTAAAGCTCAGCTGCAGCATGGAGGGGATGGAGGAGCCTGACATCCAGTGGGTGAAGGATGGGTCTGTGGTCCAGAACTGGTTCATCCCAGTCAGCGAGCAGCACTGGATCGGCTTCCTCAGCCTGAAGTCAGTGGAGCGCTCTGACACGGGCCAGTACTGGTGCAAGGTGGATGGGGGCGAAACCCAGATCTCCCAGCCAGTGTGGCTCACGGTAGTAGGTGTGCCACTTTTCACAGTGGAGCCAAAAGATCTGGCAGTGCCACCCAATGCCCCTTTCCAACTGTCTTGCAAGGCTGTGGGTCCCCCTGAACCTGTTACCATTGTCTGGTGGAGAGGAACTACGAAGATCGGGGGACCTGCTCCCTCTCCATTTGTTTTAAATGTAACAGGGGTGACCCAGAGCACCCATGTTTTCCTGTGAAGTTCACAGCCTAAAATGCCTGGCCTCTTCTCGCATAGCCACTGTTCTCCTTCAAGCACTGCCTGCAGTCCCCTTCAACATCACCGTGACAAAGCTTTCCAGCGGCAACACTAGTGTGGCCTGGATGCCAGGTGCTGATGGCCGAGCCCTGCTGCAGTCCTGTACAGTTCAGGTGACACAGGCCCCAGGAGGCTGGGAAGTCCTGGCTGTTGTGGTCCTTGTGCCCCCCTTTACCTGCCTGCTCCGGGACCTGGTGCCTGCCACCAGCTACAGCCTCAGGGTGTGCTGTGCCAATGCTTTGGGGCCCTCTCCTTATGCTGACTGGGTGCCCTTTCAGACCAAGGGTCTAGCCCCAGCCAGCGCTCCCCAAAACCTCCATGCCATCCACACAGATTCAGGCCTCATCTTGGAGTGGGAAGAAGTGATCCCCGAGGGCCCTTTGGAAGGCCCCCTGGGACCCTATAAACTGTCCTGGGTTTAAGACAATGGAACCCAGGATGAGCTGACAATGGAGGGGACCAGGGCCAATTTGACAGGCTGGGATCCCCAAAAGGGCCTGATCGTACGTGTGTGTGTCTCCAGTGCAGTTGGCTGTGGACCCTGGAGTCAGCCACTGGTGGTCTCTTCTCATGACCATGCAGGCCAGAAGGGCCCTCCTCACAGCCGCACATCCTGGGTACCTGTGGTCCTTGGTGTGCTAACGGCCCTGGTGACGGCTGCTGCCCTGGCCCTCATCTTGCTTCAAAAGAGACCGAAAGAGACGTGGTTTGGGCAAGGCTTTGACAGTGTCATTTCCCGGGGAGAGCCAGCCATTCACTTCTGGGCAGCCCGGTCCTTCAATCAAGAAAGGCCCAAGTGCATCGAGGCCACATTGGAAAGCTTGGGCATCAACAGCGAACTAAAGGAAAAACTGGAGGATGTGCTCATCCCAGAGCAGCAGTTCACCCTGGCTGGATATAGGGCAAAGGAGAGTTTGGTTCAGTGCGGTAGGCCCAGCTGAAGCAGGAGGATGGCTCCTTTGTGAAAGTGGCTATGAAGATGCTGAAAGCTGATCTCATTGCCTCAAGTGACATTGAAGAGTTCCTCAGGAAAGCAGCTTGCATGAAGGAGTTTGACCATCCACATGTGGCCAAACTTGTTGGGGTAAGCCTCTGAGCCTCTGGAGCAGGGCTAAAGGCTGTCACCCCATCCCCGTGGTCATCTTGCCCTTCATGAAGCATGGGGACCTGCACGCCTTCCTGCTCACCTCCTGGCTTGGGGAGAACCCCTTTACCCTGATCCGGTTCATGGTGGACATTGCCTGCAGCATGGAGTACCTGAGCTCTCGGAACTTCATCCACCGAGACCTGGCCGCTCGGAACTGCATGCTGGCAGGGGACATGACCGTGTGTGTGGCTGACTTTGGACTCTCCTGGAAGATCTACAGCGGGGCTACTATTGTTAGGGCTGTGCCTCCAAATTGCCCGTCAAGTGGCTGGCCCTGGAGAGCCTGGCTGACAACCTGTATACTGTGCACAGTGATGTGTGGGCCTTCGGGGTGACCATGTGGGAGATCATGACACGTGGGCAGACACCATACGCTGGCATCGAAAACACTGAGATTTACAACTACCTCATTGGCGGGAATCACCTGAAACAGCTTCCAGAGTGTATGGAGGACGTTCTTACACTCCCACTCCATCCAAGCCAAGGTCTCCTTAGGCCTTCAGACGACCTTTTGTATGATCTCATGTACCAGTGCTGGAGTGCTGACCCCAAGCAGCGCCCAAGCTTTACTTGTCTGCGAATGGAACTGGAGAACATTCTGGGCCAGCTGTCTGTGCTATCCGCCAGCCAGGACCCCTTATACATCAACATCGAGAGAGCCAAGGAGCCCACTGTGGGAGGCAGCCTGGAGCTGCCTAGCGGGGATCAGCCCTACAGTGGATCTGGGGATGGCAGTGGCATGGGGACAGTGGGTGGCACTCCCAGTGAATGTTGATACATCCTCACCCCTGGAGGGCTGGCTGAGCAGCCAGGGCAGGCAGAGCACCAGCCAGAGAGTCCCCTCAATGAGACACAGAGGCTTTTGCTGCTGCAGCAAGGGCTACTGCCACACAATAGCTGTTAGCTCACAGGCAGAGGGCATCAGGGCAATTTGGCTGGCTCTGATGGCCACTGTGCTGGCTGACAAAGCCCTGTCTGACCTCAGCCCAGACAGCAAGGTGTGGAGGCTCCTGTGGTAGTCCTCCCAAGCTGTGCTGGGAAGCCTGGACTGACCAAATCACCCAATCCCAGTTCCTCCTGCAACCACTCTGTGGCCAGCCTGGCATCAGTTTAGGCCTTGGCTTAATGGAAGTGGGCCAGTCCTGGTTGTCTGAACCCAGACAGCTGGCAGGAGCAGAGTGATTATGTTTCCATGGTTACCATGGGTGTGGATGGCAGTGGGGGGTCCAGGTCCAGCCCTGTAGGCTCTACCGTCCCGCTGAGCTGCTCCTGCTGCTTAAGTGCATGCATTGGGCTGCCTCCAGCCTGAGGGCCCAGCTGTTACCACCCTCGGGGTTTAAATATCCAGGTTTGCCCCTCCAAGTCACAAAGAGATGTTCTTGTAATATTCCCTTTTAGGTAAGGGTTGGTAAGGGGTGGGTATCTCAGGTCTGAATCTTCATCACTTTTCTGATTCCGTACCCTGTCTAGGCCAGGAGAAGTTGAGGGGAGGATGCTTCCCTGCAGCTGACCGGGTCACACAAAGGAATGCTGGAGCACCCAGGCTATAAGGTGTCCCTCTTCCAAAGGCAGCGTGCTGAGCCAGCAAGAGGAAGGGGTGCTATGAGGCTTGCCCAAGAGCGAGTGAGGCTGGAGAGGAGTTCAGGAGCCCCTCTCCATGCCCACAATCTGAGCATGCTACCAAATTTCAAAATATCTTTATTTATTTATTTATTTATTATTATACTTTAAGTTTTAGGGTACATGTGCACAATGTGCAATTTAGTTACATATGTATACATGTGCCATGCTGGTGTGCTGCACCCGTTAACTCGTCATTTAGCATTAGGTATATCTCCTAATGCTAACCCTCCCCCCCTCCCCCCACCCCACAACGGTCCCCACAGTGTGATGTTCCCCTTCCTGTGTCCATGTGTTCTCATTGTTTGATTCCCACCTATGAGTGAGAACATGCGTTGTTTGGTTTTTTTGTCCTTGCGATAATTTACTGAGAATGATGATTTCCAATTTCATCCATGTCCCTACAAAGGACATGAACTCATCATTTTTTATGGCTGCATAGTATTCCATGGTGTATATGTGCCACATTTTCTTAATCCAGTCTATCATTGTTGGACATTTGGGTTGGTTCCAAGTCTTTTCTATTGTGAATAGTGCTGCAATAAACATACGTGTGCATGTGTCTTTATAGCAGCATGATTTATAGTCCTTTGGGTATATACCCAGTAATGGGATGGCTGGGTCAAATGGTATTTCTAGTTCTAGATCCCTGAGGAATCGCCACACTGACTTCCACAATGGTTGAACTAGTTTACAGTCCCACCAACATTGTAAAAGTGTTCCTCTTTCTCCACATCCTCTCCAGCACCTGTTGTTTCCTGACTTTTTAATGATTGCCATTCTAACTGGTGTGAGGTGGTATCTCATTGTGGTTTTGATTTGCATTTCTCTGATGGCCAGTGATGATGAGCATTTTTTCATGTGTCTTTTGGCTGCATAAATGTCTTCTTTTGAGAAGTTCTGTTCCGAACAGACACTTCTCAAAATATCTTAAGACTAACAAAGGCAGCTGTGTCTGAGCCCAACCCTTCTAAATGGTGAACTTTAGTGCCAACTTCCCCTCTAACTGGACAGCCTTTTCTGTCCCAAGTCTCCAGAGAGAAATCAGGCCTGATGAGGGGGAGTCCCTGGAACCTGGGCCCCAGCCTTGGTGGGGGAACCTCTGGAATGCATGGGGCGGGTCCTAACTGTTAGGGACATTTCCAAGCTGTTAGTTGCTGTTTAAAACAAATAAAATTGAAGACTTAAAAAAGAAAGTCACGTTCGTTAATATAGGCATGCATCACTTAACAATAGGGATATATTCTGAGAAATGTGTCATTAGGCGATTTTGTTATTGTGTAAGCATCATAGAGTGTACTTACACAAACCTAGATGGCATAGTCTACTAAACACCTAGGCTATATGGGGTAGCCTATTGCTGCTAGGCTACAAACCTGTATAGTATGTTACTGTACTCAATACTGTAGACAATTGTAAAATAGTATTTGTGTATCTAAACATAAAAAGTTAATATGTTGTGCTATGATGTTACAATGTCTATGACATCACTGAGGTGATAGGAATTTTTCAGATTCATTATAATTTTATGGGACCACCCTTATATATGCAGTGTAATGTTGACCAAAAACTGTTGTTATGTGGTGCATCACTCATCTTGTTCATCTTGTTAGAAGAATCTTCAAAGCTCATAGTCATCGGTACAAGTGTTTTAGAATTTTGATTTTCACTTAAAAGTTCAAATTTTGTCCTTGATAAGAAATACTATCAGTTGTTATCTCAGAATTGATGAGGTCACTTTATTCACAGTAAGATATCTGCGAAAAATGCAAATGCCTGTCAGATTTTCTTTGAAGTAAAAATTGTGTTTCATGAAAAAAGTACCTGGTTCAGCTTGCAACTCAAACTATTAAACAAGTGCTTTCCCTCGAGACAACCCATTGTACTTTGGTATGAAGTGGAAGTGCTTTCTACATTCTTCACAGTTTGTCACACAGAATATTAAATATACATGTAATCCAAGGTCAAGATTTAATAAGGTTAATATTTTTTTTTTTTTTTTTTTTTCCTTGAGACGGAGTCTCACTCTTATTGCCCAGGCTGGAGTGCAGTGGCACCATCTTGGCTCACTGCAACCTCCACCTCCCGGGTTCAAGTGATTCTGGTGCCTCAGCCTCCTGAGTAGCTGGGATTACAGGTGTGAACCACTATGCCTGGCTAATTTTTGTATTTTTAGTGGAGATAAGGTTTCACCATGTTGGCCAGGCTGATCTCAAACTCCTGACCTTAAGTGATCCACCTGCCTTGGCCTCCCAAAGTGCTGGGATTACAGGTGTGAGCCACCGTGCTCTGCCAAGGTTAATAATTCTTACTGCTTTATCAAGGACCTTAGGTGAAAGTGGCTTTAAAAAAAAAAAACAACAAAAAACTGTGAGTATGTGGCCATGAAGAATGCAGTGAGTTTGGTGCCACTGACTTGAAACTACCACTAAGGCAGTGTTACCCACCATCATTTTCACATCATCAGTGCAAATGTCAATTTGGTTTTTCCAGAATAAACCATGGGATTCCAAAAAGCTATTTAACCTTTTGAGTATTTCATCACCACTTGTGTTCATTGCCAAGGATTCATGTAAAAATATTCTTCAGTGATTCCTTGATATCAATACTGGACAATAGAAGTAAAGCAGGAAACACAGTCATGTCTACAGACTTGTCAGGCAAAAGTATAATTTTGCAGATGAAATATTATCTTCATATTCATGTTTACAGCTAAATATTTTATTCAGCAAGTTACGTACCACTGGAATGTGACAGTGCCATGATTTGTTTTCCTGATTTTTCAAAGCAGGAATTCAGCAATGTCACCTTTATTAGTCTCTCAGCAACTATACTTCTCTAACCAATGAAATATGATAACTTAAGATTCTTCAGTGACTTTTTCTTTTCTAGCTTGAAAAGCTAAAATAACAGCTTTTGGCTCTTAAACTCATGTCATTTATGTTAAAATAAAATCCAGTTTAGTTTTCTCTCAACTCTGAATGTTTGTTTTGAAAATAGTCATCACTTCCTTTGCATAAGATAGAGTAAGGTAAATTATTAGCATCTGTAAACCTAAGAGAAAGATAACTTTTTCATATATTTATTTCACACAGTATTTTTTAGAGTATATTTCTCTTTTCCATAAGTTAGAGAACTCTGTTATCGGTTTCATCTTTTTCAGCATCTTTAGACATGGTTGTTGCTGCAGTGGGTTGAGAAAGTTAGTCTTCTCTATTTCAGTATAAATATTATCAAAATAGAATAGTTTTAGAGAAATTTAAAAATGAATAAAAGTTTAAAAAAATGTAAATGTTATTGCCATGTAAGACAACAGTGTATTTCTTGTGTTTCCTTGCAGGCACAAGGAAACCTTTAGTATTTCAAACATTGGTTTATTGAACAATAATGAAATTATAGAAATTATAGCAGTTTTAACTGTAAGAACACACACTGCTGTACTGTCCTGAGAACAAACTAAGTTAATCCCTATATACACACAAATTTATACCTAAAATCAACTACCTTAAAAACTTTTAGGAAACATAAAAATACAGATGCATACATTCTATTAGCCATCAGAGTGATGGTTTCTTTAAAAGTCTTGGCACCTCTGGGAAACTCCATTGCGCACTGTGAGAGAATGAAAGAAAAAAACGGTAAATAACATCTTAGTATTACTATGAAAATAGGTTTGACTTTGCAGAATCCCTGAAAGGGTCTTGGGGCTCTCGGGGTTATCCTGACCATATTTTGAGAATTGCTGGTTGTCTAATAGTTTTGTAATATATTGTACAGACACTGAATACGTTGTAGAGATTATGGATTCTGTTATATTCCTATTAAGAATATTAACTTTGTGTTTTAGCAGGCAGTTAACTTGGCTGAACTCAAATTCCAGACTCAATCTCCTTATGTTCAGTTCTTTTAGTCTTAGCCTGGCAGCCTAGAGCTCACCTCATACATGCCTAATGCGGGGGTCAGCCAGAGTTTTGAGTGGAGTGTATGTACAGAGTTTGTGGTTCTCCCTCTGTGGTTCTCTCCTTCTGGAATTTTTCCCTCACTTTCCAGCTGGTTTGGCAGTCACGAATACTGTCTTTTGTGTGTTTCCTCAACCAAAAAGACTGCAGGTTTCTATCCAGAGTATCTCCTTTCGGATTGGCTTTTATCCCTGTGGGGAATCTGCAAATGCCCCAAGGGAGGAAATGGAGATATATGCTGGGCTCATTTCAATGTGCCTCCCTCCCTTACAGGATTCTGCCTCCTTCAGTGCTGCCTGCCTAAGTTGATCTCCATTGTACTTAAACAGTTGCTATCTGTGTTTTAACCAGATTTTGTAGTTGTTCTCAGCAGGAGGATTGGTCTGATACAAGCTATTCCCTTAGGGCCATAAGCCAAGAGTCCTGAGGCCCAGAATTGAATGCATTACTTCACTTGTGCTCTGACTAGTGCAGAGTTGGATTATTATCTCCCTAAATAATATTTTAATTAATGCTACTTAATAATGCATTAGGTTTTTGGCAGCCATATCCTACTGTTGGCAAGAATTACACTTGTGGCCATCCAAAATCTCTCCCCTCCCCCACTTGAATTGCCTGCTATTAAACCACGTCTCCTTTGTCTAGGAATAATTCAGTATTTCTTTGTTTTTAAAGCTGAACGCAGTATTTTCATTTATTCTTATTTAATTTGGGTCTGTTTTCTCTACCATTGAAGCCTCTTGAATCTTTTAAAGCTTGATTTCGTTTTCTACTTTCCTTTCAACTTTATATTGTTTGAAAATCCTCTCATTTTTTGCCACTTTGAATAGCTATGGAAAGCATCATCAGCACTGCTCTTTCTGATGATCAATAGTAATAAGTTCCCTACTTCATAAAGTAAGGGGACACAAAGTCTGATTTGGTTATCCTCACAAAATAATATTTTATTAATTTGAAAAAAATATGTAATACTCAAAGGATGCCGTGAATTTTGTTATTTTTTTAAATGCTTTTTTGGGTCATTCACAATAATTTACATATGAATATGAAAGATTATGGAACAATTCCTAGTATGCTTATGGATTCATGCTCTCTGCAAGAATTCAGACCCAGTGATAGGAAAACACTAGTCAGTTCATAGCTTACTATTGTAACAAAGACTTCTTCTCCTCTTTATTTTTTATTTTGAAATGATTTCAGACTTACGAAAAGTTGAAAATTAAAAGCAGTACAGCTGAGCACCGTGGTGTACGTCTGTAGTCCCGGCTATTCAGGAGACTGAGGTGGGAGGATTGCTTGAGGCCAGCAGTTAGAGACTGTAGTACACTATGATCATACCTATCAACAGCCACTGCACTCCAGCTTGCATAATGCAGCAAGACCCCATCTCTTTAAAAAAAAAAAAAAAAAAAAGTACTCTGTGTGTGTGTGTGTATACACATACATTTTTTCTGAACTAGTTGATAGTAACATTTATAGCCCTTTACCCCTAAAGACCTCAGTATGTATTTCCTAAGAATAGAAATATTCTCTTATATAACCAAAACACATTTATATACCATATCCCAATTTTGTCAGTTCATATTCTGATTCCAATTTTTTATTTTCTAATGGAATACTCCAGTTTTATCAGTTAGCCTAATACAGAATCCACTTTAGGGCCAAGTATTGCGTTTAGTTGTCATCTCTTTAGTCTTAAGTTATATGGTTGTGGTAAGGGATGGTTCTTGGTTCTTATTTAGTCTCAGTCTTAGGCAGATCCTCTGCACTTGGGCCTCAGAGTGAGGCTTTCTCAGTGTTCTTGCCCCTGCCCCCTGCATCTCTACCTATGGCAGCCAAAGTCTGCTTTATCTGTAGTGATGGTAGCAGTTTGAGTCATCCTGAGAAAATTCAGGTGAAAGATAAAGGCTAGAAAGATAGGCTGAAACGAGGTGAGAGTGTGTAAATAAAAATTCTGGCTGTGTGAGGTGGCTCATGCCTATAATCCCAGCACTGGAGGCTGAGTTGTAGAATGTACAATAAGTTTACCTGTGAAGTAGAAGGAAACCCAGGAGTTCAAGGGTGCAGTGAGCCGTAGTTGTGACGCTACACTCCAGCCTGGGTGACAGAGTGAGACCCTGTCTCTAATTATATAAAAATAAAGTCACCTTAATAAAAAAGATTCTATATGGTCCTGTCCATTTGCTAGATGTGGGCTGCAAATTTGGTTTTTAGAAGCCAATTCATATTGGGAAACAAGATCAGTGCCCTGAGGTACAGTGTCCCAACGTAAAAACAAACTAATGGCACATGGGAAGTATCATTTGGCCTGGTATCAAGATCAGAGAGAGAGATATATCCCTTGAGTCCTTATAAAGAAGGCTCTATTGATTGACATCCTCAACAATACCTTTACTGTAAATAAGACAGTGGTTTCATAGGACTGCGTTTTTAATAATGTCCCTCAGTGTACACTAATTGCCTAATATTAAGTGCATTTTCGTGAGAGGCAGAAATTATGTGATTTCGTATCTGCTGTTCAGGCTTATTCTAGGGTAGTGACTAGTGATCTAGTTGTAGAACCCTTCTTCAAAGGAAATTTTATCAGGAAGCCCCATGTATAATATGGGAAAAAGTGGAGTTGAAGTGGGGTGGTATATCTAGAGTGCTACTAGCTCAGCTCTCGCCCTTTCTCATTTTCCTGAGACAGTCTGTACTACACCTGTGCGGAATGACTAGCGCCCTGAGCACATTATCAGAACTACTGTCCAGAGAAAATTGTTGAATTGCATAGCCCCAGATCTCTACAAATGTGTCTATGGGAACTGAATTCTGATTTTTGTCGTCTATTAGTATTTCAACTACTTTATTTTAAATTGTCACCCCTTTTAAAACCCCTTATTTAGTATCATTATCTTACTCTCAGAAACTGACCATTCCTTCTACTTCACAAGTAAACTTACTGTACTTTCTACATAAGCAAAGCAATACAAACAAAAATCCAGCTTATCTACATGTGGATAAAAAAAGAGGGCCTCCCTTTTTAATTTTGCTAATATGTCTGCTTTTCCTCTGGACCCCATCATTTTGTACCTTCTTTGAGACAGTGTTCCATTAGTTACCCCATCCTCCGAGTCAGAGTCTCTCCTCTATTGGCCCCTTTTCTATAGTCTTAAAAAGAAAACCCTTTATCTGCCCAGCAGCTTCTTTTCCTCATTACCTACTGCCCCTTTCACCTCTCTTGCTAGGCTAAGCTTGAAAATGTAGCTTATATTCGCTGTATTCCTTTTCCTTCCCATTCTTTTCTTTTTATTTAAAAGTTTATATATAAATTTATGAAAATATAAATATATATACAATTTACATAGAAATAATAAACACTAATGTTTTCATCCCTGAATTTAAGAAACAATATTACAGTACTGTTGAAAACCCTTGTGTACTCTTCCTTTAATACACATTTTTTCCTCCCCTCAAAAGTAACCATTACTGGCTGGGCATGGTGGGTGGCTCACACCTGTAATCCCAGCACTTTGGGAGGCTGCAGCAGGAGGATCATGTGAGCTCAGGAATTTGGGACCAGGCTGGGCAACATAGCGAGACCTCCTTTCTACTTTAAAAAAAAAAAAAATTTAGTTGGGTGTGGTGGCATGTAGCTGTAGTCCCAGCTACTCAGGAGGCTGAGGTGGGAGGATCACTTGAGCCAGGGAGATCAAGGCTGCAGTGAGCTATGATTGTGCCACTGCACTCCAGCCTGATCAACAGAGCAAGAAAAAAAAGGAAAAAAGTAGCCATTATCCTAAATTTGATTACTATTGTTTCAAGACATTTCATTTTTACTTTACTACATATCTACAGATCCCTAAGCAGTATATAGCTGAGATTTTTCAATATGAATATGATGAATGATTTAGAGGCATACCAGATGTTGATCCTCTCAGCCTTTGGAACAGTGGATTTTATGACCAGCCTTGTTCGTGTACCATACAAATGTTATCTTCTGTGTGCCATGGTATAAAAAAGTTGGGGAGCACTGATATATAATATTATTGTGTATATTTTTGAAATTATCATTAGTAATGTCCTATATATGTTCTTTATCTTTTTTTCAATCCATCTTACATTTGTGAGGTTCATCTTTGTTAATGCAGGTAGCATTTTTTTCATTTGTATTTCATTTATGTATGGTATTCTATTATATGAATTTATCACACTTTACCTATTTTCTTATTAATGGTTGTTTATTTAAGTAGTTATAATTTCTTGCTTACAAATAATGTTACCATGAAGATTATTAATAATGTTTACTTGTATGTTAGTGTTTTACTAGAGAAATATGCCTTGGGGTGAAATTGCTAATTGTAGAGAATCTAGCTTTACCAGATTTTGACAAATTGTTTTCCAAAGTGGTTATTCCAGCTTATATTTACCAACAGTTTTAACAGCTCTCTGAACTTTGCTTATTTACAGTTTTAAAAAAACTTTTGCAGTTCTTGAGATAGGCGGTAGTTCTGAAGATGGGTGGTGATGGTTGCATAACAAGGTAACTGTACTTAGTGTCCCAGAACTATATATTTTAAAATGATTACTGGGCCGGGCATGGTGGCTCACACCTGTAATCCCAGCACTTTGGGAGGCCGAGGCGGGCGGATCACAAGGTCAGGAGATTGAGACCATCTTGGCTAACACAGTGAAACCCCGTCTCTACTAAAAATACCAAAAATTAGCTGGGCGTGGTGGCGGGCGCCTGTAGTCCCAGCTACTCGGGAGGCTGAGGCAGGAGAATGGCATGAACCCGGGAGGCGGAGCTTGCAGTGAGCCGAGATCGCGCCACTGCACTCCAGCCTGGGCGACAGAACGAGACTCCATCTAAAAAAAAAAAAAAAAAAAAAAAAATTACCATGGACTGGGCGTGGTGGTTCACGCCTGTAATCCCAGCACTTTGGGAGGCCGAGGTGCAAGGATCACCTGAGGTTGGGAGTTCAAGAGCAGCCTGACCAACACGGAGAAACCCCATCTCTACTAAAAATACAAAATTAGCCAGGCGTGGCGGCACATGCCTGTAATCCTAGTTACTTGGGAGGCTAAGGCAGGAGAATCATTTGAACCTGGGAGGTGGAGGTTGTGGTGAGCCAAGATCACGCCATTGCACTCCAGCCTGGGCAACAAGAGAGAAACTCCGTCTCAAAAAAAAAAAAAAAATTACTATGGTAAATTTTATGTTATATATATTTTAGCACAATTTTAAAAAAGCTTTGCTGGCCTGATGGGAATGAAATCTCACTGTGCTTTTTATCTGCTTTTCTGTGATTACTAGTGAGATATCTTTACATATGCGGAATATCCATTTATGGTTTTTTTCCCTTTGAATATTTAATGTTAATACCATTTGCTCATTTTTCTATTAAGTTATCTTTTTCTTACTGATTCTTGGAATTTTTTTTTTTTATTTTTTGAGACAGGGTCTCACTGTGTTGCCCAGGCTGGAGTGGAGTGGTGCAATCTCGGCTCACTGCAGCCTCTACCTCCTGGGTTCAAACAATTCTCCCACCTCAGCCTCCTGAGTAGCTGGGACTACAGGTGCCCTCCACCATACCTGGCTAATTTTTGTATATTTTTTGTGGAGATGGGGTTTCACCATGTTGGCCAGGCTGATTCTTGGAAGTTCTTTATGTATTCTGGATACACATCTTTTGTTGGTTATGTGTGTTGCATACATTTTCTTTCATTTATGTCTGTCTTTTCCATTTTAAAAAATAATACCTTTTGATAGAGCATTAATTTTAATGTGGTTCAACTTATTTTTTTCCTTTTTGATATGTATTTTTTGTGTCTTATTTAAGAAATCATTCCTAAGTTAGGGTTGTAAAGATATTCACCTGTATTTTTTTCTAAAAGTTTTAAAAATTTTGTCCTTCACATTTTGGTTTATAATTATAATCTACTTGATTTGATTTTTATGTTTAATGTGAAGTGAGTATTCCATTTTCCCCCCATGTAGTTAATCAGGTACCTCAGCACCATTTATTACACATTCCCTCTCTCCTCCACTAATGCACAGCATCATCTTTTACATATCAAGTTTATATGTATGCAGGGGTCTATTTCTGGGCCATCTATTCTGTCCCATTGGCCAGTTGTTTATTACTGTACCCCTACTACACTTAAGCTTTATAATAAAGTTATCTGGTTGGGCAGTATCTCCCTTCTCAGTTCTCCAAAATGTTTTTAGCTGTTGGTTCCCTGCGTTACTTTACAGTTTTAGAATTCATTTGTTAAGCTTCACAGTTGAAATATTGATCGGAAATGTAGGTATAACTCATTATCCAGATGTAGACTATTACTAAAATTGTATAGATACTAAAGCTTCAGAGAACTCAGACCTATATTTTATTATCTTAATAGGGAGAATTAATAACTGGTTCACAGTCTATTCAAAACCTCAAATAATTTTCCCTCAATTACAAAATCTTAAAACACTTTTATAAGAATCCCAGTTCATGTAAAAATCTGCATTATGCATGTAAAACACCAGTTACTTAACACTTATTACACTCATTATTTGGTATGTTTTTGGACAGAATAGTGTGGAAACTGTACAGTATCAGTTATTTCTTCTACACTGCTCCAAACACGTACCATAATGTAAATAAGCAATGAGAAAATATGTTAAAGATACATGATGAATGCAAATAACTCTTAGTGAATAACCAAGACCACGTAAAAAAAAATGTACTGATTAAAGAGTTGCCTGAGTTAGATTTGGTGGTGAGAAGTGGGAGAAGGGGCTGTTATCATGGTTGCGGTTCAGTGGTGAGTCAAAATGTATGGAAAGATTCTAGCAAAGGAGCTTACTATTGGATCCTAAGAAGTGATGGACAGTTTTCTCCACTCCTGAGGTCCAGAAATAGATGGCTGTGAACCATTGTCTGCAGTCTTAGATGAAAAAAAATCTAAAAAAATGTATGTCTCCTTGTGTTCCTTTTGCTCGTGGTTATAGAATGTGAGCATAAGATATGGTCCTGTCAGGAAAATAGCTGAGATACAGCTGCTGAGTAGACTGGATGGTCTCTCTTAGATTCATAAGCACCTTAAATGTGCACTCCTACAAATCCTTGATAGTTGTTTTTTTAAATTTGAATAGTGACTCCTGGGTTTAAAAAGTACATATTGTAACAAATACTCAGATAGCGAAAATTCTTCAAGTGAGGAACATTGGATGTATAGATTAATTTGGAAAGAGTCAAAATCTTTGCAACATTTGATCTTCTATCTGTGACCATGATTTTATTTCTCCACTTGTTTAGGCAGTTTCATAATTTTTGTTATAAAAGTATGTAGATATATAGGAATGCAATTGATATTTATATACTGCTCTTACTAATTTATCTGTAGATTTTCTTGGATGTTGTACATACACAGACATATCTTCTGGGAATAATGAATAATGAAATTTTGCTTCATCTTTTTATTTAATTTTCTTTTCTTTTTTTTTTTTG
Source organism: Homo sapiens (assembly GCF_000001405.40). NCBI lineage: Eukaryota > Metazoa > Chordata > Mammalia > Primates > Hominidae > Homo > Homo sapiens. Next base: position 76,246,832 of record NC_000015.10, on the reverse strand, counting down.
AGACGGAGTCTTGGCTCCGTAGCCCAGGCTGGAGTGCAGTGGCATGATCTCGGCTCACTGCAAGCTCCACCTCCCGGGTTCATGCCATTCTCCTGCCTCAGCCTCCCGAGTAGCTGGGACTACAGGTGCCTGCCACCACGCCCGGCTAATTTTTTTTGTATTTTTAGTAGAGACAGGATTTCACCATGTTAGCCAGAATGGTCTCAATCTCCTGACCTCGTGATCTGCCTGCCTCAGCCTCCCAAAGTGCTGGGATTACAGGTGTGAGCCACCGTGCCCAACCAATTTTCTTTTCTTATTGTGTTAGCTGTGGCATTGTTGAACGGAAGTGGTGAGGATAAACATCCTTGTCCTTCATTTCAAGGAAATTACTCCATTGTTTCACCATAGGTATTATGTTGGCTGTCTGTTTTTAGTGGATACCCTTTATCAGATTTTAAAAAGTTCCCTACAATAGGCAGTGTCATAGAATAGTTAAGAATCCAGACTTTCTAGCCAGGTTGCCAGGATTCAGCCCTTGGTGTTGCCACTTGCTGGCTGTGTGACTTTGGACAAATCACTTAACCCCTCTGTAGCACAGTTTTCTCAACTATACAATGGTGATAATAATAATTCATACTTCATACTGTAGTATTAAAGATTAAATGATTTTAAAGATTAATATGTAAAACAGGCTTAAATGAGTTAATATTTATATAACACTTAAAAACTGTGCCTGGTATATAGTAAGTGCTGTGTATTAGCCATTTTTACAGTACTGTCATAAATCCTTGTTTTCTAAGAGATTTTGTTTTATTTTGTTTTGAAATTATGAACAGGTATTGAATTCTTATTTCTTTACCTGAGGTTTGACACACTTACTGGATTTTGTTAGCACATTAATATTTGTTGAACTTAATAGAGTCTCAGATTTACGCTACAACTAGCATTTAATTTCTATGGCCTTTTAAAGGTTGGCGTATTTGGTGGTAGTTTCCATTTAATACTTATTTCTAGATTGCCTTCTATTAGCTTTTTTGATGGTGCTGACCTTACCTTCCTAACCACCTGAACATATAAGCATATTGCAATTATTAAAGAATCTGTTTTCTAATGCCAGGGAAATGTGTTCTTACGCTTAGTGCAACTTCTTAGTGGGAGTAGATTATTTTGTGTATATTTTGGTATTTTACTAACAGACCAACTGTCCATTCATAATGGTGAGACTAAGTGAATAGAAGTCAGTTTAAAGTTACCAGGTGAATAAGCAGTTTTTGAAAAATGTATCAAGATAATAAATTTTGTTTCTGGGTTCTCTTTTGAAAATTCACTATTGTTGAAAAGTCTGTGTAGGAACAAACTTTATAGACTTACTTGTATACAGCTAGGACTGAATTTATGGGCTGCCTTTCTAACTTGCTAAAAAGCTGAAGATTGACAGCTGCTTTCATAGTGCTTTATCTAGCTTGGCTTTTAACTCCAAGAGAACTGTGTTCACAAATTGATGCTCTGTTCCTTTGGGGTTGGTATAGAAGCATTAAATTGTACTAAAATATTCATATGTGAGTGCATTTAGCTGAAAGCAATTGATGTTTTGTTCCCAAGAGGACAGAGAGAAATGCTGTATGGACCTGTACTCCAGAAAAAACCCTAAGCATGCTTCTTAAAGGTAATTACATGGCCTGGATTATCAAAGCCCATACAGTGAAGTTTAAAACGACAAAGAAGAAGTTGTAGAATTTATAAACTGTGGTTTGTATATATAAATTATTTGGTTGTACAATAGTTAAAAACTTAATTGCCAAAAAACTAGGAGTTTTAATTATATCTTTGGTTTGTCTTCTCAGCTAATTTTTACTAGACTGATTGCTCTAAACATTTATTCCAGAGGTCCAATATCAGTGAAGTTCTTTATCCATTATCATTTTATTATATAAAGTTAAAAATTGTAAGTTTCAGAGAGTGTTGAATTCCTTTTTACATATATATGGTAACTGTTTAAAAGCATGCCACCAATAATGATAAATTGACATGTCTTGTAGATAGTGAATCTAATTTAACAGCTGACATGAAAATCAATAAGAGTAGACAGCAGTCTTTGTCGTAGCTGTGTTGGTGTGGTAACTTGAAAGAAATAAAACTATTCTAAATTTCTATTCTTATTCTATGTAATTTTGTTTTTTTTTTTTCCTATAAAAACCAATGTATTTTCTCATATAGTTTCAGGTATGATAAATGGGCACATGAATGTCAAAGAACATGAGACACTTTACTAGAAAATGTTGATTCAATGGATAATTGGTCATTTAGCATATGTAATTCAGTACTGTGTTCACCTCAAGGCCAAAGATACAAGCACTGAGGTGTAGAGAAGAAGAGTTTAATAACATCGTTTAACTATATATTAATATTAACCAAACTTAGTCTGAAAGGAAATTTGGGAAATAGTATTTGAGACAGGAGGGTATACTCCACTTCCTTAAAGTGAGATTATTTTAGAGGATCTTAGGTTGTATAGTAAATTTATTTTTAACTGGCATTACTATTTTCCATATTACAAGCTCTACTCCAATTCTTACAATTTTAGAAGGTGCTTAAATGAGTTTTTCATAAGTCTTTGGTCTGAACTTCACAACTCAGATAGCTTTCTCTTAAATAAACATTTTGAGGGCTGGATGTGGTGGCTCACGCCTGTAATCCCAGAACTTTGGGAGGCTGAGGCGGGCAAATCACCCGAGGTTGGCAGTTCGAGACCAGCCTGACCAACATGGAGAAACTCCATTTCTCCTAAAAATACAAAATTAGCTGGGAGTGGTGGCACATGCTGTAATCCCAGCTACTTGGGAGGCTGAGGCACGAGAATTGCTTGAACCTGGGAGGCAGAGGTTGCGGTGAGCTGAGATCGCACCATCGCACTCCAGCCTGGGCAACAAGAGTGAAACTCTGTCTCAAAAAAACTAATAATAATAACAATAATAATAATAATTTTGAGAACGGTTTTGGATTTTAAGAAAAAAACTTTGTTTTTTTTTTGTTTGTTTGTTTTTGTTTTTTTGAGACAGAGTCTTGCTCTGTCGCTCAGGCCAGAGTGCAGCAGCATGATCTGGGCTCACTGCAACCTCTGCCTCCCAGGTTCAAGTGATTCCCCTGCCTTAGCCTACCTAGTAGCTGGGATTGCAGGTGTGTACCACCACGCCCGGCTAATTGTTGTATTTTTAGCAGAGGCGGGGTTTCGCCACGTTGGCCAGGCTGGTCTCAAACTCCTGACCTCGTTGTGATCCACCCGCCTCGGCCTCCCAAAGTGCTAGGATTACTGGCGTGAGCTACTGCGCCTGGCCTGAATTTAAAGTAAAATTTTGAAGACAGTACAGTGAATTTCTATAAATCCTATACCTGGTTTTCCTTATTATTTTTAATGTAAATAATTTTTAATAATTACCACAAGATTCTAGAATGAAGTTTTTTAAACATGGGAAATTCTGTGATGGTTTCTGTCAAGGTTTCTAGTGATTTTTTTTATTGTGGTAAAATATAAAATTTGCCGTTTTAACGATTTTTTTTCTTTTTCTTTTCTTTTTTTTTTGAGATGGAGTCTCACTCTACTGCCCAGGCCGGAGTGCAGTGGTGCCATCTCGGGTTCAAGCAATTCTCCTGCCTCAGCCTCCCAAGTAGCTGAGACTACAGGCATGTGCCACCAAGCCTAACTAATTTTTGAATTTTCATAGAAACAGTGTTTCACCATGTTGACAGTCTGGTCTTGAACTCCTGGCCTGAAGTGATCCACCCACCTTGTCCTCCCAAAGTGCTGGGATTATAAGTGTGAAGCACCACACCCAGTTGTTTTAACGATTTTTAAGTGTACAATTTAATGACTTCAACCACATTCACAACGTGCAGCCATCACTACTCTATTTCTGAAAGTTTTCATCACCCCAAATAGAAATCCTGTACCCATTAAGCAATAACTTATTACGTTCTACCTTGGCCCCTTGTAATTGCTAATCTATTTCTGTCTCTATGAATTTGCCTATTCTAGATATTTCATAAAGTTGAATCAAACAATATTTGTCCTTTTATGATGGCTTTTTTCATTTAGCACATTTTCACATTTCATCATATTGTATCATGTATCAGAACTTAATTCCTTTTTATGGTCCAGTCATCTGTAAACATTTTGCTTATCCATTCATCTGTCAATGGGTACTTAGGTTGTTTTATTTCACCTTTTAGCTATAGTGAATAATGCTGCTATGAACATTCACATGCAAGTATCTGTTTGAGTCCCTCTTGTCAGTTCTTTTGAATATATACTTAGGATTGGAATTGCTGAGACATATGGTAGTTCTATGTGTAACTTTTTGAGGAACCTTCAAATTGGTTTCCTCTGGTTGCTTTGTAGCTCTCATAAACTTCTTGACATAGAAGTTATGATTAAATGTCAAGAAAAGCTATGTGTAAGCAATGGCCAGCTCTTAGTGATTTGGGAAAGGAGGCAGTTTGGTGAATGGAAAGAATACTACTTGGAAGTCAGGAGACCTAGGTTTGGGTGGCAGCTCTGTTTCCCAGGGCCTTGATTTTTATCATTGATGAAATAAAGAGATCGCATAGATAATTTCAAAGGTTCCTTACAACTCCAAAATTCTACGTAGAAATGTATAATTTAGCATGTTTTGACTTGGATCAATTAAAGAACTTTGCTGATAAAAAATTTTGATAGTTGGCCAGGCGAAGTGGCTCACGCCTGTAATCCCAGCACTTTGGGAGGCCAAGGCGGGGGGATCCCGAGGTCAAGAGATCGAGACCATCCTCACCAACATGGTGAAACCTTGTCTCTACTAAAAATACAAAAATTAGCCGGGCGTGGTGGCGCACACCTGTAGTCCCAGCTACTCAGCAGGCTGAAGCATGAGACTCACTTGAACCCAGGAGGCGGAGGTTGCAGTGAGCCGAGATCGTGCCATTGCACTCCAGCCTGGCGACAGAGCGAGACTCCATCTCAAAAAAAAAAAATTTGATAGTCAAATAAACTTTTTTTTTTTTTTTTTTTTTTTTGAGATGGAGTCTCACTCTGTCGCCCAGGCTGGAGTGCAGTGGTGTGATCTTGGCTCACTGCCAGCTCTGCCTCCCGGGTTCATGCCATTCTCCTGCCTCAGCCTCCCGAGTAGCTGGGACTTACAGGGGCCCGCCCCCCATGCCTGGCTAATTTTTGTATTTTTTAGTAGAGACAGAGTTTCACCGTGTTGGCCAGGATGGTCTGGATCTCCTGACCTCGTGATCCGCCTGCCTCAGCCTCCCAAAGTGCTTGGATTACAAGTGTGAGCCACTGCGCCCAGCCAAATAAACTTTTTTTGAGACAGGGTCTCACTCTATTAGCTAAGCTGGAGTGGAGTGGTGCCATCACATCTCACTGCAGCTTCAACCTCCTGGGCTCAAGTGATCCTCCTGCTTCAGCCTCCCAAGTAGCTGGGATCACAGATGTGTCCCACCACACCCAGCTAATTTGTTTTTTATTTTTTGTAGAGATGGGGTCTTGCTGTGTTGCCTAGGCTGGTCTCAAACTCCTGGCCTCAAGCGATCCTCCCACCTCGACCTCCCAAAGTGCTAGGATTACAGGCATGAGCCACTGCACCCAGCCTTCAAATAAAGTTTTTATTTGACCTGCTAAAATGCAAAGCTTTGTAATAGACTTGATTACATGTTCAAGTATTTTGATATCATAGACACAAATATTTCAATGTAAATTAACTGTCTGAATAGTTTTAGGTAAGTATATAATAATATACTTGGCTTTTCATAATTTCAGGTACACTTAAAGTGTATTTTCCCACAATGGAAAATCTCTGAACTGGTATAGAAGCAAATTAGGTAAATGCAAAGCATTTAATTATAAAATTGTTAAATATAAAAATTATATTTAATTTATTATTATTAATATTTTTAGAGGTGGGGTCTTATTCTGTTGCTCAGGCTGGAGTATGGCAACATGAGACCATAGTTCACTGCAGCCTCAAATTTCTGGACTCAAGAAATCCTCCTGCCTCAGCTTCCCAAGTAGTTGGGATTATAGACGTGAGCCACTGAGCACAGCTGAAGTTATATTTGAATGTGAAACTATTCTCTTAAGAAAAAAAAAACTTGTTTCAGGTCCTATACATCTTGCATAATTGAAATCTACAATTAGAAAACATTGAAAGGCCAAGGGTTGAAATTTCACTTTTTTTCTGATTTACATTTAAATTTTTGAATTGTGTTTCACAATATAGTTAATGTCCTTGTTTTAAAAAAATTCTTTTAACTTTGTAGTTGAGCAACTGGGTTATTAAATTTACATTTTGAACAAAAAATGTGACGTACATAATGAAGTGTGTGCTAGTGATATACATCCCACCTGCTCTGGACATATTAGACTAGATGTGAAGAAGACATTTGCTTAGTTCCCTATATGTCCTGGGAGAAAAGGTAGGCTGATTAAAAGAATATGGAGGAGCTTATATCTAAGAATGAATTTGAATTTAAGATTTCAAAGAATCTTTGACTACATATTCTATCACTAAAAAGAACCAAGTCCATCTACTGAGCCATGGAATCTCCATTCATGTGAAAAATCTTCAGAGGCTAGATAAGGGCCCCTGCTTTTCTTCCAAATGCATTTTCTGGCTTTGCCTCTAGACATTTCCCTTTAGCAGTTATTTGGAACCAGATATTGACTTCACTGAAAGCCAGATCAAAATCTTTAGCTGGAAAGTATTAATTTTCAGTGCAGGTTACATAAATTAAAAGAAAGAAACATCATCAACAACAACAACAAAAATAATTTCGGAGCCTTGCCTCTTTTGTGAGTCAGTCTCCTTGAAGGGCTTCCAGCTGGTGCATGTGTGTGGTGGGTGTGCATTAGAGGCTTTCTAATTGACATGCAAGTGGTTGATAGAGCAATAAATCTAAACAGTGTAGCTTGTCATTATTCATGATAAGGAGACACAGAGCTAATGTACAAACTGATACTTTTAGCAACATGGAGTAAAAGCTAATGTTAGCTAAAATTGACAATACTTTTTTTTTTTTTTTTTAATATGTACAAACTTCAGTTGGCTCTTCACCAGGTCTCATCTTGTTTTAGGGATCTTTCTCTAAGATAAATATACTTTGTGGACTTTTAACAGACTGGTGACTTCAGCTAAAGCATATTACCAATACAGTAATAATATTGAGTCATATGTGGTATAGAAAAAGTGCTGAATTTAGAATCAACCTAGGTTAAGAAGCCTGCCTTTTGAGAGTAGAATGGTGGCTTCCAGGGGCTGGGAGGTGGGGGAAATGGGGAGATGTTGGTCAAAGGATACAAAATTTGTTATGCTGGATGAATAAATTCTGGGGATCTATTGTACAGAATGGTGACTATAGTTAATAAGAGTGGATTGTATACTTAAGATTTGCTAAGAGAGTAAATTTTAAGTGTTCTCACCACAAAAAGTAATTGTGATGTGATAGATATGTTAATTAGCCTGATTGTGGTAATTATTTCATAATGTTTACCTATATCAAAACATCACATTGTATACTTTAAATATATATAATTTTTATGTGTCAAATATACCTCAGTAAAGCTGGGGAGGGAGAACCTGCCTTTTACTAGGTGTGTATAATTTTGGACAACTCAGCAAGCCTGCCTGAGACTCTGCTTTCTCTTCTATAAAATAGGAATCATTTCTACCCTATAGAGTTGTTGTCATAGTTAAATGAGGTCGTGTGTATAAAGTACAGCATAGTTACTGGCGTAACATAGACAGTACATATAGCTGTGATGACTAGTGTGTTGTCTTGAATTCTAATAAAACAGGAGCTAATCTTAGTAAAGGGGTGTTGTCTCATGGATGGGATATAATTTCAGCTTCAAACCAAGAGTATGGGTAAAATCTTCCCTTCATGTGAAACTCAGTTTAGCCAGAATCCCACCTGAGAATTTCATAATACGGGCAGAGAGCTGTTTGAGAAAAGAGCCACAGATAGTTGTGCTTTGAGTTTTGGGGCCTCTTCCAAAAAGAGAAGAGACTTAAACAGGATTTGGCAAACAAAGGAAATAGTTTGGCCTTTTAAATGAGCAGCAGGATGAAATATAGCAATATTAATGCACAGGAGGCTCCAATAATTAGAAAATATAGTTTGGTTAATCTACTTCCCAAAGACACATTCATTATTTGCTATGATAAATTCATTTAACTCCTAACCTGGCATTTGTTATGTATATGTATATTATGTTTTATCTATAACAGTTGCTGTTTAAGGTTATGGCTGTGTAGTCTATTGAGAAAAGAAGGTTGAGAAAGCATTTGCCATTCTGTATAACTCTTGTCCTGATTGAGGCAGTCTTAGGGGTATTGTTTTTTTGAGCACATAACATTGGATCTCTGAATTCTAGATAGAACCACTTACATGATGTGTTTAAATTTTTATTTATTTAAAGAAATGTAAGTTTTCATGTTCCTTCCCTACCTCTATCTAGAAAGGAACACTTTTGGCAGAAAAGTTTAAAACTTGATTTTTTAAGAGAGGAAACAATATTGGCATGGTATTTCTGCTCTGAATGCTCCAGATTTAACCACCCTACTCATATTCGTATTTCATATAAACAAAAAGTAAACATTTAAATCTCTCCATTCTACTGTGTTTAAAGTAAAGCAGATCTGAAGTTGCTGCAGGCAGAATACTGTTCCAATTCCAGAAAAACATGAATTTATGATTTTATATCATAAACTCACATAATTTCAACTTCATATGTATTATATTTTTAATATGATCAACTTGATATGTCTTAGTACTTGCATCTGGGATATGTATCCTTGCACAAAGATTGTGTTAGAAATCTGTAAAGAAATCATCCCAACTTCCTAGGCAAGCACTGGCTAGGAAGCTGGGCAGAAATTCTAACTGTATGGTCAGTACTAAATGCAAAGAAGAAACTAACAGCTGTCAAAGAAAATTTTTCCCAGTACACTCCCCTGGAAGAATTGTATCAAGTTAGTAACAACTTTCTTGACTATAGATATATAGATAGTAATAGTTACCATTTTAAAGTGAAATTTTTGACAGTTGGCTGTCTCCTTTTCTGTTTAGAACTATAACATTAAAAATGCCTTCTAGTTTAGAGATTTGATGATCATTTTAGAAATAATAGCATTATAGAAATATTTTGAGTACTTTATGTGCATCTTATTTTCATCATCACAACAATCCTATTAGCTGCAGGTATTTGTCTCCATTTTACACATAACAGCAGTTGAGCCTTTGAGAGATTGAATAATTTGCTCAAGAATGCAGATTGGTAAGTGGGAGAGTCAGGATCTGAACCCAGCTCTTATTTATTTAACTGTAATGATTGAATAATGTAGTAGTTTCTTTTACCTCCTCATTTTCAACTTTCTTGAGTTGAGATCTGAGCTTACTAATTTTCCATCATCCTTGTTTTCTAATATGTGTTTGAGGTTATAAATCCTTCTAAGTATCGGCCAGGCATGGTGGCTCATGCCTGTAATCCCAGCACTTTGGGAGGCCGAGGTGGGTGGATCACCTGAGGTCAGGAATTCGAGACCAGCCTGGCCAACATGGCAAAACCCCATCTCTACTAAGAGTACAAAAATTAGCCGGGCGAGGTGGCACGTTCCTGTAATCCCAGCTACTCAGGAGGCTGAGGCACGAAAATCGCTTGAACCCAGGAGGCAGAGGTTGCAGCGAGCCAAGATCGTGCCACTGCACTCCAGCCTGGGCAGCAGAGTGAGACTCTGTCTCAAAATCAATCAGTCTTTCTAAATACCACTCTAGCTGCATCCCACATGTTCTGATATACCCTTCCTTTTTTGGTGTTTTGTTCCATGTATTTTTAAATTTCCATTTTAATTTTTTTGACTCACATATTTCAGATACTTTTAAAATCTTTTTTAGAACTGTGAGTTTTTGAGGAAATATTTTTCAGGTCCATCTAGAGTTTTAAGAACTAAATATAAGTTACTGGAGAACAAAATTTGATAGAGAGTTGCTTTTTCAGAGTATAAACTGATCATGTTAAACCAGTAGTTTTCATCTGCTTTTGGTTTTCCTATAATGGGCCACACCACCTGAAATTTGATAGATTTTTGTCATCTATTTGTGACTCTCTATATTGGCTACTCTTGTTTAATGTTGCTGCCTCTAATGCTAATCTTCAGCTCTGCCACACTGCTGACTTTCCTTTTTGGTTCACGTTCCCATTGAGCATAATAGAACCTGTAAATGGTCTTGTTCTGAGCCAACAGAAGCAACACAGACACATAAGACAATGCCATTCTGTCTTTAGATCTGTTGTCAGACCATAGTCCACGGTTCCCTAGTGGAGTTTACAAGAAGGCTCTTTAGTTTGTTCTATGATTATTTTGGATTTGTGCTGCCCAGTATGATAACCTCTAAGCCACATGTGATTATTGGGTACTTGAAATATAGTTAGTCTGACCTGAGATTACATTATTAAAAATTAATTTTACCTGTTTATTTTTACTTTAATGTGGCCACTAGAAAATTTAACATTAAATATGTGGCTTACAAGATATATAAGTATAGATGTATCGAATAACTCTGTTTGGGGCTTAACAGTGATGAGCGAAAATGCAATGTAGCAGAGGACAGTTTTCCCCTTAGCTTCTACATGAAATTCTGGAAAAGCAGAGCTCAGATAATACATCTTAGAATTCCAGGTTTGGGCACGTGTTTTGGGTAAAGCAGGAGTGATGTTAGTATATACTTACTTTCTGAAGAAAGCAGCCAAAAACCTAATCATCCACCAGAGAACACTAGCCATGTTGAATCCACAGGTTGGTTAGATTTCTGTAAAAGTCTGAAGATTTCATTCCAATCATCCCTCTAATTCTCAGACATGCAGTTTTATCATTAAGCCAGGACCATTAAAACCTGCTTTAAAAGCTTGTTTTGTCTAAAGGACTTAAGGGAGCAGGAACAGATGGGGATAGATGGCAAAAGTGGGCCCCTGTTTGTCAGAAGGTAAAGATATTGTCCCCTAATCTGTTTTCTGCTCCTAACGGCTTTTCCACTTCTCAGTGGCAGGTAGGAAAGTGAGGGGCTGATGAGAGACTGTAGCTCTATCACACCTCTTTTCCATTTTCCTTTATTGGATTACAGATTTTTGTGACCTTGCCGTAACCTGTAATTGTTAGACTGTGAGCTTCTTGAGGACAGGGCACAGAGAATTAGTCATCTTTATATTACCTGTAAGGTACAGTAAGAATATCAACAACAGTAAAATCAGTTACCCAGTGCTGCTCAACTCTTTCCTATTATGGTACACTTAGACAGTTAGAATATTTGTACCACAGGGGATTCTGGCCACCCAGTACTTCAAGTCCACACAACTCTTTTGTACAAATTATAAAGTACTGGTGTCTCAAGTTACTTTACTGCCATCTGTTGGAAAGTTATTGTAATAAAAATGCAGGGCTATAGTGACTGTTAAGAGTGGTGCCCTCCTTCAGAGTTATTCAGTGTGCAGCCTGCTCAGCTGTACATGGTAGTCCTGAGGCTACCTCAGGAGCCCACCTGGCCACCTAGTGGGCTGAGAAAATCAATATTTGAATAAACCTCAACCCGTGAGTGACACATCAATGTGTCTTGGGAAATCTGATACTATGCTAAGGACGAGCCTCAACAGTAACCCTATAAAGCAGGAGTTCTTATAATTCCAGTGTTTTGGATGAGCAGTCTGAGGCATAGAGAGGTTACATGAATGGCCCATGGTCATGCAGCTATCAGATGGCAGAGGTGGGATTTGAATGGAGGCAATGAGGCTACAGAGCCTAGGTTCTTAACCACAGTGATACGGTAAACCTGTTAAACCGCATCAGATGCAACAGTTTCTCAGTCCTGCTGCCCTTTCTATCTCAGCCCACTGTAACTAGTTTAGACCTCAGCCCCTGAGTTCTTTGAATGAGTCTATAGGTTTTGGCAAAGGAAGAGGTATTTGTGCTTTTTTCTGCCAGTACTTGTTTGTGTTAAGGTTAAGTGCTATCCCTTCTCTATATTTCAGAATAAGCTCTGGTCCTCTTCCCATCCTGTGGCTTTACTTCTCCGCACAGCCCCTATTCTTGGCATCACAGAGTGATCAACTCAGACTGCTATCAGCCACCTGGGGTTGATCCATTCTCTTCTAAATTCTCACTCTTCTAGATTCTAAAGCCACGAGGCCTATCTCTAGGACTCTCCCTCCTTCTTTCTGTTTCTGTTGGTTCCTTTAATCCCCACCGTCCCCCACCACGCCTTGTATAACCCTTAATTGCTGTACTCCCTGGCAACATCTCTCACTTTCTCTCCAAATGGTCTTACTATCTGATTTAGAAGGAAAGTGCCTCAGGGAAGGGATTGTCTTGTTATGTTGTGAAGCAGCATCTGAAGTGCCCCATAAATTAGCATCTGTAGAGAGTTTTGTGTATACTAATTATTATTATTATTGAAATACAAAAATGCTTTCTGAACCATGAGGAATTAGACTAAGATATTAGTCTAATTGCCTGTACATGTTTTTTAAAAAGGAGGGAAAAAGCCTCTCTTCCTGAGAGAGCTATCAGAGCCTCAGAGCAGCCGCCAAAATCCCTATACTTGTTCTGGGTTATTGTTTCAGTGCTTTTATGTTTATTCAGAGGACCATGTTTGCAAGACAGTAAAATAAAGTCCTGTTGGTCATGTGGATCCATTTGGACCATTTATTGTGATCAGAAAGGTAGAAATGGCCCTGGAGCAACTGCCTTCAGTTTGTTTTGGCCCAGAATCTCTTATTTCCTTAGTGACACTTATGGTTAAAGTCAATGGAATTCATTTTTGGGGACACAGGGGGTTTTAAGTAATTTCATTTATATTATGTTTATGTTTACTGCCAGAGTGAATCAACATTTTTATTAGCATTTTATAATGCACATGGAGCTTTTAAGACTTGAATTTGCTGTAGACATGTATGACAGAAAGACTCGTTTACAGGACTACTGGTCTTTTCCAATGCTTGCTTTGAGAATATACCTAAAAGAGTGGTGTCTAGCTAAATAGCTTGCTTTAAAAATCTTTATGTTAGAATTTGTTTGCCGGGTTTTTCTGAATATGAATGTTAGTATATTTTGATTAACAGTTTAACAAATGTCCCTTTATGAATGAAATGCTAGTCAGAATAAACTGAGGTGACCTTAAAATTACCTATTGAAGGCTGGGCGCCGTGGCTCATGCCAGTAATCCCAGCACTTTGGGAGGCCGAGGTGGGTGGATCACAAGGTCAGGAGTTCGAGACCAGCCTGGCCAACATAGTGAAACCCCATCTCTACTAAAAATACAAAAATTAGCTGGGTGGGGTGGCATACACCTGTAGTCCCAGCTGCTCGGGAGGCCGAGGCGGGAGAATCGCTTGAACCTGGGAGGTGGAGGTTGCAGTGAGCCAAGACTGTGCCATTGCACTCCAGCCTGGGTGACAGAGTGAGACTCCATCTCAAAAAAAAAAAAAAAAAAAAAAGCCTATTGAATTACTTCTAAATCTTAAATAGAAAGTAGTGGAAGAAGTTTACTACTTATGCAAGTGTCCATGTCTGAGAGACAGTATGATGTCAGGGCCTCCTTGCATTGTCCGACTATGTAGGGTCACAATTGACACACTGGATACATTGAAGGTAGAATCACAGAGCATGCAATTGCTTTTTATCCTCATCCATACTTTCTGCAGCATTCCTCCCCACCCTAAGACACAGTCTTATTACGCCAAATTGTTCTTGTCTTCAGGCTTTTGGTAACTATAGAACAAGTTGATTCAAAAAACAAGCTCATCTCATTTTTAGATGATTAACTCACTTTGGGGACTAGATTGTTTCCTTTTCCAGGTTACATGGTGCTGCTCTAGGAGCAGTTGGACACTTTATGCTTGTAAAGATCAGGGAGTACTGCAGGGGGCTAGACAGTTGTCAGATTCAGGCTGCCAAAGAGCTGAGGGATCACTTATTGTAGTGGTTCTCCAGCTCTGGCTATACATCAGAGTATCCTGGGGAGCTTTCTTTACAAGCACCAGTGCTGGAGGTGTACCTCTTCTGTTTACAATTGGAAAAAGTGAGCCCCTGAGAGGTGAATTGACTTGTATGTGGCCATATACAATTAGGTGCTATGAAAAATCATGACATTAGGAGGTAATAACATTATTTTCAGATCCTAGTTGAAATGCTCTCTTATTTTGGATTGAGCAATTGTTAAATGAGATCATAAGCAGTGCAGAAAACAAGGTGGGACCACCTTGACACTGTCATTGGCTTTTGAAGTATCTGCCCTGTAATAAAAGTAAGTATAACAGAACCACCTTCAGTGCCTTCCACATATTATTCATATTGAGGAGAGACTTTACTGTCAGTTGTGACAAAACCTTAGTGTCAGTCTGGTTACATGGTAGTTATACCTCCTACCCAGGCCAGGACTTGTTTGTTCAGTTTTTCTGTGGGAAAAGGTTTTCAAGTGAAGCTTTAATCATACCTGGTAAACAGAATGAAGCAGGTAAGCTCTTCTAATTAAGCACTTATTAAAGTGCTTAAAGTTTTTCATAATGGAAGTGTGTTTTTATTTTCAAACAAAGGCACTGTAAAAATTTTAGATAAGGAGACAGAACAGTGTCAGTCATCATTCCCTTTGTAATTATTGAGGGCAGAGGGGCAGGAAGAGGTACAAATATCATCAACATTTACCAAAAAACTGTGGTATGGAGGCCTTTTTGTTAGGCTCTGGAAACACAAAGGTTCAGCCCATACCTTTGAGAAGTTTGTTATTTTTTATTCAGAGAGAATGTGTGTGTGTGTGTGTGTATGTGTACGTGTGTGTGTTTAAAATCTCTTGATAGTAATTTGTATTTCTGGTTTTTCTAAATACAAAGTTTAATAAACATATCCTAATTACCATTTTAACAAATATCCTTTTGTGATAAGGCGAACAACTAAGCCAAACAACTAAGTCAAAAATTATTTTAATATATTTGAGTATATGTGTTTATATGTTAATATACAATGTGTGTATGTTGTTAATTTTTAATGGGTATGTACAGCATGTATGGGTTGTGCAGTGATTTTCAAGTGAGTGCCACAGATGAAAAATGCTACCTCACAGGTAATTGTGAGATTGAGACACTTGATGTAAAATGCTTAACACTGTGTCTGGCACATAGTAAATGTTCAGTAATCCTCATTATCCACATATTTATTTTACTACCATTGCTATAGGAATTCATAGGAAAAAGAGAACTGTAGGTTAAGGAGATCAGAGAAAAAGAAAAGCATAATTTAAGCAATACATTTTGCCTCTATTTTATTTAACATATCTTTTGCCTAAGACTTAAATTGCTAACAGCAAACACTTTGGAAAGTATTATATAATATAAATACATATTAATAATGTGACCTCTTTTATTTCAGGAACTTTATATTGCTGTTGGAATATCTGGAGCCATCCAACATTTAGCTGGGATGAAAGACAGCAAGGTAATTGTACATCAGTGATGTTAAAAGAAAACGTTTCCACATTTTAGGATTTGGCTTACCTTGTATGTTTCCATGTAGTTACAATGCATGTAGTCAAGCCATTCACACTAACGTAGATCTGGGAACTGAAAGAAATAAAAGCTACCGTTCACTGCCTTAAAAATTATTGGTCACAGAGGCAGTGCTGTGTCATGGAAAGAGGCCTGAACCTGAGTTATAGCTCCACTGCTAACTTAATGCATGATGAGTGCTGTCTGCAAACTCAGTTTCTTTGTCTACTAAATAGTGGGTATTGAATGATGATCACTAAGTTGCCCTTCAGCTATCACAATCTGTGGATAGAAAATATCAGACTTAAACAATTTGATGAGGTTCTGAACGTGTAACTTATTTTTGAGGTTTTGATCCCTGATTCTCTCTCTGTCTGCTTCACTTTGGTCCTGTAACCCTCACAATCTCATATATCAGCAGGGCCCCACTTCTTGGGTTGTTATCAAAGTATAACCAACACATTTTGGGTTGGAGCATCAGGCCATCTTAATATCTCAGTATCTCAGTAATTATCAAAAGTGCAATAAGTATGGGGCCGGGCGCGGTGGCTCACGCCTGTAATCCCAGCACTTTGGGAGGCCGAGGCCAGCGGATCATGAGGTCAGGAGATCGAGACCATTCTGGCTAACACGGTGAAACCCCGTCTCTACTAAAAATACAAAAAAAATTAGCCAGGCATGATGGCGAGCGCCTGTAGTCCCAGCTACTCGAGAGGCTGAGGCAGGAGAATGGCGTGAACCGGGAGGCGGAGCTTGCAGTGAGCCGAGGTGGCTCACGCCTGTAATCCCAGCACTTTGGGAGGCCGAGGCGGGCGGATCACGAGGTCAGGAGATCGAGACCATCCTGGCTAACACGGTGAAACCCCGTCTCTACTAAAAATACAAAAAATTAGCCGGGCGTGGTAGCGGGCGCCTGTAGTCCCAGCTACTCGGGAGGCTGAGGCAGGAGAATGGCGTGAACCCGGGAGGCGGAGCTTGCAGTGAGCCGAGATCGCGCCACTGCACTCCAGCCTGGGCGACAGAGCGAGACTCCGTCTCAAAAAAAAAAAAAAAAAAAAAAAAAAGTGCAATAAGTAGAGGAAGGAAACACTTGATTTTTATTTATTTATTTATTTTTTTGAGACAAGAGTCTCGCTCTGTCACCCAGGCTGAAGTCGCCCAGGCTGGAGTGCAGTGGCCTGATCTCGGCTCACTGCTAGCTCCGCCTCCCGCGTTCACGCCATTCTCCTGCCTCAGCCTCCCAAAGTGCTGGGATTACTGGCATAAGCCACCGCGCCCGGCCAGGAAACACTTGATTTTAACTTGCTACTTGGACTACTCTGAAAGTCCTGTGTAATGATTCTGAACATATATTTCAGAATATGACACATTAATTCATGCATAATAATATATAGTTTGAATTATGAACTTACCTTTCATGAAGTCAGAGATGCCTCTGACATTCCTGCATTTATCCATTCAGATGGAAGCTTGATATAAAAGATTATAAAACTTTTAACAGGCTTAACTTCTTCTAATTTGAAATGCATGCACTACCTCTTTGTAGCTTCTAAATGAACTGGCCCAAAACCAGTCAGATTTTACAGTTGGATGGTAGGTTTCTTTACTGAACTATGAAAACAGCAGTGCCAATGGGGAAAATGTGATTGCTGCATTAAGAAAAAATAAATAAATAAAAGAAAGAAACTCCAACACCAGCAGCCTTAAAGTATATTTTTAGCCAGACCAGTTCAGACATAGCTAGAATTCTGCTTCTCTAAAAATAAAAGATTCTGCCTGTCAAGAAGATACCAGTGAAAATTCTCACCCCATGCCAACAGGGCTGGATTGTGGGAGAGACACTAGGTAGTGTACGTCAGAGCAAATAGGGAACAGTTGAAGTAAGGAGACTGGTGTTGGGGGTCAGCCAAGACTTTGTATCTCCATCTAGTCAACAGATGTTTATTAAGACCATTCCTTGTACTAGAAGCTGGGAATGCTTAAAAAGATATAGCCCTTGTTGTCACTGTCTTATCCTGTTGTCTGTGTCGTCCTGTGTTGTCATAGCCCCATTATCTGCATAGGAGACAGTCTTTAGTTCTAAAATGGGATATTAGAATGGTTTAAATCTGACAGTTGCATTCCCTGCAAGCTGCAATTTTAATTAGAATCCTGGTTTAGTTGAAGGAATTCAAGATTTGATTGTTAAATCAAATGAATCTAATGAAAGCACTTTCTGAACTAATACACAGTAATATGGTTGAGGCCACGTGCAATCCCAGCACTTTGGGAGGCCGAGGCGGGCAGATCACCTGAGGTCAGGAGATCGAGACCATCCTGGCTAACACGATGAAACCCCATCTCTACTAAAAATACAAAAAATTAGCTGGGCATGGTGGCGGGCGCCTGTGGTCCCAGCTACTTGGGAGGCTGAGGCAGAAGAATGGCGTGAATCCAGGAGGCGGAGGCTGCAGTGAGCCGAGATCGCGCCACTGCAGTCCAGCCAGGGTGACAGAACGAGACTCCATCTAAAAAAAAAAAAAAAAAAAAAAGTAATAATAATAATATGGTTGAATACAATCTATGCATTTCAAAGCTTAGTAAGGAGGAAGAACTTGAGCTTGTGAGGAGCTATTGAGAGAGCTTTGGATACAAGCAAGACTTTATCATAGTTCTTTACAATTGATTATTTAGGAATATTATTTTAATAATCTGAAGAACAATAACCAGCCCCACATCTTTTTTGTTAAATACTGTAGTGGTTCCTTGCCCACAGTTATATGCTCTCTCTTTAAAAATAACTTTTAAGGCAGGCATAGTGGCACTGTAATCCCAAGGCACTGTAATCCCAGCGCTTTGGGAGGCCAAGGCAGGAGGATCACTTGAGTCCAGGAGTTGGAGAGTGGCCTGGGCAACACAGTGAGAACCCCATCTCTCCAAAAAATGAAAGAATTATCTGAGCATGGTGGTACACCCCTGTGGTCCCAGCTACTCAGGAGGCTGAGGTGGGAGGATCACTTGAGCCCAGGAGATCAAGGCTTCTGTGAGCTGATTGTACCACTGCACTCCAGCCTGAGCAACACAATGAGACCCTGTCTCAAAGTAATAATGATAATAACAATTGTTATATAGTATAATGAAAAAGCTTTCGGATGATTAAACTCCCAGATGTCTGACTAAGTGGCCTCTAGAAGAATAATTTACCATCAATAACTAAACAAATCTCTGCTTATCGCCGTGAAGCAGGTTACACATTCCCAAAAGAGAAACACGCCAATGCAAATCAACACCTGCAATTCAGAATGTTTGTTCTTGTGCCTTTGGATTTGAGGCTCACGTTTGAAACTTGTTTATTGTCTCTGACTATGCATCTTAATGTGTGTAGCATGTTTCTCTGGATTAGCAGTTACCTGGACTATACCATGTTCCAATCTTAGACATTCTGGCATCTTCTGCACATCTCTCTGAGGAACCCCTCTAAGGGAAATACACAGATGTTGGATATCCTGTAGCCTGTATTTTAAGTCAGGCTACATCAAAATACTTAATGTATTTTTTAATACCAGCTGTTTTCACAACATACAATGCCAGGTAGGTAGAAACTTAATTTTACTTCTAGAGATTTGAATTATTTTTAGTCCACAATCTATTAAAATAATACTACATTAGAGTCTAACTGCAGTGGTGTTAGAAGCATCTGTGGGGAATACCAAACTATTTGTACTGATAAACTATCTGATATTAATAAAAGAATGATTTGAATGATAGCTTTTCCTTTTTTTTTTTTTGAGACAGAGTCTCACTCTGTCACCCATGCTAACATACGGTGCACAATCTTGGCTCACTGCAACCTCCACCTCCCAGAGTTGAGCGATTCTCCTGTCTGAGCCTCCCAAACAGCTGGGAGTACAGGTGCGCACCACCACACCTGGCTAATTTTTGTGTGTTTAGTAGAGGTGGGGTTTCACCATATTGGCCAGGCTGGTCTCGAACTCCTGACCTCAAGTGATCCGCCTGCCTCAGCCTCTCAAAGTGCTGGGATTACAGGCATAAGCTTTTATTTTTTATTGTAGAGATGGGGTCTCCCTGTGTTGCGCAGGCTGGTCTTGAACGCCTGGGCTGAAGTGATCCTCCCACTTCCACCTCCCAAAGTGCTGGGATTATAGGTATGAGTTACCATGCCTGGCCTGCATTTAAGAATATTTTTATAGCAAATAAGAGAAATGTTTGACAGCTTTTATAAGAGATATAAGTAATTTGCTTCTTTTATTAATCTATTTGCTATGTACATAAGGACTTAAAGCTGTTTAACGTCCCTTACTAACAGGCTGACAAGATACTTTAGCTTTCATATTGTTAGAATATCCCAGAATAATTGTTTTATTTTATTCTATTGTATTTTATTTTATTTATTTATTTATTTTTGAGACGGAGTCTCACTCTGTCGCCCAGGCTGGAATGCAGTGGCGCGATCTCGGCTCACTGCAACCTCCGCCTCCTGGGTTCACGCCATTCTCCTGCCTCAGCCTCCCGAGTAGCTTGGACTACAGATGCCCGCCACCACGCCCGGCTAATTTTTTGTGTTTTTTAGTAGAGACGGGGTTTCACCGTGTTAGCCAGGATGGTCTTGATCTCCTGACCTTGTGATCTGCCCACCTCGGCCTCTCAAAGTGCTGGGATTACAGGCGTGAGCCACCGTGCCCGGCCTATTTATTTATTTTTATTTTTGTTGAGACAGAGTCTCACTGCTGGAGTGCAGTGGCGTGATCTCTGCTCACTGCAACCTCTGCCTCCCAGGTTCAAGTGAGTCTCCTGCCTCAGTCTCCCAAGTAGTTGGGATTACAGGCACATGCCACCATGCCTGGCTAATGTTTGTATTTTTAGTAGAGACAGGTTTTACCCTGTTGGCCAGGCTAGTCTCGAACTCCTGACCTCAGGTGATTCACCCGTCTTGGCCTCCCAAAGTGCTGGGATTACAGGTATGAGCCACTGTGCCTGTCCTCCAGAATAATAATTTTAAAATAATAAATGAAGGACAAAATAATTTGCACTACAAAGGCTGTGGATTTGGGTATAGATTTGTTACTTTTTCACCTAAAATCAAATATTTTTTTTGTAAGTCAAAAGAAGAACTTTTAAAAAATAATGATTTTAAACTCTTTAATACTGAGATGGGCTAGATGTGGGTAAGAGAGAATTTTATTACATTCCAACCTGGAAATTTCTAATAAATTTACAGTGTTGACACAGATGCCTCAAATCTTATTTGGTAGACATTTTAAGAATATTAATATATTGGAAGTTAAAATAGAACTATCAGTCTGTGTGAAATGTTTTCTTGGTAAAAGTCAAACTCTTTGTTTTTATTTCACAGACAATTGTGGCAATTAATAAAGACCCAGAAGCTCCAATTTTCCAAGTGGCAGATTATGGAATAGTTGCAGATTTATTTAAGGTAAGCTGGCCTTGAGAGAAATTGCTATTATCTAGATTGTCATCCGAGAAACTCTCAGAAATGGTTAGGGATGAAGCTATTAAAAGAAAACATTGTGTGTTTGTGTGTCTGTGTTTGTATGTATACTGTTAATATATGTACACAATTTTGACCTACTTAAAGTTAAGTTGCTCTAAGAGTAGATATGTGTTGTTTATATAGAGCATTATAACTTTCCTTTTAAGAAAGAGTCCAAATTGTCTTTAAAATATCCACATGGCGGCCGGGCGTGGTGGCTCACACCTGTAATCCCAGCACTTTGGGAGGCGGAGGCGGGCGGATCATGAGGTCAGGAGATCGAGACCATCCTGGCTAACACAGTGAAACCCCGTCTCTACTAAAAAATACAAAAAATTAGCTGGGCGTGGTGGCAGGCGCCTGTAGTCCCAGCTACTCGGGAGGCTGAGGCAGGAGAATAGTGTGAACCCAGGAGGCGGAGCTTGCAGTGAGCAGAGATCGTGCCACTACACTCCAGCCTGGGTGACAGAGTGAGAGACTCTGTCTCAAAAACAAAACAAAACAAAAAAAACCCACATGGTTTTTGGCATCTCATGTGCTAAGTTAATGCACAATGTGAAGTGATTCAAGTAATTTATAACCTGGAATCATATTTGGCAGGTACCCTAAAGAAATTAACATCAAACCCCCTTATTCAGGGATTTGCCAAGAATGCTAGAGCTTTTCAGGGGAGAGTAGGCACCCATATCCAGCTTATCTGTCTCAATAGGAATGCTCTGCTTGCTGTGTTTGTGGGTTAATGGCCTTCCTTAGCTGACGAGTGTAGGGAGAGCACTTATTTCTCACTCCTCACACTCTTCACTTTTGAGTGTTCCTTCTCTCTTGCCGTCACCTCCATATTTGACCTTCCCATGAGAAAAATTACTTTCATGATATTAATTAGTGAATTACAGGTGATGAGCACCTGATACTCATTTGGCTACATTTAAAGGTCATGACTCATGCGTGGCCTGGTCTCTTCTTTTTCCTGGGTCTGCCTACACGTTTCTAGGTTATCTTATGCAGAAATCACTTATGCAGGAATTGACACTCTGAAAATAGCATCCAACCCTAGGAGAAGTGGGTTTGCTGGGGTGAGGAACCCCTCATGTAGAACCACAGCGAGGGGCTATGGGCCTTAGTGGAGAGGCTTCAGCCTGAGAACAGAGCTACAGGTGGTTCCCTCAGCAAGAGGACTGGCCCATTTCTGTGACTTCACCAGCACTGCATATGATCTAGAGGAACCTAGTGAGTGTGCTTGGAGAGTACATTTGTACTTTGAAGTATGTTCATGCTCAGTGAAGGATGGAAATAGGACCCTTGAGCCGATTACTCCGTGATGGCTCAGACTGCATGCAAAGACTAGGATGGGGCTCTTGCTCTGGCTCAGTGTTGGGCATACTTCCCCTCAGAAGGCCCCCGCCAAAGAGCTTAGATTTTGGCTTGGGAAAAACATTACCCCTCTTCAGTAACCCTGAAGCTCTGTATTTGGTATTTGGGATTCAGGTAGGTCAGCTGCTCATGTTGCCTGGCCCAAGTGTGTAAGAACAAACAGTAATGCCAGTCATTTTCCCACTAAGATGTTCCAGTGGGAAGGGGGGCTGGTATGAAAAAGAGAATTTTTTTTTCTCTGTGTAATGATAACTTTGTTCACGTAGTAAGAATTCAGTTCTTACTATTGGTGTGAATAGGGGGTAAATATTATTTTTATTTAAAAGCAAAATTAAATACTTTCTGAACCTCATCCATGTTTGCAAGTAGATGTCTACTGTGGTTGCCTTTTTTCCTCAAGAGAATATTTTAATAAACTTGTAAGTAATTTTGTTACATTTTTCTGTCTGCCTGTGTACTATGTATTAAAACTCACATGGGGGCTTTCATGATAAAAAGATAAACTGTTAAGCAGTTGGAAATTTTCAGTGTTCTTCCAGTGGACACCTGCCTTGGGGCAGGAGCTTCTTTGTAGTCATTATTGATAGAATGGGGTCACACACATTGTGCTCCTGCATTAAGGGCAGCTCCAAGGTTTGGCATGAGACTATGCATGTGTGTGGACACGGAGGTTTCTCAGTGAGAAAGAGTCCTAAGACAGTGAAGTGGAACGAGGCCTTAAAAATCATCTAGTCAGCTGACTTCCAGTTTCAGGTTCTCAGGCTCCTTTTGGTATTTTAGGAAGCCCACATTGGACTAGAGAGAGACTTCAGACCAAGATATCATGTTTATGTTCTTTTAGCTAGAATTGTGTTAAGGCAATGACTATCTCCTACAGCTTAGAAGTTCTGAAGTACATGGCCAGGAGCGGTGGCTCACACCTGCAATCCCAGCACTTTGGGAGGCCGAGGCGGGTGGATCACCCGAGCTCAGGAGTTTGAGACCAGCCTGGGCAAGATGGTGAAACCCTGTCTCTACTAAAACTGTGAAAAACACATTAGCCGAGCATGGTGATGCATGCCTGTAATCCCAGCTACTTGAGAGGCTGGGGCACAAGAATCACTTGAGCCTGGGAGGCAGAGGTTACAGTGAGCCAAGATGGTGCCAGTGGACTCCAGCCTAGGCAACAGAGCAAGACTCTGTCTCAAAAAAAAAAAAAAAAAAAGTTCTGAAGTACAGTTATATATGTATTTGATTAATACAAAAGTAGAGAAGTTAATCACTCCTTAAAAAATGCAGTTTGGGAGGCCAGGCACAATGGCTTATGCCTGTAATCCCAGTACTTTGGAAGGCCGAGGAAAGGCGGATCACTTGAGTCCAGGAGTAGGAGACCAGCCTGAGCAACATGGTGAAACCCCATCTCTACAAAAAATACAAAAATTAGCTGGGTCTGGTGACGTGTGCCTGTGGTCCCAGCTACTTGGGAGACTGAGGTAGGAGGTTCACGTGGGCCCAGGAGATTGAGACTTCAGTGAGCCATGATTACACCACTGCACTTCAGCCTGGGCAGCAGAGTAAGACCCTGTCTCAAAAAAAAAAAAAATTCAGTTTGGGGGAAAAAAACTAAAGATTATAAAAATATTAAACATATGGCAGACTCCTCTTTGTTACCATGTGAGTAACACAAGCCAGGTGCATTCTTTTTAAGTTGCCTGTCCCAGAGAGATGTGATTTGGGACAATCCACAGGTTATGGGCACAACTAAGCCAGGGTCCTGCTTCTGTTCCCCTTCTCTCTCATTTCTCTGCCTCTCTGGCTCAGCAGGTACTACAGCTGGGTGGCTCACCACTACTATTGTACCTTGGATAAGGTGCAGTAAAAATCGCACCTTTGACAGACTCTAGGAACCTACAGAGTACGCATGAAGTTGTTTTCTCAGCTGAAATCAGAATGAGCTTATTGTAGGTGAATACTGTAGTAATTCTGACACAAGAGCACAGACAAAGTGGTTTGGTGAATATATTCCTTACTGGGGCGATCTCGTTTTTAAAAAATCAAATATTTAAAATATTTTAAAAATCAAATATTTAATACTTTTGATTAAAAAATAAAAAATACAATATTTGTATAATTATATTTCTTAATGTTATATATTTTATATTTTTAATATTTTATTTTTATTTTTTGTATTTTATGTATTGTAATTATATTTTAAAATTATAATTTTAAAAAATATATTTATATAACATTAAGAAACATATAAGGTAATATCTTTATATAACATTAAGAAATACAATTAATTATACAAATTATGGGTGAGAATTAATTAGCATTACCTATTTTGGCTTATGATCTAAAGAAAATAGAAGTCAAATAATAGCGTACAGAAAGGACTTTTTTAGCCTAATTTTTGTGTGAAAATTTTAAATTGCAAATTGTATCATGTATAACATGTATATACAGCTGTTAGACTAATAATTCCCTAGGTGATATTTTGCTCACCAAGTAGAACCGTATCTGGAGTAAAAATGAATATGCATAACATTTTATTCTCTTATATTAATTGTTTTGCTTGACCCTTCAACAATCATTAGTTATAAAGGACAAGTTTGTTTTTCCCTCAGAAATAATATGTTATAGTAATTAAGAGCTTTAATTCCAATTCTGCCTTGGCCACATACTAGTTAAATTATCTTGGCTAAGTTATTTAATCTCTGGACATCAGCTTGCTTGTAAGTAATGTAAATATTACACTACCTCTTTAAAGGTTGTAATGAAGATTAAATGAGATTATACTGTACCTAATACTAATAGAGTCTGTGACAAATATTAGCCTGCCTGTTCTGTCCAGGTACATAGTAGGTGCTGGTAAATATTATAATTGTAGTCACAGTGATAGGGCATAGGGCACCACCTGTTTTTTGTTTGTTTTAGTATAACAGCTTTACTGAGATATAATTCACGTACCATAAAACTCACCATTTAAAAATGTACAATTCAGTGGGTTTTAGTATTTTCACAGTTACACAACCACTATCACACATTTCATCATGCCAAAAAGAATTCCATACCTGTCAGCATTCACTCCCTGTTTTACATTCTGCATCTCCAGCCCCCAGCCCCAGCTCCTGGCAACCACTAATCTACTTTCTGTTTCTATACATTGGCCAGTCCTGGATGTTTCATATAAATTGAATTATGTAATATGTGATCTTTGTGATTGGCTTCTCTCAGTTAGCATAAGGTTTTCAAAGTTCATCCATGTTATAGCCTGTGTTAGTACTTTGTTTCTTTTTCTTGCCAAATAATATCCATTGTAGGGGTATGTAACATTTTGTTCATTCATTTATCATTTGATGGACATGTTGGGTTTTTCCCCTTTTTGGCTATTATGAATGATGCTGCTATGAACATTCACATATGAGGTTTTGTGCAGACCTATGTTTTCATTTCTTTTGGATGGATGTCTAGGAATGGAATTGCTGGGTCACCTGGTAACTCTGAGTTTAACATTTTGAATAACCGTCAGGTTGTTTTCAAAGTGGCTGCCCCCTTTTACATTCCCACCAAAAATTTGTGAGGGCTCCAGTTTTTCTATATACTCATTAATGTATGTTATTGTCTGTCTTTTTAAATATAGCCCTTCTAATGAGTGTGAGGTGGTATCTCATTGTGGTTTTGATTTGTATTTCCCTGATGGCAAATGACATTTAGTATCTTTTCATCTGCTTATTGGCCATTTGTATATTTTGTTTGGAGAAAGTTTATTTAGATCCTTTGTAATTTTTAAATCACATTATCTTTTTGTTCTTGAGTTGTTAGTGTTCTTTATATATTATGGATATAAGTCCCTTTTTGAATATTTGATTTGCAAATAGTTTCTCCCATTGTGTGGGTTGTCTTTTCACTTTCTTAATGGTGTCCTTTAAAGCATGAAAGTTTTAAATTTTGTCAATGCCTATGAAAAAGGGGGAGAAAAAGTTTTAAAATAAAGTTTTAAATTTTGATGAAATCCAGCTTACCAATTTTTTCTTTGTTGCTTATGCTTGAAGTCTCATATCTAAAAAACCATTGCCAGCCAGGCATGGTGACTCACACCTGTAATCCCAGCACTGGGAGGCCAAGGTGGGTGGATCACTCGATGTCACGAGTTCGAGACCAGCCTGGCCAACAAGGCGAAACCCCATCTCTACCAAAAAATACAAAAATTAGCTAGGCATGGTGGCACGCACCTATAGCCCCAGCTACTCGGGAGGCTGAGATGGAAGAATCATTTGAACTTGGGAGGAGGCAGAAGTTGCAGTGAGCCAAGATCATGCCACTGCACTCCAGCCTGGGCAAAAGAGAACCCATCTCAGAAAAAAAACAAAAAACAGAAACCCATTGCCTAATCTATAGTGTAGTGAACATTGGCCTACAAGTATCTGCTCAAGCCCCTGCTTTCAGTTCTTTTGGGTATATAACTAGGAGTAGAATTGCTGGATCATATGATAATTCTGTGTTTAGCTTTTTGAAGAACCTTCAAACTGCTTTCCATAGAAGTTGCATGATTTTACGTTTCCACCAGCAGTACACAAGGGTTCCAGTTTTTCCACATCCTCAGTAACACTTGTTATTTTCTGTTTTTTAATTCTAGTCATCCTAGTAGGTGTGAAGTGGTGTCTCATTGTGACTTTGATTTGCGTTTTCCTAATAACTAGTGATGTTAAGCACATAAGCATATGAAAAGATGTTCATTGGCCACTCGTATATCTCTTTTAGGGAAGTGTTTATCCACCTCTTTTGCCCATTTTCAGTTGGGCTGTTTCTCTTTTTGTTGACTTGTGTGAATTCTTTACATATTCTGGATACTAAACACTTATCAGAGATATGATTTCCAAACGTTTTCTCTCATTCTGTAGGTTAGCTTTTCACCTTCTTGAGAATATCCTTTGATGTGCAAGAGTTTTAGATTTTGATGAAGTCCAATTTATCTTTTTTTTTATTTTGTTGCTTGTGCTTTTGGCATCATATCTAAGAATCCATTGCCAAATATTGGGTCATGAAGATTCACCCCTGTTTTCTTATAAGAGTTTTATGGTTTTAGCTCATATATTTAGGTTGTTGATCCATTTTGAGTTAATTTTTGTATATGGTGTGAGGTAGGAGTCCAACTTCATTCTTTGGCATGTGATTATCCAGTTGTCCCAGCACCATCTATCTGTTCAAAGAGACTATTCTGTTCCCATTGAATGAACTTGGCAAACTACTTATCTTTCTAAACCTTCTTTTGTTTCCTCTTCTCCCCTGTAGTCACTACAATCTCTTTACTATCTCTGGAACCTGCAGTTGTTTATCTCTGTCTGTGCCTCATTTTTTGCCTAGAATCCTTTTCTTCTTTAGTTTGATGTTCTGAATTTTCCTAATCCACACTGATCTTCCTCAGAACTCCTGAATTTGGAGCTTTTAATGCTATTCTCTTCTCCTTCTCCTACATTCCAGTATAAGCTGAGGACACTTCTGATTGGGTGGTTCATAGGCCTCTCTGTCTATGCTTGCCAACTAGGAGGCAGAACTCCTCTGTCACTCCCACAGTGACAGAGAGCTTCTCTGTTTCCCTTAGTACTACCTGGAGGAAGTACTAAGTGAATGAGTGAAACATACTTGTACTGTGATTTATATCAGTAGGTTGTCTTTTTTTAAAAAAACTTAAGTGACTTTTATTGGGTCTTACTGAGTAGGGAGCTGCCTCTGCAATATCTAAAAGAGAACAGAAACAAGAATCCAGATCTTTCAGTGTGCTCAGGCCATCAGACACTCAATGAACCTGAGTTAGCATTTCCTTTTTCCTAAATAAGGCATCATGTGGTATGCTTTAAAGGTGTGCAGTTGGGCTGGGTGCAGTGGCTCACGCCTGTAATCCCAGCACTTTGGGAGCCTGAGGTGGGTGGATCACCTGAGGTCAGGAGGTTGAGACCAACTTGACCAACTTGGTGAAACCCCATCTCTACTAAAAATACAAAAAAAATTAGCCGGGTGTGGTGGTGAGTGCCTGTAATCACAGCTACTTGGGAGGCTGAGGCAGGAGAATTGCTTGAACCTGGGAGACGGAGCTTGCAGTGAGCTGAGACTGCGCCATTGCACTCCAGCCTGGGCAACAAGAGCAAAACTCTGTCTTGGAAAAGAAAAAAAAAGTGTGTGGTTGATCTAATAAAAAAAGACAGATGATAGAGAAAATCCTCTCAACCCTTTCATGGGGAGTGTGGTAAGGATATATTCGGTAAAATTTTAAAAAGTTATATATTCTAAACCAAATTAGTGTTTCACTTCGTGGTAAAAGTAGTTGGGCTTTATCTTATTTTTCATGAAATATACAGGTCCCGTGTGAAACTCAGTTAGCATGTCATCTGTGTGACTGGCATGAGCTCATGGTCTCTCCACTGAGGAAAGCTGGGAGAAGTGGTGCCAGCACTTAATGCCACCCCTGAGCAAATGCCTGCTGGCTCCATGGTAAACATGGGCCTTTTAATAGGCTGGAGACAGTGACATTCGGAAGAAACAACATGTCGACAATTTCCTTAATAAATTTTGTACGAACACATTATTTCCACCTAATGGAAATGTAGCTCTCTTAAATAATTGAGAGGCTGTATTCATCAGTGGTGAGTTCAGCTGGAATCTTTGTGAGCTAAGGCAGCCGAAAGCCCCTTGGAAGACTGGGTAATTGATACTTTGCACAAGTGGCTGGACCAGTTTTCAGAGTATCTGTGTGACATTCCCTGCAGCCCCCTTGGACAGCTCTCCTCTGTCCAAGCAGTCACAAAGCAGCTCTACACTGGAAGCTCCAGTTGCAGCCACTGCACTGCCACGACTAAGGGTTAGTAATTAATCCTTTTTAAAATGGGAGCCAACTCAGGCCATTTCCCCTTGCTGTGGTTTCTTACTGTGTCTGCTGACCGGCCACTGCATTAGCACACAAGGTCTTGATTTTAATAAAGAGTGATGATATTGAATGTTCAGCATGTAGCACATTTCTGTGTGCCAGATGATAGTAGCATGCTGCTGAAAAAGCAACCAATATGTTTGTGAAATGAACAATGAATGAATGAACGAACAGTGAGAGAACAAGTATAAAGGAGGTTGGCAGGAGTCATAATTGCAGTAAGCTAGAGACTTTGGTGTGGACTTGGAAGGAAAGTCAGGAATGCAGTTAAGGGTGGGAAGAATGCCAAGCAAAACATGAAGGTAAATACACAGTACTCTTCACCCAGACAAGAAAAATTGGGCTTCCTGTTTCTAGGGTGCCTTCTTGAAATTTGTGGTTGGGTCACAAAGCCAAAAGGTAGCAGTGTGTGCAGTGGTTCACGCCTGTAATCTCAACACTTTGGGAGGCTGAGGCAGGCAGATCACTTGAGCCCAGGAGTTCGAGACTAGCCTGGGCAACATGACGATACCCCATCTCTACAAGAATTAGACAGGTTGGTGGCTACTTGGGAGGCTGAGGTGGGAGGAGTGATTGACCCCAGGAGGTAGATGCTGCAGTGAGCCATAATTGTACCACTGCACTGCAGCCTGGGTGACAGAGTGAGAGCCTGTCTCAAAAAAAAAAAAAAAAAAAAAAAGGCAAAAGGCACCTAGGCAATGAGTGGGCTGTAAGCCCTGTCAGCCCTGGGTCCTGGGTAGTCGCCCTGGGTGGGAAGAGAGACTACCGGAGAACAGGGGGTTCCTGGTGGAGAGGAGGGGGCCCTCGTGCCTCAACAGTGATTTGTGTTGTTTCTTTTGGCCTCCCTGTAATGCTTACGGAGCTGTGACCATATCACAGTGAAGGCTCTAGTTGCTTAATTACTTTTTGTTTTTATTTGCAGGT
Source organism: Homo sapiens (assembly GCF_000001405.40). Taxonomy (NCBI): domain Eukaryota; kingdom Metazoa; phylum Chordata; class Mammalia; order Primates; family Hominidae; genus Homo; species Homo sapiens. The sequence continues at coordinate 76,216,595 of NC_000015.10, read as the reverse complement.
AGTTCCTGAAATGACTGAGATATTGAAGAAAAAATGAATCAGGATCATGCCTTAAAAAGAAAACTTTTGTTAAAGTATTCCACTGAAATCACAGATATTTGTGGGTATTATAACAATCATTGGAAAGCATGGAGAGCTACATTTCATAATTTGAGGGAAAATTTCTAACAGATGCCAGAATGCTTGTTTATGGGATTGCTGTGTTTCCTTTTAATTATTTGTGGTTCCAAACAATTATTGTTTGAACTTTTTAAATTCTGTACTAAAATCTATAATAAAGCTTTTCCACAGCTTTAAAACTATCAGAAATATGCCTAGCCTCTAGAGAAAATTGAAGAAAAGGAGTAAAAATTTTGTTTATTTATTTATTTTTTTGCCTTTCTTGTTCATGGAGAGCTCTATGTTTTAGGAAGATTGTAAACATGATTGTCTCCACCAGCCTAATCAACCTACTAATCTCATTGTTGAAGGGCAAACTTCATAGGAGAAGGTAACTGAATTGGCAAGTGCAGAGTTAAAAAAGCACGGCTATAAAGCATGAATATTATCTTAAACATACTCCAGTCTTCAGAAGACCATAGCTAATGTGACAAAAGCAGACCTGACTTAAACCTGACCCAGCTCCATGTATTTAGTTGGCTTAAGGTAAATTTCATTTTCCGTTTAATTTTAAGGTTTTGTCAGTTTATAGGACTTTTGTCTGTAAAGGAGGGAGAGTGGAGGAGGGGCTGCTTTGAGACAGCATGGCCTCTGATGCAAGCAGATAGTTTGATGTTATTATAAACATTCAAAATCCTGTGCAGAGAATGCTCTAGCCTTTCTTTTGCCTTCTGTTGGCTTCTTTTGGGCTCTCTTAGGAAGCACCCAGGCCTGTGTAGTCACCTCTGGCACTCTCATTCTGCTGCCCAGGGCACAGCTGAGGTCCAAGAGTGTCACCAGGGCTGCAGCTGGTGTGGATGCAGGCCCAAGAGCAGAGGCTGGTGAGGCTTTGAACAGGCCTGCAGGAAGGCGTGGGTAGGTAGGTGAGTAGAACAAAGAGGGCTGCCCTCCTGAATCAGATCTGCAGAAGTAGGAGTAGTGACCTGGATCAAGCAGACAGTAGGGAAGAGAAGGGAAGTGATAAGTGATGGAGGTGGCTAGAGTGCCTTTGTGTGACCAGCCTGGGGCCCTTCCCCAGCTGACTAGTGAACCCTTTCTGATTTGTGTCACAATCAGTTGCTATAAAACACTTTTAAAAGTTGTATCTTTGGCATTTCAGTCTTCTTTTAATGAGATGAGAGGAGAGCAGTAGAATGATGCCTCTTTGCAAGTAATGTCTGTTAGAATAGAAGAATCCTAGAATGTCTGAGCCCGGTGATTATCTGGTCAGACCCCTTGTTGTATAGATGGGCATACTGAAGCACAGAGAAGTGAAGAAGGTAAAGTGACTTGGCCAAGGCCACATGGCTTGAATCACCTTTGGGAGAGTAATTCCTATGTCTTGTTTTTATCTGTGAGGTTCTTCCTAAGAGGGCTAACCTTGCTCAAGATTTTTTCCATTTACCCCTCATCCCTGTTGGATGCTATAACTGGGGGACAGGAGAGATGGCAAAGGTGATGGCCACAGAGGCACCCCCAGTAGAAGGTGTGCTGGCTCAGGGAGGGACATCCCAGGTGGTGCCTCGGCTCAGAGTTGAACTGGTTGGTCTTTCTCCCTTTGCTCCCTCCTGTCATGGCTGCCCTGCCTCAGCCCCAAGCAGCTGTTCACTGGACTAGTATTTACAGCTCATCATCATCATAGCATTAAGTATAATGCTTACTATATACCAGGCACTGTTCTAGCACTTTATACATATTAAACCCCTTCAGTTCTCACAGCACCCTGTAAGTTAGATGCTATTATTATCCCTCTTTTACAGATGGGGAAGCTGAGGCTCAAAGAGGTCATATAACTTGCCTTAATTCGGACAGCTTATAAATGAGAGTCAGGATTTGAAACCAGGCAGACTGGCTTCAGAGTGGTAACTTCACTAAGGACGTGATTCTCCCTCACCTCAGCTCAAGGGACAGTGCGACTGCACAGCAGCCTCAGGTAAAGAGCACTAAGTACTTCATGCTGGGTGGGAGGGGCACATTTAGGACCCTGGTTGAGAAGGAGGGATGGGTGTTCTGGAATAGTCCCTCCAGTGGGATTTTATTCAACTCAAAAAGTCCCTCTGAGTGCTCACTTAGAGCTTATCGTAAAAAGGCAGCCATGTGAGGTGGAGGCAAGTTGTTAAAACTATTATATATGCAAGAGGCACACATATATAATGTGCCCTTTTAATCTGTTTTTTTGGAAACCGAACAGTTCCTGTTGACTCTGCGCCTGTGTCCAGCCTTAGCACCCAGAGCAATAGCTCTGGAAACAGTATGGGGGAAAGGTGTTAGGGGTAGCTTTCTTTAATTCTTGCATATAGGTTTCCTGCCTTTTTCCCTAGTTTCTTTGAGGTCTTTGGTTAACCTCACACAGCCTCTGAGAATTTGGTGGCCTGGTTATTTTGGCAGAACACAGAGTCCCTGGGAGGACAGAAATAGGCATGTTAGAAAGGCAGCCCTCTGAGGGCAGAGCCAAACAGGTCCATGAGCTGAAGCTGATGGCCTCTTCACTTGCAGAAGGCCTCTTTACTTGCAGAAGGCCTGAGGCCTAGTAATGGCCCTGGGCCTAGCTTCTTAGTAGTTGAGAGGGGACAGCATCAGCTTTCCCCCAGGTCCCACTCGCTCTCAGCAATTCTGTGGGGACATGTTCCCTGCTGGGTTCTCTGGCTCACCAGCTGTGCTGTTTGGGATTCTGAAGAAAATACCTAGAAAAGTGTGTGGTCCAGCCATTGCCCCGAAGTAGCTTGTGGTCTTGACAGGGAGGGACGGTATCCTTCCAGACTCTGAGAGTACAGGCTGTTGGAGCCACAGCCCCCGCCCTGAAGGATTTTACAGCTACCAGGAAAGATGAGATGAGACATCAGTAAAAGCAGAAAGCAGGTCTCAGGATGGACAGCATATACAGAGAAGGCTCATCAGGAGGCTGGCATGGCCATTCCTCGCAGGCAGGGGAGCAGAAGTGGAAAATGATATCAGAGCTCAGGTGCATGAGGCAGTGAGGGGCAGAAACACTGGGGTCAGGGAGAGGAGTGAGGGTGGTAGGTAGTTGAGGCCAGATTGGAGAGGACATTGACTCACAGGCTGAGGAGGCCTTTTTCCTTAGAGATCAATGGTTCTCAGACTTTGCCCTCAAGGAACACTGCCATTTCCACTGGACCAGTGATGGTACTGTGAAAGTTATACCATACAGGACTTTTCCTGATTTGCAGGAAAAATTTATCAACAGCAGTTTCCCAGTCTTAAGTCTTTCTTGCATACTTCTTTCTAAACCTTTGGTAGCTGCTACCCCTTGTCTTCTTAAGAATGTGAGCAGATTCCAAGGTGACTGGACAGTAGCAAGTGGATCTGAACAAAGAGCAGCAGCCACTGACCCACCACAGCTTTTGTTTTTGTCTTGGGACATATCAGGGATTTTGTTGAATATTTAAAATACTTTCTGCTAGTTGGTAATTGTTCCTTGTTTGTTAGAATTAGATATGTCAGTATATTAAGAATGTCCCATAAAAACTGTATGACTTACTACTGTGCCACCTGAACAAGTCTTAAGAAACACCGCTGGCAACAGGGAGCCATTTATAGTTTTTGAGGAAGGCCTATAACTTGGTGGTGTATGCAGGACAGAGGGAGGGAGGAGAAGATGGAAGCCATTAGGGGCTGAATCCTCTGGCTCCAGATGGATTTGGCTGGGGATGGGCTCCTGGAGATTGTGAAAATGGGTCCAGTGCTGTGGGCAAGGCTGGCAGAGGGCAGGGCTCTTCCTCCCAGGATAGCAGTGGGAGCCCTGCTGCCTCCAGAGCCTGAGCATGTCTGCTGGGCTGGAGGGCTGGAAACCCCAGCCCTAGGTGCACTTTCTGCTCTCTTTCTGAAAGGGAGGGTCAGCCTGATTGCATTTCACGCTGTCTTTCACTAAGGGTTTTTGTTTGAGTTTACATAAAAGTGGGCTGAAGAGGCTGGGAAACCCAGAGAACACCATTGAATGTAGCAGATGGATTTGGTTAGCTGTTGCTGAGCTAAAGGAGGCTTGACTGATAACCTTGTGAAAAGTCCATGTAGGATGATACACTGCCATAATTTCTTACAGCTCTGGTGTTTTTAAAAAATCTTTGTGGGGAGCAAATGAAGGAAGAGTTGCTTTTAATCCTTGGCTTATAAAGCACTTTCATGTATGTCACCCCATCAGTTGGGGAAAGAGTAGAAAACATGCAAGAAATCAGACTCTCAGGAGAGGAGGCAGTTTGCCCCAGGTCACAACACATGTGATAGAACTGGAACACAAACAGAACTTTGGACAAATACTACTTATTAAGAACTCCCTGTGTGTTGGGTACATTATATACCCTTCTAATACAGGCTCCTCTAAAGTGTATATCATTACGCCTACCTTCTGGATGAAGAAATGAGCATAGAGATGACCAGAGGCAGTTGGTGAGATGTGGGACCTGAACTGGACTCCAGGTCTGGAAAACTTGGCCTGTCCACTAGACTGTGGTCCTCCCATTCTCTCCAGGACTATATCCTCTGGTTTGCATTGCTTCAAAACAGCAGGCTTGCCATTAGAAGCAAGGAACACCGATGGAATTAGGGATTTTCTGTGAAGTAAGCTGGCATTTACTTCCTGTGGCATTGGGACTGGTGAGAGGGAGGCCCTGGGGTGGCTTTATCTGCGTGGCCTTTGCCTTCTTCATCTCCTGCAACTAACTGGGCATGTGGTTAAAGACAGGTGAGTGCTTTCTTTTTGTGTGCTCACCTCCAGCTGTGTTTCCTTCCCAGCGTGGGCTGCATAGGGGACATTTGGGTCTGGGACCTGGAGACCACTGGGTGGACTGGTCAACAGGAGCCTTGGGTTCTCATCCTGTTCCTGTTACTGCCCCAGAGGCACCCTGGTCACCTTCCCTCCTTTCAGGTTTCATTTTAATCATCTGTAAAATGGCGATGTGAACTAGGTGATCTTTCTAGATAACAAGCTTTAACCTATGAGTGTATTGGTGGGTGTCATACGAGGTGAGTAGATGGAGACAGTGAATACTGTTTTTGAGGGCTTCTTATGCCCAAGATGCTGTGCTGAGCCCTTTACATACGTTATCTCATTTACGTCTCATAACCTCACAAGGTGTAGGTTTGACCTGGGGCAAACTGCCTCTTCTCCTGAGATTCTGATTTCTTGAATGTTTCCTACTCTTTCCCCCACTGATGGGGTGACATACATGAAAGTGCTATATAAGCCAAGGATTATCAGCAACTCTTCTTCAGATGAGAAAACTAAAGCCTACAGAGCTTAAAACACTTGCCCAAGGACGCATGGCTAGTAAATGGTGACCACAGGCCAGTCTGCTCCCAACCACATGCCATATCCCAAGTGCCTCAATGGGAGTGCAGAGGATGGACCTAATCTAGCCTGACTAGGGTGGGCTGCAGTGCAGGGCAGCAAGATATGAAGGCCTCACCAAGTTCAGAAGGGGCAGCAAAATCAACCAGATGAAGAAGTGCATTCCAGGCAGAAGGCCAGCATGGACAAAGAACAGGATTACCCAGGAACATGACACACTGAGCTGCTTTCTCTGGAAAATGCAAGGTCTAGACTCTGATGCATGAGTCCCCTTCTAGCCGGACACTCCTCCATTCTGAACCACTCTTTGCTCAGGGAAGCAGGGGTCTTTGTACTGCAATCTGGATCCAGTCTGCTCATTGGCCTTTTGTGGTATTTAGCACGGTGCAGGTCCCAGAACCCCCTATCGCTTCTTTAATCAGTGGAGGCGGAGGTGAGCATACCTAGTTATGAGGCCTAATTGATGTTGGGGAGGTTCCTAGAGTGCTCGGTGAAGGGTGACCCATAAATCTCAGACACTGAAGAATTCTGCCACATCCATCACAGTGTTTAATGTCCTGATTGATCTCCAGGGTAGTCAATTTCATTTGCTTGTTTCAGGATGAAGAGGCAGCCTGCTTCCCTATGTTGCAGCCTGGGGCTCTGCATAAAATTATGCCAGCCCTGTCTCCTGGTAGCTTGCAATAAATTTTAGCAGCAAATGTTTCATCATTTTCCTTGGATAATTAACTATTCACCAGGAGATAATACCAAACTTTTCAGCAGTGGAGTCAAAGATATTCAGAATAGTGATGAATTCCTCACTTAGTTAATGTGAGGGAAATACAAGTTTTTGGCAAGTACTCCAGTAGTACTCCAATAGTACTGACCAAAGGGAGAGGAAGGAAGATAAGGTGCCTCCTGTCTGGGGGATAACAGTGCTCTCTTACCTCACTCAGAGTGAATACAGGCATGGAACAAATGAGTATGTGCGAGCAGGGATGCACTCAGGAGAGGAGCAGGCAGTGGCTGGACTGGCTGTTATGACTAGGGGCGGGGCTCACTGCCACCCTCCCACACCAGACTATCAGCAGCAGCAAGAGCGTCTCCTGGGCAGCTGACCCCAAAAGTGCTGAGCATGTGCTGGCAGTAAAACACCCCAGGCTTCTCATTAATAAGGATGCTTTCTGTTTGTGTCTCCCCTGAAACATTCTCAAAGGGTTTTCCCTTCTGTTACATCATTAGCTATCCCAGCAGCCTTCAGGGTGGGAGGCACAAGATCATTCCTGTTGTACATGGGGAGGAAGCAGGTCTAAGGATTTGCTTGGAGCCTCATAGCAAACCAGAAACAGGGCTGGGCTGAGAATCCAGTCTCTGCCACATCCCGTGCATAGGTACAGTGGCACCTGAGGTAGGAGGCATGGGAGAGAGTGGGATGAACAGACCTCTCTCCAGCCCTGAGATGTCCATGGTTTGGCTGTTTCAGCCCCCAGAGTTGTTGGGGGTCCTTGTGAAGCAACTCCACACAGGTGTTGAGTGGGGCACAGGGTACTGTCAGCTTGTTAGTAAGAGGGATTCCTTGGGCCCAGATAATTTGTCAGCAGCTCCAAGAGTGGGACCCCAACTCTGTCTTCTCTCTTTAGAGGTAACTGAATAGCACCAGGGAGGAGCGTGGCGGCAGCACCAAGGCGGAAGCCATGCTCTTTTGACTCTGGCTTCCGTCAAGAGCTGTCTTGGAAGGAGAAAGGAGCTCCTGAGTTGAATTTCAGGTGGACACCCACCATGCTAAATAGAATTCCAAGCCACTAGCCTCTAGCCACACAGGTTCCATCCCAACACTCCTGTCTGTGGGACTTGATCTGAAAAGCCACACTTTGGTTGGGAACCTTGCCCAGGGCTGGCTGGAGAGGGGCCTGTTGTGCCACTCAGGGAAGGCCTTATGGTTCCCTCATCCTGGGTGGGCTTCAGGCTGGGGCTGCAGACTCTGGCCCAGCTCCCTGGTGGGCCAGTCACCAGCACTGCTGGCTCTGAGTCCTGATTTCTTACTTTGGCTTTCCTGGTGGCACCTGGTTTGATTCTGGACAGCTCATTTCACATCTAGCATGGCATATAATCCAGCCAGACCTGGGTTTGAATCCTGCCACTACAGCTCACTAGTTAGCTGTGTGCCCTTGGGCAAGCCCCTGAATGAGTCATTCCATGGCTGCTGTTTTCTCCTCTGTAAAGCAGGGAAGATAGCGCCCACTTTCCAGGGCTGTGCTAAGGAGGGAAGCCTGTGAAGAGCACCTGTCACAACAGGAAATGCAGACGTGGGAGTCACTATTGTTACCACCCTCTTGTTCTAGCAGGAGACAGTGGCTGTTACCAGACCCTCCCTTCAGGGACAGCCCGATGACTCCTCTGGGCCACCAGAGTGGGTTCTCCAAAAGGGTGCAGGAGAACGGGGAGCCATTTCCCAGAGCTGCAAACCTCCCAGGGAGTGCTCAGGCTCCATCTCCCTCAGCCCCCAGCTGCCCGCCAGCCATAACTGTAGGATATGGTGCCCAGGGGAGCCATGAAAGGCGAAGCTTTTACCTCCATCTCCTGCACTTCAGGCCCCCAGGCCCCACCCTAGGACTTGCTGTGGGATGGGCTGGAGGAAGGGCTCTGGAGTCTGCAGAAAGGACTGCCATGTTCCTGGCTCTGGCATCCTTCTCTGTGCTCTTGGTGCCAGGCACAGCCATCCTGATGTCTCATGCTCAGACACCACAGACTGGAAATGGTGGCATCTCCTCCTCATCAGTTCCCCCAAGTCCCATCAGTCAGGTGTCCCCAGCGTCTCCTCCACCACCGCTGCCTTCATCTTGCCTGCCCATGTGCAGCCTTGTTCCCTCTCCTCTGGGCACGGGCCCCTCCCTCTGGCTGCTCCTCTGCAACTACCAGAAGACTCTGTGGTAGCCCTTCCATAGCGCTTTATCTCTAGGGAGAACATCTGGCTTGGCCTGGCATCCAAGGCCTCTGGTGAGCAGCCTCACCTGTCCTTTTCCAGGTTGCTCTCATGTGGTCCCTTCCCCCTCCTACCCATTCCATCCTCTTCCTGACACCAAACTTCTCCCTGTTCCCAAACCCTGCCTAGCTCACTGCTGTTCCTCTGCTTGCACTGTTGTCCCACCACCCTCCTCCTGACATTCCTTCCTTTTTTTCCCCTTTAAGTGGTTTAACAACTGACTTCATGTCAGGGAGATAATCAAAAATTCCCTGCTCACATTCTCTGGAAGTGGGCCAGTTTTGTAGCTCAGCGTTGAAACTACCCCTAAAAACAGCTCTCCTCTTCCACGACAAACAGAAGAGTTGATTTGGTATACTTACTCTTTTAAAATCGCCTTTAAATGTTTCCTCCATTGTGAGGCCTTCAGATGTCCCCAGGCAAGTAAGTAGCTTCCTTCATCTGTGTGTACTGTCTTACGCTGTGACTGTTGTGGACTCTGGACTTGGGGACCACCTGTTATCTCTGTCCCCAGCCTCTATCTGTGAGGCAGTTCCAACACAACATGAAGGCAACAACAAGTGCTCAGCAGGGTCTCACCTTACAGCAACTTGTAAATACCCCAAGAAATCCGCTTTTAAATGTGGAGTTCTGGCCGGGCCCAGTGGCTCATGCCTGTAATCCCAACACTTTGGGAGACTGAAGTGGGCAGATCATTTGAGCCCAGGAGTTCCAGACCAGCCTAGGCAGCTTGGCAAGACCCCATCTCTACAAAAAACACAAAATTTAGCCAGGCATGGCAACGTGCACCTGTAGTCCTAGCTACTTGGGAGGCTGAGATGGGAGGATCATCTGAGCCTGGGAGGGTGAGGATGCATGAGCCATGATTACGCCACTGCATTGTAGCCTGGGCAACAGAGCAAGACCCTGTCTCAAAAAAAAAAAAAATGGCTGGGCACGGTGGCTCACACTTGTAATCCCAGCATTTTGGGAGGCCAAGGCAGGTGGATCACCTGAGGTCAGGAGTTCGAGACCAGCCTGGCCAACATGGTGAAACTCCGTCTCTACTAAAAATAGAAAAATTAGCTGGCCATGGTGGTGCTCGCCTGTAATCCCAGCTACTTGGGAGGCTGAGGCAGGAGAATCGCTTGAACCTGGGAGGTGGAGGTTACAGTGAGCCGAGATCACACCACTGCACTCCAGCCTGGGCGACAGTGAGACTTTGTCTCAAAAAAAAAAAAAAAAAAAAAAGGTGGAGTGCCTACAAAACAAAACACAACAAACAACAAAAGAAAAAAAAAAGTGGAGCTCTCTAGAGACCCATTTCCTAGAGGACAAACTGAAGAGAACAGCTGCCACTTGCCTAGCATCCTTCCCATGGCATCCCTCCCCATCCTGTGGTTCTTCCCTGGAGTAGGAGTCCCCAGCGGACGCGAGTGCTGGCAGTCAGCCTTGGCAGTCGGCCTTGCAGCTCCCCCTGGCATGGGGCCAGGTTCATGTGCCTGTGAGGTAGCAGCACTAGCCCAAGAGCTGGTACAATGGAGCTCTGCAGAAGGCCAGTCACAGCTCAGCAAGGTGAGCCTGGAGGAGGAGGGTGGCCATTTCTAGTCCACTGGGTGGAGATCACCAGTTAAGGAGCCCACTGGCTTCTGCCCTACAGATTACAAACCATGTAATACCCTCCAGCCCATCAAGTGGCAAAAGCCAAGTGACTGCTTTGCTTCCCAAAGCTCTAAACTCTGGGAACCCCAGGGCCTGGCATGGTGCCAGCAGACTTGGGCCCCAGTTTCAGGGCCTGTCATTAGAGTTCAACCTCAGAAAGTTTCTTCAATCTCTCTGAGCCTCAGGTTCTTCAACTGTAAAATGGGGTTAGTGATACCTGCCTCACAGTGTCGCTGGAAGGGTTAAAGGAGCCCATGTGAGTAGGGGCCTTGGCCCAGTGTCCAGTGATGGATGCTATGGCAGTGCTGCTGGTGACGCCTCAGGTTAGCCACTCTTGCCCTTTGCAAAAGCTTCCCCTTGGTAGGTCTTCTAATTACACCGCAAGAGTGACTCAGTTGGATGTTGCCACCTTTAGCACTTTTTTAACAACTGTTCATCACCCCATGAATCAGGAGGGTGCTCTTTGCCAGCACGTGGTAATTTCCTTCCCTTTCTTCCAATTCAGCCATCTTTCCCAAGTGGCTCCATGCCCAGGCCTGTGGGATTCTAATGGGGCTCAGGCCTGCTCGTTGTTCTTGAGGACCAGCCTGGGAGGCAGGCAGGGAAGCAGATGCTGACCAAGCCAGGGACATGGTGCACTGTCAGGTGAGTCCAGGGGGGCCACAGGAGCTCCAAGGACACCCAGCCTAGTGGTGAGGACAGGCAGGACACTGTCACGGTGAGCATAACCCAGACCAAGGTAGAGGGGAGAAAGAACAGGCTGGACAGAGGCATGGGAGGACAGCCAGAGGGGCAAGCAAGCCAGCTCACGAAGGGGCTGAGTCACACTCAATGTTCTCTTGAGGCAATGGGAGCCCTTAAAAAAAATTATGTCTTCTTGCCGGGCGCAGTGGCTCACACCTGTAATCCCAGCACTTTGGGAGGCTGAGGCGGGCGGATCACGAGGTCAGGAGATCGAGACCATCCTGGCTAACACGGTGAAACCCCGTCTCTACTACAAATACAAAAAATTAGCCAGGTGTGGTGGCAGGTGCCTGTAGTCCCAGCTACTCAGGAGGCTGAGGCAGGAGAATGGCAATGAAGCCGGGAGGTGGAGTTTGCAATGAACCGAGATCGCACCACTGCACTCCAGCCTGGGCAACAGAGCAAGACTGCGTCTCAAAAAAAAAAAAAAAAAATTATGTCTTCTCTACTCCCCTCCGCATATAAAAGAAAACATGATGGTCATACACACATGATGGTTATACACACAAAATCCCTTGGAGGCTTTTAAGCAGGGGCGCTGAGGCTTAGCTGCCTGGGAAGATACACTGGGGAGGGTGAAACCAGAGGCTGTGCAAAGAGGAGGCTGCTGCAGTCCAGTCCGGCAAGGGGCCTGGGTCTCAGCACGGCCGTGATGGGAGCCAGGGACAAGCAATTTGGAGGGTGGAATGACCAGGATTCACGACTGCTCACGGGACGAGGAGGGAGCCTGGGATGCCATGTGTATCTGAAACTGGGTGGATGGTGGTGCCCTGGCTGGGAACCACTCTGGACACCTCACCTGGGCTAGCAATCAAAGGAAAACCTCCACCAACTGGGAGTCTCAGTGCAGCTGGTTTTTATTATTAAAGCCAAGGTTGGAAAATGGTTGTTCCCCTGCCCTCTAGGACCCTCCCACCCACCTCTAGGTTGATCCCTTTATATCCTGTGAAGGTGAAAACTAGATTCGTCTTGAAGAGACTCAGAAACGCTCATGCTGGAATGAGAATGAGGACAAATGACATAGGCTCAGATGGTGGTCTCCGTGTGATTGTGTTGGACTCCACCCAGGATTCCTGGGAAAGACGGCTTAGGGGTGGGGCTGGACAGCCCCTGCTCACAGTGCTGTTCCCTAGAGTCCAGGGTGGGCGTCAGGAACGAAGGCAACGCAAGAGGCTGAGCTGGCCCCCCCACACTCTACCCTGCTGAAGCTGGGCCACAGGCTGGTTTTTGTAAAAATGGTTAAAAAGAAAACCCAGCCACGAGCACCACCCTCCCCTGAGCAGGGCGAGAAGAGGCGCCAGCTCTGGGCTTTGAGGTCTGAAGCTTGTGGCCTCCTGGCCTGGCGTCGCCTCCCTGGAGGCAGGCAGCACCCTGAGGGAGGCCAGGTGGGCTCCTGGGCCCCGCGTGTGGCCCTTGGCAGCCTCCAGGGTCCCAGGAGAGCTTTGAGATGGCTGTCTCCCCTCATCTCACCCAGCCCATGGCAGGCTCTAGGCCTCAGGGACCCTGTGCAGCTTTTGCTCTTTGGATTCCAAAGATCTGAACTTGTCCTCCAGCATGGGCACAGTGGGCTGGAAGTGGATGACAGGCCTGATCTGAAAGACAGTGAAGCCCTCCTGGTTCTTCTGGTTGAACAGACTTACCCTGTGTTCCAGCTCGGGGCTGGTTTGGGCCGAGCCCGCTGGGCTGGGCCGGGCGAGGGGGGCTGGGTCCAAGGCCTTCTGGGAAGGGCAGGGGTCCTCCGACAGGGAGGACAGCAGGTCCTGGACTGTGGCCTCCTCCACCTGCTGCTGGGATGGCAGCGGCGGGGGAGAAGGGCCGGGCTCAGAGGACGGCTCCTCGCGGGCAGTGCTGCAGTCCATGGAGGAGCCCAGCGTCTGGCTGCTGTCACTCTGGGCCCGGGTGACTGAGCTGCGGGAGGCACTCTCCGAGGTGGCGCTGGTGCCATTACCGCCGAGTTTGAGGGGCATGTCCAGAGAGAAGAGGTCCGAGGAGATGTTGGGCTGGTGAATGTCTATTGCGGCCGTGGTGACCATACACACAGCTGGCTCTGGGACACCGCTGTCTGCAAGGTAGGAGGGGATCTTGGTCACACTTCAACCTCTGCCACACCTGGGGGCCCTGAAGAGAGCAGGTCTGAGCCGGGCGGTGGGCAATGAGTGTGGCTAGGCTGTAGGAGACCGTGCCTTTGTGGAAGGAGGCCTTGGTAGAACTCCCTCCCAGTTCTCCAACATCACTGCCCTGCTTTGAGGGGTATTATGCCTCATCTTGTTAAACTCAAGTGTAGGCGTGTGACACGCTTTGGCCAGTTACCCATGAGAAGTGACCTGTGGCACTTCTGGGCAGAAGCTTTATGAGCTGGTGCTTTACCCTGGCAAATGTTCTAGGATAGATGGTGACTGTTCTGTCAACTGGGTGCTGGAGTAACAGTGATGACCCAGGAGCAGAGCCCCCAGCCAACCTACAGTGGGCTTTTGTGGCTTTGTTTGTTTAAACCATCGAGATGCAGGGTTATTTGCCACAGCTGCCTAACCTAGCCCATCCTAACTCAGGAAACTTGGTGTGCCAGGGCAGGGAACTTGGGTTCCATGGTCTGAGGAATGACTCAGTTTCAGATGGACTGGCAGGGGTGGGGGCTGCGGGGTGGGATGATCAGAGCCTGCTTAGCATGCATCACAGGATCAGAGGATGCTCAGAGCTCTTTGCTCTAGGTGAGATGTACCACGGGGCTGACCTACAGAGGGTGCAGGGTGGGGAGGTTTCTCCCCAAAGTTGTGGAGGACTGGGAGAGAGGTCTGGGCTGGAGACGGTGGTCTTTGAAACCAGCATATTGGATGAGGCTTTGAGGGAGGAGAGAAGAGGGATGAGGCCTTAGGGAGACTAAATTGTGGAAAACAAAAAATTCAAATGCATTACTCACATGGCCCAACATAATATTCTAGCCTTACAATGGAGCATACAAGGTTTTGGGGGCTGCGAAATTCAAACTCAAGAACTGCATGTGGAACCCGGAACTGGAAAGGGGGCTATGGAGAAACGAGACACCCAAGGCCTCAGCGTTATTTTAAAATTCAATTTTTCCCATAAGTAAAAACCACTAGGCTTCCCTGAGGTTTTTTTCAAGTGCAAGAACATCCAGCAGGAATGTACCCAAGGCCTGCTGCTTCTCACACCCAGGGGTGCTATGGCACCTCAGCCTCCACTGTGCCCACCTTGACATGTGTGCAGGTGGGCACTGAGGTCACTTGGAGTTCTGGATTCCAACCCCCTTCCAATTTCAGGGTTCCACATGCAGTTCTTATGGGTGATCACAGAGCACCCCTATCCTGGCACCTGCAGGCTCAGCCCCTGGGGACCCCCAGCTCCAGTGCTGGAGTTTGCTGGAAGCTGAAGCTCCGATATTTTAACCTTGAGCACTGCCTGCAGTTATGGTTCACAGGCACCAGGTGATGGGCATGCTTTGAAGCCAGGCCGAGTTGTCTCTGGGTTTAGGGATTGCTGGGGTTGTGGCACATGTAGAACAGCCCCAACCCAGACTTACCACTGCTGGGCCCATTGTAATACTGACTGATGTAGCTGTTCATGTCGTCCTTCATCGTGGCTTCTACAGAGGTGGGGACAGAGAAGGGTGAGTGCATCAAGTTCATTCTCTACCCCTTATACTCCTGTCCCCACCCCCACGGTCACAAGAGAAGGCAGCTGTCTCACAGAAGCCCTTGGTGTGTGTGACGGGAGCTGCCTCTTAGTTCTCCATGGGGACCACCTGTCTCACCTGCCCCAGGGGCTGGACTGCACTGGGTGCTGGGGGACCCAGGTTCTGATGAAGCATCTGCCTTAGTACTGACCTGGACAGACCCCTTCCCCTCTGTCCCCAGTTTCCCCATCTCTGAGATGAGGGGTGTGGAAATAATTTATCAGGGCTTTTCCTTGTCTGGATGGCCTGAGCCTTCATTGCCTAAACTTCTCAAGGGCACTGGAAACACTGCCCTTGGTAAAGAAGCCCTGAAATCCCATTTGCAGGACACAGCCAGCCACAGGGCTGAGGTGCCATCCAGATAGCCCCCCGTGGCTCGATCCACCTGTGGGCTCCAGCCTTCCATGCAGTATAGGAACAGACCTGGGGAGGTGGGGTGCTGGGGATCTCCACCACCTGCACTGTTCCTGCACACAGTAGGTACTCAGTACATAATTACTGAGCAAATAACAGAAAGGGAGGTGAAAAGCTCATGTCAAGGGGGGTGGGAACAGGGTCTTTTAAAAATTAGCTGGGCGTGATGATGCACACCTGTGGTCCCAACTACTAGGGAGGCTGAGGTGGGAGGATTGGTTGAGGCTGCCGTGAGCTGTGATCACACCACTGCACTCCAGCCTGGGTGACAGAGTGAGACCCTGTCTCCAAATAAATAATAAGGAATCTTGGTTCACCTCCTGAGAGGAGCAGGGAGGGAATGGGAGGAGAGTTGAGATTTTCAGAGTGGCCTGAGAGTGGGAGGAAAGCCAGGTGCTGGAAGACCCCAAAAGCCATCCTAAGAGCTGGGCCTTGTTCCAAGGGCAGCGAGGCAGTGAGGGGCCACAGGATGGTCTGAACTTGGTCAGGTGTGATTGGGAGAGGCTGTGGCAGGAAGACCAGAGACTGCAATGCCCAGGGTGGGGTCAGACACCAGAAAGCCCTCAGCATGGGAGGGCTGAGGGCTGTCCTCCCTCCCCCGTGGAAGTCTGGAAGTGCTCCAGGGCTGCCCCTAGAGTCCGAGTCTGCACCCCCAGGAGCTTCTCTGAAGAATGGGGTCAGCAGACCCACTGTGTTCTGAGGGCCCCTCCCAGGCACACCTGTGAGCTGCAGAAGCCAGTCTGCCCTGACCCTGGGAGGCTGGAGGCAGCACAGAAGGGCCTGGCTCTTAAAAGCTTTTCTGGCCTCTTTTGATCTTTAAATGCCTGCAGTCAGAGGTGTGTTTTGCACTAACGCTGGGGTTGAGGGAGGGCCCCGGGCTGGCTCCAGGCCCTGCTCCTCATCAGCCAGCTACACTCTTCTTGCAGCTGGGCATCCATACGCTGTGTGTACTGCCAATGCTGTCTAGCCTGGCTGCTGCCCTGGGAAGCCAGGGGTAACTGATCCCTGCAAGCTGGAGGCTCAGGACCCCCAGGCCCTGTGGGCCAGGTTGGGGGATCTGGTCAATCTTGGTTTTATCCTGAGACCACACCCGCAGGGACTCCAGAGGGCCATGTGATGTGAGTAGGACAATGAGCTCAGCTAAAGTATCCACAGAGCAGCGAAACCTTAACCCAAGAGCCACTTGCAGGAGGAGGCCAGGGTAAATGAGAAAATCCCAGATGCTGAGTTGTCCTTGTGCTGCCACTGGCCTGCCATGGGGGCTCAAGCAGGTCCCATCCCCTCTCTGGGCCTCAGTTTCTTCATCTGTACCCCGATGGCGCTGGCGAGGCTCTTTCAGATTGTGATGGGGCCAGGCAGATGGTTCTGAAGTTCCAAGAGGTGACAGAGTCACAGCGGAGTGCGAAGGGACTGGAGGCATCTTGGCCAGTCCCCAGTACAGGAGTCCCCTGGATACCGGCCTGAGAGGGCTGTCTCCACCACAGCCTGCACACCTCTAAGGAAGTGGAGCAGCTCTGGTCATCAGCTCCTGGGCAGCTTCTCATTCATCTGTGCTCAGTGGAGTCACAGTGAGCCCACCCTCTGCCATGTATTGAGCCCAGGAGTCCCTGTCTGCGGGGAGCACAGTCGGGGCCTTCCAGGGACGTCAACTCCTGGTCAAACGGCCCATTAGCATTTAATCAGGAAGGCCTACTATGTGTGAGGCTTACAGGTCCTGGTCCTGCCCTCCACACAGGTACCAAGGACAAGCCCATTTCTACTCACGGTCTACATGACAGCCCTTCCACCACCTAAAAAGCCCCTCACATCCCTCCTGGGAAGTCTCCTTTCCTTGGAAAGCCCCTGTGCATTCTCTACCCCTCCCTGGTTTCCCAGCCTTTCCACCCTGAACGTTTCACTATGGGCTCCAGCTGTGACCAGAATGGGAGGGAGGGACTAGTGTTTACTCTCAAAGCTCCAGACCTAGGGGTCCGCACTTCACACACTGATCTCCCTGCCCCTGTGCTAAAAGGCCGTGATTATTGAATAGACTGTGCCAAGTGCCCCGAGATCCGATGTGATCACACTGCCCTAATGCACCCTCACATCCTCCGAGCGTGTTCAGAAACTGCCCTCCTCTGCCAACTCATGTGGAGCTTGTGGCCAGCACGGACACCCAGGTCTTCTCTGCAGGAGCTGAGGCCAGACCAGGCCTTCCCCACCCTGTACTCATTGTAACCCCCAAGGAGGGCTCATCACCCTGGGCAAACATCAGCTTGCTGGGCTCAGCCCAGAGGGTCAGCCTGCTGGAGACATCCTGAGTCCTGGCTCAGTCTATCAAGGTATTAGATCGTTCTCCTTTCTCTGTGTTGCCTACATAGTTGAGTCCTTCAGCCCAGACATCCCTCCTGAGCTTCGGACTGGTCTGGCCGACCGTCCCCGGACAACTCCTGGCTGGCCTCCAGCTACCTCTGACTCAACATGTCCAAAATAGAACTCGGTTTCTCCATCCGCCTCCATCTTGGTGACTGGTTCCCTGGCACTTTTTAGTGCCTCTCTCTTACCAACAACTTTGACTTCCACCAAGTCTGTGACCAGTTGAGGGACCCCTGGCCCTGTGACCAGTCCTAGATTGGACTTCATGGTTTACCCTTTGGACTCCTGCCCTGCCTGTGGGTTCAATGAATTAGATTACTTGCTCCCGGGATGTGCCTGACACAGAGCCGAGGTCCCTAGGTGGCCATGAGGGGTCTTTTCAGTCTGCACTTGCTCTCCCTGTCCCTACTCCCTCTGCTCCAGACCTGGACCCACACAGGGCCTTGGAGTGAGCTTTAAGGCGTGAGTCTGAGAGCCAGGCTGGCCTGGACTTCTCTAATGGTGCTGAGGCCGGGCCTGCCTGTTGTCTTGTGTCATGCAGGCTGGTGGATCCTCTTCTTCCAGAACTGAACACTTGGGCTGCGGTTCTGTCTTCACCCACAGAGGGGGACCAAGGGCCTTGGAGGGCAGAAGCCACATTTTACTGTCTCCCTGGTGCTTGGCATGGAGTTTGGCATATGCCAAGTACCATTAGGCTGGACTGGACAGAAGACTATGGTTGGATCAGAGGCCTGTGGGACTTCCCAGCCTCCACCCCTACTCCAGGGAGCCATGGAGTCACCACACACTCAGTAGGAAGTCTCACTGCCCACCCTGGTTCCTCCTACAGAGAGACTGGGGGATCTGGGAGCGAAGGGGTGGCAAGGGAGGCAGACACAGATGTTTATGGCTGGGAATGGGCCACACTGTTGGCCTCACACAGGGCTGCCCACCTTCCATCTAAGAATAAGCCCCTGCCCCCGGGAGTTTGCTTTGATTCAGCCCTGAGGAGTCCTAGAGACACACAGGAAGAACCCCCAAGGGACTGTGCTGTGCAGTCCGTGGAGGGGCAGGAAAGAATGGGCACAAACACAGGCTTCAGAACAAAACAGACCCAGGGCCAACCCGGCTCTGCAGGGCACATGCTGTGTGGCCTTAGGTAGATCCCTTAGCCACTCTGAGCTTCAGCTTCTTCATCCATAAAATGGGGATAGCAAATGCCTACTCTGCTGGTGAACTGGAAAGAGTCCCTGAGATCATGAATGTTTAGCCCAGGGCCATCCCTTGCCTCCCTGAACCCCTGGCTCCAAAGTCTCAGTGCTTTCTGTGGCAGCTGCTCTCTGCTGCCTGGCGCCTTTCTTCCCAGGGTGTGAGCACTTTGCAAACCCAACCTGACTAATCCTCCTAAAAGCCCGTCAAGTGCAGCGGTGCCAATGCTCATTATGTGGGTTTTACCCCTTGGGTGGAGCCCCCGACCTGCCCAGCAAGGAGGCAGAGGTGGAGAGAAAGGGTGGTGAGTCAGCTGGGCCAGGCTTCCTGGAGGTGGTGGGGACTGGCCAGGCTGCATGGACTGTGGTGTGGCAGAGGGGCATGGGGCGCCAACCACATGCCCTGTGCAGACCCAGGCCCCAAAGCCCAGGGCAAGGCTCTGATTCCTGGTTTGGGCTCCTGCTCCTAAACTCCAACTTGCTCTTCCATGGCTTGGCAGCCCTCACCAAGGGAGGGCACTAATATTCACTGAGCGCCTACTGTATACAAGGGATGAGAGCTGTGCATATGACTAAATGCTCAATCCTTCTCAGTGAAGAACTTCTACACCTGTTTCATTTTGAAAACACTAAGACTGAGACAGGACCAGCTACATAATTTCTAGGTCCCTTGTTTTAAAAGTATTAAGAATTTCAAGAGGGTAACAGCAGAGCAGTGAACCAAAGTTAGGGCCCTGTGTGACCACACAGGTCATGCATCCATGAAGCCAGCCCTGATCACAGAAGTAACTTGTTCAAAGTCAAGTTGAAATTCAAACCCAGACCTCAGTTCTAAACCCATGTCCCTCCGGTTGCTTCAAATGCTACTTTGCCTGAGGCTCTTTCAGATCTAGTCCTACAGCCCTGGGGTTCCTGGGGTCCCCAGTGTCCCGGTCAGGCCCACACATTTAGAGGCCAGTGGAAAGCCTTGCCTTCATGATCAGCCAGGCCCGCTCCTCTCCAAGGACAAGCACTGGTGCCAGCTCAGCTCCCTCCCCTGGGGCTGCCTGGCAGAGGCTGGCACAGAGCAGGCTGGCCGCATGCACCCCTGCGGCAGTGTCTCTGGATGCTGCAGCAGCGTGGGGGACGCGAAGGTTCCCTGTGATATATGGTGAAATCCGTGGCACTCCCACCAGGGGCTGTAATTCATAAGTTATGGGCGAGCTTCAAGACTAATAAATTTGGGAGAGAAGTATTAATGACTACACAGGGGCACTGTGAACTTGGCAGGCCCCAAAGCCTGGAACTCTGCAGCCTAGGTTTTAAAAATGATTTGTGCTACAGCAAGTCTAAACAGAAGCTGCTTGGCGTTGTCTGACTGTGACCTGCTGGCAACTGTTGAGATTGTGGAGCTGCTTCCTCCTCACGGCTGGGGCTGGCACCCCGCCCTCCTGGGCTGCCCTCCCCCACCCTGCAAAACACACGGCCCTCCCGAGGCTCTGTGACTCACAGCTCATGTCTGTAGGTTAATCCCTGGATTGTCTGTGTCCTGTGCATGAGGTGGGCCTCAGAGCCTCGCTGGCCTGAAGGTCACAGTTAGTTAGCAACAAGCACTGCCCTTACTTCATCTCCAGAGTAGCCTACAGTGCTCTCAGCTTGTCCAGCCATAATTTCTAATGTCATGAAAATCCCTCCCTGGACACAGTTCCTGGTCAAGGAGAGATCAGCTGGGGGATGCCCTGTGTCCCTGGACCATGCGAGGCTGTGAATCATGTGTGTTCCTCGCCAGCCCTGTGTTCTGCCCTTTGCCTTGGAGGCACTGGCTTTGCTGTTGATGCTCTGGGGCTGGCTGTGAAACAATGTGCCTAGGCTGGGGCAGGCAGTATCCACAGAGCCGGGAGGTACCCAGGAGACACCCCAGAAGAAGCAGGGAAGAGTGGGCAGGGGGATCCCAGGGCTGGACGGAGAAGCATCTGCACCTGCTCCCAGGGTGTGTGTCTGGCACCTCTATGGGAGGCCTGGGCCTGCCCTATCCAGATATCCCCTACCTTAGTTTCCAGGAGGGTTAGCAGGGACACTGCAGACCCCGTGACATCCTGCTGGTGACACATAGCCTATCAGTTTCCCCCAAGTGGCCTTCAACTCTGACCTGCTTTCTCCCTTCTGCCCCTGCCTCCCTCCTCCTCCTCCTGGAAGTTGCCCACTATGGGGGCTGCAGAGAGAGGAGGAGCAGGAGGGCCAGGCAGGACTGAAAGCTTCAGAGCACTCCTAGAATGTGCAGGAGTATTTTAAAGGCTTGGTTTCTTTGTGGAACCTCCAAGCCCAGATCTTGGCTCCCCTGTGTGCTCAAATGTGGCATCTGGCGTTCAGGGTCTTATAGGTCATTGGCTGAGGGACAACAAGGGCTGTGCTGTTAGCTCTAAAGCCAATGACCCTGATGAGAGAGACAGAGGAGGTGCTGCGGAGAGCAGCTGTACCGGGAGTGCTTAGACCTGCAGAAAGAACAACACGGGGCAGGCCCAAGCCCCAGGTGAGTTGAGGTGCAGCCTCAAGATGGGCTGTGGGCAGAGCCAGGAGGCTGTCACAGAGGAAGATCCTGAAATGGGCTGAGATGGTAAATCTGCTCCTTTCATCCTTAGGAAGCCAGGCGAAGTGGGCAAAAATTGCTCCCACCTTCCAGAAGAACTTTCAAAAAGAATAAGAAGGTGGATTCCACAAGCACAAGCCTAGAGGCTGAAAGCCAAGAGTGGGGTTTCTGGGGTGGACTACTGCTGACTGGCCTCAGCTCCCAGAGAAGACGCAGGGCTCCACACCAGAACAAGTGATGTCAGACAGCCTTATTTTGTTCTTTGATCAGTTACCGGCTTGAAGATTACATTCAATGCAACAAACTCTATGGAGACCTGACTGAGGCAGGCCCTGAAGTAAGTTTAGAGGGGAGACACACATAAACGCTCCTGGCAGTGGGGCAGGATCCGGACCTGGGAGTCGGTGTAAGGTTGCCAGGGAACGGTGTGGAGATCTGGGAGCTTACTCTAAGATGGGTTCTAAGCATGAAGAGAAGTCTGGTAGGCAGGTTGGGCCATCCCATGAACAGCATGCAGAGACTCAGAAACCGTACAGAACATTTACAGAACTAAAGGTTGTTCCATTCCTCTAGAATGAAAGGCAAGCTGGGGTGGAAGGAGATAAGGCTGGGGAAGCAGCCCGGGGCAAGATCGTCAGGGGTCTTATGTGCCTGCCCCCTCTTAAGGGTTGAATGGGTACCCCCTCTTCATTCACATGTTGAAGCCGTAACCCCTAGTACCTCAGAATGTGGTCTTACTTGGAAAGAAAGCGGTTGCAGATGTCATTAGTTAAGATGAGGTCCTTATATGACTGGGGCCCTTATAAAAAAGGGAAATCTAGACCCAGACATGTGCATAGAGAGGACGCCATGTGCAGATGAAGGCAGAGCAGGGTGATGCTACTGTAAGCCATGGATGCCAAGGATTGCCAGCCGCCACCAGGAGCCAGAGGGAGGCGTGGGACAGATTCTCACTCCCAGCCCCCAGAGGGAAGCAACCGTGCCCAACCTTGATCTCAGGTTCCAGCCCCCAGCACTGTGAGACAATACACTTCTCTAGTTTGTGCTAGCCAGTCTGTGGCATTTTGTTATGGTAGTCCTAGCAAACTAATCCACCAGCCTAAGGGGCGTGGGCTTTCTCCTGAGGGACACAGGGAACCAGGAAAGGTGGAAGTCGGGGAGTGGCATGAAAGATTTTGGAACAATCACGGTATGGTGGGGGAGGGGAGACTGCAGAGGGCAGGGAGCTGGGCAAGGTCCAGACATAACAAAGGCTGAACGATGAAGATGAAGAAGGGGGCTGTTTCAACTAATCAGGAATTGGCGATGGGTTGTGAATCAGGACCTACCAAGCCCTGGAGTAAAGGCAGGAATCAAACAAGCTACAGCTGGACGCTGATGATTGTGAAGTTCTGCACGAGGCTACAAAAAGCCTGTTGCCCAAGGCTGGGCTGCTGGGACACGTGGCTCAGCTGAGCTGTGTGGGGAGCACGTGAGGCTGGGTCAGCTATGAGCTCAGCCAAGTGGTCCCCACAAACTCAGGAGCCTACTGGCTGCATCGTGGGGACCTGGGTCCAGAAAAAAAAAAGCAGTAGTGGCCACCTCAACATTCTGCCCTGGGCTTGCAGCGCCCCAGTAATTGCATTCAGTTGTGGATATTACTCTGAGAGGGACCAAAACGCTGGAGAGCTCTGGGAGGAGGCAGTACATCAAGAACTTGGAGAGCACGTCCCCGAAGATTGGCTGTGGGAATGCAGGTGATGGTCCCTGGAGGAGAAACAATCTCTAAACAGTCTCAGCTGGGATGGCACTGCCTGTGCGTGAAACCCACAGCTGGTGGGGAGGCAGGGGCAGGGGACCAGGCCTCAGTGCAGTCTGAGGAAGAATCTTCTTACAGGCAGAGCCATGTGGAGGTGGGGTGGGTTCCCCAGGGAGGTATGAAGCACTTAGAGGAGGGCGAGCTGAGGCTGCATGGCTCATGGCAGAGAGTTATAGAGGGGATTCTCACATCAGCTGAAGGGCTGGACCCAGAAATCCCCTCTAGCCCCCAAATCCTATGTTTCTAAGATCTGAAGATCTCTCAAAAGAGTGGCTGGACACAGTGGCTCATGCCTATAAACCTAGCACTTTCCATGGCTGAGGCAGGAGGATCCACTTGAGGCCAAGACTTTGAGACCAGCCTGGGCAACATAGCAAGACCCCACCTCTACAAAAATAAAAACATTAATTGGGTGAGATGGTGTACACCTATGATCCCAGCTACTCAGGAGGCTGAGGTGGGAGGATCACTTGAGCCCAGGAGTCTGAGGTGGCAGTGAACTATTATGATACCACTGCACTCCAGGAGTGAGACCCTGTCTCCAAAAAAAAAGCAACCATTCGTTTCCCAAAAGCTGTTTGCAGTGTTGCAGTGCCTTACAGCCCTCAGAGCTTTCTCACACCCATCGGTTCCTCGTAAGTCCTGTGAGGCAGACAGAGCTGGAGTTAAGAGTCCATTTTACAGAAGGGAACACTGAAGCCTCCAGTCATGGAGCTGAGGAGTGGCAGAGGCTGGAGCTCAGGCCTCTTGCCTCCCCAGCTGCTCAGCCTGCCCGGCTGCGTCCTCACTGCCCTGCAGGGGACACGGCATGCCAAGGCAGAGTGGCTCCTGGATGAAGCTGGGGTTTTGGGTCCCACAGCCCGAGTTCCCAGCCCAGTACCACCATTTCCTGGCTTGGGTGGCCCCGTGCAATTCCCGAAACCTCTGAGCCTCGCAGCAGCCCTGTGAGGAAGCCTCAGTACTGCTCCTACTTGACAGCTGGCAAAACTAAGGCCCCAAGAGAGTCCCATCACATAACTGGCTGACAGAAGAGTTGGGATTTGAATCTCGAAATAACTCCCTTCCATACAGGACCCTACCCTGGGCTATCGCTCGTGTTCCCATCTCCACCAACATCACCGTCTCGTGAATTCTCACCGTCTGCAAGGCTCAAGCTCTGGGCTACTGTGGCCCCGGGCCTGGACTTGTTTGGGCCCCAGTAGGTGGTAGTCCAGTAGGAAGCCCCAGACCTCTGTCTGGAAGCCTGGCTCTGCCACTTATTAGCGATGCGCCTTTGGACGGCTTTCCTGGGTCTCGGTTTCTTCAGCCATACAACAGAAAAGTCACACCTCCTCCTCCGGCTACCGCGAGGACAGGGAAGACACCACACACAACGCACGCCAGTGGCCACAGGCATGAAATGGGGACGAGTCATTTCTAGTTTGGGTCGGTGGCTGGACTACATGCTCTCTCCTGGGCTCTGACAGGCAGTACCGAGGCTACTGATCTGAGCGTGTCCCCCAATCACGAGTGAAGGAGGGGCACACACCTGAAAGGAACCCCATCCACTCTGCGCACAGTCCCGGGGCGCGAGAGGGAGGCGAGGGGGATCCCCGGCCGTGACACTCTGGGGCCGGGTGGAGACCCGGGCTTACCTTGCGAGGGCTGCAGCTCCTCCACGACGCTCTCGGCCGCCGTCTCCTCGTCCCACGTGCCGGCCTCCAACACTTTGAAGCGGCTGCGCGGCTGGCTGAGCACGTGCGGGGCCTGGAGCGCCGCTTCGCGCTCGGCAGCCAGGTCCAGGTCCTGCTGCGCCAGGTGCGCGCGCAGCTGCCGGATCTCAAACTGCGGAGGGAGACGGGCAAGGCTGAATCAGCGGCGAGGGGCCGGCGGGGGCCTCCAGCCTGACCTCTGGGCGCTTTGCTCCTGCATGGGGGCGGGGTGGGGAGGACTGGGCTGAGCCTCCCGCAGCTGGATGATTCCTTAGGAATCTCCCAGCATCGCGGTTCGCAAGAGCTTCTTACGGTTGCGGAGCCTTTTCCAACCTGTGCGATCCTGCGTCTCAGGTGCCTTGCAGTCTGGCCCCCATCTCACGGATGCCCGGGAGAGGAAACACAACGTGTTTCCTTTGTGGAAAGGCCACTGGACGGGGAGTCAGGAGCCCTGGGTGCAAATTCAGTTCTAGCTCTTCGCCCAGATGTGTGACCCCAAGGGGTGCTCGACAACATGAAAGCCTCTTTCAGAACAGGAAACCTCAGGACACCCAGGGCCCCCGTCCCAGCCTGGGGGACCCCATCCTGGCGTCACTGCCCGCTGGTCTGAACACTGGCTCGTTTTCTCCACGAGGAGGCACCCAGGACCAGACCGATTCAGTCCAAGCCGTGTGGCTTCCTGGCCCTGTGGCCTTGAGCAAGTCCCGTCACCTCTCCAGCCTAAGTTTCCTTTTCTGTAAAATGGGGTTTTCACCTCTTTGAGGACTTGGGTTGCTTCCTCTTAAGGGCTTTCTCCCAGATGGCGTGGCAGCCTATTTGAATTTCCTGCATTGCACTTATCACCTTCTGATATTATTGTGTATTTAATGTTTTGTTGATTTTACTTTTACGAAGGTAAAGCACACTCACAGCTGAAAGCATTCATGAACAATAGGGTGGCCAGGCAGCAACCTGGCCTTGTAAAAGCTGCACACATTTTAATTTTGTTTTACTTTCTGTTGGGGAAAGCTTCTTGGAAAGGCTTCCAGATACCTCTTGGGTTTGTGGGTGAGATGGCTGTTCACGCGCCAAGGCCTTCATGGGACATCTGGGCCAACGAGGAGTTTAGGTCTGACACTGCAGGTCCCGGCCGCGGGCTCGCGGGAAGGAGAGCCTTCACCGCCACCTAGTGTTCCCCGCACGCCTCGCACCGCTTCTAAACGGAGCGAGTCGGGAGGGCGGACAGAGAAATACCACGCCCGGGCGCCCTGCCTAAGAGGTCACCTACTTACCAATGCCGCGCAAATGCACCTCGCCAGCCCTGACCCCTCAAACTGGGGTGTCAGACTCTCATCGCCAATGCCTCCACGACAGTATCACTTTCACAGGAGTTGCAAAATCAATCTGGTCAAAGCAGGACTCCTCACTGTCTCTCCAAACCTGTTCCTCAAGTGTTTTTATCTCATTTTAGCTGGAGCCAAAAATGCAATCACCTTCCTTGCTTCCTCCCTTTCCCCCACCCCAACATCCCATCCATCCCCCAAGTCCAGCAGCTGTCCCGCCTCCCTCCACCTCCACTGCCAGCTCTGGCCCCTACAGCCGTGGCTTCTGTGTCCCTCTGCCATCACTCCAACAGGACTCAGGGGGACTCTCCCACACCCAGGTCAGATCATGACACTCCTGTCCATAAACCTCGATGGTTCGCCACCCCACCTGGGAGACAGCCCGAGCTCCTTAGCTTTGGCTTACAAAGCACGTGCACCATCTGGCCCTGCCCACCTGACCAACTTGTCTCATCCTCTCTCCCGTGACCTGACCCCAAGACGCAATCCTTCTTCTGGTTCTGTAAAGATACCAAGCATGCGCTGGTCTCAGGGCCGCGTTCTCAGCTGCTTCCTCTGTCCCAGATCACACGGTGGCCCCCCTCAGAGGGGCCTTCCCTGACCCACCACCTAGGGCAGCCCCCCAGGCACTCAGTTGCATCAGCCTATCTGAATTCTCTGCATTGAACTTATCACCTTCTGATATTATTGTGTATTTATTTTAATATTTTGTTGATTTTACTTTTATGAACGTAAAACACATACAACTAAAAGCATTCACCAACAACAGGGTGGCCAGGCAGCAACCTGGCACTGGACAGCCTCCCAATGTCAGTGTCTATAGGTTCGGTCTCTGGGACTGCAGGTTTTCAGCTTCCTGCCTGAGGCTATAATTTTGGTTGCCTCTGTGCTGGGAGTAGGGCAGGGGAATAGGGCAGAGGGTCCCACTTTTAGGGGGAAAGATTTTCATTTAATCCTCATTTTCAGCCCTCCACCTTTCCCCAGGTCCCTGCCTAACCCAGTGCCCACATGCAGAGCCCCCTGGTTCATTTTCTCCCAAGGACAAACCCCTTGACTCTTGCAGGGTGGGGGAGCTCAGTCTCCTGGCCATGCAGGATTTGGGAGGGTGTCTTGGGATCTCAAATATTATGCATGCAGACCTTTAGCCACCCCCACCCAGTGTCAGCTTCACACTACACCCCCTTCCTCCCAGACTCTCAGGGGTTCCGAGGGGAAAAGTACCCCATTTCCCTCACTGTCCTCCTCTGTGAGCACTTTAGTGACACATGCCCCACTCTGTTCAATCAGTTGCCACTTTCTTGTCTAGTCTTCATTTCCCCGCAATTCACTAAAACCTCTTTCCTCTTTGTCCTGATGGACAAGACTTAAAGAGGCCTTCCTTCCTTCCCTCCTTCTTTCCTTCCTTCCTTCCTTCCTCCCTCCCTCCCCTCCTTCTTTCTCTGCTCCCTCTTTCTTTTTTTGAGACAAGATTGTCACGATGGACAGAGACCTACCCTTCCTTCCTCCCTTCCTCCCTTCCTTACTTCCCTCCTTCCCTTCCTCCCTCTCTCCTTTCTCTTTCTCTGTCTTTTTCTTTCTTTCTTTTCTGAGACAAGGTTTTACTCTGTCTGCCACACTAAAGTGCAGTGGCATGATCATAGCTCACTGCAGCCTTGTACTCATGGGTTCAAGTGATCCTCCCACCTCAGCCTCCTGAGTAACTGGGACGACAGGCACATGCCCGGCTAATTTTTTTATTCTTATATTTTGTAGGGACAAGATATATTTTGTAGGGTCTTGCCATGTTGCCCAGACTGGTCTCAAACTTCTGGACTCAAGCAATCCTCCACCTTCCTCAGCCTCCCAAAGTGCTAGGATTACAGGTGTGAGCCACTGTACTTGTCCAAGAGATAGTTTCTTAATTCTTATGCATTTATGATTTTGTTCTTTACTATCATTCCATTGGGGTTTGGGGAAGGAAATCAGATAAATATTTGTGATCATGCTTGATATGGTTTGGCTGTGTCCCCACCCAAATCTCATCTCGAATTGTAGTTCCCATAATCCCCATTTGTCGTGGGAGGGACCCAGTGGGAGGTGATTGAATCTTGGGGGTGGTTACTCCCATGCTTTCTCATGATAGTGAGTGAATTCTCACAAGATCTGATGGTTTAGTTTTTGTTTGTTCGTTTGTTTTTCAGACAGAGTCTTGCTCCGTCACCCGGGCTGGAGTAAATGGCATCATCTCGGCTCACTGAAACCTCTGTCTCGTGGGTTCAAGTGATTCTCCTGCCTCAGCCTCCCAAGTAGCTGGGACTACAGGCATGTGCCACCACGCCCAGCTAATTTTTGTATTTTTAGTAGAGACAGGGTTTCACCGTGTTGGCCAGGCTGGTCTCGAACTCCTGACCTCATGATCTGCCTGCCTCAATCTGATGGCTTTATAAGGGGCTTTTCCCCCTTTTGCTTGACACTTCTCCTTGCTGCTGCCATGTGAAGAAGGACGTGTTTGCTTCCCCTTCTGCCATGATTGTGAGTTTCCTGAGGCCTCCCCAGCTATGCAGAACTGTGACTCAATTAAACCTCTTTCCTTTATAAATTACCCAGTCTTGGGTATGTCTTTATTAGCAGCGTGAAAACAAACCACCATTTTTAAAGGATTATCAGTTACCTCTTGTTCAGCCCCTAGTGGTGTTCCAGTGGGGCGGGGTGGGGGGGGAAGGCATACTCCTAGCATGGCTGATTTCAAGCTACCAACAAGACGCCCTGGGGGAAATGTGCACAATGGGTTCTCGTGAGCAAGTGAGAGCTCCAGCACACCCCTGCCACCCTCCACCCCCAGGAGAATATCATCTGCGAACCAACAGGGGTCTTATCTGTTGTGTTGCCTGGTATGCAAGAAGCACTCAATAAACGTTGCTGAATACATGAACAAATCAATGCAGGAAACCAGTTAGCCTGTTCAACTCCCTGGCTTCAGACTGGGCCCTAAATCCAACCACCAATTGAGCTGCACCCCTGTCCCAAAGTTAAGACAAAGACTGAGGCCTCATGCTGGCTATGCAATGAGCCCTGACCCTGATCACACACTGAGCCCGATGCTGGTCACAGACTCAGCCCTAACTTTGGGCTCACACTGGGCTCAGACACTGAACCTCAACAACCCAGCACTTAAAACACTCAAAGGTGGCTGGAGGGCTCACAGAGTGAGAAAGCGAGGCTAGCTCATTATAGGGCAGCCTTTTTGTGCAGGATGACAGGGTGCAAGCCAACCCTCTGGCAGCAAGGTCTCAGAGGCGACTGAAGGCCCATAAGGCAACCCTCCCAAGCTCTGCTGGGGGAGCCCCTCCTGCCCTGCTGATCTGAACCTCCCATGGGCACACCCAGCCCACTTTCTCCAAGGCCACTCATCGAGGCCTGCAGGCCAGCTAATGGCTTCCTGGCTGCTCTGAAGGGATGCATTATTGATGGCTTGTAATTGATATGGAGCTGCCCAAGAATGTCCCGCTGGAATTCAGGCCAAGACAGCCAGAGGTCAGGGCTTGCCCAGCCCCAGGCCCACATGTGCAGACGTAGGCACATACACAGAAGCAAGTTTCAGCTAAAGAGATGAACTCCAAGTGTGTGGCAGTTCTCACATTCATTCATTCATTCAGTAGGAAGTCAAGTAAACCATGGTGGGGCAATGTTAACCTTCTGTTACAGGTTTTGGAATGAAAATGCCTTTCTCAGCTTGCAGGTAAAACCTGGATAGCCCCAACAAGGCGGGCTGTCAGCTGCATTGCAGGGAACAAGTCGCCTCCGAGAGCCAAGCACAGCCCTGGGCTGGTACTTATGGCAGGGGAGGCATAGTGTGTACAAGGGCCAGAGGGCCAGAAGGTAAGGGGCTGGGGAGCTCAGCTGGGGCCCCACCAGGCAGAGCCTGGAGCCACAGTAAGATGTTTTAAAGAACAACAAGAAACCACTGGAATCCTCCAAACAGAAGGGTGGAGTGGTGGGAGTGGTGGTACACAGTGATCCAGATGGGCATTTTGAAAGGACCATGCTGACCGCAGAATGGAGAACAGATTGGATGGGGCCAGAGTGGATATAGGAATGCCAGGTGGGAGGCTACTGCAGCAGTCCATGCCAGAGACAAGTAGGTAGGGACGAAGGTGGAGAGAGAGATAAGAGGAGGGATAAGAGAATTACCTCGGAGGTGCGATATCAGCACATGGCATGGACTGGAATGGCGGTGAGGGAGAGGACAACCTGCTTAGGGGACAGATTTTGGCAAGCTTCACACCCAGAGGGTGTGGGGTGACTGGAAGCTGTCCATCTTGCCCTGAGAAGGAATGACTGACTCCTCAGAGGGGAAGCACACATGGGCAAAATGGCTGTTGGCCCAGTCACAGGCTGGGACAGCCCAGGGGAACTTCAGGAGGTGCTAGCGGGACCCTCAGAGCTGGGCTCCTGGCTCCTCCTATGCTTATCATGGCCACATGTGCCTCCACAGTGTTTCCCAGGGGCCCTAGGACATTGGGGCCTCATGAGTCAGATGGGGAACTGAGGCCCGGAGGTGGGAAGGAGCCTCCTGTGCTGGGAGGGAGGATGGGGGAAAGGCCAGGACCACATGGTGCTTCAGAAGCAAAGCAGGGGCCACAGCCCACGCCCCTGGCTTCTAGCCCCCAAGACCTTGAGCCAGGGAACTTGCAGCCTTATAAGCAAGATGGAAGTGACTCAGCCCAACAGAATCCAGGGCAGCTTGATGGTAGCAGGGGCCAGGAGAACAGAAAGTCACCAGAGGGAAAAGCAGGGGCTGGAGGCTGAGCTCTTGGCCCATCACCCCTCCCTTGCCCTGACTTTGGGTGAGCCTCTTTTCTTCCCCGGGCCTTGGTTTCACTGTGTGTCCAATAAGGCAAATGGACTCACTGAATTCCAAGTCAATGACGAGCTCTGTACCAGCTCCAGGACCCCACCTGGAGGGAATGAAGTGTAAGTGCAGTTAAGGCTTGCTGCTGTCTTGAGGGCCATCCTCTACTCCCTGCCAAAATGCCCCGTTCCCAGAGAACCATCTCTTCAGAGAAGGATAACAGAATCCACAGCCTCTAAAATGCATCATCAATGATGTGTAGCACACCATGAGAATCATTCATCATGCAAGTAAGCAGAAAAACATGTGGTTATCAAGCCATAAAACAGTTAATAGAAGCTGACCTGGGTAAATATTTGAGTGAACAAACAAGGACTTCAAAATAACTACAATTAATATGTGAACAAAAATAGGGGAGAAAGACAGACAAAATGAGCGTAGTGTTTCAGCAGAGAGTTAGACTCTATAAAAAGAATCAAATCAAACTTTTAGAATCTTGATATACAGTATCTGAAATTGAGTAGTTGGTTGGATGGGTTTAACAGGAGATTGGACGTAGTAGGGTTGTTGAAGACAGGTCTATAGAAAAACATCAAAACTTACAGCCATTAAAAAAGGAGACAGGGAGAGAGAGAGAGAATGAATAGTGGAGCAGAGTAGGATCTAAGAGAAACGTGAGACATAATCAAATGGCCTCAGGTACAACTGGAGCTCCAAGAGGAGACGAATGAGACAGGTGCAATGAATAAAGAAACCATGGCCAAGAACTTCCCAAATCTAATAAAAAACATCAATCCACAAATTTAAGAAACTCCTAAGCAGAATAAATACCAAAAAACCCCACAGAAATCCACACAGAAGCACCTTGCAGTCAAACTGCTGAAAACAGGAAGAAACACAACAGGACGGGGCTCCCCAGGGCTCACACGGGCCTGTGCCTTAGGAAAAGAAGGTGCACAGTGGCTCCGATGAAGCAAATCTTCCATTGGCAAATGGGCCCGGTGGGAAAAAAAGACCATCCCTAGGCTTGGGAAGAATTAAAGTGCAGTCACAGCCCCATTTAGTGCACATCATTAGCTAAGTATTTCTAATCAGATAACCTGCCCAGATCATCTGGGATCCACAGGGAAGCCCGCAGTATGCATTACTGGAGTGAGTCAGGCCCCTTCCATCGGGGCCGGGCTTTTAATGCAAGCCCAGGAGGGGTCAGACCCACCGGGGCGGCAGGACGGGCACACCCAGCGCTTCTCCGCCTTTAATGGTCCGGTTGTGGAGTCCAATTGACACGGGCCTTGTCCTGATCAATGCACACTTTGGCCAGAAGCTCGATGGTATCTAATGCAATAGCAGTAATTCTGCTCCATCCTATTAGTGCTGTCTGCACAGGCTGCCCTGCCTTCAAACCCATCTGCTGTTGGGATAGCATCCAATGTTTATTTCCATTAGTTTCACCGTTGTTGGTAACAATAAAAATCAGGAGACAGTTGCAAACTAATGATTTAGGAGCAGAGTAAAGCTGAGATCGACCTTGGCCCCTTTCCATCCACTGTGAAGATGACTGGTAGTTGGCCATAAATTTAAATTATGGCAAAAGGATAACATAAGTTATTCCTCTGATGGCTGATTTTATCAGCTAAATAGGCTTGTCATTAAAGCTATCGGCTGTTTTACAAATCACTTCCCATCTTAAAAAAAATTTCACTTCCCACAGTGGAGATCCTGAATAATCCAGGTAACAAAGGCTATTGTGCTGAGCTGGGAACTTGTGGCCTCTGTAGGAAAAGAAGGAGCTCTCTGGAATGAGCCAGCCTCAAGCCCCGTCCCTGGAGCCAGCATGGAACCACGGCTTTATTCCTGCTATTCCTGCCCTTTGGCCCCTTTTCTGAGCTGCTAGCCCAGCCTCAAAGGCGAGTGACCTACGCAGAGCCGTTGGCATTCTCTCAGGGGTCCAGAAAACCAGGGGACAATGGGGTCCAGCGAGAGGCCTGGATGGGGAGATGGGCCCTGGCTCCCAATCAGACCACCCACCACCTCCCACGTCTGCTCCGGTTCCTCCACGTGAAAGACAGCGAAGGGGATGGAGGGGGGGCGTGACAGCTTCCTCTCCTCACATCTTCCTCCATCAGAAATGCCTACAGCTTGCAGGGTCAAGATTATCATCTTGTTTCTTCAGGAAAACAGGCCAGGGAGGCATGGCATTCCCCCAGGAAGGACTTTGATAAGTGTGGCTGTGCCGCCTGCTGTGGTGGAACCGGGGAAAGGGTAGGGAATGTTGTGAGCCCATTGGCCTTGTTTTATGGGTTGGGTGACTGTGCAGGCGACTGTTTTCTTCTTGGGCACAAAGACCACTTCTGACAGCATCTGGTGCCCCTAGTTGGTACTGTGCAACTGACTCTTGCCAATAAAACGGGGGCAGAGCAATATCACCATTTTCAGTCCTGGCCAATAAAAACCTGCTGTGCCCAATTCCCCAGCCTCACTTTCCTATCCACTGACTGGAGAAGACTCCGAGGACTTGGAGGAAGAAGGATCGGCCGGGCTTGGTGGCTCCCACCTGTAATCCCTGCACTTTGGGAGGCCGAGGTGGGTGGATCACTTGAGGTCAGGAGTTCGAGACCAGCCTGGCCAACATGGTGAAACCCCATCTCTACTAAAAATACAAAAATTAGCCAGGGGTGGTGACACATGCCTGTAATCCCAGCTACTCGGGAGGTTGAGGCAGGAGAATCGCTTGAACCCAGGAGGCAGAGGTTGCAGTGAGCCGAGATCATGTCACTGCACTCCAGCCTGGGCCACAGAGCGAGACTCCATCTCAAAAAAAAAAAAAAAAAAAAAAAAAAAAAAGCCACAAAATGGAAGCAGCCTGGAGGCCTGAGTGACTTGTGTGGAACAGAGGGTCCCTCCACCCTGCCCCATTGCAACCTGCATTGGAGTATGATGAGAGTGACAAATGTACTCCTCCTGTGTCAGGACTCAGATTTCTGGATTTGCTGGATGCAACAACTGGTGTTACTCACCCTAACTATCAGTGACTCAGGCAGATGCCTCTTTCTGGCGCAGGGAAATGGACACTGAAGCCCTGGGTTTCTTTCCTAGTCCCTCCATGAAAAACTACAGGATCTGGCCAAAGAATAGCCTCTCTGAGCCTCAGTCTTTCCATGTGAAGGGATTAATAGTACCCAGCCTGCCAACTTTCACCAGCAAAGGAAAAATGAGCTAAAACATGACAGTGCATTTGTGAATGAGCAACCATCATATAGATACATTTAGTAGTTTTTTTTGTTTTGTTTTGTTTTGTTTTTTTGTGACTGAGTCTCGCTCTGTCACCCAGGCTGGAGTGCAGTGGCATGATCTCGGCTCACTTTAAGCTCTGCCTCCCAGGTTCATGCCATTCTCCTGCCTCAGCCTCCTGAGTAGCTGGGACCACAGGCACCCGCCACCACACCGGGCTAATTTTTTATATATATTTTTTTTTAGTAGAGACGGGGTTTCACCGTGTTAGCCAGGATGGTCTCGACCTCCTGACCTCGTGATCTGCCCGCCTCGGCCTCCCAAAGTGCTAGGATTACAGGTGTGAGCCACCGCACCCGACCTCTCTCTTTTTTTTAACCCTTACTGAAAGCCTCCAGCAGGCCAGATTTAATTTGATGCATATGGCATCCACACGATGTAGGCCTTGTTACCTCCAATTTCCCCAATGAGAAGCTGAGGCTCAGGGGTTAAAGGGAAGATGACTGGTCACTGGTGGGGCTGAGGTTTGAATCTGGCTTGCTGGCTCCCCGAATAAGAGGATTCTTTCCACTCCTCCAAGCTCCCCGACAAGGGACTCACCTTTCCCAAGGTCTAAGGATGTCCTAAGGGGCTCACAGGTCCCACTGGTCTCCTTGGAGGCTGGACCTTGAGTCACCCCGGATTGAGCCTCATATCCCTCAGTATTTTGCCAATGATCTCAGGGTGAATGGTGCTGAGGAAGCAGAACGTCAGAGAAGAGAAACTAACTTCCACAGTGGGCCAGGTCAGATCATACTATTTTGTACCAAAAGCTGTTACCAGGCTTAAACATGAAAGAGCGGGTGTAACGGAGACTTCAGAATGTGTTTCGGAACTAGAGCGAGATCCCACGCATGGAGGTACATAAAACCTCAGAGGTGGTTTCGTGAGATGAGTCAGAAGAGTATATCGTTGCATTGATTTAACTGCTGCATCTAAAATGGCTTTGGTTTCTGAAGCAGCCAAGACAGAGAGAGAGACAAGGCATCCACACCGTCTCTCTGAAGGGCAGCCTCTAGCATCGTGACTTTGGACTCCATCTGTGTACCAGCGAGCCTAACTCGTCATGAAATTCTGGCCAAGATCCACCCCTCACCAAAAACAAACAAACAAACAAAAAGAATGGAAAAGAACTTCCACCTAAGGAATTGAGGAATTGCTGAATTCAGGGGTCAGAAGCCATGTGCTTCTATCACAGCAGCGGGGAGTCTGGAAGGGACTGCAGAAGGCATGGCCAGGGCTTTGGAATGGTATGACTGACCAGCAGAGAGACCTCCTCCCCTCCCGGGATCCTCTAGGCACCCCTCCCCAAGTAGGAATCTGTTAAGCATGAGGTGTGTCCACAACCAGAAGAGATCATAGGAATGAGGGAAGCAGTGAAGCCTGTTTCCCTGTCAAAGCCAGAGGGCCAGTGTGATCCAGGAGGGAAGGCACTGGAATGAGCAACAAGAGACCTGTTTTCGTCCTGGCCTCATAACTGCTGTGCCACGTTGGGCCCACCTCTCCCTTTCTCTGAGCCTCAGATGCCCCATCTGCCAAATCCTGGATTGGGCCAGCTGCCCTCCCCAGGGACCTTTCATCTGTTATATAAGGTGATTCTGGAGCACCTTGCATGTGGGCCTGTGACAAGAAATGAACTGCCATGTAGCACAGAAGGTGAAATGAATCAGATATTCATGCAAGAAACTGGCCAACAGGCTCACCTGAGAGTCTCCACAGGGTCACGGTAAGAAGCAATGTAATCTTTCTTAAAAAGTTAAGATGGGCTGGGTGCGGTGGCTCATGCCTGTAATCACAGCACTTTGGGAGGGTGAGGCGGGTGGATCACCTGAGGTCAGGAGTTTGAGACCAGCCTGGTCAACATGGTGAAACCCCGTCTCTACTAAAAATACAAAAATTAGCTGGGCATGGTGGCAGGTGCCTGTAATCCCAGCTACCCGGGAAGCTGAGGCAGGAGAATCTCTTGAACCCAGGAGGTGGAGGTTGCAGTGAGCCAAGATGGCGCCACTACACTCCAGCCTGGGTGACAGAGTGAGACTCTGTTCCAAAAAAAAAAAAAAAAAAAAAAAAGCTTAAGATGAAGAAACAGAGAGTAACTGTGCAGTGGAGACACCTGACCCACGCTGCCCCAGCCGGGTGATCCAGGCCGCATCACAGTGAGAAGTCACGTGGCCAGTGTGTCCTCTTGATGTGAGACAATAAGAATGGCACTTTCCTTCTGCAGTCTTCCTCCCAAAACCCACAACCCCAGGCTTACCCTGGGAAAAACATCAGACGAATCCCAACAGAGGGGCATCCTGTAAAACAAAAACACCCGACCAGTGCTCCCCAAAACCCTTCAGGTCATCAGAAACAAAGTCTGAGAAATTGCCACAGCCAGGAGGAGCCTAAGCCTACTGAATGCGACGTGGAGCAAACAGAGGACATAACAGATTAAATACTAAGAAAACCTGAGTACCGTATCAATGTGGGTTTGTTCATTGTAACAAATGATACTAGTGTATGATGTTAATGATGGGCAGCCAGGCACAAGGGATACAGGGAACTCTGCACCTGCTTCACTATTTTTTGGTCAATATAAAACTGTTCTAAAAAATAAAGTTTATTTTTTTAAAAAGAGCTGGGTGAAGTTGTGGCAAATAGTTGAAATAGTTGTACAAACACACCCCAGCAAGAGAGCAAGGGAGTGAAAAGCGTTTTGTTTTGTTTTGTTTTGTTTTGTTTTAGAGACAGTCTTGCTCTGTGGCCCAGGCTGGAGTGCAGTGGTGTCATTACAGCTCACTGCAGCCTCAAACTTCTGGCCTCAAGCAGTCCTCCTGCCTCAGCCTTCCAGAGCACTGGGATTACAGGTGTGAGCCATCGCGCCAGGCCAGGTGTTGTATTTAAACTGGGACCCTAACACATTTCATTGGTAAATGTCAATTTTTCAGGCAGCATATGTGAATTCAGTTTGGAAATGTCTTCATTATACTCTGAGAATTCCAGCAAGGAGACAGCAAGAGTTTGTCACAAGGAATACTAGACTGTCCTGGAACGGGGTTGGGGGCTGCCATTGAGACAGCTGAGGGGAGCCAGGTCTGTGCCTGCAGTATAAAATACCCCATGCATAATCTGATCAATGTTTTTGCTGAGTGCTAAGTGCCATGAGTAGGAAAAAGGAGGCTCAACGTGATGGGCTGGAAAAGAACAGTGTTCACAGTTAGGACACCTGGTTCTATGCCCCCCTGGACTAGCTGTGTGCCCCCAAGGCGAGCTGCCACTGCTCAGTTTTCTTATTTGTAAAATGGGTGTGTGGGGCAGGTGTGGTGGGGCTGGTGGACTTCGGGGTCCACACCCATTAGTTGCTACCCATCATGTGTCAGGCTTTAGGCTACGATCTCATCACCATCCTTCGAGGATTCTATTACTACACCCATTTTTCAGATTAGGAAAACCAAGGCCCATAGATGTCCCATTAATGCCCAAAGCCACAAGGCCAGTAAGTGTTCTAAAGAGAGACACACCTGGGTTCGAAGCCAGCTCAAAGTCTATTTAGAACCAAGTCTATTCTCAACCATTCCATGGGCTGCTGTCTCCAAGGGTCTAGCCATCTCTGACATTCCAGGGCCCACAGTCTCATTTCCTCCAGGGTATCTGTTACCCAGTCAAGTCTCAAACCAGGTCTGAAAATACAGCTGCAAGTGAGGCATCTGTCTGCTTCGCTCTGTGGAGTGGGCACCACAGACTCCAGGAGAGCTGCCCTCCTGGTCCCTCTGGCCAGGCAGCCCCCACCCTCCCCGGTGGCCCCACTGGGAGTCCAGCCTGTCTGGCCCTTTCTGCTGTCTTAACTAAGATGACAGGCTTCAGGTGTTTTTTAAATTAAAATGGTTCGTTTCTGTTCATCTCTTTTCCAGATGTCGCTACCTAGAGGGAATCTGTCTTTATTTATTGGCTCTTTCCTGTGCAGAATGCAAGGGAGTCTCCCTCCGGCTGAGACCCCCGGGAAGGAGGCCACATGTGGAGGTGACTTGAACCAGGACGGCAGGAACCTGGGGTCCCCGGGGGGCTCCGGACAGAGGTCATGGTGGAAACCCTGGGAGGTGGGGTTGCCGTTAGGATTTTCTCCTGGCCACGTGGCGCATGTGTGGCTGAGGTGAGGTGTGCGGCAGGGTCAGCGCGTTCCCTGCTGGGCTGGGAGGCTGCGAATTTATGAGGGGCGGATGCAGCCCTGTGTCCGTGTCTTTCACGTTGCCAACTGCAGTGAAGTAGAGCATTTGTTTTCCTGTTCAACAGCAGAATGAGAACTGCCTGATCGGCTTCCAGTCGCTTTCTGGATGACACCCTGCACTTTACTTTCCCCACTTCCCTGCAGCCCCCTCTGCCTAAAGCCCAGCTTCTCTCACCTTCTTCTCCAGCCTCTGTCCCCAGTCTTCCTGTCTCCACCCTGCCCTCTCCATCCAGCCTCCAACGGCAGCCAGAAGGCTCCATCAACAACTCACATCTGAGCAGATCCCCCAGTCCTGCTTTTAATCCTCCAGGCTTCCTCTGTCCCAGCAGGATAAAGCCCAAACTCTCTGGTCAGCCACAGAGCCCCTTCCCAAGCCTGTCCCCAATCCTACTGCCTCCCTCTGCTCACCCTCTAAATGGCCCCGAACCCCGGGGGCACTGCACCCACTCGCACACCCCACACTGTTCCCTCTGCCTGGCAGCCTTCTCCCCAGGGCTCTGCTCCACATCAGCTCCTCTGGAAAGCCTTCCCCATCCTGGCCTGCAGAGCCCGGGACGTGCCCATGTGATACAGGCATTGCACCAGATTTCCACTGCCTATTTATGGGCTGCCAAACCCCCTGAGTCACCCAGAGCCCCGTGAGGACGAGGGTCACACCCTGTCCTAGGCGGCATCCACATGCCCGGCACAAGCCCAGCACAGAGCAGCTCTGGACGGTGCTGGCTAACCACGCGATATGGCAAGAGAATGAATGAAGCTGATGCCAGCTCCTCAGGAAGGGAATGCTTCTCTTCCTAGTCTAGGATTCCATAGCCTGCCCTGCTCTCGGGACACCTTGGACAACGTGCCCCTGAGGGCCATGTCCCCTGATGACCCCTCTTGTCACGCATAGGCATTCTGTGCGAAACAAAAGGTCATAGTGTTCCCAAAGCAGATAAAAAGATTGGTTTCCTGACAGACATTCCGAGGGGATGATTCTGAAGACACTGTGTGCGTGTTCCTGTGGGGACATTTCCCAGGATCACTTTGTTGTGACATTCCACAGACGTGTCCCCCACCCCAAAACTGTGAGAGGCTGGGGTTGGTCGAGGAGCCAACAGGTACAGTGAATATGCATTTACCAAGACCCGCAACAGAATACACATTTACCAAGACCCACGACATACACTGAACACACATTGACCAAGACCTACAACGCGCGGAGTGCTGGCTGGGGCCGGATGTGAGTTGGACTAAGGCTTGCCTTCAGGGGGCATCTATTTCAGCGGGAAGAGCTGCCCCAGGCATAAAGGAGCACTGACCATGGCAGTGAGTGCCCAGTGCCCTGTGAATGTGGACAAGTGAGGGCTGCTGCAGGGCTGGGGGAGGAGGTGCAGAGGCTACTGGCGGGGGGAACATGCTCTGTAGAGAGGCTAGGACTTGAATTAGACAGACAGAGCTTGCAAGGGGCGGGGATTCAGGCAAGGGGCACAGCGCAACCAAAACCCAAGAGGTGGCATGGCACAGGGCTTGTCAAAATGACAGGTGACTCCACTTGGCACAGTCGGGGTGTTTATGCACCAGACACATGAGAGAGGAGGTCGATAGGACGGGCAGACACATAGCAGGCCTGTACGCCACATGAGACCTCAACCCTGAGGCCACCTTGGAGACTGCCTGGGCACCCAGCAATGGGGGAGGAATAGGGAGCCCAGGGGTGCCCATCCTCACCGCACTGCAAGCCAGAAGGGCTCAGTGCCCACATCAATATGCGGCCACGGGCATTCCTCCACTTTCACTGGCAGGACATGGGCTGGAAGACAGCCCGTGAAGAACTCGCCTGGCCCTGGGCACAGAGAGCCACAGGCTTAGCGTCTCTGGCTTGCGCAGCTGGGGGCAGTGGCCCTGTCCTCTCCCCAGAATCCATCGGGCAGAATGGGAATGACCATGCATGTCATTTGGACCATCCCCCACATTCCCACCACCTTGCCAGTCCCCTCAGTAGCATTCCCACCTTACAGCCTGGGACCGGACCCTTCCCTGCACACCGAGCTGCACTTCTACAGAGCTCTCAGCCTTGCTGCGGGATCCAGCAGCCACCCCCTCCTGAGTACCCCAATCCCCCTCCTCTGAACTCCTCTGTCCCACTCACATGGGAGCAGCCACCTCATCTTACAGAGGAAGGAACTGAGGGCAGAGGGGTGGCCCAACTTGGCCGGAGTCCGGCGGGGTGGGAGCAGCAGGGCTAGGCCTTGAATGCAGGTCTCTGGATTCCCGACAGGGTGCCCCTGGCCCAGCTGCCAGTCCCCCTTGCCTCTGCTGAGCCCATCCTTGCAGGGCCCACCACCTGCCTCTCTGAGTCTGCATCACATCTCCTGGAGGGTAGAGAGCACCGCTAGCATCTTTCTGGGGCCCTGGGCGTCCCGCGTGGCAATGGGCATACCATGGTGCCCAGCAACCCTCAGCAGACAGAATTAGCGACTGGCTTTAGAGACCGACCATGTCTCCGAGAAGACTCTGATGAACTGAGGGGGCGACTTGGCAGACTCAGGTTGGGGAGCTGAAGAGTCACCGTGCTACAGTGGAAAGAACCCTGGCCTGGGAGTCAGGGTTGAGTCCATGCCTGGCTGGGCTATACATCAGTGAACCTGGAGATGTGTCCCCTTCTCTGGGCTTCAGGTTCCCCATGAGTCCAACAAGGGGCTGGAGGAACTCCCTGACCTCTGGTGCCCCTGCAGCTCTAGCAACCCATGGCTTTAGGCACTACCAGTGTCCCCAGCAAGACCACGGACAGAGCCGAAAGTGGCAGTGCATTACCCCTTGCTCCTGACAGATCTGCGTCAGCCTCTCCAGCTGCTCGTCTTGGATGACCTTGGCCTTCTCGTACTGCTGGATAACCATCTCCATCTCCAGCTTCACTGGCAGGACGTAGG
The DNA here is from genome assembly GCF_000001405.40 of Homo sapiens. NCBI lineage: Eukaryota > Metazoa > Chordata > Mammalia > Primates > Hominidae > Homo > Homo sapiens. The sequence continues at coordinate 76,175,558 of NC_000015.10, read as the reverse complement.
CTGGAAGACAGAGACAGCCCTGTAAAGAATTCAGCAGTGGCAGGGCTTGGACTAGGGAAGGGCGGGCCCAGCATTCAGGCAGCAGCAGGTTCGAGGCCCTGGGCCATTTCTGTGGATCTAGAAGGGGAAATGTCCAGGTACCCGAGAGCATCCAGAAAGTACAGAGGGCCACAGCCTTCGCTCATGGTGTCCAGGGTAGCTGTTTTCCTGTTTTCCATAGTGCTAGAACCCATACTTTTGGGCTGTGTGCACAGCTGCCTGGAATAAAGACTATTTTCCAGCCTCCTTTGCAGCTATGGGTGGCCACAAGACCACCTTCTGGACCATAGGATGCTAGTGGAGGTGGCATGCAGCAGCTGCAGGAGCCTTCTTCACAAAGGAGCTGGGGCCAGTGAGGATGGGGCGGCCCTGGAGCCTGCACACACTGGCGGAAAGGAAAACGGGGCAACCACTTAGGGAAACGGTTTGTCCGTTTTTCAGAGTGTTAAACAGAGAGTGACCATATGACCCAGAAACTCCATTCCTAGGTACCTTAGGGGAAGGAAAACATGTGTCTACACAAAACTCGCACATGAGCATTCATAACAGCATTATTCCTAACAGTCAAAAAGTAGACATAACCCAAATGTTCATCAGCCGATGAATGCGTGAATAAACTGTGGTCTAGCCATGCAGTGGAGTACTACTTGGCAATGAAAAGGGGTGCAGTCCCGCCACCAGCCACAACACAGATGAGCCTCAAACACATGATGCTAAATCAGAGTGGCCAGCAGAGAAAAACCACGTCACATGATTCCATTTATATGAAATGTAATGGAACAGAACAGGCAACTCTATAGAGATGGAAAGCAGCTTAGTGCTTGCCTAGGGCTGAGGTGGACATGGGAAGTGACTCTGATGAGTGTAGGCTTTCTCTTTGGAGTCATGAAAACACTCCAGACTTAGATTTTTTGGTGATGGCTGCAGAACTCTGAATATACTAGAAACCACTGAATTGTGAACTTTTATTTTGAGATGGAATCTTGCTGTCACCCAGGCTGGAGTGCAGTGGGCGATCTCAGCTCATTGCAACCTCCGTCTCCCAAGTTCAAGTGATTCTCCAGCCTCAGCCTCCCGAGCAGCTGGGATTACAGGCACCCGCCACCACGCCTGGCTAATTTTTGTATTTTTAGTAGAGATGGGATTTCACCACGTTGGCCAGGCTGGTCTCAAACTCCTGACCTCTAGTGATCCACCCGCCTCAGCCTCCCAAAGTGCTGGAATTACAGGCATGAGCTACCATGCCTGGCTGAATTGTGGACTTTAAATGGGTGGATTTTACGGCATGTGAATTATATTTGGATGAAGATGTTTAAAATGAGAAGGCAGTGGGCCTTCCTTTTGCCTCTTTATCCTCTTCCCTTCCTCCTTCTTGGCTAGGATGAGGATGTGATAGTTGGCACGGAAGCAGCCATCTTGGACCATGAGGTGGCTTTGAAAAGTAGGCTAAGTGCAGCAGAGCAACAAAACAGAAAAACAGAAGGAGCCTGGGCTCTTGACTACAGGGAGTAAGTGACTGTAGTCAAGGCCATATCTGTCTTGGACCACCTTCCCACAGACCTCTTTTTTTTTTTTTTATTTTTTTTTGAGACCGAGTCTCACCCTGTCACCCAGGCTGGAGTGCAGTGACATGATCTCAGCTCACTGCAACCCCTACCTCCTGGGTTCAAGCGATTCTCATGCCTCAGCCTCCCCAGTAGCTAGGATTACAGGCGTGCATCACCACACTCAGCTAATTTTTATATTTTTAGTAGAGACGGGGTTTCACAGGGTTGACCAGGCTGGCCTCAAACTCCTGCCCTCAGGTGATCTGCCTGCCTCAGCCTCCCAAAATGCTGGGATTACAGGCATGAGCCACCATGCCTGGCCTGCAGACTTTCACGTGAATGAAATACGCTTCTGTGTTAAGACACTGTTATTCTGAGTCTCTGTTACTCAGATGATCCTATTTATAACTGATATAGTGAGACCCAGAAGAGAAAGCCTGGCCTCTGAGGTTGAGGGCCCTGTGCTCCACCAGCCAGCAGTAGTCCCACGGACACCTCCCTTGGTGGTTCTGTGGGTTCAGAGTAGCTCTGGGCTCCTGGAAGTCTCAGTGTCCACTCCTGACTTTAACACAGCCTTTCTCCTCACACTGTTCCCGCACCCCTCGAAACCCAGCCCTTCCTGACTCTTCAGAAGCCTCGGTCACATGCCTCTCTTGCCCCTGATTTCTAGAACCCTCCACATTTCCTCTCTCCAAGTCTCCTTTCCACCCACAGCCTCTGCACCTCCAGATGTTTCCTGGCTGTTGCAGGAATCAGCAGAGAAGAGACATTGGGACTTTTCTGCTTGAGGACCGGCCACGTGTCCCTGAGACCCATCTCCAGGTCCAGAGGCCGCCCCAAGATGCCGCTGCCTCCTCAAATCTCTGCTGAAGCCAGTTCACACCCAGGGTTAATTTGCAAGAGTAGCAAATTAACGCCCATCTGTTCACCAGCACGTCTCTCTCCTGAGGCTCCCGGTAGCTCCGTGATGCCTGATGTGTCAGGAAAAGGGCGGGACAGCTGGGAAGAGCGTCACAAAGGGGGCTCTCAAAATCCATTAGTGTGAGGGTGTGCGGCTGTTCACAGCTGGAAGAAAGACCCAGAAGGCGCTGATCCTGCCCCGAGCGGGGGTGGATGTTCTCATGGACAGAGCCAAGAACAGGGCCCTGAGCAGACTGCAGGGAGTGAGCAGCCGAAAGAGCGCTGGTGGGTGTCAGGGGTCTTAGGCTCCACTTCTGGTTCTGAGCCTGATTCACTATGTGACCCTCATCCTTCTTGGCCTCAGTTTCCCCATCTGTCAAATGAGGGGAGTGAACCAGGTGATCTCCCAGAGCCTTCCCAGCCTTCCGAAGGCTTCTGAAGTGAGACCCAAACACATTCCAGTTTGATGAAGATTCCCTACTGGGGGATCCCTGACAAGATGGCAGCATCTTCATCAGGACCAAATCCCACAGTGTTCGCAGGGTGGAACATAGGGTGAGGCCCAGGGAGAGGGAGCCCACCCTGAGGGTGACAGCTTCTGCCTTGCACCTGCGTGGCAAATGCTGGCGGAATATTCTCATGGCTTCAATTTTTATCATCTGCAATCAAAATTCAGGGCTGGAAAAGACCATAGCATCTATCCCAGTGGTTTTAAAACCGTGCTCCAGAAGGCCTGGCAGTTTCTTAGAGGTGCCTCAGAGGGCAAGGGAGAAGGCAAGTAGGTGGGCTGTGAGGCCCCTCCACTCCAAGTCAACCAAAGCAGCTCCACTTGCAATCTCTTTTACAGACTGGGTACGATTTTGCTGAAGAAAGGGCTTTGCTGTCAACCAAACCAAACCAAACCAACAAAACATCCTGGGAACCACTGTCTATACAACCTCCTGGTCACTCTAGGGGGACCTCTCTTGGAGGCTGACCAGCCCCCTATGAGTGGCTCTGTTCCTTATCTGGCTGAGGTGGGGTGGGCCTCTTCGTCCTGTCCTCAGGGACCAAGGACACCCTCTGGAGCCCAGCGACTTGAGTCTTCCCCCTTCCATAAGATGACTTCAGTGTCCTGCCTCTGTCGTCATCCTCTGGGTCACCCCCCACCCCCAGTATCCTGCACCATTCTTCAGGGGTGGGTTTTCTGTCCCCCATGTCCTCTGGGCCACTCACTCTGGTCTGTCACCACCTTCTGGAAACACAGGAGCCACCCAGGTCAGGGCACAGCTTTCCAGACAAGAGTGGCCCAGTGGGGTGGCAATGATAAAGCAATGACAAAGGAGTGGACCAGATACTTTCTGCAAATGGAGACCCAGGGATGGAAAGGCACGTCACTAAAGATGACAGAAGCACATGCCAAAAGCCAGCCCCTGCCAGCAGCTCCCTTCTCTACTTGTTTGCAGGTCAATGGGCTTGTGGGCAGCCAGATTGTCCTTGGTGGACTCAAAGGTGAGACAAAGCCTGCAGGGAGCAAGGCCTTGACTAGATGACCTGGATAGAGCCAGTGGTGAGGCTGGCAGCCATCGGGGAGCCAGCAGCAGGTGTGCATCGAGACGCCCAGGGTGTAAAAGTCTGCTCCTTCCAGAATGGCAGGCCCTGCTCTAAGGGCTTGCATGGGGGCTGGCCCCCCCAGGCTCACAGTAAATAGCTGCATGGGAATGAACACATGGCCCCTAAATGGGAAGTGGGAAGCTCAGCGTGTACGTGTGACACCCTGGCAGTGTGCATGAACGCGTGATGGCGAGTGAGCAGGGACAGCTGGCCCCTCTCCCTGCCGACAGTTTCACCTTCCGTCCTGACGCCAGCAGGGTGTACCCCCATCACACGGCATCTCCTCTCAGTTGAAAGCCCCACTTTCTGGAGCAGCCCCACTGACCACACCCCCCTCGGGCCACTCACCATCAATGACCCTCTTCACCCTCCAGATCCGGAGCATGATGATGAGGCTGATGGCGTCCCAGGGGCTCCTGGGTCCATTGGCCACAGTGGATGCCACCATCGGAGCCAAAGATAGGATGATCACAGCCCCGTCAAACACCTGTGAGAGGAGGCCCATTTCAGTGCCCTGGGCCCTGCCGTGTGTCCGGGACCAGGGGTCAGTCAGGCAAAGCAGCTGGTGCTGCCCAACTTTTCCAGCAGCCCGGGCCCCCACCAGAAGGCCACCCCACCCCGGGTGGCCCCTCCTGACCCTCCTGAGTCTTTAGGGGCCTCCTCCTCCTAGACGTTCTCCTGAATGCACTCTGTCCTCCAAGTGACCTCAGCCCATCTCCAGCCCTTAGTTCAGATGGCCTTGGGCTGTCTTGCCCCTTCTCAAGATAGGGCCTGCATCCTGTATCCCAGGCCCTGGGCAGAGGCCAAGCTGGATCCCTCCCTGGCAGGGCAGGGGCTGAAGGCAGGCTCAGGGTGCCTCCTTCCCCGAGGGGAACAGGAGCCCGGAACCCGCATCTCAGCTGTGTCCAGTGCAGAGTCTCTAACTCTCCAGCGGGGCAGGGCTAGGTGAGAAGTGGGCCCAGCCTGCACAATGAAGCCCTGGGCCCTGCCCTTCCGTCCGCCTGCCCCAGCCTGGCCGTGTTCTGAGCCATCCATCGGCCAGGCCCACTGTGTCAGATCCCAGCACTGTGTCAGATCCCAGCACTGAGCCAAAGAGGCTGAAATATAGATGGAGAGGTGAGGAAGGAGTGGGCAGCAGATCTGGCCGCCTTGCCTTGTCTGTGTGCACAACACTGCCAGCGACAGCCAGGCCTCCCTGACCTCATCCCACCCACCACACCCACCCGTGTGGCGGGAAGCAGAACGGAAACCCAGCCTGAGAAGCACGTTGACAGTTTCCCGCTCAGCTTTCCATTTAGGGTGGATTTATTTGTTTTAAAACACATTTCAAAAGCTTTTCAAATTGATTCAAATTGTAAAATTTTGCAGAACTTCAAGGAGTTCTGCATTCCTTTTAACATTCTAAATGAATGTTTCAGAACATTCCTTTGCTGGAAACAGTCTCAGTTCCCCCTCCCTGCCCCACCCAACATGCACAGCCACAGAGGTCAAGTGGGAGAAGGAACCAGCCTTCTTGATGGTGTCCACCCTGGAATGGATGGGACATGACGTTTTCCAGCTTCCAGGATGGCAGAGTGGGGGCTTTGGGGGTGGACATTGGTCTTTACCTCTATTTTGTTTTCGATGTAATCCCAGATCCCAAGCACCACAATCCGTAGAACAGTCTGAGGAAAGGAAGTGAGAAAGTGGTTATTCTCCAGGTCTTCCTCCAGCCGAGAAGATTCCAGAGCTCAGCACTCAGAGCTCTGCTTCTGCATTCAGTAAAAGGAAAAGGTCTCCGCCATCCACTAAGCATTCCTTGGCCCCTGTGCCCTCTCCACTCCCACTGCCAGTGCCCCAGCTCCAGCCTTCGTGGTGGCCGTGCCTCCTGCTGGTTCCTCTGCCTGCAGGCTCAGACCCCACATCTCTGTGCCATCCCCTGGGCACTGCTGATGCCATTTTCAGTGCTCCCTGTACATACAGAATACACTCAAATCCCTTGGAAGGATACTTAGGACCTTGCCTGCCTCTCCTGTGTCATCTTTTGCCACTCCTGTCATGCTGCAAACCACTTACGAATCTTCAAATATACAAGCTCTCTCTCTCATGGCCTTGTCTTTGCATGTGGCAAAAACGCAGTTGACTCCCTTCTCCACTCCCCGACCCCAAATCTCCTCCCTCCTTCCTGTACAATAACTGAAGCTCCAGCATGGCCACCCAACTAAAGACTACATTTCCCAGCCCTCCTTGCATCTGGGAGTGGCCTTGTGACTACATTCTGGCCAATGGGTAGCAAGCAGAAGCACCCAGTACAACTTTTAGGTTGTGCCCTTAAATGAATTAGGCTCCTCTTCCTCCTTCCGTCTTCCCAAGGCCCAGAATTGGGTGCATAAGTGTGATGGTGTGCCATCTTCAACCAAGGAGGGCCAGGCCGCAAGACAAAAGCCTGCTGGGTCCCCAACAACCCCAAGCCTTACCTATCCACTTAATGTGTTTTTCCGTGAGAGAGAAATGGACCTTGCCTTGTTTAAGCCCCTGTATTTTGGTTTTCTTGTAACAGCAGCTTGGCCTGTGCCTAAGCCAGCAGGGCTTTCCCCTTCCTGTCCTTCTGGCTTGAACGTCACCTCCATGAAGCTCTTGCACACTCCCCGGCTCAGCTGGTGCCTCCTTCCTGGGTGTTCCTATGGTTTCTGGGCGTCACCCTCCACAGCACTGCCTTGTACCTTGTGCTGATTCCCTCCCCATCCCCCAGTGGAGGCTCAAGGGACCTGGTCTGCTGTCTCTCTTTTATCCCTAACACCTGGCATACAGTAGCCACCAGGCGATTATGCACTGTGGACAGATGAACAATGCGTGCATGAAGGAATAATTCCCGAATGGTGCTGCCTTCAGGAGCGGTTTCCTCACCAAGAGGACATCTTTCTCCAAAGAAGCCCCTAAATGCTGGTCTCGTAAGATGCCGGTGCATTTGTCTGCAGGCTCTTCCTTGAGCCAAGATGACTTTAATTCACGGTGATTCACACCAGATGGTGCCCCTCTCCCGCATGCCTGTAGTACAAGCCTAGCCTTCTGAACTCTGCGAAGCTGCCTGGAGGATCATCACCCACAGCTGTTATGCCACAGAAAGGCTTGGCTGGTAAAATCCAGCTCTTTCTCGTGAAGGACAATCTTGATTTCTGTGAAGGGATGGGAAGGTGAATGCTTGTGGGGGACAGTCATGTTGCCTTCTCTGAGTAGAGAGAGGAGCATGTGGCAGCCCGAAGTCCGCTCCGCTATAACTTCCCGGTCTCTGGGTGGGTGGCCCCACGCTTAACTGCGAGACAGCTTGCAGGGGTGGGGAGAGATCTGGGTGGGGTGGCCACAATGTCTTGAGATCAGAGCTCAATAATGGGCTGGTTGTGTGGCCTTGGGCAAGTCAAATCCCGTCCCTGGGCCTCAGTTTCTCCTTCTGCCAGAGAGGTGGGTTACATGTTATAATCCTTCCTATTTATGAGAATAATATCTGCCATCTACTATATGTCTGTGAATGCCAGACCCTGGGCCAGCCCTTCTAACATGTGATTCCCATTTTACAGAAAGGGTCAGAGAAGTTAAGGAAGCTGCCCATAGCCACACAACCATCAGGAATGAAGGTAACATTTGGACCCAGAGGTTTCTGGTTCTGCAGAGTGTACTCAGCTGTGTAAGAACACCATGTAACAAGCAGGCGCGATGGCTCACACCTGTAATCTCAGCACTTTGGGAGGGCAAGGCGGGCAGATCGCTTGAGGTCAGGAGTTCAAGACCAACCTGGCCAAATGGTGAAACCTCATCTCTACTAAAACTACAATCATTAGCCGGGTGTGGTGGTGCACACCTGTAATCCCAGCTACTCAGAAGGCTGAGGCAGGAGAATTGCTTGAACCTGGGAGGCGGAGGTTACAGTGAGCTGAGATCATGCCACTGCACTCCAGCCTGGGTGACAGAGAGACCCTGTCTCCAAAACACACACACACACCACATAATAATATGGTTTCTTTTTTTTTTTTTTTTTGAAACAGTCTCACTCTGTCGCCCAGGTTAGAGTGCAGTGGCACGATCTTGGCTCACTGCAAGCTCCTCCTCCTAGGTTCACGCCATTCTCCTGCCTCAGCCTCCCGAGTAGCTGGGACTACAGGCACCCGCCACCATGCCCGGCTAATTTTTTGTATTTTTAGTAGAGACGGGGTTTCACCATGTTAGCCAGGATGGTCTCGATCTACCGACCTCATGATCCGCCAGCCTCGGCCTCCCAAAGTGCTGGGATTACAGGCATGAGCCACCGCGCCCAGCCATATGGTTTCTTTTGTTGCTGCCCAACCCCTGTAATTGTGCTGAGATTGAAACTTAGTGTTTGTCTCCTCTGAAATGCTACAATAGCCATATCTATCCTGAACTCTCAATTCTGGGGTGTCCAAGACAAAAGTCCAGGCTGGGAAGATGGGAATACGGCCTGGTGCAAATATAATTTCTGCTATGGCAGCCGCTCCTCCTCTTCCTCCCCCTTCTTCTCCTTTTAAAATGGTGGTAAAATACACATAACACAAAACACACCATCTTAACAATTTTGAAGTGTCCAAGTGTGTTAAGTACATTCACACTGCTGTGCAGCCATCACCACCATGCACCTTTAGAGCTTTCTCACCTTCCCAAACTGAAACTCTGTACCCGCTGAACAGTAACTCCCTATTCTACCTCTCCCCATTCTACTTTCTGTCTCTATGAATCTGACTCCTTTAGGATCCTCAAATAAGAGGAATCATCATGCTTCTTTAGAAACAACACTCTTCTTAGCTGAAAAGGCAGAGGCCCAGGAGTGAGGGGTGGAGGGAGCCGGCCAGGGTGGGACTCAGCCAGCAGAAGTTGAGCAGGAAGAGGAGGCAGCAGACAGCGCACCCAGAGCCTCTGTGCCCCGGGAAGGAAAGGGGCTGAATGGTTTTATGAACCAGAGCAGTGCCAGGGAAGCAGGTGAAACAGCTAGAATCCCAGCCGCTGCCTTCCCTCTGTGCTGGCCCATCCGCAGGGGACCCATCCTCGGAGGCCTGGCTTGAGCCCCACTCTTCTGGGAGCCTTTCCTTCTTAGCTCAGCCCATGGAAACAGAATAGCAAGAGGCCGCTGTGGAGAGGGCTTGGGAAACACCTCCCAGCCAGGCCTCCTGCTAGAGATGGGGAAGCGGTGGCTCCAGGTCAGGGTCAAGGCCAGAGTGACCCTGGCTCTGATACACCCCACCTGCTGGCTTTTCCCCCCCGCAGCATCCTTCCCCTCCCCAGACACCTTTGCCGAGACCCACTGTCCACGGAGGCAGGGACAGAACCTCACTGCCCTGCCCCGCACAGACTGAGTATAGTCTTAACACCTCCGAAAACACGCGCTGGACTAACCCACGGACTGCCTGTGCTTCTCAATGTGCAGCCAAGGACTCCCCGCTTAAGCAGCATCGGGGGGTTTACGTGAAACGCAGATTCCTGGACTCTCGTGGACAGCCAGGATATCAGAAACTCTGGGCACAAGCCCCGGAATATGCTTTTTAAACAAACTCCCCCGGAGCACCCGACGGAACCGCAGGGATGTGTGAGGCGACCCTGCCCCGGGTTACAACAGGAGACCACAGGCCCACAAGCAATAACGAGAAAGGGTGTTAGATGGGGAGTCAAGAGTCTAGTCCTCTTTCTGGCTCCGATCATTCCTTACTAACCACCTGACACTGGCCGGATCTCTGGACAGATCTGGACTGAAAGCAGATCCACGCCCCTCATGCGGCCACCTTCAGAGCTGCTCCAGAGCTCAGCGAGGCACACGGCTCACTAAAAAAGCAGGGTGACGATGAGGGATTGCCCCACCCCCAGCCATAGCCCCAGCCCCAGCCCCAGGGCCGTGGCCTTGCAATACTGGCCCCTAAAAGTTGCAAAGGCCTTTGAAGGAGCATCTGAGGAGCTGGAATCCCCAGCTTCAGCCTCCTCCTTTCCCACCTGGAGCGAAGGGTTTTCAGCCTCCTTTATCCCAGTTTTGCCTTCAGGAGGCTGCTCTGATAAGCAGTGTAGGCTACAGCCTTGGCAAACACTCAAGGATGGTGCCATTTATTGAGTATTATGAGCAAAGTTTTTATACCATTTGAGAGATGCAGAAACTGAGGTGCGAAGAGTGGCAAGTGAACCTTCTGGTCCCTGGACCCCTCTTGCCTTCCGCCTCAGGTGCCCTCATCTTCTGCTCCTGGTCAAGCCCTGCTCTCAAGAAGGGACTCCCCTCATCTCTTCCAAGGGAAGCAAAAGCTGACTTCTCTGAAGGAAGGGGTCCAGGCTTCAGGCTGCAGGAGGGGAGAGTGGGAAATCCCAAGCCTTGCACCTGGTCCAGGCCCTGCCTCAGCCAAATGGCAGAAAGGGCTCCTGCCCCTTCCTGCTGCCTGAGGCCGAGGCCCTCCCCTCAGCAGAATCAGCGTCTTTCCCTGGGGAGGGGCCTGATGAGGCTGCCAGAGTTTGGAAACCTTAGGAGATGTAGGCAGAAGTAGCTGTTAGTCTATAAGCTGGCTTTGTGCAAATTTTTAAAAGGCAGAGGGAGATCCCCAGATCACCTCTTAGTGAGCAGAATGGGGGCTGGACACCCCTGTGCCCTGCAGAGCCATCCCCATGTGGGGCCCGCCAGCCAGGGAGAAGGGAGCAGCCGTGTCTAGCCCCAAGCCCGCGGCCACCCAACACTGTCGGCAGTGGGTTGGGGGCGTAGGGTGGTGCGTGGCTCAGGGGAGCAGGCTGGTCTAAGGAACAGCCACCATGGGTACCAGGCACTGCTGGCTGACCCCTGGCACTTCCTTAAGAAGCAGATCTGCTCTTGGACAAATTTTCCCTGGGGTTAAACTACAATGGCAAGAGGAAGACGTGGATTCCAGGATCCAACTACAAGGCCAAAGTAAGAAATGTGAAGATCTGTGTGGTAGCTGACACTGTCACCAGTCTCACACTGGTGAGGAGAAGAAAAATTGGGGCTGGACACAGTGGCTCTTGCCTGTAATCCCAGCACTTTGGGAGGCCAAGTAGGGAGGATCACTTGAGCTCAGGAGTTTGAGACCAGCCTGGGCAACATGGCGAAACCCCATCTCTACAAAAAACATACAAAAATTAGCCAGGTGTGGTGATGCACGACTGTAATCCCAGCTACTTGGAAGACTGAGGTGAGGGGATCACTTGAGCCAAAGAGGTTGCAGCTGCAGTGAGCTGTGATTGGACCATTGCACCCCAGCCTGGGTGACAGAGTGAGACCCTGTCTCGAAAAGAAAAAAGAAAGTGTGCTGTGCTACATCGTGGATGAACCGAGAAAACATGCTAAAAGCCGCAGTCACAAAAGACTACACACTGTAAGATTTTGTTTACATGAAATATCCGGAAGAGTTAAGTTCACAGAGACAAAAGCAGATTACTAGCTGGCAGGGCGGCCGTATAGGGGGCAGGGGGAGTGACTGCTACTGGGAATGGGGTCTCCTTTTGAGGGTGATGAAAGTGCTTTGGAATCAGGTAGAAGTGACGGCTGCACATCACCGTGTGGGTACTAAATGCCACGGAATTGTCCACTGTAAAAGGGTTATGTGAAGAGAATTTCACCTCAACAGAAGGAGGAGGAAGAGAGGGAGAGGAGAGTCAGTAGCTGCTGCCACCACTGCCTGAGGCTCCTGTCTAGAAGGCCAGCCGCGGCTCCGCTTTCTCTTCTCCCAGGGAAAGAGCTGGGGCTGCCTGGGCCTTTCCAGACCCCAGGGATGCGACCAACACCCCACAGCCTGCACTGGGCCCTGCTGCAGGGTGGCCTGGCCTTGGCCAGGAGGCCCCAAGGACTCCTGCAGTCTCGGGGGAGGAGCAGCAGGCTTCCCAGTTCCAAGTGGCCAGCTGGGCCTGGCCTCAGCCAAGGGCGGGGCTGCGCTTTGGAGGAACGTTTGCACAATTCTCCATCTGGATTGCAAGGCCCTGCATATTCTTGGTGCTGCAGGGCCACGTGAAGCGCAGTGACCCTGCGTGACCTGGAAGACTGGGGCCCAGGAAGTCTCATGGGCATCCAGTCTCACCTTGGACCCTGTGCAGGGACCCCTGCACAGCCTGCCTGATGAGGGGCACCCACTCTCACTGCTTTGAGAGCATCTGTCTCACTGTCAAACAGCTTGGCCCATTTGAACAGATGTCCTCAAACGGAGCCCAAACCAGCCTCACACTCCCCTTCTCTGGGCCTAGCTCTATGGCCTGGGGCCAGCACAGAGCAAAGTAGCCCATCTTCCCAGAGCAGCCTGCAGAGCTCCAGGGTGGGCAAAGGCCGGGGCAGAGGCCCGCTCACCCACCCAGAGGCCTGCACTTGGGCCCACCTGCCATTCCTGCAGGCCCTGGGCAGGTTTCCGCACCTCTCCAGGCCTCAGTTTCACAACTCATAAAATGTCCTACCCACCTTCCAGGACTGTCCTAAGGCTCAGCTGAGAGGAGGGGTGGAGAACTGTTCAGGACAGGCCCAGGGCTCCAGGACAGCAGGAGCCCCGGTGGGGTGACCTTCTTGGAATTTCCTGTGGAGTAATGCCCACTCCCTAAGGCCAAGGAGGCTCGGAGTGCCGCCCCACCCTCGGCCCACAGCCACATCCCTGGGTATTAACCAGGAAAGAACTGGCAGACCTGAAGACGTGGTACTCATTTCTCCCAGCTGAGGAGGGGGTGCCAGTCGTCCTGGGTCTGTGGTCTGAGTGATCACTCGGTCGGACTTTCTTTCTCAGGTCCTTCCCAGAGACCCCTGGTCCCTGCCCACCCTGCCAGCTTCAGGGCCTCCAAAGGATGCAGTCAGGGGCAAGAGACCAGCTTAGGTGCCCAGAGCCCTAGGTCCAGTTTTGATCTTAACTGGCCGCATAACCCTAAGCTGCTCTCCTTGTCTGTGCAGTATTTTGAAAGGACGCCACTGGTATGGTGGGCAAACACACAGGCTGACCCACCACTGACGGACACTGAGCTCTCCTGGCCCTTCCTACTGGGCATCCCAGTCATTGTGAGGGGCACAGACATGGTCGCATGTTTCCAAGCTGTCTGGAGGCAGGAGACCTCCATGAGACCCTTCTAGTAACAAGGTTCTGACATGGTTCTTACGGGCACGCAGCAAGACCATGGAAATCTGTGCTTGCTAGTGTGGTGTGAGCTGTGTGTGTATTCCCGCAGGTTCTGTGCCTCATTCATTCGTCACTCGATCTCCATGCACCGGCCCTCCATTCACGCTGGACACTGGCAGGGGTGGCCCCTGCTACCGGCGGCCTGGCTCCACCCCCTCACCATCTTTGACAAGGTCAAGGTAACGGAGCCAGCCCTTCCTCCCCAGTCTCCTGCAGACCCTGCTCTCCCCGCTCAGCTGTGGGAGGACCCAGCCCTTCCCTGGTTTGGGGGTGCCTATGGGGGACTCTGAGGCTGCGATTCCTGTGCACAGGGGTTTGTCTGTTTCAGGTGGCTTGTCTCCGGCAGTGACAGGAAGGGAATGCCAAATTAACGCTGGGCAATAAATTCTGCAAAAGCCAATAAAACTAAAGCAGAGGGATAGAGGGGAAGAACCGCAGCAACTGATTAAACATTTTTGTTGGCAGTCACAGACACATGGCACATTTTCCAAGGTTTGCATCAAGGAGACATCTGGCCACGGCCCATGTGTTTGCGGGAGGGAATCCTGGCCGGGCAGAGACAAGAGGCCAGGGAGGGCAAGACCCACATGGGGGCTGTAAGCTGGGGAGCAGGCACTCTGCTCTGCGGGGCAGAGGCACCTCCAGGGCAATGGTCTCAGGGAGGTGGTTAGGACCCCTTCTGGGAGGGCAGTGCTGCGATCTGCCCCCTCCATCTGAGCCTCAGGCCCAGGCTCACCAGCCAGCTCCGTGGGCTGTAGGAGGCGAGGCCCAGGAAAGGGAATGTTCCATGCTTGGAATGCCTGCTGCCCGGCCCACCACACCCCACACCCGGACTCAGGATTCTGGACTCAAGACCCAAAGCCCAGCTCCCTCCTGATTTTTAGGGAGAGAGAGAGAGAGAGAGCAGAGCCATTAGCTAGGCCAGAGGGGACACACAGGAGGATGCTGGGACTCCTGACTCCCGGGGTTCCCCACCTCAGTGCCTCTGCCCACGCCACCCTCTCCCATAGCATCCTTCCTCCCTTCAAGGCCCCCCGTCTCGGGGTCCCAGAGCCCCTGTGCCTCAGGTAGAGCAGCTCCCGTTGGTGTGAGATGTGCGTATGTTCCCAGCAGGTGCTGTGCCTCCCTCGTTCCTGCCTTTCCCTGAGGGTTTCCTGAGCCATGCTGAAAGGCCCACGGGACTTTGCATGGGCTAATATGTACCCATAGCAGGGATGGGACACTCAAGGGTAGAGTGACACAGTGGCCCGCTGACTTGGGCCAGTCCTAGGCTCTGTTAGGAGAAACCAGTTTTCCACATGAAACTCTCCTGTCCTTCAGTGACCCTCCAGTGCGCACGGGACAGGATAAAACCCTGCCTGCAGCAGGACCAAGCCAATTCCTCCCACACCCAGATGCAGGCCAGAGTCTCACTGGGACAGCCTGGGAACTGCTCAAAGGAAGTGTCACTCACCGCCATGAAAAAACAGAGGAATGTGCTGCCCAGACATGCCAGCTTCTGCACCAAGCCCGGGGGCCTGCGGATCTCCATAAACTTTCCCCCTCCCCTCACCACAGAGATTCGCACTTGGTCTCTACTAGCCGACTCCAGCAACGCTGACGGCGATCCGTGCTCCCTGAGCCCCCACCTCGGAAATACAGCCTCGCACTCACACTGAGAGGCACATCTTTCGGCCCTGTCAGACCCAGGGCCCCTGCAGGACCAGGTCAGGTCCACTGCCTGGCCCTGTGACCCCGTTCCCCCACCCACTGCGTGCTTCAGCCCCAAAGGTCCGGCCAACTGTGGGCCCAAGACCACAGCCACAGCGGCCCAAGAGCTTCCCTGTGTGGGCACCTGGCTTCAGCCTCACCTCCCGCCCGCTCCTTACTGGCTGCACCCAACACTGGCTGCCCCTCGACGCCACATTCAGTCTCACCTTCACCAGTCATCGCCCACCCCTCACCTGGAGAACACCTGCTCATCCACTGGGGTTCCTCCCAGGAATCACCTGCTAGGGCCAAACCCCCCTGGCTGGGTTGGGCTCCCTGTACCACTTCCCCCCGCAGAGATCATCTATCTATATTGTGTCTCCCTCCCAGCAGCCTCAAGGGCTAGCAGGGGACCTGATGCTAGAAACCATTTCGAGAAGTAGACCTTGGTTTCCCCAGGACAGGAGTCACCCAACAGAGGAGGTGACAGGGCCAGAGTCTCCACCTACCTCTGAGAAGAACACGGACAGAATGACCAGGCTGATCCAGTGAATCACGCCAGCAAACTGGAATGCGCTGGAAACTGCAATGGACACGATAAGGACCAATTTTAGGAGTGAGGAATTAGGTGCGTTGCTATGGGGGCTTCGCAGCATCCGTCCAGACCTCTGGGACCCCGGGGCCCGCCTGCATGAACGTTTAGATCTGGTGGAAATTGGGTCAGAGAGCAAGGGCAGCTTCAGCTGGCGTCTGCAGTGAAGGCAGTAGGACATTTGGGAGCCAACGATGCTGTTCTTCTTGCCTCCGACGCAAGGGACTGCCTCCTTCTCCCCCACAGGCCGCCTCTCTCAGCTCCTGCTTGGTCTTGGTGGGCTTTTGGCTGTAGCCAGAGTCTAGGAAAGAAGCTCTCCAGAAGGGGCTCATGAAGACATTCACGGCTTTTGGGCTGTGTAGGCAGCTTCAGTTGAGGCTGGATGGGCTTTTAGAAATCCAGCCCACAGCTCACCCCCAAAGTGCTGTGCACAGTCAGGGGACTCTAGGTGAGCTTACTGTGACTTTTCATTCTGGAAACCGAGTGGCAGAGACGGTGGTGTCGGCCAGTGTGTTTTAGAGAGAAGGCTGCAGTGAGGACTGGCAGGGGAGCTGGGCATGGGGTGGAGGTGTCTGCCTCCCTCCCTAGATTGGCAGAGCCAGTGGGATGAGGTCTGCTAAACTTCCACATTGCCCTACTCGCCCCCAGGTTCTGGAGTGGGAGTGAGGACAGCCATCAGCCCCTGAGGGTTCCCGCCCCACCTTTCACCAGCCACTCCTTAGAGTTAAGGCATTTTCTTTGGAAAGCCCTTTTAAAATACATGAAGCCACAGCCAGCCTTTGAACCCTGGCATGGCATGGTTTTTAGCCAGCGAGGCCAAAAGCAGGATGCTGGGGCCCAGGACAAGGGTCAGGTGAGCTCTGATGGAGACTGGGTGGGAGGGATTGCCCCAGAGGGTAGAGGGCTCCCCAGAGGCCTAAAAGAAATACTGGTGGGATACCCTGGGATACTGGGGAAGGGCTGAGAGGGGGTGAGAGGCAGGAATGCTGCTGAGAACATGCCTGCTCTACCTCCTTCGTGAGCTGCAGCCAGGCCTGCTTGGCACACTGCTCAGAACCCCCCCCAGGGCCAAGGGAAAGTGCCCAGTGCCTTCAGCAGGGAGGGCCAGACTGAAACAGAGGAACCCACAACCTCTCCCGAAGCTCTGGGATCTGCAGACCCTAGGGGTGGGTAGAAATCAAGTCACAGAGCGTAGCCAGGGGAAGACGGCTGCAAAACCAGGTTCCAGGTGGGAGACTCTGAGGCCCCCTGGCTTTGGGCCAAGACGACCCTTAGAAGATGAGCTCCGAGTCAGGCCACATGAATACCAGTGGGAACGAAGAGGCTGAGGCCCGTGTGACTCCAAGAAGACCTCCAGATGATTCTGAAAACATAAAATCTCTCCCCATTATTTCTCAAATGAATTCCTGTGCCTTTTTTTACGGTTTGCTTTAGAAGAGCAATAAATCTCTGATTGTGCGTTTTATGGAATTTAAGATGCCTTTTATGAGCTGCTATTGGATCTCCGACCAAAATCAATCTCCTGGATACTTAATTTTAAGCAAAATTCCAGTGTCGGCTGGGTTCTCAGTTCTCCTCAATACCTTGTCACAGCCCGAGCAGCCGAGGGCCCCGAGGACAATCCGCCACGGGGAAAGAAAGGCTCTGTTATGGGCAGGTCTCATAAAAAGCAGACAGTATGGGTGAGTGGGAGGGAAAGTATACAACATGGTTTAATTGAAGACAGGTTGAGTGTAAAACCAGTACCGGTCACTTTATGCTGGAAGATCCTTTAATTGGAACCAAGGGGCCACCAGCTGCATAAAACCCAACTAGGCTTATCAGACAAAAGCAATTCTGTGCTCACCGTCCACGCTCTCTGAGAGAGCAGAGAAGGCTCATGTGACTTGGAGGGAGCTTGGACAGACCCTGAGTTCACAGGATCCCATAAAGGAATTGGGGGCATTTGAGAATGGAAGGCCAAGACGTCTGAATGGGTTTGGAGGTGACTGGATCTACAGTCCTGGATTTTGCCAATGGAAGGAAAAGAATCTCTCTGGAGCTGATAATTGTACCTCTATTTATTTATTTATTTATTTATTT
Source organism: Homo sapiens (assembly GCF_000001405.40). NCBI lineage: Eukaryota > Metazoa > Chordata > Mammalia > Primates > Hominidae > Homo > Homo sapiens. The sequence continues at coordinate 76,158,003 of NC_000015.10, read as the reverse complement.
ATTTACTTATTTATTTGAGATGGGGTCTCACTCTGTCACCCAGGCTGGAGTGCAGTGGCGTGATCACGGCTCACTGCAGCCTTGACCTCCCAGGCTCAAATGATCCTCCTACTTCTGCCTCCCGAGGAGCTGGGACTACAGGCGTGTGCCACTATGCCAGGGAAATTTTTAAATTTTTTTGTAGAGACAGGGCCTTGCCATGTTCCCCAGGCTGGTCTCAAACTCCAGGGCTCAAGCGATCCTCCCACCTTGGCCTCCCCAAATGAGATTACAGGCATGTGCCACCACACCTGGCCTGTGCCTCTTTTTAAATTTGCATTTGAAGGATCTACCTTTTGAGTCAGGGCAATACAGGGAACCAGGAACTGTACCAGAAACCACTTACTTATCCAAAGTCAAGAGGCAAGACACCTGCTCCTGCCCCTCTGGTGTGACAAACAGTGGGGGGTAGGCCTGGTGGGGTAAGCAGTGGATTCTCCACTCAGACAGCCATGTCACTATGGGACATCCAGGACAGAAGAGGTGGAAGACAAGGTTTAACGTGAAACTAAGACAAATGCCAAGAGGAAGAGAACTGGCCAAGCAGTTAAATGACCTGGTGCCTTGAAGTCCCAGCTCCAATACCTCTTACTTAGGGCAAGTATCTCACTTCTCCAAATCTTAATTTGCCTCGTCTATAATATGGGATCATATCCATCTCGCCCATCTCACAGGGTTACTGTAGTGTCAAATGTGCGGAAAAATGCTTTAAAAACTATCACGATACGTATAAATCACACTGCCAACTCACAGCTGGATAAAAATACCAGGAATCTTATCATCACTGTGGTCGCTGTCATAATTAGTTACTACAAGCTGAGATGCCTCCGTAAATGGGAACTCTCTTTAGACTACAGAAAATTCCAACCTGGAAAATTCCAAATGGGAGCAATTAAAAAAAATGCATACAGGGGTCCCCAACGTTTTTCATCTCATCAGTTTCTGATCATGGAATGCTGGGGAGGGGACTGCAGAGGCCACATTGGGCAGAGAGGGGCAAACTGAGGCTGGGGGTGACAGAGAGAGAAGCTGCCAGATGTATTTCCTCCCCAGCGGCCATCCCCATGAGCCCCAGGGCCTGAGGCTGGGCAGCAGCATCGGCGGGGGCAGATCACAGCCTGCAGGTTGGGGACCCCTGATGAATGCAGATGCACATTGAATATTGACATCATATGTATTGGCATATGTATCTCTCTTGCTACTCACACTGGAGAAGCTTTATATCTATTAGAAGTTCCAGAGTCAGGAGAATCACCACCAATATTACACAGGCTACCAGGAAACTGTTGAGACTTGCACTGAGCAAAAATACCTGCCACACGGCTGCTCTCTTCCCACAGCACGGCTTCAGCCAGTTAGACCTGTGGGGACAAAAGTGGGGAGAAGAGAGGCTCAGAGTGGGAGGGGACAAGAGGGTGGACCCCGGCCAAAGCCCTGCTCTCAAACCCACCAGCGTCACTCCTCCCGGGCTCTCTCCCTGGCTCTAGGCTTCATGGCGAAACACAACCTCATTCAAGAGGCTGGGGAGCGTCATAAAGGGTGAAAATATCTCATTAAGAAATGGAGCTGGCCACTTTTTTTTTCTTTTCTTTTCTTTTCTTTTTTGAGACAAAGTCTTACTCTGTTGCCCAGGCTGGAGTGCAGTGGTGCAATCTCAGCTCACTGCAACCTCTGTCTCCCAGGTTCAAGCAATTCTCCTGCCTCAGGCTCCCAAATAGCTGGGGCTACAGGTGTGTGTCACCATGCCCGGCTAATTTTTGTATTTTTGTAGAGATGGGGTTTCATCATGTTGGCCAGGCTGGTCTCGAACTCCTGACCTCAGGTGATCTGCCCACCTCGGCCTTCCAAAGTGCTGGGATTACAGGAATGAGCCACTGCTCACAGCTGGGCTTATATGCAAACCTGCAGCTCATGCAGCTCTGTGCTTCAGTCTTCTCAAAGTTGAAAAGGGTATGAGACCAACATCTGGTGGGTTAGCGGACAGTCGGCCTATGTGGCAAGTGCAGCGTGGAAACAATGTGTTATTACTGCACTTCCGTGTGTCTAAGAATGCGGTGACATGGGCTCTGGCATTTGAGAGCATCTCAATTTGCCTTTAATAAATGCTCGATGAGTCACTGAATGGATTTTCCATTTTTCAGCTATAAAAAGGAAGATTTGAACCAGATTGCTGTTTTTCAAAGTAGACTGAGTGGAACACTAGTTCCACAGAATGTTCATAGTTGTTATTTGATGCAAAAGTTTCCATGGTTGGGTACGTTTTGGGAAATTTGGGTCCAACGAAGTTAAATGGATATTTTTCTCTGTGGGGCATTTTAGGGCCTTCAATATGCTCTTATGCATCATCATGGTCCCAAAGAGATTACAGAATCAGGGCTTCCCAAACTTGCTGGACCGTGACACCCTTTGTCACAGAGTGAGAATCTGGCAAGACTAGAGTTCCACGGACTCTCAGGGAAACCCTTGACTATATGACCCTGGACATCACAGCAGAGGTCAGGCCTCCGAGGACAGCAGCTTTCCTGAGCAGGTCTGGAGGTGGGAGGGGTCACAGAATCTGAGCTGGGTGGGCTCTGCAGGGCACTAGACACCCTCCTCTCAGGAGCACAAGAAAGGCCCCTCTGAGGGGCCTGGGGAATACAGAGATGGGGGAGCTGAGGTCAAACCTCACCTGCTTGGTAGTTTAGGTATGAACAGGACCTGCCTGCCTCCCTTGCTGAGGAAGAGCTAGGCATCCTGAAGTGGCAGCCACAGCACCAGCCCAGGAGGCCACACTTCTGGCTCTGCCTTCAGCCACCCTGGGGCCCCGAGTGAAGGCTCCTCACCACTGTGGCCTCCGCCTCTGCCTCCCCATGTATAAACAGGGATAATGCTCCTGAACTCACAGGTCACTAAAGTTAAATGAGGGAACTAATCTGCCCTGTAAAGACAATGCAGCTGAAATGGATTGGTGATGATGACGACGATGATGATAAAATATCTGATGGTCCGAACATGGGGTTGGGAAGGGGGCTGTGCCCTGAGGCGCCCCCTTCTCTCGGAAGGAATAATGTGAATGCTTCAAGGAGACTTCTTCCTCACAGTCCATCCAGGGAAAGCCTGAAGGAGTCCCCCGCCATTGGAAGGACAGACAAAGCTCACAGCTCTTCAAGAAACCTGGCAGGACACTGGGCTTATTCACATCATTCTGAATATTTTCTAACTCCTCTGGGAATGATAGGCCCCCGTCCTCAACTCTGTGGGGAATGCAAAGACTGGTGTCCAGTCCCCAAACTCAGGGAGCTGCTCCCAGAAAGACAGGTAGGAGGACATCAACAGGCAAAGGAGGAAGAGGAAGAGGCCTTGTTGGATGGGGCTGGGGATGGTCGATGTGAACCCCGCATGGTCCAAGAGTATGGGGCAAGAGATGAGGAAATCAGCCAGGTCAAAAGAGAGGGTTTTCCATTAAGGGACAAGCAGAAAACAGGAGGAGAATGGTCTGTGGGGGCCAGATGGTGAAGGCCATCAATGAACATCCCCATCGCCCACTCCAGGTGGATTTCGAAGTCCATTGCAGAACCACATCTTTCTGCTTTCATGCCGGCACACAGGGGCCAATCACCAAGCAAGGGGCTACAGAGGAAACCCCAGACTGAAACTGGGAGGAGCTCAGGAGGGTTGCCAGATCAAGCGCAGTATGTCCAGTTACATCCCAACTTCACATAAACAATGAGCAATTTTCTAGTATACCCTAAACATTGCATACAACAGACTCATACTAAAAAATGATCTGTTGCTTATCTGAAATCCAAATTTAACTGGGAATCGTGTATTCTTATTTGGTAAAGTTGGCAGCCCTAAACTCAAGAGCCAAGGGGTCCGGAGAGGGCCTGGTGAGGGCGGCTGTGATTTGATCAGAGAATGCATGGGAACCCTGGGATGCAGGCAGAAAGCCAGGATGAGCTGGGGAAAAGCGCATGGGAAGGCCATCTGTCCCGAAGGGGCAGGAGGGAGGGACCTGGCCAGGGAAGCCAGGTGCTCAGATGACAGCTTTGGCCCTGCTGGGCTGGAGGCTCCCAGAAGCCTAAAGCTGCTGCCCGCAGCAGTGCCAGCGGCACAGCGCTTCCATCCATTAACGAGCCTTTGCATTTTAAGATATCTTTGGCTATCATCACTTGGCCACCCTCCTCACCTCCTGATTCTTCCTTCCGGCCTCACCTACTCCCCCTGCTTCTTTTCCCACGATGTGACATTCCTGCCTCCCCTTTTGCCAGCCCCATTTTCATCCTTCACACCTCTCACCCCAAGTTCACACCCAGCCTCCAGCCGCCTCAGCGCCCCCGGAAGCCGGTTCCCCTCCTGCCCTCTGCCTGCTCACTCCTCCCCCACAGCTCTAGCATGGTCTTTTCTAGGGCCCAAGGACACCTGGCTCCAATTCCACATTCTCCCCAATGCCCATTACCGTTGTCTGCGGCCCCTAAAACTGATGGCATGTCATTGTCATTTGAAATCTGAGCCAAGCACCTTCAGGCGGTTATGAATAAAAAGGGCAGCTGCCAGGGCCATCTGCCTGGGCTGGCCAGCAGGAAGCCTCGTCTTCACGTTCCACGGAAGGTGCCGGGCATTTGTTCACCTTCGTGCCTTGGACATCCCTAAGACACTGCTCCTTCTACCCCAGAGGAGGGTCCTGAAGGGAGTAGGGAATGAAACGAAGCATTGTATTCAGGAGCACTAGTTCCATATATTCAGTTCCCTATCAACAGGAGACTCAGACCTTGACCTGCCTCCAAGGGAGGAAAAGCCAATTTATATTGCTGTTTAAAATGTCGTTTTTTTCTTCTTTTTTTTTTTGTTAGAGAAACTTACTAACCATATCAGGTGGTTAGGAAGCTGCAGGAGGTGGGCGTCTGGAGTTACCTGTGGTCTGAAGTCAGCCCATAGTTGGCCTGGCCCTGACACCAGAGCACACTCCTCAGCCTCAGGGAAGAGCCAGGTAGAGGACTGGGCAGATGGCAGGATTCGAATGCCAGGCAGGGGATGACGGCCTTGAAGTCAAATGAACGCCGCCCCCACCATCAGCTAAGGTAGGCAGCGTGATCAAGAGAGGCGAAAATCCCTGCTCTTGGGCAGGTTACACTCTAGTGGGAGAGAGGGTCAGGCAATCAATACAACAGGTGCTGGTGTGATGGGTACTACAAGGAAGACACGCAGAGCTGGTGGAGGGATTAGGACGGGTAAAGGATGAGTTGACATTTTAAATATGGTGGTCAGAGCAGGCCTCAGTGAGAAAGCGACATGTGAGAAAGCTGATGGGGGTGAGGGGACAGCGATCCAGGCATGGTTGAAATGTACACTAAATAGGGACTGTTTCTGGTAAAATTCTATTCAGCCCCGAAGTACCTCCAGTATGAGAAACACCAGGGTGATGGGAGCCAGGAGCTGGACCGGGAGGAGGATAGGGCTTCCCCCTTCAGCAGGGGGTATAGCTCACCACCCACCACCAGCTAGGGCAGATGCTGCTGGTGCAGCCACAGCCCTTGGCACAGCCAACACACAGCACCCAAGAAACCCGAGGCAGCTGCACAATCAGGCCTGTGCCACGCTGCTCTGGGCCTGTCCTTTCATTCTCACGCCAGCTCAGTTGTCCCCTGCCCACACTCTGCCCTCAGCGACCCACCCCTCCACTGTGCCAGTCTGGGAGTGAGTTCGTGCAGGTCTCCTTGTTGGGGGTACCACTTGCATCTTGCTCTGTGCACCCCCTCCTCTTGGTAACCCCAGGGCAAGGCACATGGGGGTGACTCGACGGAAGTGGAAGGACAGAAGACCACTGTCAAGGAAAAGATGGTACCCAGGGGATACAGTGGCTGGTGAGGCCTGGCTGCCTTGGAGCAGGGAGCCATGGAGACTGGGGGTGGGATCTGCCTCCAGGTCAGTGGATCTCAGCCCAGCTGCACACTAGAGCACCCAACAGAGCTCTTAAGAACTCCAATGCCCAGGCTGCACACCAGACCTCCTGAACAACAACCTCTGCGGGAGGACCCAGGCCTCCTCAGATGACTCCAGTGTGCAATCAAGGTGGATGGAAAACCGCTGTTCCAGGTCCTCGATACTCAGTGGAATCTACAGAGCAGCAGCAGCAGCATCACCTGGCGCTTGTTAGGAATGCGGCGTCTCAGCCCTTCCCCGTGCTTGCTGAATTTGAGTCTGCATTTCAATGAGATCCCAGGTGCTTTGGGTGAGAACAAATGCTTCTGGCGGCCTACTAAGAGGTAACAGGTATCTCAGAAAGGTAAAGGGGGTATGGCAAAGGGAGTTTGGGAGTAGGAGAGATGAGACAAAGAAGGCAAGCCAGGGTCAAGCAGCCCTGGAGCATCAAGGAAATAGTGCAGGCAGGCTATGTGTGTGGGGTGGGGCAAGAGTGTTCAGGTAGGTTCTGGGCTCCTTCCTGAAGAGCAGAAACACAGGGCAGGGCTGCACTAGACTGCAAGACCACAGACCCCAGGGCTCCAGAACAGGGCCCTGGAGGGTGGGTTGGGGGCTGGGAGGCTGGGCTGAAGCCGCAGGCTTTTGGTTGACCAGTGTTTGAAAATCCCAAGCTGCCAATAAAATTTCATCTGAAATTCAGATGACTCGGACATTCCTAGAAGACTGTGTTTTAGCAGTGAAATAGAATGTGACCAGTTTCAAAAGATTCCTGAGTGGTTCAGTAATGACTCAAGGGGCTTAGTGGGCCAAAGGGGAAATCAGCGTTGACTGTTTAATTAGAGAAGGTGCTTTCCTTCTGTCTTCAGCGTCGGCCCATCAAGGCCCCAGGGCTGGTTCTCAGGGTGGTGTTATCCCCAGAATTGCCACGAGAGGGCAGGCGTTTCCCAATGTCCTGTCTTGGTGCTGCTGTAGGGAGGGTACAGCTCCAGGGGCCCGGCTTGGGCTGCCAGAGTCTGCAAATACCAACAAGCAGATGGCATGTCCTGGCAGGTGGGCGAGTATTCTACCATAAGGTAGTCACTCTTGAGGCCTCAGAGAAATCCTGGGGTGGGAGGGGAGGCTGAGTACCTTCACTGCTTCTGCTTCATAGTCTTAGGTGTTTGCATAAAAAATTCAAAGAATAAATTCTAGAATATGAAAATGAACTGACAAACTTCCGGCAGAGGCTTTATATGCGATAAAGCCACAGGGGTGACCTGGAAGGAGCTGGCTCAAGCCACTGCTCTGTCAGGCAGCGTTCCCAAGCCTGGCACTGAAACAGCCCCAATCTGGAAGGGGAAGTAGAGCCGTGTGGCGCCAGGATGGGGAGGGCTGTGCTTGCTTCTGTGGGGCCTGGCCTCTCCCACCCCACAATCCACTATGCAATTGGTCTGCAGTGGCTGCCAGGCTGTCTGTGGCTGGGAGGACACGTGGTGGCAGAGAGGGGAGTGACTGCACTGAATCTCCTGAGGTGCAAGCTGGGGAGTGGCTAGAGCAGGGGGACCGTGGAGACCCTCAAGGTGTCCTAAAAGGGGCTCACAGGCAGTGGAGAGTCACGGCATCAGCCCATCTCCCTGAAGGCAGCCAAACTAGCTAACCCTGTCGGCCCTACTTTGAGATTTTCATCCTTCAAGTTCTCAAGGAAGGAGCTGAGGGAGGTGATCAAAATGAGACTGGAAGCTGCCTGGTAGCAGGAGCCAGATCGAAGCCTGGGGCCCTGGGCTTCCCCAGCTGCTGTCACTCTGCCTTCAGGAAGGCTCTGCTAGACAAGGGCTCAAAAGCTTTCTGGACTGCAGAGCTCTCCAGCAGTGGATACAAGCTATGCCCTTACACCCCCCAAATGCACAAAACTACAGCACTGTGCATAACATTCCAGGGAGTGCACGGACTCCTTGAATCTCACTGACGGATAATCTAAGGATACCCAGGCTCCAGGTTAAAGCCCCAGGATTGGGTAATTTGGGGCCCCGCCTAGCTCCACTCGTGCCAGTTCTATGATGCTGAACACCTGTGTCCTGGGTGTCACAGCTGACTTTGCCAATGGTTTTGTTGGTCAGCAAAACCCCTGGGTCCCACTTTACTATATTTATTCCAGATGATTAAAATATTGGAGAAAGCCATGAGGCTGACTGAAATGTAACTTCTGTCATTGACATGGACTTTAGTTTTATTGATTAAACAAACACTTAAGATACATATTGTGCACCAGGAGCTGTTGTGAGCACTTTACAAATGTTAACTCGTCTAGTTGCTTTAAAAGGCAAGTCCTTTTTTCTCTGTTGTCATGGAGGGGAAAGCCAGACTTTTCCATCTGTTTGGCTGTTGCTGGCAACTACTGTCTCCAAATCACAGTTGTACCACTGACTGAACTCTGAGTGCAATCGTTGAGCCTTAGTTTCCTAATCCCTGAAATGGAGATATCTGCTTTGACAGGTTGTTGTGAAATTTAAAAATATTAAAAATAACATATGTCAAGCCCATAACACAGTGTTTATCCTATGATCTATGGTGATGATTTAGATACACGGTCATTAGAAGGGGGATGAATAAACAGTTTCAACATTCATTCCATTCCAGGCATGGTTCTCATATGACCACCAAATGCTAGGCACTGTATTGGGTACTGGGCCCAGGAGGGTGGTCAGAGCCTTCATCCTCACGGAGCCTACAGCCTTATCCATGAACTCTGATGATCCAATGTGTTCCTAGTTCTAGACCACTCAAAAGGCAAAACAAACAAGGGGAGGAAAAAGGCAGGAAAGAAATGGGCTCACTGTGTATGATGTCTCTAAAGAGATGCATAATCTCAACCTGTGAGAACCATCAACCCAATGCCTACAGGGACACCCTTTTACAAAACATCTGCAATTGTTAGTGGGGCTTCTTTCTCACCCAGAGAGAACCAGAACCACAGGAAAAACACTGTTAAGCTTCCCCTTTGTTCCCTGTACCCAATTCCAGGGGGCAAGCCACAGCAGCACACAGACTCTGAGATGCGGGCTCATAAACACACACCACGAAACCAGAACTCTCAGGATGGAGGTGAAAGGTGACTCTCCCAGAGCTCTGGGATAACTAAATAAATTGAAGTTTCCATACCGGCAGCTTCAGTTCTGCAATCAGAGCTAAAGATTAGCCCTGCTGCCTTGCGGGAAGAGAGGGAGGAGGGTTGTGTGCAGCTGGGGTCACCAAAGTCTGACATTTGCTTGTCCCAGAATCTCAGATTTTTTGCATCCTCGGAAATGTCAACGCTGGGAAACAGTAGGGTATGGTGGCAAGAGCTCAGGTGGGGGGTGAAGGGGTGGACAAACTGCCATACACTTGGCAACCCCCACCCAGGGCACAGTGGCCAACACACACCATGGATTGGCTGTCCCTTCTTGGGGGGACAAAGGACACTGACCACACATCTCAGAAGGGCTGCCATGTAGGTGGGCTGTGCTCAGGAGCCACTTGTCAAGTCTTTGGCAAGGGGTTCAAGGTTGACTTAGGGGTGGGAATGAGGTGCTGTTGGATGAAGTGCCTGTAAAGTCCCCGCCACCCTGAAGTCCTCAATTCTGGAAACCGGCCCCAAGTCTGAGAATCTCCTTGTGCTGTGCTTGGAGGACAGGACTGGCCTGGAGGCGGTCAGCTTCCTACCGGGTGAGAACGAGGGAACAAATCGGCACCCCACCCACCAGCTCTTTCCAGGTTTGCTGTGGTTTGGCAAATCCTGGGTCAGCCATGATCTCCCTCCTTCTATTTGGCCAAAGTCAATATTCAGGTGCTTCTGCAGATGACTGGGGACTCCCATTCCATCCCAGCACCATAAATTCACCTAACTTTCCTTGCCGGACGTGGCCACGCATTTAAACTTTCCTCCCCTCTCTCCAGGAAACATCCCCGACACACCCCCGACCCAGGTGGTCGGAGGCGCTCCGCCGCCATCTAGCGGTCACCCGCCGCTGTACACCCTGCGCCTTGTGAGCAGGTGGGGACGGACGGATATTTTGCTGAGAAATAATACATCTGTGAATGTATTGCCTTTTTTCCTTTTTTAAATTTATTTATTTTTATACAGGGTCTCACTCTGTTGCCCAGGCTGGAGTGCACTGGTGCAATCCTGAGAAGCTGGGACTACTGGCGCGCACCACCACGCCTGGCTAATTTTTAAATTTTTGTAGAGAGGGGTTCTCACACTCCAGGCTAGTCTCCAACTCCTGGCCTCAAGCGTTCCGCAGGCCTTGGCCTCCCAAAGTGTTGGGATTACAGGCGTGAGCCACTGCAACCAGACTTAATTGATTTCTTTAGGAAACTTCTCTGGGGTTCCTGGACCCCAGGACTACAGGAAAGGCAGCTAACCAGTGCTCATCAGGAAAAATGTTTTCGTCTAAATTAAACTTTTATTCCGTTGTTGGGGCATCAAGAATTCTCCTTGAAACCGGAGCCTACTAAAAATATCAAGGGAGTGAGGGGTCACAGGGTCAGTTTGGGGTCCAGGGACAGCTGACTTGCTAGAGAAAGGAGTGGTGTTTTATTATAGACAAATCTCACTGGCATCAAGAAAGTGGATTATCGAAGCTCCTTTCTTTTCCTCCCTGAGAAAAAAAGGATGCAAAGCCATCCTAAATCATATGATGCCGAATTTCCAGACTCTGCAGTTGCATGGCCATGGCAGGGATCAATCTGCCTCATAACCCTGAACCCCAAAAGGCTTTTCCTTCCTCTACCAGGACGTTAAAACCTTACTAAGTGAAGTTGGCATGTTCTGAGGCAAATCTGATTTCCTTCTTCTAGGGTGACTTTGTGGAGAAAGCATGGAATTAGCAGGGATGCTCAGAGGTGAGCCAGCCAACAACCACAGTAGTAACTTCTGAGGCATAAGAAGCCTGGGGCCTCCCGTGCAGCTCTTCCTCGACTCCACAGAGATCTAGGGACCAGCTCCCAACTCCCTCCAAACACTCCAAACAGAACTGGGCTTCCCCTTCTCTTCTAATCCTTATTTGCATGCAGCCCCACCCATTCACTCACTGATTCATTCATTCAAGTCATTCCTTGATCAGTCAACACCCCTGTTCCAGGCTCAAGTGATCTGATCCCTGCCGTGAGGAAGCCCCTGGCCCGGTACTGGAGACCGACTTGTAAAGAGAGGAGCAGAGCTCATTGTCACCCCTGGGTGTGGTGATGGAGGTAGGAAAGGTGCTATGCATACACTGAGCTGAGGACCTAGCCTGGTGGGGTTAGAGGAGAGAAGACTTTCTGGAGGCTGTGGCCCTCAAGCCAGACAGTACAGGAAGAGAGAAGGGTATTTTGGGCTATGGCTTAGTAGGTCCCTACCCCTCCTTTTTCTTTGTCCCCAGTCTTTGCTCACTGGCATATCTAAAATTATTTCAGTCCTTATTTAGAGATGTTTGCTATATTGGGTCTGTCTTATTTTTCTAACCTGAAATCCCGAAAAATATCCCTGTGCCCCCATTATGTTTTTTTCCTCTGAATGTAAAGTTTGGCAGAAATGTGCTGTTGGCATCATCTCTAAGTAATAACATCCATTTATATCTGCCCAAGACCCGAACTTCCTCCAAGCTTCCCCTGCCTAGGAGTCCAGCGCTGACCTCTCAGGCTGGGCCTTTTAGAACCCTAAGATATAAAATAACTGTCTTACTAAACACTGAATATCTTTCATTTCTTACTTTATTTTTATTTTTGACAAAGACTATCCCACTTCCTCACCCATGACCATCTTTGCACCCTCTTTTCACTAAAAAGATGGGGAGCATCTTTATCTCTATGTGTGCACAGAGTGTCATTTATAAAGTGGGGGTGACGACCCCCACCTTGCACCACCATTTCTCCTACGGGTCTGTGGGCCTCTCTAGGGTGCAGACTCTGGTCTCTCTGAATTTTCTCTTTTGTTGCCTGTGGTCTCACCCAGACCCTGAAAACTAACCAGACCTTCAATGTACTGTGCTTGGTTAAGAGAAAACAGAACTTCCATTCTGCACCATGATTCTTGCAAACTCAATGTCACTCTTCCAAAGATAGATGATTGGCTCACTGACAGCCTCACTGACAGCCTCATTTTTCTGTACTTCACTTTTCCACCATTGAGTGGGATGACATCTGATAAGAACATCACAGAATGAGAACAAGAAATCAGGGGCTCTGGTTATGTGCAAACACAAAGCCCCAGCACTGTCCACCAGGACAATGGACACTGGTCCAACTGCATTGGAATGAAAGCATCAACTGACCAAGTCATTGAAGAAACAGCCTAAGAAGGCAGAGCTTTCCCAAACCAAACAATGTCTAGAGACGCTGGATGAAATTAAGGGCTAATTCGAGACTGAAGGCTATGAAAGGAGAACTGGCTTCCTTAAAAGCTGTGGATGATCCTCTCTCTAATGTTCACACTATCCCATCCCACTGGAGTAACAGTAATGTACTCTGGGAAATGATACAGTTCAAGGGGAAGGCCTGATTGGCTTATGGATTTTCTGTGCCTTGCCATGTGACCCAATTCTAGCCAAACATACATGAAGGAGAGAGCTGCTGGAGGCTTCTGGGAAAGTTCTTTGTTGCTCTTAGAAGACAGTGATGGGCAGCCACTCTCACCTGCCAGACATGAAAGAGGAAGGATGTGGCCTGATGACCACAGGCAGCCCTCTTGGAAGGAACCAGTGGAAATCACCATTTCCAGTGGAAATCACTGGTTCCTGTCGCAGCAGGAAGGAGGCCTGGGGTGCTTGTAAATAAGCCGAAGTGTACATGTGGCTCATTTTGGTAGTAATGGGTTGGTGAGGTCCAGGTTCCACACATTAGGGGTCACATGGCTCTCAGAAGCCATGGGATGAAGTTTACAACATCAGGATGAAGCCGACACTGCGGCCAGCAGAGTGCAGAGATGAAAGGAATCTGGTTCTTGTTGGCACTGGTGAGTCTCTGGACCAATCTCAAAGCCACCCTTGCCCTGGACTCCATGGTACCTGCATCAGTGAGTGTGAGATGGGTTTTCTGTTACATGCAGTCCAAAGCAACTGGCTGATGGAATTAACAATCCTTCATGAGAATGGTGCAGAGAAGAGATATTAAGGCAGTAGAGATTTACAAGGCTTGGAGATAATGGAGTATGAGGCATGAAGGAGAAGACATTGAGCTGGCCCCTGAGGTTATCCATGTAACAGGGCATTGTGGGCGGCTCAGCTGGGGTGCAGATACCTCCCCTGTTCCCCTTCTCCCCTTCTCCTGAGTGTCTGTTCACGTCTGTGGACACGCATGAAGGTTTTTGTGTGATGACTATTGAGGGAGGGAGGCACCTGGTTGGGGATGGGGTAGAGGCAGGGAGGGAGAGGCAGATGATGGAGCAGGCATGATGTGCCAGCCCAGCTTCTTGGGTTGAACTGGTGACCTGGGTGTAGAGTGGTGAAGGCCAGAAGCACATAGGACTGGAGCTGGGGCCATAAGCCGCGCACTGACAGCATGGTACAGGCTTGGCATGGGGGTAGCTTTCCTTCCTCACTCTGCATGGAGCCCACACGGCATGGGCTTTGGGTTTCTGAAGCCCCTTGACTTGGTACTGGCACTCCCAGAAGGGACACCATCGGCAGCAGTAGCTTCATGGGCACTGGACATGGTCAGGAGGGAACCAGAGCAAGGGAGGAGGAACACAGACTCCAGGGTGACTACGGCTGACTATAGGTGACTAGAGGTAACCACAGCAGGCTTCGTGTAGCTTTGGGGCATCTTGGAACCCACTGGTACTTGTTGCAGCAGGAAAGAGACGTAGGTGCTTGTTAAAATGAGCCAAAATGCACATGGCATTTTGGTAATGGGTGGGTGAGGTCTAGGTTCTACTGGTTAGGGGTCCTAGAAAATACGTATTGAGAAAAGACAGTTCAATCTGGGGCTTGCTGGGTTTGAGATGGCCAGGACAGGCAGGCCATGGTTCCTCAGGCTGGATCTGAGTGCTGTCACTGAAAAGGCAGTTTTTAGCAATGATTCAGGTCAGACAAGAACATTTCTCCTCTCAAGTATGCAGCCAACTCAGAGGCAGAAGAATAGATCATTCCACAGACACTCATCAGGATTCTGAGATACGTTTGGGATCCCTGTGAGTATGTCCAGGAAAGTAGCTGGATCTAAGTCGGGAGTGTTAGAGAGAGAGAGAGACCTAGGCTAGAGACACGACTTTGAATGTTACCAGTTGAAGGAGATTAATTTAAGTAATAGGAATGGATGAAATTACCCAGTGTGTAAAATTAGTAGAGTGAAAATGGCCAAAGGCAGAAAACAAAGAACCCAACATTTAAAGAACAAGCAGAGGAACCTCAAACAATTTTTAAAAGGCCTGGAAGGAACAGCCAGAGATGGAGGAGGAAAATCAGGAGAAGGGCTGGGCACGGTGGCTCATGCCTGTAACCCCAGCACTCCGGGAGGCCGAGGCGGGAGAATGGCTTGAGCCCAAGAGTTCAAGACCAGCTTGGGTAACATGGCGAGACCTTGTCTCTATTTTAAAAATTAAATAAAAAAGAAAATCAGGAGGTCATGGTTATAACAGCAGACACAAGGAGGCTGGAGAGGGAGGGAGTAGCTGACAGTTTCAAATGCTGGACAAAGGACAATAAGGATTGTAGCAACAAGGAAGTGGCTGATGCGCTTGAGAACAGTTTCCATGGTGTGGACGAGGCTGAAGCTGGACTGCAGCAGATTGAGACATGAATGGGAGGGGTGAAGGGGAGGTAGCAAACGTCACGAGGCTTTCAAGAAGTTTGACTTCAAAGAAAAAGAGAGGTAATGGTGGCTAGCAGGGACGTGGAGTCAGGGGAGGACACGAGACTGGAGTGTGATGACATGGGGTGAGGAGGTAACTGATGAAGCAGGTGCCTGAGAAGGCGGGAGGGGAAGGCAATCAGAGCTCAAGGAATGGGGCAGGTCCTAAAAGGGAGGAAGGAAGAGACCGGGGTGCGGTGCAGCCCATCCACGACTGTGCCTACTTTCTGAGGGTACTGGGAGAGGAGGTCATCTGCTGAGGGCAAGAAAGAGGAGACTTGAGGCAGACACAAGCGATCAGAACTGGCCACCTTGGGACTAACCAGGACTGCAGAGGACTGCCAGGCAAAACTGAGAATCAAGTCGAGGCTGGAGACCTTGAGTCTGGGGAGGCACCCAGTCTGCACAGCCATATGATTTTCCTCCCTGAGCCATCGGCAGCCTGAGTGCAGAGGTGAAGAGAGGAGCAGCAGACAGCTCTGCCGTTTGGGCTCTGCTAAGCAGCTATCTGGAGGACAAAGGGCTTCTAGGCAAGTCAAGGAGCTTGGCCAAGATGGGGCTCTGACTTCACATCAAGGCGACTGCTCCTTCTTCCTCACCCCGCAGGACTTTCCTGGACTTAAAGCACACCAAACCACCTCACACCCATTAGGAAGGCTGCTATCAACAAAAAGTAAAATAGCCAGTGTTGGTGAAGACAAGGAGATATCACAGCCCTCATGCACTGTCAGGTGGAATGTAAAACAGTGCAGCAACCACTGCAGAAAGCAGTATGGCAGTTCCTCGGAAAGTCAAAAATAGAATTACCCTGTCAGCCAGCAATTCCCGCTTTTGGATATATACCCAAAAGCATTGAAAGCAGGGTATTATTATTATTATTATTTTGAGACGGAGTCTCGCTCTGTCACCCAGGCTGGAGTGCAGTGGCTGCGTGATCTCAACTCACTGCAACCTCCGCCTCCCAGGTTCAAGTAATTCTCCTGCCTCAGCCTCCCAAGTAGCAGGGATTACAGGCATGCGCCACCACACCCAGCTAATTTTTGTATTTTTAGTAGTGACGGGGTTTTGCCATGTTGGCCAGGCTGCTCTTGAACTGCTGACCTCAAGTGATCTGCCTACCTCGGCCTCCCAAAGTGCTGGGATTACAGGCGTGAGCCACTGCACCCGGCCTGAAAGCAGGGTTTTGAAGAGATATTTGTACAGGTCTGTTCATAGCAGTATTATTCACAGTAGCTAAAATATGGACGCATTTGAGAAAAAACAGTCCAGTGTGGGGTGTGTCCACTGACAGATGAATGGATAAACAAAGTGTGGTATAGTCACACAGTGGATGATTATTCAGTTTTAAAAAGGAAAGAAATTCTGACACATGCTACAACATGGATGAACCTTGTGGACATTATGCTAAGCAAAATAAGCCAGTTATAAAAGGACAAATACTGCATGATTTCACTTATAGGAGGCACTTAGAGTAGTCGAATTCAAAGGGACAGAAAGTCGAATAGTGGTTTCCAGTGGCTGGAGGAGTGGGGGAACAGGAAGCTACTGTTTACTGGGTATAGAGTTTCTAGTTTGCAAGAAGAAGAGTTCTGGAGATGCATGCTGGTTATAGTTACCCAACAATGTGTATGTCCTTAATGCCACTGAAGCCTACGCTTAGGAATGGTTAAGATGGTACATTTTGTTACATGTATTTTACCACATTTTTAAAAAATGCTTTTTTAAAAAAGTACACTGAGGCTAGGCACTGTGGCTCACGCCTGTAATCCCAACACTTTAGGATGCAGAGGCAGGCAGATCACTTGAGGTCAGGAGTTTGAGACCAGCCCGGGCAATATGGTGAAACCCCATCTCTATTAAAAAGAAAAAAAAAATTAGCTGGGCATGATTGCACGCGTCTGTAATCCCAGTTACTTGGGAGGCTGAAGTGGGAGGATCGCTTAAACCTGGGAGACGGAGGTTGCAGTGAGCCAAAATCGTGCCACTACACTGCAGCCTGGGCGACAAAGCAAGACTTTGTCTCAAAAAAAAAAAAAAAAAGTATACTGAGAAGTTAAAGGCATTGGACAGGGTAGCTGGAAGTGGAATCACATGGACAATGCATGTTACCCACAGTCACAGCCACGATGTTAGAAAGGGAAGGCTGAGAAGTGGAAGCCCAGTGCTGCCAGCCAGGATCAAGGGATCAGGATCACAGAGATAGGGCTCTATTCCCGTCTCTGTCATGTTTTGTTGTTGTTGAGACAGGGTCTCACTCTGTTGCCCAGGCTAGAGTGCAATGGAGCAATCATAGCTCACTAAAGCTTCGACCTCCTGGGCTCAAGTGATCCTCCCACTTCAGCCTCTGAAGCAGCTAGGATGACAGGTGCGTGCCACCATGCCTGGCTAATTTTTTTTTTTTTTTTGTAGAGATGGGGTTTTGCCATGTTGCACAGGCTGGTCTTGAACTCCTGGACTCAAGTGATCCTCTCACCTCAGCCTCCCAAAGTGCTGGGATTACAGGCATGAACTAGCATGCCCCGCCCCCGTCTCTGTCACTGTGTGACCTTCCACAAGTTCCTTGTACTCCCTGGGCCCTGCTGCCTTTGAGAAGGTTTAGGATGGATGTGTTTAGGTCTCTTCCAGCTCTAACGGTCTCAGATTCAGGGAAATTGAAAAGCCCTGAAATATCACGGAGCTCAAGAGCACTGGGAGGCGGGCAGCGGGGCCACGGAGCACTTTCTGCCAGGGTCCCTGAGGTCTCTTCATTCCCTACAGAAAAGGTTCATTCCTATACATAACACTGGCCTTCGTAGGAAGAGGCATCTTGAACAAGACTGAAACCAAGCTCAGAGCTGTAAATGAGGACTCTTCCTTTTGTTTTCCATTGCCCCAGAAAGGGCCGGGTTGGACATTTTGGGAAAACCCCAGGAAATGCAGCAAGAGCCAAGAAGCCTCGCGGAGAGAGGCCGTTCCTCCCTCGCAGTGTGTTTTTGCTTTGCTTCAGTTTCCCCTGGCTCCGGTCCTGTGCCTGCGCTTCCTTCCTCCAGGAAGCCCTCTGGCTGCCAATCGGCGCCCCCAGCTGAGAGCTCCAGCAGCGAGGCAGATCCCTTCCTCGGGCTGCTTCCTATTTACCCAACGGGAACAGCTTTCCTGGGCACACCTGGAGATTCAAATCAAATCAAAGGCCTCTCTGCCTTGCAGGCGCTTCATTTGGATTCGTTTGTTTGGGAAGGAACCTTGCAAAGGCCCAATTTAGAGGCAAATTGAATGATAAGGCAAAGCCTCTGCCAGCCTTGGGGTTCAGGCTAGGGAGTGATACACAGGGGATACCTGGAAAGGGGTACACCACAGCACAGGACCCCTGAAAGGGGTACATCACAGGGTGGTACACCTGGTGGGGGAACACCCATAGCAAGGTCCACCCGCGGTGCCGTAACACGCACAGGGGGCACATGTGGACACTGCTTTGCTCCGAAGCAGAATCCCTGAAGGTTTCCCCACTTTTCTCCATACCATGCTACTCTTCACGTGAAAAGGGCCTAACAGGCTCAGGCCGGGGGCAGGAAATGAATTCTCCGAAATAGCTAGGGCATGTTAGAAGGCTGCACTACTGCTTTTGACCACCAGAGAGCAGTGACGCAGTGACTTGCTGGGTGCTCAGAGAAGGACCCACCAGCTACATCATTTGCAGAGCCCAGTGAAAATGTGGGGCTCCTTAAGAATTTCAAGACAGCAGCGGCAGAGCATTTAGCCAAGTGTTGGGACCCTTCTAAGTACGGGGCTCTGCGCTACCGCACAGGTCACATGTGCACGAAGCTGGCCCTGGCCCAGGGGCCTCAGGTTTCAGCCCGGCCTTCAAGATGGTAAGGACCTGACAGAGCTCAGGACAGTGCTGCCACTGCAGGTGTCCCTTAGCTGCCTCCGACCTGCTTGCCTATCCTTTTTTGTCCAGTGTCCTGATGACAATATGCATAATACTTGGAAAAATTATATTTTCAGAGAAAGCCACTGGGGTGTAGTTTCTGCAAAAAAAGGTGTGTGGTTTCACCATTGTTAGGCGGTTTATCTCAGGAAGTGGGAAGCTCCTTCCAGAAACAAGCCCAGGGAATCCAAGCTCTGCAAATTTAGCTTGAGCTAAGGCTTCTCGTTTGCTTCTAAAATACCTGACAACCCTTCATTTTTATATTCAAAGCAGCCAGCATGTTCCAAAGTGTTTACTGGCACCCAGGAAAGAAAAGTCCAGAACTGGCTCCTAAGGTCCTGCCAGGGTGAAGCTAGGGAAAGCCCTTGTCAGAGTCGGAAGTCTGATCTGCTGTGTGACCCTAGGACCTGTTCCTACCCCTCTTTGGCCTTCAGCTACACCACCAAGCCCCATGAAATCAAGGACATCAAACTGGTGTGTTCTCCCCTGCCCCACCTAGCTCTTGCCCTCTACCACTCACCTTCAGGAAGTATGTTTGTAAGACAGACCACGCTAATGAGAAGTGAATTGGGAAACGAAGGCATCCAAGCTGATTGACAAGCTAAGTAGGAGGAGGTAAGGACCACCTTTTTGAATTGTGGACCCACATATTCCGCATGCCTTCCCTGGAAAGGGAGAGCCCTAATGTCTGCAGAGCTCCTAGCCGAATTCTCTAGATTCCCTTACATCCTAAGCATGTTCCTGCATGTAGGGTACATTCTTCCTGGTTGCTTCCTAGTGACAGTCTGCTTTATAAAGGGAAAGTGCAGCTCAAGTCCATCCCTTATGGGCTCTGTGACCTTGGGCAAGTCCCTAATCACTGTGGGTCCCCTTCTTCCCAAGTGTACATAGAGGGGATTGGATGGGTCATTAAGGAGTGCCTCGGTCCTAAAATAAATTTTATGATTCTCCTAAGAGGTCGTCTGGCAGGTATTGTCTGTGCCCAGTGCCTTTTTCTGAGGAAGTAATGCGTGAGTAGGAAAAGGGCCTGAGTGGTCTGCTGTGAACCTCTGCTGTCTCACTAGTTAGCATCTCTCATCTTGGCTGCTGCTTCTTGGAAGATATCCATAGAAACCCAGGGAATTTTTTTTTTTTTTTTTTTTTTTTTTTTGAGACAGAGTTTTACTCTTGTCGCCCAGGCTAGAGTGCAATGGTGCAATTTCAGCTCACTGCAACCTCCGCCTCTCGGGTTCAAGCAATTCTCCTGCCTCAGCCTCCTGAATAGCTGAGATTACAGGGCTGCACCACCACACTCGGCTAATTTTTGTATTTTTAGTAGAGACAGGGTTTTACCATGTTGGCCAGGCTGGTCTCGAACTCCTAACCTCAGGTGATCTGCCCGCCTCTGCCTCCCAAAGTGCTGGGATTACAGGCGTGAGCCACCGCGCCTAGCCTAACCCAGGGACTTCTTAGCTAGCTCAATGGTCCCAGCACCTACCCTTCTCTTTGGTAATCTTCGTCCAGATTTGACAGGAGCTGCGAGCCCGCCGTGGAGAGATCGACAGCAGCCAGGGGCAAGTCCCGATAGGCAAAGTTCACCAGCTGCACAGGAGCAATGCTCTTGGTTTCTTCGTCTACTTGTTGGGAGATGATCTCAACTTCAGAAATTCCTCCTTCTATGGCAGGCCTGGGTTGGAGAGGAGGAACAATGGGAAAGAGTTATCTTCAAGGGCCAAAAAATTCTTCCATTCCTCAAGGAAAGGAGGGAGAATGCTGCTATGCCAGTGGAGGGCTGAGGAAGCTTAAGGTTGCCCCTCTTCCCTGCTGGCCACCCGCGGACCCGAGGACTGGACTGAGGCCCTAACAGTCCCATCTCTTTCAATGGTTGGGGAAAAGTGGGAGAATGGGAAGAGGAAGTGCTCAGACCTGGAAATATGAGCTTTAGTGGGGCAGAGTCCTTCATGAAGGGGAGGTAAAGACCCAGATGGATAACTGCCAGCCCGCAAAACTATGGCTTAGACTTTCAGGACTCTGGGTCACTGGACTCTGTATGGGAGTAAGATATTCTTTTAAGTTGTCTCCTGAGTTTCTTTGTAAAGGTGTTTTGAAATGTTTCTATTCTCTATTCCACAATAGAGAAAACAGGTTTCTGTTCACAACTGGATGTACTGTGGTGATTGAGGAGCCTGCATGGAGACTTGTAGAGACCTAGTGGGCCTTGGGGTGGTGAGGACAGGAGGCTCCAGCTGTCCCTGGTAGCCACTCCCTTCCTATTTGAACTGGTGCTACCATATGTCTCTTCTTAAGGTTGGGAATAGGGGATGGCAGTCACTTGATCCAATGTCTGAGGGCTTGTGGGTCTCTTCCTATCTTACTGTCAGGCTCACCTTGGGCACTGCCAATAACTAACCACTCCAGTGGCATTCCCGGGCATCTCAGCCAGGGCAGTACCGCCTCCCAATCTACCAGGGGATATTTGGCAATTTGTGGAGGCATTTTTGGTTGCCACCATGACCACGGTTGGTCATTATTGACATTTAAGTAGGGCTGGGGACGCTACACATCCTGCAATATGTCAATAACGACTAAAAACTGTCCTGCCCACATACCCACAGCAACCCTGTCCAGAGATGCTGGACTAGAAAACTTCCCCTTAGCTTCCTGGGGCACCATCTTCGGTCCATCCAGTATGTCCTTGACCCTATCTCATCCTGTAGAATCTGAGGGGCTCAGTCTTGTGCCTCTGTCCAAACAATGAGAGTTAGAAAGGAACAATTGTATAATGGCAAGGAGTAAAATTTAAATATTGGAGGGAACATTGAGGGTCAGTGCCCAGGGTAATGAGGGCCCAGTTTTAATACTGAGATGGCAGTCCTCTCTGCTGTAAACTGCTCTTGGGCTCTGGTGCTGGTTTGAATGCCAACTTCTGCAGGGCTCCTCCTGAACCTCAGTTTCTCCAATCAGAACATGAGGAGGTAAAATAGAATATTCCTAAGGGCTGTTCCTTCTCACTATGATCTGACATAGGTGACAGACATATGGAGAAGATCGGAGGAGCTCCAGAGTGACAAGTCCCTATACTTGTGTGGGAGCTCTAAATTCTAAACTTTTCCAACAACCATTGAAATCTAACCAATAATACACAGCTGCAGGCCGGGCATGGTGGCTCACGCCTGTAATCCCAACACTTTGGGAGGCCAAGGCAGGTGGATCACCTGAGGTTAGGAGTTCAAGACCAGCCTGACCAGCATGGTGAAACCGTCTCTACTAAAAATACACAAAATTAGCCGGATGTGGTGGCGCATGCCTGTAATCCCAGCTACTTGGGAGGCTGAGGCAGGAGAATCGCTTGAACCCGGGAGATGGAGGTTGCAGTGAGCTGAGATTGGGCCATTGCACTCCAGCCTGGGCAACAAGAGTGAAACTCTATCTCAAAAGAAAAAAAAAAAAACCCACAGCTGCAGTTATCCCGGAAGTTCAGAGATTAATATACCTACTTCTCTTTTGCTTGGATTATCCGATAACTAAGGAGAAAGTGAGATTTTTATTTGAATGCCACAGCCTGGCTGCCTAGACCACCTGAATTCACCAAGTAATTTCTAATGCCCAATTCTCATTTGTAGGCTTTATTTAAACCTTTGCTTTTTGCTACCTGTCAAGCACAGATAATAGTACTCATCATTGCTTGACATTTACAAAATGACTCAAGATCTTTAAACGAAACAGAATGTGAGGTTTCAGTGTTTCTCAACAATTGATATAAAAGTGTGGGTGTTTATGGGGGGAATCCCAGCTCCCCCAGATGGTTCCCAAAAAGCAGATGCTGGGTTGAATTTGTTCTCTTTTCTTCTGGACTACTCAAGGAAACTATGGATCACTGAACTAAACAAAGAGAACTTTCTGATCAATAAGAGAAATTAACAGGATATGGCTCTAAGAAGTGCGAACAAACTATTTCTGGCTTTCCAACGTTTCTGCCTCACGTTCCCCTTCCATCAGTGGTCCCAGCGGCCCGGCACCATCTCTGGCCATGTGGTGGTCACCTCAGCAGAGAGACAAGGCCCCCTCTGGTGAGGTGAAGGTCCCACAGTGTATAGGCTATATTTAGCCTACACCCTTTCCTTAGATACAAAGAACGGTATGGTAGACAAAATGTATTAATGGTTCTATTCTTTACCTCTCCTTGAGCCTATGCCCTTTGGCATATAACTTCATAGCTCCTTCCATCAAAAATGCTGAACGCTTGATTCAGCATTCAGCCATGTGACTTGTTTTTGCCAACGAGATGTTAGATGGTAGAAGAGCCAGGTTAGACACCAGCAGAGGCATGAAAAGGCTCTGTGAATTTCTGCCTGTGCTCTTGTACCTCCAACATCACCCATGAGAGGGTGAGCAGCCTAGCCTACTGGAGGATGAGAGACGTGGAGCAGAGTCCAGCCTCCTCTAGATCAGCTGACAGCCAGCTATCACCCACATTTAAAAGTCATCCCAGCCAAGATCAGAGGAGCTGTCTAGCTGAGTACCCCAGACATGTGAGCAATAAACATTTTTTGTTGTATTCTACTAAGGTTCTATGGTTGGTTGTTACACAGCATTACTGTGTCAATAGATAACAGATTCATACTCCAGATGACAGAGCAGTCAGGCCCATATCTAGATAGGCCAGGACAGTGTGGTGTAATAGAATGAGTGCTGTTTTCATCTTAGTATTCATACCAACCAGTTGCAAAACACAAAATAAGTGACCACCTTGCAGGTGCTTGGTAAGATTAAGTGATTGGTTCATATGGCATCTCAGGTTTTGGGAAATGAAAGCAATTCTCCCTTAAGAATTCTGCCCCGGGTTTCATAAAGCCTGGTTTTAGAAACCCTCTCAGATTTCTAAATTTCCTTGCGATTCCCATTTTATTAATTCACCTTCAGCGCTTCCTAATCTTGTCTTGAGTCTTGCTTTTGAAAGGTTTCTCCATTTTCTGTGGCCTCCTGCTAAAGGAAATGTACATAGTGGCTGCCTAAATTAGAAGATCTTCATCTTCTGGGAGATTTATAGCCACAGTTCTGGATCCAGAGAGCAGATCCCAGCATTACTTACTGTGGATTGGTCATGTTGAAAGATGGAGCCACAGCCATGGGTTTTCTTGGTGTTTAGTGGGGCTCAGCTGTCCTGAAGCCTGCTGTCAGCATTTCCAAGCGTGGGTTCTACAAGACACATACAAATATAGTGCCCTGAAAACAAAAATAGGAACTTATTACCTTCAGATGCCAAACCAAAGTCCTCCTAAGCTCATCTAAAAATGGGAGTCCTTAGAACTTTCTTCCATCTAGCACTTTTCTTCAAAGTAATGTTGAATAGATTCTTACAATTACCCTATGGAAGAGTAATAATAAGCATAATTTCTCTTTTTTAGATGAGGAAACAAGGCCAGAGTGACAAAATGACTTTTTTGTGTCACAGAGATGGTAGAAGAGCCAGGTTAGTGCCCAGGTTCTCTGACTTCTCATCCACAGTTCTTCCCACTAAACTGCTGTGCCCCCCAAAACAGCATCCCTTTATACTGCAGCTTTGAGAGGCTTCAAAATAAGGTTTGTCTAAAAAATCTCAAATGTTTTCCATGTATTTTTTCTCCCACTTCCCTTTCCCTTCCAGTAGTTCTGTCTTTTCATGCAGGCTTTTCTCTTCTTCTCCTCTCAGCTCATTCCGAGAGCGGAGAGAAAGAATAGATCCTGGAGCTGGGCTGCCACAGTCAGAGCCTCACTCCCACCTACTAGCTCTGTGACCTGGAGTGAGCTACTTACACCCCCATCCTCAGTTTCCCCACCTGAAAAATGGGGATAATAACAGAACTAACTACATGAGGTCATGCCTGTAAGACACTAGCATAGCGTCTGACACTTAGTAAGTACTATATAAGTGTTGGATTTCATTATTATTATTTATTTTATTTATTTATTTTTTTTAGATGGAGTTTCACTCTTGTCACCCAGGCTGCAGGGCAATGGCATGATATCAGCTCACTGCAACCTCGCCTCCTGGGTTAAAGCGATTCTCCTGCCTCAGCCTCCCAAAGTAGCTGGGGTTACAGGGATGCACCACCACGTCCAGCTAATGTTTTTGTATTTTTAGTAGAGACGGGGTTTCTCCATGTTGGTCAGGCTGGTCTCGAATTACTAACCTCAGGTGATCCGCCCGCCTCGGCCTCCCAAAGTGCTGGGATTACAGGCGTGAGCCACCGCGCCCGGCCTGATTTATTTATTTATTTATGTTTAGACAGGGTCTCACTCTGTCACCCAGGCTGGAGCACAGTGGTGCGATCTTGGCTCACTGCAGCCTTGACCTCCTGGGCTCAAGTGACCCTCCACCTAAGCCTCAGCTGGGATTACAGGCACGTACTACCACACTCAGCTAATTTTTTGGACTTTTGGTAGAGTCGGGGTTTTGCTATGTTGCCCAGGCTGGTCTCAAACTCCTGAGCTCAAGTGATCAACCTACCTCAGCCTCCCAAAGTGCTGGGATTACAGGTGTGAGCCACTGTGCCTGGCCAGTAATAATAATAATAATAATAATAATAATAATAATAATTACTATTATTATTATTTGAGAGACAGAGTCTCGCTCTATCTCCCAGGCTGGAGTGCAGTGGCGCAATTTTGGCTCACTGCAACCTCCACCTCCTGGGTTAAAGTGATTCTCATGCCTCAGTCTCCTGAGTAGCTGGGACTACAGGCATGCGCCACCACCTGGGCTAATTTTTGTGTTTTTAATAGAGATGGGGTTTCACCATGTTGGCCAGGCTGGTCTTGACCTCCTTACCTCAAGTGATCCGCCCGCCTCGGCCTCCCAAAGTGCTGGGATTACAGGCATGAGCCACTGTGCCCCGCCCATAATAATTATTTTTTTATAAATTAAAAGGGCATAGTCTGTTGAACCTGAGTATATTCCAACACATTTAGATGGCTGAATATACTCTTAAAAACTGGATTGGTAGGCCAGGCGCGGTGGTTCACGCCTATAATCCCAGGACTTTGGGAGGCTGAGGCGGGTGGATCATGAGGTCAGGAGATCAAGACCATCCTGGCTAACACGGTGAAGCCCTGTCTCTACTGAAAATACAAAAATATTAGCCAGGCATGGGGGCAGACGCCTGTAGTCCCAGCTACTCAGGAGGCTGAGGCAGGAGAATTGCTGGAACCCAAGAGGTGGAGCCTGCAGTGAGCCGAGATCACGCCACTGCACTCCAGCCTAGGCGACAGAGCGAGACTCCATCTCAAAAAAAAAAAAATTGGATTGGTAAACAGCATATACTTTTCTATCAACCAGTGCTACAGTACCATCTAGAAGTCTTCTGGGAGACAGGGCAACCCAGCAGAAGATATGCAGACAAAATAACTCAGAACCCAGGTTCTTAAAGGAGCGAGGAAGTTCCTTTAAGCAATGTGTAATTAAGAAAAGAGAGTGCTCAAGTTAAAGAAACTTAAGGAAATCCTGGGAAAGTCTGAACTTAGAGCAACTGGAATTAACAGAGACAGAGAGCTCTCTAAAAGCAGAAGGGCAGCCAAGGAGGAAGCCACCAATCATATCCACACCAGATGTTTGTGGGGCAATAGAAGCAAGGGACAAAGGCTCAGAGCCAACACCAAGGAGAAATGGACAGATGTTTTGTAACCACATCTTACCAAGGGCTTCACCTTCCCTTAGTATTCCTTAGTAAGGAGGGTCTAAGCATGAAAAACAGAACTGTCCTCTATAGTATTTGGGATTTCATATCCATTTTATACTAAGTCTTATAAAATTCCATAACAGATTTAATCAGTATCAATCTTTTTATGTTCTCTTTATAAAACCTCAAGTTAATAAAGTCTTCTGAGACTAAGATTGATCACATAGAATGTCTAAACCCAACTGACAATGAAGTCAGAATTGAGATATCCATAAATGGGAAGCCAGGTGAGCAAGCCTTCTTTCCAGAATGGTGTTTTAACAACAAGTTGTATTTCCAAATGAGGTTTGTTTGTTTGTTTGAGACAGAGTTTCGCTCTTGTTGCCCAGGCTAGAGAGCAGTGAGCAGAGGCGTGATCTCAGCTCACTGCAACCTCCGCCTCCTGGGTTCATGCAATTCTCCTGCCTCAGCCTCCCAAGTAGCTGGGATTACAGGTGCCTGCCACCACGCCTGGCTAATTTTTGTGTTTTTAGGTTTCACCATGTTGGCCAGGTTGGTCTCGAACTCCTGATCTCAGGTAATCCACCCACCTCAGCCTCACAAAGTGCTGGGATTACAGGCATGAGACACCATGCCTAGCCCCAAATTAGTATTTTACATGCTACACAAGGTATTAGCCCTGTGGGGGATATAATGGGAAGGTCATTACTTTCATGGACCTTCCTGTCTCTCTGGGCAGGCAAATTTAAAAAATACAAAACTCCAAACTTTTTGCACATTTCTAGTAGTGGAGAACAAGTAAAAATTCACAAATCTGTATTTATAAATAATAAACATTAATTACCACATTAATACAGCCAATATAAAACATATACAAAAAAGAAGTAAAGATTATGAAAAATTTTTTTTAATTTAACTTTTTAGGAAGGAAAATTTCAAATATATACAATTGTAGAGAATTGTATCATGGACCTCTAATTCCCCACCACCCAACGTCAACGTTATTAACTCATGGGCAATCTTTTCTCTGTATCCCTGCCTGTCTCCACCACTCATGACTGTTTTGGAATAAATCCTAGATGCCGTTTCATTCACCTGTATTTCAATATGTAGTTCTAAGGATAACGAGGAGAAGGATTCCTTTTAAAAGAAGTAATCACAAAACTATCATCATCCCCAAGTCAACAATCTCTTCTTTGAGACACAGTTTCACTGTCACCCAGGCTGGAGTGCGCTGGCGCGATCTTGGCTCACTGCAACCCCTACATCCCAGTTCAAGCAATTCTTTTGCCTCAGCCTCCCAAGTAGCTGGGATTACAGGCGTGTGCCGCCATGCCCAGCTAATTTTTTTTATATTATTAGTAGAGACGGGGTTTCACCATGTTGGCCAGGCTGGTCTTAAACTCCCAACCTCAAGTGAGCCAACCGCCTCGGCCTCCCAAAGTGCTGGAATTACAGGCATGAGACACTGCACCCGGCGGTTTTTTTTTTTTTTTTTTTTTTTTTTTTTTTTTTTTGACAGGGTCTCACTCTGTTGGCCAGACTGGAGTGCAGTGATACAACGGAAACTCACTACAGCCTTGAACTCCTGGGCTAAAAGTGATCCCCCCACCATCAGCCCCCAGAGTAGCTGAAAAGCACAAGCCACCACACCCGGCTACCTTTTGTATTTTTTGTAGAGAGGAGGTCTCAGTATGTTGCCCAGGCTGGTCTCGAACTCCTAGGCTCAAGCAATCTTCCCGCCTTGGCCTCCCAAAGTGTTAAAATCACGGGAGTGAGCCACCATGCCTGGCCAGGATTTTCTTTATATCATTAAATATCCAGGCATTGTTTACATTTCCCCCATTTGTCCTGTATATATTTTTTTAAGGTTTGTTGAATCAGGAGCCAAAGAGGCCACACATTATGATTAATATGACTCTTAGGTCTCATTAAATCTACAGGTTTCCCCTTCCTCTACCTCATTTTTCACCTTGCAATTAATTGGAAAAACTGAGTCATTTGTCTGACAAAGTTTCCCACAGTCTGGATTATGGTGATTATATTTCCTTAGCAGTTTTTTTTGTTTTGTTTTTTGTTTATTTATTTGTTTTGAGATGGAGTTTCACTCTTGTTGCCCAGGCTGGAGTGCAATGGTGTGATTCTTGGCTCACTGCAACCTCCACCTCCCGGGTTCAAGTTATTCTCCTGCCTCAGCCTCCTGAGTAGCTGGGATTACAGGCATGTACCACCACGCCCGGCTAATTTTGTATTTTTAGTAGAGATGGGGCTTCTCCATGTTGGCCAGGCTAGTCTCGAACCCCCTAACTCAGGTGATCCGCCTGCCTCAGCCTCCCAAAGTGCTGGGATTACAGGTGTGAGCCAATGCACCTGGCCTCCTTAGCAGTTTTCTAACATGTTTCTCTGTCCCCTATGTTTCCTATACATTTTAATTAGTTTATAGATTTTAATCAGATTCAGGTTCAATTTTTTTGCAAGATTTCATAGGTGGTGCCATAACTTCAGTAGGAGACACATATTGTCTTCTTGTCCCTCTTTTTATTATACTAACAGCCATTGATAATTGCTTCCTATATCAATTAATTCATTAAGGTTTGCAAAAATGGTGATATTTTAATTTTGTTGTCCCTTTTTCATTGGTCAGCTTCTATTCAGACTTTCCCTCCTCAGTTAATGGATTAGCCTAAGGTATGGTTTATATAAGCAAAGAAGGAAAATGCTTAACTTTCGCCCCTTTATTTGTTTTCAAAATAATGAATTAGCATCTTGGTATCTTCCAAAATGATCAGTGAGGTGCTTATGGTTGTTTAAGCAGCTCCAGGGATTCATTCATTCACTCAGCATGGGTTGAGCGGAGGAGCAGATTCCCTGAAAAAGTGGCAGCAGTTTCCTGGAAAGGAGATATGGGAGAGGGGAAGAAACGACTGGCCTCTCTGGTACAAGGGCAAAGATGAGGGAGGAAAAGATGGTAAAATCATATTTAGATGGACAATAAGCAGGTGGCTTCAGCTGGAGGTTTTAATCCTTAACAAGCAGCACATTTTAGAAGGCAAAATTCCCTATGACGATGGGAATGCTGAGCCTGTTTGTTATTTAAAAATAATATTTCCCAAACAAAATAACCCTCAAAACACAAGCCTAGCACGAAGCAGGCATAGTCTAGCACTCTAAAAATGAACATCCGAAGTGCCAACCTGCTATTCCATAAACCTGGTAAAAGTGGAAGATAAAACCTGTTTTGGATTTACTGGGTGGGTGGGAAGGCTGCTTTTAAGACTTTAGTCAAATTCCAGTCTCTTCCACTTGTTGGTCATGAGTCTATGTATTTACCCATATATGTGTTCCAGCGAGATCTGCCAAGTTCAACCTTCCTAAGCTAATATCCTTGGAATTTTAGGGCTGAAAAAGGCTGCTAAGATCAAGTAGTCAGTCCCCTAAAAAAAGGCAGAATTCAACTCACCTGTCCCCAGAGGACCCCAGGTCTGTTCATCACCTCTTACTTGAGTGACAGCCCCATGGCACACATGACCTGCTTTCATACCCATTTCAGCGTTTCCCATGCCTGGTTTTACTCTGAATCACCTGGGGATCTTTGGGGAAACAGAAACTCATAGGTGCACTGCAGAAATGCTAAATCAGAACTCTGCAGGTGAAGTTTGAGAAGCTCTTTAAGTTTCCCAGGTGTTTCTGACATGCAGCCATTCCACTTGACCCTCTGTATCAGTGGTTCTCAAACGTTCTCATGTACCAGAATAATCACCTAAAGGGCTTATTAAAACCCAGCTTGCTGGCTCCGCCCATGAAATTTCTAATTTAGTATGTCTGGAGTGTTCGAAAATGTACATTTCTAACAAATTCCCAGAGGATACTGATCTGCTGACCCACCGACCACACTCTGATCTACTGAATCAGAAAGTTTGCTCAAGGTAAAGTAGTTATTTTTATCCCTATTTTGCAAATGAAGTTAAATGGTTGCAAAGCTACTGTGTTGGAATTAGCAGAAGCTATGCTGACCAAGCTGAAGAACCAGAGATAGGGTGTATCAGTTAGAAATACTTTTGTTTGCAAACAACAGTATACCTAGCAGTGACTTAGGCAATGAAGACTTCAGGCCAGGTGTGGTGGATCATGCCTGTTATCCCAGCACTTTGGGAGGCTGAGGTGGGTGGATCACTTGATATCAGGAGTAAGAGGCCAGCTTGGCCAACATGGCAAACCTCATCTCTACTAAAAATACAAAAATTAGCTGGGTGTGGTGGCTTGCACCTATAGTCTCAGCTGCTCTGGAGGTTCAAGTGGGAGAATTGCTTGAGACCGGGAGTTTGAGGCTGCAGTGAGCTATGATTGAGCCACTGCACTCCAGCCTGGGCAACAGACCAAGGCACTGTCTTAAATTAAAAAAAAAAAAAAAAGGACTAGAGGTAGATGATTCCAGAACTGGAGAAGTGGCACCCAAGCTCTTTTTTCCCCCGCATAGCTGAGGTATGACTGACAAATAAAATTGTATATATTTGAGACATAAACTGTAATGTTTTGATATATGTATACATTGTGAAATGATTACCACAATCAAGGTAATTAACATACCGATCACATCATATAATTACCTTTTTTGTTTGGTAGTAATGAGAATACTGGAGATTTCCTCTCAGCAAATTTAAGCATACAATATGTTGTTATTGACCATTATTAGTCACTATGGTGGTTATTATTAACCATTATTAGTCACAGACCTAATATATTAGGTCTCCAGCATGTATTCATTTTATAACTGAAGATTTATACCCTTTGACCAATATCTCCTCTTCTCCCTCACCACCTGCCCCCCGCAACCCCTGGTAACTATCATTCTACTCTCTTGTTACTATGAGTTCAACTTTTCTTTTAAAAAAAAGATTCTACATATAGGCTGGGCACAGTGGCTCACGCCTGTAATCCCAGCACTTTGGGAGGCCCAGGCAGGTGGACTACCTGAGGTCAGGAGGTCGAGACCAGCCTGGCCAACATGGTGAAACCCCATCTCTACTAAAAATACAAAAATTAGCCGGGCATGGTGGGCGCCTGTAATCCCAGCTACTCAGGAGGCTGAGGCAGGAGAATTGCTTGAACTCGGGAGGCGGAGGATGCAGTGAGCCGAGATCATGCCACTGCACTCCAGCCTGGGCGACAGAGTGAGACTCCGTCTAAAAAAAAAAAAAAAATTCTAACTATAAGTGAGATCGTGCAGTATTTGTCTTTCTGTGACTGGCTTAGCATAATATTCTCAAGGTACATCCATCTTGTTGCAAGTGGCAATATTATTGAGCTCTTTTTAAAGGCTGAATAATATTCCACTATATATATATATATATATATATATATGTCTGTGGGTGTGTGTGTGTGTGTACACACACATATTTGTCTATTGATGGACACTTAGGTTGCTTCCAAATCTTGGACATTGTGAATAGTGCTGCAATAAATGTAAGAGTGCAGATATCTCTTCAAGATAGTGATTTCCTTTCCTTTGAAAGGAAAGGAAATCCCACTCAGCAGTGGGATTGCTGGATCATACGGTAGTTCTATTTTGAGTTTTTTGAGGAGCATCCATACTGTTTTCCATACTGGCTGTACCAATTTACATTCCTACCACAATACACAAGGTTCTCTGTTTTCCACATCTTTGCCAACACTTGTTATCTTTTGACTTTTGACTTTTTTATAATAGTCATCCTAAAAGGTGTGAGGTGATATCTCACTGTGGTTTGGATTTGCATTCCCCTGATGATTGGTGATGTTAAGCACCTTTTCATAAACCTGTTGGCCATTCGTGTGTCTCCTTTGGAGAAATGTTTATTCAGGACCTTTGCCATCCCCATCCCCCCCACTGCCTTTTTTTTTTTTTTTTTTACATGGAGTCTCATTCTGTCACCCAGGTTGGAGTGCAGTGGTGCCATCTCAGCTCACTGCAGCCTCTGCCTCCCGGGTTCCAGCAATTCTCCTGCCTCAGCCTCCCGGGTAGCTGGGATTACAGGCATGTGCCACCAGGCCTGGCTAATTTTTGTATTTTTAGTAGAGATGGGGTTTCGCCATGTTGGCCAGGCTCGTCTTGAACTCCTGACCTCAGGTGATCTGCCCACCTGGGCCTCCCAAAGTGCTGGGATTACAGGCGTGAGCCACCATGCCCAGCCCCATTTTTTTTTAACAGGGCTATTGAGTTGTATAGGTTCCTTATATATTATATATTGAGTTATATGGGTTCCTTATATATTATATATTGAGTTGTATGGGTTCCTTATATATTATATATTGAGTTGTATGGGTTTCTTATATATATTGGATTTTAACTCCTTATCTGATAACTGCTTATCAGATATATTGCTAAAACATACTTCCTCCCATTCAGTAGGTTGCCTTTTCATTTTGTTGTTTCCTTTGATGTGCAGAAACTTTTTTATTTGACGTCATTCCTGCTTGTTTATTTTTGCTTTTGTTGCCTGAGGTTTTGCCTCCAAAATATCAATGCCAAGACCAATGTCAAGCAGCTTTCACCATATGTTTTCCTCTAGGGTTTTGATTTTTATGTATGGTGCAAGATAAGCGTTCAGATTACTTTTTTAATGTAAATATCCAGTTTTCCCAGTTTTTCTATTGAAGAGACTATCCTTTTCCCATTGTGTATTTTTGGCACTTTTGTCCAATTAGTTGACCATAAAGGCATGGGTTTATTTCTGGGCTCTTTGTTCTGTTCCATTGGTCAGCCTGTTTTTATGCCAGGACCATGTGGTTTTGATTACAATAGCTTTGTAATATAGCTTAAATCAGAAAGTGTGCTGCCTCTGGCTTTTTTTCTTCTTGCTCAAAGTTGCTTTAGCTATCTGGGGTCTTTTGTGGTTCCATACAAATTTTAGGAATTTTTTTTTTTCTGTGAAAAGTGCCATTGGAATTTTTGTTTGTTTAGAGAGAGTCTCACTCCATCATCAAGGCTGGAGTACAGCAGCACAATCATAGCTCACTGTAGCCTGAAACACGTGGGCTCAAGTCATCCTTCTACCTCAGCCTTCAGAGTAGCTGGGACAACAGGCACGCACTATTATGCTTGGATAATTTTGAATTTTTTTTAGAGTTGGGGGTCTTGCTATGTTGCCTAGGCTGGTCTGGAACCCCTGGGCTCAAGCAATTCTCCTGCCTAAGACTCCCAAATAGCCTGGATTACAGGTTCAAGACACTGCACCCAACTCACTATTGGAATTTTGATAGGAATTGTATTGAACCTATAGATTGCTTTGGGCAGTATGGACATTTCAATAATATGAATTATTCCAATCTATGAACATAGGATATCGTTCTACTTATTTGTGCATTCTACAATTTCTTTCAACAATGTTTTCTAGTTTTCAGTGTACAGAGAACCCAAGCTCTTCTCATCCTTCCATGCCCCTGTCTTGTGTGTGATAGATTCCTTATGCTTGTTTCCCTGTGGTTGCAGAATGGCTGCTACAGCTCCAGCTTGCACATCCTCACACCGACTCCCAAACGAGAAGAAAGAATCAAAGGCTTTCTCTTTACAAGGCTTTGATCTTTTATTCAGGAGGCATCTTTCTAAGCTCTCCAGACAACATTTCCTGATGTCTCCCTGGGCAGAGCTAGGACAGGGCTGCAAAGGAGCCTGGGCCAATAGGCAGCTGGCCAAGGGAGTTAGGGGTGCTATGTGAACCTAGTCCAGTCAAGATTCATCCCTTGGGACCGGACACGGTGGCTCACGCCTGTAATCCCACCACTTTGGGAGGCTGAGGTGGGCAGATCACCTGAGGTTAGGAGTTTGAGACCAGCCTGGCCGACATGGCGAAACCCCGTCTCTACTAAAAATACAAAAATTAGTCAGGCATGGTGGCACACACCTGTAATCCCAGCTACTCAGGAGGCTGAGACAGGAGACTCACTTGAAACCAGGAGGTGGAGGTTGCAGTGGCAGTGAGCCAAGATCACGCCACTGCACTCCAGCCTGGGCGACAGAGCAAGACTCCATCTCAAAAAAAAAAAGATTCATCCCTTGGGGATAGGCATATTGTTTCCATAAACATAATCTCGGTTGTCTTAGCAAGGAAGAAGCAGGGAGGGACTATGGCATAGGTAACTAATTGTATGCTAGACCAGGTTTGGACACTTCTGATGTGGTTCTGAGGCTCAGCTGAGATAAGCTTTCTGGGTCCCTAAACAAGACTGGCCAAATGTTGGTGAGTGGCTGGCAGCATGTGCTCTCACAAAACCTTGGGGTTCTTTTACGTGGAGATAGCATTGCATGCATGTGAGGTTCAGTTCTAACATCATAAAGCCTGCTTTAGAATCTGCTCCTAGGGGGAAGCCACTGAGCTCTGGCATGTTTCATGGACATCATGTTCCACACCCTCAGGAGGAGAAGGTTGTATTTCTTGTGCTTGATGAGAAAGGTTTCTGTACAACAGATGCTGGTCCTCCTTGTTGTTACCTTGACCCCCTAATATTTTACTCCATTAACAAGGAGCTAAAATGAAGAAAATCAATCACACACCTGAGCATTCTCCCACTCCAATCTCCAGTCTATTGCAAAATTATTAGCTGCAAATCTGCTAAATGAATGGGCAGAGAGCCCACAGTGGCTTTCATCTCTAGGTGAGCCAAGGTCTCTTGTGGACCCCTTTAACTTTCTATTGTTTGCTCTTTTTCACTTACTTAGTGATGTAGTCTGTCAATTACTACTGGTCTCATGCAGCATGGGAAACACAAAATAAGGTTACACAAAATCAAACCATCCATCATTACTCAGTTACTCTTTTCAGAAAGCCAAAAGGACAATTATCGTAATTCTTCCCTTCCCCTCAATATCTTTTTTCCACTTTAGAGCTTCCCTAACAAACACTTCTGTAAGTGACCCCACTGAGACAAAGGATCCACTTGCTCCTCGCCCCTAGCTGGCCTAGGCTGAAAATAATACCACCCAGCAAGCAATCCTCAGCCCCAGCCTGATGTCATTTTCCCTCCAGAATTCTGCAGAGTTTCTGGAGAACTAAAATATCTATGATTTTGAGAACCACCAACAATGAGCTAGGGCTGCAGCGGCTGTCCCAGTATCTCTAACCCTCCTTCAATCAAGCAAATCTTAAGTATAAATGCCACCTTTCAAACACTTTGCAAATTTCCAAATTAATCTTTTGCTTTACATGCTATTAACTAAAATATGTTAGGAACCCGGATATAATTAACTTTGCCAGTGAATACTACATGGCACCAGGCAAGTAACTATTCTTTGGTAAATGGAGGGAAAAAGTCCTCTTTCTTCAATACTTTTCATACTACATATGGTAAGATTGTAAAAAAAAGATCCCATTTTTTACCTGCATTGTATCAATGCCCTGTTTGTCATGTAATTTTTCATTACCCTTTTACCTGGTGGTTGGCCTTGGCCATTTGGTTGACCAAGCAAATCCACTTGCTTTGTCCAAATAGATGGTAAGCAAACATGAAAGCTCTCACATGATTGGGCCTGCCCTCTCTTGCACCTTTCCCATCATCATGACAGCATACTCAGGCTGGCCTGCTAGAGGATGGTCATTGCCCCAGTCACCTCAACTAAGGCCAGCCAA
Organism: Homo sapiens; assembly: GCF_000001405.40. Taxonomy (NCBI): domain Eukaryota; kingdom Metazoa; phylum Chordata; class Mammalia; order Primates; family Hominidae; genus Homo; species Homo sapiens. The sequence continues at coordinate 76,122,133 of NC_000015.10, read as the reverse complement.
CAGCTGCCCTCCAGGCATGTGTGAGAGAGGCTAAGCCAAGACCAAAAGAGCCACCCAGCTGTGCCTAGCCTAAATCACTGACCCACAGACTCATGATCTAAATAAAGGGCTTTTTGGTTTGTTTCTCAATTCATTCTTCAGTCACTTATTAGCATCTTCTATGTTCCAGGAACTATACTAAACATTGAGGTTATCAAGATAAATGAGACATGATCACAGCACTCAAAAACTCATGGGGTAGTAGTAGAGACAGATGCATAGATAGACATTTACATCAAAGAAGTGAGAATAGTGAAAGACTATCAAGGAGTGTTTTGTGAGCTGTAAACTTCTGTAACTAATGATTAACTAATGATTCCTCACGCTGGCAGGCACAATCTCCTTCCTTGCTTCAGCCACCTGTTAAAGGTTTGTTTTGGCCGGGTGTGGTGGCTCATGCCTGTAATCCCAGCACTTTGGGAGGCCGAGGCAGGCGGATCACTTAAGGTCAGGAGTTTGAGACCAGCCTGACCAACATGGTGAAACCCCACCTCTACTAAAAATACAAAAATTATCTGGGCATGGTGGTGAGTGCCTGTAGTCCCAGCTACTCAGGAGGCTGAGGCAGGAGAATCACTTGAACCTGGGAGGCAGAGGTTGCAGTGAGCTGATATCGTACCACTGCACTCCAGCCTGGGTGACAGAGTGAGACTCCATCTCAAAGAAATAAAAAAAAAAGAACACCAAGAAAGGCTTGTTTTGTTAAGCCCACCAAGTTTTTAGGGTGGTTTGTTGTATGAGATTATTGTGGCAATAGAGCACTGATACATTATAGACAATTGTCCACTGCAACACATAAAATAATACATTTTACATCACATATATTGGTATATATATCTTTGTATTATATATAAATACATAAAAGTTAAACCTCTCTGCAGCTTCCACCTTAATCTTTCAACTTCCCTGCTCCATCCTCTCTTGAGGTCCCTATGTCAATACCCAGGCATAGAAATCCTTGCTCAGAATTAAGCAAGCATATACTCTTATTTATAGGCTGATATTTGTGGGTTTGTGTTGAACAAAATAAAATCAACCCTGCAATTTGCTTTTATCACTCAGCAGTATATATGGACATCCCTTCCAGTTAGTGAAGATTTATATATTTTCTAATTTCCTTTTTCAGATATATACACACATGCATATATACAGCTTTATATAAATTGATTATCATGAAATTCATGTTTTAGTGGAGTCTGTTTTTCTATTTTTCCTGCTTCCCCCACATTACCTGCCTCATGTTGTACTCCCTTAATATACATATGCATGCAAAAACACATACCAATGTTAATCTGTGTGTATCTTTCCTTATCTTTTTTTTTTTTTTTTTTTTTTTGAGACAGTCTTGCTCTGTAACCCAGGCTGGAGTGCAGCGGCATGATCTTGGCTCACTGCAGCCTTCGCCTCTCAGGTTCAAGCAATTCTCCTGCCTCAGCCTCCTGAGTAGCTGGGACCACAGGGGCATGCTACCACGCCCAGATAATTTTTGTATTTTTAGTAGAGATGGGGTTTCGCCATGTTGCCCAGGCTGGTCTCTAACTCCTGACCTCAAGTGATCCACCTGTCTCGGCCTCCTATAGTGCTGGGATTATGGGCGTGAGCCACCGCACCCGGCCTATCTTTCCTTACTTTTCTTTGTGCTTATATAATTATGTATAAAAATAGTTCATTATATATTTTAATACATATTATTCACACTTATCTGCTTTTTGCTTTTTCCATTTGACAATATCTTGTAGAAATCCCCCTCCCCCAAGTCAGGTAGTAAAACTCTAATTCATTCTTTTATTAGTGGCTGTATAATATATTCCATGGTGCGAATGATCCATAATTTAGTTAAAAATTGCCCCATTGATACGGTTTCTTTTTAGATTTTTTTTTTTGGCCACCGTGAAAAGTGCTATTAGAAACATTCTTGTACACATTTCATTATATACTGGTATTTTCATTTGCATGGAATAGATTCCCAGTAGTGACATTACTGGGCTAAAGAGAATGTATTTTAAATTTTAATAGTTAAAATGAAATTGCTTTGTAAAGGGCTTTAACAATTCACACTTCACAGCAAAGTAGGAAAGCTCCCTTTTGAGGGGAGAATCTTAATCACAAGCTCTGAAGGGTGGCTGTGGACTATTTAAGTTCAAATACTTGCTTAATTATACCCTCTTCCCCACAGAGCACTGTAGTAAAAATCTGAAAAATGGAGGACAATGGCAAAAGCAAAAATAGTAACAGATATCCTTACACAAAAGAAAATATGTAGCCAGTTTGGGAACTATCCCCATCACAATATTTCTTTTTCTTCTTTTTTTAATTAATTTTTTTTTTGAGACCAAGTCTTGCTGTATTGCCCAGGCTGGAGTGCTGTGGCACGATCTCGGCTCACTGAAGCCTCCACCTCCTGGGTTCAAGTAATTCTCCTGCCTCAGCCTCCTGAGTAGTTGGGACTACAGGGGCTCTCCACCATACCTGGCTAATTTTTGTATTTTTAGTAGAGATGGGGCTTTACCATGTTGGCCAGGCTGGTCTCCAATTCCTGATCTCAAGTGATCCGCCCACCTCAGCCTCCTAAAGTGCTGGGATGACAGGCCTGAGCCACCGCGCCCGGCTCCCGTCACAATATTTCTATGAATTGTTTCAGCAACAGCTAGTCCCCCTGAGACCCTATTTTCTTTTCTTTTCTTTTTTTTTTTTTTTTTTTTTGCCATAAACCCTAACCCCCTAAACGAAACCAATAGCATAACCTTGAGATTAAACCTTGGGTTTCCTTGTGTGTCCTTCCCCTCCCAACACTCCAGGACTTACAAGCTGGCAAGTAGAGTGGGTACAAATATGGCAGGCTTAAATCTGATAGCGTTCCTGACCAAGTAGATAAAAATCATTAGCAAAGGAGAAGAATTTTAGGAAGAGTCATTCGCTTTTAATTACTGGTATATCAATATATAGGCTAGTGCCCCACATAGTACTAGAAACTCTGGGAAGATGGCACCAGGATTTCCTGGATTTGCCCCTCTGGTGTAGTGCTTTCCTGTCCTCATTCCCAGGGAAGTCAGTCTCCCCTCACAGATCACAGGTCTGTGCATGATGACGAGGGTTAAATTGTTGGCAGAGCTTCATTTGAATACCAGTGGCACAACGCCCCTTGGCACCAGGTAGGGCCTGCTTTAAGCTAGGAGTTGAGGAAGTGCCACTCACTAACTCCTCTCTCTGAAGAACCCATGTCTTCATGGAAGGCTCCCCACTCGGAGCTGTCCCCCTGCATGATGCTACTACGTGATGACACTCTACGTAAATCTCCTGGGATGCCGGAAGGATCTTCCTTTCTTCTAACCAACATCATTTCTTCCAAAAGGGTAGAAACTGGAGGGAAAGCAAACCAAGGTCTCTACATCACTGATGGCAATTTTATTGGTTAGGACTCCTTAGGTAATGGGCATTTACAGAGATCCTAGAAAGTGCAGAGCTCAGGGCTGGGCAGTAAGATGCAAAGCAGTATAAGGCAACCCTTGCCCTCAAGTTTCCTTCCTTTATTTTTTGAGACAGAGTCTCGCTCTGATGCCCAGGCTGGAGTGCAGTGGTGCAATCTCAGCTCACTGCAATCTCTGCCTCCCAGGTTCAAGTGATTCTTCTGCCTTAGCCTCCCGAGTTGCTGGGACTACAGGTGCCCACCAGGCCCAGCTAATTTTTGTGTTTTTAGTAGAGACGGGGTTTTACCATGTTGGACAGGCTGGTCTCAAACTCCTGACTGCAAGTGATCCACCTGCCTCGGCTTCCCAAAGTGCTGGGATTCCAGGCATGAGCCACCACACCCGGCCTCAAGTTTTCAATCTCATTAGAATGGAGGGCCCAAGGCAGTATGATGTAAATAATGACTGAAGATGATATGTGCTGAAGGCCAGCTGAGTGGCTCAGTGAAGATGGGACAAGATTAAGCCAGGAGGAGGTCAGTGTGGGCCGCAAAATCAAAAAGGCTGTGGATCTTCCCAGGGGTGCAGTAACCTGGCCTTACTTTGAAGCATGTATCTGGTCAGTGGCAAGGGTCATAAAAGAGCATTAGCTTTCTGGCCTTGAGGCCAATGGTATCTGCCAGTGGCTCCAGCTGCAGCAGGCCTGAGAACCACCTGGAGAGCATGTTTAAAATGCAGATTCCTGGGCCATCCTAGAGATTCTGAGCAAGGAGATCAGGAACCTGTGTTTCCACCTGAGAATCACTGGCCTAAGTAAGTGTCCCACCTGAAATCACCTCTACTTTCATGTCCCTCCTTCAAGGACCACAATCAAGTTCTCTTTAATTTTACAAACACCTCCAGGCATCAGTTCGTTCCAGTCTCCTCTCCTTCTGCTGACCCTCCTGTGGACCCACTGCCATTCCCAGCTTGTCTCCTCTCACAAAATCCTTCTCCACCTCCAGAAGTGCCTAGCCCTGAGTCTATTCCTAGAGCTTCAGTGGTCCTTTCTTATCTCCCTTCAATTCAAAACAAACGGCAGATATATTCTCATCACGGCTTGCGTTCAGGGTCAGGAAACATAATAAAACCACTCTAAGACCCAAACTGATCCAAACACCGGCTTGGTCTCTCTTAATAAGCAACCCAGGCTACGTGGGAGGTGGGTGTGGAGATGGTCCCAGACTGGGCAGCTGTAAAACTGGGCCAGTCTCTTAGTCGGAGCCCAGTTTTGCCACGTGTAAATAAAGACAAAATGACTGACCACCTCAGGCACTGCCGTAGTGTTTCATTTGATGCTGGTATACATGGTGGTACGGCACGTGATGACCTTGTCTCTGAGAAGCCATCAGTATAAGGTAAAAAGTCGATTTAATAACAGCTTGTCAATGAAAAAAAAAATGTACACACTGTCAAATTTATGCATCAAGTGTAAGACCCTGATGGATTCGGCTGGGTGTACTGGCTCACACCTGTAATCCCAGCACTTTGGGAGGCCGAGGCAGGCAGATCATCTGAGGTTGGGAGTTTGAGACCAGCCTGACCAACATGAAGAAATGCTGTCTCTGCTAAAAATACAAAATTAGCCCGGCGTGGTGGCACATGCCTGTAATCCCAGCTATTCAGGAGGCTGAGGCAGGAGAATCGCTGGAACCCGGGAGGTGGAGGTTGCAGTGAGCCGAGATCATGCCACTGCACTCCAGCCTGGGCAACAAGAGCGAAACTCCGTCTCAAAAAAAAAAAAAAAAAAAAGAAGATATGCTTTACTGTTTGTAAATTATACTTCAAACAAAATGGCTGATTTTTAAAAATAGATGAGGATGTGCTATTTTCATTAACGTGAAAAGTTGTCTGTAACATAATAGGAAATAAGCAGGTTACAGGATGACATATGTTTGACAATCCCTATGTACAGAAAATATATGTGAGACAGGATCTGGAATGAGACTTTTCCTGTTGTCCTAGAGTTTTGCAGATGCCCTAAAGATAAGGACAAAGGTGGTAAGAGCTCACACTTGCTAAAGAGAGATGCCAGACCATCTCTATTTGGAACACACTCATGATGGTCAAGGTGGTCCGCAACCCCCACTCCGGATGGGTGCAGGAGAGAACGCTAGAGATTCATTAGTGAGGAGAGGGAGGGGAGTGAAGAGGAGGAGAGGGGGAGGGACAGGACGGTGTCTCTGAAGGGGATTCCTAGGAGTAAAGAATGTGAGCATTTCCCTTCCCTGAGGATGAGGGAGGGGTGCATACCTTTTCCCTTAAGCTAGGTGAGAACCAAGAAAGCCACTGCGAGGCTGCGTGCAGTATGGGAGTCTGGCATCTGCCTCTGGGTAAGCTACGGAGCCTTATCGGCCCAGCAAACTACAAAGACTGCGGAGGAACAGGGAGCAGGATCTTAGACAAGCTTCGTGTGTGTCTCCCGGAGCTTGGAGACGTGCATAAGTAGAGGAACCCATGCCAGGCTCCCAGGCTGGCTGGCACAGTGGGCGATGGCAGGGCGAGGAGAGAGGGCCACAGTGGGTGCAGGCTGCCTGTAACCGTGAGGCTAAGCAAGGACGTGGTGCTAGTTCTTAGTGAAAACTCAACTCGTTAATTTAAACAGAGTATAAGTTTTTAAAGAACACTGAATGTGGGGGGCGGGGCAGGGGAGCGAGAAAGCCAGGCCTAGAAAGTCAGCAACACCGAGCATCTGCTGAGCACTGCTCCAGTAAAAACATCACTGTTGTCACTGCCTCACACCAACATCTCCCTCCACAGCTGAGGGCACACAGCTTCATCTGGTTGGCAGAGGTCACATAGCTGCATCCTGGCTGCACATGGGTAGATGGACTAAATGTGGGAATTTCCCCAAATATAGAAGGGATACATATTGAATGATGCAGGATGGCCACAAATACGAAAAGCGCCCTGTCTAGTTAAGGACTTCCTACAGGCCAAGTGAATAACTGGGCATATTGACAGGCCCCCACCCAAGAAGGTGGCCTCCCGGGGCCAGGGGAATCCCGGGGACACAGTGCCAAAAGTGAGAACTGAAGGCAGCCCCAAGAAGTTAGGCAGAATGTTCAGTGGAATGGGGCATGCGACCCCCTCCCCAGGGGCATTGGGAGTGGCCAGGACGCAGGTGGTGGGTTTCTAGGGAACTTAAAAAAGCACATTTCAGGAGCCAGAGAGCAGAGAGCGTAGGGCCAGAGCAGAAGAGCTGGTCTGCCAGTGGGATGAGAGACCAAGGTTTTGATTTAGGTGGGATGTTTTAACATCTGAAAATGAACCTAAGTCCTGAAAATGACTAGAAAAGCTAAGACATCTTCCCACGTTCACATCAGGTGATGGGAAAGTGAAGGAAACAATACGTTGGAAGAAAGCAGCAACTTGACGGTTCCCTATGAATTCCCAATCGTCTGAAAGGTCTGGATGGCTAGATCCTAGGCAATTAGCAGCAGTTAAAATTAGGGAGGTGGCGTTCTTGAGGGGAGCTGTCAGTAGTTTTTATGAGCATGCTTTATTTTAAAAAGACAAGGGATATTTCTTTTTTAAAAAAATAGAGGTGGGGTCTCACTATGTTGCCCAGGCTGGTCTCAAACTCCTGGGCTCAAGCAATCTTCCTGCCTTGGTTTCCCAAAGTGCTGGGATTATGGGTGTGAGCCACTGTGCCTGGCCAACAAGGGATATTTCTATTAACAAATCTAGACATGATGAACCTTGAACACATTATGGCAAGTGAAAGCCAGACACAAAAGGCCACATATTGTGTGATTCCATTTATAAGAAATAGAATGGATAAAAAAGCAGATTAGTGGTTGACAGGGACTGGTGGGAGAGAGTGACTTTAATGGGGTTTCCTTGTGGGGTGATGAAAATGTTTCGGAACTAAATAGTAGTAATGATTGCACAACACTGTGGATGCGCTAAATGTCATAACAGTAAATTTCATGTACGTTTTACCACAATTTAAAAAAACAGAAGACAAAAAACTATAAAAAATCTAGATATATTGGCAAGGAAAGATGTCCACTATACAGTAATTTGAAAAAGTAGTTTCTAAAAGTATGTTACCTTTTATAAAAGCAAAACAAAACAATATAGTGTGATGTATATAGAAAGATATCTGAGTTTTTTGTTTTTGTTTTTGAGACAGGGTCTCACTCTATCACCCAGGCTGAAGTGCAGTGTGCAATCTTGGCTCACTGCAGCCTCCACCTCCCAGCTCAAGTGATCCTCCTGCCTCAGCCTCCCGAGTAGGTAGAACCTCAGGCGTGTACCACAACACCCAGCTAATTTTTGTACTTTTTGTAGAGATGGGGTTTTGCCATGTTTCCCAGGCTGGTCTTGAACTCCTGAGCTCAGGCCATCCACCTGCCTTGGCCTCCCAAAGTGCTGGGATTATAAGCATGAGCCACTGTGCCTGGCCTATAGAAAGATATCTGAAAGGACAGACACACCCTGAGTGTCAACAGTAGTTATTTAATGGATGGTGGGATTACAATTTATATTTTTCTATACTGTCTAATTTTCCTTTATAATGAACCACAACTATTTTTAATTAAAAATGTAGATAAGGTAAAAATTGGTAAGTACCTAAGAGAAGTACTGATAAAGGGCCGTGGGAGTGCAGACGCAGAAGAGACAGCTTCCAACTGTCTGGGTCCTTGTAACTGCCCTGAAGTAGCCTCCTGATGGGTGTTCTTACCGCTGGGCATCTTGCTTCAGGCACATCCTTTTCTTTTTCTTTTTTTTTTTGAGTCGGAGTCTCGCTCTGTCACCCAGGCTGGAGTGCAGTGGCACGATCTCAGCTCACTGCACGTTCCGCCTCCCAGGTTCACGCCATTCTCCTGCCTCAGCCTCCCGAGTAGCTGGGACTACAGGCAGCCGCCACCGCGCCCGGCTCATTTTTTGTATTTTTAGTGGAGATGGGGCTTCATCGTGTTAGCTAGGATGGTTTCGATCTCCTGACCTTGTGATCTGCTCACCTCAGCCTCCCAAAGTGCTGGGATTACAGGCGTGAGCCACCGTGCCCGGTGCTTCAGGCACATCCTATACGCTGCCACCTGGTGACTCTTCTGAAGCGCAGTGTGATCTGCTTATTCCCTGACTCAAACCTGCAGAGGTGCCTACTGCTTACTGAACATGCTCTCAATTCCTTGGCCAGGAATTCAGAGCCTTCCACCATCTGGCCCCAGCCTTTTAAGCCATTCCTTATCCTTCTCTACACTGTGCTCCAGCCACCTATCTGTTCCTAGTGCATGTGCACACACAATTATTCACCTCTCTGCCTCTGCTTATGGAATTCTCTCTGCTTGGAACATCTTTCTTTCTTTCTTTTATTTTTTATTTTTGAGACGGAGTCTCGCTCTGTCACCAGGCTGGAGTGCAGTGGTGTGATCTCGGCTCACTGCAATCTCCGCCTCCCAGGTTCAAGCGATTCTCCTGCCCTAGCCTCCCAAGTAGCTGGGACTACAGGCGCCTGCTACCACACCCGGCTAATTTTTGTATCTTTAGTAGAGACGGGGTGTCACCATGTTGGCTAGGATGGTCTTGATCTCTTGACCTCGTGATCCGCCTGCCTCGGGCTCCCAAAGTGCTGGGATTACAGGCGTGAGCCACCGCGCCTGGCCCAGAACATATTTCATAGGAGTGGGTAGGAGTCTCACTCCTACCTGGCCCTCCAATCCAAACTTTCAGAACTGGTGTCACTGCTTCCACTTGAGGCCAGTGGGGAGGGGCTGGATTTCCTCTCTCTCTTGCCCACTTCAACGGTACCTCTCCCAGACTATGAATCATAGTTTACCTTGTGTTATAGTGGTTTATGCTCACATACCATCTACTCTAGACCGTAAGCTCCTTACGGTCAGGGCTCATAATCAGCAAATTAAGAAAGAAATCTCTCAGGCATATTTTTATCTGCCAAATTTAGTTCAGTGGCTTTTCAAAGGCAGAAAAATAATGCAAGGCCCTTGGATGGCCCCATGAGTGTGCTTCCTGCATTCAAAAAGTCTCAATAATCCATCAGACTCAAAGGACAGCTCTCGACAAGTCAATGCTGTGCTGGGGACAGCTGGGTGGAGGTGCCATCTGCAGCAGATGTGCAAGGTCATCTTTGTGCCTAAGGAGAAACGTGGCTGAGCAATCGTCCAGCAACTGATCTTCTCTTGGAATAATTTGGTAGCACATTACAAAAATTAATAGACTTTATTTTTTATGGAAACTTTAGGTTCATAGAAAAACTGAGCAGAAAGTACAAAGCATTACCATAGATACCCTTCCCCAGACTCTACAGTTTCCCCTATTTTTAACATGTTGCATTTGTTTGTTAAAACTGATGAACCAATATTGATACATTGTTATTAATTAAAGTCCATAGTTTATATTAGGGGTCACTCTTTGTGTTGTTTACTTTTATGGGTTTTGACAGATCCATAATGTCACATGTTCACCATTAAGAGTATCATACAGAACAGTAGAGCTATAGTCCTAAATAGCCCCTGTGCTCCACCTATTCATTCCTCCCTCCCTCCTCCTGAATACCTGGCAATCACTGACCTTTTTTTCTGTCTCTGTAGCTTTGCCTTTTTCAGAAGGTCAAATAGGTGGAATCATACAGTATGCAGCCTTCTAAGATTGGCTTCTTTCACTTAAAATGAAAAAGAGGCATTTAAGGTTTCTCTATATCACTTCATGGCTTGATGGCTCATGTCTTTTTATTCCTGATAAATATTGCATTATATGGATGTATTACAGTTTGTTTACCCATTCATCTATGGAAGAACATGTTGGTTACTTCCAGTGTTTGGCAATTATGAATAAAGCTGCTGACGTTTACGTCAGGTGCAGGATTTTGTACAGTCATCAATTTCAACTCATTTGGGTAAATACCAAGGAGTGTAATTACTAGCTCATATGGTAAGAGTATGTTCAGATTTGTAAGAAACTGCCAAAGTGTTGGCCGGGCATGGTGGCGCATGCCTGTAATCCCAGCACTTTGGGAGGCTGAGGCGGGTGGATCACCTGAGGTCAGGAGTTAGAGACCAGCCTGCCCAACATGGGGAAACCCCATCTCTATTAAAAATACAAAAATCAGCTGGGCATGGTGGCGGGCGCCTGTAATCCCAGCTACTTGGGAGGCTGAGGCTGAGGCAGGAGAATCGCTTTATTGTGCAAGAACATTTAAGATCTATTGGCTTAGAATAGTGTTTACTAGAGGCAAGCAAAGATAAGCGGGAGAGGGTAGCCAAAGGTTGGCTAACAGGTTAACAGACACAAGAGTATATGGCTGGGCCGGGTACAGTGGCTCATGCCTGTAATCCCAGCACTTTGGAAGGCCAAGGCGGATCACTGAGGTCAGGAGTTCAAGACCAGCCTGACCAACATGGTGAAATCCTGTCTCTGCTAAAAATACAAAAATTAGCTGGGCATTGTGGCGCACACCTGTAATCCCAGCTACTCAGGAGGCTGAGACAGGAGAATCGCTTGAACCCAGGAGGCAAAGGTTGCAGTGAGCCGAGACCGTGCCATTGCACTCCAGCCTGGGCAACAAAAGCGAAACTCCATCTCAAAAAAAAAAAAAAGAAACTGCGAAAGTGTGTCTTCCAAAGTGGCTGTTCCATTTTGCATTCCCATCAGCAGTGAATGAGAGTTCCTGTTGCTCCACATCCTCACCAGCATCTGGTGTTGTCGGTGCTCTGGATTTTAACCATTCTAACAAGGGTGTAATAGTATCCCGTTGTTGTTTTAATTTGCATTTCCTTGTTGATACAATGCTGAAGATCTTTTCATATGCTTATTTGACATCTGTATATTTTCCTTGGTGAAGTGTCTATTCAGATTTTTTGCTCACTTTTTGATTGGACTATTGGTTTTATTGTTGAGTTTTAGGAATTCCTTATATATTTTGGACATAATTCCTTTATCAGAAGTGTGTTTTGCAAATATTTTCTCCCAGACTGTGGCTTGTCGTTTCATCATATTCTTTTTCTACCTTTGGGAAAATAAGCACCACAGCAGACAGATACACCTGGGTGATCTTTGACCTCCAGCACCTACTGGGCAACCCTGTTTGGCAGTCCATGTCTATGGGCTTGACTTGGCTTTGTGTCTGCTCTGAACAGAACCCAACTTACTAACATCTAAAGCAGGGGTGTCCAATCTTTTGGCTTCCCTAGGCCACACATAAAATACACTAACGTTAAAGGTAGCCGATGAGCTTAAGAAAAAAATCACAAAAAAGTCTCATAATGTTTTAAGAAAGTTTATGAATTTGTGTTGTGCCGCATTCAAAGCTGTCCTGGGCTGCATGTGGCCCATGGGCCATGGGTTGGACAAGCTTGATCTAAAGAAAAACTGACTTTTGGCATGGTGCGGTGGCTTATGCCTGTAATCCCAGCACTTTGGGAGGCTGAGGCAGGTGGATCACAAAGTCAGGAGTTCGAGACCAGCCTGGCCAACATGGTGAAACCCCATCTCTACTAAAGATACAAAAAAAAAATTAGCCAGGTGTGGTGGCGTGCACCTGTAATCCCAGCTTCTCGGGAGGCTGAGGCAGGAGAATCGCTTGAACCCAGGAGACAGAGATTGCAGTGAGCTGAGATCGCGCCATTGCACTCCAGCCTGGGCGACAGGGTGAGACTCTGTCTCAAAAAAAAAGAAAAGAAAAGAAAAGAAAAATTGACTTTTAACTCAAACAGAAAAACCTGGCCAGGCATGGCGGCTCTCACCTATAATCCCAGCACTTTAGGAGGGCAAGGCAGGAAGATCGCTTGAGGCCAAGAGTTCAAGACCAGCCTGGGTAAAACAGTGAAACCTTGTCTCCACAAAAAATTTAAAAAATTAGCCAGCCTCCTGCTTCAGCCCAGCAGTTGAGGCTGCAGTGAGTCATGATCACACCACTGTACTCCAGCCTGGGCAACAGAGCAAGATCCTGTCTCAAAAAAAAAAAAAAAAGAAAAGAAAGAAAAAAGAAAAGCCTGTCATTGCCACTTTTATAATTTATTGGAGTCAAGGTCTCATTCTGTCACCCAGGCTGGAGTGCAGAGGCAGGATCATGGCTCATGGAGCCTCACACTCCTGGGCTCAAGCGATCCTCCTGCCTCAGCCTCCCATGTTGTCGGGACCCCAGGCATGAGCCACTGCACCTGGCTATTGCCACTTTTGAAGTGTGCCAGAAAGTGTGTAATCATTGCCAAGCATGCGGAGTCTTTAAAAATGTTTAATTATCACTGCTGTGTTTTTTTTGGCCTTTCTTTATGCATTTATTCAATAAATCCTACAGCCTTGGGAGGAACCTGGTGTTGGGCCTGGCTTCTTGCTTGAAAAATGGCCCCACTGCCTCTTTCTCATGCCCTGGGCACCACATAATGAGGTGAGCCAGCAGCCTTCCCTCTCAATCCATGGACTGAGTTCAGAACAACTCCACCTGACCCTTTGGACAGCTTGCCAACTCCTGCATTCTGTTTCCACTTCCAGCCTCACCTTGCACTTCAGGTCTGCTACCTGCTGAGGTCTTTCTGGTTCCAACTTGGGGCTCATTCCACTGTGCCTTTGATCCCAGGAACATCTGATACAAAGATCTTCTCAGGTGACCCGGTCCCAGGTAATGTGCTTTCCACAGCTCATGTGGCCTCTCGGGTGGGACCAAAGGGAGATACACAGGAGAGTAAGATACAGCCTTGCTTCCAACAGTCTAGTTGGAAGGAGAGGATATTAAAGTAGTTTATGATGAGTGCCAAAAATTTCTACAGATAGTAAATACAGTTAGTACCATAGTTATTACTTAGGAGACTTGTACCCTGAATTTAATTAATCTCCCCCACACTTAAGTTTTCTCACCTCTAACAAAGGGGTGACAAGAATGTAACATTGTGTACAGGGAAGGTTTTCACATGGAAACATGAGCCTGGATACCCAGGAAAGATCAAAGATGGTCTCACCTTCTACTACATCAATGCTAAACTGCTACCCTGTCTAGCTACCTCTCTTCTCTTGGTTCCCAGGTGCACAGGCCCCCAGTTCAATGGACCAGGCTCTTCACAAAGAAGCCCTCTGTGTTTCTTGATTTCTTAGATCCTTGCTTTTCAAAGTGCGGTCCCGGGTCCAGCAGCAGCACTGGCATCACCTGGGAGCTCATTAGAAATGCAAATCCTCAGACCCCATCCCAGGCCCAGTGAATCAGGAATCTGTAGCTTAACAGGATCCCCAGGAGATTTATAAGACGTTACAGTTTGAAAAGCACTGGGATGAATGATCTTTAAATTCCCTTTCAGTTCTAAGCTTCTACAATCTATGACATTTCTTGTGACCCTGTCTGGAGGAGACTGCTGGGAGTTCCCTGGAAGGCTGCTGACTGGCTGGGCACTGAGCAAACCCGAGGGTGCCTCAGCAACCAGGCTCCAATGCCAGGCATCCAGGCATGGCAGGCAGCCACTGGCTGCAGGTTAGTGTGACCCTCTCGGAGATTCGTGCTGCCCTCCTGCCAGGGAAATGGCTCAAGTTGTCACGACAGAGCATGACCCTGAGATAGAAGCTGGGGGTGGTGCCCCCGTGCAATGAGCTTTGCTTGTTTGTGCAGGCTTCCTTGGAGCCTCACGTAGCCAGGCTCAGCTGCTCTGCCACCCTTTAGGCTGCTGGGTAGCCAGAGTAAGGAGAAAGGAAGAGAATGAAAAAGGACGATGTATGGCAAGTTCTGAGGTTGTGGACAAAGGGAAGAGGGTGCCTGCTAAAATGTTCCCCCCAAAGCAAAGAAAGCTTCAGATGTTGAACTCCTATGGTTTCTTGGGATGACAGAAGGATATGGAATAAGAGTAGTGCAGTGGGAATCAGCAGTGTGGGTTCTAGAGTAGACTTCCTCCTTTTGAATGATCTAGACAAGTCTCTTTCCCTTTCTGGATCTCAGTTTCCACATCTGTAATGTGAGATCAGATTAATTCATTCAAATACTATATTTGAGCCCCTGGGACATGGCTGACACATGACTAGGTGCTGGGAACACAAGTGATATTTATGGAGCTACACGTTGAATAATTTTCTAAAGAATCTTCCAGGGCTTGAATATTCTATTTTAGGACAGGCTCTGGACTCAGAGTTGGGTTCAAATCTGAACTTTATAACTTACTTACTAGTTGGGTGCAAGAAAGCTCTTAACTCTCAGTTTGCTCATATGGAAAATGGGCATAACAGTTTCTTTCATAATGGTGCTATGAGGATTAGAATGTAAGTGTAAGGCACCTCCCAGGAAGTACTCAACGCAGTCACTTATTAGACATTTACCATGTGCCCTGTGTGAGCGACATACTCTGGTATGAGGGCAACGAGCCACGCCTGGCTGCTGAGCACTTGAAATGCAGCTAGCTCATCTGAAATGTGCCGTGCTTGTAAAATACACACTGGAAACTGAAAACCTCGTATGAATGAAAGAATGCAAAATATCTCATTGACAATATTTTCTATTGATTACATGTTGAAATAATAATACTCTGGACATATTGGTTAAATAAAAGATATTAAAATTATTTTTACCTGTTTCTTTTCACTTTTTAAAATGTGCTAACTAGAAAATTTTAAATGGCATACATGGTTTATGTTATATTTCCGTGGGACAGAGACAGTCTAGAAGAAACAAAAGCATACTCTACTGTCCTTGTGCTCTGTGAGTTTACGTGTGGTTGGGAAGATAACATCCACCATCAACTCATACCCAAGAGAGCCCACCAGAGAGCAGGACTTGGAAGAAGCAGGAAAGAACACAACATGGGGACTATGGTTAATAGCAATAGATAGTATACTTGAAAATTACTAGAGTTTAAGTGTTCTCAACACACACACACAAAATAAGTATGTGAGGTAAATGCATATGATAATTAGCTTGATCTAGCATTCCACAGTGTATACATGTTTCAAAGCATCATGTTGTAGGCTGGTCATGGTGGCTCACGCCTGTAATCCCAGCACTTTGGGAAGCCAAGGCAAGAGGATTGCTTGAGGCCGGGAGTTTGAGACCAGCCTGGGGAACATAGCAAGTCTCTATCTCTACAAAAATAAAAAATAAAATAATTAGCCAAGTGTGATGGCAAGCACCTGGAGTCCCAGCTACTTGGGAGGCTGAGGCAGGAGGATCGCTTGAGTTCAGGAGTTTGAGGCTGCAGTGAGCCGTGATTGCGCCACTGCACTCCAGCTCTGGGTGACAGAGCGAGACCGTGTCTCTAAAAAAACCAAAACCCCCAAAACCAAAAACACAAAACAAATTAAAAACACACATTATGTTGTATACTATAAATATATATAATTTTTATTTGTCAATTTAAAAAAAGTAGAAAGGATGGGGGAAATCAGATGGTTTGGGGGGCAGTTAAGGAAGTCAGTTGTGAATATGACACGGGTAGGGAGAGGGCATTCCCAGTGGGATGTACCAGACTGTGAGCTCCTTCAGTGCGGATCTTTGATTCTCCCACCATGCCGTGCACGTGGCAGGTACCTGATGAGTACTTATTCTTTGCAGGGGCTGGGGGATGGGAGGCAGAGGGGAACACAGAAACAGTGCAGAGGGAGGATGAACACAGAGGGCTTGTTTGTGAAAAGCCTGATCCCGCTAAACTGGGGGCCTGTGCATCTGGGAATCTGGAGGAGAGAGGTTGCTAGACAGGGTGGCAGTTTAGCATGAACACAGTAGAACGTGAGGCCACCTTTGATCTTTCCTGGGTATCCAGGCTCATGTTTCCATATGAAAACCTTCCCTGTACACAATGTTACTGTAATAAAACTGGCCATTGACAAATCTGCTGGAACCTGTATATAGGAGGGAACACTGTCTATAATGTACATATCTTGGCAGGCCTAACCACCTACTCTAGCACATCCATTCATCTCTCATCCATTCAAACATTTCCTGAGCCCCTGCCTGGTGCCCAGATCCCACACCAGGTATGGGGGCTATGGAGATAATGGAGACATCATTCCTGCCATCTCTTTGAGCAGCGCTTGGCAAATCATGGCCTACAAGCCACAACCAGCCCACTGCCTGTTTTTGTAAGCAGTGTTTCACTGGAACACAGCCATGCTCAATCATTTATATACTGTCAGACTGCTTTTGTACTACAATGGAAGATTGAATAGTGCAACAGAGACCATGTGTCCCAGAAAACCTAAAGTATTCACTATTTAGCCATTTACAGAAGAATTTTTCTGATCCCTGCCTTAGAGTAACAGACATGTCAGCAAATAATGACAAAGTGACACGATTAGCATTCGAGAAAGGGATGAGCAAAGTATGGATGCACCAGGGAGATGAAAGGGAAGAGGTTCCAGGGAAGCCTCAGAGGGGGACCCCAGGCTGTGCCTTGGAGGACCATGGTTTGTGGGGCTCACAAGGGGGTAGTGAAGTGGAATAAAACTTTTTTTTTCTTTACTTTTTTTTTGAGATGGAGTCTCGCTGTGTCACTCAGGCTGGAGTACAGTGGCGCGATCTCTGCTTACTGCAACCTTCGCCTCCTGGGTTCAAGCGATTTTTCTGTCTCAGCTTCCTGAGTAGCTGGGATTATAGGTGTGCGCCACCACGCCCAGCTAATTTTTGTATTTTTAGTAGAGATGGGGTTTCACCATGTTCGTCAGGCTGGTCTTGAACTCTATTCTATTTTAAGGACAGGTTGTGAACCTGACCTCGTGATCCACCCGCCTCAGCTTCCCAAAGTGTTGGGATTACAGGTGTGAGCCACCGTGCCTGGCCGAAACTTTCAATAAGAAAAGATTGCATAGGTGAGTACACAAAGGCAAAACAGTCAATCCTGGAAGCTGGCTCTGACAGGAACACAAACTTCAATCAGGCCTGTGGGACAGCCCAGCAATGCCACTGCCATCCCCTAATCCCAACAATCTCCCTCTTTCCTGGATGACTGACTACTTTACACCTTCTCCCCTCTCCTCACACATCCAACGCCTCTGTTCACACTCTCAGCTGATGACCTCCTCATTTCCCTGGGAAATCGAGCAATCACGAGCAAACCTCCACATGCTCCCCCGTCACAGCCTCCCTCTTATCTGCAGCGTCTCCATCTCCTGACCTCATGATCCGCCCGCCTCGGCCTCCCAAAGTGCTGGGATTACAGGCGTGAGCCACCGCGCCGGGCCCCCAACTTCTAAATGCTCACGTTTCTCCATCCGCTGCCCTGGAAATCTCACCACATCTCGAGACATATCAGCGCTGTCCAGTAGAGTTTCCTGGGATGATGGAAATGTTCTATGTCTGCACAGTCCAATAGGGTAGCCCCTGCTCATATGTGGCTATGGTGCACTTGAAATGTGAAACGTGGCTTGTGCAACTGTGGGACTGAATTTTACAGTTTATTTAGTTTTAATTCATTTTGAATTTAAAGAGCCATACGTGGCTAGTGGCTACTATCTATATTGGAGAGTGCAGATCTATTTGCCGATGACTCCCAAATATAATTTTTTTTTTTTTGAGACAGAATCTCACTCTTTCACCAGGCTGGAGTGCAGTGGCGTGATCTCGGCTCACTGTAAGCTCTGCCTCCTGGGTTCCCGCTATTCTCCTGCCTCAGTCTCCCAAGTAGCTGGGACTACAGGCGCCTGCCACCATGCCCAGCTAATTTTTTGTATTTTTAGTAGAGACGGGGTTTCATCATGTTAGCCAGGATGGTCTCGATCTCCTGACCTCGTGATCTGCCCGCCTTGGCCTCCCAAAGGGCTGGGATTACAGGCCTGAGCCACTGCCCCTGGCATTTTTTTTTTTTTTTGAGATGGAGTCTCGCTCCGTCGCTAGGCTGCAGTGCAGTGGTGCAATCTTGACTCACTGCAACCTCCACCTCCCAGATTCAACTGATTCTCCTGCCTCAGCCTCCCAAGTAGCTGGGACTACAGGTGTGCACCATCATGCCCAGCTAATTTTTGTATTTTTAGTAGAGATGGGGTTTCACCATGTTGGTCATGCTGGTCTTGAACTCCTAACCTCAGGTGATCCACCCACCTCGGCCTCCCAAAGTGCTGGGATTACAGGTGTGGGCCACTGCGCCCAGCCCCAAATACACATTTTTATCTTCAACTGCTGCAAATTCCAAACTTGTGGATCCAACTCCCGCCAGACATCTCCACTTAGATGTCTAGTCTGCCCCACCATGGCCTTTTCCATCTTAGTAAACAATAACTCGACCCTTCCAGTTGCTCAGGCCAAAAAACCTTAGAGAGAGTGGTGTGATCATGGCTTACTGCAGCCTTAACCTCCTGGGCTCAAGCAATCCTCCCACCTCAGCCTCCCAAGTAGCTGGGATACAGGCACACACCACCATGACTGGCTGATTTTTTTTTTTGGCAGAGATGGGGTTTTGAGACTTTGCCCAGGCTGTTCTTGAACTCCTGGGCTCAAGCAATCCTCCTGCCTTGGCCTCCCAAAATGCTGGAATTACAGGCACGAACTACCTGCCTGGCTGACTCCTCCCTTTCATGC
The DNA here is from genome assembly GCF_000001405.40 of Homo sapiens. Classification (NCBI taxonomy): domain Eukaryota; kingdom Metazoa; phylum Chordata; class Mammalia; order Primates; family Hominidae; genus Homo; species Homo sapiens. The sequence goes on along the minus strand of NC_000015.10, from coordinate 76,103,203 downwards.
CCCACATCCGATCTGTTAGCGAGTATGTCAGTTTTACCTTCATAATACCTCCCAAATTGTACCACTGCTCACCACCTCTCTCATCCTGGTCCAAACCCCCACTATCTCTCGGCCGATTACTGCCATAGACTCCTGTCTCCCTGCTTCCCCCTTTGCCTGTCCTCCACATAGCAGAAACCCAAGTCAGATGACTTGCTCCCCGTTTACCACCTCCCATGGCTTCCTATCCTGGCCAGTGCATGATGGTTTCAAGGTTCTAGGTTCTATCCTCTGTCCCCTGCTGCCTCGCCAGCTTCTCCCACCTCTTTCCTCTGTGTTAACCTCTCTAGCCACACTGACTCCGTTTTTTTTTTTTTTTTTTTTGGAGATAAGGGTCTCACTCTGTTGCCCAGGCTGGAGTGCACTGGCATCATCTTGGCTCACTGCAACCTCCGCCTCCCGGGTTCAAGTGATTCTCCTGCCTCAGCCTCCCAAGTAGCTGGGATTACAGGCACATGCCACCATGCCTGGCTAATTTTTGTATTTTTAGTAGAGATAGAGTTTTGTCATGTTGTTCAGGCTGGTCTCGAACTCCTGACCTCAGGTGATCCACCCACCTTGGCTTCCCAAAGTGCTAGGATTACAGGCATGAGCCACCGCACCCGGCCTGACTCCATTTTTCCAACATGTCAAGCACACTTCCTTCTCTGAGACCTTTCTCCACCTGGAATGCTCTTCTCTCAGGTGTCCATGGCTTACATTCTCTCATCTCCTTCAGGTCTTTGCACAAATGTCACCTTATTCACAAAGACTCCCCTGACCACCCTAATTAAAATAGCAGCCACCCCGCCCACATTCCCTATCTCCCAGCTTTATTTTTCTTCAGAACATGTCTCACCTTCTGAATAAATTTTATGATAATTATTTATGATCTTCCCCACTAGAATGTAAGTTACTTGGAAGCAGGGATTTCATTTCAAGATAACTGTCTTTGCAGCACCAAGAACAAAGCTGCTCAAGAAATAGTTGTTAAATGAATGAGGTATAAGTGAGGAAGAGTATAAGAAGGTAGAGAGGATGGAGAGGTCCCATCCTAGTGTCATGAAGACACTAGGGGACATAATGTTAGGGGCCTGGATATGGGTGAGTGAAGAGTTGCCGCAGGTCACCCAATCACCTAGCCCTCCAGCCCAGGTGGCTTCTTCCAGTACTGTCGGCCTCCCACAGCCTCCATCTGTATGCAGTAGGAGGAAGGCACACCCCTAATTCCAGTTGGGGATGCTGCTGTTTGCCATGCATAGCTGGAGTGGCTCCCAAGTGCCCCGTCCAATGGAGGGCAGTCCTTGAAGCATATCAAGCCACCTCCGAGCATCTACCCCCAACCTGTGTTGGCAGCTGGCCAGGCGTGGGGAAATGACCTGCCTGCAGGGTGCTCTCCCTCTGCTCTGGCTGTGAGAGGGGAGTGCAGTCTGAGGGTGATAAAGGAGGTGGGAGCGGTGTATCCCCTCTTTGTGGGTCTGAGACTGAAATACTAGGAGCAGTAGGATTGCATTTTCTAGATACTGACATTTGTCTGTTGTGGAGTTAGAGCATTTCCCTACTAGAAGAATCCTTGGATATAATGTAGGAACTAGTCCGACTATATCACTTCATAGGTAAAGAAGCCAAAGCCCAGAGTGGTGACCTTCCCAAAGTCTCCCAATGTGTCAGTGCCTGCACCAGTTCTGGAACTTGCGTCTACCTCCTGGATCTCTTCAGACAGGGCACTGCCTGGATAACAGTGTCTGTCCTCTGGATGATTTATCTCAGCCTATCTTTCAGACCAGTCCCGGTGTTCTCAACAAACTGCTTACTGCAGAGTCCTTTCTTCCATTGGGTTTTAACCTCTGTGCCTGTAAATAAGGTTCTGGTCCTGATCCTTACTCAGATGATGGAAATTAGAAGACTACTGTAGTTGTCATGGCAACTCTGAAGCTCTTTTGCACCAGGTACTTCAGCTACTTGACATCCCTCAGCAGGATGGTTAGCTGAGTTCCAGCTCTGTTGCTGACTGCCATGTGATCCTGGGAAAGTCACTAATTCATCCTTCCATTCACCCAGCCATCATCTACTAACATCCAAAAAGAATCTGTGCCAGCTTGCAACATTACATGCAGAGACCACCATTAAAAGCTCAAAACCATGTTCAGGTAGAAATACAGAGAGAATATAGAAAAAAAAAAAAACCAAGGTAAGCATTGAACACATATTGCTTTGATGATGAGGAAAAACTACTTAAAAACCTAAGCTGATACAAGTCCTACAATTGAACAGGAAATTTAGTTGTGGTCTTTCAAGTCTTTTTCATTCCCTGGCCTCAGTTTCCTCACCTGTATTATAAAAATCATGGGGTTGAACACAATGATCTAAGATCCATTTCAGTGTTGATATTCTGTGATTCTGTCTTTATAGGCAGATGGGACAGAGTGTCCACTCTACACTTCTTTCTTTTTCCATTTCCTTCTTTCCCAGGGGCAGCGAAATGACTGACACATGGAAATAACCTAAGCTGTGTCTTCTGAGTTCCCTGAATTGAAGGAAATGAAATGGATACAGTCTGGCATTAGCAAAATCCACTTATCCAGCTCATTCAACATTGACCAAACACCTACGATAGGCAGGGCATGGCACCAAGGCTATGGAGATATGCCAGGAAAATCTGACAAAGACTGTCCTCAAGACATTTTCAAGGGCAACTATAGTAAAGTCAGAAGTAGTGGGTTCTAAGGAGGGGAGAAATCAAACTCCACAGGAGCTCAAAGGATGGAGAACCCATTTTTTAGTGAGGGAATTAGAGAAGCTTTTGGAGGAAACTTTTTAACAAGGCCTTGAAGGAGGGATAGGATTTTTAAATTATGAAAGTAATCCATTTACATAGTAATAACAATTCAAATGGTTCAGGAGTATATAAAATAACAGAAAATATAAGTTTTCCTCCCAGTCTCCCATCTCTAGTCCGACCTGCAGAGGAAACCACCTTGGGTTACTTTTACAATTCACTTGTCTTACTACGTCAACTTGGGTGAGTATCTCCTGCCCTCTAGAATGTCGTATGAGGCAGTGATATGTTTCCCTCTGTGTCCCCACCCAAATCTCATCTCAACTTGTAATCCCCATGTGTTGAGGGAGGGGCCTGGTGGGAGGTGATTGGATCACAGGGGCAGATTTCCCCCTTGCTGTTCTCATGATAGTGAATGAATTCTCATGAGATCTAACGGTTTAAATTTGTGTGGCACTTTCTTTTTCTCTCTCCTCTGTCTCCTCTCTCTCTCCCTCTCCTGCTTTGTGGTGGTAAGATGTGCTTGCTTCCTCTTTGCCTTCCACCATGATTGTAAGTTTCCTTAAGCCTGCAGAACTGTGAGTCAATTAAACCTCTTTTCTTTATACATTACCCAGTCTCAGGTAAGAATAGTTCTTTATAGCACTGTGAAAATGGACTAACCCAGGCTGTTGGCAATCAAATACGTCTCCCTGCCTCTCCCATGAAGGCAGGACAGCAGAGCACACCCGTACATTCTGGGGCCTGACAACCAGGGTGCCAATCTCAATGCTTCCATTTTCCAGCTCTATGACTCTGGGCAGGCTACTTCGCCTCTTCACACCTCAGTTTCCTTATTTGGAAAATGGGTTTAAAAATAGCACCTGGGATTGTTGGCAAGATGGCCAAATAGGAACAGCTCCGGTCTGCAGCTCCCAGCGAGGTCGACACAGAAGATGGGTGATTTCTGCATTTCCAACTGAGGTATCCGGTTCATCTCACTGGGACTCGTTGGACAGTGGGTGCAACCCACAGAAAGTGAGCTGAAGCAGGGTGGGGCGTTGCCTCACCTGGGAAGCACAAGAGGTCAGGGAATTTTCTCCCCTACCCAAGGGAAGCTGTGAGGGACTGAGCCTGAGGAACTCCAGCACAGATACTGCACTTGTCCCACTGTCTTCGCAACACGCAAACCAGGAGATTCCCTCTGATGCCTTCCCCAGCAGGGCCCTGGGTTTCGAGCACAAAACTGGGTGGCCACTTGGGCAGACACCAAACTAGCTGCAGGAGTTCTTTTTTTCCATACCCCAGTGGCGCCTGGAACGACAGTGAGATAGAACCATTCACTCCCCTGGAAAGGGGTGCTGAAGCCAGGGAGCCAAGTGGTCTGGCTCAGTGGGTCCCACCACCATGGAGCCCAGCAAAGTAAGATCCACTAGTTTGAAATTCCCACTGCCAGCACAGCAGCTGTCTGAGATGGACCCGGGACACTCTAGCTTGGTGGGGGGGAGGGGCGACCACCATTGCTAAGGCTTGAGTAGGCAGTTTCACGCTCACAGTGTAAACAAAGCTGCTGGGAAGTTTGAACTGGGCAGAGTCCACTGCAGCTCAGCAAGGCTGCTGTGGCCAGACTACCAGATTTCTCTTCTCTAGGCAGGACATCTCTGAAAAAAAGGCAGCAGCCCCAGTCAGGGACTTATAGATAAAATCCCCATCTCCAAGGGACAGAGCACCTGGGGAAAGGGGCGGCTGTGGGTGCAGCTTCAGTAGACTTAAACGTCCCTGCCTGACAGCTCTGAAAAGCACAGCAGATCTCCCAGCACAGTGTTCAAGCTCTGCTAAGGGTCAGACTGCCTCCTCAAGTGGGTCCCTGATCCCCGTGTATCCTAACTGGGAGACAGCTCCCAGTAGGGGCCGACAGACACCTCATACAGGAGAGCTCTGGCTGGCATCTGGCAGGTGCCCCTCTGGGACGAGGCTTCCAGGGGAAAGATCAGGCAGCATCTTTGCTGTTCTGCAGCCTCTGCTGGTGATGCCCAGGCAAACAGGGTCGGGAGTGGTCCTCCAGCAAACTCTAGCAGACCAGCAGCAGAGGGGCCTGTCAGAAGGAAAGCTAACAAACAGAAAGGAATAGCACAACCACCCAAAGATCCCATCTGAAGGTCACCAACATCAAAGACCAAAGGTAGATAAATCCACAAAGATGGGGAGAAACTAGTGGGAAAAGGCTGAAAATTCCAAAAACCAAAATGCCTCTTCTCCTCCAAAGGATCACAGCTCCTTGTCAGCAAGGGAACAAAACTGGATGGAGAATGAGTTTGATGAATTGACAGAAGTAGACTTCAGAAGGTGGGTAATAACAAACTCCTCCAAACTAAAGGAGCATGTTCTAACCCAATGCAAGGAAGCTAAGAACCTTGAAAAAAGGTTAGACGAATTCCTAACTAGAACAGTGTAGAGAAGAACATAAATGACCTGATGGAGCTGAAAAATATACCACGAGAACTTCATGAAGCATACACAAGTTTCAATAGCCAAATCAATCAAGTGGAAGAAAGGATACCAGTGATTGAAGATCAACTTAATGAAATAAAGAGAGAAGACAAGATTAGAGAAAAAAGAATAAAAAGGAATAAACAAAGCCTCCAAGAAATATGGGACTATGTGAAAAGACCAAATCTACGTTTGATTGGTGTATCTGAAAGTGACAGGGAGAATGGTACCAAGTTGGAAAACACTCTTCAGGATATTATCTAGGTTGGGGAGAACTTCCCCAACCTAGCAAGACAGGCCAACATTCAAATTCAGGAAATACAGAGAACACCACAAAGATACTCCTCAAGAAGAGCAACCCCAAGACCCATAATCGTCAGATTCACCAAGGTTGAAATGAAGGAAAAAATGTTAAGGGCAGCCAGAAAGGTCGGGTTACCCACAAAGGGAAGCAGCAGATCTCTCTGCAGAAACCCTACAAGCCAGAAGAGAGTGGGGACCAATATTCAACATTATTAAAGAAAAGAATTTTCAACCCAGAATTTCATATCCAGCCAAACTAAGCTGCATAAGTGAAGGAGAAATAAAACCCTTTACAGACAAGCGATAAAGCTGAGAGATTTTGTCACCATCAGGACTGCCTTAGAGCTCCTGAAGGAAGCACTAAACATGGAAAGGAACAACCAGTACCAGCCACAGCAAAAACATACCAAATTGCAAAGAACATCAACACTATGAAGAAACTGCATCAATTGACGGGCAAAATAACCAGCTAGCATCATAATGACAGGATCAAATTCACACATAACAATATTAACCTTAAATGTAAACAGGCTAAATGCCCCAGTTAAAAGACACAGACTGGCAAATTGGATAAAGAGTCAAGACCCATCTGTGTGCTGTATTCAGGAGACCCATCTCACGTGCAAAGACACACATAGGCTCAAAATAAAGGGATGGAGGAATATTTACCAGGAAAATGGAAAGCAAAAAAAAAAAAAAAAATCAGGAGTTGCATCCTAATCTCTGATAAGACAGACTTTAAAGAAACAAAGACCAAAAGAGAAAAAAAGGGCATTACATAATGGTAAAGGGATCAATGCAGCAAGAAGAGCTAACTATCCAAAATATATATGCACCCAATACAGGAGCACCCAGATTCATAAAGCAAGTTCTTAGAGACCTATAAAGAGACTTAGACTTCAACACAATAATAGTGGGAGACTTTAACACCCACCTGTCAGTATTAGACAGATCAACGAGACAGAAAATTAACCAGAATATTCGGGACTTGAACTTAGCTCTGGACCAAGTGGACCTAATAGACATCTACAGAACTCTCTACCCCAAATCAACAGAATATACATTCTTCTCAGCACCACATCACACTTATTCTAAAATTGACCACATAATTAGAAGTAAAACACTCCTCAGCAAATGCAAAAGAACAGAAATCATAACAGTCTCTCAGACCACAGTGCAATCAAATTAGAACTCAGCATTAAGAAACTCACTCAAAACTGCACAACTACATGGAAACTGAACAACCTGCTCCTGAATGACTACTGGGTAAATAATGAAATTAAGGCAGAAATAAAGATGTTATTTGAAACCAATGAGAACGAAAACACAACGTTTCAGAATCTCTGGGATACATTTAAAGCACTGTGCAGAGGGAGATTTATAGCACTAAATGCCCACAAGAGAAAGCAGGGAATATCTAAAATCAACACCTTAACATCAAAAGTAAAAGAACTAGAGAAGCAACAGCAAATTCAAAATCTAGCAGAAAACAAGAAATAACTAAGATTAGAGCAGAACTGAAGGAGATAGAGACAAGAAAAATCCTTCAAAAAATCAATGAATCCAGGAGCTGGTGTTTTGAAAAGAACAACAAAATAGATAGTCTGCTAGCCAGACTAATAAAGAAGAAAAGAAAGAATCAAATAGATGCAATAAAAAATGATGAAGGGGATATCACCACTGACCCACAGAAATGCAAACTACCACCATCAGAGAATACTATAAATACCTCTACGCAAATAAACTAGAAAATCTAGAAGAAATGGATAAATTCCTGGACACATACACCCTCCCAAGTCTAAACCAGGAAGAAGTCGAATCCCTGAATACACCAATAACAAGTTCTGAAATTGAGGCAGTAATTAATAGCCTACCAACCAAGAAAAGCCCAGGACCAGATGGATTCACAGCCGAATTCTACCAGAGGTACAAGGAGGAGCTGGTACCATTCCTTCTGAAACTATTCCGATCAATAGAAAAAGAGGGAATCCTCCCTAACTCATTTTATGAGGCCAGCATCATCCTGATACCAAAACCTGGCAGAGACACAATAAAAAAAGAAAATTTCAGGCCAATATCCCTGATGACAATCGATGCGAAAATCCTCAATAAAATACTGGCAAACTGAATCCAGCAGCACATCAAAAAGCTTATCTACCACGATCAAGTCGGCTTCATCCCTGGGATGCAAGGCTGGTTCAACATATGCAAATCAATACACATAATCCATCACATAAATGGAGCCAATGACAAAAACAACATGATTATCTCAATAGATGCAGAAAAGGCCTTTGACAAAATTCAACAGCCCTTCATGCTAAAAACTCTGAATAAACTAGGTATTGATGGAATGTATCTCAAAATAATAAGAGCTATTTATGACAAACCCACAGCCAATATAATACCAAATGGGCAAAAACTGGAAGCATTCCCTTTGAAAACTGGCACAAGACAAGGATGCCCTCTCTCACCACTCCTATTCAACATAGTATTGGAAGTTCTGGTCAGGGCAATCAGGCAAGAGAAAGAAATAAAGGGTATTCAAATAGGAAGAGAGGAAGTCAAATTGTCTCTGTTTGCAGATGACATGACTGTATAGTTAGAAAACCCTGTTGTCTTGGCCCAAAAACTCCTTAAGCTGATAAGCAACTTCAGCAAAGTCTCAGGATACAAAATCAGTGTGCAAAAATCACAAGCATTTCTATACACCAATAACAGACAAACACAGCCAAGTCATGAGTGAACTCCCAATCACAATTGCTAAAAGAGAATAAAATACCTAGGAATACAACTTACAAGGGATGTGAAGGACCTCTTCAAGGAGAACTACAAACCACTGCTCAAGGAAATAAGAGAGGACAAAAACAAATGGAAAAACATTCCATGCTCATGGATAGGAAGAATTAATATTGTAAAAATGGCTATACTGCTGAAAGTAATTTATAGATTCAATGCTATCCCCATCAAGCTATCACTAACTTCCCTCACAGAACTGGAAAAAACTACATTAAAAATCATATGGAACCAAAAAAGAGCCTGCATAGCCAGGACAATCCTGGGCAAGAAGAACAAAGCTGGAGGCATCATGCCACCTGACTTCAAACTATACTACAAGGCTACAGTAACAAAAACGGCATGGTACTGGCACCAAAACAGATACATAGACCAATGTGACAGAACAGCAACCTCAGAAGTAACACCACACATCTACAACCATCTGATCTTTGACAAAGCTGACACAAACAAGCAATGGGTAAAAGATTCCCTATTTAATCAATGGTGTTGGGAAAACTGGCTAGCCATCTGCAGAAAACTGAAACTGGACCCCTTCCTTACACCTTATAGAAAAATCAACTCAACATGGATCAAAGACTTAAACATAAGACCTAGGACTATAAAAATCCTAGAAGAAAACCTGGGCAATACCATTTAGGACATAGGCAATGGCAAAGGCTTCATGTCTAAAACACCAAACGCAATGGCAACAAAAGCCAAAATTGACAAATGGGATCAAATTAAACTAAAGAGCTTCTGCACAGCAAAAGAAACTATCATCAGAGTGAACAGGCAACCTACAGAATGGGAGAAAATTTTTGCAATCTATGCATCTGACAAAGGGCTAACATACAGAACCCAGAAAGAACTTAAACAAATTTACAAGAAAAAAACAAGCAACCCCATCAAAAAGTGGGCAAAGGATATGAACAGACCCTTTTCAAAAGAAGACATTTATGCAGCCAACACACATATGAAAAAATGCTCATCATCACTGGTCATCAGAGAAATGCAAATCAAAACCACAATAAGATACCATCTCCCACCAGTTAAAATGGCGATCATTAAAAAGCCAGGAAACAACAGATGCTGGAGAGGATGTGGAGAAACAGGAATGCTTTTTACACTGTTGGTGGGAGTGTAAATTAGTTCAACCATTGTGGAAGACAGTGTGGTGATTCCTCAAGGATCTAGAACTAGAAATACCATTTGACCCAGCAATCCCATTACTGGGTATATACCCAAAGGATTATAAATCATGCTACTATAAAGACACATGCACACGTATGTTTATTGCAGCACTATTCACAATAGCAAAGACTTGGAACCAACCCAAATGTCCATCAATAACATATACACCATGGAATACTATGCAGCCATAAAAAAGAATGAGTTCATGTCCTTTGCAGGGACATGGATGAAGCTGGAAACCATCATTCTCAGCAAACTATCACAAGAACAGAAAATCAAACACCGCATGTTCTCACTCATAAGTGGGAGTTGAACAATGAGAACACATGGACATAGGGAGGGGAACATCACACACCAGGGCCTGTTGGGGGGTGGGGGGCTAGAGGGAGGGATAACATTAGGAGAAATACTTAATGTAGGTGACAGGTTGATGGGTGCAGCAAATTAACATGGCACGTGTATACCTATGTAATTAAAACTGCACATTCTGCACATGTATCCCAGAACTTAAAGTATAATAATAAAAAAAAGAATAAATAAATAAATAAATAAAAATAGCACCTGGCTGGGCACGGTGGTTTACGCCTGTAATCCCAGCACTTTAGGAGGCCGAGGCGGGTGGATCACGAGGTCAGGAGTTCGAGACCAGCCTGACCAATATGGTGAAACCCCGTCTCTACTAAAAATACAAAAATTAGTTGGGTGTGGTGGTGCACGCCTGTAATCCCAGCTACTCAGGAGACTGAGGCAGGAGAATCACTTGAACCTGGGAGGCAGAGGTTGCAGTGAGTCGAGAGTGTGCCACTGCACTCCAGCCTGGGTGATAGAGCGAGACTCAGTCTCAAAAAAAAAAAAAAAAAAAAAGCACCTAACTCATAGCATTGTCATGAATTCAATAACCCATAAAAGGCTTAGAATACTGACTAGAACATAGTATAGATTCAGTGACTATTAGCTATATTATTTATTTATTTATTTAGAGATGGAGTCTTGCTCTGTTGCCCAGGCTGAAGTGCAGTGGCACAGTCTCAGCTCACTGTAATTTCCGCTTCCCGGGTTCAAGCAATTCTCCTGCCTCAGCCTCCAGAGTAGCTGGGATTACAGGCACCTACCACCAAGCCCGGCTAATTTTTGTATTTTTAGTAGATACGGGGTTTCGCCATGTTGGCCAGGCTGGTCTCAAACTCCTGACCTCAGCTGATCCGCCCGCCTCGGCCTCCCAAAGTGCTGTGATTACAGGCATGAGCCACCACGCCCAGCTATTGGATTATTAATATCCTTCTCAACATGCCAACTTTGATTAGCTGTACCAATATTTTGTTACATGTTGAGCTTTAAATAATTTGTGTTCTGTTCTGAAACTATACAAAGTTTAGCATGCTTTGGGAAATTGCTCTTAAACTGAATCTAAAACATGAAGACCAATAAGCAGCATTTATACTATAATTACAGTATATTCACTGCAGAATCAGGTAGTGTGGTTAAATCAGGACAGAAAGGGATATAGTACTATTTCATTATATCCATGTTGCTGGATAGAGAAAGTTCAAGTATACAGATTTCTTTTTTTCTTATACTCTATCATATCGCTCAACATGATACTATATTTTAGCCTGCTTCATATTTGATCCATGACTTTTGCCATAGGTTTTTCTTTTCTTTTCTTTTCTTTTTCTTTTGAGACAGGGTCTTGCTCTGTTGCCAGGCTGTAGTGCAGTGGCATAATCAGTGCTCACTGCAGTCTTGACCTCCTGGGTTCAAGCTATCCTCCTGCCTCAGCCACCATGGTAGTTGGGATCATAGGGATGTGCCACCACACCAGGATAATTTTTGTATTTTTTGTTTCAAAATAGGGTTTCACTATGTTGCCCAGGCTGGTCTTGAACTCCTGGGCTCAAGTGATCCTCCCGCCTCAGTTTCCCAAAGTGCTGGGATTACAGGTGTGAGCCACTGCGCCCAGCCTCCATAGGTTTTTCTTTATCCTTCTGAGGTTTCTCATTGCCTACTTCTTATAGAAAGTAGAAACAGGAAGCAGAAATAAATGTTTTCTCCATTTTATGAAAGATCATCAAGATCCCCAAATTTTCTGTTAATTGATAATTTTTGTTTTGTTTTGTTTGAGATGGGGTTTCACTCTGTCATCCAGGCTGGAGAGCAGTGGTGCAATTATGTCTCACTGCAGCCTCGAACTCCTGGGCTCCAGATATCCTCCCACCTCAGCCTCCCAAAGTGCTGGGATTACAAGCATGGGCCACCACTCCCGGCCCTTAAACTGTCAATTTAAGACACATTACTCTGTGGGTCTGCTGCATAACTGTCATCCTGGCCTGGCTCCATTTTTTTTCTGAGGTCCCATGTCTTCCTCTTTGTTGAGTTCCTTTTATCTTTGCTGGAGTACACCCTCAAGTAATTTTTTTCAGTAAAATTATATAGAAAAATCTTCTGAGTCTCTACATGTCTGAAAGCAATTTGGTCTGCATCATGCCTTCTCCATTTTTTTCCTCTCACTTCAACACTATGGCTTTCACTACACTCCAATAAAAATGATCTTGATATGTTAGCCAGGATCTCCTAATTACCAAACCCAGTGGACACTTTTTTCCCTTTTATTTTTAGTTGACATGTAATTGTACATATGTATAGGATACACAGTGATATTTTGATACATGTATACAATGTGTGATGATTAAACCAGGGTAATTAGCATATCCATCACCTAAACATATATCATTTCTTTGTGTTGTGAATATTAAAATACTGTCTTATAGCTTTTGGAAAATATACAATAGATTACTGTTAACCATATTTACCCCCCAGTACTATAGAATACTATAACTTATTCCATCCATCTAGCTGTAATTTTGTATCTGTTAGACAACCTCTCCCTGTCCTACCCTCTTCCTCACCCTTCCCAGCTTCTAATAGTCACAATTCTAATCTCTCTACTTCTATGAGCTCAGATTGTTTTAGCTCCCAAATCCCGTGGACACTTTTAACCCTACCCATTTATTGTAGAATTTGACACTGTTGATAACCCTCTGATTCTTAAAACTCTCAGTTCCCTTGGTTCTTGGGACACTGTGCATCCTTTGCCCTTTTCCTCTCTTTTTGTTTCCTTTGAGGTTCTGCATTCTTTTCCCAACTTTTTTCTTTTTCTCTTTTTTTTTTTTTTTTTTTGAGACAGAGTCTTTCTCTGTCACCCAGCCTGGAGTGCAGTGGTGTGATCTTGGCTCACGGCAACCTCCACCTCCCAAGTTCAAGTGATCCTCCTGCCTCAGCCTCTTGAGCAGCTGGGATTGCAGGTGTGCACCACCATGCCTGGCTAATTTTTGTATTTTTAGTAGAGCCAAGGTTTCGTCATGTTGGCCAGGCTGGTCTTGAACTCCTGGCCTCAAGCAATCCACCCACCTCAGCCTCCCAAAGTGCTGGGACTATAGGAGTGAGCCATCATGCCCGGCTCTCTTCCCAATCTTTCAATACTGATATTCTCTGATGTCCCATCTCTACCCACTGACGGTCTTTCTCATAAATGGGCTTTCTGAAATAGCTCATCTAGCACTATGATTTCAGCCACCAACTATCTGATGACATAAAGCACTAAATGTCACACACGAATTTCAAAATTAGTCTATCCAAATCTTAACTGATTATCTTACCTCCATCCAAAGGCTGTTTCCATGTTCGTGGTTTTTATTTTGTCTTGTGAAGTTACCATCCACCCAAATCTTCCCAGTTAAGAGCCATGGGAGTCATCCTTAATCTTTCCCTCTTTCACAGCCCCCAACCAGTTGCCAAATCCTCTCAAATCTCTCAGAAATGTCTCTGGAGTTTCATCATCTTCTCTAGTCTCACTGCTACCCTAATTCAGATCCTCATTATTTCTCACTTGGATTACTGAAACAACTCCCAACTTGCCCCTCTGCCCTCGCCTGTGCCCTTGCCTCTCCTGTCGGTACATCCTTCATTCAATTAGTGATCATCCCAAAACAAAAAACGCACGACCATATCTTTGCCCTATTTAAGACCCTAGCTAGCTCCCTCCTGCTCACAGAATGTTTAAACTTATTAGTATCATACACAACCTTTTGCAATTTATCTCTCCCCATTTCCATTTCCAGCCTTCCCTCTCACCCTTCAACCCCACGAATTCTACAATTCAGCTATAAGAAACTTCTGGGCTGGGCGCGGTGGCTCAAGCCTGTAATCCCAGCACTTTGGGAGGCTGAGGCGGGCAGATCACAAGGTCAGGAGATCGAGACCATCCTGGCTAACACGGTGAAACCCCGTCTCTACTAAAAATACAAAAAAATTAGCCGGGCGTGGTGGCGGGCGCCTGTAGATCCAGCTACTTGAAAGGCTGAGGCAGGAGAATGGCATGAACCCGGAGCGGCAGTTGCAGTGAGCCGAGATTACGCCACTGCACTCCAGCCTGGGCAACAGAGCGAGACTCCATCTCTAAATAAATAAATAAATAAATGAAACTTCTGAAGATCACGGCCCCTGCTCACACCTGTAATACTTCCTCTTGAAGACTCTATGCTTTTCTTTTTCCTCTTTTTTTTTTTTTTTTTTTTTGAGACAGAGTCTTGCTCTGTTGCCCAGGCTGGAGTGCAGTGGCACGATTTCGGCTCACTGCAACCTCTGTCTCCTAGGTTCAAGCGATTCTCATGCCTCAGCTACCTGAATAGCTGGAGTAACAGGCATGTGCCACCATGCCTGGCTACTTTTTGTATTTTTAGTAGAGACGGGGTTTCACCATGTTGGCCAGGCTGCTCTTGAACTCCTGACTGCAAGTGATTCACCCACCTTGGCCTCCCAAAGTGCTGGGATTACAGGCGTGAACCACCATGCCCCGCCTTTTTTCCCTTTTTTGAGATGGAGTCTCACTCTGTAGCCCAGGCTGGAGTGCAGTGGCGTGATCTCAGCTCACTGCAAGCTCCGCCTCCCGGGTTCATGCCATTCTCCTGCCTCAGCCTCCCGAGTAGCTGGGACTACAGGCGCCTGCCACCACGCCTGGCTAATTTTTTGTATTTTTTAGTAGAGATGGGGTTTCACTGTGTTAGCCAGGATGGTCTCGATCTCCTAACCTCATGATCCACCCACCCTGGCCTCCCAAAGTGCTGGGATTACAGGTGTGAGCCACTGGGCCCAACCACTTTATTTTCTTTTTTTCTTTTCAATAGAGACAAGGTCTCCCTCTGTTGCCCAGGTTGGTCTCGAACTCCTGGGCTCAAGGGATCCTCCTGCCTTGGCCTCTAAAGTGCTAGGATTGTAGGTGTGAGCCACTATGCCTGGCTGATGCTTTTCTATTTACTGTTTCTTTCCTAACTTCTTCAGGCCCAGTTGCTCCCTGTACACTCCCAGAGTACCCTGCTAATAACTTTTCATCACACTGTCTTATTGCCATCTATTTTCATCTTCCTCTATGGCTATGCCATCAACCTCTTAAAAGCCAGGCTTATGTTTTACATATTGGTATCATCAGCACCTAGCATAGGTCTAACCACTAGAAGACACTTCAGTGGATGTTGAGGAAGAAAAGAGGACAGGACTTTGGGGAAAGATTATGTTCAGGAGGCAGGAAGAAGAGCCATGCTGAGGGTGCTTTGAGGGTAACAAGGACCCTGTAGTCACAAAAGCCTAGGAGAAAATTTCAAGAAGCTATTTGATTGTTGCAAAGAAGTTGTAAGAGATAAGGTTGTGAATAGATCACTGGATCTGGAGACTTGGAAGTCTCTGTGCACCTTCAGGAAAAGACATTCCAGTAGCCTGAGAAAGGAGCTGCTGAGGTTTGAGGGGGGCTTAGGAGAGATGGAGTGGTGAGGGAGCAGTTCTTTTTGACTTGACTTCTACAGCATTTGACATCAGCCCCTCACATTTGTTTAATCACTTTTCCCTTCTTTGGCTTCTATGATGTGACATTTTAAGGTCTCCCAGGATTCCTTCAAGGGCTGTGTGTTCCCTACTGCCCTTTAAATGTCAAGGTTTCCAGGGTTCTGTTTTTAGCTCTTGTCTCTGCTTAATCCATACACTCTCTCATTCATGATTATTTCAACGATGCCTACCTCCTGATGACTCCAGGTCCTTATCTCCAGCCCAGGACTCTCCCAGAGTCTCAGACCCATAGCTGTTAGTTCTGTCCACTGGACATGTAGATGCCCAGATGTGCAACTACCTCAATATTTTTGAAACTCATCTACTGCCACCAAAAATCTCCCCCTAAAACCTGTGTACCAATTTTCACCAAATATACCTATACTACCAAAGGGTATAACCCCAAATTTTCTTAACTCTTTCCTCTTCTCTAATCACTTAAGCCTTATCAATTCTATCATCTCAATCTAGAAATTCATCCCCTTTCTCCATCCCCACTGCCACTTCTTAAATTCTAGCCTTAAAATTTTTCAGCTGCATTATTACAGTCTCCCCATGTCTAGTCTCAATCCCCTCTTTCAGCCTTCTCCACACCACTTCCAAAGAAGTCTTTTTTCTCTAGTACTTTAAAAAAAAGATGCACAATTTATATACAATACACACATTTTAAGCATACAGTTTGATGAATTTGAAAAGAACCACCAACCCAATCAAGATGAGGCAGAAGAGGGACTGGAGGCAGGGAACCTAAGGCCAATTCATGCTGACTTCCTAGAACTAAATCAAAAGGAAAGCCCCAACTTTCCATGCCCAAGTAATAAAAGGACCAGAGGGTACTCCCTTTGCAACACCACCGCCCCCCCCCCGACCTGCTCCCTTTTTCTGCATGGCAGATGAAAAATTGGAAGTACCTCTGATTGGTCCCCTCCTGCAAACAATCAGGCTGGTTATGGGCCAAGTCTTCATTTGCACAGGAGTATAACTTTGTAACTTCACTTCAGCCTCTGATTGGTTGCTTTCTGCAACGAATCAGACGTTTGCATAGGGTATAACTTTGTAACTTCACTTCAGCCTCTGATTAGTCCCCTCCCACAACCAATCGGACTGATCATGGGCCACTACTTCATTTACATAGGGTTTACAGCAAGTAACCAATAGGAAACCTCTAGAGGGTATTTAAACCCTAGAAAATTCTGTAACCAGGCTCTTGAGCCCCTTGCTTGGGCTGCTCCCAGCCTGTGGAGAGTACTTTCATTTTTAACAAATCTCTGCTTTTGTTGCTTCATTCTTTCCTTGCTTTGTTTGTGCATTTTGTCCAATTCTTTGTTCAAGACACCAAGAACCTGAACATACTCCACTGGTAACAAAGATATAAAACATTTCCATCACCCCAGAAAGTTCTCTAGTGACTTTGCAGTTAAGCCTCTGACACCCAGAGGCAACTGCTGTCCTGATTTCTATCACCATTGCTTCATTGCCTGTTCTTAGACTGTTTAAAAATGGGATCCTATGGCATGGATTATTCTGTGCCTGGATTCTTCAGCTCAACATAATGTCTGAGACTCATCTAGGTTATTGCATCTATGAGTAGTTTGCTCCTTTATGCTGCTGAGTAGTATCCAACTGTATGGGTATCCCATAGTTTGTTTCTTCCATTCACCTGTTGATGAAAAATTCAATCATTTCCAATTTGGCTCTTATAAAAAAGTTGTTATGGACATTTTTTTCTTTTTTTTTTTTTCTTTTGAAATGGAGTTTCGCTCTCATCGCCCAGGCTGGAGTGCAATGGCATGATCTCAGCTCAATGCAACCTCCACCTCCCAGGTTCAATCAATTATCCTGCCTCAGCCTCCCAAGTAGCTGGAACTAAAGGCGTGCACCACCATACCCAGCAAATTTTTTGTATTTTTAGTAGAGATAGGGTTTCACCATGTTGGCCAGACTGGTCTCAAACTCCTGACTTCAGGTGATCCGCCCACCTCGGCCTCCCAAAGTGCTGGGATTACAGGTGTAAGCCACCACGCCCAGCCTGTGGACATTTTTGTATGTCTTTTTTGGCATATATTTTCAATTCTTTTATTAAATACCTAGGAGTAGAACTGCCAGGTAGGTGTATGTTTAACTTTATAAGAGACTGTCAAACACTTTCCAAAGTGGCTATACCATTTTATAACACCACCAGCCATGTGTGAGAGTTTCTGTTGCCTAAAGAGGTCTTTTGAAAATGCAAATCTGGGCCAGGTACGGTGGCTTATGCCTGTAATCCCAGCACTTTGGGAGGCTGAGGCAGGTGGATCAACTGAGGTCAGGAGTTCAACACCAGCCTGACCAACATGGTAAAACCACTGTCTCTACTAAAAATAAAAACAATTAGCCAGGTGTGGTGGTGCATGCCTGTAGTCCCAGCTACTCAGGAGGCTGAGGCACGAGAATAGCTTGAACCCAGGAGGTGGAGGTTGCAGTGAGCCAAGATCACACTACTACACTACAGCCTAGGCGACAGAGCAAGACTCCGTCTCAAAAAAAAAAAAAGAAAGGCTGGGCGCGGTGGCTCAAGCCTGTAATCCCAGCACTTTGGGAGGCCGAGATGGGCAGATCACAAGGTCAGGAGATAGAGACCGTGCTGGCTAACACAGTGAAACCCTGTCTCTACTAAAAATACAAAAAATTAGCAGGGTGTGGTGGCAGGCGCCTGTAGTCCCAGCTACTCAGGAGGCTGAGGCAGGAGAATGCCGTGAACCTGGGAGGCGGAGCTTGTAGTGAGCCGAGATCGCGCCACTGCACTCTAGCCTGGGCAACAGAGTGAGACTCTTGTCTCAATAAAAAAAAAAAAAAGGAAAAAGAAAAAGAAAATGCAAATCTGATCATACTATTTCCCTACTTAAAAACTTATCTCTGGGCTGGGCACAGTGGCTTACACTTGCCCAGCACTTTCGGAGGCCAAGGCAGGCAGATCACGAGGTCAGGAGTTCAAGACCAGCCTGGCCAATATGGTGAAACCCCCATCTCTACTAAAAATACAAAAAATTAGCCGGGCATGGTGGCATGAGCCTGTAGTCCCAGCTACTCGGGAGGTTGAGGCAGAAGAATTGCTTGAACCCAGGAGGCAGAGGTTGCAGTGAACCAAGATCGTGCCACTGCACTCCAGCCTGGGCAACACAGCAAGACTCTGTCTCAAAAAACAAAAAAAAAAAAACCAAAAAAAACCCTCATCTCTGGCTCTTAAATATGTCCAAATTTCACCAGAAATAGGCAAGGCCCTTCATGACCTGTGTCCCAGTTGCCCAAACTCATCACTTGCTATTTCTCCATATGCTCCCTTCATGTCTGTCATGCTGACCTCATTTAGTTCCCTTATCTTATGAAGTCTTTTTACATCTTTGTATAAACCCTTCCTGCTGCCAGAATGCCATTGTCTTCCTTATTTGCAGAGCTAACGCCTACTCATCCTTTCTTTTTCTTTTATTTTCTTTTTCTTTTTGAGACAGGGTCTTGCTCGTTTGCCCAGGCTGGAGAGCAGTGGTGCAATCTCAGCTCATTGTAGCCTCTAACTTCTGGACTCAAGCAATCCTCCTACCTCAGCCTCCTGAGTAGCTGGGACTATAGGCATGTATCACCACACCAGGCTAATTTTTTTGATTTTTCATAAAGAGAGGGTCTCACTATGTTGCCCAGGCTGGTCTTGAACTCCTGGGCTCTGGTGATCCACCTGCCTCAGACAACCCAACACTTTGGTGTCATTCCTGTAATGAGCGACCACACGCCCGGCTGCTCATCTTTTCGGAGTGTTACTGATTACATCACCCCCCACCCCAAGTTAACTGCTACAATGTGTGCTCCAATAACATACAGAGCCTGACCCCATCCTAATACTCTGCTCAAAGCATTATAATACATTATTTCCTTCTCTCTACCTGACCAACTTTTGGAATACTCTTTTCCCTCCCTCCTTTCCTTCTACCACTGTTTGATGATGGCCCACCACCGGACAGACACTATGTTGGGTGATGTACACAGAATGGTGAATTAAAACAGTCACAGCCCCTGCTCCCATGAGGCTTACGGTAGGGCAGAAAAGACAATCGAGTAATTACACTCATAAATGGAGAATTAGAAACTGAGTTAATTGTTCTGAAGAAAGGAAGTGATGGGTCTACCAGCACATAAAAGGAGAATCTGGTCTAGATGGTGTGGGGGTGAGGGCATGGAAGGCTTCTTTGAAGAAATAATGTTTGAACTGGGAGCTAAAGGAGATGCAGGAATTAAGTGGGTGAAGTATGTTTCCTCCCTACGGTAGAAGGGAATATGGGACTGTTCGAGAAACAGAAATTAAGCCAGTGAGCCTGGAGAAAAAAGACTGATGGGCCTCACCTGAGGGACGAGTGTCAGGCCAGCACCAGACTAGAAGCTGCTAAGAATTTGGTCATTACCTTGCTCGAGACCAAGGAGCAGGAAAACTGGTATTAATAGTATCAGCCTTGCTTGCAGTGAGCTGAGATCGCACCACTGCACTCCAGCCTGGGCGACAGAGCAAGACTCCAACTCAAAAAAAAAAAAAAAAGAGTATCAGCACCCCTGACGGTTCCCCATTGCTTGTCATTGCACCTAGCACGTGACCATTGATCTAGTTTGGATGTTTGTCCTCTCCAAATCTCATGCTGAAAGATGATCCCCAGTGTTGGAGGTGGGAACTAGTGGGAGGTGCTTGGGTCATGGGGGTGGATCCCTCATGAATGGCTAGGTTCCCTCCCCACAGTAACGAGTGAGTTCTTGCTCTGTTAGTTCATGCCACAGCTGGTTGTTGTTGTTGTTGTTGTTGTTGTTTTTAGACAGAGTCTTGCTCTGTCGCCCAGCCTGGAGTGCAATGGTGCGATCTCCGCTCACTGCAACCTCCTCCTCCTGGGCTCAAGTGATTCTCCTGTCTCAGCCTCCTGAATAACTGGGATTACAGGCGCTGGCCACCACGCCTAGCTAATTTTTGTATTTTTAGTAGAGACAGGGTTTCACCATGTTGGCCAGGCTGGTCTCGAACTCCTGACCTCAAGTGATCCACCCGCCTTGGCCTCCCAAAGTGCTGGGATTACAGGCATGAGCCACCATGCCCAGCCACACAGCTGGTTGTTTAAAGAGCCTGGCGGCTCTCTTGCTCCTTCTTTCACCATGTGCCACGCTTGCCGCCCCTTCACCTTCTGCCATGAGTAAAGGCATCCTATCAGAGGTGTTAACTGATTATTTCACATCTGCACCCCCCCAACCCAAGTTAATTGCTGCAATTCTGTGCTCCAATAACATACGGGGCCTGACTCCATCATAATACTCTGTTCAAAACATTATAATACATTATTTTCTTCTCTCTTCCTGACCAACTCTTGGAATACACTTTCCCTTCTTCCCTCCCTTCTACCACTGTTAATGAATGAAAACCTTTACTGAAAACCTCACCAGAAGCCAAGCAGATACCAGTGTCATGCAGAACCATGAGCCAAAGAAACTTATTTTCTTTATAGACTATCCAGTCTCAGGTATTCCCTTATAGCAATGCAAAATGGACTAAAACAGTCATGCATAACATACATTTGCTAAATTAATAAAGTTTAGAAGTGTTCAAGAAATTTGACACCTAAAGGAAAAAGAGACTATATGTATTTTGAGCAGGCTACAGGGTTGTGGGAAGAGTGTTTTTAAGCAAAGACATGACTTGAGTTTGTTGATGCAATACAGCCAACAGAGGATGAAGAGATGAAGCATGGAAATACGGTTCTGACATAGGTGGGAGGGGATGGAATTGAGAATACAAAGATCATTAGTTTTGAAAAGGAAGAACGATTCTTCCTTTGAGGTAAGAGAAAAGGGTGGGAAAACAGGGAAGGTCCTAGAGGAAAAAACACTACTGCTGGGAGAGGCATTGTTACAGTCATGTGGTCCAGGGGGCATTTTCCTGAATCTGCATAATGCCATCAGATAGGCACTCTTCCAGCTGTGCCATGGATTGTCCCCATGATCATGGTGGGCAGATTTGCAGTGTGGTGACCATGTAACTGGTAGTGTTGGAAGCTTTCTCATACATTCGCCATCTACCAGATTTTCACAACAACCTCCAAGTATACAGACCCGATTTACAGATATGGACACTCAGGTTCAGGAAGGTGAAGAACCTTGCCACTGTCTACACTGTCAGTGAGTGTCTGACCTGGAACTGGAACCTAGGTCCAAAGGACTCAACCGCGAGGAGCCAGGGCAACTTGGAAGCCTATTCATTTGGTTCCCTTCTTATTGGCTTTAGATGTTTTGCTTCAGTATGGCTGGAACATCATCGTTAGTGAGCCCAGGCACAGTGGAAGGTGATATAGGCAGTTTTTGCCTTAAGGATGGGTTTAATTTTCATAATGTGACCTCCAGGGTCTCCTATGAATGAACTAAGAAATAAGGCAGTTTGAGGATGCAGAAGTTACTCTGGCAGAGAACACATTATCCTCTTATTGGAAACGGAAGGATAAGAAAGGAATACCAGAGTGCATCACAGGTTAAGCTAACTAAAGATGAGGGCAATGACTTGTCCATAGTCAATAGCATGGGAGAAAAGTAACACGGAGACTTGCCTTCTTGTGACCTTTTGAACTCGGTACACGAACGCCAAGATGGCAATCACCTGAGTGGTAACCAGAGAGAGTGATTATAGGTGAGGCAGCTGTTAGAAGAAAAATCTATCCCAATAGAGAAAGGGCCTTCAGAATCATCCCCAGGGTGCTGGGTACGGAGGCTCATGCCTGTAATCCCAGCACTCTGGGAGGCCAGGTGGAAGGGTCGTTTGAAGCCAAGGGTTGGAGACCAGCCTGGGCAACATAATGAGACCTCATCTCTACAAATTAAAAAAAAAAAAAATTAGCTGGGCACAGTGGTGCACGCCTGTAGTCCTAGCTACACTGAGGCTGAGGTGGGAGGACTGCTTGAGCCCAGGAGTTTGAGGCTGCAGTGAGCTATCATCATGCCATTTCACTCTAGCTTGGGTGGCAGAGCGAGACAGTCTCCTAAAAAAAAAGAAAAAATCCATGGCGTGTCCATACAGAGTTACAAAGCTGTGAGGGCCCTGGGCCAGGAGACAGGTGGCCGCTCCAGCAAAGAACAGCAGGTGATATGGGAACTAGCTCCATCTGTAGAGTGCAGTACTCCTGAAATAATCCTAATGAGAGGACGGCAGGAGGGCTCAATGGGCAGGTAGTTGTTCCCAGTTTGAAATGGTGCCTTTGGCAGGGCACGGTGGCTCACGCCTGTAATCCCAGCACTTTGGGAGGCTAAGGCGGGCGGATCACAAGGTCGGGAGTTCGAGACCACCTGACCAACATAGTGAAACCCCATCTCTACTAAAAATACAAAAATTAGCCAGGCGTGGTGGTGCATACCTGTAATCTCAGCTACTCAGGAGGCTGAGGCAGGAGAATCGCTTGACCAAGGAGGCAGAGGTTGCAGTGAGCCAAGATCGTGCCACTGCATCCTCCGCCTCCTGGGTTCAAGCAATCCTCCCACCTCAGACTCCTGGATAGCTGGGATTACGGGCACCTGCCACCATGCCTGGCTAATTTTTGTATTTTTAGTAGAGACGGGGTTTCACCACATTGGCCAGGCTGGTCTCAAACTCCTGACCTCAAGTGATCTGCCCGTCTTGGCCTCCCAAAGTGCTGGGACTACAAGCGTGAGCAACCACGCCTGGCCGAAGGATCTTAAAAGGAAACATCACTGTTAAGTCATTGCTGACACAGATAAGGTGGCCTCTCAATTACTGCCAAGCATCTTTATGCTATCTTACAGCTCTTGCACTTACAAATTGAGGTCTATTTAGTCTGTGCTGTTGTTGACCTCATATTTATTTACCATAATCAAGATTCACTCTAGTCTTGGCATCTTTTCCAAACTTACGACCTATAGTGGGTTGAGTTATGTCCCACTGCACTGCCCCCACCCCCCCACCGCCCTAAATCATATCTACCTAAAACCTCAGAATGTGGATTTTTTTTTTTTTTTTTTTGAGACAGAGTCTCGCTCTGTCCTAGGCTGGAGTGCTGTGGCACGATCTCGGCTCACGGCAAGCTCTGCCTCCCGGTTTCACTCAGCCTCCCGAGTAGCTGGGATTACAGGCACACACCACCAAGCCTGGCTAATTTTTGTATTTTTAGTAGAGATGGGGTTTCACCATGTTGGCCAGGCTGGTCTTGAACTCCTGACCTCGTGATCTGCCCGCCTCAGCCTCCCAAAGTTCTGGGACTACAGGCGTGAGCCACCATGCCCAGCCAGAATGTGATCTTGTTTAGAAATAGTATCTTTGCAGAGGTAACTAGTTGAGGTCATACTAGATTAAGGTGGGCCCTAAATCCAATGACAAGTGTCCTTATAAGGAAGAAGAGTAACCGGGAGACCTGCCTTCCTGTGACTTTTGTTTTTTTTTTTGAGATGGTGTCTTGCTCTGTTGCCCAGGCTGGAGTGCAATGCCACGATTTCAGCTCACAGCAACCTCTGCCTCTGGGGTTCAAGCGATTCTCCAGCCTCAGCCTCCCGAGTAGCTGGGACTACAGGCGTGTGCCACCACGCCTGGCTAATTTTTGTATGTTTAGTAGAGATGGGTTTTTACCATGTTGGCCAGGCTGGTCTCAAACTCTTGGCCTCAAGTGATCCGCCCACTTAGGCCTCCCAGAGTGCTGGGATTATAGGCGTGAGCCACGTGCACATCCCCTGTGACCTTCTGAGCTCAGAATACGAATGCCAAGATGGCAATAACCTGGGTGGTAACCAGAGTGATTATGGATGGGGCAGAGAAGAGAGGGCCTTAGGAAGACAGAGACAGAGATTGGATTTATGCTGCCGCAGCCAAGGAATTTGGCTTTGTTGGAAAAGGAAGAATTTTCCCCCAGAGCCTATGCAGGGAGTGTGGCCCTGCCAGCACCTTGATATTGGACTTCTGTCCTCCAGAACTGTGAGAGAATAAATTTCCATTGTTTTAAGCCACCCAGTTTGTGGTAGTATTTTAATACAGCAGCCACAGGAAACTCATACACGAGTTGAGGTTGTTCTTCCCTTTAGGGAAGGAAGTCTCCAGCCCTGGCAGTTCCTCGGTTCACCCTCATATGTAAGTGCCCAGAAAAAAAACTGCTGAATAAACACATTTCCCAGATTTTGAATTGAGGGAGAAGTGTGATGTCCCTTGAGGTAGCACAGAGAGATCAATGGTGACATTAGATAGTATCTGGAAGACCCAAAGGCTGTGTATCAATTTTCATTGTGTGGCTTTAGCTTGGCAAATTTACTAAGTGTCAGGATGTGGCTTCAAGTTTTGTCAGACTCAAGGTTGAGTCAAACTTAGCATGATTAGCTAAGTCGTGCTAATCAGACTCACAAGAAATAAAAATCAAGCTGAAAATGTATTCATCTGTGTGTGTGTGAGAAAGAGAGGAGGCTTTTATTCCAGTATTGAAAATGCTCATATTCACTACCGGGGCCCCGGGTCAGAACACCTGGAAGCTGCTCTGTGACTGTAAGTCGCATGGAATCAAAGCAAAGAGGCAGGGCACCTTGAGGGGATCCATCTGGGCCATGGGGAAGCCCAGTGACCCTTCCAGGACCACAACAAAGCTTTTGTCTCCAGCACCACAAAGTTCAGGCCTGACAGAGTCGGCGACATTCGCTGCAAATCTGTAGTTCTCTGGCTTCTCTTCTCTATGTTCTCAGGTCAACTGCCCCACTACCATCCACACAGTTTTTCTCTAAACAGGATGTTAAACAAATGGATACTAAATGACAACTGTGTTCTGGACTTGCCTCCCTTACAAAGAAGGTCACCTTGGCTAAAGTATTGGGTTCTTTCAAATCCCCATTTACCATGTGTTTACTCCCATAAGAATGAATACCATCTATATTAGTTTCTTTTGGCTGCTAAAACAAATCACCAAAAACTTGGTGGCTTCAAACAACAGAAACTTATTCTCTCACAGTTTTGGAGGCCAGAGGTCCAAAATCAAGGTGTCGTGAGGGCCTAGCTCCCTCTAAGGCTTGTAGGGGAGAATCCATTCCTTTCTTCTTCCAGCTTCTGGTCACTCCAGGAACTCCTTGGCTTGTAGTTTCATCAATCCAGTCTCTGTATCCACGGTCACGTTGCTGCCACAACTTCTTCTGAGGCTAATCTTCCTCTGCCTCTCTCCTATAAGGACTCTTGTGATGGTATTTACTGCCCATCTGATAATCCAGAATTATCTTATCTCAAGATCCTTAATTTAATCTCATCTGCAAAGACCCCTTTTCCAGATAAGGTAACATTCACAGATTCCAGGTATTTGTGTGGATATCTTGTACAGGACCAGCTTTTGACTTACCACACCACCATTTGTGGATTTTGAGGACTGGGATTGTATCCGTGTTGATATGTCTTCAATGTCTCACACATGAATGAAAATAAATAGGCAAATTAAGACAATCTTATTTCCAAATTCAAAGGCACCTCACCATCACTATGCATAATTGACATCCCTCTAAAAGGTTATCCGAGGGCCAGGCACGGTGGTTCACATCTAATCCCCGAACTTTGGGAGGCCAAGGTGGATTGATCACTTTGAGCTCAGGAGTTCGAGACCAGCCTGGGCAACATGGCGAAACCCTGTCTCTATAAAAAATACAAAAATTAGCCAGGTGTGGTGGCATGCACCTGCAGTCCCAGCTACTTGGGAGGCTGAGGCTGGAGAATCGCTTGAGCCCATGAAGCAGGGGTTGCAGTGAGCCAAGATTGTGCCACTGCACTCCAGCCTGGGTGACAGAGTGAGGCCTTGTCTCAAAAAAACAACAACAACAACAACAACAAACAAACAAAAAAACGGTTATTCAGAGATTTTATCCTCAATACATGACTGGATTTCATGTGTGCGTGGTTGAAAAGGAATTACTTCTGGCAATGAATCCATCTTTTCAGGCCAGCCTATTATAAATTGTAATCACAATCAGCATCATCTTTAAATATGCTATTAAATACTCTTGCATAATTATCTTTTGCCCTACCTGTTCAAATCCTTTCTATCTTTTGAGGCCCATCTAATGCCCGACCTTCCTAGGAACCATTCATGACAGTTCCTTACCCTCCACGCCTGCTCATGATCTTGCCTAACTATGAGGTCTTCTTGCTCTGCCTGTGAGTATCATTTCTGCCTAGGAATTGGTAAACTCTTCCTGCCTAGGAATTGGTAAACTCTTCCTGAGTGGGATTTTCTTTCTCAAATAAGACTCGATGTATGTCATATAGCATATTGTTGGAATTTTGTTAAATTGTTGGTTTATGAATGTAAAGGGACCGTGTGAATATTTAAGCATAGGCCAGAGCCCACATCAAAACAATACTATTGTTTATTCTCAGGCAGGAAAGAGGCACCCATTGCTTGAGGGTCCAAGAGAAGGAGTGTATTTATATTGGGTTAATTTATTTAGAAAGTTAGATGCCTGTCTCCTGGAAGATGAGATATTTAACATTCAGCTAGAAGAGAAAGTTTTCTTATATAACTGGTAACTAGAAAGATAATCAAGAAACAGGAGAGGTGACTTGCTATCAAGAAATAAGGCACAGATCTTCAGGATGGAACGTTAGAAGGCTTGAAGAGCTGCCTTCTTGGCCAGGCACAGTGGCTCATGCCTGTAATCCCAACACTTTGGGAGCCCTAGACAGGAGGATCACTTGAGTCCAGGAGTTTGAGACCAGCTTGGGCAACAAAGTGAAACCCTGTTTCTACAGAAAAATTAAAAAATTAGCCAGGCATGGTGGTATGTACCTGTGGTCCCAGCTACTCGGGGGGTTGAGGGAGGATTGCTTGGTCCTGGAAGATGGAGGCTGCAGCAGCGACCCATGATTGTGCCACTGCACTCCAGCCCGGGACACAAAAAAAGCCCGTGTCTCAAAAAAAAAAAAAAAAAAAAAAAAAAAAAAAAAAAAAGCTGCCTTCTCTTCATTCTCCTCCAGAATTTGGTGAATAATTTGTGTAGCTAAAATACAGCCCCAATTTAAAAATGTATGTGATAGATGAGAGACTCAGATCTGACACTCCTATATATCTAAGTCTCGGACTCCTAACCTATTTTAAAGGCAAGGGCTGTGGTGTGATTCATTTTGGTTACTCTCTGTGCCTAGAAGTGTGAAGCATGTAGAAAGTGTCTGATAAATGTCTGCTGGATTAATGAAGCAACAAAATGAGGGAGAATTGCCTGATTGAGGGGTCCCCAACATGTCGTATCATTAAGTTGACACAGACCCTGGTGTCTGAAGCTTCATTTCAAACATAAGCCATGACCTTCATATTGGCAAGTAAAACATGCAACCTCTTAGGTGCATTAGACACAACCAATCACTTACAGCTCCTTGAAACACTATTTTGCCTAGCTTTCAGGAGACCACACCATCTGGTTTTCCTCTCCCTTCACTGAATGTTCTTTCTCAATTTCCTCCTCTGGGTCTTCCTCCTCCTCTTGACCTCTAACTGTTGCTATGCCCTAGGGCTCATTACTCAGCCCCTTTCTCTTCTCCATCTACCTTCTCTCCCAGGGCCTAGGTGAGCTCATTCAATGTCATGGCTCAAAATGTCATCCACATACCCTGGCTCTAAAATTTCTGTCTCCAGCCCCATCTTCTCCCCAGAACTTCAGATTTGCATATCCAACTGTCTACTTGACATCTTCAATTACATGTCTCACAGATTGTAAAATGTAACATGATTGAAACAGAACTCTTTATTTCCCCCTACTTAAAATCTGCTCCTCCTCTATCTCCACTGGAATAAATGGCAATTTTATCCCTCCAATTGTTCAGGCCAAACACCTTGAAGTTAATCTTGACTTCTTTCTTTCTCTCCCACCCCACAACCAATCCATCAGCAAATCCTACCAGCTCCACCTTCAAAATATATCCAGAATCCAACCCCATGTCCCACACTGACAGCACCCTGGTTCAAGCTACCCCATCTCTTACCTGGGTTACTGAAACAGCCCTCTAAGTGCCTTTCTGTCTCCTCCTCACCCCATGTGGTCTACCATCACATCACAGCCAAGTGACTCTTCTCAAACCATCTCAGTCATGCCACTCCTCTGCTGTCAATACTCCAAGGTGTCCCAATAAATTTTATGAAATTCAAATCCTCACCATGGTCTACAAGGCCCTAAATTCTCCCTTTCCAGTTTATTTCCTATCCCCTTAATCTCGACATTCTCATTCCACAGGCCTCTTTGATGTCCACAGCAAAGACGACATATAATACATTAAAACATATTATAAAATAAAATATTATATAAGCATTAATTTGAAGTGTCAATATCATAAAGTGGGGGTAGTGCAAAGCTGTAAAGGAGTAGAGTTTTTGTGTTTAATGGGTCCAATTTTGACTTTGCAAGGCGAAAAGAATTCCAGACGTGGATGGTGGTGACGACTGCACAGCATCCATGTACTTAACACCCCGAACCATACATTTAAACATGGTTAAAACTGTAAATTGCAAGTTATGTGCATTTTACCACAATTAAAAATGAAAAATAAAATATCATTTATATACAGATACGTGCATATGAATAACCAGTCTGAAAGGATAGGTGCAAAAGGTGAATAATAATTATCTATGGGTAGTAGGATTATAGATGACTTTTTTCCTTAATGCAAAAAAGCATTTCCAATTTATGCATTATGTGAATTATGTAATTTATGTGTGACTTTTATGTATTCCTTGTACAATAAAAACACATGAAAAGCCATGTATAAAACTTATACCCAGTGTGGCAATAGTATTCGACTACAAACAAAATCTGAAAATAAAACATGTGTCACAAACTACAGTCCTCAAACATCCCATTGAGTGTGGTCAATTTCAACGGCCTCATCTCCACAAGAACTGGACAAGAGGCCAGGTGAGTTCAGGTTTTCAAATGCAGACTCAGGTGGAAATGCAGATGTTAACTGTCTGACACAGGCCAATCATGCCACACATGAATAAGCTCTTGCAAAATTCTGAATACTTCTACAATGTGTCATTTGATAGTGTGGTGTCTTTTGACACAGACCAAGCTACAAAGCTGCCTACAGTGTATAATTAAGGGTTTCAGATATACTAAGGTTTTCTTCTGCCAAATGCCATTCATCTATGCTTGACTTTTCCAACCAATATAACTGAAGTACAATTTGTAAAGCCAACTCACTGTGTGAATTATTTTATCCTGCTGTTTTAAGGAACTGCACCGTGTACAGAAGTAGAGAAATTTGGCCCGGCATGGTGGCTCACACCTGTAATCCCAGCAGTTTGGGAGGCCAAGGTGGGTGGATCACTTGAGGCCAGGAGTTCGAGACCAGCCTGGCCAACATGGTGAAACCCCGTCTCTACTAAAAATACAAAAATTAGCCAGGCATGGTGGCGGGTACCTGTAATCCCAGCTACTCAGGAGGCTGAGGCAGAAGAATCACTTGGACCTGGGAGGCAGAGGTTGCAGTGAGCCGAGATCGCACCACTGCACTCCAGCCTGGGTGATGGAGAGAGACTTAGTCTCACAAAAAAAAAAAAAAAGAAGGCCGGGCAAGGTGGCCCATGCCTGTAATCCCAGCACTTTGGGAGGCTGAGGCAGGTGGATCACCTGAGGTCAAGAGTTCGAGACCAGCCTGAACAACATGGTGAAACCCCATCTCTACTAAAAATACAAAATTAGCTGGGTGTGGTGACACATGCCTGTAATCCCAGCTACTTGGGAGGCTGAGGCAGGAGAATCACTTGAACCCAGGAGGCAGAGATTGCAGTGAGCCAAGATCATACCATTGCACTCCAGCCCGGGCAACAAGAGCAAAACTCCATCTCAAAAAAAAAAGAAGGCTGGATGCAGTGGCTTATGCCTGTAATCCCAGCACTTTGGGAGGCTAAGGCAGGTGGATCACAAGGTCAGAAGTTTGAGACCAGCCTGGCCAACATGGTGAAACCCTGTCTTTATTAAAAATACAAAAATTAGCTGGGCATGGTGGTGTGCACATGTAATCCCAGCTACCCAGGAGGCTGAGGCAGGAGAATAGCTTGAACCCGGGAGGCAGAGCTTGCAGTAAGCCGAGATCATGCCACTGCACTCCAGCCTGGTGACAGAGCAAGACTCCATCTCAAAAAAAAAGAAAGAAAAAAAAAGTAGAGAAATTATTCTGGAATACCTAAACCACAGAGCCCAATCCCATCATTGGACAGGAGAGGATGCCAGGACCCAGAAAAGTGAAGCGACTTGTCCAGAGGCTCACTCCTAGTTTGTGAAAAAGCTGGGACTAGACTCAGGAAGTCCTGAGGCCTTAGTCCAGTGCTGCTTCTTTTTTTTTTTTTTTTTTTTTTGACAGAGTTTTTCGCTCTTGTTGCCCAGGCTGCAGTGCAATGGCGCAATCTCGGCTCACCGCAACCTCCACCTCCCAGGTTCAAGAGATTCTCCTGCCTCAGCCTCCCAAATAGCTGGGATTACAGGCATGCACCACCACACCCTGCTAATTTTATATTTTTAGTAGAGACGGGGTTTTTCCATGTTGGTCAGGCTGGTCTCGAACTCCTGACCTCAGGTGATCCGCCTACCTCGGCCTCCCAAAGTGCTGGGATTACAGGTATGAGCCACCGCACCCGGCCGGTCCAGTGCTTCTTTTCAAAACTTGGAATGTCATCTTTGGAAAAGGAGAGTAACTAATAACCATCTGAATGTGGTTACAACTGGAAATACGTTTATTTCTCTCCAAACTTTGTCTTCAAACCGGCCCTGCTGGCTCTCTCTTCCCTGCCCCTTGATGATAACTTTGACAGACTTCATAGCTTTCTGGTTACTCATAATTTCAAGAACCTCAATTAAGGTTAATTTTCAGGTGTTTAAAAAAAAAAAATGCCGAATCTGGTCTAAATCAAATCTTTAACTTGACACCCAGTTCAAAGCTCCTCCCCCTGCCCTGGGTAAGACTGAGCACAGCTCTAGGTCTTGCAGCAGGGAAGCGGGGGAAGCCTGCACTTTCTCTCCTCCTCTCTGTCCCCCACTGCTTCTTGCTTTCTGGGGTCAGTGAGGGGTCTGGGGTGGGGCTGGTGGGAACCAAAGAGTAGAGTAAAGGGGCAAAAGTCTTCACACTTGGTTGCAGCTCTCCCTTGGCTGACAGCATTCTCTGGGTTGCAAGTGTCCAAATGCTGAATGTTCCATGGGATGCAGCTATGGTTTCTCAAGAGGCCTTATGAGAATCTCCATAGGGTGTGAGTTAGGGGCACCAAATGGAGAGGTGCTCTTGGAGCCCTCACTCTTGGCTGGGAAGAAACAGCCCTCTCCCACCCACACTGGGAGAAGTAGGGACAAATGATCGTACTTTCCCTCACACTGCCCAGTGACTCAACTCTCCTTGAATGCCTCATCTTTCCTTCACACAGGCTGTAGGTGGGTAATGGTGGCCAGAACAGTTCACCAGTCTGTCTATAGATCTTGTGGGGTTGTGCCTAGCTGTTCCTCTGCAGAAGGTGGGAATACTTACCACCTAGCATCTTCACAAAATATCCCATTCGACATCCCATGACAGGAATCCTGAATGTTGTCTGCAGGGAGGAGGTACTTCTTAATTTTGTAAAGCCTTGGCACTACACAAAGAGGAAGCAGCTGCTGGAAGTTCCTGGGGTAGCAAGGGATCTACCCAGGAACTTCTGCAGAAAGGAGTGGCTGCCTCCCAAGACAACCCCCTTTATCATATAGAACGTCAAGGAGCCTAAGGAAAAGACTCTGAAAGTTGCTTCTTCCCCGGGACAAACCAGACTGGGTGTGTCAGGATAAGACAAACTCCTGAGTCTGTCCTTCAATGACTATGTGGCACTGACTGAGCACTTTCCTCTTTCTGGGCCTCAGGCTCCACATCTGTAAAATAGTGGGAGGGTAAGTATTTGTCATTTTTGGTGGCCTAGCATTGGAGGACCCTCTGTATTTGGAGGAATATCAAGATAGGTGGCTGGCAAGGTCCCCTCTTCCCCATTATGGAAGCCCAAGAGGGAGGGGACATATTGTCTTTCTCCCTACCCTTGCAATGTAGTTATAGCATGGAAATGTGACCTGGGCTCAGCCAAGAACTTTGAATCCTTAATAAGAATGGAAAAGTCTAGCTGTGGTGGAATAAGTTCCAGAGGTATGGCAGTGTTGACTGGGAGTGGGTAGCCCAGAGTACTAGAGTAGTAGTACTAGAGTACTTGAGCTGTACCTAGCCACCATTATTTTCTGAGCTGGCTCTCTAAGACCTTATGACTCTGCAGAAGTGCCCATGTTCTTCTGTCATAAACATGCTTGGCTCACAGCCCCCATTTCAATTCCTTTCTTCCTTGTCTCCCTCTATTCTAGAGGCCAGAAAGCAAAACAGTTGAATTTCCATAGTCCTTAGCATTCAGAAGTAGTCATGTGATACAGTTGTGATGAATAAAATAAAGAAATAAGTCCCTTCTCCAATATGAAGGCAAAACCTGGAAGGAAAAAGGCTTTCATGCCTCATCTTCATCCTTCCTCCTTCTTCCTAACTGGAACACAGATGAAATGCCTGGAGGTGAAGCAGCCATCCATGACTATGAACAGAATGCTAAATAGAACCTCAGCCTCTGATGACAGCCCTGAGCAGCCGGACAAGCCCTGGATTTCTGCCTCTAGACTTATTACACAAGGAAAATAAGATATCCGCCTATTTAAGTCACTGTTTTTCAGATTTTCTTACTCCCAGATAAACACATTCCTTCCTGATCTACTTCAATATTAGGAATATTCAATAAATGCAATAAACGTTGCATAATATTCAATAAATTCAATAAATATTCAATAAATGCAATAAAGGTTGTATAATATTCAATACATTCAATAAAAGTTGAGCTGAGAATGGTATTTACAGTTGTACAATATCTTATAGTTTATAAATTGTCATTACTGCTGAAGTTTCTCAGGGTAGGTTTCTTTTTTTTTTTTCTTTTCTGAGACAGAGCCTCACTCGGCTGCCCAGGCTGGAGTGCAGTGGCATGATCTTGGCTCACTGCAAAGTCCACCTCTCGGGTTCAAGCAATTCTCCTGCCTCAGCCTCCCGAGTAGCTGTGACTACAGGCGTGCACCACCATGTCCCGCTAATTTTTTGTATTTAGTAGAGATGGGGTTTCACCATGTTGACCAGGCTGATCTCGAACTCCTGACCTCAGATGATCCACCTGCCTTGGCCTCCCAAAATGCTGGGATTACAGGTGTGAGCCACCACACCCGGCCCACCAGGGTATGTTTCTGTTGCTTAACACCAGAGACTCTGGTTGGTACCTTGAGCTCTTAAGGTCTCCTCCAGCTCTGACAGTCTATCCTCTTTAAGAGGAACATTCCTCTTACTATGCAAACTCATATCAACCTCAGCTTTTACAACTCAACCAAAGAGAAGAGCAATCATCTCGCTTTGAGGTGGTTCATCACCAAACCAGGCCCTATCTCCTCCTGCTTTTTCTGTCCTTTGATCTATTCCTTAAAGCCAACAGCCAGCCCACCCATGAGTCGACCTAGCCTAGTGTGACCTCACAGAGCTACCTACTTGACTAGACTTACAATTTCCAGAGGCAGATAGATTCCTGCTAACTAGGCCGAATCTGAGTTCAGTATGACATGTTCGTACAATATTTTGTAGTTTGAAAACTTAAACTATCTTTTTTCTGCTATGTCACTGATCCTTGCAACAATCCTGAGATAAACAGGGCAAGCATAAGGACCCTGATGCTCACAGAAGTGATGTGCTGTAGGTTCTAGAGATGATAAATAAGATGACCATATGACGGGAGAAAGTGTGGGAAGGAGAATGTACACTGGGCTAGGAGTCACGAAGCACAGGCACTATGTTCCAGCCCTGCCACTCATTAGTAGCTTGACCTCTTGCAAGTCTACCTGTCTGGATCCAGTTTCTTCATCTGTACAACAAGGATGCTGGATGTATTAGTTAGTGCAGGCTGCCATAACAGAATATCATAGATTGGGTGGCTTAAACAACAGAAAGTTATTTTCTTACAGTTCTGGAAGGCTGGAAGTCCTGGATCAGGATGCCAGCATGGTCAAGTTCTGTAAGGGCTCTCTTCCTGGCTTGCAGACAGCCACCTTCTCACTGTGTCCTCACATGGAAGCAGGAGAGAGAGATAGTATCTTTCTTCCTCTTTTTATAAGGGTACAGTACTATCAGATTAGGGACCGACCCTTATGACATCATTTATCCTTTATTATCTCCTAAAGACCCTATCTCCTGATAAGTCACATTGGGGGTTAGGGCTTCAACATATACATATATTTTTTGGAGGGGAAACAACTCAGTCCACTGTATTGGATATGATCTTTGGAGTTCCTTCCACCTGTTAGCACAAGTCTGGAACACTGAAGATACAGTAGTCTATGGAATTAGTAATTCTACCTTGCCTCCTTTTGAGAAACTACACAAGGCTTATTTCTAGACTATTCGTAGGGAACATTTTGGAGATCATCTGTGTAAACACTTTCCCATCCCTAGGGCAATTAACAAGCCAAAGGTAATCTCTGGCCAAATCAGGTCTCTCCCAAAGTTGGGGCCTTAAAGTTTTTCAGAAAGCATGTATTTTAACTGTCACTTTTAGCCTTTGGGTATGGCATGCAATTTCTGCTACTGCATTTAGAAAGAACATAATGATGACTGTCAATTGGAGGTGGGTTTTAAATCACAAGTCTCCAGCTAAATTTTCTAAGAGCCATGAAGATTACTGAGCAATTGTGGCCTTTCAGCAAAGCACAAAGTACCTTGTCAGTCCTACTTTATGCAGCACCTGCGAGTGCTGTCTTAGAGTGGCTTTATGGTCAGAAGCAGGCTCTGGTGGGGAGAGCTGGCCCTTTGCAGGTCAAATATAATTCCCTCCAGTCATAATCAAATATTTCAGATTTCTCCAGAAATATTAATTATTTTTGGTTTGATATACTTATTGTCAAAGGCCGACAAGTACTTTGAGCACTTAAATTACAATGCCCCCCACAAAAAAATACCCCAAGGATGATTTTAACAGTCACAGGATGTGTTATTGCATACTTTAAGCTCTTAAATACAATGCCAAAAAAAAAAAAACCCAAGAATGACTTTTTCTTTTCTTTTCTTTTCTTTTCTTTTTTTTTTTTTTTTTGAGACGCAGCCTTGCTCTGTCACCCAGGCTGGAGTGCAATGGCGCAATCTCGGCTCATTGCAACCTCCGCCTCCAGGGTTCAAGTGATTCTCCTGCCTCAGCCTCCCGAGTACAGGCATGTGCCACCACACCAGTTAATTTTTTGTATTTTTAGTAGAGACGGGGTTTCTCCATGTTGGCCAGGCTGGTCTCAAACTCCTGACCTTAGGTGATCCGCCCTCCTTGGCCTCCCAAAGTGCTGAGATTATAGGCGTGAACCACCGCACCCAGCCCCAAGGATGATTTTAACAGTCCCAGAATGTGCTGTTGCATCTAGACCCGAGGCCTTCAGGAGTAAGAAGATGGTCTGCATTTCTGTAATTTGTTTACATCTCCTTATTTATGATATAATCTACAACTGCTTATAGAGTCTAAATTTTCCTTGTCTGTGTAATTTCAAACCCAAATTTACCTTTCATGTATATTATAACCCAATCTTCATCTTCATTTGACCCAAATTATCTAAGTTCTGTATTCTTCAAACTAGAAAGATGCTGAGTTTTCTGTATTGATCCTATGGAGAACGGTTCTCAAATGGGGGTGACTTTGCACCCTAGGGGACATTTGGCAATTTCTGGAGACATTTTTGGTTGTCACCACTGGGGACGGGGGGTAATCGCGGTAGTACCGGTGGCATCTAGTGGGTAAGGGTCACGGATGCTGCTAAATATCCTACAATGCACAGGACTGCCCCTGCAACAAAGAGTCACCTGGCCCCATGTGTCAACAGTGTTGAAGTTGAGAAACTCTGCTACAGAATGTCAAGATGCAAAGCATATGGTCCTTTGTGGCTTCCAGGGTTGTGGGGTGGGAAGCTGTTATACTGGCAGCACAGCTCTGGCACTCTTCATGACCCCAGGGACACACACAGCAGATGCCGATGAAAACTTAGGCTGTCTTTGCCAGGCCAACTCACAACGCCAATAAAGGGGTTAATTTTTTTTTTTTTTTTTAAGTAGGCAGCCCTTCCTTTGATTTTCATCCAACTTCAATGCCCTCTTCACCAGGGCAGGAAGGAGAAAGCAAGCAGGACTAGAACACAGTGGCTCCAGAGCAGGCCTATAGCAAGGTCTGAAGGGTTGATAGATTTGATACTCACAGCTTTACAGCTCATTTTATTCTGAGAGTAGAGAGTATAGAAAAAACTTCTAAACACTTCTTAAAAATTCTAACAGCTTTATAGGTTGGTAGGATTTCAAGCTACTTTTTAAAAGCATTAAATTATTCCCTGTGCTCTCATTATTTTAATTATTTCTATATATCCCTCCTCGTTCCAAGAAGGTTCTGACATGGGTAACTCTCCCTGTGGTGTTGACTTAATTATCCCGTATCAAGCTTACATGAGCTCCAGGACTGATCAATACAGGTTTCAATTTAGGAGGAAAAAGGATTTTGGAAGGGCCAAGTAAAACCATAATGTTTTGGCAGTTAAAAGATATGAGTTAAATTCCCACTATGTGTAAAGTTATAGTGCTAAATGCTGAGGAAGATATTTTTTAAAAGTATAAATCACAGCTGGTGCCCTTAAGTAATTCATACTCTGTCTGAGAGAGACAGGCTCCATGCCCAAGGGAGGCTGTCTTCTGCTACAAAGCAGGCTGTGCTTGGTGGCTCCTGGGCAGGGGCACCCCTCGGCATTCTTCCCTCCTCTGGCCAGGGAAGGAGGGGCAGAATAGGAAGAGGTGAGGGTGGTTGAGTGGGGAGTGCGCGGGACAAAGCCTCAGAAGTGGACGCACACTGGGGAGGGTCTGAGATATAAACAAACTAAACGAGAGCCAGATCTTAGAGGTCCTGATGGCTAGAGGGAGGCATTTGGGTTTTATTCTAAAGTTACAGGCATGTACACAGGAAGTTATATGATAAAAAAAAATAGCATTTGTTGGGTGCTTACCCTTTACTAAGCATACTATTTAATCCTCTGCCGTAGCTACTCTTCTCCCCATTTTACCGATGAGGACACTGAGGTACGAGGGTTAAATCACTTACTCAAAGCTACTCTAGCAAGTGCTAGAGCCAGGATTCACATCACAGGCAGAGCCCACACTCTTAACCACTTCAGACTGCCTCTTGATAGAACAGGAAGGATGACAGCAGAGGAGAGACCAGATAGACACGGACACCGCTAGGAAGGAGCTGCCGACAGACAGCATTTCAAAGAGTAGAGGAAGTCAATGGGGTCAGATGTTGCTGAGCCATCATGAACGAAATCTGAGAAACAGCCATTGGATTTATATTAGGCAATCACCGGTGACCTTTAAGAGTTCTGTTTCAGTAGAGGGGTGGGGGCAGGAGCTCCTTGCAGGGTATCAAGAAGGGCAGTGATAGAGCCTTGCATAGAAACTGACAGTTAAAAGACAGGGAGAAATGGGAGAGAAATTTCCAAGCTTTTCTTTTGAGACTGTGTCCCAAAACAATGGAACTTTTTCTTTGTTGAGGAATTGCAATATATTTCACCTTGTTCTTTTGTTTTGATGGGCAAAGCTAACAAATTTTAGGAGTCATGGTTAAAGGAGAATTAGTAACTGTCATAGAAATTGTTTTTTAAAAGCCCTGCATCAAATTCAGGTAAAGTACAAAGATTTGACTATTTCAAAGGAAACTGTCATGGGCAGAAGGTTAATTGGCCTTATGCATTGTATTGGCTGGAGAAAATGGCAATTGTGTAACCAGGGTGGGATGGTGTGAGGGAATTGTAGATAAAATAACTTGCTTCAGACCTGTTTTGAGCCAAGGGAAAGAAGCTGAAGCATTGCATGCATTACGGCTTGACAGTGAAATCTAGAGAACAGCTGCCTGGACTTCCAAAAACCTGGGCTGCAAAGGGCAAAAATACTTATTAAAATTCCTTGTTTTAATGAGTTCTGGGAATAGGAGTTATCAGCCTCTGTCCTAGCTACTAAGTAGTTTCTATTACAAATCAAAAGCAGTTTTAGGGAGGCTGTGTTTTTTGAAGGGGAAATCCTCTCCTGGCGGGTAATTCAGACTGCCTAGGGCAGCAATTAAAGCCATCCGGGAGGAGGAGAGGAGGCCTTTGTGGCTGAGGAGCAGTTTCTCCCAGGCTTCTTTCCATAACCATGAACTCCCTTTAGCATCCCAGTGTAGTCCATTCTAAAGTGTTCTGCAGATGAATCAGTCCTCAAAGTGCCTATGATTTTGCTACGGCCCAAGAACTACTGCAAACAATAGATGAATGAAAGATATATGTGGAGTCCTTCCTGGGACTGCTTACACCAAAGACATCTCAGGCTGTGATGCTTCTCAGACACATGGGGTAAGTGCTTTGGCAGTGAACTCTCAGACCCTGGCTCAAACAGGGATGACACCAACAGGTATTTAATGTTTAAAAAATGCAACAGGCTAATAATGCAGGCAGTGCAAGGATTCACCTGTCTGTGTAAAAAGCCAGTAGGAATGACCGTAGGCTCCTTTTCCTTTCTAGTGACTCAGGCCACTGGGAGAGTTGATGGATGGCTGAAGGAATCCAGAGTCTCCTTTGGAAGTTCTTCAAAAACATTATGCATTCCCATTACAAGGGAACCCACACAGATCTCTTCTCCATCCCAGGCCATCTCCCCACGTACCATTTGCTGCCTCGTCACACATCCCAACCCTCAGGTGACTTTTTCCCCATCTTTACAGGTTCCTCTCTTCCCAACACCGGCTCAAGAGTAAGCCAGATCTTTCCCGATTCTTCTCTACTTTCTTGCTGTTCCCCCAAACAACACATAAAGCTTTTGCATTTTAGAGGTTTCATTGCTCACTACAGAGAACAGTAAGGACTAACAAAAACAAAAAGTGTGGGAAGCTGGAAAGATTCAAGGATACCATAGTGATTTGTTGATTCTTTTTTCACAGTACCAGAGTTGGGGGAGTGAACAAAATACACAGAACCCCTGCCCTTTGGAGCATTCATTCCATGGGGGAGATGGGCAATACACTTAACAACTAATTAATATAGTAGGCTAGGAGGTGCTACGAATAAAAGCAAGACAGGGAGGAGGAAAGGATGCTGTGGGAGTGGGGATAGTTTTAAAGGAGTGGTTGGACTATGAGCAAAGCTGAAATGAGGCGAGGGACTATGAAGATACCTGTGGGAAGAGTATTCCAGGGGAGAGAACCATTAGTGCTAAGGGCCTGGGGCAGGGGGTACAGCAAGGAGGCCAGTGTGGATGGAGCAGAATAGGATGGGAGGCCAGAGAACTATGGGGCAGAAAGTGCTTCATCTTGCAGTCAGGGTGCAAAAGGCAATGAGCCCAGAGTTTGAGCTATGCTGACTTGGGCTCAAATCTTGGCTCTGCCCCTTAGGTCATATACCTTGGGCTCCCCCACTTCTTATCATATAAACAGTTGACCACAAAGGGTGGTCACTGCAATATGAGATGTGAAACTTCCTATCACAGGACACAGCACACGACAGCCATAGTAAGAAACAGAGACTGATGAAAATCAAGTATTTCAAAGTAATCTGTGAACTTTTGTGATTCAAGACTGTCGACAACTGAATAAAAATCTCATTTTAAAGAATACTAAATTAAGAAATACTTTAAGAAAAAACACATTTCATAATGAAGTAGCTTACAAGGTCGATCAAGGAAAAACAAATATCCCAGTTTTAGTGCCTTATTCAACAATGTACTAAAATATTCATTATAATCAGTCACCACAGACATGTGAGTTTCATAGCTTGGAAAACTTTTCCCCCACTCTCCCAAAAACTCTCGTGAAGGGAATAAAAACAAATAATGCTTAAGCATTAATAGTTTCCCATATGACTTTCCCAGTTTAAATATATGTTTTAAGAGAAAAAAAAAGTAGTCCAGAAACACTTTTATATTTCCTGAATTGGCCTTTGCACGATAAAGCCTTCTCAGCTCTGCATTAAATGAAATCCTGCTTGAATGGAAGACAGCAGACTAGTCCGTTTCTCAAACTCTTCAATCATGAGATTCCCAACTGAAGAAGATAGTGATGCTCCCCACAGGAAAACTCATTTCCTCCCCAGAAATCAAGTAACACCTCTTGCTTTCTGCTTCTTGCCCAGTAACATCAGGACTCATCTTGAGTTTATCTGATCATAGACTGGAAATCCCCAAGACAGAAAGATCCTGTCTCAGCATTTCTGTAAACACCAGGGAATGTGCTCCTCCTAAACTGAGTGTTTCCCACGAGGCAAGAATACTATGTACAAACCGCTATACTGTTTCAAAAGAACAGTGTAATGAAAAAGGTAACATCATGTTGCTCTAAAACCAATCACATTGACCAAGGCAAAAACAGAGCTTATAAAATTAAAAGAGATAGTCTTATATTTCCTACTTAATATTATTCATCAATTTATAATTAAAAGCTGTTATTTGCATGGGATATACTTTCCAAATAATTCCTTCTATTCACCTATACCTTTCTCACCACTATCTCAACTATGTGACCTGAGTAGAAAAGCTATTAGCCCCACTGGGTGAATTTTCACTGATGCAACTACAGCAATTTCTAAGTCCATGAGAACTGCTAGGAATGTTTAACAAAATCCAATACCTGCATTATAATAATGCACTTTAAAAAAATGATTAAATACACATCCATAGCTGAATGCAGAGATTCCAAGAACTTTGAATGCATAATTGCTACAATCATAGAGAGACTGGATTACGAGCCACGGCTGGTACGGATGGATTCCTTCCTCCCATTAAGGCACTCACAGGCAAGTGTGATAGACAATGTTGCTCTGATGACTGGCAGTGAGACCAGAAGATAGTGTGAAGGGCAGCAAGGAGGGTAGGGTGGGATGCGATAATGGAAAATGGGAGTGATTCATTCTACTTAATGCATATACGTTTTATGGGTTTAAATCTGGAGGGAAACAACTTTTTAAACTCAACTCCTTGTGTGTGAGAATTAAATGGAAGCACATCTTGGACCCCACTTTTTATAGGTTTAGTGCCACCTCAAAAAATTCCATACTGATCCATTCTGAAACAACTGCTTTTCTTACTGGAAAGCCACAAAGTTGGTGCAGAATCTATGAAATGGAAAATTAGACCCAAGCCAACATGCTCATGCATAAGCTTGATTTTAATGAAAAGGTACACGGAGCAGCCGCACCTGGAGGAAAAGCCCCCTCAGGGCTCCCCACCTCCAGTATCCCCATGTGCTTGAGTTTGCATCCTTACCCTGTCCCTGACTGTGTGACCTTGGGCAAGTTAGTTAACCTTTCTAAGTCCTGGCTTGTTCATCTTCAACATGGACATAGCAGGTTTGCTGTGAGGACTAAATGAGCTCATACACAAATAGTTTTAGCTCAGTACCTGGTACATATGAACATTTAAGAAACATGTCCTTCTCGTGATTAGATGTGACACTCTGACCATTTTAGAAGCAATTACGGTTCAGCTATCATATCCCAACATCTTGTGATAACCATTTTCATTTTTTGCTTCTAGCTCTTACTATTCTTTTCATCACAATATTTTAGGGTGGAGGTATTTGGGGGAGGAGGTAAGCAGTTATATACATCCCATTTTCCCACTGTTGTTCAAAGCAAGGTGAAAAGCCAGGGAAATAAACACATGCACTGAAGAGAAATTCAGTCTTTAGGATATGATGTGATAGGTGTATGGAATATAAACAAATCATATAATTTCAACCTCTCACATATAGGGCATCAAATCATAGGTAGGTCTTATTTTAAAAGAAAAGCCAAGCAGCATTAAAGAGGATAGAGGGAACCCATATGGGCCTATTGCTAGCTCAGTATTGGTGACTGTGAAACAGGGATGGGTGAGCTAGATTACGGGGGTGTTTCATGGGGTCTGACTTCCAACAGGTGGCTAGCTTTAGTCATGTTCAGATGCAAAACCGTAATGAGTTTGAGTATGCAAGTCCCAGGGATTCTGTTGAAGGCCATCTTTTCTCGGCCATCAAGGGAGACAATTTTCTAGGTTTAAGCCTCCCTGGCAAGTTAGCAAGCAGGGAACTGCCTGCCCTAGCTTGCACCTGTCCCCTGAAGGGGATTCTGGCCTGACGGTGAAGACCCACCATCCCTTCCAGACAGCCCATTCTGCCGCTGGGGCACCTCCCGACAAACGGGGGAAGCCCACTAGGAAGTGGTCACGACCAACCAAGCCACAAATCCTCAGGGTGTGGGATTTCCACCTCTATACCACGTCTGAAAACCGAAAATAGGCGCCCGCTTGCCATACTGCAATGGGATTCCCCCCAGCAGCAACCCCCCCCTCCAGCTTGCATGTTTTATTAATAAATGCAAGATGGCACACGGAGGCAAAGAATGGGAGGTAAGGCATCTGCAGCTGGACCCGAACCAGGGCAGTTTGCAAAAATAAATAAGAAGCATGTGACAAGAAGCAGGTCTCCAGGCTGGAGCTGAAGCCCTGGGCTGCCCCACGCACCCTCGCCTGGCTCCCCCGGCCAGGGGGATGAAGGTCAGCGGCAAGATCCCAGCCCTTCCGAGCACGCATCCTGCAAACCTTGACCGGTCCCCCCACCCCCCGCCCCGACCACAAGACTCGGGCAGTGAGGCAGGGGAAGCTCTGGCCGCGGCCGGCTGCGAGGACACATACCTGCTGCCCGGGCTCGGGATTCGCTCGGCTCTGCAGCGGCGCCGGCCGCGGCTCGCGCTCCCGGGGCTCCCCTCTCCGCCCCCCCGCCCCCTCGCGGCCCCGCCGCTCCCTCCGCCCCTCCGCCCACCGCGCTCGGGGGCGCGCGCGAGGCCTCGCGCCGGCGGCTTGGCCGAGCCCGCGCCTGCGCCCTCGCCTCCCGCCGGCCGCGCGCGCGCGCCCCCGAGGCTGCGGAACGGCGGCGCGGCTGTCTAGGAAACCGCGGCGTCGGCTGGCAGGGGCTGGCGGCCTGAGCTGGGCAGGGGGCGGAGGCGGGGGCTCGGCTGTCTCCGGGGCTGCCACGCAGAGCGGGCTTCGTGGCGTGGGTGAGGGGGTCGCGGGGCAGGGTCGGGGCCTGAGTGCGAGCGTGTGGAGAGGCGAGGGGGCCGCGAAGGGTGGGTTTGACGGGGACGCAGGCGGGGCGCAGAAGCAACAAGTGCGGAGGCCGAGGGCGTCGCTCGGGGAAGCGGAGGACCCCCGCGGGATTTCGTACAGCTGAGAATGGGAACCTCCCGTCGCTTTGGCGCAGCGCTTTGCAGTTTCCAGAGCTCTTTCCCAGTTGCTCCGTTTCATCCGCGCGGGGCGCCCGGTGAGGGAGCGGATGGCACGCAGTGCCCGCTGCGCTTGGAGGCCACCGAGGGGAAAACACCTCTTTCTGTGTGGCCGGAGTCATAGCACGGTCAGAGTGCCTTGACTCTCAGTTGGCTGCCTGGGAGAAAAATACCTGTCAGTACATTCATTTGATGGCCTCAGCTCAGGACCCTTGTAGGACCGTGTTTCTCCTCTTTTTCCGTTTTTCGTTATCTGACTCTTAAAAAGGCTTTTTACACGT
Source organism: Homo sapiens (assembly GCF_000001405.40). Lineage (NCBI taxonomy): Eukaryota > Metazoa > Chordata > Mammalia > Primates > Hominidae > Homo > Homo sapiens. The sequence goes on along the minus strand of NC_000015.10, from coordinate 76,059,148 downwards.
CCCCATCTCCTTTCCCCGTGAAATCCCAGTACCGCAGATACACTGTCGACCTGCTTATGTGCTGTATGTGTTATCCGTGCTTGATGCATAAAAAGTAACATTGCGCCCCTTGGAGGCAGCATCGCCCCGGTGGAGAAGCCTGTCCTAGGGCCATGATTGCCAGTTACCGGGTGGGTTAAACGGAACCACTGAGCAATCTGGATGCACCCACAGATATTCTCTGTGGTTAAAAAAAAAGTCCTCACCCATAATGGGTACTACTCTAATTAATGTTTGCAAGGGCTGCTGTGAATACGGCCATTTAAGCAGCTTCTGGATTCATAGTAGCTTATTATCGTTTGTCTTCTCCACCAATTCTTGCTAAAAATATAGCCATTTTCCTATAGGGTGTTGCGATTTTTATCTTAAAATATTTGAAAAGATGGGAAACCCTTGTTTCTAGGACACGGAGTTTCAGAATGGCTTTTGGCTCTGCAGATAGGTTTGATTTCTGATTCTTGTACCTCTTCTAAAGTGTTTTTATTTGATTAGGTCCAGTTGGCCTCCCAGGAATGTCCTTTGTCTTTTCTTCCTGCCGTAGCTTTTTTAGTATGGATAAAATGAAAATGGTAGAGTTGAAGGACTTCAAAACCACCTCTTGGAATTGCCCCACGGTCTTGGACTACCTTCCCTGGATTATACGGGAATATCTATACAGGGAGTATCTACTTTTGGCAAACTGAGAAAAAAATGTAAAATTTCTTCAGATCCTCCTTCGCCTTTCAGCATTTCCTACTCATCTCTAATCTCTAATGGTGGAATTTCAGAGGAAGAAACACTTGGAGATGATACTTGTGGAAGCTACCTGGGTTGCCAAAGGATTTTTCTACATTTCTAGACGGAAGAAATGTGGACTAGAATAGAGAAAGTGGAGATGGGTTAAGAAAAATTAATGGAGGATGCACGGGAGGGGAGCTATAGTTTTCTGACAGTCAGTGACAGCATTTTAACTAGGTACACTTTCTTTAGAAAAAGCTTTGGCATAGCTTGCCCAGATTGTTATCCACTCCATTTTCCACCTTAGTAGAACTCTACTTAAGATTTGATTGAAACTATTGAGAAGCATCCAGTTATAACGCTAATTAACTCTCAGAGTACGACAAGTATTTTGAAACTTGCTGAGAGAAATTTGAAGACCACTTCAAATTTCTACCAGGAATCTTTGTATCCTAATAAAATTTTTTTGAATTCGGGTTCATGCGACTTCAAGGGAACATTTTTTTCTACAATGGCTATTTATAGTATAATAGCCATTGTAGAAAATATTTATATTTATAAATATTTATATTATGTATTTATAATATAATAGCCATTGTATTGAAAATTACATGCTAATAAAGTTTACGTGTGTCTTAAGTGTTCTGGGTTTTGTCCTTTTCTGAGTAATCCGAGTTAATGGAAATTGTAGGTGCAACCATTTCATGTTGTAGTGTGAAGTCAAAAATCCCAAAACATGTATAATTTGTCAACTCTATGCTGCCCCCTGGTGATGTCTTACTTCACAGCACCTCCCCAAACTAAAATCTCCCTTCGATAAATTTTTTAGGGTATTGAAAACTTAAGTGTGGACGAGATGCCATTCTGCATTCTTCAAACTGGGCCTTCTCTTGTTTTCAAATACCCTGAGGCCTAACACCGGAGGAGGATTAGCCCTTGAGGCTGATGAGGCTAGAGGAACTGTGAAGATCTGCCACAGATCTCACTTTCACTTGGAGCATTATTCTTGAACTTAACTGGCTTATAAGACTCACTTGGGAACACTTGCTTAAAATCAGATTCTGTGAGTCATAAATTCAGCTGATTAGAAAAAAAAATCGGATTCTGGAGCCTCCTTTCAAACACCTTGAAATCTAATATCAGGGGGTTGACTTGTGATTTTTTTTTTAACTGCCCCAGGTGATTCTTATTGACAGGAGAGGGTGGGGGAATCCTAGAGCTATAAATAGTACAGGTGCTGCTTCAGTACACTGCAGGTGACTAATGAGAGGAATTTTGTGAGTAAAGGAGCTTAGTAGCAACAGGAAAGTATAAGAGCTGTAAAGCAGAAGTGGAACTGTGGGTTTAAGCTTGGTATATCACTTCCTTGCCAGACATAACTGTTCGTTTCTAACGTGGCTGTAGTTGGCATTCTCTCTCATACCAAGATACCTTTTGAGGTAAGTCAGATTTTCTTTTAGTTAAAAAGACTGCCTTTTCAAGAGTACCAGGATCACATAAATGGAAAATTTGTACATGTATGTAGCTGCAAGATTATGGGAGGATAGATTAGAGATGATGTTGATCCTGTGAATGTCTGAAAAAGATTGGTAGCAGAGTTAAAGCTTTTGTTCTCTTGAGATAGTTGCTTGTGAAAATAGAACAAGTGAATCTGATGCCATGTGATTTGTGAAAATTTGAATAATGCCCAAAGTCCTTAAATTGTTAATGTGATATAAATGTTAATATTTTGAAAGCTCTTCTAAATGTTATAATATAACCTCACTTATTTGGAATGTACAGGTAGAAAGCCAATCTGAGTTGGTAAAAGCCTGAAAAATGGAATATATGTGACTTTGTGTGGTATTTATTTTAAATTTGAGTACATACAATATCTAAGTCGTTTTTTATTTTTTAATTTAATTTTATTTTTATTTATTTATTTATTTATTTTTGAGACGGAGTTTCGCTCTTGTTGTCCAGGCTGGAGTGCAATGGCGCAATCTCGGCTGACTGCAATCTCCGCCTCCCAGGTTCAAGCAATTCTCCTGCCTCAGCCTCCCTGAGTAGCTGGGATTACAGGCATGCGCCAGCACACCCAGCTAATTTTGTATTTTTTTTTTCTTTAAGTAGAGATGGGGTTTCTCCATGTTGGTCAGGCTGGTCTCGAACTCCTGACCTGAGGTGATCTGCCTGCCTCGGCCTCCCAAAGGGTTGGGATTACAGGCGTGAGCCACTGCGCCCGGCCGCTAAATCGTTTTTTTTAAAAAAATCCTGTTGAGATGACTTTAGCAAATAAATATGATTAGTAACTAGCGACATTCATGTGCATGCAGTCTGTGTGGATACAATACCATGGACTCAGTAGGCTCTCAATAAAAATTAATTGTAAAGTTTTCTCCTAAGTAGGTTAAGAATACTTAATGCAGCAAGCCCATCTTCAAAGATAGTACTTAGAGCAGATTTTACCTTGAATGGCATACCAAGAGTGGGGCAATAAGAACAGTAGATCTTGGGTATGGACAATAGTAATTCTCATTATCTGTAGAGAATTTAAACTACAGTAAACCCACTAAAAGTCTGTTTTTTATTTCCAGTAATTTTTATGTACCAGTAATTCTAAACTGTGTCAATAATAAAATAGTCCTCCATGAAAAATCTCTCATGGATCTGGATTTTAAACAATTTCTGTAGTCTCTGTTAAGTTTTAGTATATGAATTTAAACTTCAAATCAGCACATTTTAATTATTTTTTTAATAAACAGTATATTCTACATGGAAATTAATTTAGAGAACTCCCACTCATACAATTGTCCTTCAACAAACATGGACCCAGCTATTGTATATATTTCCAAGTAAACTCATAAAAGTTCAGGGTAATTCAAGATTTAAGGCACAGTTCATGTTCGCAACCCTGGTGGTCCATATTCCTGCATTTAAACAGTAGATTCTTTGTAAACAATGGTAGCACAGTGATTTTAAGGATGAAGAGACAGAACTTGATTACTTAAACATTGTTCTATGTGACCACTTAGAGTTTTTGTTTATGAAATTTAAGAGTGAAACATAGTGTAAATTTTAAGGTATAATATTTTTGTTTCATGGAATTATCCTCTTGAATAATTTTTTTTGAGACAGGGCTTTGCTCTGTTGCTCAGGTTGGAGTGCAGTGGCACAATCTGGGCTCACTGTAGCCTCCGCCTCCGCCGTTCAAGCAATTCTCCTGCCTCAACCTCCCGAGTAGCTGGGACTACAGGCGCCCAGCACCACGCCTTGCTAATTTTTGTATTTTTTTCAGTAGAGTTGGGGTTTCACCATGTTGGCCAGGCTGGTCTCCAACTCCTGACTTCAAGTGATCTACCCACCTCAGCCTCCCAAAGTGCTGGGATTATAGGCATGAGCCACTGTGCCCGGCCCCCTCTTGAATAATTGAATTCAAATAATACATTTAACTTTGAATTTTTTTCTTTTTTCATTGTTAATAGTTGCTTCAAAACTAAAAAAGAAATCAAGAAAAGAGGTGTAATGTTATTTAGTACTGCAAACAAACCAGTACATTGGCATATGTGTTTTTTATTTTTTGAAAATGTTAATTTCATTACAATTTCCTTTTTTGTACTATAATACTTACTTTATTTTCTATTGGTATATAAGTGGAGTTGAATTTCCACTGTCTCTTTCCTATTGTTTCATTTCATGATTATTACTGAAAAATAATTTTATCACATAGAGGAAGAGGTAATAAAAAAATGATCCCTCTGACCTGAGGTCTGGAGTTTGAGACCAGCCTGGCCAACATGGCGAAACTCTGTCTCTACTGAAAATACAAAAATTATCTGAGCGTGGTGGTGGGCGCCTGTAATCCCAGCTACTTAGGAGGCTGAGGCCAGAGAATCGCTTGAACCGGGGAGGCGGAGGTTGCAGTGAGCCAAGATCGTGCCACTGCACTCTAGCCTGGGCAATGAGAGCGGAACTCCATCTCAAAAAACAAACAAAACAAAACAAAACAAAAATGATCCCTCTGGCTGGGTGCAGTGACTCATACCTGTAATCCTAGCACTTTGGGAGGCTGAGGCGGGCAGATCGCTTGAGCTAAGGAGTTCAAGATCAGACTGGGCAATCTGGTGAAACCCCTTCTCCACCAAAAATATTTTAAGAATTAGCCAGATGTGGTGGTGTGCACTTGTGGTCCCAGTTGCTCGGGAGGCTGAGGTGGGAGGATGGTTTGAGCCTGGGAGGCAGAGGTTGCAGTAAGCCAAGGTTGCACCACCGCACTCCAGCCTGGGTGACAGTGTGACACCCCATCTCAAAAAGAAAGAAATCCCTCTGGATGTCAGATGTTCTAAGTATATTAATGGGCCCAAATGATCACCACGTGAATGGTATTCAGTTTTTAAGTGAGTTCAGTTATGTGTTTGATATTTGGAATTTTGCATGTACTCTATGAAGAACCATTCCTTTGGCTACACAGTTCACGTGCCAAAATGGAATATCAGCGAGTACATATACATGTATTGAAAACAAAAATGATCCACTATTCCAATTGTGGTATAATTAAGCTATTTTAAAACCTAGCAAGTACAGGCCGGGTGCAGTGGCTCACGCCTGTAATCCCAGATCACTTGAGGTCAGGAGTTTGAGACCAGCCTGGCCAACATGATGAAACCCTGTCTCTACTAAAAATACAAAACTTAGCTGGGCGTCGTAGTATACGCTGGTAGTCCCAGCTACTCGGGAGGCTGAGACAGGAGAATTGCTTGAACCAGGAGGCGGAGGTTGCAGTGAGCCAAGATTGTGCCACTGTGCTCCAGGTGCCACTGCTCCTGAGACAGAGCAAGACTCTGTCTCAAAAAATAAAAAATAAGTAAAAATAAAACCTAGCAAGTACATATCCATGTAGTTATTGATAGAATCCTAGTAATTGCTGACATTTATGGAATACTTGCCATATGTCAGACACCATTCTATGTGCTTTATATATACTAATTTATTTTTTTTGTAGCAGTCCCATTGGGGAGTTATAGTTATTAATGTCATTTTACAGATGAAGAAACTGAGGCACAGAGGGATTAAGTAGCCTGCTCAAGATCACACAGCTAGTAAGGAACCAAGATTCAAACTTGGGCAGTGTGATTCAGAGACTTTAAATTCAACGCTGGTGCCTCACTGCCTCACGTATGTACACAAAGTTGTGCCTAAATAAGTTTGAGGAATCATTAAGTAGTAGGAAAAACATTCTGGATTCCAGAGTTCCAGCTCCAGTTCATTCTGTAACTATGAGTAAGGGAAATAAATCAAAGTCTCTAATTTAGAGAGACTTGTGCTTACTTCATCTAGAAGTTCTCTAAGTTTTTTTCTAACTCTAAATTTTTATGATTCTACGATTATTTTCACATAAAGGAGAAAATTTGTCTTTTTACTTTCTAACAGACTAAAAGTGAATCAGAAAAATAAAGAACCAGCATCAAATTTGAAGGTAGATACATTTTTGATGTTTTGTAGTTACAAAAATATACTATTCTTAAACCTTTTATGTTCGTTATTTGTATGACTACAGAAAGCCCATAAACTTCTGAATAATTGATTGTTGCATTCTAACTATTGACTGGAATACAAATTCGTATTTTTAATATATGCCACTTTGATATAATTAAGGTAACCTGAGCTATTGCCTTGATCTTAGTGCCATATAAAGTAAAAGCTCTTTGGGAAAATTAACTTTCTAAGTGGAAGATAGATCATATACTACTTTTTTTCCTCTTCTTTCCCACAAAGACTACCACCTTATTAAAATGACAAGACATATTAGGCTTCTGTCTGTGATAATACATGTAACATTTTTTTCTTGGGGAACACAAAACATAAAAAGTGGCTTTCATAATAAAAGAAATGTAATTCCTTGTCCTTACAAAATCCCTGTTTGCATAGTATGAAGTGGCTCCTCACCACCATCTGATCTTTTAATAAAATTCTATTTCCCTCTTAACCCAACTCCTAGCCTTTTATTTGGAAATAGTAACAGTAGTTTTTCTGGGACTTAAAAAGTTGTGAAAGGGGGAAAAATTAAACATGTCAACAAAGTGAAACTTCTGCTTCTTACTAAAAAGTCCTTTGAGGTATCACTAAGTAAAAGAAAAACATTGATATGAAATTTGCATATATATTCTACTTTCCTTCTCTTCGTGTATTACTAAAATTGTTATATAAATATTCTGTTCTTGCTTATTTCTTTATAGTGGCCACAAATTCTATTAAAGCAGAAGAAATAGTGGTGAACCATAAAAGAGAACCAGTTTCCTCTCTATTCTGCAATTTAGAGGAAAAATTTTCATCCAAGGACAGATCAGGTAAGTATTCATTCTTTTTAATGTTTTGGGGCTATATATGTAGCCATAATTTGTTAATTATAATCCTAGATCATTGGTTTGATTTAACTAAGAGACAATAAGGTAGTCTCTGCAATATGGAAAATTCCGTAATTTTTAATTTTATGGGTTTCAGTTCTGTTTGAGAAGACTGTATGTATAGAAGTATGTTCAATTAGGCTGGGCACGGTGGCTCACGCCTGTAATCCTAGCACTTTGGGAGGCTGAGGTGGGCGGATCACAAGGTCAGGAGATCAAGACCATCCTGGCTAACATGGTGAAACCCCGTCTCTACTAAAAATAAAATAAAAAAAAAGATTAGCCAGGCGTGGTGGCGGGCGCCTGTGGTCCCAGCTGCTCTGGAGGCCGAGGCAGGAGAATGGCATGAACCCCGGAGGCGGAGCTTGCAGTGAGCCGAGATAGTGCCACAGCACTCCAGCCTGGGCGACAGAGCGAGACTCTGTCTCAAAAAAAAAAAAAAAAGAAGATTGTTCAATTATATGTTAACTATTTATTTAGAAAAGTAGAAACAACAAAGTGCTGTTGCTGGTTAAGTTTAAGTCTGGTCTTTGTGATTTAAAAATAACATGAATAGAATTCAACTTTTAGGCTGAACACAGTGACTCACGCCTATAATCACAGCACTTTGGGAAGCTGAGGCGAGAGGATCGCTTGAGCATAGGTGTTCCAGACCAGCCTGGGCAACAGAGTGAGAGCCCGTCTCTATAAAAAAATAAATAAATAGGCCGGGCGCGGTGGCTCACGCCTGTAATCCCAGCACTTTGGGAGGCCGAGGCGGGCGGATCACGAGGTCAGGAGATCGAGACCATCCCGGCTAAAACGGTGAAACCCCGTCTCTACTAAAAATACAAAAAATTAGCCGGGCGTAGTGGCGGGCGCCTGTAGTCCCAGCTACTTGGGAGGCTGAGGCAGGAGAATGGCGTGAACCCGGCAGGCGGAGCTTGCAGTGAGCCGAGATCCCGCCACTGCACTCCAGCCTGGGCGACAGAGCGAGACTCCATCTCAAAAAATAAAAATAAAAATAAATAAATAAATAAATAAATAAATAAATAAAAATAGGCAGGCATGGTGGCACACACCTGTGGTCCTGGCTACTTGGTAGGCTAAGGTGGGAGGATAGCGTGAGCCCAGGAGTTCGAGGCTGCAGTGGGCTATGATCAAACCATTGCGCCACAGTCTGGGTGACAGACTGAGACCCCATATCTTAAAAAAAAAAAAATTAGTTTTGGAGAACAGGAGTCTGGAGAAAAGTCCAAGTTGCTGAGCTTAGAAAAACGAAGGCTCGGCTGGGCACGGTGGCTTACGCCTGTAATCCCAGCACTTTGGGAGGCCAAGGCGGGCAGATCAGGAGGTCAGGAGTTCAAGACCAGCCTGGCCAACATGGTGAAACCCCGCCTCTACTAAAATACAAAAAAAAAAAAAAAAAAAAATTAGCCGAGCGTGGTGGTGAGTGCCTGTAATCCCAGCTACTTGGGAGGCTGAGGGAAGAGAATTGCTTGAACCTGGGAGGCGGAGGTTGCAGTGAGCCATTGCACTCCAGCCAGGGCAATAGAGTGAGACTCCGTTTCAAAAAAAAAAAAAAAAAAAAAACGAAGGCTCGGGGTGACAATAATGCTTTTCCAGTAGATGAGATGCTGTCATACTGAGGATGGTGCCTGTTCTTTTCTAACCTCTACGAAGGAAAAACAGCAGGAAAAAATAGATTAGAAAAATCAAAGATTTTGAAATTAAGAATATTTGAGGTTGTAGTTATTTACTTTGGGAAATTGTAGAATCCTCTTTCTAGAAGATCTTCCAAGTAGTGAACATCTGCTGAGAAAAGCTTATCTACCACTTATACACCCATCATTAGGTCTTCTAACCTTATGATGCTATGGTTTACTTTGAAACGCAGACAGTTATTTATGTCTAAGGCTAACATGATATATTTCTAATGATAGAATAGGTAAACTTATAGAACTTTAAGACTATGGAGAATGATAGTTATTTTAGGAGCACAGAAATAGTCATATGTCTTATCCAATTTATTCCATTCTTGGCCGTGTGACCATCATTAACATATTTAGTTTTTCTTGGCTCTTGTAATACTCTCCAAGTACATATATGTTACCATCGACAGAAATGGAATTGTGGACTCTTAATGTATCATCTCTACCAAGACTAGAGAGAAGGATGGGAGGACAGATTTAAAGAACAGTGTGTTCAAGTGGGATTGTTAAGAATAGTTCCCCGAAATGTGGGATAGGGTGGAGATTTCAAACAATGAGAAACAGGCTACAGTATGGTAATCTGAAAATCTCATGTAGGAGCAAGGAAAGGGCTGTTGTTCTTTCTACTGAGTCAGAGAAAGAGGAGAAATTAAGGGAAGTAAGTGGTTATATTGGAAAAGGCACCTTGTAATCTAAAAGAGAACCAGCTTTTTATTAGAGTGAACTGCACAGAAGTGAAAAATAAATTGAGGGTAAAAAGGGTTTGTCCTCAAAGAAACAGACTTTCCAGTAGATATTGTTGATGAATAGGGAAGAAGGGGAAGAATGACTGAGATGTTGAAGAATTGGGTGTAGAGTGAATGTGGTTAGGAGGGTTTGAGAGTGAGGATGGGAGGGTCAGAGGTAAAAGGAAAAAGAGGCTTGTGCATATGGGGTGAGCAAATAAAATGGAAATGAAAGAAGCATTTGAGTAGGAGAAAAAATAGACACAAGTTGAGGAAAAATTAGGAACTTTAAGATAATATTTCTTTGTAAGCAAGGAGATGTTAAGGATGACCAGTTATGTATACTGAGGAAATATACTCAGGAAAATGGTCAGAGTGTGTGTGTGTATGTATGTGTGTTGCAGGTGGAAGGGGATGATAATTACCCCAGGCCTGAGAAGGGCACACACATATGAAAAGTAACTAGGCTGGTTGACCCTCTTATTTCAGAGAAGTTTTCCTGGAACAATGTTGACAGACATATCCTGTTTGGATTTTTTTTTTCTTTTATGTGACGGAGTATTGCTCTATCCCCCAGGCTGGAGTACAGTGGCGTGATCTCAGCTCACTGCACCTCCACCTCCTGAGTTCAAGCCATTCTCCTGCCTCAGCCTCCTGAGTAGCTGGGACCACAGGCATGCACCACCGTGCCCGGCTAATTTTTGTATTTTTATTAGAGACGGGGTTTTACTATGTTGGCCAGGCTGGTCTCGAACTCCTGACCTCAGGTGATCCATCCACCTCGGCCTCCCAAAGTGCTGAGATTATAGGCATGAACCACCACGCCTGGCCCCTATTTGGATATTGATTGTAGACTGAGTTTCTAGGCTTCAAGGGCATAGGAAGTCTTTAGAAAGACCCAGGTATGTATGAGAGGCAGCGCTTAGGGTAGTGAGGGTGGGGAGCACTATGATTTTTTTCTCCTTTACATTTCTATACAGAGCTATAGCACTTTGTAGAGACATGCATAATTCAAGACTATTTCTGGCAGCAAAGAATGGAAAGTTTGGTATTGCCATGTGGCAGTAGCTTAAGAGTTTATAAATCACATTCACCAGCCAGCTTTTTTTTTTTTTTTTTTTTGAGTCAGAGTCTTGTTTTGTTGCCCAGGCTGGAGTATAGTGGCCTGATCTCAGCTTGCTGCAACCTCTGCCTCCTGCGTTCAAGTGATTCTCATGCCTCAGCCTCCGAAGTAGCTAGAATTACAGGCATGCACCACCACACCTGGCTAATTTTGATGTTTTTAGTAGAGATGGGGTTTTACCACATTGGCCACGCTAGTCTCAAACTCCTGGCCTCAAGTGATCTGCCTGCCTCGGCCTCCCAAAGTGCTGGGATTATAGGCATGAGCTACCGTGCCCAGCCTCCAACCAGCTTTTGAAACTTTTTTTTTTTTTTTTTTGAAACAGGGTTTCTCTTGTCACCCAGGAGTACAGTGACAAGATCATAGCTCACCACAGCCTTGAACTCCTGGGCTCCAGGGATCCTCCCACCTCAGCCTCTGGAGTAGCTGGGACTACAGGCCTGTGCCATCACAGTCAGCTAATTAAAAAACATTTTTTTTGGACACATGGTCTCACTATGTTGCCCAGGCTGGTCTTGAACTCCTGGGCTCAGGTGATCCTCCCACCTCAGCCTCCCAAGTAGCTGGGATTGTAGTTGCAAGCCATTGCGTCTGGCTGCAACTTTAATTCTTGATGAATTATTAATTTGGGGAATTTGTGTTATTTCATATTTAGCATATAAAGTGAATCTTTATTATTAAATCATTTTACATTTGCAGAGACTGCAACTATACACTATTTTTTTTCACTTTTTTTGAGGTAAAATATACATATAAAATTTACCATCTTTACCACTTTTAAGTGTACGGTTTATTGGTAATAAATACATTTATATTCCTTTTTTCACCCTTTATCCTTCCCTCTCCTCTATCCTTAATGGCCTTTGGTAACCACCATTCTACTCTCTGTCTTCATGAGATTCATTTTTTTTAGCTTCTATATATGAGTGAGAACATATTTGTCTTTCTGTGCTTAGATTATTTTGCTTGACATAATTGGCCTCCAGATTCATCTATGTTGCTGCAAATGACGGGATTTTATTCTTTTTTTTATGGATGAATAATACTCCAGTGTGTACGTATATCCTATTTTCTTTATTCATCCATTGATAGGCACTTAGGATGATTTCATATTTTGGCTATTGCTAATAGTGCTGCAGTATAGACGGGAGTGCAGATAGCCCTTTGATATATTGATTTCCTTTCTTTTGGATGTAGACTCCATAGTGGAATTGCTGGATCAGATGGTAGATCTATTTTTAGGCTTTTGAGAAGCCGCCATACTGTTCTGCATAGAGGTTGTACTAATTTACATTCCCACCAACAGTATATGAGGGCTTTCCCTTCTCTACATCCCCACCAGTATCTTTTATTGATGATATTTCATTGTGGTTTTGATTTGCATTTCTCTGATTAGTCATGTTGAGTGTTTTTTTTAATACACATGTTGACCATTTGTATGTCTTCTTTTGAGAAATGTCTGTTCAAGTCTTTTGCCCATTTAAAAATCAGATTATATGTATATATTTTTTTGCTATTGAGTTGTTTGAGCTCCATATATATTCTGGTTATTGATTCTTTGTCAAATGGATAGTTTGCAAACATAGTCTTCCATTCTGTGGGCTGTCTCTTCAATTTGTTGATTGTGTCCTTGTGCAGAAGCTTTTTAGCTTGATGTAATCCCATTTGTCTATTTTTGCTTTGGTTGCCTTTGAGGTCTTACCCCAAAAATCTTTACCCAGACCAATGTCATGGAACATCTCTCCAATGTTTTCTTCTGTAGTTTCATAGTTTCAGCATTAAATATTTGTCTTTAATCTATTTTGATTTGATTTTTGTGTATGGTGACAGCTAGGGGTCTAGTTAAATTCTTCTGCATCTGGTAACCTTTCCCCATTGTATGTTCTTGGCACCTTGGTCAAAGAGGAGTTGGCAATAAATGTGTGGATTTACATCTGGATTCTCCATTCTGTTCCATTGGTCTATGTGTCTGTTTTTATGCCAGTACTATGCTGTTTTGGTTACCATAGCTTTGTAGTAAATTTTGAAGTCAGGTAGTGTGGTGCCTTCAGCTTTGTTCTTTTTGCTCAGGATTGCTTTGTCTATTCCAGGTCTTTGGTAGTTCCATATAAATTTAAGAATTTTTTTTCCTATTTTTATAAAGAACGCCGTTCGCATTTTGATAGAGATTGCATTGAATCTGTAAATTGCTTTGGGTAGTCTTTATCATTTTAACAATAATTCTTCCAATTAATGAGTATGGAATATCTTTCCTTTTTTGTGCGTGTCCTCTTCAATTTCTTTCATCAGTTTCATGGTTTTGCTTGTATAGATCTTTCACTTCTTTAGTTAGATTGATTCCTAGGTATTTTATATATTTTTGTAGTTATTGTAAATGAAATTGCTTTATTTTTAATTTTTGTGGGAACATAGTAGGTATATACATTTATGGGTTACATGAGATATTTTGATACATGCATGCAATGCATAATCACATCAGGGTAATGGGGTATCCATCCCCTCAAGCATTTATCCTGTGTGTTACAAACAATCCAATTATACTCTTAGTTATTTTAAAATGTACAATTACATTATTTTTTACTGTAGTCACCCTGTTGTGCTAGCAAATACTAGGTCTTATTGATCCTTTCTTACTAATTTGGATCCATTAACTATCCCCACTTCCCCCAACCAGCCCCCTGCTCCACCCTTCCCAGCCTCTGGTAACCATCTTTCCACTCTCTACCTCCATTAGTTAAATTATTTTAATTTTTAGCTCCCACAAATAAGTGAGAAGATGCGAAGTTTGTTTTTCTGTGCCTGGCTTATTTCACTTAACAGTGACCTCCAGTTCCATCCATGTTGTTGCAAATGATAGGATCTCATTCTTTTTTTTATGGCTGAATAGTACTCCATTGTATGTATGTACCAAATTTTCTTTATCTGTTCATCTGTTGATGGATGCTTAGGTTGCTTCCAAATCTTAGCTCTTGCGAATAGTGCTGCAGTAAACATGGGAGTGTAGATATCTCTTTGATGTACTGACTTCCTTTCTTTTGGGTGTATATCTCAGAGTGCAATTGCTGGGTCATATGGTAGCCCTATTTTTAGTTTTTTAAGGAACCTCCAAATTGTTCTCCATAGTGGTTCCCACCAACAGTATGTGAGTGTTTCCCTTTCTCCATATCTCCTCCAGCATTTATTAATGTCTGTCTTTTGGATAAAAGCCATTTTAACTGATGTAAGATGATATCTCATTGTAGTTTTGATTTGCATTTCTCTGATGGTCAATTATGTTGAGCACCTTTTCATATGCCTGTATGCCATTTGTATGTCTTTTGAGAAATGTCCGTTCAGATCTTCTGTCCATTTTAATACCAGATTATCAGGTTTTTTTCCTATAGAGTTGTTTGAACTCCTTATATATTCTGGTTATAATCCCTTGTCAGATGGGCAGTTTGCAAATATTTTCTCCATTCTGTGGGTTGTTTCTTTTTTGATTATTTCCTTTGCTGTGGAGAAGCCTTTTGTTGATTGTTTCCTTTGCTGTGTAGAAACCTTTTAACTTGATAGGATCCCATTTGTCCATTTTGGCTTTGGTTGCCTGTGCTTGTGGGGTATTACTCAAGAAATCTTTTTTTTTTTTTTTTTGAGACAGAGTCTCGCTCTGTCGCCCAGGTTGGAGTGCAGTGGTATGATCTCGGCTCACTACAAGCTCCGTCTTCTAGGTTCATGCCATTCTCCTGCCTCAGCCTCAGCCTCCCAAGTAGCTGGGACTACAGGTGCCCGCCACTATGCCCGGCTAATTTTTTGTATTTTTAGTAGAGACGGGGTTTCACCGTGTTAGCCAGGATGGTCTTGATCTCCTGACCTCATGATCCACCCACCTCAGCCTCCCAAAGTGCTGGGATTACAGGTGTGAGCCACTGCACCCGGCCTACTCAAGAAATCTTTGCCCACTCCAATGTCCTAGAGAGTTTCCCCAATTTTTTTTAGTAGTTTCATAGTTTGACATCTTAGAATTAAGCCTGTAATCTTATTTTGATTTGGATTTTTGTATATGGTGAGAGATAGGGGTCGAGTTTCATTCTTCTGCATATGGATATCCAGTTTTCCCAGCACCATTTATTGAAGAGACTGTCCTTTCCCCAAGTATGTTCTTGGCACCTTTGTCAAAAATGAGTTCATGTGGCCGGGCGCGGTGGCTCACGCCTGTAATCCCAGCACTTTGGGAGGCCGAGGCGGGTGGATCATGAGGTCAGGAGATCGAGACCATCCTGGCTAACAAGGTGAAACCCTGTCTCTACTAAAAATACAAAAAAAAAAATTAGCCGGGCGCGGTGGCGGGCGCTTGTAGTCCCAGCTACTCGGGAGGCTGAGGCAGGAGAATGGCGTGAACCTGGGAAGCGGAGCTTGCAGTGAGCCGAGATTGCGCCACTGCAGTCCGCAGTCCCGCCTGGGCGACAGAGCGAGACTCCATCTCAAAAAAAAAAAAATTAGTTCATGTATGGATTTATTTCTGGGTCCTGTGTTCTGTTCCATTAGTCTATGTATCTATTTTTATGCCAGTATCATGCTGTTTTGGTTACAGTAGGTCTGTAGTGTAATTTGAAGTCAGGTAATGTGATTTATTCAGTTTTGTTCTTTTTGCTTAGCATAGCTTTGGCTATTCTGGGTCTTTTCTGGTTCCATATAAGTTTTAGGATTGTTTCTTCTGTTTCTGTGAAGAATGTCATTGGTATTTTGATAGAGATTGCATTGCATCTGTAGATTGCTTTGGGTAGTGTGGACGTTTTAACAATATTGAATCTTCCAATCTATGAACATGAAATATCATTCCATTTTTTGTGTCTTTTTCAATTTCTTGCATTGGTATAGTTTTCATTGTAGAGAGCTTTCACTTCTTTGATTAAGTGAATTCCTTGATACTTGATTTGTAGCTATTGTAAATGGGATTACTTTCTTGATTTCATTTTCAGTTTGTTCACTTTTGGCATATAGAAATGCTACTAATGTTTGTTTGTTGATTTTGTATCCTGTAACTTTGCTGAATTCGTTTATCAGTTCTAAATTTTTTGATGAAGTCTTTAGGTTTTTCCAAGTATAAGATCATAATAATCTGCAAACAATGATAATTTGATTTCTTCCTTTCCAATCTGAATGCCCTTTATTTCTTTCTCTTGTCCTATTGCTCTAGGTAGGACTTCCAATACCATGTTGAATAACAGTGGTGAAAGTGGGCATCCTTGTCATCTTCCAGATCTTAGAAGAAAGACTCAGCTATTCCACATTCAGTATGATACTAGTTATGGGTCTGTCATATATAGCTTTTATTATGTTGAATTATGTTCCTTCTATACCCAGTTTTTTTAGTTTTTATCACAATGAAATGTTGAATTTTATCAGATGCTTTTTCAGCATCAATTGAAATAATCATATGATTTTTGTCCTTCATTCTTTTGATATGATGTATCACATTGATTTGTGTATGTTGAACCATCCTTGCATCCATGGGATAAATCTCACTTGGTCATGACAAATGATATTTTTAGTATGTTGTTGAATTTGGTTTGCTAGTATTGTGTTGAAGATTTTTGCATGAGTGTTAACCCGGGCTATTGGCCTGTAGCTTTTTTTTTAAATGTGTTTTTATCTGGTTTTGATATCAGGGTAATACTGACCTTGTAGAATGAGCTTGGAACTATTCCCTCCTCCTCTCTTTTTCAGAATAGTTTGAGTAGTATTGGTATTAGTTCTTTTTTAAATGTTTGATAAAATTCAGCAGTGAAGTCAGAGGTCTCCGGCTTTCCTTTGTTGGGAGACTTCTTAATATGGCTTCTATCTTATTAGTTGTTATTAGTCTGTTTAGGTTTTGGATTTCTTCATGGTTGAATCTTGGTAGGTTGTATATGTCTAGGAATTTATCCATTTCTTCTTGGCTTTTCAATTTATTGGCATGTAGTTGCTCACAGTAGCCTCTAATGATCCTTTGAATTTCTGTAGTATTGGTTGTAATGTCTCCTTTTTCACCTCTGATTTTATTTATTTGTATCTCCTCTCCTTTTTTCTTAGTCTGGCTAAAGATTTATCAATTTTGTTTATCTTTTCAAAAAACCAACTTTTTATTTCATTGATCTTTTGTATTTTATTCATTTCAATTTTATCTCTGCTCTTTATTCTTCTACTGATTTTTGGGTTTGGTTTGCTTTTGCTTTTCTATTTCTTTTAGATGCTTCATTAGGTTGTTTATTTGATGTTTTCCTACTTTTTAAATGTAGGTGCTTATAGCTATAAACTTCTCTCTCGGTATTGCTTTTGCTGTATCCCATAGGTTTTGGCATGTTGTGTTTCCATTATCATTTGTTTCAGTAAATGTTTCAGTTTTCTTTTTAATTTCTTCATTGACCCACTGGTCATTCTGGAGCATATTGTTTAATTTCCATGTGTTTGTATAGTTTCCAAAGTCCCTCTCATTATTGATTTCTAGTTTTATTCCATTGTGGTCAGAAAAGATGTTTGATATTATTTCAATTTTTAAAAATACTTTAAGACTTGTTTTTTGACCTAACATATGGTCTATCCTTGAGAATGACCCATGTGCTGAGGAAAAGATTGTGTATTCTGTAGCTGTTGGATTAAATGTTCTATAAGTATCTATTTGGTCCATGTGGTCTATAGTACAGATTAAGTCTGATGTTTCTTTGTTTATTTTCTGTCTGGAAGATCTGTCCAACGCTTAAAGTGGGGTGTTGAATCTCCAGCTCTTATCATATTGGAGTTTATCTCTTTCTTTAGCTCAAATATTTGCTCTATATATCTGGGTGCTCTAGTGTTGGGTGCATATATATTTAAAATTGTTATATTCTCTTGCTGAATTGAACCCTTCATTATTATATAATGACCTTATTTGTCTCTTCTTAAAAGTTTTTGTCATGGAATCTATTTTGTCTGATATAAGTATAGCACTCCTCTTTTTTGGTTTCTGTTGGTATGAAATATCTTTTTCTGTCTCTTTATTTTCAATCTATGTGTATCATTATAGGTAAAGTGTGTTTCTTGCAGGCAACAGATCATTGGGTCTTGTGGGTTTTTTTTGGGTTTTTTGTTTGTTTTCTTATCCATTCAGCCACCCTGTCTTTTGATTGAAGAGTCTAGTCCACTTACATTAAAGGTGATTATTGATAGGCAAGGACTTACTCTTGCCGTTTTATTTGTTTTCTGGTTGTTTTATGGTCTTCTCTTCCTTTTTTCCTTCCTTCCTGTTTTCCTTTTAGTGAAGGTGATTTTCTCTGGTGGTATAATTTAATTTCTTTTTATTTTTTGTGTATCTGTTGTATGTTTTTTGATTTGAGATTACCATAAAGCTTGCAAATACTATCTTATAACCCATTATTTTAAGATGATTACAACTTAACACTGATTGCATAGACAAACTAACAAGCAAAAAGAAAACTAATAAAAACTTTAACTTCATCCTCTTGCTTTTTAACTTTGTGTTTCTATTTATATCTTACAGTTCTGTCTATGTTTTGAAAAGTTGTTGTAGTTATTATTATCATTATTATTTGAGACAGAGTCTCACTTTGTCACCCAGGCTAGAGTGCAGTGGCACAATCTCAGCTCACTTCAACCTCTGCCTCCTGGGTTCAAACGATTTTCCTGCCTTAGCCTCCCTAGTAGCTGAGATTACAGGCATGCATGACCACAGCTGGCTGATTTTTATATTTTTAGTAGAGACAGGGCTTCACCATGTTGGCCAGGCTGGTCTCGAACTCCTGACCTCAAATGATCTGTGATCTGCCTGCCTTGGCTTCCCAAGGTGCTGGGATAACAGGTGTGAACCACCATGCCAGGCCCATAGTTATTATTTTTGATTGGTTCATCATTTAATCTTTCTATTTAGGATAACAGTTGTTTACACACCACAGTTCAGTGTTATAAAAGTCTCTGTTTTCTGTGTACTTACTATTGATAGTGAGTTTTGTACTTTCAGATGATGTCTTACTGCTCATTGACATCCTTTTCTTTTTCTTTTCTTCATCCTTACTTCTGATAGAAGTACTCCCTTTAGCATTTCTTGTAGGACAGGTCTGATGTTGATGAAATCCCTTAGCTTTTGCTTGTCTGGGAGAATCTTTATTTCTCCTTCATGTTTGAAGGATATTTTTGCTGGATACATTATACTATTCTAGGGTAAACTGTTTTTAACCTTCAGCACTTTAAATAAATCATGCCACTCTCTCCTGCCCTGTAAGTTTTCCACTGAAAAGTCTGCTGCCAGACATATTGGAGGTCCATTGTATGTTATTTGTTTCTTTTCTCTTGCTGCTTTTGGGATCCTTTCTTTATCCTTAACCTTTGGGAGTTTGATTATTAAATTCCTTGAGGTAGTCTTCTTTGGGTTAAATCTGCTTGCCTTCTCTCTCTCTCTCTCTTTTTTTTTATTTGGCGGGGTGGCAGGTACAGAGTCTCACTTTGTTGCCCAGGCTGGGGTGCAGTAGTGCAATCTTGGCTCACCTCAACCTCTGCCTCCGGGTTCAAATGATTCTCATGCCTCAGCCTCTCAAGTAGCTGAGAGCATAGGTGTGTGCCACCACGCCCAGCTAATTTGGGACAGGGTTTCGCCATGTTGGCCAGGCTGGTCTCAAACTCCTGGCCTCAAATGGTCCACCTTTGGGAGGCTTTAGCCTCCCAAAGTGCTGGGATTACAGGTGTTAGCCACCGCACCCAGCCAGCCTTTTTGTACTTGGTTATTAATATCTTTTTCTAGGTTTGTGAATTTCTCTCTTATTATCCCTTTGAATAAAGTTTCTACCCCTCTCTCTACCTTCTCTTTAAGGCCAATAACTCTTAGATTTGCCCTTTTGAGGCTATTTTCTAGATAATGTAGGTGTGCTTCATTCTTTATTTTGCTTTAATCTCTAACTGTATTTTCAAATAGCCTGTCTTCAAGCTCACAAATTCTGTCTTATGCTTGATCAATTCTACTATTAACAGTCTCTGATGCATTATTCAATATGTCAATTGCATTTTTCACCTTCAGAATTTCTACCTATTCTTTTCAATTATTTTAATCTCATTGTTAAATTTATCTGATAGAATTCTGCATTCCTTCTCTGTGTTATCTTGAATTTCTTTGAGTTTCCTTAAAACAGCAATTTTGAATTCTCTGTCTGAAAGATCATGTATTTCTGTTTCTTCAGGATTGGCCTCGCACCTTATTTAGTTCATTTGGTGAGGGTATGTTTTCCTGGATGGTCTTGATGCTTGTGGATATTTGCTGGTGTCTGGGCATTGAAGAGTTAGGTATTCATTGCAGTATTCTCAGTCTAGGCTTGTTTGTATCCACCTGTCTCGGGAAGGTTTTCCAGGTATTCAAAAGGACTTTGAGTGTTGTGATCTAAGATCTAAGCCATGTCTGCATTATGGGGCACCTCAAGCCCAGTAATGCTGTGGTTCTTGCAGACTTGTAGAAGTACCGTCTTGGTGATATTGGATAATTCTGGAAGAATTCTCTGGTTTACCAGGCAGAGATTCTTATTCTCTTCCCTTACTTTCTCCCAAACAAATGGAGTTTCTCTGTGCTGAGCCACCTCTGGCTGGGAGTAGGGTGACACAAACACCCCTATAGCCACCACCAGTGGGACTGTGCTGGGTTAGACCTGAAGCCAGCACAGCACTGGGTCTTGCCCAAGGCCTGCTGTAACCAGTACCTGGCTGCCACTTATGTTCATTCAAAGCCCTAGGGCTCTACAGTCAGCATCTAGTGAAGCCAACCAGGCTTGTGTCCTTCCCTTCAGGGCGGCAAGTTCCTGCAGGCCCTGGGCAGGTCCAGAGATGCCATCTGGGAGCTAAGGACTGGAGTCAAAAACCTTAGAAGTCTTCCTGGTGTTGTATTCCACTGTGGCTGAGTGGGCTTTCAAACCATGAAAAACAGTTCTCACTTTTCCCTCTCCTTTTCACAGGCAGAGGACCCTCACCTTATGGTCACTACCACCTAAGGCCCACAGGGAGTACTGCCAGGCTACCACCAATGTTCACTTAAGGCCTGAGGGCTCTTCAGTTAGCTTGTGGTGAATGCTACCAAGCCTGGGATTCACTCTTCAGGGAAGTGGGGTCCCCTCTGGCCCAGGCCATGTCCAGAAATGCCATCCACGAGCCAAGGCCTGGAATCAGGGACCCCAAGAGCTTGATTGGTGCTATACCACGTTGTGGTAGAGCTTGTACTTAAGATGCAAGACAAAGTCTCCACTTTTTCCTCTGCTTTTCTCAAGCAGAAGAAATCTCTTACCATAGCCACCACAGGTGGGAATGTGCTGGGTCTCACCTGAAGCCAGTGTGTCTCCCAGTCTCACCCAAGGCCCATGCCATACTACCTAAGTATCACTATTGATTATTCAGGGTCTCAAGGGCTCTTTAGCCAGCAGATGATGCATCCTGCCAGGAATAGGTCCTTCCCTTCAAGGAATCAGTTTCCCTGTGGGTCCAGGGTGTGTCTAGAAATGTCATCTGGGGAGCTAGGGCCTGGAATGGGGGCCACAATTCTGTCTAGTATTGTGTCTAGTATTGTATCCGACTGTGGCTGAGCTGGTGTCCAAGGTGCAAGACAAAATTCCTCTTTACTCTTCCCTCTTCTCTCCTCTCAAGCGGAAAGGGAGTATTTGCACTACCTCCTTTTCAACACCAGGCAATACAGCTTGTGGCTCTTTTGTGACTTTTTTGGAGCCACAGCTGTGTTGCCTGGGGTTGGGGGACGGGTAGTGCAAGCACTCCCTTAGGTGCCCTGGCTTGTGTCTCAGTAAGTCTCATGACCGGTAAGTCCACTGGCTCCAAGCCCAGCTCAACACTAAAACTTGCAGTTCTTGGGGCCTAGACTGCCTTTACGGTTTATTTAGGGCCCCAGAGCACTTCAGCCCACAATGAGGAAGCTTGCTGGAACTCAAGTTCCAGCTGCTGGGATGGGTGATTCTCCTCTGGCTAGGGCTTGTCTGAATGCTCCCTCTGTAGATGGGTGTCAGCTAAGTTCAGCCCAGTTTTGCTTTATACTGTGACAGCACTGAGTTCAATGTAAAGTCTCACAGTCTCTGTGCTCTCACTCTCCCCAAGCACACAGATTTCTTCACAACACTTGGCTACTGTGATGGGATAGGGGAGGGGTAGCATCAACAATTCAAGACTCTTTCCTACTCTAAGTTTCTCTTTCAGAACTATGAAGTTAAAATCAGGTGCTGTGAGTGCTCACCTGATATTTGGTTCTTATAAAGGTGCTTTTTTTGTGTGTGTAGATAGTTGTTGAATTTGGTGTTCCTGCAGGGGGGATGATTGGTAGGACCTTCCATTCTGCCATCTTGCTCCATCCCTCGAGATTGCTTTTTTGATTGCTTTTTCAGATTGTTTGCTTTTGGCGTATAGAAATACTATTGATTTTTGTATGTTGATTTTTGTATCCTGCAACTTTACTGAGTTTATTAGCTCAAACAGTTTTTTTTTGGTGGAGTCTTTAGGTTTTTCTGTGTATAAGATCATGTCATCTGCAAATAAGGCTAATTTGACTTCTTCCTTTCCAGTTTGGATTCTCTTTATTTCTTTTTCCTGTCTAATTGCTCCAGCCAGGACTTCCAGTATTATGTCGAATAACAGTAGTGAGAGTGGACATCCTTATCTTGTTCCAGTCCTTAGAGGAAAGGCATTTGATTTTTCCCCATTCAGTAGGAGTTAGGTGGTCATACACTATTTAAGTTTCCCAATTAAGAGTGATGATAATAGCTAGCACTTGTTGAATCCTTCCTATGTTCCAGGCATTTTACATGTATAAATTAATTTGATACTCAGATATCCCTTTGAATGAGGCATTATCATTATGTCCCCTTCTAACTCCGCCCTCATGTATAGATGAAGAAAGTAGACACAATGATTTTTCTCCCAATGTCACACACCCATTATAGGGTGCAACATTCTACTGTGGAATTGGGAATTGGAGTCTAGCCTTCTGGCTCCAGAGCCCATTCTCTGTATACTGTATAGCTACACTACATATATTTATATATATAAAAAACTATGAGTTGAGGGTTGCTGGGAAGTGATGATACTTTGAATGGTTGGTGACTTGAGTATATTTATAGGTGGCACAATTTATGTTAAAGTAGCTTTTGTGAGCTGCTACATGGAATAAAAATTTATTGCTTAAACATTTTACATAAAGTTGTTTATGCCAATATAATCAGTGATGTGAGGAGCTATTGCCTGGAGCAGGCCGGCTGCTGTTATTCAAAAGACCACATCAGGTGGTAGAACCTTAGTGAAATTTTTACCAGGGCCTGACTCAGTCTTTTTGTCTTAGAAACCTAATCTGATCAGTAGTGCCCCAGAGAAGAATAAAGTAGTTTGACAACCTTATAAACCTAATATGTAATGCCAGAATGCAAATTTATTAACATACTAGGAGATAAAACTGTTACATAAACCAGTTGAACCATAATGATCAAGTCATTTTCTTTCAGGTGGTGGACCTAGATGGGAAACCCAAATTATAATCAAGAGATTTCTTGGTGAGCAACAGGCACCTTAAATATTTTTTGTTTTTTCACAACGTTTATCTATTTCAGAAATACCTCAGGTATGTCATCAACAATAGCTGCTATTGGCGTGTACTGTCAGTCTTTAACTTCTAAATAGCCTCCACCCCAGGGCCCGACCACCAGGGGCTCTGCTGCCATAGAAACAGTTGTTAACAAACATGGGTATTTTAGAGAATCTGTAGGTTCAGAATTGAGGAAAGGAAGAGTCCATGAAAAGCAGAGTTGCTAAAGGGTGCTGCTAATTTCAAGGATAGACTCCTAAGTAGGATGGGTTTGCTTGAGTGGGGATTTCTGTACCTAAAATGTATTTCTATAACACTGCCTGAGGGACTTTTTTTTTTCACTTCTGTTACCGAGTCTGAAATTTCACCAAATAGAGTTTGATTTCTTAAAATTATAAATATTCATAAGTGGCAGATATTCTTAGTGGCTTCCATAATACCCATTCCCTATTGCTCACCTTAATTTTGTTAGGGCAGCAATGTGCCCAGCTTGAAATAAAAAATCGAATAGTTGAAACCAGTCATAACAATCCTGTTCTCCTTTGCCAGTGATTAAGAAGGGAAGTCTGCTGAGTTCAGGGAGGGCTTTTGCTTTCCTGATAAAGAGGACAGAGGTGGCTGGTACTTTACTCTTTCTCCTCTCTTTGTGCCTTAAATGGAATCATGAAGCCAGGAGCTATAGCAGGCATCTTGTAACCATGAGATGACAAGCATGAGGCTAAAATATTCTCACAAGCTGTGGACCTTGGAGTAGATGGACAGAAAGAGACTGGGGCATTGTTGAACAGCAGTTCTGGCTTTGGACTACCTACCTCCAGACTTAACAGAGAAAGATGAGAGGAAAGTTATTACCCTTGTTATGTGACCGCAAGGCATTTGATTAACTTGTGCCTGCCGTTCAATGGCAGGCTGGCTCTGTGGAAATGGAGGCTATAATATAAGGAGAAGCAATAGGAAAAATCTGGAATATTGGCATGTATTAATTACTTCTTGTGACTTTTCAGTAGGATCCTATAGAAGGGGGTGAACTCAAATTAGTGCTCCTCAGCATTGAACGCGCAGTGGTGGTGGTGGGGATGCAGTTCGCCATAGAAGTATTCTGCCTTTAGCTCCTGCTCTAAATTGACAAAGAACCTCATAATTTGGAATTTTGCAGGGATTAGTGGTAGTACCTCTCCACCTAAAGCTATTGTTAGAATTGCCTCAAGTCTATTTAAGAGTTCATAGGTCAGCAGCTAAGAGATAAGAATCCCCAGGCCTAAAGATTATTTGGAAGTGTTTTTTTTTTTTTTAGCTATGGTTATTCACACAAGGAGTTGATGTGAAGCAAATAAAACAGAAGTTTTTCCCTCCAAGCAATTGTCATATCCACCACTCTAAGTCAAACCAGTGTGAAGTGGGCTGCAAAAGCTTTGGAGCCCCTGGGAAGGGTGTCTGTTTAGAAACTACCTTAGATGTCGCCAAAGAGGGCAATGACAAAGCAGATGCTCCTGAGACTTATAGCAGGACCTAGCAGATTGACTAACCAGGGAATTTACTTTACTGCCTGCCAAGGAATCTGCTGTTTCTGTCCTTAAGATAATGGTGTGGATTGTGGGCTGTTGACAATGTGTGCTTCCCATTATTCCCTTTTCTGAATGGGAATTTTAATGGGGTTACTCTGTTCTTTCTTTTTCACAGTTATATTAACAAAGGAGGATGGCTTAGAGATAGATATCTTATCTTTTGCCTATTCAGATGGTCAGATAGGAATTGCCGTATTTGCACTTGATATAGCAGATAGAAAATCACCCAGGGATTCTGTTTAAAGCTGTTTGCAGTAATTGGATGAGACAGTAGGGTTGTCTTTCTTGAGGAGAGAATGAGTATGTTCTGTTTAATGCATAGGTGTGAGAAGAAGTGTGTATGTGCATGTTGGGTTGAGGACTGTGACAGACACTATTGGTTATCCAATCCAATATCTATTCCTTATTTTCACCATAAAAATTAGAAAAGTTAAATACTAGATTTTTAAAACTTATTGCTACAGTGGCCATGTAATACAGTTCTAGTCCATGAGTCTGCTGGGGGACTTCACGGAAGGCTTTCCTCTTTTCTGATAAAAGGGTCAGACAGGGCTGGGGTAACCCCTTTTCTGGGTTTGACCTTAGATGTGATGCTTAAAGCTGAAGTGACCATCTTGGAACCATTAGGCAATAAAAATGAGTACAAAAAGTTAACACATTTAGGATGGTGGAGAAAAAATACTGAAAATATTGATGACATCATTGATTAGTGAACCAACTTTAGCTGTTGCTCTGTTCAAGATTTTGTGTCTTGTGAGAAATTTATCCATATTTGTTTATGCTACTGTGAACTGGGTTGACTGTTACAACCTAAAGCTTTCTAAACTGATACATTATAAAAGTCTCTTTTATATGCTACAATATCAGGTACATTTTTGTTTTTAACCATGATGTCCTATTAGTAAATAATGGTTATATGAAGTAAGGGCAAGCCTTATTTGTTTATTTTTTGAAATACAGATGTGATTTCATTATGTTTCCCAGGCTGATCTTGAACTCCTGGCCTCCAGGTATCTTCCTGCCTTGGTCCCCTAATGTGCTAGGATGACAGGCGTGAGCCACCACAACTGGCCGGGAAAAGCTTTTGGGGAAAAACAAACAAACTAAAACAAAACAAAACAAAAAAACTTTTACAGTAGGCTGATTCAATTCACATGTAAAATTGCATTTTTGAGGTGTTACTATTGACAGACATCTTCTTGATACATAGCCCAGTTTACATTTTACTTTTAGGAGTAGAATGTCAGCATAGCTAAGACTTGCACTTTAATATAATTAGGGAATATCTTCTGAAAATTGGTTTCCCATG
Source organism: Homo sapiens (assembly GCF_000001405.40). Classification (NCBI taxonomy): domain Eukaryota; kingdom Metazoa; phylum Chordata; class Mammalia; order Primates; family Hominidae; genus Homo; species Homo sapiens. The sequence continues at coordinate 76,033,037 of NC_000015.10, read as the reverse complement.
TAGTAAGAAATGCTACAAACTTTTACAACCAAATAAAAGTCTTCAGAAAGAAATTGCTGAGTCCAGTATGATAGGTTCAATATAGTCATGGCTTTTGAATAAGATAGTATTTTAGTTCTGCATCACTGACTGCTGGGAAATGTTTATTACTTCCAAAGTGATATTTTACTCTAACTGCCTTATATCAGAACATCTACTTTTACTTTCAGTTGTCCTTTTAAATGTTTTTGTTCATCATTTCAGAAAATTTTTTGTTCCAATTGTTGACTCAATCATATGAGGTTTAAGATTTTACTTTTCTATTTTTGCCTTTCTAAAAATTAATTCATGGTAATAGCCATTTGTGCCAGCTTTTTATATCACAAGGAGATGCTTAAACAACAACCAAAGGAAAATATGTGGCAAAGAAGAATAGATATTTTTCTGTGGATGTAGTTTATAGAAAAATTATATTTGGCCTTCAAAGAAAGTTTTTAAGATTTTATGTTTGTTATTTATTCACATACTGACAAGTTGTGATCAAAATAATTTTCCTAGAAAAGTAGTCTGAAGTTTTTTCATTTTGTTTATGCTAAATTCTAAAACCAAAAGCTTTTAAAAATAATCGGAAAGGTCCTGACACTGAATATTCTGTTATTTATTAAATGCCTAAGACATGATTTGGGGGGTATTGAGATCTAATGGTCTCTACTGTGGTTTTCTTGGTGGCTTTGTACACAATATTTTGCCATTCTTTTCTGATGTACCCTGAGTCAGGCCTCACAAAAACTAACAATATTGTAAGACTTGCAAAGTCAGCATCTAAGGTGATTCTTAAATGTATGATAAGGGTATTTTCAACCAATTGACTGGAAAATCTTTTTGGTCTATTTCTACTGATATTTGAACACTCTATTGAAGTGGTTTGAAACAAACCTTAAAGCTTGAGCTTTTTCTTGATTTAAATTACTCTTATTTTTAAGAATGTATTATTAGCATGGTGGCTCTGTGCCTAGCATATAAAGTCTTATTAGTGGGTAATTCTCCTCTCTACTTCTTGTTTACCCTGTGTGCTGGCTTTTCTTGAGTAATGTATGCCATACATATGCTCATTTTCTTTCACCATTGAAAGCATTTATCTGTGAATAATTACAGCTTTATTCTTCCTTTCCAATTTTTAGGGGTTTTATTTATTTATTTATTTGAGACAGAGTCTCACTCGGTCACCCAGGCTGGAATGCAATGGCACGATCTTGGCTCACTGCAACCTCTGCCTCCTGGGTTCAAGTGATTCTTCTGCCTCAGCCTCCCAAGTAGCTGGGATTACAGGCATGTGCCACCACATCCAGCTAATCTTTGGAGAGACGGAATCTTGCTCTGTCGCCCAGGCTGGAGTGCTGGAGTGCAGTGGTGCAATCTTGGCTGACTGCAACCTCCACCTCCTGAGTTCAAGCAATTCTCCTGCCTCAGCCTCCCGAGTAGCTGGGACTACAGGAGCATGCTGCCATGCCTGGCTGATTTATTTTGTATTTTAATAGAGATGGGGTTTCACCATGTTGCCCAGGTTGGTCTTGAACTCCCGACCTCAGATGATCCACCTGCCTCGGCCTCCCAAACTGCTGGGATTATAGGCATGAGCCACTGTGCCCAGCCCCAATTTTTATGTTTTATATTTCTTTTTATTGTCCTAATGTGCTAGTTAAGACCTCCAGTATAGTGGTGATAGAAATAGTGAAATTGGACTTCTTTGCCTTGTTTCTAATCTTAGGGGAAAGGCTTTCAATATTTCAACGTGAAATATGATGCTAATTGTAGGTTTTTAGTAGATACTCTTTATAAGCTTAAGCAATTTCCCCTAGTTTGTGGAGATTTTTTTTCCCTCATGAATGGATATTGAAGTTTTATCAGATGCCTTTTTTGAATCTATTGAGGTGACAATATAATCTTTGTCTTTTATTTTGTTAATGTGGTGAATTGTATTAATTCACACATATTAGACCAACCATGCTGATAAACCCTACTGGTCATGATATATTATCCTTTTACTATATCACTAGATTTGATTTGCTAATTTTTTAAGGATTTTTTTGGTCTATGTTCATGAGGATTAATAGTAATTTTCTTTTCTTTAATTTCTTGTCAAGTTTTGGCATCAAGGTTATGTTGGCTTCAGAAAAATGAGTTGGGAAATGTTCATTCTTCAGTATCTAAAAGATTGTGTATAATGTTATCTCTTTTTCCTGAAATGTTTGGTGGAATTCACCAGTGAAGCCATCCAGGCATAGTGTTTCCTTTGTGGAAAGATTTTAAATTAGAGATTCAAATTTGTTTATTTTTGCTTTGTTACTGTGCCTTTGAGGTGTTATTCATAAAATCTTTTCCCAGACCAGTGTCCTAAAGTCTTTCCCCTATGTTGCCTTGCAGTAGTTTCATAGATTGAGGTTTTTCATTTAGATTGTTAATCCATTTTGAGTTGCTTTTTTTATAAGGTTAGAGGGTGGGGGACTAGTTTCATCCTTCTGCATATTGCTATCTAGTTTTCCCAGCACTATTTATTGGAGAGATTGTCCTTTCCCCAATGAGAGTCCTTGATGCCTTTGTGAAAAATCAGGTGGCTGTAGAAGCATAGGTTCTTTAATTCTGGGTTCTGTATTCTGTTCCATTGGTCTATGTGTCTGTTTTTATGCCAGAACCATGCTGTTTTGGTTACTACAGTTTTGTAGTATATTTTGAAGTTGTAGCATGATGGCTGCAGCTTTGTTTTTGTTTGTTTGTTTGTTTGTTTGTTGTTGTTGTTTTTGAGACAGAGTCTCACTCTGTTGCCTAGGCTGGAGTGCAGTGGTGTGATCTTGGCTCATTGCAACCTCCGCCTCCTGGGTTCAAGCAATTCTCCTGCCTCAGCCTCCTGAGTAGCTGGGACTACAAGGTGTATGCCACCACACCTGGCTAATTTTTTGTATTTTTAGTAGAAGCGGGGTTTCACCGTGTTAGCCAGGATGGTCTTGATCTCCTGACCTTGTGATCCACCCGCCTTGGCCTCCCAAAGTGCTGGGATTACAGACATGAGCCACCATGCCTGGCCTGCAGCTTTGTTCTTTTTGCTCAGGATTGCTTTATCTGTTTTGAGTCTTTTAGGATTTCTTTTGCTATTTATGTGAAGAATGTAATTGGTATTTTGATAGGGATTGCATTGAATCTGTAGGTTTCCTTGGGTAGTATGATTATTTTAAACAATGTTAAACCTTCTGATCCATGAGCATATCTTCCCATTTGTTTGTGTCCTCTTCAATTTATTTCATCAGCATTTTATAGTTTTCATTGTAGGGATCCTTTACTTCTTTGGTTAAATTTATTCCTAGGTATTTTATGTTTTTGTAGTTATTGTAAATGGAATTGTCTTGATTCCTTTTTCAGTTTAGTTAATCATCCATGTACAGAAATACTGCTGATGTTTATATGTCGATGTTTGTATTCTGCAACTTTACTGAATTCATTTATTAGTTTTAAGAGTTTTTTGGTAGAGTCTTTAGGTTTTCCTATATAGAAGATCATGTCATCTGCAAACAGGAACAGTTTGATTTCCTCCTTTCTAATTTGGATGCCCTTTATTTCTTTCTCTTGTCTAATTGCTGTACATAGATAGCACTTCCAGTACTATGTTGAATAACAGTGGTGAGAGTGGGCATCTTTGTCTTCTTCCAGTCCATCTGGTATGATGTTAGCTGTGGGTTTATTATATATGGCCTTTATTTTGTTAAGGTATTTTCCTTCTATACCTAATTTCATGAGAGTTTTTAATTATGAAGGGATGTTGAATTTTATCAAATGCTCTTTTCTGCACCTGTTGACATGATCGTATGGTTTTTCTCCTTCATTCTGTTGATTATAATGTATCATATTGATTGATTTGCATATGTTGAACCATACTTGCATTCCTGACATAAATCCCACTTGATCAGGTGTATTATCTTTTTTATGTATTTTGGATTTGGCTTGCTAGTATTTTGTTGAGGAATTTTACATCTATGTTCATTGGAGGATTTATCCTGTAGTTTCTCTTTCTGTTGTGTTCTTGTCTGGTTTTGCTATCACAGTTATGTGGGATATCACAGTTATGATGTGCTATCACAGTTTTTTTTTTTTTTTTTTTTTTTTGGAGGAGGAGTCTCACTCTGCCACCCAGGCTGGAGTGCAGTGGCACATCTCAGTTCACTGCAACCTACCTTCCCCTCCCGGGTTCAGGCAATTCTCCTGCCTCAGCCTCCCAAGTAGCTGGGATTACAGGTGCAGGCCATCGTGCCTGGCTAATGTGTGTATTTTTAATAGAGAGGGGAATTCACTACATTGGCCAGGCTGGTCTCAAACTCCTGGCCTTAAGTGATCCACCCACCTCAACCTCCCAAAGTGCTGGGATTACAGGCGTGAGCCACCACACCCAGCTGGAATCACTTTTTTTTTTTTTTAAACAGTTTGAGAAGAATTACTTTTAATTCTTCTTTAAAGGTTCATTACAGTTCAATGGTGAAGTCATCTGGTTCTAGATTTTTCTGTCAGGAGACTGTTTTATTACTGCTTTACTTTTATTACTTGTTATTGGTCTGTTTAGGTTTTCCATTTCTTCTTGGTTCCATCTTGGTAGGTTGTATATATCCAAGACCTCATCTATTTCCTCTAGGTTTTCAAATTTATTGGCATGTAGTTGTTCATGATCCTTTGTATTTCTGTGGTATCTGTTTTGATGTCTCATTTTTCATTTCTGATTTTTTTTAATTTGGGTTTTCTTTTTTCTTAGTTTAGCTACTGATTTGTCAATTTTGTTTATCTTTTCAAATAACCAATTTTCATTTCATTGGTCTTTTGTATTTTTTCTCTCAATTTTATTTATTTCTGCTCTGATCTTTATTTCTTCTACTAATTTTGAGTTTGATTTTTTTCTTATTTTTTTAGTTCCTTGAGATGCATCATTAAATTGTTTATTTGAAATCTTTCTAGTTTTTTGTGTAGACATTTATTACTATAAACTTGCCCCTTAATACTGCTTTTGCTGTGTCCCATAGGTTTTAGTATGTTGTGTTTCTATTTACATTTGTCTCATGGGACTTTCTGATTTCCTTATTTTCTTTTTTAATCCACTGGTCGTTCAGCAGGGTGGTGTTTAATTTCCATGTATTTGTATAGTTTTGAATGTTTCTCTTATTGATTTGAAGTTTTATCCATTGTGGTAAAATAAGTTACTTGATATTTCAATTTTTTTAAAAATTTGAGACTTGTTTTGTGTCCTAATATGTTGTCAGTTTTGGAGAATGTTCCATGTGCTGATGAAAAAAATCAGTTGTTGGGTGAAACGTTCTGAAAATTATGTCCGTTTAGCCTATGGTGCAGTTTAAATCCAGTGTGTCTTTGTTGATTTTCTGGCTAGATGACCTGTTTAATGCTGAGAGTGGGTGTTGATGTCCCCAACTATTATTGTATTGAAGTCTGTCTCTCCCTTAAATCTAATAATATTTGCTTTATATATCTGGGTGCTCTGGTGCTTGGTGCATATATATATATATATATATTTGACTGTTATATTCTCTTGCTGAATGGATCCATTGAGGATTATATGTTTCCTTTTTCTCTTTGTACAGCTTGCTTTATATATCTAGGTGCTTTGGTGCTGGGTGCATATATATATTTACGACTGTTATATTCTCTTGCTGAATGGATCCATTGATGATTATATAATGTCTTTCTTTTTCTCTTTGTACAGCTTTTGACTTGAAATCTGTTTTGTCTAATATAGATATTCCTGCTTGTTTTTGGTTTTTGTTTATGGAATGTCTTTTTCCATCCCTTCACTTTCAGTCTATGTGAGTCTTTATGGATAAAGGGAGTTTCTTATAGGCAGTATATAGTTGGTTCTTGTTTTTATTTTATTTTATTTTATTTTATTTTTGAGATGGAGTCCCGCTCTGTCCCTCAGGCTGGAGTACAGTGGCACAATCTCAGCTCACTGCAAGCTCTGCCTCCCGGGCTCATACCATTCTCCTGCCTCAGCTCCTGAGTAGCTAGGACTACAGGCACCCGCCACCATGCCCCACTATTTTTTTGTGTTTTTAGTAGAGATGGGGTTTCACCATGTTAGCCAGGATGGTCTCAATCTCCTGACCTCATGATCCACCCACCTTGGCCTCACAAAGTGCTGGGATTACAGGCGTGAGCCACCACACCTGGCCTCTTGTTTTTATTTTTTATCCTTTCGGCCAATCTATATCTTTTAAATGGAGTATTTAATCCATTGGCATGCAAGGTTATTATTGATGAGGACCTCCTTCTGTTTTTATGTTTGTTTTCTGGTAGTTTTGTGTATCCTTTGTTTCTCTTTTATTTATTTTTGCAATTGGTTGGTTTTCTGTAATGAAATGGTTTGAATCCTTTCTCTTTCTCCTTTGTATATCAGTTCTACCAGTGAGTTGAATAGTTTCATGTTTTTATGAGTGTAGTAATTGTCTTTTCCCTTCCATATGTAAGATTCCCTTGAGCATTTCTTATATAGCCAGTCTAGTGGTGATGAATTCCCTTAGTTCTTGCTTGGCTGAAAGCAAAGATTTTATTTCTCCTTTATTCCTGAAGGATATCTTTGCTGGGTATAATACTCTTTGCTGATAGTTTTTTTCTTTCAGTACTTTGATTATATCCTATTTTCTCCTGGCCTGTAAGGTTTCTGCTGAGAAATCCACTCAAACTAATGGGAATTCCCTCATATGTGACTTAATTCTTTTCTCTTGCAGTTTTAGAATTCTTTGTCTTTGACTTTTGATAATTTGACTGTAATGTGCATTGAAGAGGACTTGTTTAGGTTGAATCTGTGTGGGATTATTTGAACTTTCTGGAATTGGATATCTGTCTCTCTCCCAAAACTTGTAAAGTCTTCAGCTGTTATTTCATTAAATATTTTTTCTGCATATTTAATGAAATACTAGCTTTTTTCCCCTTCTTTTCTTCTTCTGGAATGCCCATAATGCAAATATTTTTTCACTTAATGATGTCTCATATATCTTGGAGGCCTTTTTTTGGGTGTGTAGTCGGGGGCTGCCTGTGTTACTTCAAAAGACCTGTCTTCACATTCAGAAATTCCTTCTTCTGGCTGATCTAGTCTGTTTACTGATGCTCTCACTTGCATTTTTTTTTTTAATTTTTGAGACAAAGTCTCACTCTGTCACTCAGGCTGGAGTGCAGTGATGCGATTTTGGCTTACTGCAACCTCCACCTCCTGGGTTCAAGCAGTTTTCCTGCCTCAGCCTTCCAAGTAGCTGGGATTACAGGCACCCACCAGTATGCCAAGCTAATTTTTGTATTTTTTAGTAGAGACAGGGGTTCACCACATTGGCCAGGCTGGTCTTGAACTTTTGACCTCAAGTGATCTACCAGTCTTGGCCTCCCAAAAGTGCTGGGATTATAGGAGTCAGCCATTGTGCCCAGCCTCAATTGTATTTTTTATTTCATTAATTGAATCCTTCAGCTTCAGGATTTCTGTTTGATTCTTTTTTATGATATCTATTTCTTTATTGAATTTCTTATCTAAATAGTCAATTTTTAAAATTTCATTGTGTTGTCTATCTATATTCTCTTTTTTTTGAGACAGAGTCTCGCTCTGTCACCCAGGCTGGAATGCAGTGGTGTGATCTCAGCTCATTGCAAGCTCCGCCTGCCGGGTTCACACCATTCTCCTGCCTCTGCCTCCCAAGTAGCTGGGACTACAAGCGCCCGCCACCACGCCCAGCTAATTTTTTGTATTTTTAATAGAGACGGGGTTTCACCGTGTTAGCCAGGATGGTCTCGATCTCCTGACCTCGCGATCCACCTGCCTCAGCCTCCCAAAGTGCTGGGATTACAGGTGTGAGCCACCACGCCCAGCCCCTGTCTATCTATATTCTCTTATATCTCACTGAGTTTCCTTAAGCGTACTATTTTGAATTCTTTTTCTGGTATTTCATATAGTTCCTTATGATTGGAATCTTACTGGAGAATTACTGTGTTCTTCTGAAGGTGTCCTGTTTGCCTGCTTTTTCTGCCTATGTTTTTGTTGTTGTTGTTTGTTGTTTTTTGTTTGTTTTTGCTTACATTAATTTCTATGCATTTGGTGGAACAATTGCCCCCTCCAATTTTCTGAAGTAGGCTTCATATGGAAAGACTTATACATATAGATGGGTCTTGGGGTGTCAGTTTGGTGGGGTGCCTTGGTTTTGGGTCTAGATTATCATGTAGTATAGTCTCCATGTAGTTTCTTCAGCTGTAATCTGCACTACTAACATTTATGAGTGTCTCAGGAATCTAAGATGAGAGAGTTTGGCAGTGGTGGTGTGGCTTTGCTGAGAGCGAAGCTTTTTCTCAGATCAAGGTGCGAGTATGCACAGTGAGTCAGCCAACTTGAAGTCTTGCTGGGGTTGGGGCCTTGGAGTTGTTACTCTGGCTGGTGGCACAGGCACCTGGTTGCTCAGCCAGTCTGAGGTTATGCCTGCCAGGGGTGGCTTACAAGGCTATTTCTTAGACCTAAGGCATGGGTGCACAGCTGTTCAGCTGGCCTGAGGGCATGTCTGTCAGGGGTATCCCGGGTGGCTGTTTCTCAGGCCTGGGATGCAGATGCATGGCTTCTAAGCTGTCCTGGGTGTGTGTCTGTTCAAGTTTGCTCCTGGAGTTGTTTCTCTGGCCTAGGACGTGGGTGGCTTCTTGGGTGGCCTGGGTGCATGTCTGGTAGATGTGGCCAGGACTTGGGTACACAGCCACTCAGTCTGGGAGTGTGTCTGCCAGGTGCAGCCCCCAGGGCTATTTCTCAGGCCTAGGAAGTGGACATACAGCTACTCAGTCAGCCTGGGGGCATGCTAGCCAGGGGCAGCCTGCAGGGCTGTTTCTTAGGCCCAAGACTTACATGTTGGCAGCTTGGAGGCCTAGGGGCAGGTGAGCTAGGAGTAGCCCATGAATCTGTTTCTCAGGCTCTGATTGCAGGCATGGGGCCTTTGGGCAAGCCAGAGGTGTCTCAGCAGGAGAGGTGGGTGCTGCAGGGCTATCTCTCAGGTCCTAGGCTTGTAGCTGCTCTACCTGTTTGGGGGACAGCCCAAAGAGTTGCTTGTCAGCTACTTGGTAGCCCCGAGTCCTTTCATGCTTAGCTTAGGGGAGAGTGTGCAGCAGTTTAGCTGGCTCAGCAGCGGGTTCACCCTGGGTAGGACTGCTAGACTATTCCTCCACTGGAAGTGCAGGCAGTGGGAATTGGTTTCCCTGCTGTGTAGGACCAGATTTGCAACCCATCCTGGACCCAGGCTCTGCACAGCTGGGGTTATGGCATCAGCCATCTGTGGGCTGGGTGGAATGAAGATGAAACCCCAGTGCTGGAGGGGAGCAATGGCTACTGGTCCCAGAGTAGGATGCATTCCAGAGGTGGCTCTAATTTCAAGATGGCACTGTGCTGCAGCAGTGTGGCTCACAGGATAGGTGGGGGTTGGGGAGTGCACACCTTGTGTTCATAATCCAGAGCAGTGTAGTTGCATAAATTCCCAGCAGCTCTCCAAACTGGACTTGGGGCTGGGGATGACTGTGGGATTCACCTGTAGTAAGGACTGTGGGCATTTGCAGTGGCAATAGGAGCTGATGAGATTCTTCTGCTTACCATTTTCCTGAAAGGGAAAGTCTCTCCTGTCTCCAAATCAATCTGATCCAGGCATGGCAGACAGTGCCACAGAGGCTAGATGACTCTCCGTTGCTTCCAATCACTGTAGGTACCTTCTGGGCTTCCAATCACTATAGGTACCTCCCCACTCCCCTACTGCACTCCAGCACTCTCTGGGCAACACTCCAGTGAAATCTTAGCTCTTTATTCATTGCCTTGGTCCTTGCTTGTGTGTGTGTGTGTGTGTGTGTGTGTGTGTGTGTGTGTGTGTGTGTGTGTGTGGAGTATGGGTGCCAGGTGTCTCTAGTGAGCTATCTTGCTGACATCACCTCATTGTGGTTTTAATATGCATTTCCCTAATAGCTATTCCTTTAGTTATTTAATTTTAGCAACATTTGAAAGTTGTTCTTGATTTTTTTCTTACCCTGCTCAGCTATACTGTGGGTGTACCTCCTAAGTATGTCTTTAATTATCTTTCTCTTTGTCCTAATTCCTGTGCTTTATTTCTTCACTATTATTAAAACAGCCTCCAAACTGCTTTCTCTGATACCATTTCCTCAGCAGATTCCAATTTGTTTCCCACACTGCCATCAGAATGAATTTTCTAAAATGTTGATGTAATCATGTCACTCCCTTGCTAAAAAGCTTTCAAAGCTTCCCATTGCCTTTAAGATAAAGTCTACAATCTGGATCCAGCATGTTTTATACTATCTATTCTTGCCATTCTTTTCCCCACCATCCCGCCCTCCTACAAACATACACACTCCACACTCACCACTGCACATTTCCTGGCTTGTGATCCACCTGCAATTATTTGAATACATTAGATCTTCCTTCTTTTATACCTTTAGACATGCTGTTACCTCTGTCTGAAATGCTCATTCATCTCTGTTTACAAACTCTTATTCATTCTACCTCTTGGAATCTTTTTCTGATTCTCCATAACAGTTAAGCATTGTGTGTGTGTGTGTGTGTGTGTGTGTGTGTAAAAATATTGACATACATATGTGTCTGTGAAAATATTAGGTTTAATCACATGAAACTGTCATTTGTATAAGTCAAAATATGCTTTATATGAATCAGCCTAAAACATTTTTGTGCTTGTTTTTGTGTCTGGCATTCCTCATCCAGCAAGAGACTGTCCTCTTTTTTTTAAAAGGATGGCAGGCCACTTAGTACACGTTTATTGATACGTGGATGGAAAAATAGTTCTTAAAGATCAAGGCTTTCATTTAGAGCAGGGGTCCCCACACCCGGGCCACAGACCAGTACCAGACTGTGGCCTATTAGGAACCAGGCCACACAGCAGGTGAGCAGCAGGCAAGCAAGCCTCATGGCCTGTGCTCCGCCTCCTATCAAATCAGCGGTCGCATTAGATTCTCATAGAGCATGGACCCTATTGTGAACTGCACATGTGAGGGATCCAGATTGCGTGCTCTTTATGGGAATCTAATGCCAGATGACCTGAGGTAGAATAATTTCAACCTGAAACCATCCGCCACCCCAGTCCATGGAAAAATTGTCTTCCATGAAACCGGTCCCTGGTGCCAAAAAGACTGGGGACCACTGACTTAGTGAAAAGTTAGCTTGAAAATCTATAGGTTTTCTACTTTGGAATCACATGGTCCTAAAGGTTGCTTATTTGCATGGTGCAAAAAATAACACAAAATCATCACAATATGTCTCTTAATAAATACATCTCAAATGTCATGAAGTCACAGATTATCTCCCATATACAGTTTAGTAGTCATTTTCATAATAGTAGACAGCATCATGGCTTCAAGGTTCAAATAAAATAATAAAAGATACTGATTTTGTTTCATGAAAACATTTTGAAATTCAAACACCATACACTAAAATGGTTTAGTGTGTGTGTATGTGTACAAGCACACCTCTGAGATATTGCAGGTTTTGGTTTCAGACTGCTGCAATAAAGCAAATATCACAATAAAGTGAGTCACACAAATTTTTTGGTTTCCCAATGCATATAAAAGGTATGTTTATACTATAGCCTATTAGGTATGCAGTAGCATTATGTCTAAAAAATAATGTATATCCCTTAATTTAAAAATACTTTATTGTTAAAAAATGCTGACAAACATCTGAGCCCTCAGTGAGTTGTAATGTTTTTGCTGGGGGAGGGTCTTGCCTCAACAGTGGACTTAAGATATTTAGTCAACCATGCTGTAAACAGATGTGCTGTCATCAAGGCTTTGTTGTTCTGTTTATACAGCACAGGCAGAGTAGATTTAGCATAATTCTTAAGGGCCCTAGGATTTTCAGAATGATGGATGAGTGTTGGCTTCAGCTTAAAGTCACAAGCTATATTAGCCTATAACAAGAAGTCAACCTGTCCTTCGAAGCTTAGAAGCCAGACATTGACTTCTCTTTAGCTATAAAAGTTCAAGATGGTATCTTCTACTAGAAGGTTGTTCTACAGTGAAAATCTGTTTAGTGTAACCATCTTCAATGATCTTAGATAGATTTTCTGGATAATTTGCTGCAGCTTCTACATTAGCGCTTGTTGCTTTACCTTGCACTTTTATGTTATGGAGATGGTTTCTTTCCTTAAACCTCATGAACCAACCTCTGCTAGCTTCAAACTTTTCTTCTGCTGCTTCTTTACCTCTCTCGGCCTTCATAGAATTTATAAGAATTAGGGCCTTGCTCTGGATTAGGCTTTGGCTTACAGCAAGCTTGTCCAACCCTGGCGCGTGGGCCGCATGCAGCCCAGAATGGCTTTGAATGCCACACAACACAAATTCATAAACTTCTTAAAACATTATAAGATTTTTTTGTGATTTTTTTTTCTCATCAGCTATTGTTAGTGTTAGTGTATTTTATGTGTGGCCCAAGACAATTATTTTTCCACTGTGGCCCAGGGAAGTCAAAAGATTGGACATCCCTGGCTTAGAGGAAGTGGTGGCTGGTTTGACCTTCTATCCAGATCACTAAAACTTTCTCCATAAAAGCAATAAGGCTGTTTCATTTTATCATTTGTGTGTTCACTGAATAGCACTTTTAATTTCCTTTAACAGTGCAAGAGGCCTATCTTACCTTTCTGCATGCCTTCCTCACTAAACTTAATCATTTTAGCTTTTGCTTTAAAGTGAGAAAGATGCAGCTCTCCCTTTTACTTGAACACTTAGGGGCCATTGTAGGGTTATCAATTGGGCTAATTTCAATATTGTTGTGTCTCAGGGAATAGAGAGGCCAGAGGAGATAGGGGAACGGTCGGTCAATGGAGCATTCAGAATATGCAGATTTATCGATTAAGTTCTCTATCTTACACAGTCATGGTTCATGGTGCCCCAAAACAATTACAATAGTAACATCAAAGATCACTGATCACAGATCACCATAACCGATAGAATAATAATGAAAAAGTTCGAAATATTGCAAGGATTACCAAAATGTGACACAGAAACGTGAAGTGAGCACAGGCTGTTGGAAAAATGGCACCAACAGACACAGGGTTGCCACAAGCCTTTAGTAAAAACAATATCTGCAAAGTGCAATAAAATGCATAAAATGAGATATGTCTGTATAATGGTTATAGCTATGTAAAAATTGCCTTTGAATGTGGGAGATAATATGTAATAATGGGTGGCTGGCAAGATGGCCGAATAGGAACAGCTCTGGTCTGCAGCTCCCAGCGAGATCAACACAGAAGGCGGGTGATTTCTGCATTTCTGGCTGAGGAACCTGGCTTATCTCATTGGGATGGGTTAGACAGTGGGTGCAGCCCACAGAGGGCAAGCCAAAGCAGGGTGGGGTGTCGCCTCACCGGGGAAGTGCAAGGGATTGGGGAACTACCCCCCTAGCCAAGGGAAGCCATGAGGGACGGTGCACTCCAGCCCAGATACTATGCTATTCCCATGGTCTTCACAACCCACAGATGAGGAAATTCCCTCACGTGCCTACGCCATCAGGGCCCTGAGTTTCAAGCACAAAACTGAGTAGCTGTTTGGGCAGACACCAAACTGGGTGGCTGTTTGGGCAGACACCGAGCTAGCTGCAGGAGCTTTTTTTCATACCCCAATGGTGCCTGGAACACCAGCGAGACAGAACCGTTCACCCCCCTGGAAAGGGGGCTGAAGCCAGGGAGCCAAGCTGTCTAGCTCAGCAGATCCCACCCCCACGGAGCCCAGCAAGCTAAAATCCACTGGCTTGAAATTCTCGCTGCCAGCACAGCAGTCTGAAGTCGACCTGGGATGCTTGAGCTTGGTGGAGGGAGGGATGCTTGCCATTACTGAGGCTTGAGTAGGTGTTTTTCCCCTCACAGTGTAAACAAAGCCGCCTGGAAGTTCGAACTAGGTGGAGCCCACCGCAGCTCAGCAAAGCCACTGTAGACAGACTGCCTCTCTAGATTTCTTCTCTCTGGGCAGGGGAATCTCTAAAAAAAAAAGGCAGCAGCCCCAGTCAGGGGGTTATGGATAAAACCCCCATCTCCCTGGAACAGAGGACCTGGGGGAAGGGGTGGCTGTGGGCACAGCTTCGGCACACTTAAACATCCCTGCCTGCCAGCTCTGAAGAGAGCAGTGGATCTCTAAGCACAGCATCCGAGCTCTGCTAAGGGAGGACTGCCTCCTCAAGTGAGTCCCTAACCCCTGTGTCTCCTGACGGGGAGACACCTCCCAGTAGGGGTCAACAGACACCTCATACAGGAGAGCTCCAGCCGGCATCTGGCGGATGCCCCTCTGGGACAAAGCTTCCAGAGGAAGAAACAGGCAGCAATCTTTACTGTTCTGCAGCCTCCGCTGGTGATACCCAGACAAACAGGGTCTGGAGTGAACCTCCAGCAAACTCCAGCAGACCTGCAGCAGAGAGGCTTGACTGTTAGATGGAAAATTAACAAACAGAAAGGAATCGCATCAACATCAACAAAAAGGATGTCCACTTAGAAACCCCATCCGAAGGTCACAACATCAAAGGCCAAAGGTAGATACATCCACGAAGATGAGGAAAAACCAGCACAAAAAGGCTGAAAATTCCAAAACCCAGAACGCCTCTTCTACTCCAAAGGATCACACTCCTCGCCAGCAAGGGAACAAAACTGGATGGAGAATGAGTTTGACAAATCGACAGAATTAGGCTTCAGAAGGTGGGTAATAACAAACTCCTCCAAGCTAAAGGAGGATATTCTAACTCAATGCAAGGAAGCTAAGAACCATGAAAAAAGGTTAGAGGAATTACTAACTGGAATAAGCAGTTTAGAGAAGAACATAAGTGACCTGATTGAGCTGAAAAACATAGCACGAGAACTTCAACAAGCATACACAAGTATCAATAGCCAAATCGATCAAGTGGAAGAAAGGATATCAGAGATTGAAGATCAACTTAATGAAATAAAGTGTGAAGACAAGATTAGAGAAAAAAGATTGAAAAGAAACAAACGAGCCTCCAAGAAATATGGGACTATGTGAAAAGACCAAACCTACATTTGATTGGTGTACCTAAAAGTGAAAGGGAGAATGAAACCAAGTTGGAAAACACTCTTCAGGATATTATCCAGTAGAACTTCCCCAACCTAGCAAGACAGGCCAACATTAAAATTCAGGAAATACCGAGAACACCACAAAGATACTACTCGAGAAGAGCAACCCCAAGACACATAATTGTCAGATTCACCAAGGTTGAAATGAAGGAAAAAATGTTAAGAGCAGCCAGAAAAGTCAGGTTACCAACAAAGGAAAGCTCATCAGATTAGCAGCAGATCTCTCTGCAGAAACACTACACACCAGAAGAGAGTGGGGGCCAATATTCAACATTCTTAAAAGAATTTTCAACCCAGAATTTCATATCCAGCAAAACTAAGCTTCATTAGTGAAGGAGAAATAAAATCCTTTACAGACAAGCAAATGCTGAGAGATTTTGTCACCACCAGGCCTGCTTTACAAGAGCCCCTGAAGGAAGCACTAAACATGGAAAGGAAAAACTGGTACAGCCACTGCAAAAACAAATTGTAAAGACCATCGACACTATGAAGAAACTGCATCAACTAAGGGGCAAAACAACTAGCTAGCATCATAATGATAGGATCAAATTCACACATAACAATATTAATCTTCAATGTAAACAGGCTAAATGCCCCAATTAAAAGACACAGACTGGCAAACTGGATAAAGATTCAAGACCCATTGGCGTGCTGTGTTTAGGAGACCCATCTTATATGCAAAGAAACACACGCTCAAAATAAAGGGCTGGAGGAATATTTACCAAGCAAATGGAAAGCAAAAAAAAAAAAAAAAAAAAAAGGCAGGGGTTGCAATCCTAGTCTCTGATAAAAACAGACTTTAAACCAACAAAGATCAAAAGAAACAAAGAAGGGCATTACATAATGGTAAAGGGATCAATGCAGAAAGAAGAGATAACTATCCTAAATATATATGCACCCAATACAGGAGCACCCAGATCCATAAAGCAAGTTCTTAGAGACCTACAAAGAGACATAGACTCCCACACAATAATAGTGGGAAACTTTAACACCCCACTGTTCATATTAGATCAACAAGAAAGAAAATTAAGGATATTCAGGACTTGAACTCAGCTCTGGACCAAGTGGACCTAATAGACATCTGCAGAACTCTCCACCCAAATCAACAGAATATATATTCTTCTCGGCACCACATTGCAATTATCCTAAAATTGACCACATAATTGGAAGTAAAATACTCCTCAGCAAATGCAAAATAATGGAAATCATAACAGTCTCTCCAACCACAGTGCAATCAAATTAGAACTCAGGATTAAGAAACTCACTCAAAACTGCACAAGTACATGGAAACTGAACAACCTGCTCTTGAGTGACTGATGGGTAAATAACGAAATTAAGGCAGAAATAAAGAAGTTCTTTGAAACCAATAAGAACAAAGAAACAATGTACCAGAATCTCTGGGACACAGCTAAAGCAGTGTTTAGAGGGAAATTTATAGCACTAAATGCCCTCAAGAGAAAGCAGGAAAGATCTAAAATTGACACCCTAACATCACAATTAAAAGAACTAGAGGAGCAAGAGCAAACAAATTCAAAATCTAGCAGAAGACAAGAAATAACTAAGATCAGAGCAGTCTGAAGGAGATAGAGACACGAAAAACACTTCAAAAAATCAATGGTATCCAGGAGTTGGTTTTTTTGAAAAGATCAATAAAATAGACTGCTAGACTAATAAAGAAGAAAAGAAAGAATCAAATAGACACAATAAAAAATGATAAAGGGGATATTACCACTGATCCCACAGAAATATAAACTACCATCAGAGAATACCATAAACACCTCTATGCAAATAAACTAGAAAATCTAGAAGAAATGGATAAATTCCTGGACACATACCCCCTCCCAACACTAAACCAGGAAGAAGTCGAATCCCTGAATAGACCAATAACAAGTTCTGAAATTGAGGCAGTAATTAATAGCCTACCAACCAAAAAAAGTCCAGGACAAGACAGATTCACAGCCAAATTCCACCAGAGGTACCAAGAGGACCTGGTACCATTCCTTTTGAAACTATTCCAAACAATAGAAAAAGAGGGACTCCTCCCTAACTCATTTTATGAGGCCAGCATCATCCTGATACCAAAGCCTGGCAGAGATACAACAAGAAAACAAAACTTCAGGCCAACATCCCTGATGAATATCGATGTGAAAATATTCAATAAAATATTGGCAAACTGAATCCAACAGCATGTCAAAAAGCTTATCCACCACGATCAAGTCAGCTTCATCCCTGGAATGCAAGGATGATTCAACATACAGAAATCAATACCCGTAATCCATCACATAAACAGAACCAATGACAAAAACCACGTGAGTATCTCAATAGATGCAGAAAAGGCCTTTGATAAAAGTCAATACCCCTTTATGCTAAAAACTAAAAACAATAAACTAGGTATCGATGGAATGCATGTCAAAAATCATAAGAGCTATTTATGACAAACCCACAGCCAATATCATACTGAATGGGCAAAAGCTGGAAGCATTCCCTTTGAAAACCAGCACAACACAAGGATGCCCTCTCTCACCATTCCTATTCAACATAGTATTGGAGGTTCTGGCCAGGCCAATCAGGCAAGAGAAAGAAATAAAGGTTATTCAAATAGGAAGAGAGGAAGTCAAATTGTCTCTGTTTGCAGATGACATGATTGTATATTTAGAAAACCCCATCATCTCAGCCCCAAAACTCCTTAAGCTGATAGCAACTTCAGCAAAGTCTCAGGATACAAAATCAGTATGCAAAAATCACAAGCATTCCTATACACCAATAACAGACAAAGAGAGCCAAATCATGAGTGAACTCCCATTCACAACTGCTACTAAGAGAATAAAATACCTAGGAATACAACTCACAAGGGATGTGAAGGACCTCTTCAAGGAGAACTACAAACCACTGCTCAGGGAAATAAGAGAGGACACAAACAAATGGAAGAACATTCCATGCTCATGGATAGGAAGAATCAATATCTTGAAAATGGCTATACTGCCCAAAGTAATTTAGAGATTCAATGCCATCCCCATCAGGCTACCATTGACTTTCTTCACAGAATTAGAAAAATCTACTTTAAACTTTATGTGGAACCAAAAAAGAGCCTGTGTAGCCAAGACAATCCTAACCAAAAGGAACAAAGCTGGAGGCATCACGCTACCTGACTTCAAACTATACTACAAGACTACAGTAACCAAAACAGCATGGTACTGGTATCAAAACAGACATATAGACCAATGGAACAGAACAGAGGCCTCAGAAATAACTCCACCCATCTACAACCATCTGATCTTTGACAAACCTGACAAAAACAAGCAATGGGGAAAGGATTTCCTATTTAATAAATGGTGTTGGGAAAATTGGATAGCCATATGCAGAAAACTGAAACTGGACCCCTTCCTTACACCTCATATAAAAATTAATTCAAGATGGATTAAAGACATACACCTAAAACGTAAAGCCATAAAAACCCTAGAAAGAAACCTAGGCAATACCATTCAGGACACAGATATGGGCAAAGACTTCGTGACTAAAACACCAAAAGCAATGGCAACAAAAGCCAAAACTGACAAATGGGATCTAATTAAACCAAAGAGCTTCTGCACAGCAAAAGAAACTCTCGTCAGAGTAAACAGGCAACCTACAGAATGGGAGAAAATTTTTGCAATCTATTCATCTGAGAAAGGGCTAATATCCAGAATCTACAAGGAACTTAAACAAATTTACAAGAAAAAAACCAACAACCCCATCAAAAAGTGAGTGAAGGATATGAACAGACAGTCTTCAAAATAAGACATTTATGTGGCCAACAAACGTATGAAAAAAAGCTCATCATCACTGGTCATTAGAGAAATGCAAATCAAAAAGCACAATGAGATACCATCTCATGCCAGTTAGAATGGCGATCATTAAAAAGTCAGGAAACAACAGTGCTGGAGAGGATGTGAAGAAATAAGAATGCTTTTACACTATTGGTGGGAGTGTAAATTAGTTCAACCATTGTGGAAGACAGTGTGGTGATTCCCCAAGGATCTAGAACTAGAAATACCATTTGACCCAGCAATCCAATTACTGGGTATATACCCAAAGGATTATAAATCATGCTACTATAAAGACACATGCACACATATGTTTATTGCGGCACTGTTCACAATAGCAAAGACTTGGAACCAACCCAAATTCCCCTCAATGATAGACTGGATAAAGAAAATGTGGCACATATATACCGTGGAATACTATGCAGCCATAAGAAAGGATGAGCTCATGTCCTTTGCAGGGCCATGGATGAAGCTGGAAACCATCATTCTCAGCAAACTAACACAAGAACAGAAAACCAAACACCGCATGTTCTCATAGGTGGAAATTGAACAATGAGAATACATGGACACAGGGAGGAGAACATCACACACTAGGGCCTGTCGGGGTGGGGGGCTAAGGGAGGGATAACATTAGGAGAAATACCTAATGTAAATGACAGGTTGGTGGGTGCAGGAAACCAGCATGGCACTTGTATACCTATGTAACAAACCTGCATATTCTGCACATGTATCCCAGAACTTAAAGTATAATTTTAAAAATGTAATAATGAACATTTTTTTTTTTTTGAGACGGAGTCTCACTCTGTTGCCCAGGCTGGAGTGCAGTGGTGCAATCTCAGCTCACTGCAAGCTCCGCCTCCCGGGTTCACACCATTCTCCTAATGAACAGATTGTTTTTAGAGTATTTGATTTTGAGTTTATTTTAATATTTTCTTAAAACAACAAAACAAACTTATTAGTTTGGGCTTTACATCAGTCAAGTAATAATGTCTGAATTGTCGTTTTAGAAAAGATAACCATCTAAATGTTTGGCATATTTTAGATAATTATATGATGAAGAACTCTATATTCATTTAAACAAAATTACAGTTTTAGTCAATATTTTAAAATTGTTTATGATTTTTAAAACTTAACTTTCCTCACTGTATATTTAACAACTTTGCCATAGCATTCAGGCATTACACTGTCATTGGTATTAGTCAAGTTCAGTGATTTTATTCATTTCAAATTGAACTTGGTGTTACAAGTTTTATTATAGCTATTACCTTCTTTTAGCTTTATAAGTTCTTCAGGTCATTATTTATATAAATTTTATCTGGCTTGTAAGGTAACACAAACCTCATAAAACATAAATTTAAAAAAATGTTTTTTTAATTTGTGAAACACTTATCTATTAGCTCCACATTAAAATTTCTTTTCTCCCAAACTTACACTACGTCTTGAATTATTCAGACAAGCAAAGATAAGTAAGGAGTCTAAGGAATGTGGTTTGGTTTTTACCTTTAAAACGTGGACAGTAATTTGGAAGTGCAGCTTAGTTCAACTCCTTTTCTAAATAAAATTCTGCTCCATTTGCAACTCTGAACACGTAAATTGAAGGGGTGGCTCCCGTGGCCAGTGCCTGACCTCTGTGCACACCTTGGTCTGGCGTGACCTCGCCCACACTGCACACTGCAGCCATATAAATCAGATTTTTGACATGTTATAAAATGCAAGTCACAGCTGCTGTTGTCTGCGGTATTCAAAAACTTTTGAAACACTGCATGTCCAACAAAATTTATTTTTTGTGTGAATGTAAGTTTTTATTGAGGGTAAGTCCTGTTTGTTTGGAAAAAAGAAACAGTATGAGTCAGTGCTTTTTAAAAATCAAATAGATTTAATGTTCTCCTTCCTGCCTGTTCTCGCTCGTGTGTGTTTCTCTCGATTGCTTGCTCGCTTTCTCTGCCTCTCTGCTTGTCTAAGAAAGAGCTGTTGGCTTTGAGAGAAGACCTTGGTATTACAACTGTGTTAGTAGATTGAGATTTCTGTTAGAGTCTTTCTGTTTAGGTCAGAAGTGTTCTTTATAGAACAGAACTGGGAGCTTGTAATCATAATGTAAGTATAAATGCTTCACCTCTTCAAATATATGTTTGAATTCTTTTGTTTCTGTTATAGCAGGAAACTTCATATGTAAGAATGTCTTATTAGCTACATTGCTTTGCCAGATGCCAGACATTTTTGTGTGTGTGTGGGGTTAACATTTTTTTTCTTTTTTAAATTTAATTTTAAGTTCCGGGATAGATGTGCAGGACGTGCAGGTTTGTTACATAGTGTGTTTATAACATGTGTGCCATGGTGGTTTGCCGCACCTATCAGCCCTGGACATTTTTTAGAAGAAAGGTTTGCATAGGTTGGTAAATGTAATGTGCAATCTATGGTAAACTTAAAAGTGCTTTTATAAAAGTTTTAAAGGTTCAGTTCATTCAGTTTTACTTACTGTCTCATCGTTCATGTAAAATTCCATGTAGTACTCTACTATGTTAACAATGTTTACGAAAAAAAGCCTTATTAGACTTTTCTGCAGAGAGATATTTAAGATTAAATTACATTATTTAGGCAATGATTTATATTAAGTACGTTATTGATCTTTTAGTTTTGTTCATATTTTTTACTGAAATGCAATAGGTATCTAAAAATGCTGTAACTAAAATTTGTCCCTAGTATATAAATGTCTTTATTATTTTATTTTCAACATTTAAGAATATTGCTATTAGAATATTTGACATTTTATAATGCCCTTAAAAGAAGACTATTTTCCCTGAATTATTACTTTTTAAACCGTTTTAGGTACTGTTTTTCAACCCTACTCTCTTGACCAAGAATGAAACTATTTACAAATTAAGATGCCAACAGGTAATTTCTTATATATTTATATGTTTTTGTCAATATGTGTCCATAGCAATAGAACAACAATCAAAAATGTATATTAACACAAGGCTGTATTATTCCCTTCCAACATCATTGGAAGAGATGTGAATATGAAATTAATATTTCAAATATGAAATATTTGGTTTTGAGAGACCTTCCTTTGTGACATAAAGCTATTTTATTTTAGATATATGTGTTTTATTGGTTTTATAACCTGATAAATTCTAGCTTGTCCTATATCTGAAATCAGCTCAAATAATAAGGAAATAGAAGTCAGAATAAAAGTAGATTCAGAAATAATGATTCAGGTTAGATGAGTTTTCTTTATTGATAAAATAAATGCCAAGTGTTGAGATATGTCTGACTATAATCCAATTAAAACAAGGACACTAATCTTAGCTGTGATAAAGTTACATTCCACCCTCAGTGGAAAACCATATATGATGACGCCTTTGATGCTGATGTAATGTTAATTTTATTTTTTAGCCAAATTATTCCTGAAAAATTTTATAATCTTGTTGAAAGTTGTTTGATTACGAAGAAGCATGGCATTGTGTAAAAAAGAAAAAAATCTAAAAGCATTCATTTTGGTTGATTTTACTTTCTTTTTCACCAGTTCTCTGTAGTTCTGATTTCGTCTTTACATTTTTATACTCTTAGGGCTATAATGTGATGCTGAAACAGGATTTTCTCAATTCTAAAGTAGAACAAAAGTTTTAAAATTTGAAATTCTGATTGTGGAGATATCTGACTCATAGCAATTATATCTTAGCAAGTATTGATATCTTAGTGGCACATAAATGCTAGATAATTTTTAAAATTAATATACTAATTTTAATGTCAAATTGGAGTCCCAGTGGGAGAGTAATGCCATTTTCTTATTCTGATTAGATGATTCTGGGTCATTTCCTAGACAGAAACAATTAGGAACTAACAATGTACAAGTTTAAAGCAATGTAATTTCCCCTTTAAGGCTGGAAGATAAGATATTCACCAATTTTCTCTTCATAAATTACTAGTATAATGACTCAATGAATCCTTCTGTTATTCTAATTTTTTCTATACAATGGCTTTGGTGGACAGGGATTTTTTATAAAAGGTCTTGGGGGTGAGGCTAGAAGGAAGGAGAGGTACCAAGGGAGAAAGGGAAGGCAGAGAGAGAAAGATAGATAAAGGAAAGGTCATAAAGAAGGAAGATGAGGCTGAGGAAAGAGGAAAGAGAGAAAAGAAGTCAGAGAGAAGTAGAGGTTTATTTTCTTAATATTCTGAAAGATTTGGCTGTATATCAAGCTATGACTTAGCTTTTTAATTTTTCTTTGCAACTTTAGATATGCCTTATGGTTAGTAACTGTTACCTAAAACACTTTGCAAATCAACACCTTATAAGTTTATTTTTGGTTTCTGACATTTAGATTGTCATATAGGAACATTTAAAGTTAACTTTGGAAATAAAAAGTTAATTATCTAAATCCTTTACCAGCTGCAATTTCAGATATTAATGTATTTGAGACCTAATAGGGAAAACAAGAATTTAAATAAATTCTTGGGACAGGGAAATGCTAGGTAATACTGCCAAATCTCTGTAGTAAGTGAGAAAGGCCCTGTTTGTTCTAAGATGCTGATCACCTCCTTTTAATCTAACTAATATAGATATTCCTTATTTCTGTTATATAATGTCTAAACCCATTATAGTTAATGGCCATATCTTTAGGACATAATTTTTCTCTCAAAGACATAGAAGTCCCAGTCTGTCAAATAAGGAATAGAATTAAATCTTTCATTTTGAGAAAAAAAATTCTTCATTCTGATTTTCAGAATTGCTACTTCAGTTTAAGATAGTTATTCCTATTCCTTGTTGCATTAGGAAAACTTTAATTTGCTTTTCTCTATTTTATATATGTATGTGTTCTAGATCACGAAGAGCCCTGTGGTCCCAGTCACAAGTCGTTTTGCCTGAATGGGGGGCTTTGTTATGTGATACCTACTATTCCCAGCCCATTTTGTAGGTGAGTGAAATGGACTAGGGGGAGATGTTAACTTTATTTTTTATTGTCTACTAACTTCTTTGAGAAGTGATAAAAAGTAAACAAAAAGTGTAAGATGAAAAGATGTGAGGCATATTCATATTTATTTAGGGAAAATTATCCTTTTAAAACAAAACAAAAACAAAATAAAATAGCACATAAAAATCTCACTAATCAAGGTGTTTATTCTGAAAATTGCTAATGGTAGTTCCTAGCCTAGACACATTTTTAAAAAATAATCCCTTTTAGTGAACTCTTTGATTTTAGCAATTTAAGGAAGGCAGTCTATGCTTAATATTACTGGCAAAACAGCTAGGGAATTTGCTAATCAAAAAAACCTAATATGATATATTTTATTTTGAGTTTTTAGTACATAAACACATGATAACTGAGTTGGCACCAAAACTTACACTTTATATGTTAAAAAGCAAAAGAAGGGTTAAGTTTTTCTAATGGTGGTAGCAAATAAAAAAGAAGGGTATCTTAGCCACTATTGTTTTAAAATAATATAATTCACTGTGGGAGTATAGATACAGCCAGTGACCCATAAAAAACTTCAAAATAGTACTTCTGTAGCCTGATTCCTATGAGTTTGGTTGAATAGGATTTAAATGTATATAATAAACGTCTTTTAGTATATGAGTTAACATCATAGTACTGCCCTATACTGTGGAGCTAACACCCAAGATCTAAAGATATTTTGTAACACATGTGAATTACTCTTTCTTGTTCTTTAACTGAAATGAGAAGTATAGAATCTAGATTTAAGATCTAGCTACATAAAAGGATAGAAAAGTAAAATCCATAGGAAAAGTTAAAGATACTGGGATGTAGTATGGAGGAGAGGAGGCAGAGAGAAATAACCTCACAATTATCTCAAGAAGTTTTTAGGGCTTCTCATATGGGGAATAGTGCCCAGGTGTTTTTCTTCTCTAGTGAATATGAAAAGGGAAGGGAATGGAGGAACAAATTAACAATTACTTAACACTCATGATGTGCCTCAGCAGTATACTCTTCTTTTTTAATCTATTTACTGAGATATAATTTATGTATGATAAACTGCATTCATTTAAAGTGCAAAATGGATTAATTTTGACAAGTGTTTGTACCTGTGAAATCACCACCACCATCACATCTAGATATAGAACATTTCCATAGATAATCCCCCCAAATTTTGTTGCTGACTGTGCTCAACACTTAATTCTCACAAACACCTTAGAGAAAGGAGGCAGGGGAGACCTTAGAAAATAATTTTTTAAAAAAGGGGAAAATGAGAAATTAAGTGACATGCCAAAGGTCATATAGCTGGGAAGAAGAAAGGTGTCACCTTTGAATACAACTCACAAGTTTCACTTAACTTTATAATATATTCATACTGGATTCTTTCTAAGGTGATATGGCACGTAGAATGTTTAAAATAAAACAAGAATGCTTATCAGAAGAAGTACATTTAGGTTGGGCGCGGTGGCTCACACCTGTAATCCCAGCACTTTGGGAGGCCAAGGTGGGCGGATCACAGGGTCAGGAGATCGAGACCACCCTGGCTAACACGGTGAAACCCCATCTCTATTAAAAATACAAAAAATTAGCTGGGCATGATGGTGGGCGCCTGTAGTCCCAGCTACTCGGGAGGCTGAGGCAGGAGAATGGCATGAACCTGGGAGGTGGAGCTTGCAGTGAGCCAAGATCACACCGCTGCACTCCAGCTTGGGCGACAGAGCGAGACTCCGTCTCAAAAAAAAAAAAAAAAAAAAGTGCGTTTAATAATTTAAATATACTAACATTTTGTGTCTTGATCTTGATGATGGCTGCATGGGTATAAAGACTATCCTTTCTCCATTGAATTGCCTTTGCCCCTTTGTCAAAAATCAATTGATCATTTATGTGCAGGTCTATTTCTGGACTATTCTTTTCTGTTGATCTATGTTTCCTGTCTTTTCACCAATACCAGTCTTGATAAACGTAGCTTTATAATGAGCAAAATCAGGTAGCATGATTCCTTAACTTTATTCTTCGACTCAATGACGTTTAGCCTTATTTTCTAATAGGCAGTATTTAATGTTAAAAATTTTCAAATACATTTCTGTTTTATCCTAAAAATTTTATAGTTTGTTGTTCAGTTTTAGATTTAAACATTTTTTCATTATGATTTCTTCTGTAACCTATAGGTGTTTTCCTATCCTTTTATATTTATATCCGATTTAATGGCATTGTGGACAGAGTACTTGGTCCGTTAAGCTATGCACTTAATATCTATCTGTATACTAGCTATCTGTTATACCTCACTGAATAAGTTGAAAGAAAGAACTAAGAATGCTGGAATTTGGAGATTCATTAAAATGGAAAGAAACCTAGGTTGTCATCCTGCTTTTGTACGTTGGATAGATGCGTTTTTAGTGTATTTTCAAAAAGTTACCAATGATAGAGAATGGCCAAGTTTGCTGGCAACCCACACCAGGTGTAAAAATGTGTATAGTTTCTTCCTAATATCAGAATGTAAAAGTAGTAATTGGGAGTAGCTGAAACCATGCCACATGGGTTCATGATGGATAGCAAGGTCACCACATTGCACAACAGCAGGAGGCTCTGTGGCTTGGCACCCTCTTTGCAACGTGAATGTGTATTCTGGAGTTGCTAAACACCCTGGAAGGAAGTGAAGTAGGGGAGTGGGGTAGGGAACAAAAGGGCGACTGAGAAAAAAGGATAAAAAAAATAGTGACTGCAGGTTCAGTAACATTGAATGGCAGATATATTTAAAATCATATTTTATAAAAATAATTGTTTTCCAATTATCTTAGGAGCACACCTCTAATGTAGCCCTGTAGGCTGTAATAGCAATAGCTAAGAGTGATAAGCTCATTTTCCATCCCACTTCATACTGTTTTCTGTATTTCCTGTTTCTATTATGACATCTCAACCATCTTGTCACTGAGAAACCCCAGACTTATATTTGACTCTTTATTGCCCTCTTGTCCAGTTGTCAAATCATATTTCTACCTTTGCTGTATCTCTCATCTCTCTAGTCCTTTCTGTTCTTACTATCAATATACTAGCTCAGAGTTTCTTAACTCCTTGCTTTGTCTATAGAAATAGTCCCTAACCAATTTTCCCGGAGGCTAATTCTCATCATCTGTCCAGCTAAAACAAAAAAAACCTTCAGTGACAGCCCTCACACCTATCCATCTACCACTCATGAAATAATACCTTACTTTTTAGCCTAGCTCTTTCAGCCTTCTACCATTTGGCCCTCAAACTACCTTTGTGGCCATTTCTTCCTTGGTCTGCATTCTAACTAGAGCCATTCACTATTTACGTTAGATATACTTTGTGTTATGTTGCCTGCCAACTCCTCCTCTTTCTCCTCCTCCTCAGTCTACACGAAAATGAAAATGACAACAATGAAGACCTTTATGATGATCTACTTCCACTTAATGAATAGTAAGAGGTATATTTTCTCTTCCTTACAATTCTCTTTTCTTTCCTTTTTTTTTTTTTTTTTTTTCTGAGACAGAGTCTCACTGGCTGGAGTACAGTAGGGCGATCTCGGCTCACTGTAACCTCCACCCCCCAGGTTCAAGTGATTCTCCTGCCTCTCAGCCTCCTGAGTAGCTGAGATTACAGGTGTGTGCCACGACACCCAGCTAAATTTTGTGTTTTTAGTACAGGCGGGGTTTCGCCATTTTAGCCAGGCTGGTCTTGAACTCCTGACCTCAGGTGATCCACCCACCTCGGGCTTCCCAAAGTGCTGAGATTACAGGTGTGAGTCATTGCACCTGGCCCTTTTTTTTTTTTTTTTTTAAGAGACGGAGTCTTGCTGTGTTGCCCAGGCTGAAGTGCAGTGGCTTGATCATAGTTCACTGCAACCTCAAACTCCTGGGCTCAAGTGATCCTCCTGCCTCAGCCTCCCAAGAAGCTGGGACTACAGGCACACAACACTGCACTTGGCAATTTATTTTTTGCAGAGGATGGGGTTTTGCTGTTGACTAGGCTGGTCTCAAACTCCTGGCATCAAACTCCTGGCCTTAAGTGATCCTCCCACCTCAGCTTCCCAAGGTGCTGGGATTACAGGCATGAGCCACTTCATCCAGCCCCCTTATGAGTTTCTTAATAACATTTTCTTTTCTCTAGTTTGCTTTATTATAAGAATATAGTAATACATAAAACATATAAAATATGTGTTAATTGACTGTTTATGTTATTAGTAAGGCTTCCAGTCAACAGAAGGCTATTAGTAGTTAAGTTTTGAGGGAGTCAAAAGTTATATGTGGATTTTTGACTGCATGGGGGTTGGTGCCCCTAACCCCTATATCGTTCAAGGGTCAACTGTATTTGTGCCTTTAGATCTAAAATGCCTCTAGTCAGCATATAGTTGCATCATGTGTTTTCGTCCATTTTTCTAATCTCTTTTATTAGATAATTTAATCTATTTACATTTAAAGTAATTACTGATAAGAAGGGGCTTTTGTAATTTTGCTATTTATTTTCTATATGCCTTATCACTTTTTTGTTATTTTCTATTTTACTGTCTTTTGTGTTTAATTGATTTATTCATAGTAAAAAAAAATTTTTTTTTTTTTTTTTTGAGACGGAGTTTCGCTCTTGTTGCCCAGGCTGGAGTGCAATGGCGTGATCTCGGCCCACTGCAACCTCTGCCTCCTGCGTTCAAGTGATTCTCCTGCCTCAGCCTCCTGAGTAGCTGGGATTACAGGCATGGCCACCATGCCTGGCTAATTTTGTATTTTTAGTAGAGACAAGATTTCTCCATTTTGGTCAGGCTGGTCTCGAACTCCTGACCTCAGGTGATGTGCCTGCCTCAGCTCCCCAAAGTGCTGGGATTACAGGTGTGAGTCACTGCACCCGGCCTGTAGTAAAATGTTTAAATTCCTTTCTCATTTCCTTTTGTGTATATTCTATAACTATTTTCTTTGTGTTTACCATGGGGATTAAATTTAACCTTTTAAAGTTATAACACTAATTTGAATTTATACCAGCTTAACTTCAATCACATATAAGAACTCTGCTTCTTTGTAGCTCTGTCCCCACTTCTTTCACGTATTGTTACAAAATTATATTTTTATATATTGTGTGCCACAAAACATAAACTAAGAATTCGTCTCAATACATTAATCTCTTAAATTATGTAGAAGATAAAAATGGGGTTACAAACTATTTTTATGATAATACTAGCTTTTAAAATTGTTCATGTATTTATTTTTATGGATATCTTTATTTCACCATGTAGGACTCCCTGAGTTTTTCTTGCAGAACAGGTCAAGTGATAATGAATTTTGTCAGCTTTTATCTCGGAATGCCTTAAAAACTCTTAGTTTTGAAGGACTGCTTGTTGGATATTGGATTCTTGGTTCCAGTTGTTTTGTTTGTTTATTTAGCCATTTGAGTTTATCAGCCTACTATCTTCTGGCTTGCATAGTTTTGATCAGAGAAATCTGTTGATAATCTCATTGAGGATCCCTTCTCTGTGAGGAGTCACTTTTCTTGCTGCTTTCAGGATTCTCTCTTTGGCTTTTACAAGTTTGATTATAGCATGTCTCATTATGGGTCTCTTTGAGTTCATCTTACTTGGAGTTCATTAACCTTTTTGGATATTTATATTAATGTCTTTCATCAAATTTGGGAAGTTTTAAACAATTATTTCTTTAAATATTCTTTCTATCCTTGTCTTTTTTCTCTTTTTGGAACTCTCACAATAGGTATGTTGGTCCATTTGATGGTGTCCCATGGGACCCTTAGGCTCTGTTCACTTTCTTTAATCTTTTTTCTTTCTGGTAGATGACTCAACAGTTGTCATTATCTTATGTTCATCTATTTTAACATAACGTTTTAAAATTATAAATTTCCCTCTGAGAATTAATTTAATAGCAGCTCACGATTTTTGATGTGTCATATTTTCATTTTGTTTAATTCAAATGTTTACTAATATCCTTTGAAAGTTTTCTTTGATCTGTTAATTCTATGAAAGTGTATTGCTCAATTTTCAGCATTTGTGGATTTTCTGGTTATATTTTATTATTGGTTTCAAGTTTAATTCCATTATAGTGAGAGAATATACTCTTTACAATTTTGTTCCTTTGAAATTTGTTGAGACTTACTTTATGGCCCTTCATGGAATCTATTTTGGTTGATGTTTCATGCACATTTGAAAAGGAGCAGTTGATTGGTATAGCATTCTGTAAATTTCAATTAAGTCACATTGGTAAATAATGCTATCCAAACATTCTCTTTCCAGACTGATATTTTGCCCATTATTCTATCACTTACTGAGATATGTATATTAACATCTTCAAGTAGGATGGTAGATTGCCTGCTTCTCCTTCCCCCAGTTTTACTTTATATATTTTGAAGCTATGTTAATTATTACATGTACATAAGTTTAGACTTCTGATGTGCTCTTGTTTAATTGACCCTTTTATCATTACACAATGTTCTGCTTTATCTTTAGTATTACTTCTTGCTGTAATGTCTACCTCTCTGCTATTAATATTGCTTTCTATTTGTTGGTGTTTTACACAGTGTATCTGTTTCTATCCTCTTTTAACCTATCTGTATCTTTAAAGTGTATGTTTAATAAACATATAGACAGGTTTTTTAAAAATTCAATCCGATAGTCTCTTTTAATTGTATGATTTAGTCAGTTTAGTCCATCTGCATTTAATGAACTTACTGATATGGCTAGGTTTAAGTCTACCATCTTGCTGATATTTTCTCATTGTCCCATTTGCTCGTTGACCAGCATTTTCCTCTAGCATTCCTTCTTTCCTGCCCTTTTATTGGCTATTTAAGTATCTTTTAAGTTCCCACTTTATTTTCTTCATTATCTCTTGTTATACCTTTCTATATTACTCTTTGAGTAATTATCCTAGATATTACAGTATATATTCTTAATTTATTACAGTCTACCCTCAATTAGTACGTTTACTCTTCCTGAACAATGCAAGTATCTTCTAACAGTTTAAATCCTTAGTCACTTTTTTCCCTTGGTACTATTGTTGTGCTGTCAAATATGTTTAGTGATAAGTCCATTTGCATTTCACACAGTTTTCGAAATAGCTGGGTTTAACTTTATTCTCTTCTTGTTTTCTGCTTATTTTGTCTGTTCTTTGCTCCTTTTTTCATATGGGAGATTTCATTTATCCTTTCTGGCCCAACCCAGCTTTTGATTGAGTGGCTAAGTCTTTGTTTTCTCCACTCTGAAAGTTACGCACTTTGGAGCTTTTGAGCTAAGCTTTGTATCCCCTTGTTCCATACAGGTTCAAAATCTGACAAAAATCTGGCTGGGAGGAGGATACTTGTTATGTGTTTGTTGTAGGCTCCTCCTACAAGTTTAAAATAGATAATATGTTCACATTTTTCAAAGATCAAAACCAAAAAATACGTTGATGTATATTTCTCTCATTTCTATGTCTGTTAACATTTTTCCTCCCTGTGTACTAAAAGAAAGCAGTAAGCCCTTATCTAAACTTCCAGTACTTCTTTTTGCAAATTCAAGGAAATACAAATGCGTATTTTAACCTCCCATTCTTAGTAGAATAGTTCTTAATATATAATAGTCATTCAATAAGTATTTGTCAAATGAAGCAAAGAACAAACATTGTATACTTGTGTGGTCCCATATGGTAGCCAGGAGCCATGTGTGGCTACTGAGCACTTGAAATGTGGCTAGTGTGACTGAGAACTGGAGATGTGCAATGAGTATCAAATAATCCTTAAATTTTGAAGACTTAATGTGAAAAAGTGAACTATCTCAATAACTTTTATATTGATTACATGTTGAAATGATAATATTTTGGATATATTGAAGTGAAAATATATTACTACAAATAATTTCACCCTTTTCGGTTTTTTTCAATGTGGCTACAAAAATTGGGGCCAGGCATGGTAGCTCACGCCTGTAGTCCCAGCACTTTGGGAGGCCAAGGCAGGAGGGAGGAATGCTTGAGGCCAGGAGTTTGAGACCAGCCTGGACAACATAGTAAGACCTCATCTTTACCAAACAAAACAAAACAAAAAAAATACCAGGTGTGGTGGCGTGTGCTGACAGTCCCAGCTACTCAGGAGGCTAAAGTGGGAGGATTGCTTGAGTCCAGGACTTCAGTGCTGCAGTGAACATGATCATGCCACTGTACTCCAGCCTGGGCAACAGAGCAAAACCCTGTCTCTAAAAAAAGATAAAAATAATTAAGAAAAATTTAAAACTAGACATTTTATTTCTGTTGGGGAGTATTGCTATATGTACTATCCTGTATTTCTTTTTTCTTAACAATATATCCTGGATATCTGCTCATTTTAATATATGGCTTCCCAATTCGTTTTTACAACTAGAAGGTATTCTGTTTGTGTGAATATACCATCATGTATTTAGCCAAGCCTCTATTAATGAGTATTGTACACACAGTGCAGAAGTACACACAGTGTGTACCACTGTGCCCAGCTAATTTTTTACCTTGCACATAAATCTGCACATGTATGAAATTATACAATTATATATCAGTAAAATAAAGTCCTGGAAGTGAAATTGCTGGGTTAAAGATAAATGCATTTGTAACTTCAATATATGTTGCCAAATTGCTATCCATAGAGATTATGTTATTTTGAACTCCCACCAATATATTTGGGTACGTGTTTTTCTATAACCTTGCAACAGAATTGTCAAACTACTATGTCAAACATAGTATCTCAGTGTTCTTTTAATTTTTATTTTCCTAGTTATGAGGAAAGCTGGGCATAGTTCAGTTGTTTAAATACTAATTAAAATCTTTTTGATAATGTATTTGTTTATATATTGCTTTTATATTAGTAAGATTAGCCTTTTGTCTATAATATCAATTATAGATAATTATTTATAGCTTATTTTTCCTTTTACCTAGCTTATGGGATTTAGTTTTCCATGCAGTTGTTTTCTGGTTTTACTGCAGTCAAATCTATCAATTTTTTTTAAAAGCCCTTCAAGTTCGAGTCATAGTTTTAAAAAAGACTTTCCAGCCAGGTGCAGTGGCTCATGCCTGTAATCCCAACACTTTAGGAGGCCGAGGTGGGTGGATCATCTGAGGTCAGGAGTTCCAGACCAGCCTGGCCAACATGGTGAAACCCCGTTTCTACTAAAAATATAAAAAGTAGCCAGGTGTGGTGGCAGGCACCTGTAATCCCAGCTACTCAGGAGACTGAGGTGGGAGAATCTCTTGAATCTGGGAGGCAGAGGTTGCAGTGAGCCGAGATCATGCTACTGCACTCCAGGCTGGCCTCCTGAGTAGCTGGGACTACAGATGTGTGCCAGTGTGCCCAGCTAATTTTTTTATTTTTAGGTCTTACTATGTTACCCATACTGGTCTTGAACTTCTGGTTTCAAATGATCCTCCCATCTCGGCCTCCCAAAGTGCTGGGATTATAGGTATAAGCCACTGTGCCAAGTCTCTATTTGGATTATGTATATGTTTTAAGATATAGATCCAGATTTATCTTTTTTAATATGGCTACTCTCTTAGTCTGTTTCTGCTGCTGTAACAATACTTGAGACTGGATAATTTATAGACAGTAGAAATTTATTTCTGACAGTTCTGAAGGCTGGGAAGCCAAAGATCAAGGCACCAGCTTTTGGTGTGTGGTGAGGGCCTTCTTGTTGCAAGCTCACATAGCAGAAGGGGCAAATGCTGTGTCCTCACATAGCAGAGGGCAGAAGAGCAAAAAAGGGCCGAACACTATGTCCTCACATGGCAGAGAGTAGAAGAGCATAAAAAGGCCTAAGCTAGTTTCCTTTAGCCTTTTTATAAGGAACTAGTCCATTCATGAGGGTGAAGAAAGCCCCAACTCCTTATGCCAGCACAATGGAGATTATGTTTCATCATGAATTTTTAGAGGGGATACATAGCACCTACCCAGTCTTCCCAACATTATCAGTTTATAGATCATAATTCCCATTATAATGTCAGCCCTGTGAGGGCAGAAATTTTTATCTATATGTTTACTGCTAGAACAGTACCTGAAACATAGTAAGTACTCAATAAATATTTATTAAATGAATGAATGAATTCCCCTGCTGATTTGAGATGCCAACTTTGTTATATGTGAAACTCTATATGTATTAATTCTTACTGGACTCCGTTTTCCTTTGGTGTGTCCATTTATTCTTATGCCCACAGCAGTCTCTTCTAATTGTTGAATGTTTATAGTGAGTTTAATATGTGGTAAGTCTAGTTTTTGCGGCACTCCCTTGCACCCTGGCTGTCCTTGCTTTTTAATTTTTCCATATGAACTTTAGAATCAGTCCAGAAGAATATAAAAAATTAAATTGATAAATTCCCTTTAGGAAAGTTTCTTTATGATGCTGAATCTTCTTATCCAGGATTGATATGTCTTCCCATTAGTTCAAATCCTTTTCTGTACTTCAAGAGTGTTTTTAACATTATATATGTTTTGCATATTTCTGAATTTTTTCCCATAGATTTGATTTTTTGTTACTGGGGTAAATCTGTTTCCATATGTAAATTTAATAAATATGTTATTTCTATGCTTAAAACCCTTCAGTGACTCTCTGTCTCACTCAGATAAAAGCCAGTGGCCTATAAAACCTTAATGATATGGCCCCTATTATTGTTCTCACCTCATATCCTGCAACTATCTAATTGCTCAATCTACTGCAGCCAAATTAGCCTCTTTGATGTTCCCTGATGCCAGGAAAGTTCCAGACTTAAGGTGTTGGCCTGGCCTTTCTGTCCTGTGTTGAATGCTTTCTCCCCCAATATCCTCATGGCTAACTCCCCCTCATCCTTTTAGTCTTCACTATCAATCTTTCAATGATGCCTCCTAGACCACTTTTTAAAAAGTAAAACCCATTCTTCGCCTATTCCCTCTCTTCCTCTCTTACCATCTACCAACATACTATATAATTTACTTTACATTGTATCTCCCCAAGCTAGAATGTAAGTCCCACAGGGAAAGAAATTTTTATTTTTTGTTCACTGAGATTTTCCGTGCATCTAGAACAAGCATAGAGTAGGTTTTCGGTAAGTATCTGTTGAGTGAATGAATGCCCCACTACTTTGTTGACTTCTGTTATCATTATAATAATTTTTCTGTTAATTCTCTCGGGTTTCACATTATGTAGGATAGAATTTGATAAAGCAGAGTGATCTGAAACCCAAGTCAAACTTTGTATCTTTTATGAAGCTTTTCTGGGTAGAATTAGCCATTCAGCCCTGTGGCAGAGGCTGTTAGTGTCCAATAACTATGTGGTCCTCTGTGTTTGAGCCTCACATACAGTTAGACTGGGTCTATGTGACTGGGTTCTGGACAGTAGAGTATGGGCAAAAGGGATGCAAGCCAGTCACAAGTCTGGCCCTGAAAAACCAACTCCTGAAAAACTCCAGCTCTCATTTTTCCTGCCTTAGTGACCTTGGAGGCCATGTTCTCCAGGTGTCAGGGCCAAGAGATGGAGAAGGGCTGCCTGACTGGCATTGGGCATTAGACAGTAGTGTGAGCAAGGATTAAACTTTCATTGTATGAAGTCACCAGTATTTGTAAGTTTGCAATTAAAGGCAGCTAGTATTAACTTTGTTGACTATTATATGCTCACACTGTACCCAGACGTATTTCTATCTTATATCTCTCTCTACTGTACTTAGTGTTTATGTGTCTGTTGTTCTCTAATAGAATCTAAGCCCCTTGGGACTGAATAATTCTCTTGTCTTTGAATTTTCTACATCTAGTATATATCATAGAATTTAATAAACTACTCAAAAATGTTTCTCGAGTGAATTTTTGAGAAAAACCAAGATGGAAAAGGATTTGGAAATTTCAATCACTAAAAAATAGGGGTATTTAATACCAAGCAAAGAAGGGTAAGAAGATGATGAGATGAAATTCTATGAAGAATATCTTTGCAATATATATCTTTGCAATACAGATTTTTAAATATTAATGGAGTTGAATTAGTATCAAAAAATAAAAATTTTCTCAGAGAAAATTAGATGAATTATCTCGTAAAAAGTTATTTGTAATTTTGTACAGAAATGTTACTGAAATGATTTTTGCCCTTATTTAGTTTACATATTTTTTTCTCTCATTAAATGTATAACATCAGCTCTCTGGAAATCTCAAGCTTTTCTTAGTCTACTAAGTATTATAGTGGGAAAAGTCTCAAATGGGGAGAAGATCATGAAAAAAAGCCTTAAAAATACTATTAAAATAATTTTTCTCTCATTGACACCTACCTCATCCTTTTTACAAAGTTTCTCAACCAATATGTGTTAGAAGAGAATTCCAAATATAGAGCTAATTCTGGCCATCAAGTAGTGATGTGTAATATGGATATTTATAGATCTTTATGATATAATTCCTATAATACATTTCACCGAAAACATTCAAGGTTTGATCTAGAATCAAATTTATTTTCATATTCTGACACAGCCATTTCATCTGATTCCTACCAAGACTATAAACAAATGTAGTAATAATAAATATAATGTTGGGATCTAGTACTATCATTATGTAGACGAATGATCTAAGCAAGTCACTAGTTGCTATAAAAATAAATGGTTACAAATAGAAATTTGGCACTTTTTCCAATTTTGTGACCAAATCTCTTCTTTGCTACTCTAAGAAATTTTATGTCAGGAACTATTATCTAGTTTCCTGACCTTTCAAAAGTGTGTTCTTTTGTATCTCTTTATTTCACTGTCTTCTATAGCTAAACACACATGCTCTATTAAAAAGCAAGGCTCATTTGTTTAATAATGTGAATAACTGAGCTTCAAACTCTTGTAGTTAAAAGATTCATACTACTCAATGAAGTTGGTATATCTAGGGAATAAATAGCCCCAATGAGTACTGTGTGACCATGGTATTATCACAATCTGAGGTCTCCCCTCAGTGTAGATTGTTAAGAGTTAAATGAAGTACATTGTGAGGGATCTCATCTCTCACAGCAGATACACATTGATTAGGCTTACAGAGCTAGTGTCTAAAGTAAGCATTCTTATTTATTTATTGAGACGTGGCCTCGTTATGTTGCCCAGGCTGGATACTTCAATTTGTTAATGTATGATGATATATAACTGACACAGGCTTGAGTTGATGTGAGCCAGGCATTCTTTTTCTCTGTAGACTGACATGTATGGGAAGCCAAATTTGTAATCAGAATATTTTAATGGATATAGAGAAAACAAGAAAACAACAAGAATTATATAATATGAAAGTCTACCTGTAATTAGTCTGATGCATTTATTTCCACAAGAGAGATAATCTGACTTAGAACTGTAATGCATGAAGTCTTCTGGCTACAATACCCTCTCTACTTAACAGTGCTTAGATAGGCACTGCCGATGTTTGCCTCTGTGCCTCTCCTTTCTGTGAGTGTCCCTTGCCAACCAACTCCTCAGACTGACAGCTCTTTCTTTAGATATGTTAATGCATATTCAGCTAGTCTCTATTATTTAAAGGAACTTTGCTTTATTCTACTCTGATCCATTGACTTTATAATTCAATTTGCATTATATAATCTTATTTCCTTCAGCTCTAAGTATTAGACATCACATCAGTTTCCCACTTGTACTTAATACACAACCTAAATATAGTTGAGGTGTGATATAGTTTGGATATGTATCCTCTCTCCAAATCTCATGTTGAAGTATGATCCCTAGTGTTTGGGGCGGGGGGGCCTAGTGGGAGGTGTTTGGATCATGAGGGCAGACCCTTTATGAATGGCTTGGTGCCCTCCTCATGGTAATGAGTTCTTGCTCTATTAGCTAATGTGAGATCTGATTGTTTAAAAGAGTCTGTGGTCTTCCCCTTTTCTCTCTTGCTCCCTCTCTCACCAGGTGATACACTGGCTCCCCCTCACCTTCTGCCATGATTGTACACTTCCTGAGTGCTCACCAGAAGCAGATGCTGGCACCATGCTTCCTGTATAGCCTCCAGAAGCATGAGCCAAGATAAACTGCTTTTCTTTCTTTCTTTCTTTCTTTTTTTTTTTGAGACAGGGTCTCACTCTGGAGTGAGACGACTCCCATACTGGAGTGCAGTGGTGCGGTCATGGCTTACTGCAGCCTCTGCCTCCCTGGTTCAAGCAATCCTCCCACCTCAGCCTCGGGAGTAGCTGGAACTAGAGGCACGTGCCACCATGCCCTCTAATTTTTAAATTTATTGTAGAGACAGAGTCTTCCTATGTTGTCCAGACTGGACTTGAACTTCCTATGTTGTCAAGACTGGGCTCAAGCAATCCTCCTCCCTTGGCCTCCCAAAGTTCTGGGATTACAGGCATAAGCCACCATGCCCAGCCTCTCTTTTCTTTATAAATTACCCAGCCTCAGATATTCCTTTACAGCAATGCAAATAGACTAAGACAAGGTGTATTACAAATATATTGTTGTGTTGCTTATTTTCTTTAAGTGTCTTCTACTAGGCCCTGACTTTCAGAAATATGATCCTTGTGGCTAATATACCATTCTTGTACTTCAGTCTTAGAGAAAGCACATAGATTTTTAAATTCTGTAAGATACTTTCAAGCTTGAGCATTATCAATATAAGTTCTGATTAAAACAACTTGCTTTGTGTACAGCTGGAGTAGCTCATAATCAAATACGCATATACCTCCTTTTTACAAATAATAAACTCTGCACAAGTATAAACACTATTTGAAGAAACTGGAGAATGACTAAAAGCAGGAAGAAACAAAAGTAGTTGACACCTAGAAGAAGGGAATGTCACTGGGTGAGTTTCCCATTATTATGGCTTGTTGCCTGAGGACAGCCCCTAATCAATTCAACACATAGTGGTAAAATGGGATGGAAACATGCAGGCAGTCACCACAGCTGGAAATTGAATGTCCTGAAGAGGGCCACAGAGGGGGAGC
Organism: Homo sapiens; assembly: GCF_000001405.40. Taxonomy (NCBI): domain Eukaryota; kingdom Metazoa; phylum Chordata; class Mammalia; order Primates; family Hominidae; genus Homo; species Homo sapiens. The sequence goes on along the minus strand of NC_000015.10, from coordinate 75,994,318 downwards.
CTGAGTTCTTTATGTGCTTTATATGCCCAAATATCTGGGTGGCCTTGAATTTGTATGCATAGAGGACTCCAGATAGCCCAGGTAAGGCTAAGAAAAGTGAATAGACATTTCACTTGTTGCAGCAGTAGGAGAGATAGAGTTTAGAGTTTCAGTTAAGCCAAATTATCCTAATAAAACAAAATATTTGTACTTTAAAAAGGAATGTAACCATCTAGAATCTACAACATGTCACTCGTAAGGTCTGGGTTAGAATTCAAAATGACTAGACATATGAAGATAGAAAAATGTCGTCCATACTGAAGACTAAAGAAAATCAGTGGAGTCAGACCTTGAGATGAGCCAAATATTGCAATTAGCAGATAATAATTTTAAATCTTAAGGATTTATTCTCAAGGATATAACAGAAAATTTGCTTATTATCAGTGAGTAAATGGGAAACCCCAGCAGAGAAATAAGAAATATGGAAAAATAATTAAATAGAAATTCTAGAATTAAAAAATAACATCTGAAATAAAAAATTTCTGAGTGGGCTTAACAGTGGATTGGAAACAGAAGAAAGAGTAGGTGTACTTGAAGCTTTGTTGAAAATATCTGTATGAAAAACAGATTTTTTTTTTTTTTGAGAGTGAGTCTCACTCTGTCACCCAGGCTGAGTGCAGTGGCACGATCTCAGCTCACTGCAACCTCCGCCTCCTGGGTTCCAGTGATTCTCCTGCCTCAGCTTCCTGAGTAGCTGTAGCTGGGACTATAGGCATGCAGCCTGGCTAATTTTTGAATTTTTAGTAGAGTCGAGGTTTCACCATGCTGGCCAGGCTGGTCTTGAACTCCTGACCTCGTGATCTGTCCACTGCTGGGATTACAGGTGTGAGCCACACATGTAATTCGTGCTCAGCCAGAATTTTTTTTTTTTTTTTTTTTTTTTTTTTACAGAATCCTCAGTGACTTGTCAAATGATGTTAAATGACTGACATACTTGTAATTGGGAACCCAGAAGGAGAAAAGAGAACACAGCAGGAAAAAAAAAAAAACAATATTTAAAGAAATGATGGTCCCCAATTTTCCAAATTTAGTGAAAGCCAAAATTTCAGGTTTAAGCTCAACAAACACCAAGCAAACTTAGACACATCATAGTCAAATGGCAGGAGGAAAAAAATATAAAGAGAAAATCTTGAAAGCAGTCAGATAAAGTGACACATTACATATGGGGAAATAGCAGTATGAATGGCAACTGATTTCTTATCAGAAATCATGGAGACCAAAAGATAGTGGAAGGAAATATTTAAAGTGCTTAGAGGGAAAAACTATGAACCCAGAACTTTGTATCTTGCAAAAATATCCTTCAAGGATGAAGACAATAATAAAAGCATTACCCATAATAGCTAAAAAGTGGTAAAAAAAAAAAGTGTCCATCAACTCATGAATGTATAAATAAAATGTAGTATATATACACAATGGAATATTTGTCAATAAAGTACTGTTATATATTACTACAACATAGATCACCCATACAAACATTATGCTAAGTCAAAGAAGCCATTTGCAAAATAACCCCAAATGTGTAATTCTGTTACACATTTTAAATGTATTACACATATTTACATATTAGATGTCCAGAATAGGCAAATTTATAGAGATAGAAAGTAGATTAGTGGTGGGGTGGGGAATGGCGATTGATTGCTCATGGACGTGGTGTTTCTTTCAGGGGAGATGAAAACATTCTAAAATTAGATTTTGGTGATGGTTACACAACCCTGTGAATATACTAAAAACATTGAATTGTATACCTTAAATGGATAGATTGTACGGTATGTGAATTATATCATATAAATAATAAATCTCAATAAGGCTGTTTAAAAATGAAGGCAATATAAAGACATTTTCAGGTACGAAAAAACTAAGATAATTTATTACCTGCAAGCCTATACTAGAAGAAATGTAAAAGGAAGGTCTCCAAGCTGAGGGGAAATAATACCAAATGGAAACTTGAGTCCACAGAAAGGGATGAAGAACTTTGGAAATAGTAAAAATATGCGTAAATATAAAACTGTCTCTTAAATCTCAACTTAGGTGAGGTACATAATGAGTACCTAAACCAAAAATAGTGACATTGTTTTGTGGATAATATGGACTGTAGATGCAATACACATGACAACTGTGGCATAAAGGGAAGGGAAGTAAAGGGAACAATATAGTTGTAAAATGTCTGCATTGTATGTGAAGTGATATAATAGTAACCCTAAGTAGACTGTGCAGTTCAGAATGTGTACTGTAAGGCCTAGAATAACCACTAAAAATGTAATGCAGAGTTGGCTAAAAGGTTTATAGATAATGAGAATGAAATTCTAAAAACAATAGTTAACCAAGAAAAGGAAGGTTCAGAAAATAAATGGAAGAAAGAGAAACAGTGGGATGGTAGACCAACATACAAACATATTAATTTTATTAAATGTAAACTAACTAAACTTGCCAACTAAAGACAGATTGTGTATTGAAAGAGAGAGTGAGACAGGGAGGGGAGGGAGTCATCAGGAAGACATGCAATCATAAATGGTACATATATGTACCTAATAACAGAGCTTTAGAATCATGAAACATTTGGTAGAGGGAGAAACAGATAAATCCACTAATTGGAGATTTTAACATCCCTCTCTCAGTAGTTCATAGACCAATTAGACCAAAAAAAAAAAAAATTCACTAAGGACACAGTGAATGAAGAATCACTGTCAACCACCTCAACCTAATTGATAATGATAGAAAAACCTATCCTCCAAAACTGTATACATTCCATTAAATGTACACGTTATGTTCACCAGGACAGAGGTTGGGCTATAAAAAAGTCTCAATAAATTTTATCATTGAAAATTTATAGGGCAAAGATCAGCAAACTATGACCCATGGGCTAAATCTTGCCCATCGCCTGTTTTTGTATGATGTTAGTAGTAGTTTTACATTTGTAAGTATTTTTAAAAAATATTTTGACATAGAAAATGTATATAAAATTCAAATTTCAGTGTTTATAATTAAAATTCTATAGGAACAAAGGCACACTCATTCATTTGCATATCATCAATGCCTGCTTTCACACAATAAAGTTGAGTAGTTGCAACAGAGACTGTATGGCCCGCAAAGCCTAAAATATTTGCTATTTGGCCCTTTCCTTTCACAGAAAACATTTTTCTAACCCCTGCCTTAGAGTACGTTCTCTTACCATGATAAAATTATAGCAGAAATAACTAACAAGATGTCTAGAAAAACTCCTAATATTTGGAAATGGATACCTTGAAAAGATTATATAAAAATTAATAAACTCATAGCTAGATTAATAGAATATATGAAAATTACCGGCTGAGTGTGGTGGCTCGCTGCTGTAATCCCAGCACTTTGGGAAGCTGAGGTGGGAGGAACAATTTAAGGCCAGGAGTTCCAGACCAGCCTGGGCAACCCTGTCTCTACAACAAAATTTGAAAAATTAGCCAGGCATGGTGCTGCATACCTGTAGTCCTTGCTACTCAGGATGCTGAAGTGGGAGGATCACTTGATCCCAGAAGTTAGAGGGTACAGTGGGCTATGATTATGCCACTGCAGCTCCAGGCTGGATGACGGAGCATAGACCCTGTCTCAAAAAAAAAAAAAACAAAAAAAAAAAACAATTACCAACTACAGTAAGAAAATTACCAACATCAGTAATGAAAGAGTACAGATGAACCTACAGATATCAGAAGAATTATAATAGAGGCTTCTGCTTCCTGCCTTGATGAAGTAATTGGACCAGACTTGCTCTCCTCTTTAAAATGTCTATAAAAATTGGGAAAATAAATGAAACACCCTTTTTTCAGACAGTTGACAACAGGCAGTACGGGACAGTGATCCCTGAGAGAAGGAGAACAAGCTTAGAGATCCCTCTAATCTTCCGGGCTCCCTTCCTGGAGGTACGCTCTGGACCGTGGTGCAGAGAGATGGGTGCACCAAGCGGAGTACTCTGGTCTTGCTGAGCTGAGGAGAAAGAGATCAGAGGTCAGGGAGGTTGACATGGCTGAAATTTGTGGATGCACTACCAGAGAAGAGGAAGCTGTGTAAGAGAAAGAGTTCCAGAAATCTGCACAGAGATCCCTTTTGATTATCTTGTCAGATGCTACATTAGACAAGTGTAGTGTCAAACTCCATAGTGCTGCGCAAAGAACTTCTGGGAAGCTCGAAGGTGAACAACCCCAGAGCTCAGGCAGGGCTGCGATGTGTTTACATTCTGACTAGCTAGAGTGAAGTGTCCTTGGTGAAGACCTAGGGTATTCGCTTGAGATCCAAAGAGTCACTCTTGAGGATTAGAGCGAAAGTCGGCCTAAATGCTACTCCATTTGTACCCTGTCAAAGCTTAAAACCAAGCCTTAAAAGAATCAAGCTGATTTACAAGTAACTTCGTCTCCCAAAGCAAAGTTCAATGCTCTTTAAACAAAGACAACAAAATCTAGCACTCAAAAATGTAAGATTCATGTTCAGCAAGCAATGCAAAATTACTAGATACAAAGAAGCAGGCAAATGTGATTAGGATGAAAAAGTCAATCAGTAGAAACAGACCTACAAATGTCAGCAATGATGGAATTAGCAAACGAGATTTAAAGCAGTTACTATAAATATGTAAAGAATTTAAAAGAAAACCTGAATGAAATGGAGAGATTTCTAGAAGCTGAAAAATGAAATATCTGAAATGAAAAGTTGAGTGGATGGGCTTAACAAATTAGATACCGCAGAATAAAATATTAATGAATTAATGCCATAGCAATAAAAACTTTCCAAAATAGATTTTTTTTTTTCAGACTAAGGAACAGAGTCATAGAGGTCTAACATGTATGTGTTAAGGTATCTCAGAAAGATGAGAGGGCAGAAAAAGCATTTGAAGAAGTAATGGCCAAAAAGTCTCAGGATCTTACATATTCTAAGACTTTTACAGACAAGCAGTGACTGAGAGCATTCATCGGTAGGCCACGCTACATGAAATGTTAAAGGAAGTTCATCAGCAAAAGTAAACTGAAACCAGATGGAAACAGATCTACATGAAGGAATGAAGAAAGCTTAGAAATACAACATTCTTTGCATAAGTCCAAAACATCCACATTGCTTTGAGTTGAAGCAGGAACAGTACTATAAACTTTAAAAATTCACTCAGGGCTGGGTGTGCTGGCTCATGCCTGTAATCAAATCACTTTGGGAAGCCAAGATGAGAGGATTGCTTGAGCTCAGGTGTTCAAGACCAGCCTGGACAACATAGTGAGACCCCATCTCTACAAAAAAATTTAAAAATTAGCTGGGCATGATGGCTGTGCCTGTAGTCCCAGCTACGTGGGAGGCTGAGATGGGAGGATCACTTGAGTCCAGGAGTTTAAGGCTGCAGTGAGTTATGATGACACCACTGCCACTCCGGCCTGGGCACAGAGTGAGACCTTGTCTCAAAAAAAAAAAAAAAAAAAAAAGGAAGGTGCAGGATTCTAGATTCTATTTTTGCCACCCTGTGGGATAAATTCATACCTTCGTTTTATTCCTCAGGGTGTTTGTGGTCCCATCTCTAAACCCACTTCCTCTGTCTCTTTCCAATTGACTTCTCCATGTTGATTCAGATCAGCTCTAATATCTCTAGTTCCTTGGCATCATCCATTTTATGCCATTTACACAGAGTTAATATCCAGTGTGACATGTAGAATATAAAGGGCTCTTCATTCAGCAAAGACCTATGTGTATCTATCAAGAGACTCAGGATATTTCACATTCTAAGCAACTTTGTCACCTGAGAAATTTGTGAAATGTTTAAACACAAAACTAAGAACATTAGAAGGAGTTGTAGGCTGGACGTGGTGGCTCATGCCTGTAATCCCAGCAGTTTGGGAGGCCGAAGTGGGCAGATCATTTGAGGTCAGGAGTTCGAGACCAGCCTGACCAAAATGGTGAAACCCTATCTCTCCTAAAAAATATAAAAGTTATCAGGGCATGGTGGCGCATGCCTGTAGTCCCAGCTACTTGGGAGGCTGAGGCAGGAGAATCACTTGAACCCGGGAGGTGGAGGTTGCAGTGAGCCGAGATCGCGCCACTGCACTCCAGCCTGGGTGACAGAGTGAGACTCTGTCTCAAAAAGAAAAAAAGAGTTGTATAACAGTCAACCTCTTTGACGTCGGCATCCTCTGACACATGCTGTAACTATAGAAATTCTCTCAACTAGCTTCTCAATCTTCACAAACTGTTACAAAGCTTGGTTCACATTCTGAGCTACTTTGATATCCAGGATAATGTCTAGGTAAATGTCAAGTGTCTGAAACTTCTTGGTAGTGGAGACACTTTGAGAACATTAGAACACCTGTCTGTATTGCCATGGCTCTTCAAACACGCTTCCTAGATGGCATCTACAGTGTATATCGAAAATTCATGTGTACCTTCCTGCTTTTGATTATTGAAGCATCTAGATAGTGTTTGAATGTCACAGATGTCAGCACCTTGATAACAGTAACAGGATTATTGTGAGCCTGAGTAAGGTGAGCCTAAAAGCTCCTTGCTGGCAACAGGTCTTAGAGTGCTCTTTGAATAGCACTTAATCAGTTTGGACTACTACAACAAAATACCATAGACAAGATGGCTTAAACATCAGAAACTTCTCCGATTTCTGGAGGATGGGAAGTCCAAGGTCAAGGTGCTAGCTGATTCAGTTGGTGGTGAGGGCCCTCTTTCTGGTTTGCAGATGGACATCTTCGTGCTGCATACTTACATGGCAGAGAGAGGGAGAGCGGAAGTAAGTCTTTCCTGTCTCTTATAAGGGCACTGATCTCATCTTGACCCTCATGACCCTCATGACCCCCAAAAGGCCCCTCTTCATAATACCATCACATTGGAGGTATGATTTCAACATTCACATCTGTAATGCCAGTATATAATGGTAAAATTAAAATGGAATAATTCTAATCAAGTTAGAAAAACATGAAATAAGTTGCTGGTTCATACCAATTATTATATTTTCCTTGACAAAAATTGTGAAAACCCCTTGCTCTGAAGTGCATTAAATCCCTTAGCCATTCTGGCAGCTCCTTTGGGAGCAGCCTTTTACTCTGTTACCTCCATGATTCCTGGCTCTGTCATCCTTAATCATTTTTCTCCAAGGCCTCATCTGAGTTAGTGATTGAAATATACTTCTTTCCTGGGGACCGCAAAGCTTTCATAGCTCACTTCCTGCTGTTGTGATCTGGGGGCCTAGGGATTGCTTTAGGATTTGAACAGGATTTGGAGGCCAGGCTTTTGGTTTCTTTGGTAATGTAATTCACTCAAAAACATTCTAGGCTCTAGAGATCTCCCTGTTTCTACTCAGCTCCATATATAAGCAACACAGCTAAATATCAAAAATAAATAGTTCTTAAACTTAGATTGAGATCTTTTACATTAATATTCTCTCTTATGTGTTCATCCCTTCCCTTTCAGTTTAATGGCAGGGCAATTCAAGCCCATCTGAAACTAGGCTTAGTTTGGGAGGGCCATATCCTTAATCTGATTTTTGCCTCCAAGATAGTTACCATTGTCTGGCAAAGAAATAAAATACTTGGGACACACCAAAAAATGATAATATTCATATCTCATCTAATTATAATTTTTTTAAATTGATAATTTATATGGTCCAAAAATCAAGTCATAATAAAAGGTTTATAGTAAAAATTGTTATTTCCACCCACTTCTAACATATATTTGTGCATATATAAGCCAATACCAACTTGAAATCTTATGTTCTGTCAGTTTTTACACTGTTTTCTACCTTGCTTTTTCTCTTCAGAATATATTTTGGAGATCATTTCATGTCAATCCACAGAGTACTTCACTATAGCTACATAGTATTATATTTTATGCAGATAATAGGCTGTATTTAACCCTACTGATAGACATTTGGGTTGTTACTTATCTTTTGCTAATACAAATACAACAATTAACCTTATATGTATGTCATATTTTAGGGTGTAAGTGAATCCCAAGAATTTGGCTGGGTCAAAGGGTATATGCATATTAATTTTGGTAGACATTGCCAAATTGTCCTGGGTAGGAATGTGAATTCTTACCAGCTGTATATGAGAGTATGTCATTTCCTAGCAGAGTATGTTGCCTAACTTTGGGTTTTTACCAATCAGATAGATGAAAACGTTATCTGATTTGGGGTTTTTACCAAGCTGATAGCAGCATATGTGGTCTAATTTTGGGTTCTTACCAATCTGATAGATGAGAAATGGTATCTCACTGTTACTTTTAATTCAATCTTTTGATAGGTGAGGTTGAGCCATATGTGTTTCCTTTTGTGTCAACAGTTTTTCCCTAGTTGTTCTATTAAGTTGTATTCTTATAGTAGCCATCGTAGAAATTGTTTATATAATAAAGATACTATTAAAAGCTATATTATCTTTTTGACTGAGATATGAGTTGCAAACATTCTCTTCTAGTTTGTCACTTGTCTTGTGATTTTTTTCTTGATAAATTTTGGCCATAATTAAGTTTTATTTTTTATTTTTACATACTTAATTTTATCAGTCTTTTATGGGTTTTGGATGTTGACTTATAATTTGATTTTTTATATTCAAGATGTGGAGAATAGAGTTGACAGAGCAGGTCTTAGACTGCTATCCTTAGAAAGGCCTCCTTGCGAAGTTGGCCGTTGCTGGTGTTTAGAAACTTAGTTGGCATACAGTTCTCTATACTTAAATGAAACTTTTCCTAAATGATAAGGATGTCTCCGTATGCCTGAACTGTATAAGCATTGTGGTTTATGCTGAATACCTGCTTTTCTTTTGGGAGTCTGGAATTTTGGTATATGCGAGGCAGAAGATACATATATGAACAGTTTCCATGAAAAATCTTGGACACTAAGTCTCTGATGAGCTTCCCTAGTAGATAACACTTCACTTAAATTGTCACAATTCATTACTAGAGGAATTAGGCTTGTTCTGTGTGACTCCACTAGGAGGGAACTCTTCGAAGCTTGTGCCTCATTTCCTTCAGACTTCATCCCATGTATCTTTTCCCTTTGTAGTTTTTGCTTTGTATCTTTTTGCTGTAATAAATCATTACTGTGGGTAAAACTATGTATTGAGTCCATTGAGTCTTCCTGGGAGTTATAATGGAACTTACCCTTATTTTTTTCCCTTTTGTTTAATTAAAGACTTTTTTGGCCTGGTGCAGTGGCTCATGCCGGTAATCCCAGCATTTTGGGATGCTGAGGCAAGCAGACCACTTGAGGTCAGGAGTTCGAGACCAGCCTGGCTAACATGGTGAAACCTAGTCTCTACTAAAAATACAAAAATTAGCCTGGCATGGTGAGGCGTGCCTGTAGTCACAGCTACATGGGAGGCTGAAGCACAAGAATCACTTGAACCTGGGAGGTGGAAGTTGCAGTGAACTGAGATTGCATCACTGCATTCTAGCCTGGGTGACAGAGCAAAACTCTGTCTCAAGACAAAACAAAACAAAACAAAACAAAAACTGCTTTAAAAAAAATTATTTGCCAATTTTTTAAACAATTTTTTTTATTATACTTTAAGTTCTGGGATACATGTACAGAACATGCAGGTTTGTTACATAGGTATACACGTGCCATGGTGGTTTGCTGCACCCATCAACTCGTCATCTACATTAGGTATTTCTCCTAATGCTATTCCTCCCCTAGCCCCCTGCCTCCCAGTAGGCCCTGGTGTGTGATGTTCCCATGCCTGTGTCCGTGTGTTCTTATTGTTAAACTCCCACTTATGAGTGAGAACATGCGGTGTTTGGTTTTCTGTTCCTGTGTTAGTTTGCTGAGAATGATGGTTTCCAGCTTCATCCATGTCCCTGCAAAGGACATGAACTCATTCTTTTTTATGGTTGTGTAGTGTTCCATGGTGTATATGTGCCACATTTTCTTCATCCAGTCTATCACTGATGGACATTTGGGTTGGTTCTAAGTAAAAAGACCCCTTTTAAAGGGCAGTTTTAGGTTCACAGCAAAATTGAGAGGACGGTACAGAGACTTCCCTGTATATACCCCCTGCCGTGACACATGCAAGGCCTCCCCCGTTATCAACACCACCAACCAGAATGGTACATTCATTACCATTGAGGAACCTGCATCAACACATCATAATCACCAAAGTCCATAGTTCAGGGTTCACCGATGGTGTTGTACATTCTATGGGTCTGTACAAATGTAATGACATGTATCCACCATTATACTATCATACCAGGTATTTTCGCTATCCTAAAAATCCTCTGTGCTCTGCCTGTTCGTCTCTCCCCTGCCATGTATTTTTTCAGGAACTTTTATCATTTTTGTTTTTAGATATTGGGGTAACATTTATATTCATAAATTAACTTAGGATTTAGATGTTTATAAGATTGAATTTATTTCATCTAGAATGTGTTTTAAAGCTTTCTTCCTATAGATATTGGGATAACATTTATATTCATAAATTAATTTAGAATTTATATGTTTATAAAGTTGAATCTATTTAGCCTAGAATATGTTTTAGAATTTCCCTCATATAGGTTTTACATATTTCTTAAATTTATTCTTAGTTATTTCATCATTTTGTTTGTATTGTGACTGGGGCTTTTCCTGCCTATCTTCTAATTATTGTCTGTATATAAGAAAGCTAGTGATTTCTTTATGTTAATTTCCCCTGCTATCTTATTGAGTTATGTTACTATTTGTAGGAGTTTTTTATTTTATTCCTTTGGGTTTTCAAGATGTATAATCATATCATCTATAAATAGCAATAGTTTTACTTATCTCCTTCTAATGGCTGTGCCTTTTATTTCTGTATCTTGTCTAATTGTGGTTAGGACCTTCAGTACAATATTAAATAATAGGGGTAGCAGTGAGTGTTTTTTACTTTTTATTGTTTTTTAACTTTGATGGGAATGTCTTTACTTTTTCCAGGAAATCTGATGCTAATTTTTGGCTGGGATGGATATATTTTATCATGCTAAGGAAGTAACTATATTTCTATTTTATTGAGGGTTTTTATTAGTTTTCAGATCTCAATGTCTTTGTTTGTTTCTGTATCTCTGCTGAGACTTACCATTTCTCTGCTAAGACTTTTTATGCATTGTAAATATGTTTTGCTTCATTGAGGATAGTTATATTAGCGGCTTGATTCTTGTCTGTTTGTTCCAATATCTGGTTCGTCTTGGGTTTGGACTCAATTTATTTTCTTTCTCTTGAGAACATTTGATTTTTTGGTTCTTTGTATACTTGGTGATTTTGGATTGTTTCTGGGACATTAGGAGTTTTAGATTATGGATATTCTAAATGCTATTATTTTTCTGATAAGCATGGTTTCCTTTGTTTAGTAAGCAATTTTCTTGGCTGGGCTTCTACTGCAAACATGTTTTCTTATGTAGAAGGTCCAGTCTGTTCAGATGTTTTGTTTTTAGATGGTCTGTTTTAAATTTGTTCTGAGCCTACCTAGTTCAGGTGTCCGTTAGAGATGTGGGGAGACAGCTTGGGCTTGGGGATCCCCTCTTTGGCTCATGCTCACCCAGAATTCTCCTACTCTTTCAGCATTCATGGCTTCATAGCTTCTTTTTTCTAGTTCCTCAGATCAGAAAGAGTTCTTCCATGCAAGGCCCCCATAGCTGCTGTACTCACTAGGTGGCTTAGCCCCAGGCTAAAAGCTGCAGAAGCAGGAATTTACTTGTACTTCCTCCAAACTAGCGTGACCTCCCCTCCAGAATCTGTCTTTATCTCTTCATTCTCCTGGACCTTCAGGTATTTGCTTTTCATATTTTGTCCAAGTCTTTATAGTTTTCTGCAGGGAGCTAGAAGTGGTGGTCATTCTATAGCATCTTAGCTAGTCATACCCAGAAGTGGAACCTCTCATATTCCACTTATTGTTTTAAATCAAGAATGGCCATTGAATTTTATCGAATGCTTTTTTACAGTCTAAGGACATGATCATGTTTTTTTCTCTTTAACTATATCTACATGATGAATTGTATTATTAGTCCTGATTTTGAATCATTCTTGTATTTCTGGAGTATGGCCCACTTACTATTCTTTTATGGTCTGCTGATTCTTATTGTATTTTATTGAGGATTTTTGTGTTGACATTCGTGAGAATGACCTACGGTTTTCTTATTGGTACAATCTTTGTTAGGTTTTGGGATCGACAATATCCTTATTTCATTGAAGGAGTTTGAATATTTTTCTCCTTTTCTAAGTTTTAGAATAGTTTAGCATTAGAATTATCTAATGTTTAAAGTCTGGAAGAATTCTCTATGAAGCTGTCTGGATCTAGGTTTTCTTAGCAATAGTTCCTAAATTTGTTTTATGGAGAATGATCTATTTGAATTTTCTTCTCTGTAAATCAGTCTGTATTAGATTTTCTGTTTCTTTGGGGGTGATTTTTTTTTTGTAAGTTATATTTTTAAGCAAAATTTTCCAATTCATCCAGGTTTTCAAATTTATTGGTAAAGAATTTATCAAAATAGCCTCTTTTCTGATTTTAAAACATATTATCCATTTCTGTGGTTAAATTTCCTCTGGCATATCTTCACTTATATTTTGTAGTTTGGTTATCTATTTTGCATAAAAACAACCCTAAAAATCAGTAGCTTCAAAAACGACCATTTGACAGGTATTTGGGCTGGTCTCACCTAGGCAGTGCCACTCTACATGGTGTCATCTTGGGTCACTCACAGGGCTGCATTCAGCCTTCAATAGCAATTTCCTCATTGTACTTGCAGCTGCTACTAGCAGTTTCCTTACTGCCCCTTAGGCCTCCACCTACTGCTTGGTCCAAAATCCAATGCCACAAATTTTTAAGTTTTTAGTTACACAAACACCTTACTTCTAGGATTATCTGTTTCTGTGTAACATACTACCCCAAAACTCAGTGGCTTAAAATAGCAACCATATTATAATTTACTCAGAATTCTTGGGAATTCAAGCAGGTGATGCTGGGTGGTTGTTCTCCTCTACATGGTATTGGCAAGGGTTACTCAGGAGCTGTGTTCAGCTGGGTATTTGGCAGGATCTGAAACATTTAAAGTAGATTCAGGTCTCTCTCCCCAGAGGATAGTCAGACTTCATACATGGAGACCAAAAGGGAGTATTCCAATAGACGACAGTGGAAGCTGTTGATCTGTTAATGCCTAACTTTAAGAATTATGAAGCATCATCTACCATATTCTCCTTGTCAAAGCAAGTCATAGGGCCACTGAGTTTCAAAGGGAGGGGAAATAGACCCCAGCACTCAGTGAGAGGAGTGACAAAGAATTTGTGGCCATCTGCAATTCACCAAATGTGCTTTCTCTCAAGTTCATTTCATTTCATTTTACTGAGAACCAGCTCTTGGATTTATGTATTTTGGTTTCATTCTCTTTTTCTGTTTCTAACTCATTTATTTCTTCCTTTATTAATTCCTTCTTTCTATTTACTTTGGAATTATTTTATCACTCTAAAAAATCTCTTTCCCCCACCTTTACCATTTTTTATTTTTTTTTCTTACAGAGCTAATGAATGTTAGTGAGTAATAATAGTAGAAATCAATTTATTAGAACTGAATGAAGTCTCTGAGGGATGTAGGAGGCAAAGAGTGATCTGGAACGTGAGACCTTGTCTTGATATCACTGCACTAGGGTATCCTAAGTACCTTTAGGACTCTGGGCTCTGGATGCTATGTGGCAACAGAAAATTGAAAAGTGAAGTGAAAGGATGCCAAAGAAAACTTTGAAACACTTTACCCTTTGGCTTGGAGATACCCTAGATTACGCCTGACATTCATACTGAGTGTATTCTTCCTTATACTTTCTGCTGATTTGCTGTATTTGATTATACAGGTTGAGTATCCTTTATCCTAAATGCTTGAGATCAGAAGTAGTTCAGATTTTAGACTTTTGGATTAGGGATATTCAACTTGTATGAACTAACATCAGTAAAAAAAAAAAAAAAAATCCCCAAAGAAAAAAATGTATTCATTTTGAATTTACCCAGTATTTTTAAACCCACCAACATTATTTCTGCTTTCACTAATCTCTATTTTTGTTTTCCCTATCTCTGGAGTCCAGACATTTTGGAAAAGGTGAAAGTTTCTTGTGTGCTTTGTAAAATTCCTTGACATGCTTTCTTTTCCATTTATTTTTGTTCTGAAATGAACTTTTATACTACTGAACATGGTTCTTGTTCAATTCTAGTTTGTAGACCTTTTTAAGCCAAATTCTTTCTCATATATGTATTTTGAACATGCTAAAAGCTTATCAGGTGAAAAATAGTAAAAACAGTCAATAAAAGTTAGGTAATATTTAGATACTGCATATATAGCCACAAACGTCTTTCAAGAAAAAATGATAAATTAGTTGACTTACCAATAAAATAATTCTGAAAGTCTCCCATGTGGCAGCTGTAGGATACAAAAGCTAACAAAGAAGGTTCAGTTACCATTTGCAGTACAATTTCAGATGAACTCTTTGTAATTTGTCTTGTTTTAATAAGAATTAATTAAATTGATTGAGAATGGGCATATATAGGAGGCAAGAAATTTATGTAATGAAAGCAAAATTTAGTAAATTTACTTAGACATACAAAAACTAAACATTAAAATACAGTATATTCAGTTTGATTGACTTCTTATTCAAGTTAAGCTCTTAATATAATATCCAGAAAATAAAATGTATCATAGTTGGGTGAACAATGAATGATCATTGTTTACAACATTTTTTGGGGCCAGCATTTTACTGGTCTTATGCAATTCAGTTATGATTAAAGCTGGAAATGTAACCTTTTCAATAAAATGTAAACTTTTATAACAGATTTTAATTTTAGCTATTTTGACCTTGACAAATAATAATTAAAGGGGGCACCAAGATAAAATTTTCTTGTTTGTGTGTTTCTCTTCAAAACCCATGTGTTCAAATAAATGTTTATTAAAACAGCCCAACTACAGAAAAAGAGAGGTCAAAATCCACCCAATGGATTGGAGATAAGAAAAGAACAGTATAAAGAGTTTTGCTGATATAACCACAGGCAAATGCTATTAGCTGTCTAATACACAAAAATGGATTAAAGACTTAAATATAAAACCTGAAACTATGAAACTATTAGAAGAATGCATAGGGGGAAATGCTTTAGGACACTGATCTGGGCAAAGATTTTTTTTTAGTAAGACCTCAAAAGCACAGGTAACAAAAGCAAACATAGATAAATGGGATTACATCAGGCTAGAAAGCTTCTGCTCAGCAAAGGAACAGCCAACAGAGTGAAGAGACAACCTACAGAATTGGACAAAATGTTTGCAAGCTATCCATCTGACAAGGGATTAGTAATGAGAATGTATAAGGAACTCCAACAATTCTGCAGGAAAAAAAAGCCCAAATAATCTGATGAAAAAAGTGGAGATATAGCTTTGTGCAGTGGCAGTATTGTAGCCAATGAGGTTTATCTGAGGCGCAATTATTGCTAATTGAAAAAAATGGACATGTAATCTGAATAGACATTTCTTAAAAGAAGGCATATAAATGGCCAACAGATGAAAAAAATGTTCAACATCGCTAACCATAGGGGAAATGTAAATCAAAACTACAATGAGATATCATCTCACCCCAGTTAACACAACTATTATCAGAAAGACAAAAATAATAGGTGCTGGTGAGAATATAGAGAAAGGGGAATGGTAGTACACTATTGGGAATGAAACTAGTACAGCCACTATGGAAAACAGTATGGAGGTTCCTCTAAACCCTGAAAATAGATCCACCATATGATCCAGCAATCCTGCTGCTGGGTATATGTCTCAAAAAATAAAAGGTATATTAAAGGGATGTCTGTACTCCCATGTTTATTGCAGCACTATTCACAATAGCCAAGATAAATAATTAACCTAAGTGTCCATCAACAGGTGAATGGATAAAGAAAATGTAGGTATAGACACAATAGAATATTATTCAGCCATAAAAAAAATGAAGTCCCGTCATGTGCAGCAACATGAATGGAGCCGTAGGTCATTATGTTAAGGGAAATAATCTACGCATGAGAAGACAAATACTGCATGCTCTCACTAATATGTGAAAGCCAAAAAATATTGATCTCAGGGAGGTAGAGAGTTGAATATGGTTACCAGAGGCTGGGAAGGGTACTGGGTGGATGTGGGGAAAATGAAGAGAGGTTAGTGAATGGGTACAAAAATACTGCTAGATTTATTGTATATTTCAAAATAGCTAGAAGAGGCTGGGCACGGTAGCTCATGCCTGTAATCCCAGCACTTTGGGAGGCTGACGTGGGCAGATCACTTGAGGTCAGGAGTTGGAGACCAGCCTGGCCAACATGGTGAAATCCCATCTCTACTAAAAATACAAAAATTAGCTGGGCATGGTGGCAGGCACCTGTGATCCCAGCTACTTGGGAGGCTGAGGCAGGAGAATCACTTGAACCTGGGAGGCAGAGGTTGTAGTGAGCCGAGATCACACCACTGCACTCCAGCCTGGGCAACAGAGTGAGACTCCATTTAAAAAAATAAAATAAAAATAAAAAGCTGGAAGAGAAGATTGGGAATGTTCCCAAAAGAAAGAAGTGATAAGATGGCCAAATAGGAACAGCTCTGGTCTGCAGCTCCCAGCGAGACCAATGCAGAAGGCAGGTGATTTCTGCATTTCCAACTGAAGTACCCGGCTTATCTCACTGGGACTGGTTAGACAGTCGATGCAGCCCACAGAGGGTGAGCCGAAGCAGGGTGGGGTGTCACCTCACCCAGGAAGCACAAGGGTTGGGGGAATTCCCTCCCCTAGCCAAGGGAAGTGCCAAGGGACTGTGAGGAATGGTGCATTCTGGCCCAGATGCTATGCTTTTCCCATGGTCTTTGCAACCCGCAGACCAGGAGATTCCCTCGGGTGCCTACACCACCAGGGCCCTGGATTTCAAGCACAAAACTGGGTGGTTATTTTGGCAGACACAGAGCTAGCTGCAGGGGTTTTTCATACCCCAGTGGCGCCTGCAACACCAGTGAGACAGAACCGTTCACTCCCCTGGAAAGGGGGCTGAAGCCAGGGAGCCAAGTGGTCTAGCTCAGTGGATCCCACCCCCATGGAGGCCAGCAAGCTAAAGTCCACTGGCTTGAAATTCTCGCTGCCAGCACAGCAGTCTGAAGTCGACCTGGGATGCTCAGTCTTGGTTGGGGGAGGGGCATCTGGAGGCTTGAGTGGGCAGTTTTCCCCTCATAGTGTAAACAAAACTGCTGGGAAGTTTGGACAGGGCAGAGCCCACCACAGTGCCACAAAGCGGCGGTACCCAGACTGCCTCTCTAGATTCCTCCTCTCTGGGCAGGGCATCTCTGAAAGAAAGGCAGCAGCCCCAGTCAGGGACTTACAGATAAAACTCCTATCTGCCTGGGACAGAGCACCTGCAGGAAGGGCAGCTGTGGGCACAGCTTCAACAGACTTAAACGTTCCTGCCTGGTGGCTCTGAAGAGAGCAGCAGATCTCCCAGCACAGCACTCAAGCTCTGCTAAGGGACAGACTGCCACCTCAAGTGGGTCCCTGACCCCCATGCCTCCTGACTGGGAGACACCTCCCAGCAGGGGTCAACAGACATCTCATACAGGAGACCTCTGGCTGGCATCTGGCGGGTACCCCTCTAGGATGAAGCTTCCGGAGGAAGGAACAGGCAGCAATCTTTGCTGTTCTGCAGCCTCCGCTGGTGATACACAGGCAAACGGGGTCTGGAGTGGACCTCCAGCAAACTCCAGCAGACCTGCAGCAGAGGAGCCTGACTGTTAGAAGGAAAACTAACAGAAAGGAATAGCATCAACAAAAAGGGTGTCCACAAAAAAACCCCAGCCGAAGGTCAACAGCATCAAAGACCAAAGGTAGATAAATCCACGAAGATGAGGAAAAACCAGTGCAAAAAGGCTGAAAATTCCAAAAGCCAGAACGCCTCTTCTCCTCCAAAGGATCACAACTCCCTGCCAGCAAGGGAACAAAACTGGATGGAGAATGAGTTTGACAAATTGACAGAAGTAGGCTTCAGAAGGTGGGTAATAACAAACTCCTTCAAGCTAAACGAGCATGTTCTAACCCAATACAAGGAAGCTAAGAACCTTGAAAAAAGGTTAGAGGAACTGCTAACTGGAAGAACCAGTGTAGAGAAGAACATAAGTGACCTGATGGAGCTGAAAAACATAGCACGAGAATTTCGTAAAGCATACACGGGTATCAATAGACAAATCGATCAAGTGGAAGAAAGGATATCAGATGTTGAAGATCAATTGATGAAATAAAGCATGAAGACAAGATTAGAGAAAAAAATGAAAAGGAACGAAATATGGGACTATGTGAAAAGACCAAACCTATGTTTGATTGGTGTATCTGAAAGTGATAGGGTGAATGGAACCAAGTTGGAAAACACTCTTCAGGATATTATCCAGGAGAATTTCCCCAACCTAGCAAGACAGGCCAACATTCAAATTCAGGAAATACCGAGAATACCACAAGATACTCCTCAAGAAGAGCAACCCCAAGACACATAATTGTCAGATTCACCAAGGTTGAAATGAAGGAAAGAATGTCAAGGGCAGCCAGAGAGAAAGGTCGGGTTACCTACCCACAAAGGGAAGCTCATCAGACTAACAGCAGATCTCTCTGCAGAAACCCTACAAGCCAGAAGAGAGCGGGGGCCAATATCCAACATTCTTAAAGAAAAGAATTTTCAACCCAGAATTTCATATCTAGCCAAACTAAGCTTCATAAGCAAAGGAGAAATAAAATCCTTTACAGACAAGCAAATGCTGAGAGACTTTGTTACCACCAGGCCTGCCTTACAAGAGCTCCTGAAGGAAGCACTAAACATGGAAAGGAAAAACCAGTACCAGCCACTGCAAAAACATGCCAGATTGTAAAGACCATTGACACTATGAAGAAACTGCATCAATTAACAGGCAAAATAACCAGCTAACATCATAATGACAGGATCAAATCCACACATAACAATATTAACCTTAAATGTAAATGGGCTAAATGCCCCAATTAAAAGACACAGACTGGCAAATTGGATAGAGTCAAGACTCACTGGTGTGCTCTATTCAGGAGACCCATCTCACATGCAAAGACACATATAGGCTCAAAATAAAGGGATGGAGGAATATTTACCAAGCAAATGGAAAGAAAAAAAAGAAAGGGGTTACAATCTTAGTCTCCGATAAAACAGCCTTTAAACCAACAAAGATCAAAAGAGGCAAAGAAGGGTATTACATAATGGTAAAGGGATCAATGCAGTAAGAAGAGCTAACTATCCTAAATATGTATGCACCCAATAAAAGAGCACTCAGATTCATAAAGCAAGTTCTTAGAGACATACAAAAAGACTTAGACTCCCACACAATAATAGTGGGAGACTTTAACACCCCACTGTCAATATTAGATCAATGAGACAGAAAATTAACAAGGATATTCAGAACTTGAACTAAGCTCTGGACCAAGCAGACCTAATAGACGTCTACAGAACTCTTCATCCCAAATCAAAAGAATATACATTCTTCTCAGCACCACATCGCACTTATTCTAAAATTGACTACATAATTGGAAGTAAAACACTGCTCAGCAAATGCAAAAGAATGAAAATCGTAACAGTCTCTCAGACCACAGTGCAACCAAATTAGAATTTAGGATTAAGAAACTCACTCAAAGCCACACAACTACATGGAAACTGAACAATCTAATCCTGAATGACTACTGGGTAGATAACAAAATTAAGGCAGAAATAAAGAAGTTATTTGAAACAAATGAGAACAAAGACACAATATACCAGAATCTCTGGGACACAGCAAAAGCAGTGTTTAGAGGGCAATTTATAGCGCTAAATGCACACAGGAGAAAGCAAGAAAGATCAACACCCTAACATCACAATGAAAAGAACGAGGAAGCAAGAACAAACACATTCAAAAGCTAGCAGAAGACAAGAAATAACTAAGATCAGAGCAGAACAGAAAGAGATAGAGACACGAAAAATCCTTCAAAAACTCCATGAATCCAGGAGCTGGTTTTTTGAAAAGATTAACAAAATAGATAGACTGCTAGCCAGACTAATAAAGAAGAAAAAGAGAAGAATCAAATAGACACAATAAAAATGATAAAGGGGATATCACCACTGATCCCACAGAAATACAAACTAACATCAGAGAATACTATAAACACCTCTACACAAATGAACTAGAACATCTAGAAGAAATGGATAAATTCCTTAACACATACCCCCTCCCAACACTAAACCAGGAAGAAGTCGAATCCCTGAATAGACCAATAACAAGTTCTGAAATTGAGGCAGTAATTAATAGCCTACCCACCAAAAAAAGCCCAGGACCAGATGAATTCACAGCCGAATTCTACCAGAGGTACCAAGAGGACCTGATACCATTCCTTCTGAAATTATTTCAAGCAATAGAAAAAGAGGGACTCCTCCCTAAATCATTTTATGAGGCCAGCATCATCTTGATACCAAAACCTGGCAGAGACACAATAAAAAAAGAAAATTTCAGGCCAGTATCCCTGATGAACATCGATATGAAAATCCTCAATAAAATACTAGCAAACTGAATCCAGCAGCACATCAAAAAGCTTATCCACCACGATCAAGTCAGCTTCATCCCTGGGATGCAAGGCTGGTTTAACATATGCAAATCAATACACGTAATCCATCACATAAACAGAACCAATGACAAAAACCACATGATTCTCTCAACAGATGCAGAAAAGGCCTTCAATAAAATTCAACACCCCTTCATGCTAAAAACTCTCAATGAGCTAGGTATTGATGGAATGTATCTCAAAATAGTAAGAGCTATTTATGACAAACCCACAGCCAATATCATACTGGATGGGCAAAAGCTGGAAGCATTCCCTTTGAAAACCAGCACAAGACAAGGATGCCCTCTCTCACTACTCCTACTCAACATAGTATTGGAAGTTCTGGCCAGGGCAATCAGGCAAGAGAAAGAAATAAAGGGTATTCAAATAGGAAGAGAGGAAGTCAAATTGTCTCTGGGTTTCCAGATGACATGATTGTATATTTAGAAAACCCTCAGCCCCAAATCTCCTTAAGCTGAAAAACAACTTCAGCAACGTCTCAGGATACAAAATCAGTGTGCAAAAATCACAAGTATTCCTATACACCAATAACAGACAAACAGAGAGCCAAATCATGAGTGAATTCCCATTCACAATTGCTACTAAGAGAATAAAATACCTAGGAATACAATTTACAAGGGATGTGAAGGACCTCTTCAAGGAGTACTACAAAACACTGCTCAAGGAAATAAGAGAGGACACAAACAAATGGAAGAACATTCCATGCTCATGGATAGGAAGAATCAATATCTTGAAAATGGCCACACTGTCCAAAGTAATTTAGAGATTCAATGCTATCCCTGTCAAGCTACCATTGACTTTCTTCACAGAATTAGAAAAACCTACTTTAAATTTCATATGGAACCAAAAAAGAGCCTGTATAGCCAAGACAGTCCTGGACAAGAAGAACAAAGCTGAAGGCATCCCCCTACCTGACTTCAAACTATACTATAAGGCTACAGTAACCAAAACAGCATGGTACTGGTACCAAAACAGATATATAGACCAATGGAACAGAACAGAGGCCTCAGAAATTATGCCACACCTCTACAACCATCTTATCTTTGGCAAACCTGACAAAAAATAAGTAAGGGGGAAAGGATTCTCCACTTCATAAATGATGTTGGGAAAACTGGATAGCCATAGGCAGAAAACTGAAACTGGACCCCTTCCTTACACCTTATACAAAAATTAACTCAAGATGAATTAAAGACTTAAACGTAAGACCTAAAACCATAAAAACCCTAGAAGAAAACCTAGGCAATACCATTCGGGATGTAAGCATGGGCAAAGACTTCGTGACTAAAACACCAAAAGCAATGGCAACAAAAGCCAAAATTGACAAATGGGATCTAATTAAACTAAAGAGCTTCTGCACAGCAAAAGAAACTATCATCAGAGTGAACAGGCAACCTACAGAATGTGAGAAAATTTTTGCAATCTATCCATCTGACAAAGGGCTAATATCCAGAATCCATAAGGAACTTAAACAAATTTACAAGAAAAAAACCAACAACCCCATCAAAAAGTGGGCAAAGAATATGAACAGACATTTATCAAAATAAGACATTTATGTGGCCAACAAACATATGAAAAAAGGCTCATCATCACTGGTCATTAGAGAAATGCAAATCAAAACCACAATGAGATACCATCTCATGCCATTTAGAATGACAATCATTAAAAAGTCAGGAAACAACAGATGCTGGAGAAGATATGGAGAAATAGGAATGCTTTTACACTATTTGTGGGAGTATAAATTAGTTCAACCATTGTGGAAGACAGTGTGGGGATTCCTCAAGAATCTAGAACTAGAAATGCCATTTGACCCAGCAATCCCATTACTGGGTATATAGCCAAAGGATTATAAATCATTCTACTATAAAGGCACGTGCACACGTATGTTTATTGTGGCACTGTTCACAATTTTACTCTTATTATGAACTTAGATTTTTTTTAAATGTTTCTTAGTTTTGGTGAGAAGAATTTGAGTTTAGCACCTTTAAAGCACTAGAAGTCCAATTTCCTTTTTCTGGGAATTTTAAGAATATTCAAATTACATAAGAACTTACTTATCTCTGTAAGTCAATAAGAACAGAGCTCCTTGAATTTAAGAGACATTATACTGTAATAATATCCTCTATAGATAGGATATTATATCTCACATAATGAGAGGGAAAGGCCTTTCTGAATTTTGGACACATAGAGACAGAGCTTACAGCTTCATGTCTACAAGTTAGGCACAAGTCAAGAGTAAACACAGAAACACAAAATCTCTCTGGTCCAAAATCAAAGAGGTGTTCTCCTTCCCAGTGGGCATAACATTTTAATTGATTTGAGCTTAAAGAAAATAGACAAATTTTTTTTTAAGTATAACCAGAGTCTCTGTCATCTCACCCAATAGGGATAGATCTATATCACCTTCTACAGAGATCATGAGATGGTCAAACTGTAAAACCAAAACCCTTATTGTTTTTACAGTTAATGAGGAACTGATTAATGAGGGAACCAATAGATGTCACAACTGGCTTAAAGGAGAATTCAAACCACACACATATGTACAGGTAATCAAACATGTTGAAATGAATTTACAAATAGGTATGAAACTAGTCGGTATCCACAGGGCAATCTGTTTTATTATACTGGACAAAATTCATTTGCATTAGCATAAGTTTTCTACAATTTACAGAGTTGTAAAATAGCTCGAAGACAATGAAAATCACAGGTATTTATAGAATCAGATAACCCAGAAAGGTGCATTTGACAGGACACCTGGTCATCTTTTTCTATTGTCTGCTTCAGTCTTTCTCTGGAGAACAATCCAGGAAGCAATCCTTGACTTCTTGGCCCACTTAGACACAAGGTCAGCCAGGCCCTAATCTTTCAACATTTCAGCTGGAACTTACGAGATTCTTTGAGCAAGCATGGGGGCAAGGAGTTTGTCTTCACCTATCCCTGCATCCTTAGCTAGGTGAGGCCTTTTCTTGCTGTCTCACTTTCCTCCATGCATCTTGTGACCCATCCAGAGGATCACTTCAGAGCCAAACATTGCACAGTGTGGAGGTGGGACTCTGATGGGAGAAGGTTTAACTTGGCAAAGAATTACCATTGGAATAATTATCGAGAGTGACCTGGTAAGGTCTGGTTTCACCAGGGCCCTCCCTGAGGGTCATTCCCAACCAGTAACTGCCCATAGAGCCACAGGCTCAGACCTGGGACGGTCCCTGCTGCCTAGGCCAAGGCCCAGCTCTGTACCCTGTCCACAATAGTAGCACCCCCAGTCTTCGATAGGTGGAATTATCATTTGTCAGGTGATAAAACAAAGACTGAAATCTATTTAAGAGAAGCAGTTTAGGAGTACAAACATAGAATATATGAAAAGCTAGTTATATGAAAGTAAAATGATAAAGGTTGAGTTTCACTTATAATTTGAAAACCAACATTTATTGTGCTTCTTCATTGGACGTGTTGTCTCAATTGTATTTTGGTCTCTCAGCAATTTTGCTGGACCTTGCTATGTGTTTCACTAAACTCACTTTTCAAAAGGAGTTGTCAGGATTTTATGAATTGTTTTATTAACCCCAGAAATTTTTAAGGCTTTCTTAAGATCAAATGGTTAAGATAGACTGGCTCGTGGCACTCTTATTAGATAAGAGTTCTGCATTTTCATCTGTAAATTTAGTAGAAGGTTGTAGTTCAAAGAAAAAAGTTCAGAATGCCTCTGCAATATTAATTAAAACAAAGTCCTCTTTACTTTGACTTTTGGCACCATACCATATGCTTTTAAACATCAAGAATTAGATTGATCTTTAGAAACACCTTAAGAATGGAAATAGCAGCCTTGAAGCTTATAATAAAAGAACAGTTTAAAATGCATAAAACAACTCCTCTGTTTAGCTATGCATTTTGTTAACACTTTTTATTTTAGTAACCTTACTTCTGAAAAAGATTCTTCATTAGTGTTCTCAGCAGTAACAACTGATACATCTTTCTTGACCTCACCATGCTTAGAACGAAACTTTAAAAGAGTATAAATTTTATTTAACCCTCACATTTTGCCAGATCACTGTTCTTACAGTAAGCACACATGGCAGGATATGGTGATGAAACTATGGGAACGTACCTGCTCTCTTAGGTCTACTTCTCTTTACCTGAGTTTGTCTTACTGATTTGTGTCACATATCCAAGAATAGAAACTACCTTTCAGAACTAACTCAGGTTTACTGTTCAAAGAAGCTGAAGGCTAATGAAAGGCAACGTATACTCTAAAGATTTTTCATTTTCTTCTTATTGCTGCATACTGAAGTTATACCAAATTATGCATTTGCTTCCAAATTTTGGTTATCCTTTTGATTACTGTCTTTATCATCCATTATTTTCTTTGGAAGGCAGCTGGCAAATACTCCATTATGTCATCAGTAAGAGTTCATTTTCTATGTAGGAATACCACGCAGAGTAACAACTGTGACTTTTGCCCAGCTCTAATACTTAACTTCTTTTGTCAGGAAGTGAACTGATGCTGGCTTCTCTTTGTCTTATTCCAAGTTGGGCATGAGATTTTCCCTGCATTAGAAGGTTGTTGAGACCTGAAGCCTGGGAAGGTAAGATGCCAGCATGAATACTGTCTGTTGAGAACTGTGGTTTAATTGAGTGTCTGGTGATTTAAGAGTGTAAGTCTTTCCAGCTGTTCCTGGTTTATGGTCTTGAACCCTTGAAGTTTTACCAAAACATGGACAGTGAAACACTTCTACAATGGAAAGGCCCATTAACATATTATTTATAATATTTAAACATAATTGTATATTTATTGAAATTGTTACTTAAAGGAAAAATGGACACATAGCAATTTCTATGTATAGATACTTTGTATATACAAGTCTATATGTATCATAAAATAATAAACTAAGAAAAACATATATGTACTTTTTGTTTGTAGTTTTACTTTTTCTTCTGATTTTTTAATAGACTTTTATTTACTTATTTTTGTCTGCTTTGAGACAGGGGTCTTGCTATGTTGCCCAGGCTGGTCTCAAACTCCTGGCCTCAAGCCATCTACCCACCTCAACCTCCCAAGTAACTGAGATTACGCACTCAGCTGCATGCCACTGCACCCAGCACTAGACTTTTTTTTTTTTTTTTTTTTTAGATGGAGTTTCGCTCTATCGCCAAGGCTGGAGTGCAGTGGCACAGTCTTGGCTCACTGCAACCTCTGCCTCCTGGGTTCAAATGATCTCCTCCCTCAGCCTCCTGAGTAGCTGGAATTACAGGCACCCACCACCATGCCCAGCTAATTTTTGTATTTTTAGTAGAGACGGGGTTTCACCACGTTGGCCAGGATGGTCTCGAACTCCTGACCTGACGTGATCCGCCCACCTCAGCCTCCCAAAGTGCTGGGATTACAGGCGTGAGCCACCACACCCAGCCTTAGACTTTATTTTTTAGATCAGTTTTAGATTTCCTCCCTGATCGTTTTTTGAGGCCAGCAAAGTAAGGAGAGTAAAGACTCGATTTTGTTAATATGGAGAAAGAAGACAACATTAAGAAAATCAACAAATTATAAAGTTTTGTCTCAGTACTCTCATGACCCAACCAGCATTCTATGGGTGTTTTTCCCAAAAAGTCTCCATTGGAAAAGACTAGCGAATGCACACACTCAGTAATGAGGGTCATGTTTTTACACTACTGTTGCTTACTCTCACCATTTGTTCGACATGCTTCTTCATTCACTGTGCCTTAGCTAGTTTTAGTAAATAAAATGTTTCAAATTTTCAATGACTTACTTAAGCTAAGAAATTATAGTCCTTCACAATGAAATTATAAACAATATCCTTCCTAGTGACAAATATGGATTATTCTCTATGAAGACTTATTTATACACAACATGTAGTTCATTTAGATACAACTTGTAGTTCATTTCAGCATATAAATTATCTGGGTAACAGTCAATCTTAAAAGAATCAGATTTTGCGGCCAGGCACGTTGGCTCACACCTGTAATCCCAGCACTTTGGGATGCCGAGGTGGGCAGATCACTTGAGGTCAGGAGTTCGAGACCCACCTGGCCAACATGGTGAAACCCCGTCTCTACTAAAAATACAAAAATTAGCTGGGTGTGGTGGTGCACACCTGTGGTCCCAGCTACTCAGGAGGCTGAAGCAGGAGAATCTCTTGAACTCAGAAGGCAGAGGTTGCAGTGAGCTGAGATCACACCATTCCACTCCAGCCTGAGCAACAAAAGCAAGACTCCATCTCAAAAAAAAAAAAAAAAAAAAAATCTAAGATTTTGCTTCATAACTGGACTTAAATTTACTAATACATTTGATGTACTAATAATGATCAGTTTTTAATGGTGCTAATGTCATATAAATGTGACGTTAAACAACAAAAATTTTGTGAGATTGAATGTTAGCTAAATATCTCTACATATTATTAAGAATCTAATAGAGGCTTTAATGAAGTTACATTTATAGCACTAGCTAATAAAAGATGCAAAGGTCACAAGCTAGTCTTCTCTCACTGTTTCTCGGCCTATAAAAATCTAGTAGGGGTTTCATAGGATTTTGGCAACATTTGTTTGTTGTTATATGGCTGTAGACTTTTTTTTTTTTTTTTTTTTTTGAGACGGAGTCTTGCTCTGTTGCCAGGCTGGAGTGCAGCGGCGCGATCTCAGCTCACTGCAACTTCCGCCTCCCGGATTCAAGCAATTCCCTGCCTCAGCCTCCCGGGTAGCTGGGATTACAGGCGCCTACCACCACGCCTGGCTAATTTTTGTATTTTCAGTAGAGATGGGGTTTCACCATCTTGGCCAGGCTGGTCTTGAACTCCTGACCTTGTGATCCACCCACCTTGGCCTCCCACATTGCTGGAATTACAGGTGTGAGCCACCGCGCCCAGCTGACTTATTAAAGGGATCCAAGCCCATGTTGTTTTCTTGAACATTTCTAATAGTTTCATTTTTGATTTGTTTTTTCCATTTTTCATGAGTTGCAAATTGAACTTTGATTGACACAGAGTATCAGGTGGAAGCCAGATTTGACGTATGCCAGTATTAGACTTTCTCTTTCCAGGATAGACCAGCCCAAGTGAAGTGGCACTGACATTGCATCTCCCTTTGGTTAGCGAAGTCTTTTATAATATTGTAAACATGGGGTTTTTTTCTGAGAAATAATGATAGCACATTTATTGATCACCATGCTCTTAACCTTTTCTAGTTATAATTTTTCTTAGTTATTTTATTCCTTGTAAACACACTTGTATAGTGTGTTTCAGTGTTCAAAGCACTCTAGACATTCTTACTTGATTCTGACAATAGCCCTATGTAGTTAAAGCATGTGATGTTATTTTGATTTCACAGTCTTAAGTGACTTGCCCAAGATCACATAGCCAACAAGCATGGAAATAGGGTGAAGAAACCAGTTTTTTCCAGTTCACAGTCCAGTAATGTTTCTTGAAGCTAAATGGTGCTCTGTTTGTTTACATGACTAAAAACTGAGTTATTTTATTCATGTGAAAGGTCTCCTATGTTGTAACAACTTCCTTGAATGCCACAGAATCGAATGAATGTATTTCATGTCAATGTACTAAACGTAGCTTCTGTGTTTGGGAGCAGATAATTGGTGGTATTCAGCCAGAAAACCAATTTGTATAACTTAGATTCTGAATTTCAGAATTTCTCACCTAGTGGAGTATTTGTACCTGTTCCAGCATCCATCTTCAATTCCAGGAAAACATGGGTGATCCTTTATTGCTTGGTATTCACCTCATTAGGTGGCACAACTGTTTGCTAAAACAGTTTGTGCAGAAGTAAGGTCCAGAAGTAATTTAGCAAGAGAGTTACTTACATAAAGACTGAGAGCTACGTAGTTCTGGGTAAATGCTGGTGCAACATGACCTCTTTGTGTTTTGTATAAATGCTGTGCTAGTACTACCAGTTGTCTATATCCACTTAATCCACCCTTACTTTTGAAGGAGTCGATTAATTCTGTTTGCCTGAAATTTGATAATTGTATCATCAATGAAGTCATAACATTTTCATAAATGAGCTAGAGCTTTAAAAGTAGAATCCTTGTACACAGTCATTGGTAGGCAGTGTTTACTTTTTTGTTTGGTAAATATCTGAAATTTTAAAATTCATTTTTAGGTTAGCCAGTCCTACTTCCTGGATAGTAATGTAATATTTAAATTTGTCTTTGCCTTTCCCTAGGTTCTGTTTTGACCTAACAATGATAAGATTGTTTATCCTTTGAATTTGCTTAAAATTACCATCAGGTTTCTACTTTCCCACAAGAGCATGTGATTGCTTTATCCCAGCTGTAAGATAATAGAACAACCTAGTGTTGCTTGGTTTACTTTGTATGCCTTTTTCTATTTGCATAAACCCTGATCTGATTACAAACTTGTATTTACACCATTCCCTTGACTCCTTCCAACTCAAAGTATTTATTGTCCAGTTAAAACATTTATGGTCATATAAGCTGGCTTATCTTTTTTTCTTTGATTTTTTTTTGAGTCAGAGTCTCACCCTGTCGCCCAAGCTGGAGTGCAGTGGCCCGATCTCGGCTCACTGCAAGCTCCGCCTCCCGGGTTCACGCCATTCTCCTGCCTCAGCCTGCAAGTAGCTGGGACTGCAGGCGCCCGCCACCATGCCCAGCTAATTTTTTTGTATTTTTAGTAAAGACAGGGTTTCACCATGTTAGCTAGGATGGTCTCGATCTCCTGACCTCATGATCCACCCGCCTCGGCCTCCCAAACTGCTGGGATTACAGGCGGGAGGCACTGCGTCCGGCCTCTTTTTTTCTTTTTTTTATTTGGAATAGCCTCTCACTCTGTTGCTCTAGCTGGAGTGCAGTGGTGCAATCAGGGCTCACTATGCCTTGACCTGGGCTCAAGTGATTCTCCCACCTCAGCCTCCTGAGTAGTTGTGACTACAGGCGTGGGCCACCAGCCAGCTAATTTTTGTTATTTTTTGTAGAGACGGTGTCTCTACCATGTTGCCCAGGCTGGTCTCAAACTCCTGGGCTCAAGCCATCCTCCTGCCTCAGCCTCGCAAAGTGCTGGGATTACAGGCATGAGCCACTGTGCCCGGCCTGAATTTCAATCTTACTTAAACTCAAACAGCCTTAAGAAATCTGAGTAATGAGTTTATAGCTTTTAAAAGAGATCTTCCTTATCAAAAATAATTATACTATCTCGTTTCAGGATTACTTATCAATGGTTCTGGTTATTTTTTCTAGAATGGAAACTGAACCCTATCTTTAACATTATTTAAAAACTTGAGAGTTATTTTAAAAGTATGACAGGAATTGCTCTCACAGCTAAAATTTTTCCTTAAAAAACCTTTAGCAGTCACAAATAATTGTTACCTACTTAATTCTATTTAAAAAAACAGGAATGATAGAAGGGTTTTATTTTATTTTTGTTATTTTAAAGATACTTTTGAAAACCGTTTAGCACCCAGTTTCTTTTACTCTGTGGAATGCTGCCCCTTTCCTTCTGTGTTTATTTTGTAATGGCACATGGATAGATTGTGATGGTGGTCTCTATGTCAACTTTCTATTGGTGCGTGTGTGTGTGTGTGTTTATGTGTGTTTATTCCATTTCCCTTTTGGGAAGCAGGAATTGGAGCTGGAAGAGAAAGAAACAAATTATTTTCATCTAATCTTTTTTCTCCTCAGCTTATTTAACTGACTTAAACTATGGAAAAATTGGTAATTTATATTTAAAATTTATAAATTGTGTTTCCCACCATATATATTTTTTATTTACATATATATGTATATATATTTTTTGAGACAGGGTCTTGCTCTGTCACCTAGGCTGGACTGCAGTGGCATGATCATAGCTCACTGCAACCTCAAAGTCCTAGGCTTAAGCGATCTTCCCACCTCAGCCTCCAGAGTAGCTGGGACTACGGGTACAACCATGCTTGGCTAATTTTTTTTTTTTTTTTTTTTGAGATGGAGTCTTGCTCTGTTGCCAGGCTGGATGTGCAGTGGCACGATCTCAGCTCACTGCAACCTCCGCCTCCCAGGTTCAAGCAATTCTCTTGCCTCAGCCTCCTGAGTAGCTGTGACTACAGGCGTGCACCACCACACCCAGATAATTTTTGTATTTTTAGTAGAGATGGGGTTTCACCATGTTGGCCAGGATGGTCTCAATATCTTGACCTCGTGATCTGCCCGCCTCGGCCTCCCAAAGTGCTGGGATTACAAGCGTGAGCCACCATGCCCGGCCTAATTTTTTAATTTTTTGTAAAGACAAGGTCTCACTGTATTGCCCAGATAGATCTTGAACTCCTGGCCCCAAGTGATCCTCTCTCCTCAGCCTCCCAAAGTGCTGGGAGTAGAGGCGTGAGTCACTGTGCCTGGCCCTCCAAAATATTTTTACTTTCATTTAAGTTTGCTACCGATATCCTATCCTTACTTTCCCTATGTCCCCTTAATCTTATCTTTATGGTAGTTTAGGAGAATCTAGACTGCCGCTTTGCTTAACTGATACCGCCCCGGGAAGCTATCACCAATCACATCACTGCCTCACATTGAGTAGGACTTGAAGTTCATGAAACATCTTTAATATGCTCATCTAACTCAAATTGATCCTTTGTGCTATATCTTGATGTTCTTTTCTCTTATTTGTTTGTATACTGCTTTATTAGACTATCACATTAGTTATCAAAGCTAGTAGTTAATTCACATGTTGATTTTCTAGGCCTGTATCCTTATTAGTCTAAGGTGGAAGAAACAGAGATAAAATTTCTAAATACCTACCTAAACTGGAAAGGAATAAGGAAGATAATTAATTTAGTAGAATCAACCTTTTTATTCTTGACAAAATCTGGTTAAAACAAACTGGTTTTACACACACATACACTTTTTTACACAGAATTATTGCTGAGTATATTAGTTAATATTAAAGTGTTTTTTATTTTAAATGCTACTATGTTGAAATTGATCTGGTGCCAAACAGTGTCATTCTTGTTAATTTATATCAATCTCTGTGTTTTATAATCCTTTGAACATATTAACAAGGAAAAAGGAATGATTGGTAATACCAAATATTATGGTTCTTTGTTATATAGTTTTAGAGAGCTACAGGTAATTGGCTATAAAATATTTGGTTGGCAGTGGAGAATATTTTTAAAATTCTATAGATAAAAGTAATAAGGAGTAGAGTAGAACTACCAGATATTCAAATATATTATAAAGTAACAGTATTGAAGCAGTGTGGCAAAGGCCCCAGATTAGATGTGTAGATCATTGAAGAAGAATAGAAATAAATGCTGTTATTTATATAAATCTGACATATGTTAAAGGAGGCCCTGTTAAACACTGGGTAATGGATTGATTATTTAATGAATGGGGTTGGAATAACCAGTTAGCAGTTTTAAGGAAAAATGCATTTAGATCATTATCTATACCAGATACAACAAAAAGTCAATTTGTGATAAAGTGTGGACATTTATATGATTGAAAATCTACAAGATAAAAACACTGAATACTCTATAATTTATCTGGAGTTCCTAAGCAGTTGGAAAACTGGAAAAAGAAGATAGTAAAAAATTGTTTTATTATAACAAATTTGCATTTGTTTTATTGTAACTGTAGATCTGTGAGCATTATAGGAAAACCTGTCTACTCCATGTTCACAATCTGAAAATTAGTCTCCTTTTTTCTTCACGTCATCTGGAAACTGTTTTTCTTCCAAACTAGCTAATGAAACACAGAATGCAATTCTTTATCTAAAATTTTATTCTGTAGGTGCGTTGAAAACTATACAGGAGCTCGTTGTGAAGAGGTTTTTCTCCCAGGCTCCAGCATCCAAACTAAAAGTAACCTGTTTGAAGCTTTTGTGGCATTGGCGGTCCTAGTAACACTTATCATTGGAGCCTTCTACTTCCTTTGCAGGTAAGTAAAATAGAAACATGCTTTTGAGAAAAGTAATACATAAAGTAGTTATTCCACTAAATAATTAATATGCCCTTAGTTCTAGATATTTTTCCAGATACTGTATTATGTTTAGTTATCTCTTTAATACAGTTTTTGTTACTAATTTCATTTTTGAAAGAATCTTAATAAGCAGTCTCAATTTGTTCTTTGTTACTGTTGTCAATATTTACCTTGACTTATCTAAACTACTAAGGTAAACCCATACTCACTATAGCAAATATGCCAAAAGCACCTGAATATTTGGGTTAGGTGTATTTAAAGTAAATTTTGTATGTGAAAGAAAAGGAACAACTTACGCAATACTGTACATGTTAGCTTAAGACATATGGTTAATATGCAGGGTCAGCTATCTAGTGCCCACTATTGTGCTAGGCATAAAGAATACAATAGTGAACAAAATAGACATGTTTCCCAACTTCAAAGATACTTAAATCAATTTGGAGAGACAGACAAAAAGGCAATTAATTTGGGGAAACTGGTAACTCACAAGAGAGACAAAAAAAAAAACTACTTGCATGAAGCAATTATGCACTGAAGATTACTTTCATTCGTTTTGATTTTCAATTGTTTTTGAAATTTTGTAAAAGTAAATATAGAATTTAGTAAGTCCAGGAGTTATTTGGCATAACTCTCATCATTAATTAATATTTATGAAACTCACACTGTATTCTATCATAGATACTTGTGAAAATGGAGCTGAAGGTAATCATAAAAGAGAGACAAGTGGGCTTGAGAAGTTTGTATACTAAGAAAGGTAACATATAGGTAAAATAGTATCTTGTTAGATCCTGATTTCTTAACTACTTTACATCAAGGAATAATTAAAAATTGGAGGAAATTGGCTTTTTAAAAATATGTGGTATTAAATAGTTTATTCCAAAACATATCATTTAAGCAATCCAGTAGATTTTATTTCTCATAATTTTAGCATCTGACTACTTCAGATACAAAAATTTAAATACAAGCCCATTGTATCAGATTGCATTTCCGAGGGATGGCCATATGATATCCCTCATTCCCACATACTCTTCTGTAGTGTGACCTTGCCACTCATCCATCAAGAGGTAGAGTTTATTGCTACAGATTCCTTGAATCTAGGCAGGCACCGTGACTGCCTTGATCATAGACTACTTGGGATGCTGCCTCATAGAATCAGCCGCCATGTTGTAAGAAGCCTAAACAGCAGGAAGAACCAGCTCCAGCTGAACTTCCAGCCAACAGCCAGCCTTAACTGCTGGCCATTTTAATGAGCCATCCCAGGCATTCAGCTCATTCAAACCTTTAGTTGACTCCTGACTTAACTGCCAGTTTACTGCAGCTACACAGAGAGCCCAAGCAAAAGATGCCCAGCTGTCAACCCACAGAATCATGAGATAAAGTTTTTTTATCCCCCAAGTTTGGGGTGGTATGTTATGCATAAGTAGATAACCAGAACACCCATCTTTGGAATTAGGTTTATGCTTGACTTTAAATGTATCTATGTTTGGAAAGCTGAATAATGATCTATTCTATCCCTCTAAACATTCTGTCAGTCTAATATGCTAAGGGGAAGACCAATACCTACTTCCCTCATTAATCACTCTTGTGCCAGTTTGGAGATATAGTTTCCATCTGTTATTGATTGGATAATGAATTGTGTTTAATTAATGAATTATGTTTAATTCATTATCATTAATAAGTCAGGATAGTCTAAGTTTGGCTGCAGTAACTACCAACCCTAATACTTTAGTGGCTTAATAAACAGAAGATTATTTCTCACTTATTGTAGGTAATTAGTATGGATTGGCAAGCAGGGCTTTACTAATCATAGTCACTTAAGGACTCAAACTGTTGGAGCAACCACCATCTTGAGTGTTGCTGGTTGTCATAACAAAGGGAAAAGAAAGCTCTGGAAGGTCTCACACTTAAATTAAAATGATCTGTCCCAGAAGTGACACACATCACTACTGACATAACTCACTAGCCAGCAGGAGTTTCATGGTCCTCCTCAATTATAAGAGGTGGCTGGACATGGTAGCTCATGTCTGTATTCCCAAGTGAGAGGACTGCTTGAGCCCAGGAGTTTGAGACCAGCCTGGGCAAGATCACAAGACCCTGTCTCTACAAAATGAAAAATAAAAAAAATTAGCAGGGCATGGTGGTACACATCTGTATTCCCAACTACTCGGGAAGCAGAAGCAGGAGGATCCCCCAAGGCCAGGAGTTTGAGATGCAGTGAGCTGTGATTATGCCACTGCACTCCAACCTGGAAAGAGAACAAGACCTCTGTTTCCTATTTTATATGAATAGATTAAATAGATAATATTTATTTATATATTTATTTACATATATTTACAATAAGAGACATATAATATATCCAGCTGTCAGGAAATGCAATTCAATCATATGCTCATAAGATAAAGAGCCAGAAATACATATCTAATATAGTGACCAAAGGATTTATAAGAATATCTGCTATTCCACTGGGAATTGTTGAGAGTGATTTGTGTGATATTAAATCCATAGAACTTGGGCCAGGTGCTGTGGCTCATGCCTGTAATCCTGCCAAGGTGGGAGGACTACTTGAGACCAGGAGTTTAAGACCAGCCTGGACAACATAGCAAGACCCCGTCTGTACAAAACAATTTTTTTTTTTAATTATCCAGGTGTGGTAACACATGCATGTAGTCCTAGCTGCTTGGGAGGCTGAGATGGGAAGATCGCTTGAGCCCAGGAATGAGAGGCTGCAGTTAAGCCATGACTGCACTACTGCACTCCTGCCTGGGTGAGAGAGCAAGACCCTGTCTCTAAAAAAAATAAATAAATAAACAAATTAATGGAACTTTAATATTGTTGTAGTTGCCCCAAAATGAAATTCCTTTGCCAACCCATTGAGTTTGTGAAGGGCATAGTATATTGTACCCCACAGGTGTTCAATGCCCCAGAGCAGCAAAGTTTCAGAAAGGAGACCTTCTAAGCTATAGCTGTTCTGCAGACTTGTGCCAGAACTTAGAAATATTTCTAGTCTGAAGTACCCTGTAGCAGGCTAAACAATACCTTTTGAGTAGAAAGTATAGGTATAATAGAAGGAAAAGCGTATATATATAAGAACAAGAAGTGGTGCTGAATACAAGAGAAAAGAAAGCTCCAATCACAAACATTATGTGGGTCTCCATCCTGAATTCACACTCTCTGAATGTCTGGGGGTAAAAAGCTAAGAATATAAAATAATCTAGGCTGGTAATGTCATCAGGTGGTTGACAGAAACAAATACAAATCAATTCTTGAAGAGCCTACTTTTATCCTTTACCTTGAAAAGCGTCTCACAGTATGAAAAGATTACCAAACGTAGAATAAAAGAGGCACAATTTATTAGAACTAGCAGAAACAGTAGGTAGTAGGGTAAGATATTCAGAAATCTGTATTTATTGGAAGAATCAGACACATGATATAAAATAAGTATGTTTAATATGTATCAAAAAATAAGTGAGAGGTGGCCGGGCACGGTGGCTGATGCCTGTAATCCCAGCACTTTGGGAGGCCGAGGAGGGCGGATCACAAGGTCAGGAGATCGAGACCATCCTGGCTAACATGGTGAAACCCCGTCTCTACTAAAAATACAAAAAATTAGCCGGGCATGGTGGCGGGTGCCTGTAGTCCCAGCTACTCGTGAGGCTGAGGCAGGAGAATGGCGTGAACCTGGGAGGTGGAGCTTGCAGTGAGCTGAGATCGCACCACTGCACTCCAGCCTGGGCAACAGAGCGAGACTCTGTCTCAAAAAAAATAAAAAATAGAAAATAAAAATTAAGTGAGAGGCTTAGAAATAAGCAAATGTGGCAAAGACTAAAACAGATCTCCAATGAATCAAATATAATTTTTAAAAATTCAGTACATATCTTCAATAAATTTTTAAAATTTAGTGTATGTCTTTAAACAGCAGATTAAACACAATAAAATAATTAATGAATTGGAAAATAGATAGGAAAAAATTACCCAGAGGGTAATTCTAAGAGAAAAAGAAATGGAAAATATTGAAGAGAAGTCAAGAAGCATGGTGACCAGAGTGTGTGTGTCTACCTTATGTTTAGTTGGAATTCCAGAAGAAAAAGACTGGGGCAGAGGCAGTATTTGAAAAAGTAAAGGCAGAGACCTTTTCAGAACTGATGAAAGTTACCCGTAGATGTTAGAAGCCTAACAAATCTCAAGCAGGATAAATAAAAATAAATTTACATATGGGTGCAACAGTGAAATTGTAGAACACCAGTTCTAAAGAGAACATCACAAAAGCAGAAAAGAATGGCAGATTATCGTCAAAGATGCAACAATTAAACCAACAGCTGACTTCTCAGTTGGAAAGAAGCAAAACTAGAAGACAGAGCAGTGATATTTTCAATATGCTGAGAGAAAACAGTTAACCCCAAATTTCTGTGGCAGTGAAAACATCTCTCAGGAATGAGGGTAAGATGAAGACAACTTTTAATAAGCAAACTTTGAGAGAGTTATCCCTCAGTAAACCTTCTGCCTGAAGGATATATGTCAGGTAAAAGGAAGTTGATCCTATACGGCGTGTGTGAAGTGCAAGAAAGAACAGAAAGCTATTACTATGTGAATATCAAAACAAATATTGTATAAATTATAACATAGTATTGTCCTATGTATTTTTTTAAAGGAATTAAAACACATGATAGCAAATAAGCTTAAAGTGTACTAAGGTCTTTGTATGGGGGGAGGATAAATATATAAGTTAATTTTGACCTTGATATTTTAAGATGAGTATTAAAATGTCTAGGGTAACACATAATAGAAAATCAAAGTGTATAATTGCCGGATTAGCAGAAGGACAAAAATGGAATTAAAAATAACCAATTAGTTAAAAATAAATAAAAAAGAAAGCTAAAAAACAGGATAAATAGAAAGTGTGTCACAAGATCTAGGCTGTCCTGTAGTGACCATGTGAACTTGGAAATGTGCTTTCAAGAATGAAATTGTTTTCTGTAATAGTTTTTGGTCCATTAGTGGTTGAAATTGCTTTAAACTGAGGTCCTTTTGAACTTTAGTAACTAATTAGTGCCATCATTGAAGGAGGTCCAAAATGATACCCCACTAATGCTAAAATCTGGGCTAGAATCAGTAGTGTCTCCGGAATAGGAGCAAGTATGCTTTTAGAAAATACACATCATTTTGCAATGGTAAAAGTGATTTTGAATTCATTTTCATTAATGTAAGCTAAAACTGCATATAGACATACTGCAAAAAATGAAATCAACTGTACATTCCAAAATCTATCATAACATAAATCATAACCTATATTAACTGATCAAATGACTGAAAAACCTGATGTACTGTTACCTCAAAAATGTCCAAAATTACTTTTTAAAATGCCATTACTAGAATAATTGACTAAAGGCACCCCATGTCACATAAGGGTCCCAACTGATAATGAAAGCTAACTTCTTTAAAAAGAGCACAAAAATTACATTAAGATACAACAGGTTTGCTGTTGTCTTAAAGGAAAAAGACCAGGTGGCATCATCAGCATCTGGTCCCCACAGATGATCTATGTGTACTAATGGATTTGTTAAATAATGGGGAACAGTTTTAAAGCATCACTGACAATTTCAGGTAGTTGTGGAAAGAAAATGAACCATCAAATAGTCAAGTTTATACTTTCATTTGATGTGTTGTAAAAAGGGGGAAGAAGGGAAATTAAAAAAAAAAAACTTTCTTTCTAGGTCTTCTGACATGCTTTTCCTATTACACTTCCATTTTTGTGTTTCTCTCCTCTTTATTGTCAGGAAAGGCCACTTTCAGAGAGCCAGTTCAGTCCAGTATGATATCAACCTGGTAGAGACGAGCAGTACCAGTGCCCACCACAGTGAGTAAACTCAAAACAAATGCTTATTTTAAAACCCTAGATGAGACTGTTGTTGTTAGATGTAGGGATTTGTATTTAGATCTATCCAGAAAAAAAAGGTTGAGCCTAAACTTTTCTATGGGTTTTTTTTTTTTTTTTTGGCCAGGTACCCTTTTTCACATAAAAATGAATTTATTATCAGTATGACACAAATCACATTTTTTCCCAAAGAAAACAATGTTATCTCAATATATGAAATTCTGATGTAGCTCTAATGTGCTACACAGATATAAGGGACTGGTTTCTCAGAAATATTTTGAAGTGAGCCAGCATATGGGGAGGAAGAAGAGTTTTACCTGTAAAGATCAGCAAATCTTTGGGAAACTTGTAGACAAATTGATGTTTTAAAATTGTCTTGAGACTTCTGGCCAAGATGGAGTAACAGGCACTGGATTTATTTCCTTCTACTTAAAACAACAAAAAATGGACAAAATATATGGAGCATTAAAATTTATGAAGACAAAATATATGAAGACATTGCTATCAGTCATCAAAGGAACCATGAGCCCTGAGAGATGGCAATAGACTAGGTAAGCCAATGATTGCCTTAGATTACTGCCTGGAGAGAATTTCCAGGCTTTTGTGCAAGGTGGGGGACCCCAGGCTGAGTTTGGCTGACTCCGAGTTGAGAAGATGGAGCTAAGAGTCCAAAAAGATCAAGGTGACTATATTGTACTGAGGAGAGTCCTGGAAAAAAGAGAGGTGTATGAAGAGAGAACTCCAGAGATTTTCAGTTCAAGTATTCAGCTGAGTACTAATCAGGGCATGTGTGGGAGGAAAATACTTGAGGTTGTGGAAAAAATCACCTGAAGGATTAGAGGTGCCCAGTATTCACACAGGGCCAGGAAAAGTGTCTGTTCCCACTGAGGCTGGAAACCTCATTATTCACGGGGCACGGGGTAGAGTACATAGAAAGGTGTTTGCCTGATAGTGGGGAATACTAGCCCTAGATTAAGCACTGCTACAGTTCTGCCTAATAAACTGTAAAAGCATGAGCTGACAGAATCAAATTGTTTCCAAATAACTACATCCTAGATCAAAGCTCAACAATGCTGAAAAATAGCTAGTACCCAACAGGTGAAATTAATAATGTTTCACATCCAATACAATTACCAACCTCCAAAGAAGCAGAAAATGTGCTCAAAATGAGAAATATTAAGAAACTGAAAGCCGGGCATGGTGGCTCATACCTGTAATCCCAACACTTTGGGAGGCTGAGGCAGATGGATCACTTGAGGTCAGGAGTTCAAGACCAGCCTGGCCAACGTGGTGAAACCCCATCTCTACTAAAATACAAAAAAAAAAACCAATGGTGGGTGCCTGTAATCCCAGCTACTCGGGAGGCTGAGGCAGGAGAATAGCTTGAACCACAGAGGCGGAGGTTGCATTGAGCCAAGATTGTGCCACTGCACTCCAGCCTGGGCAACAGAGCAAGATTCCGTCTCAAAAAAAAAAAAAAAAGAAATTGAAATTGATACAGATGCTTTAAATACCAGGCAAGCACAGTTATTATAAATGTATTACATAGATTCAAAAGTCAAGTAGAAACATGGAAGATATATTTTTAAAGGACCCAAACCAAACTTCCAGAGATGAAAACTAGTGTCTGAGATCAAAAAAAAAAAAACAAAAAAACAAAAACTGGATGGTATTAACAGCAGATTACACACCATAGAAAATATTGGTGAACTTGAAGATATAGCAGTAGAACTAAGAAAAAAAGAAATGCAGAAAGAAAATTTTTTTAATGAAAAGAGCATCAGTGAACTGTGCGACAACTGCAGGTGGCATAATGTTGAGTCCCTGAAGGAGATAAGAGAGAGGAGGGAACAGAAGAAATAAGAGTCAAAAATTTTTGCAGATTTAATAAAAGCAATCAATTCACACATATAAAAATTTCAACAAAGGCCTGGCACTCTGGCTCACGCCTGTAATCCCAGCATTCTGGGAGGCTGAGGCAGGAGGATCACTTGAACCGAAGAGTTTGAGACCAGCCTGGGAAACATAGTGAGACCTCATCTCTACAAAAAAGAACAAAATTAGCTGGGCATGATGGTGCATATCTGTAGTCCCAGCTACCTGGGAGGTGGGAGAATTGCTTGAGCCCAGGAGGTCAAGGCTGCGGTGAGCCAAGATTGTGCCCCTGCACTCCAGCCTGAGTAACAGAGTAGTAATACACCAAGACACATCATAATCAAATTGCTCAGAACCAGTGATAAAGTCTTAAAGGCAGCTAGAAAAAGACACATTACAGACAGATAACAAAGCTAAGGATTTCAGCAGGCATTTTTCAGAAATAACACACCTTAAAAGAATGGAGCAACATCTGTAATGTATTTTAAAAAGTAAACCTATAATTCTACATCCAGCAAAAATATCTTTCAAACACAAGGCAAAATAGGCAAATCAATCTTGGAAAAGATGAACAAAGTTAGGAGACTCACACTTCCTAATTTCTAAACTTATTATGAAGCTGCAGTAATCAAGGCAAAGTAGTGCTGGCATAAGGATAGACATATAGATGAATGGAATACAATTGAGAGTTCAGACATACCTTCTTACATTTATAGTAAATGCATTTTTTAAAGGGTGCCAGACAATTCAGTGGGGGGTAATAATAGTCTTTTCAACAAATGGTGCTGGAAAAACTGGATATCCACTCACAAAAGAATGGATTTAAACCCCTACATACCATATATAAAAATTAACTCAAAATGGATCAAAGATCTAAATATAAGAGCTAAAACCATATAACTCTTAGTAGAAAACATAGGTGTCAATCTTCATGACCTTGGATTAGGCAATGGATTCTGAGTTATGATTCTAAAAGTACAAGCAACAAAAGAAAAAATACAAAAACTGGATTCATCAACATTAAAAACAAAAAACTTTTGTGCTTCCAAGGATACCCTCAAGAAAGTGAAAAGACAATCTACTTCTGAGAGAAAATTTTTTTAATCATACATATGAGACTTATACATATGATCTGAAATACATATATGTAGTTGAATATATAAACAATATTTACAACTTAATGAAGAAACAACTCATTTTAAAAATGAGCAAAGGATTGGAAAAGAGTTCTCCAAATAATATGTACAAATGACTAGTAATCTCATGAAAAGACAATCATCATTAGCCATCAGGAAATGACGATCAAAACCACAATGAAACCAAGTGTGGTGGCATACTTCTGTAGTCCCAGCTATTGGGAGGCCGCAGTGGAGGATCACTTGAGCCCAGGAGTTTGAGGCTAGCCTGGGTAACATAGCAAGACCCCATCTCTTAAAAAAAAAAAAACTTTGAGGAGGGCGAAAAAAAAGAAAAAAAAATGCACATGAATGTTCGTAGCACATAGCAGCATTATTTATAATAGCCAAAAAGTAGAAATTAGTCAAATGTCCATCAGCTGATAAATGGATATATAAAATGTGTTATATTCCTACTATGGAATATTATTCGGCAGGAAATAGAAATTAAGTAGTAATATATGCTGCAACATGGATGGACTTTGAAAACAACATGCTGAAGTAAAGGACCCAGTCATAAAGGAACACATATTTTATAACATTTATATGAAATGCCCAGAACAGGCAAATCTATAGAGACAGACAGTAGATTAATGTTTGCCTAGGATTGGAGGAAATGGGGGGATGTTGGGGAGTGACGGCTAAGGGATGTGGGCTTTCTTTTTGGGAATGAAAGTGTCATAAATTTGATTGTGCTGATGGTTGTGCAACTCTGAATATACTAAAAGCCATTGAATTGTACAATTTAAATGAGTGAATTTTATGGTACGTGATTGTATCTCAAAACCATAAAAAATCAGTAACTATTTAGAAAAAAATGAAGGCAAAATAGAGATTTTCCAGGCATATGACAGTTGAAAGAATTTATCATCACCAGAACCTCACTAAAGTAAATGTTAAAGGAAGTCCTTCAGGCAAAAGGACAATATCAGATGGAAATATGGATTTACATAAAGGGAGGAAGAGCACCAGAAATGACAACTATGTGGGTAAATGTGTAAGATCTTTCTCGTATTATTTAAATCTCCTTAAGAAATAATTGACCATTTAATGAAATATCATAACAACATAATATGGGACTTACAACATACATAAAAGCAAAATGTATAATAAGAAAATACAAAGATTGGGAGGGTAGCGAGGGAAATACCCCACTGTAAGGTTCTTATGCTGAATGTCAAGCAGTACGTCATCACTTGAAGGGAAACTGTAATAAGTCAAAAGTGTATGCTAGAAACTCTAGAGCAACCTGTAAAAAGTCTAAGTCACCCAGTTAAGATAGAGATTGTAAAATTGGATAAAAATTAATGTGATATGCTATCTGCAAGAAATATACATTAAGTATAAAGACACAAGTTAAAAGCAAAAGGATGAATAAAGATATGTCATGCTGGTGCAGGTGTGGTGTGGCTCATGCCTTGTAATCCCAGCACTTTGGGAGGCCAAGGGGGGCAGACCACTTGAGGTCAGGAGTTCAAGATCAGCCTGGCCAACATGGTGAAACCCTGTCTCTACTAAAAATACAAAAACTAGCTGGGCGTGGTGGCAGGCGCCTGTAATCCCAGCTATTCGGGAGGCTGAGGTAGGAGAACCGCTTGAACCCAGGAGGCAGAGGTTGCAGTAAGCTGAGATTGCACCACCGCACTCCAGCCAGGGCAACAGAGTGAGACTCCGTCTCAAAAAAAAAAAAAAAAAAAAAAGAAAAAAGAAAAAGAAAAGAAGAACCCACCCAGCTCTACCATTACTGTGATATCTGAGGCTGGAGAAAATAATGAAACTGTCCAGACTATCCTCAAGTTTACAGACAGTGAGAAATACCCAAATGAAGCTCCTTTTTATGAAACATTCTTGGAAAATCTAGAAGATAATGTCTCAGACATTTAAAAATTCTTAGCATTACAAGCTGAAGAAATCTTGGCATGGTGATGATCTTTAGTGACAGCTGTGCAAGAAAAATTAAATGAAATGGATAAAAAGCAAAAGGGAGGAAGACATATATCTAGAATATAAAAAGAACTCTTTCAAATCAATAATAAAAAGTCAATCCAATTAAAATTTGGGCAAGAAACAAAAAGAAGCAGAAGAAACCATAGAGCAATTATTCCATGGCATTCCTGTTTACAATTAAGCATTTCTTAAGTTGAGAAGCCGTGTTTGATACTGAACTCTTGGAAATCAAAAAGAACCAAATCAAAGAATAAACAGGAAAAAATAAGTGGGAAGCAGCTACTTGAAACAGATCCAAATCTTGACACATCTGATATCCAGTTCTTGGAGGATGCTGGAAACAACGGAGGTAATTGAGTCTTTGTACCAGTAAATGGATGACCTGGAGCTGGGGGATGAGGAGGATGATCCAGACTCCAATCCTGCTGACCCAGAGAGTGACTCCACTGACCAGAGGGACTGTCCCCATCTGTAGAGAGGCTCGACTGCCACAGCATCCTGGCTATGCTCAGAGGGTTTTGATTTTCCTTTCCTTTTCTCCAAGAAGAAATTATTTTCAGGAGAATATTCTTCTGATAGATTTCATCATTGGACTTAATAAACTTATCTTAAAATTTCAAAAAA
Organism: Homo sapiens; assembly: GCF_000001405.40. Lineage (NCBI taxonomy): Eukaryota > Metazoa > Chordata > Mammalia > Primates > Hominidae > Homo > Homo sapiens. The sequence continues at coordinate 75,950,292 of NC_000015.10, read as the reverse complement.
GTCCATTGTATTCCTATATATCAGTGACAATTAGATATGGAAATTTAAAAAAATTATTAATGATAGAATCTCAATGTATTAAGTACATAAGCATACATCAGACAAAAATACGAAAGGCCTATGTATTGAAAACTAAAAAAAAAATTGCTGAGAGAAATGAAGACCTAAATAAATGGAGAGTTATATTTTGTTCATAGATTTGGAAGATTCAATATTGTAAGGTGTCAGTTCTCAAATTGACCTATATAGATGCAGTGCTATCCCAGACAAAATCCCAACAGGTGTTTTTGTAAAAATTGACAAGGTGGTTCTAAAATTCCCATGGAAACGCAAAGGACCTAGAATAGAGAAAATAATTTTGAAAAAGAAGAACAAAGTTAGAAGCTTCATACTGGGCATCCAGATAGACCACAATTGATTTTTGACAAAGCTGCCAAGGCAATTCAATACAGAAAGGATAGTCATTCCAACAGATGATACTGGGGCAGTTTGGATATTCACATGCAAAAACATGAATTCAGACCCTTTACCATGCACAAAAAAAATTCAAAATGGGTCTAAATATAAGAGCTAAAACTACAAAAACCTTAGAAGAAAACATAAGAGAAAGTCTTTGTGACATTGAATTAGGCAAAGATTTTTAGATACAATACAAAAAGCACAATCGATAAAAAGAAAAAATTTCATAAATTGGGCTTCATGTAAATTTAAAACTTTTGTGCTTCAAAGGACACCATTCTAAAAATGAAAAGGCAAGACACAAACTGGGACAAAATATTTGCAAATGGATATAAAAGATGGATAAAGGACATGTCTAGAATATATAAGGAACTTTTTCAACTCGATAATAAAAAGACAGCCCATTTAAAGTTTGGGCAAGATTTTTTTTTTTTTTTTTTTGTCACCCAGGCTGGAGTGCAGTGGCATGACCTCAGCATACTGCAACCTCTGCCTCCTAGGTTCAATGGATTCTTGTGTCTCAGCCTCCCGAGTAGCTGGGACTACACACATGTGCCACTACACCTGGCTAGTGTTTTGTATTTTTCGGTAGAGACGGGGTTTGGTGTTGGCCAGGCTGGTCTCGAACTTCTGGTCTCATGTGATCCACCTGCCTTGGCCGCTCGGAATGGACACATGATCTTTTTTAGGGTAATGGATTTATTCTACAATGGGATTGTGGTGGTGATTGCACAATTCTGTAAATTTTAAAATTCATTGAATTGTAGACTTCTTTGTTTGAGACAGGGTCTCGCTCTGTTGCCCAAGGCTCTAGCAGTGCAGGGACGTGATCATAGCTCACTGCAACCTTGAGCTCCTGCACTCAAGCAGTCCTCTTGCCTCAGCCTTCCAAGTATTTGAGACTACAGGTGTGCACCACTATGCCTGGCTAATTTTTACATTTTTTTTGTAGAGACAAGGTCTTGCTATGTTGCCCAGGCTAGTCTCAAACTCCTGGTTTCAAGCCGTCTTCCTGCCTGGGCTCCCAAAGTGCTGGGATTACAGGCATGAGCCACTGTGCTCAGCTGAATTACATACTTTAAAAAAGTAAATTTTTTAAGTTGTAGATTATACCTCAGTAAGTTGTTTTTAAAAGCCCGTTTTTCAATAAGTGGTGCTGAGAAAACTGGATATCCACATGCTAAGGAATGAAGTTGGACGCTTACCTATCACCATATACAAAAATTAACTAGGGCCGGGCGGCGCAGTGACTCATGCCTGTAATCCCAGCACTTTGGGAGGCCCAGGTGGGCGGATCACGAGGTCAGGAGTTCGAGACCAGCCTGGCCAGCATGGTGAAATCCCTTCTCTACTAAAAATACAAAACATTATCTGGGCATGGTGGCACGTGCCTGTAGTCCCAGCTACTCAGGAGGCTGAGGCAGGAGAATTGCTTGAAGCCGGCAGGCGGAGGATGAAGTGAGCCGAGATCACGAGATTCCATCTCAATAAATAAATAAATAAATAAATAAATAAATAAATAAATAAAGTGGATCAAAGACCTAAACGTAAGAGCTAAAATTACTAAGAGAAGAAAACATAGGGGGAATGCTTCATGAAATTGGATTTGGCAATGATTGCTTTATACACCAAAAGCACAGGCAGCCAAAGAAATGTTAGACAAATTGGACATCAAAACTTAAAATTTTGGCACATCAAAAGACACTATCAGCAGAGTGAAAAGGCAATCCATAGAATGGGAGAAAAGGTTCACAAATCATGTATCTGGTAAGGATTTGATACCCAGAATATATAAAGAACTTCTAAAACTCAATTACAACAAGTAGAAGAACCTAATTCAAAAACGGGCAAAGGATTTGAATAGACATTTCTCCAAAGAAGATACACAGATGGCCAATAAGCACATGAAAAAAGATACTCAACATCACAAATTATTGGGGAAATGCAGATCAAAACCACAATGAGGTACCACTTTCAACCTTTAGGATGGTGACTACTATTGATACAAACAAACAAAAAACCAGAAACCATGTGTTGGTGAGAACACGTAGAAATTGGAACCCTTGTGCATTGTTGGTGGGAATGTAAAATTGTGCGACCACTTTAAGAAAACAATATGGCAAGTCCTCAAAAAAAAATTAAACAGAATTTCCATATTATCTAGCAATTCCACTCCTGGGTATACATCTAAAAGAAATGAAAGAATGGACTCAAACAGATATTTGTATACCTACACTCATAGTGTTAATGGCTGTTGTGAGACCTTGGTTCTTGTCTTTTCAGTTTAAAAGAGTTTAAACAAGAGACACAAAACAGAGATGCAGCATATAGCAATATTATTGCAAAGGAGAAAGAATATTTTGAAAGTTAGGTGCAGAATAGACAGGACACCCTGAGAGAGGATTCAGGGCAGGCTACTCATAAGGATGAGACAGCAAAGACTGGCACTAGGGAGACTCCCTTTCTGGGAGTCTTAGATTATTACTCATGAGGAGGTGGGAAGAGCTGTTACTAGTAAGCATGTTTTGGCTGGTCCTCTGGGTGCACATGCCAGTAGCTGTACGTGTTTGTTCACACATCATATATCTCATTAGCATCTGAAATCTCTCCTCAGGGAAGTGTTTTTTACAATTATAATGAGCAATGGGCCAGTCTGAGGACAAGTAAAATCAAAATGCACATGCTCCCTACAGGGAAATTTCCTACTGGAGATAGCTTTGCTTGAATGAGCTGGACTACAATGCGAATGCTGGGCTTATTGTGTTGACAGCACGGTCGCCCCTGTAACCAAGAACATGGTTACTTCCTTGACTACCTCTCCTGCCTCAATAGCAGCATTACTTACAGTAGCCAAAAGGTGGAAACAACCCAAATACCCATCAGTGGATGAATAGATAAAATGTGGTATATACCTATAATGGAATATTATTTAGCTTTAAAAAGGAATGAAATTCTGAAACATGCCACAACATAGGTGAATCCTGAAGACGTGCTAAGTGAAAAAGCCAAACACGAAAGGTAAGTATTGTGTGATTCCACGTATACAAGGCACCTAGAATAGGCAAATTCACTGAGACAGAAAGTAGAATGGTGGTCACCAGGGCTGTCGGGAGGAATAGGGAGTTACTGTTTAATGGGTAGAGTTTCAGTTTACGATGATGAAAAAGTTCTGGAGGGCCAGGCGCGGTGGCTCACGCCTATAATCCCAGCACTTTGGGAGGCTGAGGCAGGCGGATCACGAGGTCAGGAGATCGAGACCATCCTGGCTAACATGATGAAACCCCGTCTCTACTAAAAATACAAAAAAAATTAGCCAGGCGTGGTGGCGGGCACCTGTAGTCCCAGCTACTTGGGAGGCTGAGGCAGGAAAATGGCGTGAACCCGGGAGGCGGAGCTTGCAGTGAGCTGAGATCGTGCCACTGCACTCCAGCCTGGGCGACAGAGCGAGACCTCGTCTCAAAAAAACAAAATCAAACAAAACAAACAAAAAGTTCTGGAGATGGTGTGATGGTTGCACACAATGTAAATGTACAATAATGACCCTTCATTGGTGGTTTAGCTTTTAGCAATTTCAGTTACCCACAGTCAACTGTGGTCTGAAATATAAACGGAAAGTTCCAGAAATAATTCATGTTTTAAATTGCGCACCCTTCTAAGCAACATGATGAAATCTCCCGCTGACCTACTCAGGATGTGAATCATCTTTTTGCCCACCACATCCACACTGTATATGCCGCCCACCCATTAGCTACTTAGTAGCCATCTCATTATCAGAGCTCCTGTTGCAGTATCACAGTGCTTGTGTTCAAATAACCCTTATTTTACTTAATAATGGCCCCAAAGTGCAGGAGTAGTGATGCTGTCATATTGTTATAATTGTTCTACTTTATTATTAGTTATTGCTAATCTTACTGTGTCCAATTTATAAACTTTATCATAGGTACAGGAAAAATAGTATATTTAGGTTTTGTGCTGTCTGTGATTTCAGGCATCCACTGGGGTCTTGGAATGTATCCCCCATGGAGAAGAGGGGACTACTGTACTTAATGCTACTGAACTTAAAAATGGTTAAAATGGTAAATTTTGTTAAGTATATTTCACAATAAAAAGTCAGTCAGCCTGAAAGAGATGCCATTATTAAATAATGCTATCAGTTGATGTGTTTTATTGTGCTCAGAATTATCACTTATCAGGAGGGATAATCTGTTCCCATACTTTACTCCTGTACATGAGTAAAAGCATGTCTTTTGTTTGTTAGGTTTGTAGATCTTTGCTATATTTGTAATGTCTGGAGCCACATTAATTTTTAAAGTGCTTGATGGTTAAATAACCATGAAGAAATTCTCAGAGAATACAGGAGTTCGAGACCAGCCTGGCCAACATGGTGAAACCCTGTCTCTACTAAAAATACAAAAATGAACCGGGCATAGTGGCGGGCGCCTGTAATCCCAGCTACTCAGGAGGCTAAGGCAGGACAATAGCTTGAACCCGAGCGGAGGTTGCAGTGAGCTGAGATTGTGCCTCTGCCTGGGTGACAAAGTGAGATTCCACAAAAAAAATAAAATAAAAATAAATGATAAAAAATATATATATCAGAGAATGGAAAGATTTTAAATTTATCGTGGTGTTAACTGGAAAGGTTAATGCTAGGGGCCAAATCTGATATAAACAAGTTTGGGAATAGAATCCTGCCATTAGATCTTGAATGCACAAGTACCATGCTTGTAATTCATCAACAGCATTTTCCCCAAAAGGTTTGCCTCTTGATTTTTTTCTTTTCCCCAGAATGTTCAGTGACATGGTAAGGACTTATTTTTTAGAATCCACACACATATAAAACAGCTTGACTTTATAAAGACATACTTGTTAAAAAAAAAAGTATTAAAAAAAGTATTAAATTACTGTTGTTTTTTTGTAAGAAAAAGACATCATAACAAAGGTTAAAAACAGGGGTAAGGTATTAGGCTCAGCTGACAAAATTAGTTCATTTGACCGTTTTTTCAAGGTTGAACAATCTCAGTCAATAACTGCAACACCATAACTATAAGCAAATAACCACCCCCCCACACACACACACAAAAGCCTTTTACTAAATGTGACAAGATATGTCATGAAAATAAAGTTAGATTCTCTGATGAGGAGAGCCGATTATGAAGACTGGGACTTGCTTAATAATGTTAGCTCATATTATGAAAATCATAGCATAAAGGTACATTATATTTTTAAAACTTATTAATGACCTTCCTTCACCAAGGATGTCCTCCTGCCACCACACCATCAAGCCTTACTTCATCGATAGGTTTATTCATGTCGCCTTGTGTGCTTCTGGAATGTAAGCCTCCCCGGGCAATCTTTCCAATGTATTCCTAGCATAAATCCACAGCCTGAAGTCTTAGCATGCATTTATATTGTTGTTAGACACCATCCCTACTGCAATAATGCCCTAATGCTGACAACACAACTCTCCAAATGGAAAGCAGTGTAACAGTATGATCATGCACACCACATGCCTGTGTGCCAGGTACTATGGTTAATATTTCAAATATTTTAACTCCTATAAACCTTAACAACTGTATGGAGTAGGTGGTATTATTCTCACTCTACAATGAGAAAACTGAGGTTTAGGGAGGTTAAACCCATGTTTTTCTTACTGCATTTCCACAGATATGGGTGTTAGTCTCAGGACTTGCTGGCTACAGAGGGAATTTTTGTCTCTAAATAGTCCCAATTAGCCACAGGTTTTATTAGTCCTTGTTTCCTTGGTATTTTCTTGCCATCTATTATTGTCATTGCTGTTACAGTGACTCACTCTAGCAATCTTTTCCCCTCAACCACCCTTTTCTAACTTGTATATCTAAGACAGGTCACCAGGCTTGTTAGAACTTTGGGTAAGAGGCAGTGAGCAAAGACAGTGAGGGGCGGGGGGTGTGGGCAGGCATGCAGGGAACTTTATATGTGAGACTTGAATGGGGAATCTGACAGAACTCAGTGTTCTGAGGAGTCTTGTCAGGCTGCTGGAAATTTTTGATATTCTAGGTTAGTTTACCTCAACACATCCTATCACAAACAGAAGGGGTTGGCTTATATATGTGAAGAAGATAAGAGACATGTAGATAGGTGTGCGTAGTAAGAAACATTGCAATGGAGAAAGCATCTTAATTCTTACTTATTTTTCACAGGTCATGAACAACACTGAAGAAACGTCAAAGTGAACCAAATCATTGTTTTTATTTTACAAAGGCAGAAAATGAAACACCACTAGGTAAAAGAATTAAAAATCTAATCCTTTATTTCTTAAATAAAACGCTTGTGTAACTCGTATCATGAACCATAATCCATTCTGCTGCAAGGTGTGTGTGCTTCTGTAATGTGCATCAGTCCATCGGCAACTGCTAAGTAGGGGGTGATACCAGTATAATTCGAAGTCACATTGGTTCAACATGACTCTCCCCAGAAAGCTGATGTGCTGAAGCAACCAGAGGCAAATGTTCACACACCTAGAGAGAAACCCTAAGGGATATATGAAGATCTTATGAAAAAGGATGAAAACCCTTTAAATGCAAGGAGTAGCTGGCTTAGTGGCTTCAAAACCACCTCATTCCTGCTGTTATCTGAGAAGCTGCAAGTACTGATGAAAAAACTGAGAAGACATTTCACCTGGCAATTAGAAAAAAGCGCTGACTGATAGATACCTCTGTATCATTCTTTCAATATTGATGAAAATGCTTTCTACTAGAAGTGACTGATTTCAAGGATCTGTCTCTCAAAGGAAGAAACAAAAACCCAAAATTTTGACTGCAAAAGATTGACTAATTCTAGGTGCAAGTAACTGGAAATTTAGGATTGTTATTGTACTACACAGGTCACAAAGTTCCAAACCTATTTCCCTTGTAATTTTTAGTGCATGATTTTTCAGAATGCAGTTTCTATCTTTTTAGGTGCAATATTAAGAACTGATTAGGTCAGAACAATTTAGTTTCTCCAGTTTTTTCTACCTAAGTTACATGGGGGAAAAAAAAGCAATAGTAACTTTAAGGAAGTATGAAAATAAAGTCTTGGAGCAGTGGAAAGGTCTGGGGCTGGTAAATGGCTTAGGCAGAAGGGCATGCACCGGCCAAACCTAACAGCCTGTCTCTGAACTATGTCCTCGTCAAGGCTGGGATGCACGCTGGCTTCTCTACACAGTCTGGCCCAGTGTAAGTGCTGTGAATTCAGTGGGTCACTAGTGTCACCAATTCATTCATCACCCATCATTCACTCATTTCACAAACACATGAGGGTAAGACATTGAGACAGAGTACACAAAATGAAAAGCTCTCACATAATTTTAATAGACTTTATTAGAAGTTTTAGATTTTCAGAAAAACTGAGCAGATAGTATAGAGTTCCCCTATGCTTCCCCCCACCCCAGGCCTTTATTATTAACATCTTGCACTAGTGTGGTATATTTGTTTAACCAATATTGACACATTTTTACTTTACTTTTTGAGACAAAGTCTCACTCTGTCATCCAGGCTAGCTGAAGCCTGTAATTTACATGAAGGGTCCTCTTTTTGTTGTATGTCTTTATGGATTTTGACCAATATATAATGTCATGTATCCACTATTATAGTATTGTATACAGTAGTTTCACCACCCTAAAAATCTCTACTCCATGTATTTACCCCTCCCTCTCTCCCACTGAACCTCTGGCAACCAGTCTTTACTAACTTTGCTTTCTCCAGAATGTCATATATTTGAAATCATGTAGTATGTAGCCTTTCAGACTAACTTCTTTCACTTAGCAATATACACTTAAAGTTCCTCTATGTCTTGTGACTAAATACCCCACCCCCTGCCCTTTTTAAAAAAAAAAAAAAAAGCTAGGCCATATTTTTTTTTTTTTTTTTTTTTGGTGGTTTAAAAATTTACTGTGGCAAAATGTACGTAAGATTTAAATTTTAACCATTTTGAAGTTACAGTTTAAAGGCATTAAATACATTCGTTGTATGTACCAGTCACCACTATGCACCTCCGGAACTTTTTCATGATCCCACACTAATCTCTGTGCCCCTTAAACAATAAATTCCCATTCCCTCCTGCTCCCTGTGACAAAACGTAATCTTTGTTCTACTTTGTCTCTATGAATCTCACTAGTCTAGGTACCTCACATCAGTGGATTCATATAGTATTGTCCTTTTGTGATTTACTTAATGTCTGAAAGGTTCATCCATGATGTAGTATGTAGAAGGATTTCCTTTTTATGGCTGAATAATATTCCATTGTATGGATATAACACATTTTGTCTATCCATTCATCTGTTGGGTATTTGGGTTGTTTCTACCTTTTGACTACGGTGAATAATGCTGCAGTGAACACTGGTATACAAATATACCCTCAAGCCTCCGCTTTCAATTATTTTGTGTATATACCCAGAAATGCAATTGCTGAATCAAATGACAATTCTATATTTAATTGGAAAATCACCATACTGTTTTCTACAGCAGCTGCATACCACTATATTTCCATCAGTAATAAGAGTTCCAATTTCTCCACATCCTTGCCAACACTTGTGTGTTTTTTTAATTTTAATAAGAGCTATCCCAGTGGGTATGAAGTGGTATCTCAATGTGGTTTTGATTTGCATTTCCTTACTGTTTAGTGATGCTAAGCATTTTTTCCTGTGCTCACTGGCTATCTGCATGTCCTCTCTGGAGATCTATCCAAATCCTTTGCCATTTTTTAAATCAGGTTTTTACACTGTTGTTGCATTTTGGGAGTTTTGTATGTATTCTGGATGTTTAATCCTTATTAGGTACGTGAACTGCATATTATTTCCTCCCACTCCATAGGTAATCTTTTTACTCTGTTGATAGTGTTCTTTGATGCACAAAATTTTAATGAAGTATAATTTGCCTATTTTTTCTTTCGTTGTCTGTGAATTTGGTGTCATATCCAAGAAACCACTGCCACATCCTAAGAGTTTTATGGTTTTAGCTCTCACATTTAGGTCTTTGGTCCATTTTGAGTTAATTTTTGCAAATGAGTGAGGTTGCAACTTTGTTAGTTAGCCATGTGGTTATCCAGCTTTCCCATCATTATTTGTTGAAAAAACTATCCTTGGAATAGCCTTGGCACCCTTGTCAAAAATCATTTACCTACATATGAGAGGGTTTATTTCTAGGTTCTCCAGTCTATCCCATTGGTCTATCCGTCTGCCTTTATGCCAGAATCACATTGTTTTGATTACTGTAGCATTATAGTAAGTTTTAAACTCTGCAGGTTTAAGTCCTCCAATTTGTTCTTCTTTCTCAAGACTGACTTGGCTATTTGGGATCCCTTCAGATTCCACATGAAATTCAGGATGGGTTTTTCTATTTCTGCAAAAAAAAAAAAAAAAATCCTAGGATTCTGATAGAGACTGTAGTGAATCTGCACATCACTTTGAGTAGTACTGACATATTAACATTAGATTTTCCAATCCATGAACATGAGATGTATTTCCGTTTATTTTTATCTTTATTGAAGCAATGTTTTGTAGTTTTCATTGTACAAGCCATTTACCACCTTGGGTAAGCTAATTTCTGTGCATTTTATTCTTTTTGACGCTATGGTAAATGGGACTGTTCTTGTAATTTCCTTCTCAGGTTGTTCATTGTTAGTGTATAGGAATGCAACTGACTTTTGTGGGTTGACTTTGTATCCTGCTACCTTACTGAATTAACAGTTATTTTTTTTTTTTGGTGTGGAATCTTTCGGGTTGTCTAAAGATCATATCATTTGTGAACATATAGGATTTTACTTCTTACTTTCCAACTTAGATGTCTTTTCTTTTTCTAGCTCAGGCTAGAACTCCTAGTACTGTGTTGAATAGGAATGGTGAAATGAGCATTGTCTTGATCTTAGAGGAAAAGCTTTCACCACTAAGTATGGTGTCTACCGTGGGCTTTTCATGTCTGGCTTTTATTATGTTCAGGTAGTTTCCTCTTATCCCTCATTTGTTGAGTGTTTTTAATCACAAGAGGCTGCTGGATTTTGTCAAATGCTTTGTCTGCATCAATTGAGATGATCATCTGGTTCTCGCTTCGTTCTGTTAATGTAGTATATTATATTGATTTTTGTATGTTGAACAATCCTTGCATTCCAGGAATTCATTCCATTTGGTCGTGGTGTACAATCCTTTTAATATGCTGCTAAATTCAGTTTCCTAGTATTGACAATTGTTGAATCAGCGATCATAAGGAATAACTGGTCTGTAATCTTTTCTTGTAGTATCTTTGTCTGGCTTCAGCATCAGAATGAATTAGGCAGCGTCCTTCCTCTTCAATTTTTGGGAAAAGTTAGAAGGGATTGGGGTTATTTCTTCTTATTTGGTAGAATTCACAAATGAAAACCATCAGGTCCAGTGCTTTTTTTCCAGGAGAATTTTGATTACTAATTCAATTACCTTACTGGTTATAGTTCTATTGAGATTTTTAAATTTTTTTCATAGTTCAGCAGTAGTACGTTTTGCATTTCTAGGACTTTGAGCATTTCATCTAGATTGTCGAAGGTATTCTTCTATAACCCTTTTCATTTTTCTAGAATCTAGAGTGCTGTTCCCATTTTCATTTATTTTAGCAATTGAGTCTTCCTTTTTTTCTTAGTCTATCTACGCATAGGCTTTCCAACTTTATGGTCTTTTAAAGAACTTGTAGTTTCACTGATTTTTCTCTAGTGTTTCTAATCTTTATTCAATTTATTATATCTGTTCTAATCTTTATTATTTCCTTCCATCTGCTAGCTTTGGATTTAGTATGTTTTTCCCCCTCAAGCTGCAAAGTCAGGTTGTTGACATGAGGTCTTTTTTGTTTTTTAATGTAAGCATTTATGTCTACAAATTTCCCTTTTAGCAGTGCTTTCACTGCATCCTATAAATTTTGGTATGTTGCATTTTTCTCTTTTTAATTTCCCTTGTGATTTCTTCTTTGACCCATTGGTTGAGTGTTTTGTTTAATTTCCACAAGTTTGTGAATTTTCCAATTTTCCTTTTGTTACTGATTTCTAACTACATCCTGTTGTGGTTCAAAAATGCACCATATCTTCTTCACTTCTTTGTGTGTGATATGTATCTTTTAAAACTATGTAGGCTTGATTTGTTGTTTCTGCTTTCAGTGATCCCATCTCAAGTTTGCTGATTCTTTCTTCTACCTGCTTATATCTGCTGCTGAACCCCTGTAGTGAAAATTTCATTTATTATACTTTTCTCTGCCAGAATTTTTTTATAATGCCTATCTGTTGATATTCTGATTTTGTTCATTTATCATTTTCCTGATTTCTTTAATTCTTTGTTCATGTTTTCCTTTAGTTCTTTGGGCATATTTGAGTTAAAGTATATGTCTAGTTTAATGTCCTTCATTAGGACAAGGTCAATTAATTTTGATCTTTTGAATGCGCATTATTTTCCTGTTCCTTTGTATGGTTTGTGATTTTTTTCCTTGAGAGTTGGATATTCACTATTATAATATGGTAACTCTAGGTATGAGATTCTTTCCTTTCCCCACGGTTTTCTGGTTCATTGTTTTTTTATTTTTAAAAGCTGTCATCCATTTGTTTTGAGAGTTTTCCAAATTATTTTTATAAAAGACTATTCCTTCTGTGTGTGATCACTGAAGTCTCTCTTCCTTTTATGTCACGTTCAGCTATTTTGACATAAATTCCCTTGAATGCTAGGAGCAATCCTAGATTTTACAAATCAGCTTTGTCCCAGGTAATCCTTCAATACTTACTTTGGCCTGCTTTTGGGCTTAGGGACCAGACCAAGGTGAAAGCTTGGGTCTTAGAACTTTCCGGGCAAGTGTTTTCCCTGGGCATGCATGTCGCATTTTAAATCCCCCCTGTATATGTAACTGTTCTTAATTTCCCAAAGTCTTACCCCAGATTCTCCTCTGGGCCTTAGTTGTTCTATTTTATGTTTACACCCATAACCTCTTGCCCCATGCACCTGTGGTTCTTTGCAGCTTTTGTAAGCAGTGCCCACCCTACCAGTTAGGCAAAACAAACATGTGACCTTGTGTCAGTCCTTCAAGTATCCGCAGACAGGTTAGAAAAAAATGTACACAGTAATTTGCAAAAAAGGTCTAGCATGTTTTCTCCAGTTCAAGGGAGGGGACTGGGCTTCTGCTGCTTTAAGACTGCCACAATGTAGGGAGAGGCTCGGGCAAGAGCCACTAAAAAGTCACAATATTTTCCTACCATTCTGCAGATGATTGGGCATTCTTTTGGTTGCTGTAAACCTTTGACTGTTTTCCAAAGCTCTAACAAGGTTCGTTCAGACAGTTGCTTTTTTTTTTTTTTTTTTTTTTTTGAGACAGAGTCTTGCTCCATTGCCCAGGCTGGAGTGCAGTGGCACGATCTCGGCTCACTGCAAGCTCCACCTCCCAGGTTCACACCATTCTCCTGCCTCAGCCTCCCAAGTAGCTAGGACTACAGGTGCCCGCCACCATGCCCAGCTAATTTTGTGTACTTTCAGTAGAGATGGGGTTTCACTGTGTTAGCCAGGATGGTCTCGATCTCCTGACCTCGTGATCTGCCCATCTCGGCCTCCCAAAGTGCTGGAATTACAGGCGTGAGCCACCACGCCCGGCCTCTTTTTTTTTTTTAATGTTTTGATAGGCAAACAAAAGCTTGCAGCTTCCTAGTCCACCCATTTTTGCTGATGTCGCTGGGGTCAATTATGTTTTATTCCTCCCTATAATTTTATTACAAGACCTTGAATAGAGTATGTTTATTAAGTATAGTGATTAAATTTTAGTCATAATTAGAAAAATGTCAATGGTCTCAAAATTCTCCTCAATCTGATAATTTGCATTTAAAAGCAACATTAATAAATATATTTTCTTTCAATTTCTTCTAAATTAATCAATCTTCCCTGTTTTTACTGGCTAACAGTCACTATATAGCAAAAACTTTTATAAATCTGTTTTAAGAAATGAAAGTTTCCAGCTGGGCACGGTGGCTCACGCCTGTAATCCCAGCACTTTGGGAGGCTGAGGCAGGCAGATCACCTGAGGTTGGAGTCTGAGGCCAGCCTGACCAACACAGAGAAACCCCATCTCTACTAAAAATACAAAATTAGCCAGGCATGGTGGCGCATGCCTGTAATCCCAGCTACTAGGGAGGCTGAGGCAGCAGAATCACTTGAACCCAGGAGGTGGAGGTTGCAATGAGTCGAGATTGTGCCATTATACTCCAGCCTGGGCAACAAGAGCAAAACTCTCTCAAAAAAAAAAAAGTTTCCATACCAAAATATTAAGTGATACTTATTGGCTTCTGCCAGTTTCCTACTTTGTAGTAGCACATGTTCTTGTAACCTGTCTTCAGTTGTGGCATAGGGTAGAAGTTAAATATATAAAACAAAAATAACATATTTTGCAAATATTTGATTATTCTTCCCTATATAGGGTCAATATTAAAGTAACTTTCTGGTATCACATTCTTTATATCGTATTCACTTTGTTCATTTAACAAGGATATTATTACTAATGCTTATTTTATTATTTTAGGATTTTCATTAAGCCAACTCATACCCAGTTTCTACAAATGAAAACCAAGTCAATCATCTAAAATTTCATGATTTCTTCCCATCAAGAGGATCTGGAGTCTTCTGTTCCCATTAAAACTGAATTTATGGCAGTGCAAACCTGGGCCAGACTGGGTATAAAATGACAAAAGCATATTTATATTCTTAAAAATTTCTGCAGATTGCATAGAAAGTTCTCAGATTTGTGGCTGGGCGCAGTGGCTCATGCCTGTAATCCCAGCACTTTGGGAGGCCGAGGCGGGCGGATCACAAGGTCAGGAGATCGAGACCATCTTGGCTAACACGGTGAAACCCCGTCTCTACTAAAAATACAAAAAATTAGCCGGGCGCGGTGGCGGGCGCCTGTAGTCCCAGCTACTCGGGAGGCTGAGGCAGGAGAATGGCGTGAACCTGGGAGGCGGAGCTTGCAGTGAGCCAAGATTGTGCCATTGCAATCCGGCCTGGGCTAAAGAGCGGGACTCCGTCTCAAAAAAAAAGAAAGTTCTCAGATTTGTAAAAGTTTATTTCTATTGTAATTCTTTGCATGTTCACTTTGTTAAATTTGCAATATAAACCAGTTGCACGTCTTTTGCTATCTGGCCTCGTAGGTTGAGGGTTAGGGTTTGCTTTAAGCAAAACTGAGATAACTGTAATGTGAACTGGCCTACTAGATTGCCCACTTTTATCAGTCTGCAAGGGTGGATCTATTTCTAGGTCTTAATTTCAAGGTTTACTTTCCCTCTTCCTTAGATTTTACTTGGATCAAAGGGCATGGAAATATATTCCTTGCTTAAGCCTTATACAAAGGAAACTAGCCCCAGAAATTATTTTGCTTTGAAAGTATGTAGATGAAATAAGTATTTTTAAATGTCTTGATTAAATAAAGTATTCTATGATCTGATCGTCAGCTCAGTATGTAGGCTAATGGTACACCTTTACTTCTCTTTTTTATGCTCACATTTTTTTCATGTGATCATTTTCAGTTTCACAGAGGACTACAATGATTGTCATCTCTAGGAATTTAGTTTGTTTTTAGCTAATACTCCTTTAATGCTTCTAAGACAAGCCTTTCAAAATTGTAATAAATGAGTTACACAGATTTAACTTTGGTTAAATTACTATTTCCCTTCCTCACAGGACTTCAGGGCCTCTGAGAGGCAGGGAGGATGACTTTTGTTCTTATCAATACTACTATTGTTTCTATTAGGTCAACTTTTCCCTTTTTACTTTGCACTAAGGTTACAACCATGTGACTAAATGATTTTACTGTTCATAACAAGCTCCAAAGGCTCAGCTATAAAAAGGAATGCTTTAACAACATCAAATATTGTATGAAATTACCCTGTATCAGACTCTTTGAGAAGCAGCAAAACATTTTATATGAGTATTAATTTGTTTAAAATAATCCATTCAATTCTAAGGCTCATTTTGTTCATATTTTCAGTTTTAAAAATCCCTTTTCCTCTACTATTCAACCAATTCTGGTTAATATCAGGGACAATAAAGTTTAAAAAATATTTGCCTTATGGGCTATATGAGCACATTCAAGGACTAAAATTTTGAGGTATTTTGATAATAGCTAAATAGCAAGAGCTAAATATAAATATTCATAGATGAAAAGTTTTGACAAATTTTTCTTTGGACTTGCCTCAGGAACTAGGATTTAGAATAACCATAAATTAAAGGACTCTTCCAAGCATTTTTATCATATATATATAAATAGCAAGAGAAAAATATTTTCAGTTTTAAAAAAAGGATAAAAGTGACAAAAAAGGAAAAGCAGGAATAATGCTAATACATTTGGTTTTACTTACCTTGCAAGTGTTCTACTGTCCTGTTAGAACAAACCACTGACTGTTACAAAAGTAACATTAGTTACATCATACTGTATTAGATGGAATATGCTAATTTCTCTCTTGTAAAACAGTCTGGAGGTAGATAGTCCACGCCACTTATGGTGTTTCTTCAATGAGGTCGTACAGGGACCAGGATCCTTCTGTTGTTTTTCTTCTACAATGGTGTGTTGCCTCCTCTTCAGGGTCCAAGATGGCTCACTACCAGATCCACATTCCAAGCA
The DNA here is from genome assembly GCF_000001405.40 of Homo sapiens. Lineage (NCBI taxonomy): Eukaryota > Metazoa > Chordata > Mammalia > Primates > Hominidae > Homo > Homo sapiens. The sequence goes on along the minus strand of NC_000015.10, from coordinate 75,934,216 downwards.
ACAGGATGGAGAAAGGGGCAAATAAATGGTCATGCCATTTTAAGGACACAAAAAATCGTTTCCCCTCACATTCCATTGTCCAGAACACAGTCATACCTGCACAGGAGACTGGGAAATGTAGTCTTTATTCTAGGAGGCATACCCACTTGAAAAATCAAAGGTTCTATCATTATGTGAAAAGTAAAGAATGGATATTGAAGGAAAATTGGTGCTCTCTGCACATCTCTTATTTAGATATTTGTACAGAAATTCAAACTTGAAAATCATTCTACTGGGAATATGACAGGAATGACTAGCTGACATACCAACTATTCTGGGTTTTCATTTATAAAGGATTAGTTTACTTCCTTTGTTCATCCAAAAGCAATGAAATGCAAAACATTACCTGAATGAGTTCCACGCTATGTTTTATTGGTATAAAACCAAAATAAGATGATGTAATACTCTGGTCTACCAGTTAGTTAGCTATTTAGACCTAGGTGAAAAAAAAATATTTTTAAGGAAAGAAGAAAAATCTTTTACTTATAATAAAATACTGATTAGTCTTGTCAATTTATCTGACCAAAACAAAAATAGTTCTTTAATTTTTATCAAATAAGTAAAAAGTCAATAATAATATTGTTACTTCTGAAAAAATTCATAAAACTGAAAGGCAGAGAAAAATTTCTCCAGCCATCAGTATATTTTTCTCCTTTATTAAGGGAGAAAAAAGGTCTTCATGATTCTGCTAAAAGACATCACCTAACAACGCAAGGGGTAGTCAGGGAATGTCTTAAATCTATATCCTATTGATGAATACCCTTTTGCTCTTCCTATGCAGGAAGACTATTTAAGGTCATGTTACACAGCAGCTACATGATCTGGTGCAACACAACTATAATCAGTTTGCTTCTGCCTGATGCAAAAGCTCTCAACTCCTAGTCAGTGTTATGTCCAAAGTTGTCCTTCATCTAATATATTAAATACTACCCTCATGTGATCTTAGAGCATCAATCAAAGCTACAAAAAAGATATATCTAAAGTTATTTTTGTTTGAAATACACATGGCCCAAGTTTCCATTTTCTGAAAAAGGCAGAACCCAAAAGTTACATATTATGAAAGCCACTTTAATTATTATTTAGATGACCCCAGATGTATGAGTGCCATTATTGTTGTATAGCTATGAAACAGATCATCATCTTTTACCTCATTACATTTCCTCAATATAAAGTTCCCAGTGACTATCCGATCACATCCAATTTCTCCATTTCCAAAGAAGCCGAATAAGGGAACACTAGGAAAAAACTTTCTAAATGCATCAGCCTCAACATTCCCCTTGGCTCTGTAATACTGAAAGCCCCTGCCAACGCATGCAAACATGAAGCCAATGGTGTTATGCTCTGGAATGTTGGCCGCTTTGAGGCGCTGCATCGCAGCCTCAGCAGTCTTCTCATCACTGACGTCCTCGTTGAGGAGCACAGTGGCACTCTGGATTCGGTGTCCACTAAATGACAGTCCAACCACACCCGAGGCATCAATATCCAGAGGGTTCCTGGAAAATTTAGAAAAGTGGCAATATCTCATGAAACATTAAAATTTTTAAGTATAGAAGCAAAATCCTCCTGATTCACTGACGGGAGGCTGCTGCCTTTAGCAGCCTATGGTTAATCTGAGGCTCACCCTCATAGGTGAGTAAAATAGGGTCAAAAATCAAAATTAATACATAAAAAATGCACAAGGCAGATCAAGAGAAGCCACCATTTTTTTCAGTCACAAATACAAAGGGGCAATGCACATCCATAACGATTTCTGAAACCCATATCCGGTTATTAGAAAGTACAGTTTCCTTACCTTTCTGACTTCCTTAAAAGGAATGTTATAATTTTATTAATATACACAAAGATATCCACTAAACGAAGCCTTCTGCTATTGTTTACATTAACATCTCTTCCCCCCGACTTCAGCTGTCAAATTCTGAAAGATGTATATTAAAAATATAATAATGGAGGGTGATTTTATTTTTTTAGAGATAGGGTTCTCTGTTAGCTAGGCTGAAGTGCAGTGGCACAATCATAGCTCACTGCAGCCTCAAACTCGTGGGATAAAGCAATCCTCCTGCCTGAGTCTCTCAAGGAGCTGGGGCTACAGATACATGCCACCACACCTGGCTAATCTGTAAACATTTTGTAGAGATAGGGTCTCACTATGTTGCTCAGACTGGTCTCAAACTCCTGGGCTCAAGCAATCCTCCTGCCTCAGCCTCCCAAAGTTCTGGGATTACAGGCATGAGCCACTGCACTCAGAGGATAATTTTAAAAACCTATTAACTCTAGAAGTTTTAGCTTTATGTCTAGTCCACTAGAAAATATGATTATGTTATTTTTTTGTCTTGTTTATTGCTTTGAGTCTAGAGTTCAGCTTAATTTGATGGTAAAAACTCATGCTTTGTTTTTGTTTATATTTGCCTGGTTTTTTTAAAAAATGAAATATCCTTACAAAAGAAAATACAACATTGATAAAAGTAATAAAGCATAATATAGTGAACATCCACTAGGGGATAAACAAGTATTGTATCATGCTTCCAACATCTGAATCTATAAAATGGGCAAGAGTCACTGGATTAGTGAGAAACTAAGACGCAAAAAGGTTAAGTGACTAAAGTAATAAGGCTAGCTAGTAGTAAAACAAGTTTGTGAGGGGCAAAATCCGTCTTCTGAAGTCCTCTGCTGCTCTTAAAACTTTATCACATTTCCTCTTTGGTACAGAATTGTTAATATACATTGTCAATCTTGCCTCAAAGAATTATACATCTTCCTTTTGGGGCACTGGGTCAGTTGGGTTATCTGGACTTTATTAAAATGGAGCCCTCATTTACTCAATGGTTTCTCTTAACCACTGACAGAGTATGAAGACCACATTAAAATTAATGGGTCATGTGAAGAGTAATGATTGGGGTGGGGGGTGTTTCTCTTATTAGGTATAAAAAGTAGATGATATACAAATAGCTACACTTACAAGCTAGCACCTCAGATGTTATAAGTCTGAGTGAGGTATCTGCATTTCAAAGGTAAACTGTATGTTGAATCACCATTGCCCTATCCGTACACAATTTAAGTTAATAGCAAAGACACAGGAAAAATTAGGCAAGAGGGGAAATAACTTAGATAGCCACCAAGAATTCAGTGTATGTATGCACAAAATCCAGTGTTTGATATCCTGCCTGGGATTCAACGTACTTGGCCTTCCTCTCTTCCTCCTCCCTGGCAGTCCAGGGACCTCAACTTTAGCTATTTTCCCAGATCTAGCTCATAGAGATAACCAGAAGAGAGACTATAACTAGGATGACTTACATTATTCTTATAGATACTGATCTGCAACAGTCTGTCCCCATGTCACCACTCTAGGATGCAAATATTAAACAGAGTGGGAAACAAATAGTAGTGTTTACAAGCATTGAGGGTGGGGTAGGGTCTGATTTTCCTGCTGGAAACAAATGATATTTATGTCCACCTAATTGTTTCAAACTCAAAATGATATGTATTTTCATTCAAGATGGAAAGGAAGTAATGGCTCCCAAGACAGAAGAGCAAATATTTTTATCTTTGAAAGCAAAAGCCTTAGTAACAAAAAAGATCCACAATTTTTAAGCTTGAAAAAGCCTTTCAAAAGATCTAATACAGAATTTCCAAAAACCAGTACGACTTGCAAGACATTCTGTGGAAAAAAGTTTTGTGACCAAACACATTTGGGAACTGTCACAGGTAATGCTATTCTCCTTCCAGATTTCCACAGCACTGGGCATATTAGAAGCTCTGAGAAGTTTTGCCATAAAGATACACTCTAACCATGTGTTTCCTTTAAAGGAGGAAACTAGAAAGGAGGTGACACATTGAGGTCACACAGAGTACCACATCTGTCAAAGGAAAGATCAACAGGCAATGTCAAATTTTAAGGAGAATGTGACTCAAGGAAGTTCTTGAAGGACAATATATATAAAAATGTAATTATTCAACCGTAAGCAGAATTATGTTCAGTAAGCCCCTTAGCCAATGTCTACTACAAAATGGAATGAACTATTATCTTAATAATTCTTTAAACACGTTTTTTAAATTGTTAACCCCAAAGTGACAAAACCTGAGACCATTTCCCTTCATTCACAGACGAAATCAGAAGCACACAAGACATACTTTTCAGAAGTCAGTGATGACAGGTTGTCCACCTGGCCTCCAGCCAAGATGATATTCATATCACTGAAAGTGCTGACTACTTGCTGCAGATAATTACTGGCTCCCACCTTACAGCAATTATAACCAAAGACAAGGACCACACGAAGTTCAGGGTTATCTAAAAGACCTGCAGAGAAATGAAGAGCAACAGTTAAAGACAGCCTTAAAACAGAAATTATTTTATACATGCTGCAAAATGAAATGTTACTGACTTGCACTCCACCTTAAGGGCAATTTAGTGGCTTAAGCTATCAAATTTTCCATTTTTTATTTTTTATCTTATTTTATATCCTCTTCGATCTCTGTATCAAGTTTTCCATTTTTTACAAACATTATGCAAAATCTTAATTATTTTTTCTATTAAAAAAACTAAATGGCTATTTGTGTTAATAAATAATGCAATCAACACAAATAATGAAGCAGCTATGTACTGAGCAGCAACTCTTGGTAGACCAAGGTGCAAGCTGGCTCTCAGTAGGGAACAAAAAAAAAAAAACACTGGTTTACACAGAGCTGTGCTAGCAGCAGTGAGAATTTACAGATTTTTTATTTTTTAAAGGAGAGAAAAGGCGCTAACCACTTATAGTGTGGTGAACAGTGCCCCCTGCCCATGCCAAAGGTATATCCACATCAAACCTCTGGAACCTATGCATGTAAGCTTATTTGGAAAAAGGATCTTTAAAAAAAATTTTTTTTTTTTTGGTAGAGATGGGGTCTCGCTATGTTAGTAAGGATCTTAAGATTAAATCATCTGGTCTATCCACGTGGGCTCTAAATCCAATGACAGTGTCCTCATAATGAAAGATGTACAAAGGAGAGACAGAGAAGAAAAGGCAGTGTGACCACAGAAGCAGAAACTGGAGCGGTAGGAAGAGAAAAAGAACAGACTCTCCCCTACAGCCTCCCAAGGTAGCACTACCCCTACTGCCATCTCAATTTCAGACTTCTGGCCTCCTGAACTGTGCAGAATAAATTTCTCGTTTTATGTCACCAAATTTGGGGTACTTTGTTACAGCAGCCTAAGAAACTACTACATCACTGAAATACAGGCTTTATTCACCTCCTCCACGGAAGCAGGTGAGAGTAAAGGCGAATTAGCCTTTGAAAGTTCCTTGCAAAGCAGGAAAATGTTCAATTCTGTGACACAGGAACTAAAAGCTGCTACCGCTAGGAGGTGGCAGAGTGTAACAGAGACAGCCTACTTGCTCTGCCCACAGCTCCCAGGTTTCACTGGAGCCTCTGGCAGCTTGTTTATAGACTATCAATTTGATTTTTTTTTTAAGTTCAGGGATACATGTTCAGGTTTGTTCCACAGGCAAACGTGTGTCATGGGGGTTTGTTGTGCAGATTATTTCATCACCCAGGTAATAAGCCCATTCTCCATTAGTTATTTTTCCTGATCCTCTCCTTCCTCACACCCTCCACCCTCTGGTAGGCCCCAGTGTCTGTTGTGCCCCTCTTTGCGTCGATGTATTCTCATCATTTAGCTCCCACTTATAAATGAGAACATGCAGTATTTGGTTTTCTGTTTCTGTGTTAGTTTGCTAATGATAATGGCCTCCAGCTCCATCCATGTCCCTGCAAAGGACGTGATCTCATTCTTTTTTATGGCTGCATATGTACTACATTTTCTTTATCCAGTTTATCACTGATGGGCATTCAGGTTGATTCCATGTCTTTGCTACTGTGAATAGTGCTGCAATGAACATACATGTGCATGTGTCTTTATAACAGAATAATTTATATTCCTTTGAATATATACCCAGTAATAGGACTGCTGGGTCAAATGGTATTTCTGTCTTTAGGTCTTTGAGGAATCACCACACTATCTTCCACAATGGCTGAACTAATTTACACTCCCACCGACAGTGTATAAGTGTTCCTTTTTCTCCACAAACTTGCCAGCATCTGTTATTTTTTGACTTTTTAATAGCCATTCTGCCTAGTATGGGATACGATCTCATTGTGGTTTTGATTTGCATTTCTCTAATGATCAGTGATGTGGAGCTTTTTTTCCTATGATTGTTGGCCGCATGTATGTCTTCTGCCAGCATTACCAAACGGGTGCTTTGGGGACAGGAAAATGAATCTAATACCTAACACACTTGTGTTTCCATTTGATTTGACCACATGACTTCCACCTTGACAAACCTAAGGTGGTTACCAGAAAGGAGAGTTACTTAAGGAAACAAAGGGTATGCAGATGCGTGAATGACCAATTACTAACACCAAATAATGACCTATTCTGGGAAACTGCCTCTGGTCCATTTCCAATTCTCTACACAGTAAATTACTGACTTGGACAGTAAAAAGAATATTACTTTCATGACATCATATACCCCAAACCATTGCTAAAGCATCTTTTTTCCCTTATAGACTAGCCCACGAAATTTTAAGAGAATATATTTTCTTCTTTAGAACAAAGTTTCAGAGTTGGGAGAGGCCTGTGAGATCAAGTCTAGAGTTTTATTTTACAAACAAGGACTGCCAATGCCAGAGAAGTGACTACTACCCCAGGACAATATAATGACAGACTCTACATTAAAACCCACATCTCCTGACACTCAGGGCTTTAGCTTTTAGAAACCTCATGACTTCTAAATCTCAACCTTTCCTCCTGTTTTCTAAGCTCTAGATGCTCTTTTACAACATCCACTAAACATCCTACCTGAATATTCTAAAGGCAACCACTCCCATTCATTTAACAAACACATACCCAATGTAAAGGAAAATTTTAAAAAAATCTCAGGACCTCCAAACTCCTTATGCCAAAGGGAAAGTTTAGCCTAGAGGCTGAGTCAAGCGAAGCACCATCCTCTCTCCAAATTAATATTGCTACTTCACAACCCTGTGTCAGAGCATTATACATTAGCCAGACCTACCGCCTCACACCCCTCCCCCCGACCAGGAAAGGCAAAAGGCTTTAGGCATCTCCAGATGACTGCTCCCACAAATCATTCATAAGGAAAATCTTTGCTGGCCTCAAAACCTTTAAGATGTACATCCTCCCATAACACAAGGACATGTCAATTGTAACTCTAGGTCTGTAATCTGTTCAATTCCACACTGATAATGTCCATTGCAAGCTTATCTTCCCAGATGCTGCACAAAAACAAGAGATCAGTAATTCACCCACCTACTCTGAGACATCTGCATAAATGGTTCTTCCTTTCTTCAAAAGGTTCACCTTATCTTATGTAAAGTGTAGATTTACTGAGTACTAACTAAAGTCTCACAGGAATGTAACCATTCACCTCATGCCTATCCTTCCCCATCCTTCCTTCTCTCCTTTAAAAACATGTATTGAAAACCTCTTCAGAGTACACAGCCACTCGTTTGTGACTAGTGTTTTTCCCGGATACGCCCTCAACCTCTGGCTCAGTAAACCTCGAATGATGGAGATTCTCGCCTCAGTCACACATTCCAGTTAACACCATCTTCTCCAGTGGTGTTCTTTCAACATCTTCTCTAGTGGGTTGGTTCTCAGCTAATGGAACACTTCCCCCTCCTAATACACAACCCTAGAAAGTAGAATCACTTTCCCCTACCCCAACTTAAAGAACAAACCCACCTTAGCCAAGGCTGGCTGCCTGATAGAGCAGATGGCTCTGTATTTAACCAACAGACTACCTGGTGCTACCGGTAAATAACAGAGGGAAGGTACAACTCCAACTCCTTGACACTCAAAATTCAAAGGCCTAAAATATGAGGGAAGAATAAGGAGCAATGCCAAGTTTTCCTGAAAGGTTCTGGGTTCCCCCCAATTCATAGGTAAAGGATCATCAAGGACCCAATGTTCTGGGCCACCCGCCATAGAATCTGACTACAGATTTTATTCTAGAATTTTCCAAAAGTTGATACATTAGCAGGAGCTTACCACAACCATTAAAAACAATTCCAGAAAAGTATTTATAAGGCACTTTAAACAGTGTAACCTACTGGTGAACCTTTCAAGATGATAAGCTGGTTACAAAATGTAACCTTAGGTAACAGGATAAACTGACCTGCCATGTAGGATTGGCAACTATAATCAAGTTAACTACTGTAGTTGTCCACCAAGAGATGTCTTTGGTTTTGGAATAGGATGAAACTGTTCTTGCCAGTAATAATCTTGTTAGGTAAATTTAGCAAAGAATTGCCCCATCCTCTTAGGAATTTTTCATCCACCAAGCCCCCACCCTCCTCCTTGGCTATAAATCCCCATTTGTGGTTGGTGCATTTGGAGTTGAGCCTGATCTCTCTCCCCTAGTGCAAAACCCCATCACAGTGGTCTCCCAAATAAAGTCTGCCTCATTGTCTTGAATAGATGTCAGCATCGCTTTTTTTTTTTTTTTTAACACTAGCTTCCTGTCACTTCTGCTTTCTCAAGGGCTGGGCAACTTCGAAGGCAGAACAAGTTCAATCCCTTGAGCTTCAGCACTGATTCTCTCTGCTTCACACCTGGTACTGCCTATGACCCCTCAAGACTCTCTATGATGTCCTCAGATAATTTTAAAACTTTGTTCTTCTTCACACTTTTTTGGAATCTGACAAGTCATTAAAGTTCTATTTTACCCCTCTTGGTGGCTGGCAGAATTCAAGACAAGTAGTTAAAGGTTCAAAAAGCAGGGAGCAGAAAGAACCTGAACAATCTACAAGCTAGATCACCAGATCACCAATCTCACAACAAACACTAGTACAGAGCACCGTTCTAAGTACATTATAGAAATTAACTTATTTAATGCCTGTAACAACCTGTTACGTATTGTTTTATTCCTAAAAAGTCTGTGAGGATTCAATACTTCCAAAATTCACATTTAACATGCAAATTATATCCATATTACAGAAGCTAGATCAGACCAGACCAAAGTAAAATTAAATACACACCCCAGAACTGGCTGCCAGAAAGAACTGTGCCTACTGAGCTATGGAAAACACAGGACACTTCCAATCCTCTCCTTCAAAGAGCAAAGGCAACTGAATTCTTCAGAACTTCCTCTCTTGACCCTAAAATGTAAAAATCAATAGGAAAGCTTTTCTAATGGGACTCTCCGCAAATAAAACTCAAATCCAGAAAATCACTGTGCCCCAAAAGGCAATGTTACAGGTTTGTGCTTCACCTAGAAGAAAGTCAGAAGGATATTTGTAAAAGGAAAAGAGAGGGAGGATCCCAGGTGTGAGTCAACTGTTTGCTATATAACTAACCACCTCAAGCATTCTCAAAGGAGCAAAGAGGCTCTGGCTCTCAAGCTGAAGTCCATCTTGCCAACGCTCAGCAGTGCTAGGTCTGCTTTCTCAAGCTCTCCTGTCTGTGGTACAGACAGGTAGAGCTGCCAGGCACTGTAGAGCTGCCAGGCACTGCTCTGAGTCTAGAGCCCCTTCCCTGGATTACATGAAGGTTTAGAGGAAGAAGTGCATGAGCACTGCCAGGGAGGGAAGCTTCTCTCCCCTCCTCTGTTGCAGCTGGGGCTTTCAGACTGTGCTTTGGTGGGCAAAGCGTTCCAAAGATGCCTCCAGTGTAGGTGGAGGAGAATAAGCAACCTCAGTTCAAGGCCTAACATGCTCCCTTCACCCTTCAACCTAGAGGCTCTGCTTTTACCTGCTTTATTTTTATGTTGACATCCCATGTAAGACTGTACAAATGAAGTGTTTAAAACAAAAGCTAAGAAATGGCTCAAGGAGATCCTTACTGAGTAGTCTCAATAAAGCCTTTGCATTAGCAGAAGGGAGGGATGTCAAAATAATATTACAGCAGTACCAACCCTGGACAATCAACATGCACTACTGAGCCTCCTCCCCGGCCCTCCTCCTCAAATCACTGAAGCCAGTCCCTTTTGCTTCAATCACCATTAATTACCTGATGATTCCCAAATTAATATCTTTCCTCTAGACCATTCTCTAGAGCTCCAGGCCAACATATCCAACTGTCTATAATCAATATCTCCATCTCAAATTCCAAACATGTCCAAAACAGAACTGATAATCTGATCTTCCAACCCGCACCTTCAAATCTTCTTCACCTTAGTCAATGGTACTATACAGCTGCGCTAGCCACATACCCGCATGACATCGCTGTCACCTCCCTCATTCTCAACACCTAACATCTCATCAGTCACCACATCCTGTCCATTCAGCCCCAAACTTCATCTTGAATCCATTCACTTCTCTTCAACTCCACTCACCACTGCCCTGCTCCAAGCTGCCATCTCCTCTTTCCTTAACCACTACAACAGTCTGTGTCTCCTGCATATACTTTTTAAAAAAAATTATTTTAACTGAAAAATTTAAAAGGCATATATTTATCATGTTCAACATGGTGTTTTGAAATATATATACACTACTGAATGGCTAAATCAAGCTAATCCTGCATCCACTCTTGTACTCCAAAATGATCACCACATCATAGCAAGAGTGTTATTTTGAAAAGATCTATCAAATTATGCCACTCCTGTGTTTAGAAACCTGGCTTCTTGCTGCACTTCCCTCAAATATTTTTGATCTGTGGTTAGCTGAATCCATGAATGCAGAACCCATGGATATGGAAGGCCAACTCTACCTAAAATTAGGACACAAGATAGCAAGTGAAAGAATGAAGATGGCCATTTTAAGCTGGGCAAAGCTTCAATTTCCAGAAGAAAATGATGCCTTGGAATAAGCCAAAACTGCTGACATCAAGCAGCTCAGGAAAGGACACCTATAAGAAAGCTTCACAGAGCACAATAATTCTGGGGTTGTTTTTCCTTCCAGTTTTCTCATTCCTATACTTGGCACTATAATGCAAATATGATCTAACAAATATAGCAATTTTATCACAAAAGGGTTTCTGCTGCTCAAGATTTTGGCTCTTATAAACTGACAAAACTAGGGTCCTAGCTTCAACCAGTGCCACATATCAGGGCCTCATCAAAGATTCCCAGGATGCTCAGGTGGACAGAGGACAGAGTACTGCCCAGGAAACAGCTATGTCACCTCTCTGGACAAAAAAGGCAGCACACAAAAGGTTTGGCCATATGACCTTTAGCAGCAGCACTGAATCAACAGCCAAAACAAGCATCTCTAATGGGGTTTGATTTTTCCCAATTTCTTCTCCCAATCCCGCTCCTCCTGTCCCAGTGTTCCTATTTCTGGTCTCTGCACCACCATCACCCTTGTCTCCTAGGATCAAAACTCAAAAGTAATTACTGAGGCTTCCCTTCTCTTTCACATCTAATCATTTGTTCATTTCCTCCAATTCATTCCCTAGTCCTCATGCCCTAGTGTTATTTCTTGCCTGGACTCTAAAGTGGTCTCCCGCTTCCAGTGTCTCCCCACACAGGAGGGCCACATTCACCTCTGCTCGATGACATCTGAGTAACAGCTACCATTTTCTGTGTACAGGAGCTAAGCCCAGACTCTTTAGCCTGGCCTGAATGCGCCCCACCCTTTGTTCCCATGACTTCCCTGCACATAACCTTTGCTTGCAAAATGATTACTATTTCTCCAACATGCTCTGGGATTTCCTGGCTCTGTGCCTGTGTTTCTATGTTCCTTCAGCCAGTGATATTACTCATCCATATCTCTCATATGCTTCCCATCCTTCAAGGGCTTAAATACCACCTGCTTCTGGAAGCCTCCTTGATCCCTCCCACTGGCAGAACCCCTACAGCAATCTACCCATTCTGCTCTCACAGAACACCTCACATACTCACTTGGGTTATGATTATGCAGTCAAGCACCACATAACACTTTGGTCAAGGACAGCCAGGCGTGGTGACACGCACAGTAAGCATATGCAACAGTGGTGCCAGAAGATTAACAGAGCTACAAAATTCCTACTGCCTAATGTGTAGCACAACGCATTACTCAAATGTCTGTGGTGATGCTGTTGTAAACAAGCCTATTGCAGTGCCAGTCGTATAAAAGTATAGCACATACAATCACGTACAATGCATACTTGGCAATGACAATGAATGACTATGTTACTGGCTTATGATTTACTATCCTATACTTTTAATTGTAATTTTAGAGGTTACCCCTCCTACTTATTAAAAAAAAAAAAAAGTTAACTGTAAAACAGCCTCAGGCAGGTCCTTCAGGACGTATTCCAGAAGGAGGCACTGTTGTCATAGGAAATGACAGCTCCACATGTATTACTGCCCTGAAGACCTTGCAGTGGGACGAGATGTGGAGGTGGAAGACAGTGATATTATCTTGACTCTGTATAGGCCTAGGCTAATGTGTGTGACTGTGTTTTAGTTTTTAACAAAAAGCTTAAAAAGTTAAAAAAAAAATTAAAGGTGGAGAAAAGCTTACAGAATAAGGATATAAATGGAAATTTTTTTTGTCTAGCTAAAGTTAATTTATTATTAAAGAACAATTTTATTTTATTTTTTTGAGATAGAGTCTCGCTGTCGCCCAGGCTGGAGTGCAGTGGTGTAATCTTGGCTTACTACAACCTCTGCCTCCCAGGTTCAAGCGATTCTCCTGCCTCAGCCTACAGTAGCTGGGACTACAGGCGCACACCACTATGCCCAGCTAATTTTTGTATTTTTAGTAGAGATGGGGTTTCACCATGTTGACCAGGCTTGTCTCAAATTCCTGATCGCAAGGGATCCACCTACCTCGGACCTCCCAAACTGCTGGGATTACAGGCATGAGCCACTGTGCCCGGCCAAACAAAAATGTTTCAATTAATTTAATGTAGCTTAAGCATACAGTGTTTATAAACTATATAGTAGTATACAGGGCTAGGCCTTCACATTCACTCACCACTCACTGACTCACCCCACACCAACTTCTAGTCTTGCAAGTCCCATTCATGTTAAGTGCCCTATAGAGGTATACTGTCTTTCATACCATGTTTTTACTGTACCTTTTTAATGTTTAGATATGTTCAGATACACCAATACTTACCATTGTGTTACAACTGCCTACAGTATTCAGTACAGTAACATGCTGTCCATGTTTGTAGTCTAGGGGCAATAGGCTACACTGTATAGCCTACACATATAGTAGGCTGTAACATCTAGGTCTGTGTAAGTACTATGACATTCACACAACAACAACATTGCCTAAAGATGCATTTCTCAGAACTCATCCCCGTCATTAAGCAACATATGACTGTATATGTATTCTTCATACCTTTTCTGGAATGTCACTGAGACAGAATCTACATCCAGTTATGTCACCTTTAACATGCTGAATAAATTTTTATTTATTTATTTATTTTTGAGACAGGGTCTCACTCTGTCACCCAGGCTGCAGTAGAGTGGCGTGACTTCAGCTCACGGCAACCTCCGCCTCTTGGGCTCAAGCAATCCTCCCACCTCAGCCTCCTAAGTAGCTGGGACTACAGGTGCGTGCCACCATGCTTGGCTAGTTTTTTAGTTTTTTTGTAGAGGTGAGGTCTCACTATATTGTCCAGGCTGGTCTCGAACTCCTGGGCTCAAGCGATCCTCCCGCCTCAGCTTCCCAAAGTACTGAAATTACAGGCATGAGCCACCATACCAGCCTGAATAAAATTAATGTAGGAGTTCTACATTATGAGCCAATTGAATATAGATAGTCATCTCGTCAACATCAACACATTGATCATCTTCTTCCTTCCTTGTACTAAATTTGCTGCCATAAATCTTCCCAGAATCTGGGCTATGTTGCCCTGGACTGGCTTACTCCAAGGCCTTCAATGACACTTGATGCTTTTACAGGCAGACTGCCAGGCAACACACAAAATGGTTCTCAAACCAACATGTCTGACCACAGCCATTCCTTTGAGTTTCAGACCTACTATTTGCTAACCACCTGACCAACTCTGAAAAAGACCTAGTTTGCTGAACTTTGTTCGCTCCAGCTAGCCTACCAATATCAAGTCTCATTATGTTATTACAAAATCACATAAGCTCAGCACATAGCCACATTTGCTCCTAAAATTCATTTTGCCTTTACACTTAACAATGGGTCAGTTTTAAGGGCACTATCTGACCTTTTCCCAAAGGAAGTTTGGCATCCTTAATTTAGAATAGCTTTAACATTTCTGCTAACTCTGCTATTTACATACCCTAAGAGCCTTAACTCTCTACTGCCATTAAAGTTCAGTTTCCTCATCAAAAATATTCCATAAAGAATTCTGTCTGGCAAAGCTGTGGTGAAGATTAGAAGTGCTGCGCAGCACAGTATCTGGCATACAGTACCTCCATAAACATTGGCCATCGTTAATTGTCACTTCAAGCCCAGACACATGTATGCTCCTCTGGCATGTGGCTTCTGAATGAGCTAAGGACACTTAGAACCCTACTATTCCCCCCACAAACTACAAGGCCACACTGCAGATGAAGGGCCCATGTGACACACAGTAAAGCCTGCCTAGGGTGGAGGCCAACACTAGCATCTAGCTACAATCTACTGTTGCTAAGCGTTTTATGAAAGTCATTTCATTTAATCTTCACAATTCTGTGAATTCAATGTTAGTTATTTCCACTTTATAGATGAGGAAAATGGAGGTTTAGAAAAATTGAAAAACTTGCCCTAACTGGAGAGCCAGAAAGTAGCAGAACTAGAGTAGCTACAAGCCTGCAATCTTTTAAGGTTGACTACCTTCTATTTATTTTTTAACTGACAGATAAAATTGTATGTATTTATCAATGTATAACATGTTTTGAAGTATATATACATTGTGGAAGGGCTAAGTCTAATTCACATATGCATTATCTCACAGTTACCATTTTTGTAGTAAGAACACTTAACAGTCACTCTCTTAGCATTCTTCAAGAATATAGTATATGGGCCAGGCACGATGGCTCACACCTGTAATCCCAGCACTTTGGGAGGCCGAGGCAGGTGGATCACTTGAGGCCAGGAGTTTGAGACCACCCTGGCTAACATGGTAAAACCCTATCTCTAATAAAAAGACAAAAAAAATTAGCCAGGCATGGTGGTGCATACAGCATGTAGTCCCAGCTACTCGGGAGTCTGAGGCATGACAATCACTTGAACCCTTGAACCCAGGAAGTAGAAGTAGCAGTGAGCTGAGATCATGCCACCGCACTCCAGCCTGGGCAACAAAGTGAGACTCTGTCTCCAAAACAAACAAAAAAAAGAATATATGGTCACTGACTATAGTCTCCATGTTGTACAACAGACCTCAAGAACTTATTCCTCCAAAACGAATTTTGTATCTTTTGACCATCATCTCCCCAAAGCCCCTCCCAACCACCCCAGATCCTGGTGCCTGCCATTCAACTCTATATTTCTATGAGAGCAACATTTTTAGATTCCACACATGAGTGAGATCATGCACTATTTGTCTTTCTGGGCCTGGCTTATTTCACTTAACATCCTCCAGGTTCATCCATGCTGGTGCAAATGACAGGATGTCCTTTATGGCTGAAGAGTATTTCATTATGTATGTATACCACATTTTCTTTATCCACCATCAGCTAATGGACACTTAGGTTAATTCCATATCCTAGCTATTGTGAACAGTGCTGCAATAAACATGGGAGTGCAGATATCTCTTCAACATACTGATTTCATTTCTAAGTCAGCATTCTTAATAGCTACACTACCCTGTGTCACACCAGAGCTGGCTGTTGAGACTTTCCACCATCTACTTTGACCTGACCACCCTCTTCCACATTATTAAGAGGTTCCCGGCTGAGTCTTTGCTGCTAATGCCTCTTGTTCTGTGCTTCCCCTCCCATCCACCAATGACTTGCAAGTTTTTTTTTTTTTTCCACATTGTCAGGGATAGTTGTAAAAACTAGTCTCAATGTGTATACCCCCTTTTTTTCCTCATCAGTAAAACAAATTTTACCTTTGCTGCTACACAATTTTTTACTCCAGCTGGTTTAAGTCCCATTTCAAATAACAGAGGTTTATCTCTATAGGCTGGCTGATCTATGCAAAAATGAGGTGTTACCACTGAATAGTTTTTATGCCAACAGTGATTTTTAATGAATGAAGTGAATTCAATCAGTCCATCTGCAGATGTAGATAAAAGGCTAAACGCTGCTTTCCTTGAGTAATTCGTTTGTTGTTTACTATATTAAGTTAAGCTTTCCCATCCAAGCTTAGACATTAAGCCAACCCTTTACCTCTTCAAATTCACTTCAGGGCTCCATCCACACTACCTGCAGGATGTTTCCCAGCACACCCCTTGCTTGATAGACTTGCCTTAACTCATATATTTCCTAAGACTCATCAGGGTCACTTTACTTGTTCCCATCTTTCTAATTAGTTCACAAAGAACTAACCCGCGTATTCTAAAAACTTCTAAAATGCTTGTTACTAGAATAAAAAAGGTTAACAAAACAAAAATAGAGCAAAATGAAATAAACTATTAGAGCAAGAATTCCTTAAAATTCAGAACTAAATACAAACAAGTTTATCATCAACAGAGTATTTATGAAAAATTTTTCATCTCTGGTTCTCTTGGGCTTTAATGCAAGTAAAATAATTTAAAAAGTAAATCAATTCTACCAAACATGTATCACACTGGCCTCTGTGAATCACCTGTTTGAATTAGCCACATCTCCAGTGACAGGTGTACTTAATTCAGATTCTCCCAAAGGAACCTAATATCCACCAACTAGCCAGAATTAAAAAGAAAACAAAATTAATCAATAAAATGAGCAGTTAATGATAAATAAAAGTAACTTACCTACTTCAGTGAGTTGATGTCTTTCTAATGTTAAATTCTTTGGATCCTTAATAAAATGAAAGGGTTGTATTTTTATTCCTTCAATTTGAGGGAATAATAAAGCAAAACCAGATTCTCCAATTTCTATTTCCTGAGGTCGATTGCTACCTGATCCCATTGGAGTCACTAGAGAAAAAGTTAAACAGTTTCACCAATAGAGTCAGTAAAAACTAGATAACTACAGTTTAGGTCACTAAGATAATCATTAAGCTAACAAGCCACTATCTGAGTAAAAGTTTTTCAGCTTTGACAGTTTTAGGGTGTAGTGTCATGATGTTTGCCATTTAACTTTCAAATGGTTCAGAAAGAAATTTTTTATAAGCAAAGTGAGAAAAAATAAATGTTGCAAAATTTTTTCAACTGCTAAACTAGATAAAGGGTATATGGGTATTTATCATGCTGTTCTATTATTCTTTCAACTTCTCCATATTTTTCAAATTAAAAAGTTGGGGGGGTAGTAAATACACTTTCACAGCAATTCCAATTTTTAAAAGTTTACCCTAAAAATATTTGACAATTATATAAAGTATATATATACCCAAGTATTTTATCACATAATTTCAAATAGAAAATAAAAAGAAAAAACCTGAATGTCCCACACTGGTATTCAGATTAAAAGTTACATTGGTATCATAGAATATAGCCATTAAAATGATGACAAATATATATTTATAGACATGGAAATATGTTTGTAATATGCTCTGAATTTTACAGGTAGATATTACAGATTGAACTGTGTCATTCCCTCCCTACTGCCTACCCCAAATTCATGTTTAAGCCCTAACCCCCCATGTGACTATATTTGGAGATAAGGCCTTTAAAGAGATAGTTAAGATTAAATGAGGTCACAAGGGTAGGACCCTAATCCAACAGGACTAGTGTCCTGAGAAGAGGAGGAAGAGACACCAAGCATGCTTATGTATGAAGAAAAGGCCACATGAGAACACAGTGAGAGAGCAGCTGTAAGTAAGCTTCAGAGAGACCATCCCCGATCTTGGACTTCTAGCCTCCCAAACTGTGAGAAAATAAGCTTCCGTTGTTTAAGTCACCCAGTCTGTGGTATTTTGTTATGGTAGCCCTAGTAGACTAACACAGTAGGTTACAAGTCTACAGAAAATTGTATTCTGGTTTTTTATATTTACATACATATATAAATAGAGGTTAACATCATAAGAGTGGTTAACTCTGTGGTGCTTAAAGGTGCTTTTGCTTATCTGAATCTTCTAATTTTTTTTTTCTAAAAATAACTATTACTAGTATAAAAAAAGAAATAAACTTTTTTTTTTTTTTTTTTTTTTTTGGAGACAGAGTCTTACTCTGTCACCCAGGCTGGAGCGAAGTGGTGCAACCTCTGCCTCCCGGTTTCCAGCAATTCTCCTGCCTCAGCCTCCCAAGTAGCTGGAATTACAGGCATGAGCCACCATGCCCAGCTAATTTTAGCTTTTTTTTTTTTTTTGAGACAGAGTCTTGCTCTATCATCCAGGATGGAGTGCAATGGCGTGATCTCGGCTCACTGCAACCTCTGCCTCCCGGGCTCAAGCAATTCTCCTGCCTTAGCCTCCTGAGCAGCTGGGATTACAGGTGCCCGCCATCATGCCTGGCTAATTTTTGTATTTTTAGTAGAGATGGGGTTTCACCACGTCGGCCAGGCTGCTCTTGAACTCCTGACCTCATGATCCACCCACCTCGGCCTCCCAAAGTGCTGGGACCACAGACGTGAGCCACTGCGCCTGGCCAATTTTTACATTTTTTAGTAGAGATGGGGTTTTGCCATGTTGGCCAGGCTGGTCTCCAACTCCTGACTTCAAGTGATCCGCCTGCCTCGGCCTCCTAAAGTGCTGGGATTACAGGTGTCAGCCACCACGCCAGGCCAAAAAGAAATAAACTCTTTTTTTTAAAAAAATGTTAAGCCCTTTAGAAACCACAGCTAGAGCAACTGAACAAATAATATTCATTTGTAAACATGTAAAATTCTTTTTACCTCACTGTATAAGACTCAAATTCAGATCAAAAATCTTTCAGTGAAGATTAAAAATGACAATTCTCAGTAGAGTACTACTGAGTTGGAACAAAAAAACATAACAGCAGCCAGGTGCAGTGGCTCATGCCTGTAATCCCAGCACTTTGGGAGGCTGAGGCGGTGGATCACCTGAGGTCAGGAATTTGAGACCAGCCTGGCCAACATGGTGAAACCCGGTTTCTACTAAAAATACAAAAATTAGCCAGGTGTGGTGGTGGCGGGCGCCTGTGATCCCAGCTACTTGGGAGGCTGAGGCAGGAGAATTGCTTGAATCCAGGAGGCAGAAGTCGCAGTGAGTAGAGATCACGCCATTGCACTCCAACCTTGGTGACAAGAGTGAAACTCCATCTCAAAAACAATACATAAATGACAGCTAACATTTACTTACTGCTTTGTGTATCTCTATTGTAAATGCTTTACAAGTGTTAACTCATTTAATTCTCACAACCCTCCAAGGAAGGTACTACTGTCATCATCCCCACTTCCTTGATGAGGACAGTGAAGCCCCATGAAGTTAGGTAACTTGCTCAAAGTCATACAGATACTAAGCGGTACAGCCGGCATTCGAATCCAGGTATCTAACCATTGCACCATTACTGCCTCAACAGAATCTCTCCTCCCCCAGTTAACTACAGAAAAGAATCAAAAATAATAAAAACCAGCAAAAATTCACCAGCAGCAATCAAGCATGGAAAGGGGCACAACCTCATGCTGTAAACATTGAAGAGTGGTACCAAAGCAGAGAAACAGAAGTCTCCTAGTAAGGCCCAGCTTTGCTCCTAATCCCAGCCCCATCTCACCCCTACCCACCAAACACAATACTGCTTGAACTGACAAAACTCTGAAAATGCCCACAAATACTTCCTAATTTGGAGGAAGGCAGAATGAGATCATTCCCCTCTTATGAATGACTACTGGATATTTATACAGGTAACCTTGAGATGAGAAGTACAATAACTTAATAAACATTAATATAAGGCAAATATAATGCCATGGTAAATATGACTGACTTTATTGTATTTTAGATGGACAGAAATAGAAATGTGGTTCTAAGCTAAAAATAACTCACCAATCCAAAGGACCCCACATTAATGCAAGGAAGAAATCATCAAGTTGCTAATTTATCTCACCTACAATTCCTGGGGTCACAATCCCAAGGACTTGGCATTGTTTGGGGAATAGCTTCTCAAGGGCAAGTGCTGTTTCCATACTAGTTCTTTTCCTTGCTGTAAAAATACAGTAGCAAAATGATAAATATCATCCATTTAAAGTCAAATCTGAGAATGAAAAAGTAAAAAAGCAAATACTGGAAATATTTAAGTCATTTAACACGAGAATGCTCTAAATAAAGGTCTAAAAGCATTGATTAAAACAAACACTTTACCTGTTTTGGTCCTGGCTTTTAAATTATAAATCTGATCTTTTGCACCACTAGTCTGCCTTTCCCCTCTGTTCATATATTGCTTTTGCCCCAGTGATGTCAAATTTAGCAGTAACAGCTGAATTTTAGACTTGCTATTGTACCTTTCTGTTCAGCTGATATTGCAGTATAACTACTATTTGCATCAACAGTCACCTGGATCAAATTAGACAATGAGAATCCATTATCTAAGTCTAACTTGGGACCTGAGTGTGCGCATCTTGGATACCCATTCTGCCTTTTCCCTCAGCAAGCCAAAAATGCACCATTTCTCTACATAACTTTAGTAAATGGGACCTCATGTTCCAATACAGTAAAAGGCCTGAATAGCCAAGTCATACAACCTGTTTTAATAATAAAAAGTGCCTGGAGAATTAAAGCATCTCAAATTGAGAACAACACCTTTCTAACGAATTTGTTTCAATTGCACTACAAGGTTTAGAAATCAATCTGAAGCAGAAAGGGTTCCTCAAGGTTCAAAGATAGATATATTGATGCATACTACAGGTGGCAGTCCCAGAGCCTCAGAAAGTCAGTTAACTCTCAGGACAAGTATAATATTGAACTCCGAACGGAAGGCACATGATAAAAAAACAGAAGCAAAAGCTTTTCTTTTGATATTTACCTCTCTTATGGCCACGACACTCTTCCAGACTAATGAAAGTTTCTGAATCAGCCATGTAAAGAACTGTATGTGGTAAGATGCGAACATTCTGCAAAGAAAAAAAAAAAATTGGAATTGGATCCCATGAATCCATCAGTGCTTCTGCATAGTCCCTTGAAGTATCACCCAGTCCATAGTGCAATCAAATTAGAACTCAGGATTAAGAAACTCACTCAAAACCACACAACTACATGGAAACTGAACAACCTGCTACTGAATGACTACTGGGCAAATAACAAAATAAAGGCAGAAATAAAGAGGTTCTTTGAAACCAATGAGAACAAGGACACAATGTACCAGAATCTCTGGGACACAGCTAAAGCAGTGTTTACAGGGAAATTTATAGCACTAAATGCACACAGGAGAAAGCAGGAAAGATCTAAAATTGACACCCTAACATCACAATTAAAAGAACTAGAGAAGCAAGAGCAAACAAATTCAAAAGCTAGCAGAAGGCAAGAAATAACTAAGATCAGACCAGAACTGAAGGAGATAGAGACAAGAAAAATCCTTCAAAAACTCAATGAATCCAGGAGCTGGTTTTTTGAAAAGATTAACAAAATAGACTGCTAGCCAGACTAACAAAAAAGAAAAGAGGAAAGAATCAAACACACACAATAAAAATGATAAAGGGGATATCACCACTGATCCCACAGAAATACAGACTACCATCAGAGAATACCATAAACACCTCTATGCAAATAAACTAGAAAATCTAGAAGAAATGGATAAATTCCTGGACACATACCCCCTTCCAACACTAAACCAGGAAGAAGTCGAATCCCTGAATAGACCAATAACAAGTTCTGAAATTGAGGCAGTAATTAATAGCCTACCAACCAAAAAAAGCCCAGGACCAGACGAATTCACAGCCGAATTCTACCAAAGGTACAAAGAGGAACTAATACCATTCCTTCTGAAACTATTCCAAACAACAGAAAAAGAGGGACTCGTCCCTAACTCATTTTATGAGACCAGCATCATTCTGATACCAAAACCTGGCAGAGACACAATAAAAAAAGAAAATTTCAGGCCAATATCCCTGAATATCGATATGAAAATCCTCAATAAAATACTGGCAGACCGAATCCAGCAGCACATCAAAAAGCTTATCTACCACAATCAAGTCGGCTTCACCCCTGGGATGCAAGGCTGGTTCAACATATGCAAATCAATACACGTCATATAAACATATACATCATATAAACAGAACCGATGACAAAAACCACGAGTATCTCAATAGATGCAGAAAAGGCCTTTGATAAAATTCAACACCCCTTCATGCTAAAAACTCTCAATAAACTAGGTATTGATGGAACGTATCTCAAAATAATAAGAGCTATTTATGACAAACCCACAGCCAGTATCATACTAGATGGGCAAAAGCTGGAAGCATTCTCTTTGAAAACTGGCACAAGACAAAGATGCCCTCTCTCACCATTCCTATTCAACATAGTATTGGAGGTTCTGGCCAGGCCAATCAAGCAAGAGAAAGAATAAAGCATATTCAAATAGGAAGAGAGGAATTCAAATTGTCTCTGTTTGCAGATGACATGATTGTATATTTAGAAAACCCAGTCATCTCAGCCCAAAATCTCCTTAAGCTGATAAGCAACTTCAGCAAAGTCTCAGGATACAAAATCAATGTGCAGAAATCACAAGCATTTCTAAACACCAATAACAGACAAACAGAAAGCCAAATCATGAGTGAACTCCCATTCACAATTGCTACTAAGAGAATAAAATACCTAAGAATACAACTTACAAGGGATGTGAAGGACCTCTTCAAGGAGTACTACATACCACTGCTCAAGGAAATAAGAGAGGACACAAACAAATGGAAAAACATTCCATGCTCAAGGATAGGAAGAATCGATATCGTGAAAATGCCCATATTGCCCAAAGTAATTTAGAGATTCAATGCTATCCCCATCAAGCTACCACTGACTTTCTTCACAGAGTGAGAAAAAACTACTTTAAATTTCATATGGAACCAATAAAGAGCCTGTATAGCCAGGACAATCCTAACCAAAAAGAAAAAAGCTGGAGGCATCATGCTACCTGACTTCAAACTATACTACAAGGCTACAGTAACCAAAACAGCATGGTACTGGTACCAAAACAGATATACAGACCAATGGAACAGAACAGAGGGCTCAGAAATAACACCACACATCTACAACGATCTGATCTTTGACAACTCTGACAAAAACAAGCAATGGGAATATGATTCACTATTTAATAAATGGTGTTCAGAAAACTGGCTAGTCATATGCAGAAAACTAAAACTGGACCCCTTCCTTACACCTTATACAAAAATTAACTCAAGATGGATTAAAGACTTAAATGTAAGACCTAAAACCATAAAAACACTAGAAGAACATCTAGGCAATACCATTCAGGACATAGGCATGGGCAAAGACTTCATGACTAAAACACCAAAAGCAATGGCAACAAAAGCCAAAATTGACAAATAGGAGCTAATTAAACTAAAGAGCTTCTACACAGCAAAAGAAACTATCATCAGAGTGAACAGGCAACCTACAGAATGGGAGAAAATTTTTGCAACCTATCCATCTGACAAAGGGCTAATATCCAGAATCTACAAGGAACTTAAATAAATTTGAAGAAAAAAACAACCCCATCAAAAAGTGGGCGAGGGATATGAACAGACACTTCTCAAAAGAAGACATTTATGTGGCCAACAAACATACGAAAAGAAGCTCATCATTACTAGTCATTAGAGAAATGCAAATCAAAACCAAAATGAGATACCATCTCATGCCAGTTAGAGTGGCGATCATTAAAAGGTCAGGAAACAACAGATGCTGGAGAGGATGTGGAGAAACAGGAACACTTTCACACTGTTTGTAGGAGTGCAAATTAGTTCAACCATTGTGGAAGACAGTGTGGTGATTCCTCAAGGATCTAGAAAGAGAAATACCATTTGGCCCAGCAATCCCATTACTGGGTATATACCCAAAGGATTATAAATCATTCTACTATAAAGACACATGCATATGCATGTTTACTGCAGCACTATTCACAATAGCAAAGACTTGAAACCAACTCAAATGCCCATCAGTGATAGACTGGATGAAGAAAATGTGGCACAGATACACCATGGAACACTATGCAGCCATAGAAAAAGGATGCACTCATGTCCTTTGCAGGGACATGGATGAAGCTGGAAACCATCATTTTCAGCAAACTAACACAGGAACAGAAAACCAAATGCTGCATGTTCTCATTCATAAGTGGGAGTTGAACAATGAAAACACATGGACACAGGGAAGGGAACATCACACACCAGGGCCTGTCAGGGAGTGGGAGATTAGGGAAGGGATAGCATTAGGAGAAATACCTAATGTAGATGACGGGTTGATGGGTGCAGCAAACCACCATGGCACGTGTATACCTATGTAACAAACCTGCATGTTCTGCACATGTATCGCAGAAATTTAAAAAAAAAAAAAAGTATCACCCCATCCAAACTGCTGGTACCCTACCTTCTTTCAGGTCAATGTTGGCATTCTGAGTCAATCTACTTCTCATTTACTTTTCACTCATGCTCTTTCATTTTCAGTTCATTTACTAAACACCTATAATTTCTTCATTCCAGCCCTCAAAAAGTTCATTTTCATAATGATAACTGAAGCTCTTAGAACAAAAACATCAAGTACCAGCAAAAGATGCACTTGCTTTATTTGAACAGGCATCACAGTATCAGAAAAATCTCAGCACTGGGGAAGGTATACAGGCTGTATCACTCCCTTTTCACTGCTTATCAAATCAAATACTCCAAGCCTCCATTTCCAGGCTTGCCAGCAAGGCTTCCTTCAGGGCCCCTTAGCTTACTATTAATATTATCCAGACACACCGACTTCCCCATATGTTCTATTGCTCTGTTCTTGTGGAACTTAAGACTGTTTCCCTCTAGAGACACCTTAAGTGCCACCTCCTCTCCAAAACCTTTTCCTAAACTCCCTCAGTACTCTGGACCTCAGATGCAACATCCCTTACCCCTAGTTAATCTTATTTGTCCCCTATCTCCCCTATGAGCTGGGCTTATTCAGACTCACCTGTTTTCAACTAAACTTTCCAATTGAAGACAAGCGGCAAAGCAGCTGAATTAAATGAAAAGGATGATATATTTTTCCAAGCTAGCTATTTTCAAATATTTTTTACTACCAGAATAAAATGAAGTACTTAGGATATAGCAAAGCCTCATTGTTAGTTAAATGGAAAAAAAAAGTTGGTCCATTATAATTTGAGGGAATGCCAAGATGTTTCAGAATACATTCTACATAGATAAACTAATAAAAGAGACAGATAGCATGATGGCCTGTGGGGCCCAGGGCTGCCCAAGACCTACGGATATAGTTTCCTTGGTCCACACAGCATTTTCAGAAAATGTAAACTGAATGCCAATGTTCAAAATTCCACCGAATTTTTACATAAAATGTGGATTTCCAGATTCTTTTTAAAAACTGGACATTTTGGCAACACTTAGACTACGTGCCTCTTAACTAAGGCTAAACGGAGGCAAGCCTTTCCAGACTGCCATGGTGCTACGACTATTGAGCTACCTGACCCTCTTCAGCTACCTGCCTGACCTTCGAGTCATCTGAATCTGTGATGCCTGGTATAGTGAGTAAAGGAGACAGAAAAAGAGATTTACGGGCAAGGCACAGTGGCTCACGCCTGTAATATCAGCACTTTGGGAGGCCACGGTGGGTGGATTGCCTGAGGCCAGGGTGAGACCAGCCTGTCCAACATGGTGAAACCCCATCTCTACTAAAAATACAAAAAGTAACCGGGTATGGCTGCATGCGCCTGTAGTCCCAACTACTCAGGAGGCTGAGGCAGGACAATCACTTGAACTAGGAAGGTGGAGGTTGCACTGAGCCAAGATCGGGCCACTGCAATCCAGCCTGGGCGACAGGCGAGACTCTGTCTCAAAAAAAAAAAAAACCAAACAAAACAAAAAACAGATTTAGGTCTTAGTGGCAACTCTGCCACAAACCAGCAGAATAACCCTCAGCAAGCTTTTAGGCCTCAGGTTTCTTACTCCTGAACAAGTATTAAAAGTCTGGTCCTGAGAGTTTATGAGGCATCCACTGAAAAGCAACTGCTGAATTTTCCTTCCTAATTCACACTAGAAGTAGTGACATAACAAGCCTCAATATGAAATGTTCTCAAAGCACAGTTAAGACAGCTGACACCACATTCCACTGTTCAAAGAAGTTACAAATGGCAAGCTGTTTTATAAAGCTTTTGGTGGACTTTAAAAAAATTTTTTTTTTTTGAGACACAGTCTCACTCTTTATCACCCAGGCTGGAGTGAAGTGGTGCAATCTCAGCTCAAGCAAACTCCATCTCCCTGGTTCAAGCGATTCTGGTACCTCAGCTACCCAAGTAGCTGCGATTATAGGTTTGCACTAACATGCCCAGCCAACTTTTGTACTTTAATATTTTTATTTATATATTTGATATTTTTAAATATTTATATTTTTTTAGTGGAGACGGGGTTTCACCATGTTGGCCAGGCTGTTCTCTAACTCCTGACCTCAAGTGATTTGCCTGCCTCGGCTTTCCAAAGTGCTGGGATTATAGGCATGAGCCACCATGCCTGGCGGACTTTAAAATATTTCTAATAGAAAAGTTAAATCAACTTTCTTTATGGCTATAAAAGTACCCATGTCCACTAGATAACTTGGAAAACACAAATAAACAGCACGTATGATTTGGATAGAGTTTTCATGTTTTTGTCTCACCAGCAGTTTACTACAATGGAGGAACTCCTCTAAGGGCATTACTATAACTATGTGAACTTTAATAATGATACTAATAAAAGAATATTTAATAGACATCTATTGAGAACTTATGCTCCTGGTATTGTAAGTAATGTTTATATGCATTACCTTTTCATTATTTAATCCTCACAACAACTCTATAAGGGCATAGGAAAATTATTATTTTTCTTTTTATTTTATGGAGATAGCACCTGAGGCTCAGAGAGGTTGAGTAGCTTTTTCAAAGTCACACCGCTGGTATATGCCAAAGCTATGGTTCACAACTAAGTCTGTCTGGCTATTAACAGCCACTACAATGTATAAACTCTTAAAGCTATAGAAAAATCATGCCTGCTGTGGTAAAAATTTGAAAACTTTTTAAAAACCATAGAAAACTTTTTAAAAACAGTAAATGGAAAAAAAAGCTAACATTTTGGCTTTCTTTTCTACTCTCCCTTTTTTGTCTTTAATAATTCAGATGATACTAAATATATAATTTCATAATCTGTTTTCACTTTTAAAATCAACATTTTCTCTTGTCATTAATGCATTTGCAGTCTATAATTTAATAGCTTTATTTATTAGATTAACATTAGGTTTTTAGTATCCCTTATTATAAACGATGCTCCAGAGAACACTTTCGAGGAAATCTGCTTGCATTTTGAATTTTTCCAAATGATAAACTTCTGGGAAAATGGGAAGAGTTGAGACAAAGTGCCAGAGAAGAAAAGTTTTCTACAAGCCTGCCTTTGGATACTGGCCAGCTCCCTGGAATGAGAGTTCCAGAGCCCAAACAAGGTAAGGAGAAAGACCACCCAAGGAAGGGGGAAACAGAAGATTGGTTACATATGGGGCATTGATGTAATATCTAAATACATTAAGAATGATGAGAACCAGGTTTCCCTTTGCCCAAAAGGGAGGTACAAATATGAGCAGAGACAAAACTAGAAAGCATCCTGCGTTTGATTCGAAAAGGATGCACCTGTGTGAACTCATGAGCCTCCACATATATATAGAAATATAATTGTAAATGTGTGTATATGTATATACTAATGTATATACATACACATGCATGTATATACATACTTATATTCCTTGGCTCTAATGACTGGGCTTTGGAGCAGCAAATCCCTCAATGGCAAGGAGTACACTTAGAGAGTCTAGACCTTGATTTCTAAATACCACACTCCATCAAAAGGAGCCAGGGCTTAATGGCCAATTCCAGGACCAAGGCAGGTAAAACCCAAGACAAGCTTAGAACATCTTGTGCCAGAAAACAAGAAAAGTGCTCAAAGATAATGGAGTCATCTCTAAAAAGACACTGAAGCCAGCCTGAAGGAGCTCCTACTAGCCAAACTAGGGGGTGAGAGGGGTAATTTGAGCACCAAAATACAGTAACAGATTATATCCCACTGAATTAAATAAGACTCCGAGAGTGTACAGATATAAATAAATAAATGAATTGAAACACGATATTTACATAGTTTCAAATGATCTCTTCACAAAACAATCATTACAGTAGAAGAGTGATTTTAGTGAAGACACTTGGCAAGCATCGCCTTAATTGAGTAATCAAAGGTAATACCACCAATAACAAGACGAATGGAAATCACATGCCACCTAAAGTATGCCGTGAAAAAAGCACAGCATCACTTCTGTGATTATTTCCTGCCAAAGACACAATTGATGGATGTTCTACAAAATAGCCTGTGATTTTCCTAAGTGTCAAGATTGGGAAAAATCAAGCAAAGCTTGAGAAACTGTTCCAGATCAAAGGAGATTAAAGAAACAGGACTTACTCAGAGCAAATTGCAATTGGGAACAGATCTTTTTGCCATGAAGAACCTTACTGGGACAACTGGCAAAATCTGAACCGAGTCTGAGGATAAAATGGTAGAAATGTATCAGTGATAATTTCCTGATTGTGACGGCTGCACCGTAGTTATGTCTGTCTGTAAGCCGTACTAAAGTAAACAGAGTGACAGAGCAGCAGGTTGGCACTTTACTGTCAAATGGTTCCCTTCCACTCCCCAGAGATGGTACACCCTGCAGCCCCTCTGACTCCACAGTTCGAGTCTTCATCTCTCCTGGTGTTGGCTCCCCTTTTGAAGTTGGGGGCCAGAGAAGCAAAAGAGTACAGGATCAGAAGTTGAAATATTTGGCTTTAAGTTTTGGTTCTTGGCTTTCTAGGTGTGCTCACTGAGCAAGACACACCCAGTTGTCTTCCCGGTAAAACAGACAACAAAAAGTTGCTTCAAGGGAAGCAGGTGAAGGGAAGGTTCTGCACAGCGTTGTTGTTAATAGTGAAAATGTGGATACTTAAAAGGCCCAACATGCCGGGCGCGGTGGCTCACGCCTGTAATCCCAGCACTTTGGGAGGCCGAGGCGGGCGGATCACGAGGTCAGGAGATCGAGACCATTCTGGCTAACACGGTGAAACCCCATCTCTACTAAAAATACAAAAAATTAGCTGGGCATGGTGGCGGGCGCCTGTAGTCCCAGCTACTCGGGAGGCTGAGGCAGGAGAATGGCGTGAACCCGGGAGGCGGAGCTTGCGGTGAGCCGAGATCGCGCCACTGCACTCCAGCCTGGGCCACAGAGCGAGACTACGTCTCAAAAAAAAAAAAAAAGGCCCAACATTTGATGAACGGTCAAATAAATCATGACACATCCTTACCGTGTAGTCACTAAAACTGATGTTTACAAAATCTTTTCACGGAACGAGATGTTCCTTTAATTAACAAAACTGGGATTTAAAAAAAAATAGTTCTCAAAGACTGAACCACCAACCTGCAAATGACTGTGCATGACACCCCTTGCTACTTGCCTCAAGCTCCTCTGCTACCACGCGAACCAAGCAATGCCCCTCCAGGTGGCCGGCCTCCGCCAGGCCTGCGGAGATCCAGGTTACGCTCCGATGGGTCCGCAATACTCTGCGCACACACTCCCTCCATAAGCGGCACACGCTGAGGACGCAAACGCACAAAGGATTGCGAACGGACGTTCATTTTCGTCTCTCCCACAGCTCACAAACCCCCACCCGCTGGCGCAGCAGCAGGAGATCCCTGCGGGATCCAAAGTCCCCGGGGTAGGTAGGTGTCAGTCAGGGCGCTAGTTCGGAAGAAGAGCCAGATATGGAGAAAACCTTAAGGGGAACTTCGCCCCTCAGGGAAGTCCCCCCGGGGCACCACGGCTGGGAGATACCTCGCGGGTAGGGGGTCACCTCAGGTAGGGCGAGCGAGCCGGGGACGGCCCTGGTGGGTCCCAAGGGTCTCTCCCCCCACCCCGCCAGCCTGGGACATGCCCACGGCGTGTCCCCAGGCAAGCTTCCCGCCTCCGCCTCCTCTCCTCACCAGGCCACCCGCAGCAACGCCTTGGCGGGCAGGAAGGTGAGCACACGCTCCACCACCTCCGCCAGGTTACTCAACACGAAGGTGCTCCGCGGGTCTACGGAGGAGCCGCGGCACTCGCCGCAGCAGCCTACCGGCTCCATTCCTCACCAGCCCGCCGGAACCAGTCCTACGGCGGCTCGGAGGAACCCGATTACGCCAGCATAGGGTTGCCCGGCCGGCGCGCACTGAGCAGGCGTCCGCGCCACTTCCGGCTGGACGGGGAAGGTGGGCGTGGCAACGCCGGTGCGTTCCCTCGTCTGGAGCCCGTACTCCGAGGTGTACTCCGTTCCGTAATACGCTCGGAACTGTTTTCTTCATTTTTGAGATTGGGTCTAATGCTGTGGCCAGGCGGGAGTGGAGTGGCGCGGCCTCTGCTCACTGCAGCTTCTACCTCCCAGGCTCAAGCGATCCTCCCGCCTCAGCCTCCCTCGTAGCTTTAACTACAAGCTCCCGCCACCACGCCCAGCTAATTTTTGTATTTTTTGTAGAGACGGGTTTCCAGGCTGGTCTGAAACTCCAGGGCTCAAGCGATACTCCCGCCTGGGCCTCCCAAGGTGCTGGAATTACAGACATAAGCCACCGCTCCTGGCAACTTTCTAGGAGGCCTCCTGCAGTGAAAATAAATTCTTCTTCTGTGCCTGTGCCTCTCACTGCCCTGGCACCGCCATATTTCTGAGTTTACATCTTTCTCTAATTCACAAATTCCTTGCAGGGACTAGGTAGTACTTATTGCTCTTCGTAGTCCCAATGCCTGTTTAAATAGCATAAGCTCGATTTATAAACGGACGTTTGCTTTTAAAAAATTGTCTTAGTGTGTGAAAATCACTGCCTTTATTCCTTGTAAACTTAGTTAACTCGTTGTAATCTTCAGGTTTAAAGTTTCGAATGAGTAAAATGGCATAAATAGCACCTGCCATTCTAAGGTAGCTGAGTGAGATGATTGCTGTGAAGCACGCCCCAAGCTGTGCACCAGTTCCCCGCCAGGGACATCAGATTCACCTGGAAACTACTAAGTTTTAGCACATTCCCGGTCCTTATCCCAGACCTCCTGAATCAGACACTGGGGGTGAGGCCCAGCAATCTGTTTTAACACACTTTATGACGATTCTGATGCATGCTCAAACTGAGAACCACCAAGAAATGGAAGCACAGCAGACACAGGTTTGTCCCCACCTAACATCCATTCCTCCCGCCAATTCCTTCCTAAGGGAGCCCTGATTTGATCGCCAGATCTTGGGCAGAAACTTGGTCTAAATTAGCAGTTCTCATTATGGCCTCAGGACCCTTTACACCCTAAAATATTGACACGACCAATAGTTTATGTGTGTTATGACTATCAATATTTACCATATTAAAAATTAAATCAGAACATCTTAATGCTTAACTCTTTTTAAAAAACCGATGTTATACATTAACGAAATATTTTTATGGAAAACAATTATTTCCCAAATCCTCCTTCCCCCACTGGTGGATAGTATGACATTGTCAGTGGCATAAGCCTCCTGAGTAGCTGTGGTTTTTTTCTTTTTTTTGGTAGACCCAGGGTCTATGTTGCCCAGGCTGGTCTCAAACTCCTGGCCTCAAGACATCCCTCTGCCTCCGCCTCCCAAAGCGTTGAGATTACAGGTATGAGCCACCAAGCCCAGCCAGTTTTTTCCCATAGTCTATTTATAGGCGCAGCTGCTTAAGGAAGCCAGATGGCCCAGATGTCACCAGAGCTTCCTGACCCCTTGCGGAATACCAGAGGAAGATAAACAGGCGCCCTCCAGTTACCTTTAGATAATTAACATAATGCTAAAATCCTCTCCCTAAAGAAAGCTCACTGGCATCTTACGAACATGGATGTATGAAGCAGCATGTTCAGGGACTATGCCTGCTTGTCTGGAACTCCAGTCTGTGCATGCCGTTCATACCTCCCCCGCCCCTCAGCTAACTCTTTAAACTCCCCAGCCTCCCATCCCTCTGGGAGAAGGTGCCTTTAGAGTATGAGCTCCCCTTCTCCATTCTCTGGCTACTGAATGAAACCTGACTGCCTTTCAAAGTGGGCGTTCTTTCTTTGTGGCTGATATAAAGTAGGGAAAGAGGACAGTTTACCAGTGACGGCATCACTACATTTTTGCAAATATTTAATTTGTCTTAATAGAAGACAAATAGATTCTCATATTTGCTTCTGAATTCAATCTGTTGCAAAATCACATCATGTAGCCTCTGGAAAATTCCATTGTACACATGGAAGAATGAGTGAAAATGGCAAATGTTTTAATATTATGAAAATAGTCTTTTAAAACCTCTTGAAATGGTCTCAGGGGTCTCCAGTGTTCCCCAAATAAGGCTTTGAGAACCATTTGTGCAAACTAATCACGATGGTTTCATTCTTTTCACCACCATTGGTTTAGGGGTGGGCACAGGTCCCTGATGTAGCCAAGGAAAGGCAAGAGGCAGTGTGCTTGATGGGATGGTGCTTTTAGAGATTTCCTCACCTCCTAAGGAGACACTAGAAGACAGGGCCATTTATCTACCTCTGGATCAAGTAAGGGGGCTGCACATAACATGCAACCAAAAGATGAAACCAACATAGAAAAATCTCAAGGAAGCAGAGCAAAGCCCAGATGTACAGTACCTGGAGTTGTCCTACCTCTGGACTTCTTGTATGTGAAATAATCTGTCAATTGTGTGCAAGGAGGCCATGGGTATGCTAAGGAAGGAGCAGATTATTTTCACTGGGGGAACTAAGGATAGCCATAAGGAAAAAGTAGCACTTGAATTTATAATGAGAATGGAAGAGGAAAAAGGCGGAGGAAAAGGTGACTATTGTACAGACTATTTCCAGGTTCTTTCACACTTTCACTTTCTCTTGTTAAATCTGCCTGTCTTCCAAGCCTCCCCTCACCACTTCCCTCCTTAAATATCTTATTCCAGAAACTCAATAAAGCCTACAAACACATCAAGCAGAGTTTTCTTATGAGGGAAAAATGAGAAAGTAATCTTTTTTTTGCTTGCCATGATCAGCACAAACAAAATTTTTAAATGGTTCTTTATTCATAAACTTGATGCAAGTTTACAAAATTTACTGTACATTGCCAAATAAATCTGCAATTAAAAATAAAATCCATTAAACAAAGCATGCCAAATGTGCAGCTATCAGTCTGCTTGCCATCAGGATATTAAAGAATTCAACAATGTATTCAAGATTTAGCCTTAGGCTTAAGGAACTTTACTGATTTAAAGAATTCTGCCTTGTCACTTGTTATCTGAGCAACTGGCAATCAGAACTTTATACAAATGTAATCAAGTGAACAAGAATACCAGAAAATCTATTTACTGCTCTCTTAACCAAAATGGAATCAAAAGAAATTAAACACACACAATGTAGAAATGACAAGTCTCTCAGATGTGGTTTACAAAGTTAAAAACTGAATCTCAAAGCTAATGCACAAGAAACACTTTTGAACTTTGTAACTTGTTTGTGCAGAAAAATGTGCTTCTGGATTTGTTAAAAGTGCTTAAGAACTAGAATTTACTTTTAAATCAAACGTGGGTGTATAAAAAAATCTATTACCAACCAAAAAGGACTGATTCAGGTAAGGCAATAAAATGGAGAGTACCTTGATTTGAGTCAGGTTCTATAAAAAAATTAACATATGTAGAGTTTCTATTAATCTTTCAATGTAAAAGCCATTGTTTTGACATGGCAAAAATTACTGTAAGAGTCTCCAAATTAAGTATCTTTTTGTACTTAACTGCACAGCTTTTGCTCAAGGAGTCTTTGTGCCAATCACTTTATAAGTTTATTAGTTTACAAACGATTGCAACATCCCGTTAATAAAATGGAAACGTAAGATGACTTAGTATTTTAAATAACTTGAAGCTCTGTACTGTGGCTCTTGTTCATAAGAAACACTGAACCAACAAGCAGCAGATTCAGCCCAGCCAAGACTCTGATGCCCCAGTGGAAATCACTACTCACAAGCCTTAATTGATACAGTTTTACACTGCTTTGCCTAAGAAGTACAATACAACTCAATTAAGAGTATTATCTTCAGGAAACAATTCATATCTTCACATAGTCATTAAAAAGTTTAACAATTTAATGAGTAGGTTTCCTATCACATTTTGGCAATATCATAAAATGGTTTTAGACATGAAAGAGCTATTATGATTTAGAAGGCCTTAAATTTCCTAAACCAATATTGAACATCGATTAAACCTGTATTGGCTGTAAATGGAACAATATATTGCAAATCCTTGTAACCCATGGGCTCAATATAGGAAAGTTACCCTAAAGCCTCAACTTCAGTAGCCTGATGTTGACTTGGCTGCTTTAAAAAGTTCACTTTTCAAGAAAAAGAGATAAGGAGTGGCCAGTATGTGTATTTATCAGGAAAAATACAGTAAAGGCCCCACTGCTCAGTCCAAGATATCTAAAATGAGCAAAATGCAAAGGCTGTAACTTATACTGGATGTCAGATGACAGATTATCCACTAAAATATCTATTAACTAACATCTTCGGTACTGCTGTAATAGGGGCACTCAAAGCTTTTGTCTGCATGTTAGAAAGATTTTCTTTAAAGCAACATTAGTCCAAACATACAACAGTCAACACATTTAGCCATCTTCCTTTGGAGGGGTGTACCAGCCTGAAATAGAATGAAAAAAAAAAAGTTAAAATAATTCTTAAATAAATTAGAAGAACTGGCATGTAATAAGGTTAGCTACAGTCTCTTTTCATAATTTTGGTGTTTAAAATCTACCGTAAAAAATATATATATATATTATATATATATTTTTTGAGACAGAGTTTCACTCTGTTACCTAGGCTGGAGTGCAATGGCGCAAACTCAGCTCACTGCAACCTCCACCTCCCAGATCAAGCAATTCTCCTGCCTCAGCCTCCCAAGTAGCTGGGATTATAGGCATGCGCCACTATGCCCCACTAATTTTTTTTTTTTTTTTTTTTTGGTATTTAGTAGAGACAGGGTTTCACCATGTTGGTCAGGCTGGTCTCCAACTAATGACCTCAGGTGATCCACCCACCTCCACCTCCCCAAAGTGCTGGGATTACAGGTGTGAGCCACTGCACCCAGTCTACTCTAAAAATTAAACTTACACTTGGATTGGGAACACTGCATTTTGCTATTTCACAACAGAAAGTTATTTTCTATGAATAAATTGTACCTGAGTTTTCAACACAAGAGCTCTGTATTAATGGCATCTCTAGCTAAAGATGACTGTGGAATATTAGACTAAAAGAATAAGTTTTATTCCACTTCAGTTCTATACTTGAAAGTAAGCCTCATGGAAAGTACTTATTTCCCCAAACAAAATCCTGGCGATTTAGAATACAAGGAACTTGGACTGTTATCGGAGCCATAACGTCATTTCACAATGACAAGGAAGCCATCGCAGCAGGTGCAATGACTAAATGACTATGCCTAAAATCAGAGTTAGTAGCAGGCCAAACTAGAATCCATCTTGAGCTATTGTACAACATGGTGACTATAGTTAACAATATACTATATTCTTGAAAAATGTTAAGAGTGGATGTAAAGTGTCTCACCATAAAAATGATAACTATGTAAGGTGATGCCTAGGTTAATTAGCTAGATTTAGTCATTCCACAGTTATGTATACTTCAAAACTTTGTACACAGTAAGTATAATATCTATTTTTTTAAAATAACAAAAAAATTTTAAGATTTAAAAAAAAACAAAACCCTAGAAGTCATCTCCCCTGCTTCTGACTCTATTACTCTTTCATCACAGCTAAGCTTACACATACCCACACACTCTCAAATACAGCATTTTCTATAAATATTTTTTGAATGCCAGTTGTAATGGTTAAGAAATAAAAACAAAGATAAGAAGAAATCTGTGTCCCAGGTTCCGCAAAAACCTAAGCTCTCTATAAAAAGGCAAATTAGACTAAGTACTGTTTAGTATGAAACTTTAGAATAGTATGAATATGCCAAGATCTATAAAGTATCAAAGTAGTACACAGGTTTCTTTGGATCTAATTTTGTGTGCTAGAAATTATTATTATGAAAACCTGGCCTTGTCCTCAAATTTTATCGTTTCTCTCTTCTGCTTGAAAATTTTGTTTTGAATACTATTTCCATAAGTAAGCAATCACTGAAAGAGTGACAAGTTTGCTTTGTCATTAAAATAAATGAGCACAAAACACAAATCTTAAGTCACAAACTGACACATTTCTAGCAAAGTAAAGAATACTTTACAGGCATGGTGGCTTGTGCCTACAGTCCAAGCTACTGAGGAGACTGAGGCAGGAGGATCACATCAGCCCAGGAACTTGAGGCTGCAGTCCACTATGATCACGCCTGTAAACAACCACTGCACTCCAGTTATAACAACAAGAACTCCATCTGTAAGGAGTTGCCTTTAACTCAGTTCCTAATATTTCAAGTAAGTAAAGTGAGTCATTCATTAATCTACTAAAAAAAAAAAAAAAGAAATCTTGATTCTGACTCTGAGATACCTAGGCCAAGTGTATAGGATACAAAAATTTTGACTGAAGTACAATGTTAAGGTTTTGTGGTGCAGTGGCTTACACCTGTAATCCCAGTACTTTGGGAGGCCGAGGCGGGCGGATCACAAAGTCAGGAGATCGAGACCATCCTGGCTAACACAGGGAAACCCGGTCTCTACTAAAAATACAAAAAAGGCACCTGTAGTCCCAGCTACTCGGGAGGCTGAGGCAGGAGAATGGCATGAACCTGGGAGGCGGAGCTGGCAGTGAGCTGAGATAGTGCCACTGCACTCCAGCTGGGGTGACAGAGCGAGACTCCGTCTCAAAAAACAAATAAAATAAAATAAAATAAAATAAATAAATAAATAAATAAAGATTTTGTATGCAGCACAAGTTTCTTTCACCATGGTAACAGCATTTTAAGAAACTAAAGCAAAAACAGAAAAATAAAATGGTAAGTATTAATACATTATCTAAAACTTCTTAAATGGCAATAAACACTTATTGAATTAAACATACCATTTTTCTCATGTATCTGTACAATGGAATTATAGGATTGTTGGGCTCTTGCTAGATTATATTGATTCTGAAAGAGAATTACACATTTTAAATCAAAAGTGTAATTAGGTGAAAATTATTACAATAAATTTATGAATGCATCACACTGTGCTTAAAAGAACATGGGAAACTGACTATCTCCATTTCAAAAACAATTTTAACTTAATAGCCTCATTTCTCAGTTTCATTATTCTCTACAATTTTATAAAAATAACAAAACCAAAATTGTACCCCAATAAAACTCAACAAGCCTCACAGTTCATTTTTATAAGTCTTCCTACCATTGGACAAGTACAAAGCTTTCTGGTTCTAGAGTCCGTCTCCATATTGCTGAATCAAGTTAAAGGATTATATCTGGATGTTAATAAAACTCAAACTGTCTTCACACAATTTCTATTTTTAAAAAAACTACAAAATATTACTTTCAGATAAGAAAATATTAAGCTTCCACAACTATACATATGAATGACATTTTAAGTTAGAAATCTAAAGAATGCCCATAATTGTCACCATGCTTACTAAAGGAGCCCTCTTTTGATAAAAATATACAATCTTTTTAAGGAGCCAAATCTAGGATTAATTTTGTCACCATAAGTACAACCAACCTATATCTTCGCTTCGAATTAATATACCAGGAGCACTCTCCATAGTGGTACCCATCTATCCACTATATTATGTGGCAGAAATTTTTGCATAATAAATTCACACAGCACAAGACTCAAAAATGTCTACATCCTAAGTGAAAACTCTCCCTCCTACTTGGTGCCCTGAACACCCAGTTTCCTCCCGTTCATCCCCCTTCCTCCACACAAGTTAACCACTATTACTAATTTCTTGTATGTCCCTCTTTAAGATTATTCATGTACAGCCCACTGTTATTAGCCACTGTCCCTGGCTTTCCTTCACTAACAGTTGCATGCTACAGACACTGGTCTGCCCCTTTTCTTGTCTAGCATATCTTGGAGAATGTTCCTTATCAGTATAGAACATACCTGTTTTAAACACTGAAATATTTCTATTATATGGATATTCAAATATTTAATCAGTCCCCTATTGGTGGACATCAGGGTTTCTCAATATTTTGCTGTTATAATGTTGCCAAGAGCAACCTTGTACGTATATCTGCTGAGTACTGGTAAAAATGTCCTAGAGTAGAGCTGCTGTGTCAAAAGATATATATGTGTAATTCTGAGATATTGCTAAATTGCCCTCTACATAACTGCACAAATGTGTCTGCCCACCAGCCATCTGTAAGAGTGCCTCGATGCAGCCTCACCAATGCAGTACTTCAAACATTTGTAGATTTCTGACAATATACTAGATGGACTCCCAGTATAGTTTTGATTTGTATTTCTATTGAGTGAGACTGAGCATGTCTCCATTATGTTCATGAGCCATTTATTTCTATTTCTGTAAACAGACTTTTTATACCCCCTTTTCCTATTTTTTTTTAACATGTTAAATTTATGTAAGGACTTTTCCTATTTTTCTACAGGGTAGTCTTTTTCAACATCTAAGAGCTCTTTAAAATAGTAAAGCCGGCCAGGCACGGTGGCTCACACCTGTAATCCCAGTACTTTTAGAGGCTGAGGCAGGTAGATCACCTGAGGCTGGGAGTTCAAGACCAGCCTGACCAACACGGAGAAACCCCGTCTCTACAAAAATACCAAATTAGCCAGGCGTGGTGGAGCACACCTGTAATCTCAGCTACTTGGGAGGCTGAGGCAGGAGAATCGCTTGAACCCAGGAGGCAGAGTTTGCAGTGAGCCCGAGATCGTACCATTGCACTCCAGCCTGGGCAACAAGAACAAAACTCCATCTCAAAATTTTTTTTTTTGAGACGGAGTCTCGCTCTGTCACCCAGGCTGGAGTGCAGTGGCACAATCTCGGCTCACTGCAAGCTCCGCCTCCCGGGTTCACGCCATTCTCCTGCTTCAGCCACCCCAGTAGCTGGGACTACAGGCGCCCGCCACCACGCCCAGCTAATTTTTTGTATTTTTAGTAGAGACAGGGTTTCACCGTGTTAGCCAGGATGGTCTCGATCTCCTGACCTTGTGATCCGCCCACCTCGGCCTCCCAAAGTGCTGGGATTACAGGCAAAAAAGTTTTTGTTTTAGTACTTTCACAAAAAGGACAAAAATAAAAGAAACAAACTGGACGTAAAAACTATACATACCCTGAAACTCCCAAATGACTGTGAAGCAGTCACTTTCCAACCCTACTGCCCACCACCCAGAATACAAGGAGAAAATAAGAATGTTGGCCTTCCCCAGTCTCAATTATCAGTAGCAAGGTACTCAAAAGCCCAGTTTAAACAAATGTTTCTGCAGAGACTTTACTGTACTGGGGGTCTAGCCCTTCCTATTCTTCTAACTCACTGATTTCTGCTTGTATATCTTTAATAATTTCCCCATTCTGCTTTCCTTCAGGTTCTTTTAAGAGATGGAGTCTTGCTCTGTCACTCAGACTAGAGTGCAGTGGCTGGATCTCAGCTCACTGCAACCTTCACCTCCTGGGTTCAAGGAATTCTCCTACCTCAGCCTCCTGAGTAGTTGGGACTACAGGCGCCTGCCACGATGCCCAGCTAATTTTCATGTTTTGTTTTGTTTTGTTTTTTTTACAGAGATTGGTTTCACCATGTTGCCCAAGGTGGTCTCGAACTCCTGAGCTCAGGCCATCCACTCATCTCAGCCTACCAAAGTGCTAGGATTATAGGAGTAAGCCACTGTCCCTGGCCTCCTTCAGGTTTTTTTTATTGTCCTTTCTAACAATCAGAGGCTTGATTCATTTTCATTCTTTTCTTAATGGCACAAGGATTTGGCAATGAACATTCCTCTGAGCTCTCCTTTAGTCTCTGATAAGTAATGATTGCATTATTGCTATTCTCTAGATATTCTGCAGTTTTAATTTCAAATCCCTGTTTGACCTAAAGGCTGTTTGCATGAGTTATACAATTCCAGAAAGAAGTATCTGTTTTCTGGTTTTATTATTAACTTATAGATTTAACTAAGATCAGAGAATGACACTGTCCTTTTCTGTTTTTCAGTATTTGAAGTGTTGTTCATTGAAAAAGATTAGCTTCTTGAATGTTCCAGACAGGAAGAGGGAGGGAGAGGAGGGGAGAAAGGAATAGATAGAATTTTAGTAATTTTAATTATGGTTCAATTCTAAGCATTTTAAAATTTCATTTTACTTTTTAAAACTATGATTTACAAGTGTGTTTAATTTCCAAATTCACATAGCTTTTTGTTAATCTCTTCATTATTGCCTTCTAACCTTAATTGCTTCATATTTAAATTATATGGTATGTATGGTACCAACTGTTTTTAAATCGTCTGATTTTATGGATCTATAATTAATTTTTCTCCCATAGTCCATATATGCTTGAGAACGATCTATATCTAATTATTGGGTACAGAGGTCTATATTTGTCTATTATACCATGCCTGTTCACTGGTTGTTCAAATCTACATATGGGCATTCTGTTTATCTTACTAGTAGTACACAGGGTATGTTGAAATCTCCAACTGTGATGGTGGACTTGTCAACTTCTCCCTGTGGTTTTATCAGTTTTTCCTGGGTATTTTGAGGCTATTCTGATAGGTACATAAAATACAAAAATTGCTATATCCTCCTAATTAACACTTATTATCAAATTGTTACTAATGCTTTCTGTTCCAGAATCCTATTTTGTTTGATACTAAAGCTGCATCATTTGTTTCTAGTTAATGTATACTGGCATATCTTTATCACTCTCCTTTATAAAAACTTTCAACCTTTTTGTACCTTCATATTTTAAATATATAGATTAAAACAGCTGGATTTTATTAATTCAATCTAACTGGTAACTTTAGTCCATTTACATTTGTTGTGACTGATTTATATAGACTTGCTTCTATCACCTTTACAACTTCTATTTCTCTCACTTTCTAGTGTAATTCTAATATCTCCTCCTGGGATTCCACTAAGACATATTTTAGACCTCATTCTGATCTCTCCCCACCAACCCCACCAACTTCTGCCCTATCATCTATCCTCATGTCTCTCTGTGTAACATTCTAACTTATTTTTTTGAGATAATCATCTAATCAATTAATTCTCTTCTGGTGTCTAATCTACTGAGTTTCTTATTTCAACAATTACATTTTTTATTTTGAGACAGAGTCTCACTGTCACCAAGGCTGGAGTGCGCAAACATGCCTCAGTGCAGCCTCGGTCTCCTGGGCTCAAGTGATCTTCCCACCTCAGCCTCCTGAGTAGCTGAGACTATAGACAGGTACCCCATACCCAGCTAATTGTTTTTTTAGGGTGGGGGGCGTATTTTTTGTGTAGACGAGTTCTCACCATGTTCCCCAGGCTGGTCTCCAACTCCTGGGCTCAAGCCATCCTCCTGCCTCGGCCTCCCAAAGTGTTGAGATTACAGGCGTGAGCCACCATACCCATCTACATTTTTTAATTTCTGTAAGTTCTATTTCATCCATTTTCTTTTCAGGTCTTCTTCATCATTCCTGGTGGTCTTGCTGCTTGCTCAATTTTATGATTCCATCTTTTTTTCTTTATATTAGATTTCACATATAACTATTTTCTCACAATTCTAATATCTGAAGTCTGTGTTCTGTATCTGATAATTCCAAAACCTACTGTCCTTGGGAAACATATCTATTATTTATTATTTCTGACAATTCTCAAATATGTTGGGTTGACTATTTGAATGCTATGATTTGAGTGAATTCTTTTAATCTTTGGGAATCCTACAGGCTTAAATTAGAGATGCTTTCCTACAAAAAGTATCTGTGTCTGCTTCTGATGACAGCTGTGGATACAACTAACATGAGACCACTTTACCATCTTGCACAATCCTGAGATT
Organism: Homo sapiens; assembly: GCF_000001405.40. Lineage (NCBI taxonomy): Eukaryota > Metazoa > Chordata > Mammalia > Primates > Hominidae > Homo > Homo sapiens. The sequence goes on along the minus strand of NC_000015.10, from coordinate 75,892,155 downwards.
CTCCAAGAGATCTGGCTCCCCACCCTTGCTCATTTATACACAGAAGACTAGACTGCTTAGTATAGGTAGTGACTCACTTCCTCCTACCCTGGAAAAAACAAAACAGATCTCTCTTCTGAATGTGATCACAGTCTAGGGGATTCTGTGGGAGAATAAGTGGAGGTTATGGGCAGCAGGGAAAGACAGATGCCTTTCCTGATCATAGAAATAGGTCAGAAGCTGCCCTAAAGACTGTGTGCTCCAGGATTTCACTATTTAACTCAACTACCATTCCCTCCATAGTGAATGGAAGCTTCATAAAGCACCATCTTGCCTTTAAACCACAAATTCTTGCTAAAAGTCATGGTAACAAACCTCCGGCTTTGGAAGGCTGTCTCACTAATGTCCTAAAATTAACATTACAGCCTATGCTTCAGGTTAACTGAAAAGAAAACCAGCCTGAACAACATCCTTATGTCCCATGGCTTGCTCTCAGCTCCTCTTGGTTGGGCCTAGGGCAGCCAGACTGTCTAGTTCCAATCCTTGTTCTGCCACTTGTCACCTCAGACAAGTTATCTAACTAACTTCTGTATGCTTCAGTTACCTCATCTACAAAATGCAGATAATAATAGCACCTATTTTTTAAGTTATTAAGAGGATTGAGTTAATAAAAAGATTTAAAAAAAAAAAACTTGGTAAGCATAGGCACAGAGAAAAAAAAAAGTAAAAATAAATGAAAAGACTAGAGCCTAGCACATAAAAGCTTACCAGGAATTAGTTCTATAACATGAACTCAATTTTTTAAAACTTCAAAGTACATATAATTTTTAATTTACTACACTATACATACTAATAATAAGTTTACAACTGTAAACATCTGTTTACAAATAAGTTTTTGTTTACAACTGTAAACTTATAATGTTTATCTACAGCAAATATAACAGACTAAAAACAGATACGAAATCATTAAGTGATTATCAATTAGTATCTTTAATTTTCTTATAATTCCATATTTTCTATAGATCACTTTTGTAACAAGAAGAAAACAAACCAAATGAAAATGAAACTATCTCAAAAAAGAATTAAGTCAAGACAGGAAGAAAGCTTATAAAGTAATATAAAATGTATCTTATGGTTTATGTAAAATTCTTAACAGAAGTACCTTATTTGCTCCAAACTGCACTCTGGCTTTGCCTTTGACTAAGGTGGCATTTATTTGCATGATGACCGATTCTATTGAGTAGGCACTGCTCCAGCCCTACAGAAGAACAAAGTATCTCTAAAATACAGTAGTATTTCTGATTCCCACTTGGGAAGGCCTAACAAAATGGTATATAACTCAACAGCAGCAAATCAGTGTTAAAAAGACTGTAGTCAAGGGGAAAAAGTAAAATTGGAACATTTCCAGAATCTCACAAAAAAAAACAACAAACCAATGTTCTAAGTGCCCAACATGAGCAAATTAGAACCTTAAATAAAGGTCACTCTTAATGCCTATCCTAGCATAGATTCAGCACCAAGTACAATGTCATTTTATTGGTTTACCTTTTTCATTCTTGAAAGTAGACGCTATTTTAAAAATAAACTAAAATTTAAGAGTAGGAGCTATTAAAGAATTTTCTACTTACAATCTAATTTACATGATCAAAACACTAAATTGTGGGTGAAAATGGAGTATCGTAAGAAAAGTCACCTGTTTTGTGAGAAGTTCCATACATAATGCTCCTCCACCCAATACATACCTTAAAAAGAAAAAAGGAGTCATACAAAATTCTCGAGAATTATTCCTCCTTAAACAATTTCTAAGTGCCATTACCAAGAAAATATGCACACAAGTAAGGATGAGAAAATAACATGCAAACATGACAACAGTTGTTAGGGATACAGGACTATGGGTAATTTAAAAATTCTAATGTTATCATGCTAATGTAATCCCTCTGAAATTCTAGTCAATTTTTTCTAATGGTTCTTAGAACATAATACTTTCAGATTTGTATGATATCAGTAATTAAGAACTTAGCCCTAAATATTCCAAAGAATAGGGGCAGAAGAATCAGTTTCCTTAAATGGCGTTCACGTGTTCTTTACATCTGAAACTTTCTCTACCATGTTACAGCCATGAGTTTTTCCCCTGACAATGACACTGACCTTACCCTATCCATGCTATGAAGATCTGTATGGTTTTATGGTTCAAATTGTTTTTACCCATTCTGTTGTGAGAATCAAATGGTTCTGACCATGGAGCTTCTCTCTGGGACTCCCTTAAGCTCTTTCTAGGCCTGAAGACTATTCTCTGAACAAAAGATAACTTCTGGGGATGTACCAAATCTCCCATTAGAAAATCATTACTTAGATAACGATTTTTAACCTTTATCTTTCTCAAACAAAATTTCATTTCTCCTTCAATGTTATTTTAAATTTCAAAATACATAAATATCATGCCTTAAAAAATCAAGGGAATGATAGTTTTAGAACAAAAACTGTGGTAATTTTGAAAACACAAAAGCTAAGACCACTGATTAGGTCTGTGTGGACACCAAGTCCACCACAAATTGTTCTGTCCTCCGGGGCTCTGCCCATGCCTTTCCCTTGCTTGAGATTCCTACTGCTTCCTACCCTTCCAAATGCTGTATTTCCCCCCAGAAGACTTGCCAAGACCACTCTAGCCTGCACATCTTCCATTCCAGTTAACCAAAGGCATCTTTGTGTCAACTAACCAAATTACTTTGCAGACAAGGCATCTAAAAACTTTTACTGTAGACCACTAACATTAATAATTGTTACAGTGACAATATTTAATAATAAAATAAGGGAAAGAAGTCCTTTTCATCTCCCCCATCCTGGAGAATCCAAGCAAGTGTCTCTCCCCACTTGCTTTGCCCAAACCCTGGGACCTTTCAAAGTGAAAGATTAATCTAAAAGTGAAAGAAAATCTAAAAGAAAAACTCTCCAAAAATTTAAATTCAGGCGAAGGTTCATGGGATTAAATTTTTTTTTGTGTATTCTATTTCTGAAACATAGAAATCTATCTTCCACTCTTTAACTCTCCTACTGGGCTAAAAGAGTATTGTATATAATGTGCACTCACTGATTTAACAGAATTAGAAGATCCAGGTACTCATTTAGATTTTGGTTCCACAATTGCTGAAAGCTTAATAATCGGTTGATGAGTTAACATCAAACACAATCTTCAAATTTTGGAAATGCTGATGGTAGACAGGAACTTGTTTCGGGAAAAGGAAGTCTACAGTAGACATTTTACCTGTTATCCAGTCACAACCACCTTTCCTTTAAGGTACCCCACTCTTCCTTTGAGGATGCAGAGTCTTAAGAGGTGGGGGGAAGAAAGGGAGTTTTTGGATTTTCAGGTCAAAAAGTGCATTTGTACAAGTACGTAATAACTACACAAATGTTTGTTGAACACAAGACAAGTAGTTCTAGTACCTATACAAAAAGTAAGATAACTAAACTTTTCCTTAATATACACTTTCAGCAGCATCGACACCTAAAAGTGGCCGATTCTACTTCTGTATTAAATTACATTCATTTTGTCAACAAGTGTTCCAAATTCTTACTGCTCTTTGCCTCCAAAGGGTTCCTGCTGAATACTGAGACAGTTCAAGAATACTAAGGAAAAAAACATTAATGATCTAAGTAAGGGTCATCTAAGGATAACATGCCATATATATGGACACAGTAATACTGTATTTTCAACTTTAAAAAAGTTCAGTTGCCAAAGTTGTACAGCAAACACTATCCTAAGCTTAGCCTCTTCAGATATTTGATTTAAAAATCACTGTAAAAAACACCAGTCACAAAAAGCCACATTTTATATGATTCTATTTATATGAAATGTCCAAGATAGGCAAATCTACAGAGATAAAAATTAGATGAGAGGTTGCCAGGATCAATGGTGGGGGAAACGGGTACAGGGAGTGACTGCTAATCAGTACGGGGTTTCTTTTTGAAGTCATGAAAATGTTCTGAAATTAGGTAGTAGTAATGACTGCACAACTCTGTGAATATACTAACAACCACCAAATTGTACACTTCGAAGCGTTTTATCATATATAAACTGTATCACAATAAAGCTGTTAATTTAAAAAATGTTTGGCTATGTCAAGAAATAAAGAAGTAGGGTCATAACTAGAAGATATGGGATATGAAATACATAGAACAAAACTGCTCAATAATCTATCTAGAATCACACAATGCTTAAGCTTTACCCTGATTGAGATGGCAAGCTTTTACTTCTTCCCAAGTCAGCAAATAATTCCTCCTCCTCACTTAATAGTTGACTATGAAGAGCAAGCCATTTTGATTTTGCCTCCAATGAGCTTTCACATTTCATTCCTCCTTCCACTCCCATGACTACCAAACCAATGTAGGTTCTCCTCACTTCACTCTAAGACAACAGCGTGGCCCTCAACTACTGTCACACTCTTCTAGGCTCTGTGAGCACAATGTGTCTCATATTCTCTTCTGCTGTCACCAGATTTACTTTACAATAGTTTCTTTACTGTCACTCCCCTGTTCCTCAACCAGTTATACAGAAAGATGAATAGCCAGGGTGATAGTCTACTTAGCAGAGGGGGAAAAAAAAAAAAAAAGATCTGTGGCCAGTCCACAGACCTGTTTAAGTACAAGATATTACATCAGCACTATTTCCTAAAACTCTTCTACATGAGTCCTACCCTCCTTGTGTTATAGCTCAAACTGGTCTGGTATACTCTGAGTATCTCATTCTCTTTCCTAGATAACTGATTGTGTTTACTTTTCACCTATGTAAATCATTTTCCTTCAACCTCCACCAGCTGACCAAACCCGACACTCACATTTCACTGCCCAGCTGGGATCTCACCTACTTCATGAAGTCTTCAGGTCACTATTGCCACAGCAACTCTTTGCTGCTTTAAACCTCTGATAAATTAAGTCCATGGTTAGCATTTGATAATCAATGGAGTACTTAGTACTTTTAATCCCCTCTTATATAGCTGGCTTTGGTATAATGAAAGACACTTTATTAGGAATCAGAAGATTTATTTGAGTAGGTCACAAGCTGACTTATTCAAATTACTCATTTGAATAATGAGAACAATAACACTGTGGCAAAAAAGAATCAATTAAGAAACTACGTAACAGATTTTAAAACTGAAAATGGCATTATGCATAAAATATTTGTCTCTATTCTAGGTGGTAAACTAAGGTCATGAACTTAAATTCTTAGAATTCTTACAATAAAATGTTGAAAAGCTATACTGGCCAATTTTATAATCACATTTTAAAATGTTCTGATTAAAAAAAAAAAAAATTTGAGACGGACTCTCGCCCTATTGCCCAGGCTGGACTGCAACCTCCACCTCCTGGGTTCAAGCGATTCTCCTGCCTCAGCTTCCCGATGAGCTGGGATTACAGGCACCCACCACCACGCCCAGCTAATTTTTGTATTTTTAGTAGAGACGGGGTTTTGCCATGTTGGCCAGGCTGGTCTCAAACTCCTGACTCAGATGATCCACCTGCCTTGGCCTCCGAAAGTGCTGGGATTACAGGCGTGAGCAACCACATCTGGCTGATAAAAATGTTTTTATATATTTATTCTGAATTTGCAAATTTCTTCCAAATCTTTTCCTTGATCTTTTTTTTCTCTCAAATAAGATTTTGAACAAAAAATGACCTGTCTTCCTTTTCCCATGCTTATGGGAATACTGAGTAAACATCACAATTTTATAAACAAGCACATAAAACTAAAGCACAATAGTTGGCCAGGCAGTGGCTCATGCCATAATCCTAGCACTTTGGGAGGCCCAGGTGGGTGGATCACTTCAGGCCAGGAGTTTGAGACCAGCCTGGCCAACATGGTGAAACCCTGTCTCTACTAAAAATACAAAAATTAGCTGGGCATGGTGGCGCATGCCTATAGTCCCAGCTACTCAGGAGGCTGAGGCAGGAGAATGGCTTGAACCCGGGAGGCATAGGTTGCAGTGAGCCAAGATTGCGCCACTGCACTCCAGCCTGGGCAACAGAGTGAGACTCTGTCTCAAAAAAAAAAAACTAAAACACAATAGTTATGTCATTTCTCCCCAATCAGTAAAGGCTTCGTTAAAGATATTTTAACATTAAACTATGAAAAACGTAAGAACTATGACTTGGTGGCTAGTAAAAGACTGGTGGTGTCAGCAAGAGAAAGGTTAAAAATTTACTATTTTTCAGTCTTGTGTTTATTTTGTATATGTAAATATTTGGCTGGGTTACCTAACATTCCACTTCCAAAACTGATCATGAGGTTTTATGACAAAAGAAGTACTTTTTATAGCAATTTTACTGCCTGATCCAAAAACAGTCTACGGAAGCTTTAAAGGTAACAAAAGAAAACTGTACACAATTCTAAACAACTATTTCACACCCAACCTGGGATTTCCACTCACTGTGATAGTATATTTGTGATCAACTTTGTAACCACCTGTCAAAAGGAAACCTCTAACATCTGCTCACGAAGGAATCCTTCAGCATTTCCTGCTCTGCAGCAGAAAACACATGGGAATCACTCAGAACTCCAGATTTCCAAAAGAACAGCCTTTCCCAGAGAGTAAGCCAGAGGACACCGTCCTCTGAGATGCTATCGTGTAAATTATTAAACAAATTTGGGAAAAATAGAAAACAGCATTAAGCCTCCAAGAAGTCCTTTGGTAAAAGATATTCTGAACCTGGTTTCCCAAAACCTTGCAGTCCCCTCAAAACAAACATCTATTAACAAACCACTAGGTGGGGTGCGGTAGCTCATGCGTGTAATCCCAGCACTTTGGGAGGCTGAGGCAGGCGGATCACGAGGTCAAGAGATAGAGACCATCCTGGCCAACATGGTGAAACCCCATCTCCACTAAAAACACAAAAATTAGCTGGACATGGTGGCGCACGCCTGTAGTCCTTACTCGGGAGGCTAAGGCAGGAGAATTGTTTGAACCCAGGAAGGCAGAGGTTGCAGTGAGCTGAGATCACGCCACTGCATTTCAGCCTGGTGACAGTGAGACCCCGTCTCAAAAAACAAATAAAAAAAAACCCCACTACTATTAGTGCTTACAGAACATTTTGAGAGCTATGGCAAAGATTAGGTTGCAGGTGTCAGGTAAGTAAACTCTTAAGAAACAATACTGAAAAAAATAAAATTAAGAAATATTTAAAAACAAAAAAGGACAAAAAATAATAAAATAATTTTGAAAAACAATATTGGGCCAGGCACAGTGGCTTAGACTTGTAATCCCAGTACTTTGCAAGGCTGAGGCGGGTAAGATGGCTTCAGCCCAGGAGTTCAAGACCAGCCTGAGCAATATGGCAAAACACCATCTCTACCAAAAATACAAAAATTAGCTGGGCATGGTGGCATCCCAGCTACTCAGGAGGCTGAGGTGGGAAGATATCTTGAGCCCAGGAGGCAGAGATTGCAGTGAGCCATGACAGCACCACTGCACTCCAGCCTGAGCAACAAAGCGAGAACCTATCTCAATAAATAAATAAGTAAAAATAAATTATATTGCTTTACCATGTGGCAGAACTCAAAATGAGCTCAGCATATCCATATGTAATACGAAAGGTTAAAAAAACAAACAAACACACACTTTTTGTTTCTCTGAGCTTTACAGATGGACACCATGCCCAAATAACTATTCTGTAGTATCAACACCAAAGTTAGTATGTATTCTGACTACACAGAAATGATTCTTAACAGGATTTTAGCCCCCAAAACACATATATAAGCATGTAAAGCAAATATAACTAAAAATAACTGTAGGAACAAAGCTCTTCTGGAGAAAGTTCTGAAGTCTGAAGCAGTCACTCATATTTTTACCCTAAATGCAACTATTACTATCTCAACCATAGAAATGATCAAAGGAAAGGCTGGATATATTTAGATTTTAACCACCATAATGTAGATTATGTCACATAATAGAATTAGTCACCCGAGTGTTGGAACATTCTCAAGTTAAACTGCTCATACTTTGAGGGCCTACTGAACATTTCATAACTAACCTAACAAATTGTGATCTTTTCCCCACCTTCTGTAAGACTTCCAACCATAAAAAGAAGCAATACAATTACCATTTGACCCTAATAAACTGCAAGTATTACCTCTAGGAGTAATTAGCCAGTTCCATAGGTCCATGAGATTTTCCCATGATTATCCCTAAAAGTACCAATTAGGATCACAGGCATGTGGGGACCATTCTCTAATCGTAACATTCTCTAAACCCTCAATCACAATTTACATTTGAAAACATTAGCTTTTTTATGGTAAAAAGTATGTGCGTATATATACGTGTGTGTGTGTGTGTGTGTGTGTGTATGTATAAATACATGTGTGTATGAATCATTAAAAACTTTACCTATCAACAACATAATGCTTTACAACTAATGGTTCTAGGTGTGGGCCCCAGAACAACAGCATCAACTTCACCTGGAAACTTCTTAAAAATGTAAATACTCAGGCCCCACCACAGACCTACTGAATCAGAAACCCTGGGACTAGCTCTCCAAATGTTTCTGGTGCACACTATATTTAGAAGAAAAAAAAAAAATGCAGGCCAGGCACAGTGGCCTCATGCCTGTAATCCCAGCACTTTGGGAGGCCAAGGTGGGAGGATCACTTGAGCCCAGGAATTCAAGACCAGCCAGGGCAACATAGTGAGATCTCGTCCCTATAAAAAAAAATTTTTTTTAACTGAAAAAAATTTCTTTTTAAGTAGTCACTTAAACTTACCCTCCTGAGAGAACAGGTAACACCACTCGAACAAATGGAGGATCAAATGGAAAGTTATCCTAAAAAGCAAATAAGCAAGTTTAATTAATTTAAAGAACATCCTTAGTGTTATACTATTTAGAAGATTTTAAAAGATACTATAAAGAATGTGTACATTTATTATCAGATAATGGGTAAGAGTCATAAAATTAGTACCCAAAACCAAAATGAAAACCAAAGCAAATAAAAATGAAGTTAAAATCAGGCCCAAACAGAACAGCATTATGGTAAACTGATGAAACACATGAAGGGGTTCCACTTCACTAGAACTATATAAAGGAACCATTCCAATAATGATAGACTAGGTAACTTAGATAAATCTTCTGACTGAGAACTAGAAAGGTGAACAAAACATAATAATTTCAAGGCTAAGAAAAGGGAACACCAGAGAGCAGGATCTTTTTTTCCCCCTTAGGTTTTCTTCCAATTACAGAAGAGAAAAAGAAGAGGTTCACAAGCTGAGCTAGAACTCACAGACTCACAGAGCTCACAGGGAGATAAATACTGGAGCTCAGCGTCCACCGAGGACAGGCCCTGCTAAGTCTCCGGCTCCTTAGGTTGGGACCCTGAAGAACAAACTGCAAATTGCCCTGACAGGGAATGACAGCCAGCTTTAATCATCTCATTTTTTAAGCAAATTCTAATTAATTTTGATTTGCATTTTCTAACTTGCAATAGAAATGTAAGATTATCCACAAGATACCAACTTAATGACACAAGATACCAACTTAACAACAGTTATTATAATCTACTTTCAAATAAAGTAGCTCACCTTTCATCTATATTTAACAGACATAATGAAAGGTATAGAGGTTGATGTAAGCTTGGTAAAGTACAATTTCATTTAACCTCCTATTATTTAGATCTTTAAACATGTGAATCCCTAATGAGTGACTACAAAACCTCTTCATTATGTATGATTTAATTCATTTTAAACAGTTCAGAATAACTCTTCTACATCAAAATCTGCGGGCTCTATTCCATAAAGTCTATACCCTGGAACTCAGGAATCCAGATTTTACAGAAATAAAAAGTTCCTCAGGGAGGAAAAAAAGGTTGAGGATGACTGTTAAAATGAAGTTTCAGTTACCTTAGTACATATTAACTCAGAAACAGACTCTCAGACTCTATAAAGGATCTCAGAAAGTTATCTGAGATCTTAACATCTTAGCCATCTAAGTTATTAAGGAAGAGGAACATTTTAAAGACTACATCACCAAATGGCTCTAAATAGTTACAAATCGCTTCCTCACATTGAGTTGAAAATCACCTCTTTGTAATTTGACTTACTAGTTTCATGCCCTGCATTCACCAAAAGCAAATAAAAACTAATGCTTCCATATACACAGTCCTTCAAATAGCTGAAGACAAGATAACATCAACCCTCATGTTCTCCTCTCCAAATCCACAATTTCACCAGCTATCCTAGGACACGGAATACAATCAATCTCTTCCCAATCCTGGCTATTATTCTCTAAATGAACCTAAGTTTATCTAAATAGACCCTTCTTAAAGTACTACCTCAGAATTCAATTCAGTAATTCAGATGCTGCCCGAAACACCAAAAAGTGACTTCCTTAAAAATATAGCAAGTTGGATTTACCAACAAGGTCACATTCCCTCCTGCCCCAACTCCCATCTTTGTGTTATGCTTTATCTCAAGTTCCATTTTTCTTATTATTCAAGTTGTCACCGTGGACATCAGAGGCCATAAATATATACTGTTCTGGCTCTTTCCTGCAAATCTTTCTGAGTCATACCTGCTATCCTCCAAAGTCTGTGAATCCCGATACTAATAACTTGGCAATTCAGTTTAAGGTCCTCTTCATAAGGTCAGTTAGCTCAAGGCAATCACATTCTTCCTAGGCCTCTCAAGAAATACTCCAACCCCAGAAAAGGCCCTTCTTTGTGGTATCAGGAGCCATGGTCCAGAAACACAAATCCAACAGAAATTCAGCCATTTACCTCCCAGATCGTCCCCTCCCTGAAGTTCTACCTAGAGCAGGAAAAAATAATGAAAACACTACCTATAGTCACAAATCCTCCAGTTTCCTGGCCAATATTTCATATTCCCGTAAAGATACCTCTCAAAGAGGAAGTGACAAGGGAGGGGCACACAGGGGGCCACAGGGACGGATAAAAAAAAAAAAGGTTCTATTTCTTAAGTTTGGTGTTAGGCATAAGGACATATAATTCAATTTTTTAAAAAGAAAGATACCTTCCTTTTTTGTGTGTTTTGTTTTTTGTTTTTGGCCTGGGTGCTTTATTCGTTCCCCCATATGAATTAGTAAAAATGTAGCCATTAGCAACTTCAGTCAATATATACCAGACTCATATTTTAGGAAGACAACCCAGTTGACAACCACAACAGTTTCTATAATAACAAAAGTGAGAGATAATACTGACATTTGGGTCACTTCAAGAAAGTTCAATCATAAGATATATCCCCAAGCAAAAACACACACATAAAAAAGCTACGTAAGAAGCTTTTAGAAAATTACTACCTTTTTTGTAAGTACAAAGGAAGTATTGCTTTTTCCATCAAAATATCTCATATATCCACAGATTTTAAACCATTACATCTCATCCAGATCCATATTAAATCACGCCTGTAATCCCAGCACTTTGGAAGGCCAAGGGAAGTGTACCATGAGGTCAGGAGTTCAAAACCAGCCTGGCCAAGATGGTGAAACCCCATCTCTACTAAAAATACAAAAATTATGCGGACATAGTGGCACATGCCTATAATCCCAGCTACTCGGGGGGCTGGGGCAGAGAACTGCTTAAACCCGGGAGGCAGAGGTTGCAGTGAGCCAAGATTGTGCCACCACACGCCAGCCTGGGCCACTGCACTCCAGCCTGGGCAACAGAGCAAGATTCTGTCTCAAAAAAAAAAAAAAATCATTAACATTTTTTCTAGATTCCATTGCTATTCTTTAACCATTATTTTTAGCATCTTTAAAATACTTATTAGGCCAGGTGTGGTGGCTCACACCTATAATCCCAGCACTTTGGGAGGCCGAGGCAGGCAGATCACCTGAGGTTAGGAATTCAAGACCAACCTGGCAAACATGGTGAAACCCCGTCTCTACTAAAAATAAAAAAATTAGCCGGGCATGGTGACATGCACCTGTAATCCCAGCTACTCAGGAGGCTGAGGCAGGAGAATCACTTGAACCTAGGAGGCAGAGGTTGCAGTGAGCCAAAACTGTGCCACTGAACTCCAGCCTGGGCAACAGAGCAAGACTCTGTCTCAAAAAACAAACAAACAAACAAAAAAAAACCTTATTAAATATAACACATAAATTCAGAAAAGTACATAAAATATAGAGATATACCTTAAGAAGCTATTGTAAATTATGTGCTCATGTAACCATCAACCTGGCCCAGAAATATATTCCAGCCAGTATCCAAGAAGCCTGCGCAGATATACCTTTCAGTTCACACCTCCCTACCTCCCACCTAGATGGACTCCTTACCCTAACCTGTATGTAATCACCTCTTTGTTCTTGGACAGTTTTCCTCTTTGGGCAGTTTTACTGCTCACGTATGAATCCATAAATAAGTGTTTCTCAGTTTTCTTTTCATTTTTGCCCCCCTAAGAAGCCTTTTTAGAAGTTTTCTTCCTAGTTTTACCCCCCTGCTCCATGGAATTTTAACACCATAGATAAATCGTATATCTGTTTATGTTCTGTGGCCCTTTGGAGGGCAGCAGACCATTTTAATAGCTAAGATTGTTTTCACTCTAAAGATCAGTTTTCACTACACTGCAGGTGATATTGCCTCCACTAAGAATGCATGCCCTAATCAACATTAGTTTTACCTATTTTTGAACTGTATATAAAGGGAATTGTACAAAATAGGTTTTGGAGTCCAGTCTCTTTTACAACTGTGTTCAAGATCCACCCATCTTGTCCCACATAGCTGTAAACCACTTTATAAACACCACAATTCTCCATTTTATTGGAATGAACACTTGGGTTTTCTATTTGGTGCTATTATAAACGATGCTGCTCTGAACATTCCTGTGTCTCCTGGTACGCCTAAGTACTCACGTCTTAACGGAGAATATGTCTACGAGATTCCTGAACCATAGGGTATGAGTATCTTCTACTTTACCAAATTGTTTTCCAAAGCACTTGTACAAATATACGCACCCCACTGGAAGTATATGGGGTCCTGTAACTATTTTCTTACCTTAAAAGAGAAGTTAAGCAAAATATATTCTATGCCTTCTTTTTCTTTTAAGATCTGAAGATCACTGTGCAAAGGACTATCAGGGTCAACCCTAAGAATTACAAAACAAAAAACAGTTCAAATAAAAAGTTAGAGATTTTTTTTTTTAACTAAACTCAAAAATGAACTAGTATGACAGCTAAAATAGAGCACCTAGGGCAAGTTCCAGAAAGAGAAGGTCTAAAGCTGCTCTGTATCACCAGGAAAAATAGAGGTCACCATAGGTTCCAGCTCCTTGGGAATAAATGTCCAAAAGAGACCATAATACTCTAAATCTAATCTAGTAAAGGAGTTCAGAGTTTGCAGTCACTCTAAAGGAAAATAGTCACATGAATATAATTTTCTCAAGAACTCAAAAAAAGTTTAGGAAAGCATATTAAACTTACATTATTAGCCAAAGGGTTCAAGGAGAAAAGTTTGCCATGGTCAGAACTATGAAAACTTAAATCACTAAAAAAACCTGTATTTGTCTACAACTGTCCTATATATACAGGTCTAATTTGAATCCCACCTCCCCCCAACTTTTTTTTTTTTTTTTTTTTTTTTTTTAAGAGACCGGGTGCCTCATTCTGTTGCCCAGGCTGGAATATAGTGATACGATCGTGACTCACTGCAGCCTTGATGTCTGGAGTGCAAGATCTTCCTGCCTCAGCCTCCCACCACCCCCAGTAGCTGGGACTACAGGTGTACTCCACCATGCCTGGCTAATTTTTTTTTTTTTGTAGAGATGAAGTCTTGCTATGTTGCCCAGGCTGGTCTCAAACTCCTGGGCTCAAGAGATCCTCTCACCTCAGTCTCCCAAAGTGCTGTATATATTTCAAATATAAACTGGTTATCACAGTCTCATGAAGTTATTAAATACACTTTTGTTTTTAAGTTCCCCTGCTCTAACTCCATAAAACACTTTATCCCGCAGCTGGTCCCTCTTTCTGTCCTTCCTCTTTCTCACTTTCTTATTAGACCTCAGCAACAGCTCATTTAAACAATCTAAGAACTATTTCTATAGAAACAAAGTCTAAAGTTCTAAGTAAAAGCCATAGTATAAAGGTATCAAGTTAGAAGGAAAATAACCTCCACTGTGATAGTCTACCATTGCAAAGAGTGGGTGAGCATTAAAAAGCCACTTACTTCTGCAGTTTAACATGCCAGTCATATAAACTGTCATTTATGAGTTCCACTGAATAAATCCCTGTTAAGATATAGAGCATGTTAGCTACTCTTCATTTCATCATATAACTATTACTATGGTATAAATGTATACACTAAATAGCCAACGAAAGCTAGAAATTTTGCTCTTAAAACATGGAACAACTAAGCTATATAGTAAATATTACACTACTGCAGCTGAGTATCTTATGCCCTTAACAGATAATTACAGCCATCAACTGAGAAGATTCTTTAATGAGTTGAAAAACTGCTTACCGTTTAGTCTGACTGAAAAAAAGATTATGCAAAATCATATGTACTTAAGACTTTTCTTCCATGAACACACATTTCTACAAAGATGGAATCCTTCTACGTATGTTGTTTTATAATCTCTCTTCAACTTTCAGGGACATCTTTCCAAGTTAGTATACATAAACCTATTCACAATCTTTTTAATGACTCTGTGGTAGTTTATTTTATGGATATGCTTTAACAAATTCCACCCAGTATCTGTTTTTTTTTTTCTATATAAACAATGCTGAAACAAATGATTATTTAACATTTAAAAATAAAACCAGTATTCAAATGTTTGTACTTTATTAGGTTTCTACAGATAAACTTTTAGACTTCTTACACAAAAAACCGTAAGGACACCCACAATTCTAACAACTCAGAAACAAGTTTGGCTTATCCTGCACACTACAAAGCAAGGATTTTTTCCTTGTTTTTATTCTTTAAGCAAATTCTAATTAATTTTGATTTGCTCACGCTAAGAATTCCTGAATCGGTCATAATGCTAGAATTGAATCGGTCATAACCCTTTTTTTTTTTTTTTTTTTTTTTTGACAGAGTCTCACTCTTGCTGCCCAGGCTGGAGTGCGGTGGTGCAATCTTGGCTCACTACAGCCTCTGCCTCCTGGGTTCAGGTGATTCTCCTGCCTCAGACCACTGAGTAGCTCGGATCACCAGGCGTGCGCCACCACACCCGGCTAATTTTTTATTTTTAGTAGAGATGGGGCTTCGCTCGCCATGTTGGCCAGGCTGGTCTTGAACTCTTGACCTCAGGTGAGCTGACCACCTTGGCCTCCCAAAGTGCAGGGATTATAAGTGTGAGCCACCGCACCCAACCAATGCTATCTTTTCAAATTAAAGTTTGGCTCATTATTTAATACTATTAGAATCTCCATAACAATATGAGAATTTTACCTCTAGTTAGAGAGGTTCCATAACATTCAAGTCATATTGAGTAAGAATACTCGTCAAACAAGGAAATGAAAACTTTAAAAACTTATATATTTTAAAGGTAATAACATAACTATCTTTACAATAAAAGCTGATTATCTTGCTTTCAAAAATGGGGGGGAATCATAAAAATCAACTTGGCAATTATTCTCTGTAAAATGAAATGTTTTACTCTTATTTACTTTCCAAGCAATATCGCTCATGCTTTCCCCAGAAGATAAAAATCATGTAAGAGTTCACTGTTTATCAAGAAGAGGACAAAATTCCAATGGACCTATAAAAACATTTTTTAAAAATCCAAAAGACAAGTAAACTCATCCTATTTTACTCCTACATCTTTTGGAACTTGATTGCATTTGAGTTTCACATTCCTGAAATAAAGCTAGTAAACATTTCCATTTCTGTCCAGTTTTAAGAAATGACATTTATAATCTGACAATAGAAAAGAGCAGAAGAATCATAAAGAGAGCAGGGATCCAGAGATCCTTACCTGTTTTATAACTCTGTGATCTGTATATGTCCCTGAGCTCTTTCATAAGTCTATCTGAAGCTTGCACTGACCCAGACACTGCACCCTGAAACACAAAAGCCACTGTTTACCAGGGTCTGCTGAGCTAAGATTTAAGATATTTCAACCTGATCTAAAAGATTACAGCAAAAATGGATCACCACTCAACATTTTTTTTTTTTTTTTTTGGAGATGGAGTCTAGCCCTGTTACCCAGGCTGGAGTGCAGTGGCGCAATCTCAGTTCACTGCAACCTCCGCCTCCCTGCTCAAGAGATTCTCCTGCCTCAGCCTCCCAAGTAGCTGAGACTACAGGTGCGCACCACCACGCCCAGCTAAATTTTGTATTTTTTTTTTTGGTAGAGACGGGATTTCACCATGTTGGCCAGGATGGTCTCAATCTCTTGACCTCGTGGTCTGCCTGCCTCGGCCTCCCAAAGTGCTGGGATTACAGGCATGAGCCACTGTGCCCAACCTCAACATTTTAAGAAGTAAAAAAAAGCCCAATTAAATGAAGCATTATGAAGTTTCAAGAGGATATTAAAACTAGGCACAAGTCTAGTTCATTTCCTATTTCTTCTCATGTGAAAAAGTCTAGCCAACATGTCCAGACCACCATGGATTCCACAATAACAAAGAATTCAGTATGAGTCTATTCCAAACCCCAGCAATTTTTGAAAATACTAGAAGACACTCAAGGTGACACATTATTTACTAAAATAGAGTTCCATTCATAAGACTACAAACAAGAATATTACACAGATGGTCTAGTTCGCACATTAAGACACTGAGAAACATCTGCCTACATGCGACTGGTTTCAGTTTTTCAGTGCAGGGACATCTCTAAAGATGAAAACACATCAATATCTTATCATAAGACTAAATACAAACGGAACTATTTTTTGGTCACGTGAAATTAAAGATTTTAAACATTGCACTATACTTTGAAGGGGGGAAAAATCAAGTTTCCTAGCTCATTTCATATCTACAAAATATGAGAAGTTTTTCCTATCTCTAAAATATGAAGCATACCTATTTCACACGGTGGCTATGAAGACTAAATGTGAAGATATGTGAAGTATAAAGTACTTGGCATAGTATCCATCATGCAAAAGTGTTCAGTAACTTATAGTTGTTTTGACTATAACTCAAACTGGAATCGATCACAAGACATAAAGTACAGTCATCATTAATTCAAATGACAAACTTTGTTTTTTAAGTAATCAAGATATGGGGGCTTGACTAAATTTCTTTGCTCTACTAAAAATTATAAATTAGATTAATATATAAATTAGACTGAAGGAGGGAGAGTAATCTACCTGTTTTCAACATTTGGCATCTACTTACCTAACAATTCATTCCCTGTTTTGGGGAACCTGTGCCCAAGACAAAGTAACTGCTACTCAGATTTCACGGAGTTGGTCAATAGCTCTAACACAAGGCAAAAAGTAGTAAGTGTTCAGACAATCATTTGATGTTTCCCTACTCTGAGCATTTTATATATATACACACATCATTTTCATTTATTTTTGATAGCAATCATCCAAAAGGTATGTACTGTCTAGCCATATTTTAGAGCTGAGGAAAGTGAAACCATAAATTGTGTGTTTGTCACCAGACTCAGTGTTCTTTTCACATCCTGCTGCTTCACGTAAAAGAGATATTAAGTTGTGGCCGGACACAGTGGCTCACACCTGTAATCCCAGCACTTCGGGAGGCCAAGGCAGGTGGATCACTTGAAGTCGGGAGTTCAAGACCAGCCTGGCCAACATGGTGAAACCCTGTCTCTACTAAAAATACAAAAATTAGCCAGGTGTGGTGGTGTACACCTATAATCCCAGCTGCACAGGAGGGTGAGGCAGGAGAACTGCTTGAACCTGGGAGGTGGAAGCTGCAGTGAGCTGAGATCATGCCACCACACTCCAGCCCGGGAGACAGAGCGTAACTTCATCCAAAAAAAAAAAAAAAAGGATGTTAAGTCAAAAGAGAAAAATTACTTTTGGTTGGGTCAGAGCAGGACAGACCAAAGTCAGCTTCACGAAGGAGAAAGAACTTGAATTGTATTTTGTCGGAGAGGATGAATTTGAATATACAGATCCCATGAGAGGAAGGTAAGCAGAGAAAACAGCATAAACAGGCCGGGAAGGGGCAAATACAGGGATCAGCAGGTGGTTCCAGGATATGAAGAGCAGATGAACAGGGTAAAAAGTGGCTATCTATAGATAAGAAACGTAATCTACAGCAACAAAACATATGACTAAGGCTAGGCACGGTGGCTCATGCCTGTAATCCCAGTAGTTTCGGAGGCCAAGATGGGAGGATGACTTGAACTCAGGTGTTCAAGACCAGCCTGGGCAACAGAGAGTCCTCATCTCTACTAAAAATAAAAAAAACTAGCCTGGCATGGTGGCATGTGCCTATAGTCCAAGCTACTTGGGAGGCTGAGGCAGCAGGATTACTGGAGCCTGAGAGATCAAGGCTACTACACTGAACTATGATTGTGCCACTGCACTCTAGCCTAGGCGACAGAGCAAGACCCTGTTTTAAAACACACATGACTGAATCCACCACTAAGGCAGAAATGGAGGAAGAGGGCAGCTGAGATGGGCATGTTAATGAATTGCCTGGTATTAACTACAATTATTTAACCACAAAAGTCCAGGTTCTAGATATCTACACACACTTACATTTAAATGGTCTTGCCTTTGAGTCTTCCTAATTTTCTCTAATATTGCCAAATTTTCTTTTTCAATTCCTTCATCCTCTGACTTTTTCCCACTAATAGGCTCTTCTTCCTTCATCTCATAGTGATCTAAGTCTTCTATATCCTACAAAGAGACGAAAAATGTTAGCTTATTCAACCTATTTTTCTTCAGCAGTTTCTTATGCCAAAATAACATTAAATTATTCTTGACTCAAATGAGGAACAAGAAACAAAATGTAACTATCCTATAGGGAGAGAGAAAAAGCCCCCACATTCCATTCAAGAGGCTCCCACCTTTTATATCCTATATTTTATTTAAAATCTAGACTCTGGGTAAAGCAGATTTAAAAGCTTTACAAAATCATAACTATTACCAAATAAGCCATCTTCTAAATCTCCTATTAAGAGGAACCTTTAAAACAGTTTAGCAGCAGGTGTCAAGAACCTTAAGTGTTCCTAGTTTGTTCCAGAAACTCAACTTCTAGAATTGTATTCTAAGAAACTAGTTTAAACTATAAACACTAATTTAGGCATAAGGATACCTATTTCAACCTTGCAGCCACAAAAATAAACACAAAATCTGCATGTGCAAAATAGCAAAATATTAAGAGGCCACTGAAATACTAACATAGCCTAATTTCTCCTGTAACGAAAAACTTTAAAATGAAAAACAATACAAAAAAGAATAGAAAGAATTTCAGTTACGCTGAAATAAGCACAGAAAAAGAAAGACCAGAAGAACTTACATTGAAATGTTAATTTCAGTTAATCTTAGTTATCTCTGGAGGCATTTAATGCTTTCCCCTAATTTCCAAGTTTTATGTAGTAAGCATCTATTGACGTTTATAACTAGAAAAAAAGTTAGAAAAAGAATTTTATCTCAGGTCCTCAGGAGGCTGAGATAGGAAGATCATGTGGGCCCAGGAGTTTGAGGCTGCAGTGAGCTATGATCATGCTACTGTACTCCAGCCTGGGTGACAGAGCAAGACTCTATCTCAAAAAAAAAAAAAAAAAAAAAGGAAAAGAAAACAAAGAATTTGAATACCCCTAGACCAATATCTTTATTCACATCATTCTGCTCCCTTCTTTCCCGTACTATCTGTTCTTACACATATATAAATCTATGCAGAATTTAAATCCTAACTTTTTGCAATTACCTTATTTCTCTACTTCAATTGCCAAAATCTCTAAAGGAGTAGTTTATACGCATCTCGGCTTTTTTTTTTTCCCCAAGCAGGCTAATTCACTGATTTCTAGACCAGGTTAATCACTACCTTCTATCCATTCAATAGGCCTCCTTTTTGGGTTTATTTTTTTATTTTTTGAGATGGAGTCTCGCTCCGTTGCCCCGGCTGGAGTACAGTGACAAGATCTCGGCTCACTGCAGCCTTCACCTCCCCGGCCTCCTTTTTGGAATGCCATCTCTTCAAGCCCTATAACGTTCTGTTCTCACTCAAACTCTGCCCATGACTCCATACTTCATTGAGCTCCCTTCTCCCTGTGTGCACCTTTCAGCCCTGATCTTCCATCCTACATGTTTTCCTCACAATTCTCACAAATGCCTTTAGCCTGTATTTCCTCCTATACCTTCAACCTCAGTCATGTTCCCATCCACGAAATTTCTTTTTCTGAGTATTAATCAGCACATCCCAAACAGAATTCAACATTATCTTTCTCAAACAATATCCTCAGCACACTATTCCCTGCTTAAGGCCTTCCTATCAATAATTATGGGGAAAAGCAAGACAGATCAGCCTGTTACTGTGTCTGTGTAGAAAGAAGTAGACATAGGAGACTCCATTTTGTTCTGTACTAAGAAAAATTCTTCTGCCTTGAGATTCTGTTAATCTTTGACCTTACCCCCAACCCCATGCTCTCTGAAACATGTGCTGTGTCAAACTCAGGGTTAAATGGATTAAGGGCTGTGCAAGATGTGCTTTGTTAAACAAATGCTTGAAGGCAGCATGCTCCTTAAGAGTCATCACCACTTCCTAATCTCAAGTACCCAGGGACACAAACACTGCGGAAGGCCGCAGGGACCTCTGCCTAGGAAAGCCAGGTATTGTCTAAGGTATCTCCCCATGTGATAGTCTGAAATATGGCCTCGTGGGAAGGGAAAGACCTGACCGTCCCCCAGCCTGACACCCGTAAAGGGTCTGTGCTGAGGAAGATTAGTATAAGAGGAAGGCATGCCTCTTGCAGTTGAGACAAGAGGAAGGCATCTGCCTCCTGCCCGTCCCTGGGCAATGGAATGTCTCGGTATAAAACCCGATTGTACGTTCCATCTACTGAGATAGGGAAAAACCGCCTTAGGGCTGGAGGTGGGACATGCGGGCAGCAATACTGCTTTGTAAAGCATTGAGATGTTTATGTGCATGCATATCTAAAAGCACAGCACTTGATTCTTTACCTTGTCTATGATGCAAAGACCTTTGTTCACGTGTTTGTCTGCTGACCCTCTCCCCACTATTGTCTTGTGACCCTGACACATCCCCCTCTCGGAGAAACACCTACAAATGATCAATAAATACTAAGGGAACTCAGAGGCTGGCGGGATCCTCCATATGCTGAACGCTGGTTTCCTGGGTCCCCTTATTTCTTTCTCTATACTTTGTCTCTGTGTCTTTTTCTTTTCCAAGTCTCTCGTTCCACCTAACGAGAAACACCCACAGGTGTGGAGGGGCAACCCACCCCTTCAAATAATCACACCAAATAGAAACACACCTGTCTCGAATTCAAGACTTTTAACCATCTGCCTTTTCTAGCCAATCTTGTTTTTTCATGACTTCCACCCATCAACCCTCCTCAAAAGAAAAGTATCCAATGAACTCAAACACACTATGTCCAAGGTTGTTCTGAGCCTGTTCCCATATTATTTTAGGAGCCTAGAATATCTTCTTTCCACTTGTCCTAATCTGACATCTCCAAAGTCCAGTCTACCTTTCTAGGTTTCCCTCCATGTTGCGGCCCCTTGTTTATTATCTTATGAGGGGAAAAAGAAAAAGTTCATGAACTTTAGTACAATGGCTGCTTCATGGTAAACTGGGCGCACAAAAAAGGTTTAATGTTTTCATGCAGTTTATTCCACCTAAGCTAAACTGCATAAAAACATTAAACTCTCATTCTAACTTGACAGTTTTAAGAGTATTTTACTCCCAGACTCATAAAACAAGCCTACAGCCAGGCACAGTGGCGCATGTCTATATGTCTATAATCCCAGCACTTTGGGAGGCCAGTGGTGGATCACTTGAGGTCAGGAGTTCACGAGATGAACCTGGACAAAACAGCAAGACCCAATCTCTACAAAAATTTTTTTAAAAAGCTTGGCATGGGGCACACGCCTGTAGTCCCAGCTACTCAGAAGGCTGAGGTGTGAGGATTGCTTGAGTCCAGGAGTTTGAGGTTGCAGTGAGCCGTGATCACACTACTGCACTCCAGCCTGCACCACAGTGAGACCCTGTCTCAAAAAAACAAAACAAGCCTACAACACTGCTTCTTTAGTTCTGAAGCATTCTAAAAGCACATTTTAGATTAAAAATTTCCAAATCAAGAAAATAAAAGCATAATTATAAGACCCAAAACAGAAAAAAAAATTTTTTTTTAAATCAAGACCATGGAATTCACATATCCTCTATTTGGTCAACGCAGAAACAAAGATCTTTGTTCTGAAGTTTGAATTTAAATGCAGAGCTTCAGAGCTTGAAAACATCTAAAATTATATCCATGACTGACAACTGGCCTAAGCTCAATGTCTTTGGAATGCACTCTACTAAATTTGCTATGATTTAAATGTGCTCCCTCCAAAATGCAGGTGTTGCCAATGTGATGCTATTAAGAGGTAGGACCTTTAAGAGGTGATTAAGCCAAGAGGGCTCCTTCCTCCTTAATGGGATTAAGGCCCTTACAAATGAGGCTTCACACAATGGACTAGCTTGCTCTCCTGCCCTTCTGCCTTCTACCATGTGAGGATGCAACAAGAAGGTCCTCAGACACCCAATGTTGGTATCTTGATCTTGGACTTCCCAGCCTTCAGAACAGTGAGAAAATAAATGTCTGTTCTTTATAAATTACCCAGTCTCCAGTATTCTGTTAAAATAGTGTAAACCAGATTAAGACAAAATTCTTTGATGATTTTTCAACAAGAGACAGTTTCACTACTTCTGGCGAGTAGTCCCTAAAATGTTCTCAAATTCTCCTTTTATGCAAACATAAAATTTTTTAAACTTAGTAGTTCCTCTTCCTAAAAATAACCAAATACAGATTAAGTACTGATTAGTATTAAACATAAATATAATTTTGGTGCTAAATGTTAAAAGCTTTTGTTTTCCAGGAAATCAAATCCAAAGAATTCAGATAAATTTGCTCAAAGGCATATCATTAGTTAGAGGTAAAGCCAGAGTTGGGAAATTATATTCCATTCCAAACACAATGTGCTTTCAATTATTCCACATTAATAGTAGTCTATAAAAAAGATTTGAGAATTACTCAAATGTTCAAAAATGAAGAAATTTATGAACTCTTCTTTTATATAAAATACCTACTTCAGCCATCTCTTCTTCTTCTTCCTCTTCTTCTGAAGTCACTTCTTCTGTTGTCCCATTCTGAAACAGAGAAAGAATCTGCCAGGGCTATACAGAACAAATATGCACAGGCTGAGTACATTAGAAGACTGGTGCCACAAACTCTCAAACATCTGTCACTGGAGTCCCACTACCAGACAGTTTATTAAAATTAAAATGTTTATCTTTAAATCCAGCTTTGACTAACAAATAAGTTATCAGCTTTTAAAAATGAAACAATTTTGAACAATTCAACTTAATGGCTGCCTTAGGAACAAAGAAAAGCAATCAAATATAAAGCAAAACAGAAAAAAATGTTAAAACATAATCTAATTTAAAATAAGAAAACATTTTACTTATATGGCTATATGCATAAGATCAATGGCTTATTTAAAATAAAATCTCCCAAACTACCGATTCCTTAAAATAGCTCCCTTTTTAACTTTGGAAAGCCTGAATCATTTACATAAATTCAATTGCCTTACATTTTGAACAGTCAGATGTGTTATTGATAATAGACATTTCACAAAACTAAGAATTATGAAATGATTACCACCTCACTAAAAAGCAAATTTTCTTTTTAAAAACATTTTACAACAAAATACTTCCCTACAAGACACAACTTAACCAATTTACACAATTTACAATTTATCAAGTTCAGAAATGAATTTGATGGGGTTTTAGGAAGGACTTTCATATCCATTTTTGACAAAGTTCAAAAGGTAAGCCCTCGCCAGGACACTGTTTATACATGCATCTTTAACCATGAAGGCCAGTTCAGGTTAGAACACAGAATATGTAAAAGATCACGAAACCAGGATCCAGAGATCAAGTAAGACCAACAAAGGTCTCGGCAGTATCTAAGCATCTGTTATTAGACACTCTGATGGAATAATTCTCAAGAAAAACAAACCCATGATCACAGAGGGTATTAGAACTCTTCTGGATTAGTCAGCTGGAGAATTCCATGTAAACATACCCATGCAGAATTAACTTGTATTTCCTTTAAATCTGCATCTCTTTAGACACATTGTCTTCTAAAAACTAATGGAAAATGGAAGCAAGCAGCTTCCAAAATGTAATTCTCCCTTTTTTCATTTCCCTAAATTGTTATATTCCAAATCAAACTATTCTGGGTATCTAAAGACTATATACCTAGCCTAAAACTCCCAAAGAGTTTGGTTGCATCAACGATTGAAAGAGCATTTTCGAAATGCCAATTTCAAAGCCTACCCAGAGAATCTGTTTTTCAAAAGCTCTCTGAGGTGATTCTCACATGCATCTGGGTCTGTCACCATCAGCCCAGTTACTATCCCTCATTTTAAAATGAGAAAACTGAGCCCCCATCACCTCAAAAAGGGGAAGTAATTTAATCAAAACAAAAAGTGAGTTAATCGTGGGAAACCCTAAGATGATTTCATTTCAAGATGTGGCCTGGTCCTCTTTTCAAAACCCCACTGAAATGACAGAATTTTATAAAAAAAGAGTAGGTCTGCCGCAGTAGCAGAAAAACAAATACAAGGAGAATACCCTTAGTGAACTAAAACTATAAGGACATGCTGGAAGATACAAAGGAGATGGAATCAGACTGCTGGGCTTGAGAAAGTCACAGACTCAATCCAAATAATGCAGGGACCACTTTTTTTCAGAAGAATCAGACATTCTTTACTGTACTTGTCCCATCTACAGTTGGTAAGGATCACTCTCCTATATAGGAACCCTATCTTGATGGCCTCTATGAGTGTCAAAACCAGACAGAAAAGACAGAGAGTGTTTTTAGTATAACTCAATGCAGCAGCAAAATCTTAGACTCCACCTCTTCCTTTTAGCTCAGGAGCTGGAAAGCTCACCAGCCAGCACCTCCCCATCCTCATGCCATAGGAAGAGCACAGGTCTGCAAACCAGGAGGGGGAGGCCACAGTAGAAAAGAGTGACAATTCTGAAGACACTCAGGTCAACAATGGATACTGATCAAGGGTATATCTCATCTATAAATGAGGAGATAACCAGGTATCACCAGAGAGCTGAAGAAAATTAGCAATCTGAAAGTGCCAAGTCAAGTAAGCACAATTGATCTGAAGCATTACTAATGAAGGAAATAAATAGAATTTTAAAACCTAATTGGGATCTTTAGCAGTAATTGGGAAGATACTGCATCCACAAAATAAAAAACAGATTACTATGCAAGCACAATTCTAGAAAGTAAAAATAAGATCCCCTCCACCCCCAAAAAACCACTTGTAGAAGGGCCAGAGTACTATGGACTTGACCCAACAAGGTATTTATGATTAAGAAAAACAAACAGTGACATTTCCTTAGAACAGAGAAAAAAAGGAGATGGGGGAGAAAACAGAAGAGATGTAAGTAAGAGAACAGTTAAGGGACATTGAAGATATAGAGATCTAACATTCATCCAGAGGATGAAGGGGAATAAAAAGAAACAAAAGAGACAAGTGCTGCTGAGCTAAAGAAAGACTTTAGAATATTAAGTGGCTCTGAAAGCCCCATAGGAATACTGAAGGCCGGACACGGTGGCTCATGCCTGTAACACTTTGGGAGGCCAAGGCAGGAGGATCACTTGAGCCCAGAAGTTTGAGACCAGCTTGGGCAACATGGTGAAAACACATCTCTACAAAAAAATTTTAAAAAGTAGCCATGCACGGTGGCAGTGCACA
Source organism: Homo sapiens (assembly GCF_000001405.40). Classification (NCBI taxonomy): domain Eukaryota; kingdom Metazoa; phylum Chordata; class Mammalia; order Primates; family Hominidae; genus Homo; species Homo sapiens. The sequence continues at coordinate 75,866,317 of NC_000015.10, read as the reverse complement.
CCTGTAGTCCCAGCTACTCAAGAGGCTGAGGTGGGAGGACTGCTTATGCCCAGGAAGGTAGAGGCTGCAGTGAGCTGTGATCACACCACTGCACTCTAGCCTGGGCAAGAGAGCAAGACCCTGTTTCAAAAAAAAAAAGTAAAACTGAAAAGTAAAACCCCCACACTTTACAGTTACAGAGAAAATCATACCAACTACCAGAAAGAAAAAATAAAATACACAGAAAGAATTAAGAATGAGATAGGCATCAGACTTTTCATTTGTAACAAATATCAGAAGATAAAAGCGTAAAGAACTGGGAATAGACTCAATTATGAACTTAGAATTCTATATCTAGCTCCATCAAGACAGGAAGCATTATCTGTGTACGTTCACCTCCAGATTCTCCACACCAATGTGGAATACTTTATACAGAGTCAGATATTTGTTGAACAAATAACAGACAGCAAGTATTCAAGGGACACTCTCCATGCACATCCCTTTAAACCCTTTCTAGGTTAAAAAAAAAAAAAACAACCAGATATTATTCAGGGATATACTTGAGGGGCAGGGAGCAGGACACATAATACAAGGAGCAGCAATAAGAAGCAAAGACAGCAGTAACACCAATAGTGAAGTCTAAACGATTACTGATAATGCAGCTGAAAGGTCACAGGCCATATTCTCTGACCATATTGATGCACTAAAAATAACTGAAAAGCCATCTGAAAATGCTTTTTAAAAAGTTTTTTTTTTCCTAGATAACTCTTGAGTAAAAGAAGAAATTGATCCTCATGCCCCTAAGTATGTGCCCCAGAGAAATGCTGGCACAGGGGTACCATGAAATACAAGCAAGAATGATCACAGCAGCATTCGCTGTTCCTAACACTGGAAACAACCCACATGTCTGTATCCAGTCAAGGGGATAAATGGTAGGGTGTATTCAAACAATGGAATAAATACAGCAATGCAAAAGAACTATAGCTACACACAATAGGAACAAATTTCACACACAATGTTAAGCACAACAAAGGTACGAAAAAATACATACAGTATGATTTTCAAAAGTTCAGCAATAGGCAACACTACACTGTATTGTTCAAGGATGCATACATAAGTGGTAACACTAGAGAAATGTAAGGAAAGATGAGTGCACAGAGGAACAGTGATCAGGAAGAAGCCTGCAGAAGGTTTCTGTAGTGCGAGCAATGTTCCTTCTCTTCACCTGGGTGCTGGCTAGGTGTTGGCTCCCAAGTATTCACTCTAATTATGAGTTACACTAAGCTTATGTTTTACATATTTTTAATACATGTCATCTCTCACAATAAAAAGTTTTAATAGTATGGCAATGTGAACAAATGATGGAATAAACTTACTTAGAAAACAGATTTTAAAACTTGTGCAATAAACTCAAACAGCACCCAAAGAAAATGTATACCCTTACATGTTTGTTTAAAAAGCAATTTAAATTACATTAATCCACTAAACTAGAAAAAGCAAAATAAAAAGGGGAAATAATTAAGACATAAGCAAAAAATGAAAAAGAAAACACTAGATTTAAAAAATAAAACTAAAAGAGGATTCTTTCACAAGACTAATAAAACAGCCAAGCCTCTGATAAGTAATCAAGATAAAGAAAACTTTTGAAGTGAAAACGGCATATAGCCACATGTGAATATGATGCAACAGCTTAGAAGTATACATGAAGCGATCCTTTTTTTTTTTTTTTTTAGAATCTACAGTTACTAAAACTGAAGAAGTGGAAAATCTGGAGACCGATACATAGAAAAAGGAAAAAGACAGTCAAAGACTCATCCTCCAGATTGGAGTTTTATTTAAACCATGGTTTCTCAACCTCAGCAATATTGACGTATTGGGCCAGACAATTCTTTGTGGAGGGTTCTCCTGTGTGTTGTAGGATGTTTAGTGACATCCCCTCTACCTAAGAAATGCCAACAGCACCCCTACCATGACCAGTTGTGAAAACCAGAAATGGCTCCAGATATTTCCAAATGTCCCACGGGAGGCAAAAATCTCCTCCAGTTGAAAATTACTGTGTAAACTAGATCTACACCCTAGATCTTAGGAAAAAAGATGTAAAGCTTTCCAAGTCACCCCTGCATACCCTTGATACTGAAATAAGAGCCTAAAAGGAAACAAAGTATAACCTTACTTAATATAGAAGTAAAAATCCAAAAATAAAGTATTACCATATCCATTCTAACGGTGTTTACTATAGAAATGCAAGGATGATTCAAAATTAGGAATTCATAAATTATATCCCTATACAGAATCGTGGGCACAATCATGAAAAACCAGGCAGCTCTCTATGCATTAAGTCCATGTGATATTCAGTGAAAAACACAAGCTGCAGATGTCTTACAGAAGGAAAAGTGAGGGGCCAGGTGCAGTGGCTCACCCCTGTAATCCCAGCACTCTGGGAGGCCGAGGTGGGCAGATCACAAGGTCAGGAGTTCGAGACCAGCCTGGCCAACATGGTGAAACCCCTCTACTAAAAAATACAAAAAATTAGCCGAGCGTGGTGGTGCACACCTGTAATCCCAGCTACTGGGGAGACTGAGGCAGGAGAATCGCTTGAACCCACGAAGCGGAGGCTGCAGTGAGCCAAGATCGCACCATTGCACTCCATCCTGGGCGACAGGCGAGACTCCAACTCAGAAAAAAAAAAAAAGACTGGCCAGGTGATCATAGATGTTTATAAAATATCAGCTGGCCGTAGTGACATGTGCCTGTAATCCCAGCTACTTGGAAGGCTGAGAGGCAGGAGAATCACTTGAACCCGGGAGGCAGAGGTTGCAGTGAGTTGAGATCGCGCCACTGCACTCCACCCTGGGCGACAGAGAGACTCCGTCAAAAAAAAAAAAGAAAAACAAACAAACAAAAAAAACAGAAGGAAAAGTGAATACTGAACACATATTTCTCCCATCTGCTCTTTGTCCTGAGGCTCCACTAGAATTACGGTGAAGAATAAACACACAATTACAAAAAAGGAATGGGGTTACCGGCAGACCAGAACTCACCTCCACTAGACAATGACAGTAAATGGAAAATAGTTAATTAATGGAGCAAAGCCAACAAAGGTGGAGGTTAGGGGGATATTGACAGCAAGAAGGCAAATTTATCTCACAGCGCCCTGAAGAGGCTCTAGACTCAGACACTAGGTACCCCAGAAAGTGGGACAGATAGGCAAGACTGTAAACAGATTAACAAAAGCCTATATACAGAACACATTTTCCAGGCCCTGAAACACACTGTTCTCCCACATCTCCTTAAGCAGAACCTAAGCAAACATACATCTACCTCAGGCAAAAGAACACAGATTTCATCTCCAGAGGAATGGAGTAGTTCCAGCCATCATTTATGATTGCACCAGGAGATAAGATAGAGGGGTAGGGAATAACAATTGGGAATCAGCCTAAATTCCCACTAAAAGCTACCAGTCTTGGCCACAAAGAACTCCCAATCAGTCTTTCAGTCCTTTTTTTTTTTTTTTTTTTTTTTTTGAGATAGGGTTCCATTCTGTCACCCAGGCTGGAGTACACTGGCATGATCACAGCCCACTGCAGCCTTAACCTCATAGGCTCAACTGATCCTCCTGCCTTAGCCTCTTGAGTAGCTGGGACTACAGGCAGGTGCCACCATACCCACCTAATTTTTTATTTTTTGTAAAGATGGGGTCTCAATATGTTGCCCAGGCTGGTCTTAACTCTTGGGCTCAAGTGATCCTCCCACCTCAGCCTCCCAAAGCACTCAGATTATACGTGTGAGCCACCACACCCAGCCTCCCAATCAGTCTTTTAGTACCTCTCTCAAATATGAACAAAAAAGGGAATTAAAAGACTACAAATGATGAGCAACATAGAATAGATACCTGAGGAAAGGTTTAAAAAAAAAAAAAGACCAAAATAAACTAAGAAAAAAATTTATTAAAGAAAAAAGAGATGCTAGGGAGAGGGCCAAAGAGTATCAAAATAGCTCCTTAAAGACACTTATGAATACAACCATGGAACAAAAATAGAATATGAATAAAAAATAACCAGCGAAGAAAAGGTTCTTAGAACTCAGGGCTCATCTTGGGAGTTGGTCCTCAATGAACCACACCTCCTGTCATCACGTCCTTGGATGGGCCCATCCCACAGTGAGTCTGGGTTGGCCCTGAGACTCACTTTAACCTACAGAATTTGGTAGAAATTATATTGGACCTGTTCCAGATCTAAGCCTTAAGAACACCTGGCAGCTCCACTTCTGTGCTTCTGGAAGCCAAAAATAGGAACTGACTATCCTCTTGGAGAAAGAGAAGCCACATGAAGAGGCCCGAGAGGATGAGACGCTATGCAGAGAGAAAGGCCAGATGAAGAAACACCAAGGCAGCAGACCTGTGGGTGAAGAAGTCGTCTCAGACATTCCACTGCAGCTGAGCATCCAGATGACCAGTCCCTGCCACCGTCTAAACCACATAGTGAGAGCTGCCAAATGAGACCAGCAGAAAACCTGTCCAACTAGCCCCAGTTAAGCCATACAATAGTGATAGATAGGCAAATTTGTTGTTTTATGCCATTAAGTTTTGGGATAATTGGTTAAGCAACAATAAATAAAACTTAAAGCTATGACTGTCCAAATAACATTTCCAAAAGTTGAAAGAAAAATATTTCAGATTTTAAAATTAAAGAAAAATAATTTAGAAATAATATGAGATACAAGACTCAAGACAAGAGGTCTAAAATCCCATTAACGGACACTTCAAAATGAACAAATAAAATGGAAAGGAGAAAGTTAACAAAATTATGAGAAGATTCAAGATTCCAAATTTGAAAGAGCCTATCCATAGGCCTATCCATTTGGTGTACTGAGCACAATGAGTGAAAAAAGACCCACACTAAGTATACTGTTGTGCTGTTTCAGCACACCAAGGAAAAGACAAACTCCTAAAAGCTTCCAGAGAGAAAGCCATACATAAATGACTGAAACTCAGAATGCCATGAGGCTTCACCACCACGACTGGTTAGAAGACAACAGCATAGACTTTGAAATTCTAAGGTAAAATTATCTTCAACCTAGAAATATATAATCAACCAAACTACCAATCAAGTGTGAGGGAGGGTAGAATATAACAGAAGTCAACGTTGATGGGGATGTGCTATGCACCAGGCACTGTTCTAAATGGTTTACTTGTACGAACTCATTTAATCCTCATAGTTCCCCCAAAACATAGGTACTAATATTATTACTGGTTCCCCCATTTTGCCAATGGAAAATTGATGCATAGAGCAATTAGGGAATCAGCCCAAGGGCATACAGCCAGTAAGTAGCAGAACAAAGATTCAAACCTATCACGGTCTGGCTCCAAAAACCAAACACTGGACAGTATTTTTCAGAAGCTAGAGCTCAGAAAATGTACTCCTCCATGCTTTCTTAGGGTTTTACCTGAGAATATAGTCAGGCAAAATGAGAAAGGGTCAGCCAAGAAAGATGGCATGGGATCCAAGAAACAATGGATCTACTGTAGGAGAGCAGATGAGAAAAACCTCAAGATGGCATCTGCACAGCCAACCCAAAGAACAACCTGCCAAGATGGGCACAGAGGAACCAAAGGCTTCAGAAGAAAGGGAAACCTCACAGAAAGGGCTACAACAGAATTTTTTAAATTAAAAATTACTATTATGAGGAAGACACTGCAAAACAAAAAGCTGCACCAAGAAAGGAAATATCCTATCTTAAATATTCTAGAAAACTTGGCTTTACTCTACAAAGTCCTAATGATAATTAGTGATTACTTATATGACTAAAGATAATATTTGAGGAAGGGGAGGTGAGTGGTAAGTGGGTGGTATAAGAGCTAAATTATCATGTATTATAGTAAAAAAAAAATAAATAGGTAATAAATATTTAGATGCCTAAATAGGTAAATCCAGAATGAAATTAGTGATGGTGGTGAGCTAGTGGAAATTTCTGTTGCTTGCAGGAGATAACATTTGGTTTAGTCTTTAAAAAGCACAGACAGACTTAAGGAGATGACATTGCTAGGTGAAGGTAATTGAATAACCAAAGACAAACTATGAAAGAAGCAAGAGCATTTACGGAAACCAGCAATATTAACAAAAAGGTGGTGGTAGAGAGAAGGGCAATTGTTTGCCTGTATAGTAAATACCAGCAGCTCCAAAGAATGAAAAGTTTATTTTTAGTACCTAAAACAGAACAAACAAAACAATTCAATAGGAACAAAAATGAAACTAACTTCTAAATAAGTTGAACAATAAAAAGAAAAATCATCCTAGTTTGACTTTTGCTTGAGACAATTTATTTAGCTCTTGAACACTAGAGAATTTTTACTTTACCTGACCCGTGGGTAGTGGTTGATCTAGCATCTCAACATCCAGGTGCTTAGGAAGGTTATATAAACTGCAGAGTTCACATATCAACCACTTCAATTGCTGACGAAGCTACAAAACACATTTCAGTAAATAAGCATTATGTTAAAGAGCCCTTAGAAGACATCAATAATGTTATGACTACTGTAATCAATCCAGTAGGAAATGAAAAAGTTTGTTACTGCTCAACTGCAGCTTACAGATTTAAAAAATAGTCTTTAAAATATTTTCAGGACCCTCTAGTGTAAGAAAGTTACTATGGCTTGGGGTATAATCACTACAACTGATACCTAGCAGAATGACAACAATAAGGGCAGAGGAAGGAAGTTCCAGACATTGTCCAATTTCTCACTGCTAACCCGTTTTCTGAGAAACTTACAACTTCAGACAAGAGAACATTAATGCATTAATGAGGCTACCAAAAAAATAAAAACAAAAAATAACAGAAAAAATAACCCAGACACACACAGGCAGTGTTGTTACAGATGGATTACAAAATTATATATTCCAGTCATATTCATTTAAAAATACAGAAGCAAATATCTAGTAGACAGAGCCTGGCAATCTAGATGACCTTGGATATCCTATCTAATTCCCTGAGTATGAGTCTACCCATCTGTAAAACAAAGAAATGAAAACTTTCCCAGAATGGTAAAGATTAAATGAAACCTGTAACACTTGATATTTAGTAGGCTCTTAAGTGTCTGTATAAAAAATAACAATAATTCACTAGGAAAACTGCAAAGAATAACTGTAAATTTCCATGTTTAAGTCCAGATTGTTTTCTAAGCATATTTGCTTTCAACAAGTAAGCAAGGTAAATCATGTGCACAAGTATGGTGTTCATTGTTTAAAATGTTTTTCAATGTATAACGTGACTCAAATGGGATCTAATAAGGCAACTCACTTAACTCGGTCAGGAACAGTTTCCTAGGTGGCTCTGACCAAGAAAAGAGATGAAGAGAAAGAAGCAGGTTTACAAAGGACAAAGAAAGAAGACATAGGATTAGAATGGGTTAACGAAGCAAAGAATAAGCTTTCCCAAAGTGGACAACGGAGCAAATGAAAATGAGGAAGGTTGAACGGTAAATTACGATCCAACAAAAATCTTCATGCTTAAACGGAAACCAAGCTCCAGTGTGGATTTGATATCCACCCAATACACTCTATTGCGTGCTAAGTGCATAATGAAGATGAGGCAGAGCAATCCGGACACAGACCTAGACACTCTGGCCTCTGGCACGGAAGGGGCTCCAGGAGTGCTGGGGAGAGAGGCAGCAGGGTAGTGGAGTCATACCAAGCAACAAGAAAGACAGGGTAGTACACTCTCCACGAATTTCAATTTTCCTCCCTTCCCCCACACACCAAAAAAGCATTTGAGGGATGGGAGGAAGAAACTGAGATCACAGGGAAAATAGTAAGAGACATTCAGAAGGACAGGTCTTAGAAAATTACTAGTTTGCGGGGGGCGGGGGTCAGAGAACAGTAGTATATAAAAGAACGCTAAGACAGTTCCCAGGTTTGGGTATGGGTGACTAGTTTGATTATTTCATTTTGTCCCACTCACAATCACAAGAATTACTGAGAAAAAACACGGGGCTGATAGAGTGCTAGGAGGTGGGTAAACGCAAATTTAAACGTCATCATTTTGAATATCCATGGCACTGTAAGTGAGATTCCCTAACATATATGATTTACAGACAGATATATGGGTTTGAAACTCTGGAGATGAATACAGATTTAGGAATCCCTAGAACAGAGATCATGACTAAAGTAATGGGAGTAAAATATTACTCAGAGAAAGCACAGAATGAGAAGAGAAGAAGTAGGCCAAGGGAGAAGAGATCAGAGGAGACCAAGGCAGGGTGATAAGATCAAAACAAGACAGTAATCAGATGGAAGTTCCATTAGATTATCAGTTCCCAGAGGACAGGGACATGCCTTGTCTTTTATACTCAATTATCACAGAGCCTGACACAGAAGCCAATTTTTCTTAATTGTGTTCTACTATTGACAGTTTCCTGTACCCACCAGGAAAGAAAAAAGTATAAACAAGCATATAGATTTTTTTTACATTATATACTAAAGGGGCCAATTATACACAATATTTTATGCCTTGCTTTTTCATTTAATATATCTTAGAAATCTGCACATGCTCTTATGGAAAAAATGGCTGCATTTTTTTTTTTTTTGCCTACAACAGAATATTCTATTATAAAACTATACACTATGATTTTTATTTAACCAACTCTTTATTGGTGGACATTAAGAATGCAGGAATGTTTCAACAAGGGAACAATCAACAGTATCAAAATACTGCAGAGGGGTCAATTTGGGGACTAAGAGAGGAGCCGCTAGTTTTGGCAACTAGGAGATAAATTTTAGTGCAATGATGAAGGCAGAATCCAGATTATAATAACTTCAGCGAAAAAAGGTGAAGACATGTAGCTTATTCTCTCAAGAAACTAGGTTTTGATAAACTGGCAGAGGCTGCAAGAGTGGGAGGTGAGTTGTTTTCTCCTTCATGTAAATATATTCACTTTTAAAAAACTAGGCCCAATTTTATATCCTATTTCATTTAACCTTATGAACATGTTTATGTAATATTTTAGATACTGAAAAATAACTCATTTTTGCTATTACAAAACCGTTATCTTTAGATCTTCAGAAGCAACTTCCTAAAAGGAGGTAGCAGTAACAGAACTATGTCTACCACTCTTTCCCATCAACCCCCTTGCTGGGGATGTAAACATGTGTCCATCTAGCTTTTAATTTTTACCTCTTACCTTCATGGCTCTCCATACAAACCTTAACATACGTACGTACGTGTGCATGTGTGTGTACAGAGAGAGAGAGAAAGAGGGTCTTGCTATGTTGCCAAAGCTAATCTCAAACTCCTGGGCTCAAGCAATCCTCCCACCTCAGCCTCCCAAAGTGCTGGGATTACAGGCATGAACCACTGTGCCAAGCCTCAGCCTTAACTCTTAAAATATCTTTTTTTTTTTTTTGGAGACAGAGTCTTGCTCTGTCGCCCAGGCTAGAGTACGGTGGCACAATCTCGGCTCACTGCAACCTGCCTCCCAGGTTGAAGCACTTCTCCTGCCTCAGCCTCCAAGTAGCTGGGATCACAGGTACATGCCACCACACCCGGCTAAATTTTGTATTTTTAGTAGAGATGGGGTTTCGCCATGTTGGCCAGGCTGGTCTTGAACTCCCCACCTCAACTGATCCGCCTGCCTGGGCCTCCTAAAGTTCTGGGATTACAGGCGTGAGCCATCATGCCCAGCCTTCTGTTCTTAAGAATAGATGTGTTTAAACCAACTATACAACTATAACTTATTTTGACAAAAATCAGAGTTGAGACTCAAACTTCCTCAAATAGTTTTCCTAAGACTGTTTACAGAATAATCTAGCCTTTCCTTATTAAGTTAGAATACCACCTTTACCTTATACTAAATTCTCATTTGCATGACTCTGGTTCTAAATTTCCATTGCCTTTATCTGTCTGGAACAGAGTTAGTATACAACATTTTATTGAACATCTGGTTGAACAAGTCTATTCTTTATTTTTTTATCATTTACCCTTTTAAACAAATGTTAGAGTCATTTTGTCAACTTCCAAAAATAAATCTGCTGGGATTTGTACTGAAATTCATTATATATATATATATATATATATACACACACACACACACACACACACGTATATACACATATACACATACATGTATAAACACACACATATATATATACATTTTTTTTTGAGACGGGGTCTCACTCCGTCACCTAGGCTAGAGTTCAGAGGCACAATCTAGGCTTACTGCAATCTCCACCTCCCAAGCTCAAGCAATCCTCCCACCTCAGCCTCCTCAGTAGTTGGGACTACAAGTGTGTGCCACTACACCCTGCTAATTTTTGTATTTTTTGTAGAGACAGGTTTCACCATGTTGCCTAGGCTGGTCTTAAACTCATGAGCTCAAGCAACCTGCCTGCTTCAACATCCCAAAGTTCTGGAATTACAGGCATGAGCCACTACACACCCAGCAGAAATTACATTTACGAATATGAAGACATGGCGATAAGTGACATATTTATAACATGAAATCTGCTCATCCAGGAACACAGAATGCAAATCTTTCCTTCCACTCAGCAAAATTGTCATGTTCTTGATAAAAGTCGTGCACATCTAAGTTGATTCTTAGGTATTTAATTTTTGTTGAAATACTTAAAAAAATACTTTATCACTATACCTTCAATGTGATTATAGCTAAAATTGTGGAAAGCTATTGACTTTTATGTAACAGAGCTTTCAACCAGTAATCTTAAAAACTCTTTTTTTCAGTTGGTTCCTCTGAATATTTTCAGGTAAACAATCATGTCAGCTGAAAATAATGATGATTATTTTTCTATAAAGACTGTATGACATCATGGGAAAATACAGTAATTTTTTTTTTTTTTTGAGATGGAGTATCACTCTGTTACCCAGGCTGGAGTATAATAGCGTGATCTCGGCTCACCACAACCTCTGTCTCCCAGATTCAAGCAATTCTCCTGCCTCAGCCTCCCAAGTAGCTGGGATTACAAGCATGCGCCACCATGCCCAGTTAATTTTTATATGTTTAGCAGAGACAGGGTTTCACCATGTTGGCCAGGCTGATCTCGAACTCCTGGCCTCAAGTGATCCGCCCGCCTCAGCTTCCTAAAGTGCTGAGATTACAGGCGTGAGCCACCACACCTGGCCAGTAAATGTTTTTTAAAATGATGTAAAACTATATAGACCATGACCTCAACTATTTAAACACATGTATAAAGGTATATGTATTTTACTAGCAAAGGAAAAATATATACTGGTAGAAAATAACCATCATGTCAACAGTGGTTATATTAGGTAGAGAAATTATGGGAGATTTTAATTTTTTTTCCTGTCTATATTTTACTAATTTTCTCAATAATGCTTGCTCATGAGTTTTATAATCAAGAAAAAAAGCATTAAAAACTTTTTCAACATGGAAAGTTATATTTCTTTATATACTAAAAACAAAAATAAAACTTTCTATTCTTTTACTGCAGACTTACAGACCCTTGAAAGAAAAGGCAATTCCCTCATACTAGTTCTGGTGTCATTCTCCCCATCTCTCCCTTCACTCCTACCTTGGTCTTTTTTCTGCTTCCCACCTTGGCTAGTGGTCTCTACCCAAAATGCTTGTTTGGCTTAATGGTTAGAATTCAGGGAAAAAGAGATCCCTAATTTGTAATCTAAATTAAGGTTATACATGTGGGAAATAAAAGAGAGACCAGGTAGTAAATAGAATTTGAAGGAAAAAAAACAAACAAACTAGTCTTTAATTCCTACAAGATTATAATCATTAATCATGCTTTTATATCATATTATCTCTTAACATTTAATTTCTATATGTAATGTTCATGAGGAAAAGAGAAAATAGCTTGGCTTATTTTCTTACCAAATTGTTGTTCTTAGTATCTTCTAGACGTTCCAGAACTGATGTCAGATTTGGGTCTTCAGAATCCACAAACCATATCGGTGAAGAAGATGGATAGGATTCCTGTTTAACACAGAGACACATGTTAAACATTTACATACAGACTAACCCAAATATGCAATTAAACCACACCACTAAACGGCAAGATGACCATGGATTTAAACAAAATGTATGGGGGGAAAAGGCAACATATTAAAAACCTTGTGAGGAGCTGGACTTTTGAGACAACCATTCTCCTTGCATAGCACTGTCTGTTGCTACAGCTCATAGAAGTCAATGATTTTCTTCAACACTGGTAGGCAGCCTCTAAAATGGCCCCGATCACCATCACCTCCTGGCATTCACACCCTTGTAAAATTCCCGCCCCTGGACCTAGTGACTCACTTCTAACAAAGAGAATACAGCAAAAGTAATAACATCACTTCTGAGATTAGGCTACAAAGAGACTATGATGTCTGCCTTGCCCATCCTTCTCCTGCTCTTTCCATTGCTCCCTCTGATGGAAACCAGTTGCCATGTGATGAGGTGCCCTATGGAGAGACCTACATGGCGAGGTATTATAAAAGGCCTCAGACCAACAGCCATCCAGAAACGGAGGCCCAGTCCCACAGCCTGTGAGATGAATCCTGCCAACATCTACATAAGTGAGCTTGGAGACTGATTCTCTCCCTATCCTGCCTTAGGATGATCACAGCTGCCACCAACAACTTCGCTGCCTGGTGAGAGGCCAAGCCAGTGAACCCAAGGTAAATTGCACAAAATCCTGACCCACAGAAATGGTGAGATAATGTTTGTTGCTTTAAGCTGATAAATTTGTTACAGAGCAATAGAAAAGTAATTCAAATACCATAAAATTCTAATGTTTTAATCTATCACACAAACCAAGTACTACCAAGAAATGCCATTACTACATATATATACACACATACATACATACATACATATATATATATATATAATTTTTTTTTCTTTTTTTCCTCGAGACAGAGTCTTGCTCTGTGGCCCAGGCGGAGTGCATGGCACAATCTCGGCTCACTGCAACCTCCGCCTCCTAGGTTCAAGCGATTCTCCTGCCTCAGCCTCCCGAGTAGCTGGGATAACAAGCACATGCCACCACGCCAAGCTAATTTTTTGTATTTTTATTAGAGACGGGGTTTCACCATGCTGGCCAGGCTGGTCTTGAACTCCTGATCTCGTGATCAGCCCACCTCAGCCTCCCAAAGTGCTGGGATTACAGGCGTGAGCCACTAAGCCAGGCCCATATCTTTTTTAAAACACAATTACATGTGATTTCTTTAAAAAGCTAATGAACTAAGCATTATGTGCTTTCACCCACTAACAGACATTTACTCTGTTACTTTGTATGATTTTCTATTATAAATTGGGGAAAAGCCATTATTATCGTATATTAGCTTCAGAACAACTAGGTTCAAGTCATGGAAAACAATTTCACAGAAACGATTTTAGGAAACACTGCTTTGAGAACTATAATCTGATTTATAGCTGAAGCCACAGAAACTGAATATTTTTAAAGCATTTTACCAAATGTTCTTTTAAGAATAAGTTGTATTGATGGAGGACATCATTAATAGTATACCTGGTCAATAATGGGTTATTTACTATTTTCATTCCTCTAACTCTTACTGTGCCCCAAATCTCTTTACAGGCTAAATGAGAAACTCTCCAGAATTAATCCTGTTCTTAACACCACTTATTGAGTACTGCATTTTCTTCTTCAAATTCTTCAGCACACATTGGGAATACACCATCTGGACCATTTTTACTGTTTTAGTTTTTAGGTTTCTTTTCCCTTAGGCTAAAGAAACTGCAACTACACTTAGGATCTCATTATTAGGTTAGTATTTGTCTAGTAAACTTCAGCATAAGCCAAGAAACATACATGTCTTCACTCTGGACTGAAACCCCTCAAAACCATATTAAGAAAATTACAAAAACAATTAACTGAAATCATGTTTTTAATCTTGTAGATGAAAAGATATGATACACTGTAGATCTAAGTACCTATTTCAATGGTTCCCAAAGTGGGGACCTCAGACCCCCAGGTCCAAACTATTTTTACAAGAATACTAACATGTTGACATATGCTGTAAGGGTGCAGATACAATGGTGGGTAAAAACGCTGGCACTTTAGCACAAATAAAGGCGGTAACACCAAACTACTAGTAGTCATGGTATTCTTCACTATGCACAGGAAAGGCTTAAAAAGGAAGGGCAACAAAAGGTCAGTTTCATTTAAGAATGTCTACGATAAGGCTGGGAATGGTGGCTCATGCCTGTAATCCCAGCACTTTGGGAGGCCGAGGCAGGAGGATCACTTGAGCCCAGGAGTTCAAGACCAGCCTGGCCAACAGGGTGAAACCCCATCTCTACAAAAAAAAATAAAAAAATTAGCTAAGCATGGTGGTTGCACGCCTGTAGTCCCAGCTACTAGGGAGGCTGAGGCAGAAGGATTGATTGAGCCCAGAAGGTCGAGTCTCCACTGAGCTGTGATCACGCTACTGCACTCCAGCCTGGGTGACAGAACAAGGCCCTGTCTCAAAAATAAAAAGAATGTCTATGATGAAGCAGTGAAAATTTTACTACATCTGAATCCTTGAATATGTCTTTTTAATATTTCAAGTGATGAAACGGGAAGTATACATGAGCATTCCTACAGACTGCCTGAGAAAAAACCCTTGTGTGACTAAGTCATGAAGTGAATTAACCACTTAAATGGAATACCATTTTTACTTGAAAGGATAACTGACGATGTTATTTCAACTTGGGTTTTTGGCAGTCATTTTCCTCAAAAAATGAGATTCTGTCATTTCAAGGAAAACAACAGACAGGCCATAATAAATTTCAATAATAAAACTGCTAATAATAAAATGCAAGTTTTTGAACAAAAAATTAGAATTTTTGAAAACTTGTATCCACCACCGTTTTCCAAGAATATCCTGATAACATTGATGGCAATATTGATGAATGTATTTTGATACTGTAAAATCAAATGTATCAACATTTAGAAGATCTCGGTGAACCACTATTTTCTAAATGACCAATGCATGATGTTATAATATCATACAAGGGTAAAAGATCCAAAGTTCAAGAAAGACCAAGTTTTGATAGAGCATCAAAAAAGAAGCCTAGGCAACATGGCAAAACCCTGTCTCTACAAAAAAATACAAAAAATTAGCCAGTAAGATGGCCTACACCTGAGTCCCAGGAGACTGAGGGTGCAGTGAGCTGTGATCACACCACTGCACTCCAGCCTGGGCAACACAGTGAACCCCCATCTCAAAAAAAAAAAAAAGAAGAATATCCAGGATTATCTAAAATGGCCATTAAAATATTCACAATTTTTCCAACCAGGTATCTGTATAAGGTTGGATTTTGTTTACATTATTTCAAGCAAATAGCATACAACAAATTAAATGCAAAAGCAAATGACAGAGCAAACATCAATGAAATTTGCAAAAAATTTAAGACTGTGCTACTATTCTATTTTTTGGCTTAGAAAATTTTGTTTCGTAAAAGCACATTTATAATAATATGTGATGAGTTTTTAAAGAGTTAATGTTTTAAATATTTCTGATTTAACTTGTAGTGATAAATACCAATAGACGTAACTTACATAAACCAAAGCCCTTAAGTGCTGAATATATTTTCAAGAGTGTAAAGGAGTCCTGACCCCAAAACTTTGAGAACTGCTGCCTTCCCCTCCACTTTCCTTCCTTCCTTAGAATTCTTTCCTTGGAAGAAACATCCCTTTGCCATTCTATATTAACTTACATAGTTCCATTGAGACCAGTTTTGCTACCTCCCTCCCATCTTTCCTCCTCCCTCTCTTGACACAAAACCTGACCAAAGGACTCTACCAGCCCACCCCATTTCCAGTGATTAGCTGTCAGGTGGGCTAAGCCAAGAAAATCTGGGTTTTCCCTGAAGCTAGACCTCTAGTTCTGGGAGATCTGGAATCACAGGGACAAGGATGGCCACCTTGGGGTGGTCAGAATTCATCTTGCCTACACGTAAGGAGTAAGTTATAACACGGATCTACAATATTGTTGAGTGAAAAAGCAGATTACAAAAAAATCTGATTTTTTAAGGGAGAGGGAACACACATAAGCATCGGAGAAAAGAGATGAGCAGATAACTGGAAAGATACAAAATTCTGATAGTGGTATATTCTGAGTGGTAGAATCATATCTCCTAGTTTTGACTAAATTTCTTTTAATGTCTTACAATAAGAAGGTTTTGTTTTCCATATTATAAAATATCCACCACGCCAGGAAACTTAACCTTCAGCACAAACTCTACATCATGTTCAAGGTTTGTTCAGTTTAACATTTAAGAGAGAATCTACTTTGAAAGACATCTAAAATAATGACCAATATTTAAACCTATGTATTAATATTTTCAATCTTTCACATGCTTTAAGTTTTGTAATTTTGATAAGGTTAACTAAGCTTTATATCTATCTTGAAAAGATAAGTTTGCCTACTATTTCTCTTTAAAATAAATATGACCTATGGTATATCAGTTTTTAAACAGTGAATGGTGCTCAAAAATCCCAATACAAATTCAGGCAGTTTTCCCGTACATAGAATGTTTAAGTGCTTCTAGCACCACTCTTTTTCACCACAGTTATGAAAACACAGAACAATTATCTAAGCATCTAATTACTCAGGTCCTTTGTTCCTCATCCATTCTATTAGTTTTATAGTAATTCTAAGGCCTGTGAGAATGAAGTTGTCTGTGAAGCTACCATAAACATTACTGTAAGTGGACAAATTTCAAACAAGTTCATCACCACTACCATCCCCACCATAAAACTGTCTTAATGGAGGGAAACACAACTCAAGATTAACCAAACCAACCTCTTTACCTGTCACTGCTCAAGAAAAAGATTTTTTTGTCTTATTTAGAAGTAACTTTCTGTATCTATTTTTCTCCATAAATCCACTGAGACCATTGTGTGGCTCTATCTCAAGCACCAGCAACCAAAACTGGTTGACCAGAATGGTCAGTTTTTGTATCTTTCCAAATGTAGGACACAGCTATCTTCAGGGATTTCATCATTTTTTTAAAACTGATGCACAAACTTCTGGAAGGTTCAGAGATAACAGCAGTTGTAATTCTTCTGAAGGCCAGTTATGGGACACATTACTTTCATAGTTTGCTGTTCAATAAATGTGGGGTGGAGAACGAAGTAAATTGACAGAATTAGCATATAGTACCTTAATAAAATTCTAACTGCTCTGACAACAAAAGATACTTAAAATGCATACACATGGTTCCCTGCTAATCATTTTACAAATAAACAACCAAGTAGCTAACCTAGAGCCCACAAAAGCAGAGTAAAAATTCTAACACTTGTTGAAATAAAAATGTTCATATACCCATGATAAAAAGAAAATGCTTAAGTATTCAAACACAAGCAGCAAATTACAGCTACTGAGAACATCATTGTAAGCAAACTGAGGCACAGAAAAAGGTGCTGATGAGGATCTGAACCACCTAAGCTGCAGAAACCCACTGGGTGGTTTCCTAGGTTCCAAGTTGGGATTATCTTTCAGAATCTTCTAGAAGAGATCACATAACACTGTTACAAAGGATCTGGAAAAAGGGACCCCTGCTTTATCACTCTGGCTCTCCAGTCATGCTTGACATTTGGCAGTGACTATCTCCATTCAACTCAATTCCCCACCCCTCAACTAGCTGACATTTATCAAATACTACCCTTTTCCAGGTCTAAATATGTTTAACCAAATTAAAAAAAAAAAATCAAGATACTAAGGGATATACTATTCACAAAAGGGAAACCTAAGTCTTCTCTTCATATATCTGTTCCTTTCAAGGACAGGTATAAAAATGGGGATGAGGGAGCATAAATAACCACCAGGAATTTGACCCTATATTATAAATTGGTCAGATAAACGAAAACAATGATTCTTCTGGAATGAAAGTACCACTTAGGTGCTTAACATGACAGTTCTGATATTTCCAAATGCTCTTCCATGAATTCAATTTGGAAAGGTAATCTGTCCCAGGAGGGCAAACCAAAGAGAAAAGTCTTAGGCTCCTTAGTCCAGGTTTATTTCCTTTGTACAACTTTGACTGGACTACTTTTTAATCATAGTAAAGACTAGAAAAATGCAAGATGAAGTTAACAGCATTGCTTTATTTCCCACAAAAACCTGTTATAAAGCATTTTCAAAATAAAGTGTTATTCAGCCACAAATGACACCATCGCTTTTATATTTGTAGAACATAATATCATTGCCAAAGAGCTTTCCTCTATATGCTCTCTTGCAGTGCAAAAAAATATTATCTATAGTACACAGAAACACAGTAAAAGAAGTGACTTACTTAAGCTCCTAACTACTAAATAAAAGCTAAACTTCTCACTTCCTCCTAGATTCACAGCTCCAACATTTTTAAAATTTAGTATCTTGCTGTTGGGGGTAGGCACTTTTTGGCAATAATGAATAGAAATTTAATTAACCAATCAAAAACAAAGTCCCACTAAAAGCAGCCTAGCAAACAGCCACTTATACGCAGAAAGGGTAATCATTTATGCTCTACAAGTAATATAAAAAATGAAGTTTCATTTGTTTACTAGCTAATTTACTTCCTGGGGGAGATTTTTCATTCTAAAACAGTGATTTCCTACCAAGAATGCCCAGATGCCAAAAAGTCCATAAAAGGAGTAATGGAGTTGCCAAGTTATGTTAAATACTTCAAAACGACTAAAGCCATATACTAGCTCCCAATAAGGCTGCTTAAAACAAGCTGCTTTGCATTTCGGTGTGATTGTAACAACTAATTAGACGGCAATCAGGTTAGTTTACTGAAGATGGAAAAACTATACTTAAGTTTGTATAACAGGCAATCTTTCATATCATGGCTTCACAGAAAAGAATAAAAAGGACTCGAGGTTGAAAAAGAGCACTCTTTTCCCTTCATTATTTAAGATCAGGACAAATTTATAAAACAGGAAAAGAATTAGCTCAATTCCCTTGGCCTACAGAGTAAAACATCTACTCTGTTTTGGTCTTTTTCACTTCTTACACTCTCATATGAAGTCAATTTACAGACTTCCATCAAGCCCTTAGAGACCTTTTTGTACTATCCATGACAAGTTATTGATGTTATCTCTGCACTTTTGACAAATTCTTAGCAGTTAACTTACAAGGCAGTTAAGATTTTTGTTCAAATACAATACAGCTAGAATAGCGCTATATACTCAAATATTTATGAAGCATTTATTGAGTGGAAGATAAAAAGCACAAAGCATAATTATAAAATATTCTCCCCTGCCACCATAAAAAGAAAAATTTAAAGGCTTACAGAATACAGCATAAGAAAACATGACCAAAGCAAAAATAGTAAGGACTAAAGAAGGGAGGAAGGGGAAATAACAGCATGAACTAAATATGACCCAGAAGAGCCTTGACGGATGGTCAGGCATATAAAGACAAATGGGGTAAGGTTAAGGGGTGGAGGTCAGGGGCACATTCTACAGGGAGAAATACAGCTGATACAGAAACCTGAAAGGAAAAGCCAGCAGAGCACCTGTACAGGACTCTTCAGGAACTAGCATGCACGTGTGTAAAAAACAACTTAGTTTCTCAAACATTAGAGAAACTGCATAAGGATGTTTCTTGGTAAGTATAAAGAAAACAAGTCCTAGCATGTAGAATTCAAATATTTGAACTGTCTAAAGAGGAAAAGTTAAAGAATAAGTCAAACTCATTACCTTTTCCAGAGTTACAACTTTAGAGAATAACAAATCATCGATCAAACCAAATCATTTGAAATCCAACCCCATTTTTCCCTTGATCTTTCCCTTCTAAGCAAATGGTATCGACATGAACAAGCCATGTCATTTTATCAAAACAGTCATCCATGTTTAAAAGAGTCTTTACGGCCAGGAACGGTGGCTCACTCCTGTAATCCCAGCACTTTGGGAGCTTGAGGTGGAGTTCAAGACCAGCCTGGCCAACATGGTGAAACCCCGTCTCTACTAAAAACACAAAAATTAGCCGGGTGTGGCGGCGGAAACCTGTAATCCCAGCTACTCGGGAGGCGGTGGCAGCAGAATTGCTTGAACCTGGGAGGCGGAGGTTGCAGTGGGCCCAGGTCACACCACTGCACTCCAGCTGGGACGACACAGCGAGACTCCGTCTCAAAAAATAATAATAAAAAATAAAAGAGTCTTTTACCTTCAAAAGATACAAGCAGAAATATTTACAGATGAAGTGATCTGTCTGGAATCTGCTTCAAAATAATCTAAAGTGGAGTACAGATGAAGATTAGCCAAAAGTTTATCATTGTTGAGGCTGGCTACATTACACTGTTCAACTTTTGTACATTTGATGATTTTCCATAATAAAAAGTTAGCAGACATTTGTACTGAGCAGCTGCCATGATAATTATCTCCTGATAGTCTGTCATATTTCACTAGCAAGTCAATTTTAATAGTTTCTACCTAGCGGTGGGTGCCATTACACTAGTCCTCACTAAATCCTCCTTGTACTGAAAGTGTCTCATTCACTTCTTGCTCCATTTCTGTTGCCACTGCCTAATCCAGGTCATCACTCCTTATTTTTATCTGCAGCAGACTCTTACCAGCCTTCAATATGGTTCTCGATGGGGCACCAGTGGCACTTTAGGTGGGATAATTCTTTGCTGTGGCAGACTGCCTGAACGTTGCAAAACATTTGGTATCCCTGTACTCCTAGCACTAAATGCCGGCACAGCAATAAGACCACCCCACCCCCACTGGGATAACCACATTTCCTAATGCCACCCACTGTAGAGAACCATTTCTAATCCTGGATGAAAGATACATTCTCCCAACTTACCTGAGTAAACTTAGTAGCTCCCCACAGCCTACAAATTCAGTCTCCTATCATTCAAACCAGCCCTACCTTTTCGTGGCCATGCCCCAACTTCTACCAGAGTAATCACCCTCGAAGCCATTCAGGCCCGTCTCCTTAAAACACCTGCTTCATGACAACTACTACACTTTCTGTTTTCCACTCTTGGAAAATCCTCCCCTTCTCCAGCCTGTATCGTGGGCTTCTCAAGTCTTAGCATAAATTTTCTACTTCTAAGGAAACCACACTTTCTCAAATCTCCGTGTCTTCTTTGGGTGGAGTTTCCTCAGTCTAAAATGCCCTTCCGCCAGCCTTCCAAAATTGTAGTCACCTGTGGAAGCTCATCTCTAACTGTCTC
The DNA here is from genome assembly GCF_000001405.40 of Homo sapiens. Taxonomy (NCBI): domain Eukaryota; kingdom Metazoa; phylum Chordata; class Mammalia; order Primates; family Hominidae; genus Homo; species Homo sapiens. Next base: position 75,845,205 of record NC_000015.10, on the reverse strand, counting down.
AGCCTCTCATCAAAGCCTTCCCTGAAGCGCACCTCCCCCAAGTCAAAATTAGTTGCTTTGGCTTTCCTGATGATACCACAGGAGCTGTCACCTTATTGAACTCTTCCCCCAAGAAGACTGAGTTCTGAGAGCGAGGACGACTTCACTCAATTCTGCAACACTAGTGCCCAGAACACTCAGACGTATTCATTCAATAAATGAATTATCTCCTCAGTACAGCACTTGTCTTTTTTTTTTTGAAATTAACACACCTTCTGCCCAGATAGTCTGGTAACCATTTTAAGGTCAATTATAACATCAAGGTTTTTGCAAACGCCAGCCACCCTGCAGGCACTTGAGTACCCACTGACTCAACCAAAGGGAGTTAAAAACAAGACTTGGTTTTAGCCATGTTTGAAAAGGAGCCCGAAGCCACCACCTTGACGCCTATTATAACCAAGAGAATATTCTGCAGTTTGGACCAATATCCTACATCAATTTCACGACGAATAGCTTCACGATACACTTTTATGGAGAAACTTAATACTTCAATTCCTTTACCAAGCCTTGGGTTTCTAATGAGATTTCCGCTTAATGAGTGAGTTTTTAAAAGTGTCTTTTCGGCTTTGTGACATACGTGATCTTTCCGGGGAGCAGCCCTGGCGCGTATCTCCTTTCACCTATCCATTTTCGAGGCTTACACACAAGGGAGGGGCCACACGAATACACACTCAACACCACCTGCCGCAACGACGGTACTATGCTCCTTTCCAGAACACAGCAGCGCGCAGCCAGGCCCGGGGGAGAGGGGTCGCTCAAACAGCACCAGAGTCTGCATTCCAACTTTTCCTCCGTCAACGAGTCCATTCTCATTGTCAGTTTCTCCTTAAACGCAAACTTAAAAACAATTGGCTGAACAAGCGGGAAGAAGGAAAATCCGACTGAAAAATGAGGCGTTAAAACTTAAGGGCCGTTCCCCTTGCCGGCCTGGGCTCAAACAACAGCCGGAGCTGCGCCGCCCCGCCCCGCCCCGCCCCGGTCCCGGGAGCAGGCCGGCTGAGGGCGGCCATGGACCCCACAAGGGCTTGGGCCGCCGCGGACTCCCCCCTCGGGGCTAGGAGACGGGGACCGAGATGGGCCAGAAGCCCCCAAGCCAGCCCCTGGCGAGAAGCCGGAAAGACGCGCCCTCCGCCTCCTCCCACCCAAGCCTCGCGCAGTCCCAGCCCGGCCTGGGATGGGCAAGTCGCGGGGGAAAGGGGCGGGCCTGCCCCGCCCGGGGAGCCGGAGCCTCTCCGGGGCAGGCTCCCCTTTGTCCCGGGACTCGAAGCGCCCCCTCTCCGTCCTCGCCCTGCCCCGCGGGGCCGCGGCCGGGCGCCTCACCGTGATGTTGCAGTGGAGCGTGAGTGGCGGCGGCAGCGAGTGCGGGCTGCCCTGCTGCGGCACCAGGAACTGGCAGTGCAGCTCGTCCAGCTTCCAACTGACGATGCGGAATCGCTCGTGGTTCTTGTCGAAGATGGACGCCAGGAACTTCAGCTCGGCCTTGAGCCCTGACACGGACATCTTCCCCTCATCTCCGGCGGGAGGGGCGCGGAAGGGGAGCCGGGCGCGGAAGGGGAGCCGGGCCCGGAGCCGCCGTCACGGCCGCGACCGCCCCGCGGGGCCGGCCTGGGCCGCGCTCTCGCGGCTCCGCCTCGTCGAGCGCTGCTGGAAAATGGCGAGGGGCGCGGAAGCCTCGGCGTGTGGCGGCCTGGGTGGCGCTTCCTTTGTAACCGACTCCAGCGGCAGGAGGCGGCGGCCCCGCGGCTTAAAAGGGCAACAGCGACGCCGCCCCCGCTACCGCCTGGGAAAGGGCTGCCCCCACCCCGCCCCCGTCCCCCTCACCCTGGCGCGCCCTGCGCGCTCCGGTTTCAGCGCGTGCACGAGGCCAGAGCGCGCGCGCCCGGCCGCCCCCTCCTCGCCTTGACCCAGCTCCCTTGTTCCCGACCCATCTGCTCCGTTCTTCGCACCCGCGGACTGGAGGCTCGGGGCCAGCTGGCGCCCGGGCCCCAGAAGTCGGGGAGGAGCCGGAGACCCCCGCGCGCCCCCGCCCCCGGCCTGGAGCCGGACACGTGCGTGGCGGATCGCGCCGGCCACGTCGGCGCCGCTGCAGACTAGCGCCAGCCCCTGGGGGCGGCTCCTCAGCTTGGCGCTCGGCGCGGCACCCGCTAACCTCACTGGGGGGACCTCGTGGGAGACGCGGGTGCGGCTCACCCAGCGTTACCTCCGCTACTTTCACCCTAGTCCGAGCCACCGCTTCGCTAGCCTGGGTTCCTGTGAGGACCTTCTCACCAGCCTGGGTTCCTGTGAGGACCTTCTCACCGGACTCGCTGCTCCCGCCTTTGCTCTCAAACCATCCATTTACCCAAGACGATGGTTTAGCCCCTGGAGGCTGTTGCCTGGAGGTGTCCCATGATTTCATCCCTTCCCTTAGCTACCACCTGTGTTCACTCTGCCGTATATAGTCTCTCTCTCCCCCCTTTCCTTATTTTGCCTTGTTTCCCAAGCTTAAGATAACCCTCCCCACCCACACCCCCATGGAGCTAGGGCTGCCCACTATTTTCACTAAACTCATAGCTCAAATATCATCTCCGGCACCCCCCACCACAACCCATTTCAAATAGTCACCCTGTGTCACATCGTCCTGTGCTAAGTTTTTGTTGGGCACCTGTCACTATCTGATCTTTAACCCATTTATTCCTTGTCTCTGCCCCGTGTTAATGTGTTCAGAGCTGTATCCCCAGGACCTAGAACAAGACCTGTTATATAGTAGAAACCCGATATGATTGAATTGAATGCTCGCTCTTATCTGGAATCCCCACCACTAGCACAATTCCTGGCACATTGTAGGTGCTCAAAAAATGAATAAAGGTCTGGATAGCAGTCCAAAGGAATACATCCCAATTTGGCAGACAATAGTGTGTGCAATCGTAAGTGCAAGAGGCAGGACCAGCTGCATATGCGTCCAACCTATGTAGTTGCACAGTGCTCCCAGCTTAGAAGGGCTTCGAGCTTGGTTTAATATTCTGGTGTCGCCATTTTGAAATTCGTAATTTTTCAGAAAGGGGCTCCGCATTTTCCTTTTCCAGTCTTACCTAGAGTTACCCAACCCTGACACCTGTCTCTTTCTTCCTAATCTACAAGAGATCCCTGGGCTACTGGTCCCCTTAGATGACAAAATACAGAACAACACAGGGACACATTAAGTCTACTGAAAGTTTTTATTTCCATCTACTTCTGAGATTTTGTATCATGTTATAGTCCTTAGCCTTTAAGAAGACAAATAAACTTTTCCAATTTACCTCAGTAAGTTAGTAGCTCCCCACAGCCTACAAATTCAGTCTCTTATCATTCAAACCAGCCCTAACTTTTCCTGGCCATGCCCCAACTTCTACCATCTTCTACCCCAACTTCTATCTAGCCTTTAAGAAGACTAAGATTCTCACAGACCCCTTTGAGAATCTAATAAAAGCTATGATCCATCTTCCCAGGAAAATACTTCTGCATCTAAAATTTTGTACTTATGGGGATTCATGACCCCAGCACTAGAGCTACCACACTATACACTGGGACTGGGAGAAGAAGGGGTTCCAGGCCTGGGTTCTGAGCCAGAAACAACTAGGCTACTGTATTAGCATTATTGCTGGGTTAAGCACAGAAGTGGCTTGCCACTTTATTTTTCCTTCAGTCCCCAGTTTCTTGGGACCCTAACAGGCATGGCATTCCCAGATAAGGATTTGAGACAAAGAGCAACAAACTCTTGAGAAGTTGGTATGACTTCGAGAAACAAAATTCCCTAAACAAGCTATTTAATCTGTCTAAGCTTTATTTTGTTACCTCTAGATTGCTGTGAGAAAATAGAGCTTTTTAAATTGCAAGTGTTTTTACTAGTTGTATCCCAGAAATATATACAAATATTAATTTCACAGTCGCTTTTTGAGCATCCATCTGCTGCATGCCAAGCTGTAAGAGGGCTAGAAAGATACATAGATACAGTCCCTGATTTTAAGAAGCTTAACATTTAGCATCAAAAACAAAATATTGTTTCCTGATGCTTTTGGCTGCAAATAATAGAAAACTGTGATTTAATCTGCCTTGGACAATAAGGAAATAAATTACTTCACATAATAGGAAGTCCAAAGACAGAACAGTCTCCAGGATTGGTTGACCTGAGCTTTCATGTCATCAAAAGTCCAAATTCTTTCCATCTCTTTTGTTGGGTTGAGAGCAAGGTGGCTGTAGCTGTTCTTGCAGTTCACATCCAGACATGAAAATATCCAGAGGCAGAAAGGACATTTTCTTCTATGTTTCCTTCTAACACATGGGAAGCTTTCCAAGAATCTTCCCAGCAGACTTCCCTTAGTGTGTCCTTGGCCAGAAGTGTGTCACATGCCCACCCCTAACCAATCACAGAGAAGTAGATGGGATTACTCTGGATTTCCAACCTGCTGGGATGGAATGGTTGCTGGGGAGTCACCATAGTCTTACACAGACAAGTAAAGACAACATCAGATCATATGTGATATGAGGTTCAAACTACTGAACTACATTTCAGGGGAGGAAGAAACTAATTCCATGAATTATTTGCATGAAAGTAGGGCCATATTCAGAGGATATTCAAGAGCCCATTTGATTGTAGAGTACAGCAAGGGGCCAAGAGAAAGATAAAGTTGAGATATTACTTTTGATCAGATTTTGAGCCCTGAAATACCATGCCACAGACTATAGTATAATAGTTTCATTTGGTGAGAGGCATCACTTTTTTTTTTTTTTCGAGATGGAGTCTCGCTCTGTCACCAGGCTGGAGTGCAGTGGCACAATCTCAGCTCACTGTAGCCTCTGCCTCCTGGGTTCAAGTGATTCTCCTGCCTCAGCTTCCCGAGTAGCTGGGACTACAGGCATGCACCACCGTGTCCAGCTAATTTTTGTATTTTCACTAGAGACAGCGTTTCACTATGTTAGCCAGGATGGTCTCGATCTCCTGACCTCATGATCTGCCCGCTTTGGCCTCCCAAAATTCTGGGATTACAGGCGTGAGCCACCGCGCCTGGACAAAAGTCATCACTTTTTTTTTCTTTTTTTTTTTTTTGAGATGGATTCTCGCTCTGTCGCCCAGGCTGGAGTGCAGTAGCACGATCTTGGCTCACTGCAAGCTCTGCCTCCCGGGTTCATGCCGTTCTCCTGCCTCAACCTCCCAAGTAGCTGGGACTACAGGTGCCCGCCACCACGCCCAGCTAATTTTTTGTATTTTTAGTAGAGACAGGGTTTCACTGGAGTAATCACTTTTAAGATTAATCTGGGCCAGGTACAGTGGCTCATACCTGTAATCCCAGCACTCTGGGAGGCTGAGGCAGACGGATTGCTTGAGTCCAGGAGTTCGAGACCAGCCTGGCCAACATGGCGAAAACCCATCTCTACTAAAAATACAAAAAATTAACAAGGCATGGTGGCACGTGCCTGTAGTCCAGCTACTCGGGGGGTGAGGTGGGAGAATCACCGGAGCCCAGGGGGTCGAGGCTGCAGTGAGTCAAGATTGCACCACTGCACTCCAACCTGGGCAACCAGAGTGAGACCCTGTTTCAAAACAAAACAAAAACAAAAAAAAAAACAAAAAAAGAAAGATTAATCTGGCATTCATATATAAAATGGATTATAGTGGGCTTAGAAGTATGCAGCCACCGAAAAGAAGCAAGAGACCTGGATTCTACATCTGGCCTGCCATTAATTCAATGGGGCAAGTCATACTCAGCTCTGAGGCTCCTTAGCTGCAAACAATGAAGAGCCTTTGAATCAGTCTGAGTCAAGAGTGAAAAAAATTGAAGTACGGGAAATGGCAGTAGAAAGAACCACACTAGGGAATCAGTGTGGAGTAGAACTGCTAGATCTTAGAAATGACGGGAGGATAGAAGGAGAGAGGGGAAATTTGTTTAAAGTAACACTTTGAAATTTCTAGAGCAGATGGCAGGGAGGGAGTGATGCCATTGACACATCAAGAAAAAGATGTTGAATTTGGTGTGCTGATGGAACGTAGGTAGAGAGTTTGTATCTTAAGTTTGAAGTTTATGAGGGAAGTCAGAGCAAAGGACACATAATTGGGTCAGCCACACAGGTGGGTGATGGTGGAAGCCATGCCATAGGTGTGATCATTGAGTCACAAGGGAGGGAAGACAACCTGGGATGTTGAAGGGACCCTGAGGAAGGCTCACCATTGGTGCTTGAGTGGGAAAAGAGTCATTTGAAGAAGTCAGAGGATGACTCATGTTGAATTTTTATGGAAGGGACAAGTTAGTTCAGGACCAAGAAAAGGCCATAGGCTTTAGGGATTAGAAGGTCAGTGGTGCTTCAGAGAAAACCATTGCAATAGCATGGTGGGCATGAGGTCAAAGTGATGTTAAAGTGAAGAGAATGTACCTAGTCTACTTTCTTGAAAAGTTTCAGGGTGTTGAGAAAGAGAAATGGAATAATGGTTTGCAATAGCAAAGCAAAGGGAAGCTTTTGTGTTTGGTTAGGTTTTTATTATAGGACAGACAGAGATGGACTCACTATGAAATAAGCTTCAGGGCCCCTCGCAGTTACACAGCCCCCTTCTAAGTAAGTATTAACTTTTCCCCCTTAATTTGATATTTGTAATTTTGTATTTTTTTTTGAAGAAGAAGAAGACTCCCAAGATTAAATAAGCTTTAGGCCCTGAAAACCCTGGATCTACCTCTAAGGAGAGAACCATTAACAGGCAATGAAGACTGGATACGAGAGAGGAGAAAAAGCATGCTACTGGGTCCTGGAAGGGAAGAGAAAACATGGGATAAAGAGTTACTCATAGAAAGGAATGCCCCCTCCATAGAGGATAGGGTTGGGGGAGAGAATTGGGGAAGACACAAAGAAATGTTGAGTTAGACTAGAGAGTTGTTGAGAGACCTCATACTGAATGGATAACATGAATTTCAGCAAAACAAGATTGGGGATTAGTACGATAGATAAAAACAGAAGCCAGAGGACAAAGAAGTACTAAAAAAAAAAAAATCTGCTTGAAAACTCTGATCTTGGAGTCTCATCTAGAAGTGCATAAAGGACCGTGAGACTAGGATGGGTTGGGAGGCTGGAAGTCTCCAGGAAGACAGAGCAGGTTCAGTGTGAAAGGAAATATGAGAGCTGCCACAGCCTGCACAGTGGAAGAATTTCAGACTTCAAGAACTTGAATGCATGCAGCCATAAACAAAGAACAAGATCATGTCTTTTGCAGGAACATGGATGGAGCTGGAGGCCATTATCCTTAGCAAACTAATGCAGGAACAGAAAACCAAATACCGCATGTTCCCACTTATAAGTGGGAGCTAAATGATAAGAACACATGGACACAAAGAAGGGAACAAAAGACACTGGGGTCTACTTGAGAGTGAAGGGTGGGAGGAGAAAGAGGAGCCAAAAATATAACTATTAGGTACTGGGTTTAATACCTGGGTGATGAAATAATCTGTACAATAAACCCTATGACATGAGTTTACCTATGTAACACACCTTCACATGTACTCCTGAACCTTAAATAAAAGATTTTTTTAAAAAAAGAACATGAATGTGGAAGAATGCCCAATTATATGTTCCATGCTATTCTGGTCTAACATATTCTTTAAGGCCGTGTTCAAATGCCATCTCCTTCAGTGAGCCTTCCCTAGTCCCCTATATTGAATTTTAGTCCCTCCTTTTCCTGAATTTCCCAGTACCTTGTCTATTACAGCACTTATTTAACTCTGCCTTTGTTATGACTAGCTGGTTTCTCATTTGTCTCCTCTGCGAGATTATGAACAACTTGTCCTAATCCTCTTCATGTCTGTAGCACATAGCCTGGTTCCTGGGACATAGAAAGCACCCACTAAATGATCGTTACGTGAATATAGCCTACTGAAGGTGAAACCCATGTAACATCCTTACTTAGAAAGACTGCAAGTAAATTGTGAGAGAAGTGATCTAGTTTGACTAAAATGTCAGGGAAGTGGTGAGGACCTCTCCCTGTCTAAAGTGAGCACACATCAGCATGTGGCCACTAGGCCCAGACAACCACAGCACTACCCAGGAGGCACAGGAAACTGAGCCCATCCCTGTTGAAATGAACAAGTGACTCATTATTCAACTGCAGCCAACTCAGCCAGAAAGTTTTTCTAAGCTACAATTTTCACAAGTTTGGACTCTGGCTTATAACAAAACTCCTATCTTTGATTTTAGTTTTAGTTAGCAACACTCATCATTTCTCTCTTGCCTGTATTATAAAGGGCTTTCAGACCAAGATGTAAACACCTTGAAGTGGTATGAATTTGGGATATATGCATATGAATGTTATTCTGGGGAGAAGATCTAAAGCACCACTGTCCAATAGAACTTTCTGCAATGATGGAAAGGTTCTATGCCTGCCACAATATGGTAGCCACTAGCCTCAGGTGGTTACTGAGCACTTGAAAAGTGGTTAGTGTGACTAAGGAACTGAATTTTGTATATGTGCTGTCTAAGCAAGCACTGAGGAACTGAATTTTGATTTTATTTAATTGTAATTAATTTAAATTTAAGTAGCCACGTGTGACTGCTGCCTACCATATTGGATAGCACAACACTAGATAATTCTATCATTTTATAATAATATCACATAGAGCTTGATATAGCCATGTCCATCCTTCCTTACCCCTTGAGAGCAGTGACGAGATGTTACTAATTATATCCTCAGTGCTCAGCACATACTTGCCTGACACATACTCAGTTCATAATAAATGTTAAATGAATGAACAAAAAAATTTCACATTTTCTCTGAACTTAGTTTTCTCATTTCCAGAATACAGAGGGTGTGTTCTGAGATTTCTTCTGGCTCAAAAAAAAAAATTCTCTTTAAAAATATTTGTTTGTTCAACACATATTTGTTGAACACCTGCTATGTCCTAAACTACTACTTCTTTGTAGCAACCTAGGAAACCATCATTATGCCCCTAAATAACTGAGTTTCAGAAAAGGGAAGTAATTTGCTTTAGATTATGCAATAAATAACTGATAAAGCCAAAGTTTTAACCCAGGTCTGTCTGTTTCCACCAGTGCTGCTTCTATATAAATTACAATTTTTAATGTAAATATTATAGATAAATATAAAATAGCAAATAAATTAGCATTGAGTGGGCAGGGTGGCATAGGAACTTCACTGGATTGGAATATTTATCTTCCTCTTGGGAAGAGCCATGTTTCTACAGATAGAGTCTTGATTGTTGAGTGAGAGACATCAGCACTTTCAGGAAGATCACCTGGGCCACTGAGAAGGAAGGATGCTCCTCCAGAGTGGGAAGCCCTCCTGACTCCAGTGATGCTGATGATGGGGGCTGGGGGTATCAGCCTGGCGTCTACTGTGGTAAATTGCTAGGAACCTTTCAGAGCATTACATCCTCTCAGTCATCAGCATATGAAAGCCTCAAATGAAAGATTTTCTCCTCATCCTTCCAGTCACATTTATACAAAACATTCTTCTGGAATGTTTAAGGCTACAAACAAGTATACAAGTGTTTAAGAGGTACAAGTGAGAACATCTAGATCTTTCTAGATCTAAGTATAATATACCTTTTACCCAGTGACTTCAAATCTAAGCATGCGTCCTAGAGAACTAATTAAGCGTGCACATCAAGATTTAGTTACCAGAGTGAGGGCAAGAGTAAATAGCTATGAGGCAACTGGAAAATTTGAACATTAAATGTTTGATGATAATATGGAATTGTTGTTAAATTTTTTTAGATGTGACAATAGTATGGCTATTACTTTTTTTTTTTTTTTTTTTTGGAGATAGAGTCTCACTTTGTCACCCAGGCTGGAGTGCTATAGTGTGATCATGGTTCAATGTAGCCTCAACCTCCCAGGCTCAATTGATCCTCCCACCTCAGCCTCCCAAGTAGCTGGAACTATAGGCATATGTCACCATGCCCAGCTAATATTTTTTTGGCAGAGACAGGGTCTCACTATGTTGCCCAGGCTGGTCTCACACACCTGGGATCAAGCAATCTTCCTGCCTCAGCCTCCCAAAATGCTCAAGTGAGCTATCATGCCCAGGTTGTTATTACTATCATATTTTAAAAACGAGAGTCCTTATCTTTTAGAGATATTTATGGATGAAATAAAACCACAAATCTTTTCTTGAAATATTTATTTCAGCTTTTTTTTTTTTTTTTTTTTTTGAGATGGGGTCTCACTCTGTTGCCAGGCTGGAGTGCAGTGGTGCAATCTCGGCTCACTGCAATCTCTGCCTCCTGCGTTCAAGCCATTCTCCTGCCTCAGCCTCTTGAGTAGCTGGGATTACAGGTGCGCACAACCACACCCAGCTAATTTTTGTATTTTTAGTAGTGACGGGGTTTCACCATGTTTGCCAGGATGGTCTTGATCTCCTGACCTTGTGATCCTTCCACCTCGGCCTCCCAAAGTGTTGGGATTACAGGCGTGAGCCACCACGCCCGGCCCCAGCTATTTTTATCATAGTAAAAGAAAGGACTCAGAGTCTTAGAATTGGATGTACCATACATTTTAATACAACCACACAATGAAATATAATACAGTCATTAAATGAGGTTGTGTGTATATCTGGAAGGATACACCAAAATGTTAACAGTGGTCATTTCTTGGTAGTGACTTCTTAGGTGATCTCAATTTTCTATCTGCTTCTTTATATTTTTTGAAATATTTGTATTGGGTTATTTATGTAATTAACATAAATATATGATTTTAAATTGGTTTATAGACATTTAAGATAGAGAGAGGTAAATCAGAGAGGAATTTTGCAAAGAAATTTTAAAGGCCCAGTAAATATGTGGCTGTTGTTTTTTCTACCACAAAAAGACACCTGAAACAGATGCTGCTCAAGGTTGAATTACAAACACTTAAACTTCAGGGACCATGACAAACAGCCAATTTAACTGACACTTTTGATGTTTTATTTTCCATTAGGAGAATTCCTGCTCCCTAGACCAAGCTGAGCGAGGGCTTTGGGTTTAGGTTACAAGGTCTTACATAGGGTTTCCTCCTCTGGTTTATTTGTTGGTCTTTCATTTAGCCTGTGGTCATTCTCTGCAGAGCCACTGCAGTGTTAATCAAGACCTCCTCCTGCTCATACTCCAGGGCTTCAAGGTGGTGCTATGTGCGGGAGGAATTTATGGAAATTCAGTCTTGATTTCATGTTTGGAGTTTACCGTAATCATTAATGCACTATAGAACTTTGACTAGCCAATGGGCCTAGAATCTATAGTCATCTCCCTTGTTACATTTAGGTCTCATCTTGCAAGATATAAAAAATTAAGTGTAACAAGCCCAGTCCTTCAGACCTAATGGACCAAGGGGAAGATAACCTGGCTCACTCAAGAAGGGGTGTTTTTAACATTTACAAACATGCTTCTCCTGCTAAAAACCTTGGGCTCCACTTAGTGATGATGAAAATAAAACCTGGAAAAAGACTGTTTGTGGTAGAAAATCAGAGAAGTGGTTGGGGGACTGGGGGTGGATTCTGGCTCCTTTGGTCACTCCCCATATAACAGGTGTCCAGTAACACACTCTAACGGAGCCTTGGTTTCTTTGTGTGTCAAGAGGTGTGTTGGATAGACAGGGTTCACATTTGTATCATTCAAACACTTGCTTAGTTTCAACAATGTGAAAGGCAGTTGCACATAGCTCTAGAGACAATAAAGATCAAGAAGCTTATAGGCCTAAGGGCAGAACAAACATGAACACCAAAAAGATCAATGTGAGAACTGGAGGATAAGTAATACGTTTTTTTCTGCTGCCCCCCGCCCCCCTCCCTTTTTTTTTTTTTTTTTTTTTTTTTTTTGAGATGGAGTCTCGCTTTGTCATCCAGGCTTGAGTGGCACAATCTGGGCTCACTACAACCTCCGCCTCCCGGATTCAAGCGATTCTCCTGCCTCAGCCTCCTGAGTAGCTGGGATCACAGGCGCCTGCCATCACGCCTGGCTAATTTTTGTATTTTTAGTAGAGACGAGGTTTCACCGTGTTGGCCAGGCTGGTCTCAAACTCCTGACCTCAGGTGATCTGCCCACCTCAGCCTCCCAAAGTGCTGGGATTACAGGTGTGAGCCACACCGCGGGCCCGTCCAGTTTTGGAATGGAGAGTGGAAGGGCAGGGGAGGCAGAAATACTTTGCCTCAATTGAAGAACTGATTTATTTTCTACTTTCTAAATATAACAGTTATGTTATTTAGTTTCCCTCTAGATTTCCAGGAAGCCCAGAGGTAGCCTTAGTTTGGGTTCTCCTAAAAGTAAATGCTGAGATACACATTCTAGTGCAAATAATTTATTTTGGAGGGGACCCCAGGAAACACTCATAGAGGATTGGGAATATGAGATAGGGAAGCCAAACAGTTTACCATGTAGGCCACTGTAGCTCAGTCCCTCCAAGGACCTCTGGGGCTGTTATAGACTGTCAGTTATCCCAATCTTGGAGGAGAAAGCTGATGTGTTTATTTCCCAACTCCCCATTCGTTATTGGTGATGGGCTGCTTCCAGGGGCATTCACCCTTTGGCATTTCCAGTTTGCATTGTGTGTGTCCAAACACACCCCCATGATAGAAGTCTGCAAATATTGGCAGTCATCTCTTTGACTCTTAGTTTTGGATATTCATGGTCTCTCAGTTATTCTCCCCAACCCCAACCATTGTACCCTTCCATAGTAAGAGTTTTCAGTGGACATGGAGCTACCTAACCAGAAACTACCTTTTCTAACTTCCCTAGCCCATAAGTATGACCAAGTAGCTAAGATACGGACAATAAGGTGTGCCTGGAAAGGATGCACACCACTTCCAAGTCTTCTCTTTAAAAGGCTGGGACATGCACTCTCCTACGCCCCCGACCACTTCCTGCTTCCTTCTGGTGACTAGCTGAGACCAGAGAGCCATCCTGGACTCAGTGATGGAAATCACATGTTGGTGAAGCAGTCACCTTTCCAGGTCTTGAATGTATTTCCTGACTGTTATGTAAGAGAAAAATTAACTCCTTTCTAGTTTAAACACTACATTTTGCTGTCTCTTTGTTATATCACCTTAGCTTGTACCCTAACCAACACACTCCCTTTCTCTCAGGACTATTTTTCCTTTTTAGCCTTATTTTATTACTCTTATTGGATTATGTCTTTTAGCAGGACTCCTTGTGCCCTTCCTGGAAAGAGATAAGCAAGTAAAAAAAAAAAAAACCTAAAGAACAGTTAAACCCCTGTTATTGATATTTGCCATATTCGTGGCTGTCAATCAGGCTTTAAATCATCTCTTTATGTTGGGGAATGTTCTGACAAAGGTAAACAAAACCACTCATTAAAGTGGTAAAAACAGGTTTTACTCAGTAACTACTGACAGAAGGGGAAAGAGTGGAGCTCCATTCCAATTTGTGCAGAGGTGCATGGGTACTTTAAAGAAAGAATGAGGCCGTAGGAGGGGGATGTGAACAGGGACTAAAGTGAGAAATGACAAAGGGTTGGTCAGTGTGAGTGAGATTAGGCCAGCTGTGCCTGCTAGCTGCCAATTATCAGAGTTAGGAATCTAGCCTCCCACAGTGACTGGAAGACAGAGGTCCAGTCCTTCTTGCTTATTACATTTCAAAGGAATGGCTTTTGGGTCCTTGAAAGAAACACTCCCAAGTTGTAGGAGATATAATACATCTATACCTCAAAGAGAAAGAGAAAGCATTCACAATTGTAGGCCATTTTTAGTAAATGCTGTACTAAGAAAGGTAGGGGCCTAACTCAGGTGTTGGCTAAAACAAATAGTAAAAATTTTTGACAGCTCTGAGCTTTTCCAGACAAAAACCCAAAAAGGGGCTAGATTGTCCCAGGGACACTGACTTAGGCTGCCAGAAGCCATGTTAAAGTTTGGTCAAGTCCCGTAGTGCAGGGGTTTGAATGGAGTGTTTGTGCCAAGAGTTTTATGCAGTCCTCAGTTCCCAAATGAGGAATCCCACCTCCTCAATGCAGAAGTCAGAACTCACATCTCCATACTCCCTTGTAGGTAGGATGCAGGCATTTGGCCAGGTTTTCTCTATATTCCTGGAAAAGGATACCAGGCTCAGGGAAAATGATCTTTAGGAAGGCCTGGTGGTGAAGATATAGGTATGTGGGGGCAGCAAGGCTGTTTCTGCCGAGGAGGCATATAACATTTGTGCAAATACTGCAAAGGGAGTTGCTCGAGCTCCTGGAATCGACTGCCACCAACAAAATGAAGCCTCGCTGCTAGGGTGATGCTGACGGGAACAGGGGCAAAAACGGTAAAAGAATAAATCCTTCTCCTTTCTCCAGCCTTTCAGTCTCCTTCAAGCACCCCTTACTTCCCTGTAAGCAAAGAAGAAATGCCAACCCAAGCCAAGAATAGAAGGGTGGGTTAAAAACTGAGAAGCAATAGCATAGTAACCAACACAGATCTGAAAAGTAGAGACGTCATATGCTTTTAGGTGTACATTATTTTGCTCACTGAAATAAATATGCTTATTTTCTTGATTTATCTCTTTTCTTGTGGGCCTAGCCTCTCTCCCTAAATGGATTTCTCCATTCCCATGGCTTTGGTCACCATCTCGGTGACCTGACCCCTAAATTTTTTTTTTGGTTTTTTTTTTGAGATGGAGTTTCACTCTTTCACCCAGGCTGGACTGAAGTGGCACGATCTTGGCTCACTGAAACCTCCACCTCCCCAGTTCAAGCAATTATCCTGCCTCAGCCCCCCGAGTAGCTGGGACTACAGGCACCCACCAACACACCTGGCTAATTTTTATATTTTTAGTAGAGACGGGGTTTTGCCATGTTGGCCAGTCTGGTCTCAAACTCCTGACCTCAGGTGATCCACCCACCTTGGCCTCCCAAAGTGCTGGGATTACAGGTGTGAGCCACCACGCCTGGCCAACCTGACTCCTACATTTCTATTTCTAAAGCAGATCTCTTTTCTGCACTGTAAGTCCTACACATCCAACTGCCTTCTCTGATCTTCTCCTCTTTGTCTCCCAGGTCCCTCAATCTTAACATGTCCAATCTTGGTCTCTTTTTGAGGCTTTGACTCCTGCAGTATTCCCTAGCTCCAGGAATGCACCCCCATTTCCCCCGTCTTATGCCAACACTGATGGTTACTCTTGGTCCCTCCTCTCTTGCTCATTTCTCACATTCACTGAGTACCAAGTTCCTTCTAAATGCTTGTGGATGTCTTCATTTCTCCCCATCTCCACTAGCCCTGCTCTGGTCCAAGCCACCATCCTCTCTTACCTGAGATGTTGGAGGAGCCCCCTAAGTCACTGCCTGCATTCACTTTTGCTCCCACTAGTGAAATCTTCTCAGTGATCTTTTTAAAATCTGGTCAGCCAGGTGCGGTGGCTCATGCCTGTAATCCTAGTGCTTTGGGAGGCCGAGGCAGGTGGATCACCTGAGGTCAGGAGTTCAAGACCAGCCTGGTCAACATGGCGAAATCCCATCCCTATTAAAAATACGAAATTAGCCAGGTGTGATGCCATATAGATGTAATCCCAGCTACTTGGGAGGCTGAGGCAGGAGAATTGCTTGTACCTGGGAGGAGGAGTTTGCAGTAAGCTGAAATCGCGCCATTGCACTGCAGCCTGGGCAACAAGAGCAAAACTCAATCTCAAAAAAAAAAAAGAAAAAGAAAAATCTGGTCATAACACTTCCATATTTAAAAACCCTCCAGTGGTTTCCCTCCACTCTCAGGATAAAGTCCAGAATCCTGACCACAGCTTGCCAGGCTCTGAATGGTCTGACTCTGCTTCCCAACCCATTGTATCCCCCAGACCATTTATACACTAGGCCACAGGTTTATTTTCAGTTATTTGAAAGCTTTATCTCTTTCCTGCCTTTGTATTAGGCTGGTGCAAAAGTAATGACAGTTTTTGCCATAATACATCTCCTTCCCTCTACCTCAATTTCACTTCCCATCTCCCAGACCCTTCACCTCACTATCTTCTACTCATCCTTCAAGTCTCAGCTTAAATGTCATTTCCTCAGAGAAGCCTTCCTGGATCTCACCACCATCATTGCCACTTGGGCTAGGTAAGGCATGTTTTTATAAGCTCTAATAGTGCCGTCTAATTCTTCTTGGCATTCATCATCTTTGTAATTGTTTATTTGCATAATTTGTTTAATGTGTCTTCTCATTACATTTAAGCCCCGTGAGGACAATGTTGGTCTTGTTCACTTCTACTATCTAGCTAGCATACCTCACAGTGCCAGGCACGTAACAGTGCCCAACAAATATTTGGTGAATGAACGAATGAGTGAGAAAAGATAATTACTTTGAGAGGCAGCATAGCATGGTAGAAGTCACATTGGAGTAGCAGCCACAGACCTGGGTTCTAACCCTGGTTTCATTTCCTGGGTAATCTTCAGCCGTAATACATTTCATTACGCTTCAGGGTCCTAGTCTTTAAAACAAAGGAATAATGGTCTCTGAGATTTCTTCAGTTTCCAAAATGCAATGAGTGTTACTTTTAGTGATGACCCAGTGACCGCATGAAAAGGTGTTTGTATGTTGACTCCAGTTCTGGAAGGGAGAGCAATACCTTTCCCCAGGCTCTCTGATTCGCCTTTCCCACATCCTCCCCATCTCACCACTTTTGGTTTGATTACGAAGTAGATATCCCTGTCATTACTATCAAACTTACAGTTGACCGATGTGTTTGGGAGATTAAGAAATGAAAGAAGTTGGCCAGGCGCGGTGGTTCACGCCTATAATCCCAGCACTTTGGGAGGCTGAGGTAGGTGGATCACTTGAGGTCAGGAGTTTAAGACCAGCCTGACCAACATGGTGAAACCCCATCTCTACTAAAAATACAAAATTAGCTGGGCATGGTGGCGTATGCCTGTAATCCCAGTTACCTGGGAGGCTGAAGCAGGGGAATTGCTTGAACCAGGGAGACGGAGGTTGCAGTGAACCAAGATTGCACCATTGCACACCAACCTAGGTGACAAGAGTGAAACTCCGTCTAAAATATAAATAAACAAATAAATAAAAACAAGAAATGAGAGAAGTTAAGGTGTGTCAAGCTTCCAGAAAAGACAGATAGCTTCCCCTCTCAGGCTTGAGAATTATAGGGTCAATTTAATGCAAGTCTCTGGAATGTTTCCCATCCTCATATGCTCTTGTGATGCTTCTATTGGGGAAAAGCCTGTTCAGATAGGAGCAGGGAATGGTGCTGAGGGCAGAAGCTGTCATGAATCCTCAGTTCACTCACTCACCATGGGCCCTGGGATGGGTTGGGGCTCGCTTGCATGTGGGTGTGTCAGGCATTCTGGGAATCCATGTCAAACAAAATCACTTCTCTACAACAGGAAGGTCTGAATCACAAGGCACTGACAAGTCGTTTAGTTTCCTCACCCTGCTCCCTTGAACTCTCCCATCCCCACTCCCCAACTCACCCCAGGGATCAGTGTACCTCCTATGCAAGTGGTGCCAGCTCCAGCCAGAAAGAGCTAGGTCCTAATACCTGCCACCCCCAGCACGCTCCCCTGGGCTACTCTTAGTCACAGACCATGCAGTTCGGGGTCTTAAAGGTCTTCTTCAAGACAGCACAATTATATTTAGAAGAACTGCAAAAAGCATTTGCCCCCAGAAATCCTGTGGCCCCATTGGATAACAATACTACCTATTCGAATGATGCCAGCAAGGACTCTCTTCTCACATTCAGGAAGGTAAGGAGGAAAAGTGTCAAAAAGATCACCCTGCAGACAAAAATATCACATTCCCACAAAATCTGAGCTGTAATGAGCTTCTTCAGAGAATTATACTTAATTGGTCACTTTTCTAAGGTGGAATGACTTGCCAGTTTGCTCAGCCTAGGGCAGACTAGCTGCGTAAGATTGTGTGCATTATTCAAGCAGAGAGTACCTGGTCTGGGGAGCTGAGAGCCAGCCCACACTGTATTTTTTCAAGCCATGTGTTTTGGGGACTGTGTCCTTCCACAGGCCAGGCCTTTTTCTAATTTGCACAAAGGTGTTATGTGAGCTATTGGTTGCTCTGGCCTAGGCCTCCAAATCTGGAAGGGATAATGACCATGTAAGGAAGAAGCACGGGTTCATATCATGCCTTGGGTCCTCTCCTTATTTTCACCTCCTGAAAAATGTTATCTTATTTCTCCAAAATAATGTCAGGTCATTTATTCAGTAAACACGGATTGTTCGTCTTGTCTGTGCCGGACAGGGTACTATGTTAGGAGGCTATATCAGAAAACATTTCCCAAGAGAAATTCAGAAGGCAGATTAGGATAATTCAAGGAGGAGATTTATGAACAAAATAACAATTTATAAAGGCGAAGCTGTTGGGGGAATAGTGTAGTGAGAGCTGGTAGCAACCAAGCTCTTATCATCCCTAGGCTTGAAGACTCGAGGGGAGGGAGTGATTACTGAAATCAGTTGGAATAAGAGAATGACGGAGAGCAATGTTGCTCAGAGTGCAATTTGCACACCTGTGCAGGTCTTGCAGGTCTCTGCACACTGTTGACAGTCTATGATAAGATATGTACGGCAATTGAAAGGAGATGTTTAGAAATTTTCATAACAATTCAACATTGCCGTAACATCAAAGTGTGTGATTAGCGTCAGAAAATGTAGTTTGGAGTTTAGGCTTTGTGTAGGAATGTGTCCAGGTAAAGCAGCTTAAATGACAGGGAAACATTCTGGGATACTTACTCAGATTGAGAAGCTTGCACCAGGGCTGGGCGCAGTAGCTCATGCCTGTAATCCCAACACTTTGGAGGCTGGGAGGCTGAGGTGGGCAAATCGCTTGAGCCCAGGAGTTTGAAGACCAGCCTGGGCAACATGGCAAGACCCTGTTGCTACAAAATACAAAAATCAGCCAGGCATGGTGGCGTGTACCTGTGGTCCAAGCTACTAGGGAGGCTGAGGTGAGAGGACCACCTGAGCCCAGGAGGTCGAGGCTGCAGTGGACGACACAGTGAGACCCTGTCTCACAAAAAAAGAAAAAAAAAAGCTTGCACCAGAATGCAAGTAAATACACTGCTTTCCTTCTTGAGAAGTCAGGTTCCCTGTCCCACCTCCCATAACAACAAATGAATGAATGAATGAAGGTCAGCTAAGCTTTCAGTGTGCTAGGTGACACAGTAAAAAGTGTTAATTCTATAAAGGCTTGCTAATGTGTTCAGTTTGAGATTGTTTTCTTTACTCTGTAATAATATGGAATGCTGATCATAAACAATTGTAATTATATGCTGACATATGATGGTTACTTAAGGGAAAAGTTCTGTCAAGAAGATTTGAAGGATAGAGTGAAGCTGTGCTTCTGCAAGACAGAAGACCAGTGTAGCCCCAACTTTTTCAGGCTGTAAATTAGACAGCCAGATCTGTTTTCTTGTTTGACATCTTGAGTATTTTAATGATGTTAATACTTTCATGCAAGGAAGAAATACAAGCTTAGAAGAACAGAATTTTTACAAATTGGGATAGTGCATTTCATTTCTTAACAGTTAGCGAAGTTGGTGGTAATTCTGATATTGCACATATGTTAAAAGTTAACAACAAACATCTTACAAATCTGATAGAACATTTTCAATTTATTTTTCATCAAAAGGAGATTCACACATAGGAAATGAATGGATCCAGAAGTATCACTTGATAGAATAAGTTAATCATGCTGGCTTCTAATAAAGGATTGGAGATAAATTTTGAAAACATAGCATTACTTGCCTAATTTTTTTTTTTTTAGATGGAGTCTTGCTCTGTTACCCAGGCTGGAGTGCAATGGTGCAATCTTGGCTCACAGCAACCTCCACCTCCCGGGTTCAAGTGATTCTCCTGCCTCAGCCTCCCGAGTAGCTGGGATTACAGGCGCCCACCATCATGCCCAGATATTTTGTATTTTTTAGTAGAGACGGGGTTTCACCATGTTGGTCAGGCTGGTCTCGAACTCCTGACCTCAGGTGATCCACCCGCCTCAGCCTCCCAAAGGGCAGGGATTACAGGCGTGAGCCATTGCACCCAGCCCACCTCATTTTTATAGAGATAAAAAATGAATAGCCTGAGCCTGCTGAAATTGCTTCAAATCTCTTCTATGCCAGTTTTAAAAACATACTTTTTAAAACTGACTTTTCTACTATAAGTGTAATTTTTTTCAATGTTGAAATCATTTGTATATACTTCTTACTATGTGGGTATCAATGTTGTCAATCCAACCTAGATCAGATAAATTAAAAAGCAATTTCTTTGTCACATCGAAAACTTAATGTATTGATATATGTATTGCTCTTTGAGAGTATTGTAGGCCTTTAATGTGGGCAATTACTATATTATCATCATTTTTTATTTAGATATGATTATTAACCTATAAGAACTTAGCCACGTAGCAGCAATTCTCTATGTTAATCACCTATATGCAGACTTTCAATGAGCAACATATGTAGTTTTTTTGTAATTCTTTTTTCCCCTATGTTAGATTTTTCCTGATTATCTATTTTTTAATACAACTTTATGACTTTAAATGTAGGAATAGAAATCTAGTTTTATATCTTGCAAGTTATTGCTTTTTAATTTTTCTAATAATATTTTAATAATTCATGTTTCACTGCATTTCGTAAAAGCACTATGGTGCACTTCATTGTAAGTAATATAAAACAAACCAGCTCTTAACCCCAGATAGTCTAAGGCATGCTCCTGTGAACTTCAGTGAGGGATGCTGCTAGTCTACAGCCATCCCCTAGGGAGGGAGCCTCAGGAACAAATGCCCTGACTGCCCTCCCCTCCTCCAGTCTCCCACTGGGGCTTTCTCCCACTGGCCCAAACCAATCAGAAGCCAGAGGGCCTAGGAACCCTATAGATGCAGTCCTTACAGGTCAACCTCCAGGACAGAGGGCAGGATGGAGGACAGGAGAAGGGATATCTGGGAGGGCATAGGGATCAAAATAAAAGCCACAGTTCGTGTCCCAAGGTGCAGGTTATTTTATAGAGTCATAGGCAGATAGACAATTAGAGGCAGTGTAATCAGTGCCAGGATAGAAGGAAAACTGGGGTGCTATGGGAATACGTATCTAACCCAGGGCACATCTAATGCAGCCTGGGTGTTCAGGGTCAGGGGTGGAAGGGGATAAAATGGCTTCCTCGGGAATGTGACGTCTGAACTGAGGAATGTGGGAAGAACAATAGGCCAGGAGACAGGCCAGCGGAGAGTGGGGGTAAAGGTGACAGCCCATGCAGGCACGGAAGCCAAATGACGTGAACAGAGAATGCAAGCAGGTAAGGCAGGACAGCTGGGCTTGCTCAGATCATGAGACATCTTATCCTCAGGCCAAGAGCTTGACTTTATCCTGAAATAAATCAGGTAGAAATCTCAAGCTACCGAAGGAATGATTGAGAAGGTTTTGAGTAAAAAAGTTTTGATTCAAAAAGCCAGAGGAAAAACAGCAAGAAGCAACAAAGTTTAGATTCAGGAAGGAACAGAGATGATTGTAGTGATAGCTAAGTCTTAGAGAGGGCTTATTCAGTGTGCTGCCATACACTGTCCTAAGCTCTTAATATGTGTTAATTCATTTAATATTTCCAGTGATGCCCCCAAATAGATACTGTTATCATTCCCACTTTACAGATGGAGAAACTGAGTCACAGAGAGGTTGGGGAATAGCCCCAGTTCACACCACCAGCAGTAAAAAGAGCCAGGATTTGAATCTAGGCAGTCCAGCTCCAGCATCTGTGCTCTTAACCCCATTCTGGGGTGGAAGAGCAAGCCAGCGTAAGGAGACTGAGCACAGGGGTGGGAGATAAAGCCTACATCGGCTTCCTCACTGTTTCCTCTATGGAGAGTCCAGTGGGCATGAAAACCATGGCAACTACCCTCTTCCAAATCAGCTATTCCTCAATGCCTTATTTGTCCTAAGACGCCCAAACCTGTCATCTGTGCTGAATGTATTTTCCTCATTTCCATTTTGCATCTTGGCTTATGCTATACTGGCAAGGAGGCAAGAGGCAGGAGACCTAGACCCCAGTCCCAGCCTGACTCTCTGGCCCTGCTCAGGTCACTAACCCGATAGGACACCTGCCTGAAGCAAGCTTACTTCTCCCAGTGGCTCCCCTTTTGTCTTTTTGTACCACCTGATACAAGTTTGCTGTCTTTGCATTTTCTCTGCTTCTGGACATTTTGGCAATTGTTAACTACATTATTTCATTCTTGGTCTCTGAATCCAGACGTTTGCTTTTCCAATTGATCCATGTTGCTTATGAAGTGCCTTGTCATCTATTAATCCAGGATAGTTACTGAGTTATTGTAGGTGGCACAGCCACCAACTTGGTGTGTGTGTGTGTGTGTGTGTGTGTGCGTGTGTGTGTGTGTGTCTCCTAAGGGAACAGAACACTGCTGAGTTCAGGCTGATTATTAGCTCGTGGACTGTCAGCAAAATACATTCACAAGAAGGCTATGTGCTGATTTGTCTTTCGCAGTGAAGTCATGTTGCTCATGTTTTATGTTTTTCAGAGTTCATTAGTTTCTATTTGTTCTCAATTAATATCCAGCTCAATAGATTGTGTAAGTGGAATACCCCCAAATTGAAATTCACCCACTTAAAATAAAGTGAAAAACATGTCACCCATTAAACTATAGTTGAAAATATGTACCCATTAGTTCTGTGTACCAAACACTGGATAATGGGTAAGGGCACAGGATCCCAGGGCTAGACTGCCTGGGTTCAAGTTCTGACTTAGCCACTTGCTGGCTGTGAAATACTTGACAGCTTTAGGCCTCAGGTTTTTTTGTTTTTTGTTTTTTTCTTTCTTTCTCTTTCTTTCTTTCTTTTTCTTTTTCTTTCTTTCTTTTTTCCTTCCTTCCTTCCCTTTTTTTTTCTTAATCCCAAAGGTGATAGTAAGCCTCAGTTTCTTGATCTGAAAAATAGAAATTATTCAATGATAGTCTATGTGAAAACTTTAAAGCACACTGCCTGGCTCAGGAAAGTCCTCAGCTTTAGCCATTATTAGCTACGATTACTATTGTGCTGGCTACATGTGCATTAATGAGGCAGGAAAATGCTCAAGGATAACAACCAAGTATCCAAATTACCTCATCAGACCAACAGAGATGCATGTGTGTGCATGCTCATGTTTCAGCTCAGAGCCCTTTGTCTAGAAGGCTCTTGAACTCAGAGGCCGAGGCAGTATCAACTTTACTTTGCAGTGGAGCCATCACTTTTGTTGATCAATTAAATTGACATACTGCTTTTTTTTTTTTTTTTCACCAACCATATGCCTAGAGCTATCTGTGTCAAGAAGAGCATGCTTCAGTTGGCTGGAGTGAGCAATTCAACTTGTGGAGGAATGAGAAATGACAGTGTTGAGACGAGAAACATAAAACCCCAGAGTAAGGTAGGAATCACTGAAAGTCAGGCAAAGGAAGTGGCGTCCAGTAATAAGTTAGGCTTTGCCAGTCTCTGGCCCTACAGATGGCTCTTTGGAGAGGAAAAAATTAAGCTAGGCCTAAGGCCACAGATCCTAAGGGACTGCCGGCAGCTCGAGGCTGTCTATGGAAGAGAAGCAGGGGGTGGCACCTGGTTGAAAGAGGGAGCTGGGGGACATGGCTTGAGCCTGTGTTTAGAGATGGAGTCCCCTGATTCCTGAGACGAGAAGGAGATCATACCCAGATCAGAGGACCTCAAATCAGAATTCTTCCCACCCACACCCCCTTCTCTTCAGGGCATCTTTGACTGCAAACAACAGATAAACTAGTTGGAAAGCTCAGCAGATTCTCACAATGGTGCCTAGCAGGCCAGGCCTAGCTGCCCTTTAACCTGTGACTGAGGGTGATGCCACTGGCCCATATGCACACATTGGAAAATCTTTACATCCATGGACATGCCATGCCCCACAGAGACAGCTGTGCAGGGTTCTTTAGGTTTGGGGTGCTGTGCCACATGTTGCCTTACAAATATGTAGGATTAAAATGGGATGTCCTGGAGCTTAGCTAACTTTTACCCCACCCCACCCCCTCTAAAATGAAGTGGCTGCTAGTTTTGTTTTCTTTATGAAAGATGGATCTGTCATTGTTTTTAGAACCTTTGGAGAAAGATTTATTGGGAGGAAGCTCTCCTGAACCCTCAGAGACTCTTCTTATTTACTGGAGCACCAGCTTTAGAGTCCTAGGTCTTCATCCTGGCTCAGCCACCCTCCAGCTGTGTGGCCTTTGAGAAGCTGCTTGACTACACTGAGTCTCATTGTCACCTATGAGTGGAGGTTGCTACATTGCTACTGTGTGGAGCACCTACCCCCAGGCACTCTTATAGGGTGATGGTGAGGATTAAATGAACTAACAAGGGTGAGGCAGGAAGATCACTTGAAGCCAGGAGTTCAAGACTAGCCTGGGCAACATAGCCAGACCTCATCTCTACAAAAATGTTTCTTAAAAAATTAGCTGGGCTTGGTGGCTTATGCCTGTAGTTCCAGCTACTCAGGAGCCTGAGGTGAGACCACTTGAGCCCAGGCAGTCAAGGCTGCAGTGAGCCATAATCATGCCACTGCACTTCAGCCTGAGCAGCAGAGAGAGACCCTAACTCAAATATTAATAAATAAATAAATGAAATAATGCATGCAATTAGTACACTAGTACATGATCAGGTGCATGGTAAATGCTTTCTACAGTTACTTTCAGTTCTAAAATATATTTTGTGACCCTGTGAGATAAACAAACCTGAGCAAAACCTTGTTAAACAACAGGTTCAAAATCTTGTCCAGAGACAGCAAATTCTTGGAACATTTGCCACTAGTCCCCAAACCTATGCCCATGGCAGACATTGCTAATCGATAGCAGCATATTTCCCCTACAAGCCTCATCTATCTCAGAATCCTTTCTAACATAGCTTTCCAAGCAGCCACTTGATCCAAGCACATGAGATGAAACCTATTTGGCATTTCTTGATCTAGTGCCCCAGTAAACTTTATAATATTTCAGGAGAGGGTATCCTTTGGACTCGGCCCAGTGACAGAAGCATTTGAAAAGACTAACCTATATGATGGCTATTTCCTACAGGTTCGGACCTGTACCTCCAGGGACCCAGGGCATCGTCTCACTGGAGCCCCTTGTTCCCATTAGTCTTGTTTTGGGCTGTACCAATTGATTGCAATTTTATACTCCAAAGCTTAAGACTTACTTTTAAAGGGAAAGATAAATTGTTTTATTAGTTAATTTCCTAGAGCAACTCTCTTTACCTCTTAGAGCCAGAGTTTTTTCATCTATAAAAGAAGGCATTGAAATAATAAAGTTTAGAGAATAAAGTAATAAAACAGAAAATATAAAAACAATAGAGAAAAATCAATGAAATCAAAAGTTGTCTCTTCAACAAGATCAACAAAGTTCTTTGACAAACCTTTAGCTATACTGACCAAGAAAAAAAGAGGGAAGATTCAAATTACTAAAACCAGAAATGAAAGGAAGGGTCATCATTACAGACTCAAGAATAAATAAAAAATGTGAGTAGACCTGTAACAAGTAAAGAGATTGAATAACTAATCAAAAAAACTCCCCTCAAAGAAAAGCCCAGGCCCAGATAGCTTCACTGCTGAATTCTACCAAATATTTAAAGAAGTAACACCAATTCTTCACAAAGTCTTCCAAAAAAAAGAGGAGAGTACAATTTCCAACTCATGCTATGAGACCTCTACTACCCTGATACCAAAACTAGACTAAACATTATAAGGAAAGAAAACTACAGACCAGTATCTCCCCTAAATATAGACACAAACATCTGCAACAAAATCCTAGCAAAACAAATCCAGCAACATATTAAAAGGATTACACAGCATTTATCCCAGAAATGTAAAGTTTGTTTAACATGCAAAAATAAGCTACTGTGATACACTATATTAATAAAATAAAAGGGTCAGGCGCGGTAGCTCACACCTGTAATCCCAGTGCTTTGGGAGGCCTAGGTGGGCAGATCACCTGAGATCAGGAGTTCGAGATCAGCCTTGCCAACATGGTGAAACCCTGTCTCTACTAAAAATACAAAAATTAGCCAGGTGTGGTGGCACACGCCTGTAATCCCAGCTACTCAGGAGCCTGAGGCAAGAGAATTGCTTGAACCTGGGAGGCAGAGGTTGCAGTGAGCCAAGATTGCACCACTGCACTCCAGCCTGGGTGACAGAGCAAGACTCTGTCTCAAAAAATAAATAAATAAATAAAAATAAAAGACAAACAACACAAGATCATCTCAACAAATGCAGGAAAAGCATTTGATTAAATGTTTTCATGATAAAAATACTCAAATCTTTTCATGATAAAAATATTCAACAAATTAGGACTAGAATGGAACTTTCTCAACGTGATTAAAAAAACACTATGAAAACCCCACAGATAACATCATGCTTAATGATGAAAGACTGAATGCCTTCCCCTAAAATCAGGAATGAGACAAGGAAAGCCACTTGCATGATAAGACTACAGGAAATCGAAAGGAATAAAAAGCACAATTTAGTCACCCACTATTGATGGGCAATAGGTTTTTGCTATTTTGAACAGAACTATTAGGAACATTCCTTGTACATGCCCCCTGTTTTATATAGGCAAGAATTTCTCTTGGATGTAGAGTAGAATTCCTGGGCTGGGAGGAGTGTGAATATTCAACCTTATGAGATGGAGCCGAACTGTTTTCCAAAGTGGTCAGATCAGTGTACATTCCCAGCAGCAGTTCTTAAAAGATCTCAGGATCTCTATCTTCTGGTGTTGTCACAAGCAGTCAAAAAGAATGAACAGCAGCTATAAA
The DNA here is from genome assembly GCF_000001405.40 of Homo sapiens. Classification (NCBI taxonomy): domain Eukaryota; kingdom Metazoa; phylum Chordata; class Mammalia; order Primates; family Hominidae; genus Homo; species Homo sapiens. Next base: position 75,818,458 of record NC_000015.10, on the reverse strand, counting down.
CAACAATGAGGATGAATCTTAACAATATAATATTCAGCAAAAAAAAAAAAAAAAAATCCCATAAGGATGCCTACAGCATGCTTTATATAACTTGAAAAACAACTGAAAGGAAAATATGTGTATAGGCGAGGCATAGTGGCTCACACCTGTAATCCCAGCACTTTGGGAGGCCAAGGCAGGAGGATTGCTTGAGGCCAGCAGTTCAAGGCCAGCCTGGGCAACATAGCAAAACCGTGTCTCTATAAAAACTAGAAAAATTAGCCAGGTGTGGTGGTGCAGGCTTGTAGTCCCAGCTACTTGGGAGGCTGAGGTGGGAGGATCTCTTGAATCCAGGCATTTGAGGTTACAGTGAGTTGAGATTGCGCCATTGTACTCCAGCCTGGGCAACAGGAGATTCTGTCTCTTAAAATAATAATAATAAGCAAAAAGGAAAAATTTTAAGAAATGTATACATATACTTTAGGATTATATAAGGATAAAATAAAAAACTGTATGAAAAAGAACTCTAGGGGAAGAGAGACATCCGTACACACATTTAATAGCAGCATTATTCACAATCACCAAAAGTCTATTGCAACCTTTTGGCTATTGGGTTGCAAAAGCAACCCAAGTGTCCATAGATAGATGAATGGATAAATAAAATGTGGTATACACATACAATGGAATATTAAATTATATTCAATATATATTAAATAATATATTTAATAGTATTAATTTAATAATATTTAATAATTTAATACTATTTAATGATATTTAAAAAGAAGGAGATTCTGACACATGCTACAGCATGGATTGAAGACATTATGCTAAGTGAAATAAGCCAGGCACAAAAAGAGAAATACTATATGATTCCACTTGTAGGAGGTATTTAGAGTAGTCAGACTCAGAAATAGAAAGTAAAATGGCGGTTGCCAGCATCTTGGAAGGAGAGGAAAACGGAGTTATAAATGGGTGTAGAGTTTCAGTTTCATAAGATGAAAAGAGTTCTTGGAGACTAGTCACAGTAGTGTGAATATACTTAGTACTGAACTGCACACTGAAATTTCATGTCTTGTGTATTTTACCACAATTTTGAAAAGAAAAAAGTAACTCTTAAGGGAACTAGGAACACGAGATTCAGGAAATGGTTCCCTGTGGAGGGGGAAGTGATAGGGAGTCGGGAACATGGAGAAGTGCTGTGTTGCCGGCTGTAAGTTGTCAATGTCCTAACTTTAATTTTGCATAGTGTGTTCCCTTTAAAAATAGTGCTTATTACATTTTTAAAAACAAATAAACATATTAAAATACTCCTGCATTTTACCAGTGATGAGAATGTGTTATGAACCTGGGATTAGATCAATCCAATTATCTACACCTGAAGGGAAAAACATTCAACCTCAAAATCCTCTGTAGGAAATTATAAACTGTTTTAAAATTGACAGGATGTCAACATCTCCCCTAACAACTTCGTTTTGTCACTTTCATAAAGTCCTGACTTAAAGAACCCTTCTTTAAATTACTGCAGATAGAAGAGAGAAGGCTGAACCAGGAAGATCCCCATCTGGGAATTTTAGTCACACTTCTGGCACCCAGCAGAAACAAACAAAGGGAAGCTTGTTCCTTACAGAAAGTTACATTTTTTAAAAATTCAACAAAATACTAAGTTATTAAATAATCTAAGTGACAATTTGGTTGCAAGTTGGACACTCAACATTTCTAATTTTTTAATAAAATTAATTGATCATAAATGTGATAATTGACTTATTGTGACCCCAATTTGTTGTCAGCTGTTGGTTTAACAAGGTTTTGCTCAGGTCTGTTTATCTCACAGGGTCATGAAATATATTTTAGAACTGAAAGTAACTGTAGAGATCATCTTGTCTAAAGATAGCAAATTCTTGGAACATTTGCCACTAGTCCCCAAACCTGTGCCCATGGCAGACATTGCTAATCGATAGCATATTTCCCCTACAAACCTCATCTACCTCAGAATCCTTTCCTACATAGCTTTCCAAGAAGCCACTTGATCCAAGCCCATGAGATGAAACCTATTTGGCATTTCTTGATCTAGTACAACTGTCTGCTTGTACAAATGGAGAAACAGTAAGGAAGTGACTTATCCAAGGTCACACAAGAGACAAAACTCATTCGGGTCTTCTGAGCTCCAGTCCAGTGCCTCTCTCATTACTTTTGAGTCATCCCTTCCATTGACATAAACCAGACACTCCAGTCATCACAGGAATCCCAGCCTCTGCTGAATCCAGCTCCCAGTGTGCAACCTTATTCATGGACATTTTTCTTTCTGGGATTGCAGGCCTGTCTCTCCCTCTCTGTCCTTTTAGCTGCTACTGCTGCTGGTGGTGAGGGCTTCCATGGAGGAGAAAGCATCCTCCTTATCTTCTGGGAAGCTCCTCTGGCAGCTCCCCAAACAAAGCCCTTTGCAAGTGCACCACAGCACTGCCAGCTTTGGGATGGCTGTAACTCACTGTGTGCTGGTCACCGAGCTCCCCTCCATGGTTGCCTTGTTGACATGGAGCAGGTTCCACTTCATTGCCTGAAATGATTCCCCCTCCAAAACCTGCCACTCCACACCCATACACAAATGACCAGAGCATTCTTCCTCTAAGAAAACCTACAAACTCCAAATTGTTGGACAAATGAGATGGAGACCAAATTGCAAGAGCAGGTAAGCTGGTCTTGATCCATGTGAAATAGCTGTGGAAACAAAACTGATGACCATTTGGTGCCTTCTGAAATTGGCCTTAATTAAGATGCTTTTACAGAGCTGGAGAAAGGCAGGCAGCAGCTCAGGATCTTTAGTGCCACAAAATAATGGAAAGGTCTTTAACCTCTGAAAGGGGCACCAGGTACAGGCAAGGCATCATTTTCCTTGAACCATGTGGACATTTTACAACCTCTGCCAAGATGCCTCAATTCAAATTAAAATTCAAGTGGTTTTGCCAGCCCCTCCTCCAAGTGAGAGGTACATACCTCATCTTAAAGCCTAGGAAAGACATTGGAGACAACTGGTTCAGTCTTCTCATTTTGGACATGAGAAAGAGGGGCACAGATCAGACAGAGACTGGCCATAGGTCACACCTGGGGACTCAAAGCTCAAACTCAGAGCTCTGCCCTTGATTCAAGTTTCTTCCTCAGTGCCTATATCATAACCAGTGGCCCTTGCTCAGGTGCCTGGGAAAGGGACATACCAAACAGTGCAAAGAAACTTGCAACTGAAGGCAGCATCCCCAGGGAACACACCGCTGCTGGTGGCGAAACGACAGCAAGAGGCCTCGCAATCGGAGGGTGAGAGAGGACAGACCGGAGCTGGAACTGACGAGCCAGCTCTGTGTTAGCATGGTGCTGTTGCCTTGCAGGTATTTTCTCTTTTAATCATTTCAACAAATCTGGGTGACTAAACCCATTTCATGGGTGAGAACACGTAGGCTCAAAAACAGTAACTTGGCTAAGGTGGCCTCATTAGAAGTTGGCTGTGCCATTTGACCCCAGGTTACTCCCCAGGGCCTGGCCCTTCCTCTCTGACACACACTTAAGGCCACCCTCAGGCCACACAGAGTCCTGCCACTCCCACATGGATGTTGAAGAATCTCAAAGTTAGGTAGAAGTATATTTTATCTTGACACTTCCAAGGAAACTCTGTGTAAGCAATGAGTTTAGGGGTGGATGTAAGGACTTTTTTATTTTTTGTAGGGGATATTTAATCTCTTTAGGAGAATAAAATGTTCTGAAGCCACTTGGTAGTAGCTATTTTTATAGAACTATTCTATTGTAAGGTATTACTTCTAGCTCACTGCCCTACATCTTCCAGAAAAGAAAACTTTGCATTTACTGTTTAAAATGAAATAAATGCTTATTTTTATAAGGTTGATATGGTTTGCATCTGTGTCCCCAGCAGTCCATGTTGAGATGTAATCCCCAGTGCTGGTGGTGTGGCTGGTGGGAGGTGTTTGGATCATGGGGCTGGATCCCTCATCAGTGGCTTAGTGCCATCCCCTTGGTGATGAGTGAATGAGTTCTCTGAAACCTGGTTGTTTAAAAGTGTGTGGCACATCCCCTCTGTCTTGCTCCCACTCACTCCCTGTGACATGCCTGCTCCCCCTTTGCCTTCTGCCATGATTGTAAGCTCCCTGAGGCTTCTTCAGAAGCAGAAGCCAGTGCCATGCTTCTAGTACAGCCTGCAGAACCGGGAGCCAATTAAACCTCTTTTCTTTGTAAATTACCCAGCCTCAGGTATTTCTTTATAGCAATGCAAGAATGATCTAATGCAAAGGTGTACTGTTTTGTTTTGTTTTCAAGCTAAGGTACATTGTTTATGCCTTATTACAAATATGAGGGATATCAGAAACTGGGGGAGGCCCTAAGCCCAGCAAGGGGAGGAATCCTCTATGGCTTCAAGCCTGGGATCTCCTGCATATGGGGTTTCACAATGGGAATGGTGCTTGATGCATTCAACTAATACCTTATTTGCAGACATCTGTATAGTTTTCAGCTTTTAAAATATAATCAGCTACATTGTATTTCCAGTTAAGTCATAGCTGATATGCAACTTTATTTCCTTGTAGTAAAATACTAGAAGCTACCGGTCAGATTTAAGATGTTCAATATATATTGACAAATTGCCATCTAGAAAAATTGCTCCAATTTACCTTTGGACAGCAATTATGAAAGGCTCATTTTTCCAGACCCTCACTCATATGGTTTGGATCTCTGTTCCCACTAAATCTCATGCTGAATTCTAATCCCTAATTTTGGAGATGGGGCCTGCTGGGAAGTAATTGCGTGACACGGGCAGATTTCCCATAAATGGTTTAGCACATCCCTTGGTACTGTTCTCATGATAGTAAGTGAGTTCTCATGAGATCCAGTCATTTAAAAGTGTGGCACCTGCCCCCTCACTCTCTCTTGCTCCTGCTCCCACCATGTGAGAGGCCTCGCTCCCCCTTCGCCTTCCACCATGATTGTACGTTTCCTGAGGCCTTCCCAGAAGCTGAGCAGATGCCAGCATCATGCTTCCTGTACAGCCTATGGAACCGTGAACCAGTTAAACCTATTTTCTTTAGAAATTCCCCACTCTCAGATATTTCTTTATAGCAATATGAGAATGGACTAATACATTCACTAATGCTGGGTTTGCTTTTTCTTTTTTATTATTACTAGTGAAATTGAATATTATTTTATATGTTCATTGGACATTTGTATTTCTTCTTTTCTGAATTGCTGGTATATTTCCTTGATTCATTTTTTCTATTACTGTGTTTGTCTTTTTCCTGTTTGTTGATGAGTACTTTTATGTAGTTGGAATACTCACACTGACATACTTCATTATGTAAAAATGAAAACTTCTGTATGTTACAAAACACCAGAAAAACAAATGAAAAGACAGAAGAAATTATTGAGAAAAACAAATTTGCAATGAATAGAACAATTTTGCAAGAATAGAACAAATTTGCAATGAATAGAACAATTTTTCTTTATACCTTCTGTACAGTACTGAGCATCATGCTTAGAAAGTCCTTCATAATCCCCAAGATCATGTAAATATTCTTTTTTTATGTTTTCTCCTAGTTAGTATGTTTACAGTTTTATTTGTTAACATCTTTACAACAACTGGAATTCATTTCTGGCATGAGGTTTAAAGTAGTAATGATTCTAACTTAATTTTTTTCCAGGTAGTTAATTAATTGCTCTAACAAAACTTATTGAATAATTCTTCTTTGCTCAAGAGGTCTTAATGCCACCTTTATCACACGCTAAAACAATATATTCTTATAAAAATTCAGGTTTGTGGCCAGGCGTGCTGGCTCATGTCTGTAATCCTAGCACTTTGGGAGGCCGAGGTGGGTGGATCATGAGGTCAGGAGTTCAAGACCAGCCTGGCCAAGATGGTGAAACCTCATCTCTACTAAAAATATAAAAATTAGCTGGGCGTAGTGGCAGGCACCTGTAATCCCAGCTACTCAGGAGGCTGAGACAGGAGAATTGCTTGAACCCAGGCAGCAGAGGTTGCAGTGAGCCAAGATCACACCACTGCACTCCAGCCTGAGTAATAGAGTGAGACTCCATCTCCAAAAAAAAGAAAAGAAAAACCTTCAGGTTTGTTTCTGGACTTCCTATTCTGTTCCATGATTTCTGATCTCTTCTGAATTCTAAAGCTGTTCTATTCCAACAAGGGTCCCCAAATTCTCAGAAATAGAGTTTGCATTGCTTTGGCGATCTCTGTTCAAATTCTTATCTCTTATGTTAGACTGTGAGTTCCCTGAGGGAAGGGTCCTGTCTCACTCCTCTGTGTACCCCAAGAGCCTAGTGTGGTATAATGAAGGAAGGGCACAACAGCACCACGGTGAAGTGAGGAAGCCCCAAGCTTAGGGGCACCAGATTGAGCAAAGAAAACTATAGGATATGCAGTTAACCTACAATATCAGATAAACAGCAAATAGTTTTTTTGTATGAGTATATCCCATGCAATGTTTGGGATATACTTATCCTAAAAGTTATCCAGACATCTCCACTGAAACACTCATCCTCCTCAGACCTCACACCCCTGCTTACCATGAGATCCAAGCTGGAAAACCAGGAATGCATTTTTTACATGCCAAATGCCACAGCTCAAGTTAGAAGCACCCAACTGACTGGGTGTGAGAGTGGGGAATATGGCCTCCTATGCCTGCAGAGGCAGCGTCCCATGCCAAGAAGGGACTGACTCACTGCTGTTCCTCCATAAGGCTCGCTGCCACAACCACTTGCACCATGCGCCATGTCCCTGTCCCATATCCCCATTCCCCAGAGGCCTTGAGCCAAGTGGAGCAGGGCAGACACTGTATGATCCCACAGCTGACTGTTCATAGTCTCTAACCTTTCCTTCTCTTATAAAAGGAAAACAGGGCACTCCTCTGATGCCACCCAGCATGTGATACCCGCCTGGACACATCCAGGAAACACTCAAGCCATGCTGGGGAGGCAGTCATCCTGTTTCTCATGTTTATCCACACACTTCCACAGGGGCTGCAAGTCTACACAACCTAGACACTTGGTCCAAATGGCCCCTAGTTTGTGCCAGGCACAGTGCTAAGCATTTGGGTTACAACGATGAACAAAAACTGGCCTGGTCCTTGATGTTATGGAGCTTACAGTCTAGTAGGGGAGATGGCCATAAATCACGTGATCAAAATTTATTTAATTGAAAAAGTATAAAGAGATATAAGAGCATATAGTGAGGGACCTAATCTGATGGGGTGGGTAGTCAACACCCCAAATAAGGGATATTTGAGAAGGCATTCACTGTCAAAGAGAAGTGTTTCTGGCAGAGAGAACAGCATGTGCAAAGGTCCTGAGGTAGGAGGGAGGGAACCCTCAGGGATCTGAGGTGATAGAGGGAGTAAGAGAGAAAGAATGAAGCAAAAGGTGGCTGCAGAGGCAGGCAGGGGCCAGATCCTGCAGGCCAAGGGTGAGTCAAAGCCATTGCAGAATTTAGCAAGAGAGTGACTTAATAATATTGGGCTTTTAAAGATGAATATGGCTGCAATACCAGAATGGCTGGTTGGAAGAGGCCAAAGTGGAAGCTACTGGGGATGTCTGTGTAAGAGCTGACAGTGACCTTGTGGTGGAAATGGGGCACAAGAGAGGGAGACTGTGCTGGGCTTCATCATGGTTGAATGCAGGAGAGAAAGGAAGTATCAGGGAGATGCTGGCACAACCAGGGAAGACTTTCATCACCCACTGGGTACGGGGGAGGGTGGTTAACCTGTGGGGAGAAGCAGGGCACTTATCCAGGGTGGAAAAGAGAGAGAGTGAGGAGAAGGAGCAGGAGTAAGAGAGCTAAAGCTGAGAACTCAAAGGACCAAGGAGAAGCTACAGGGCCAGCTCACAGAAATGGCGCGGAAGGAACTCACTTGTTGCCCCAGCTTTCTCTCATTTCAGTCTCAAAGAGATCTTGCCGGTTAGGCGGACACTTTCTCCACTTCGCAGGGTAACCAACTATGGATCAGATCTTCTTCTGACATCACAGAGCTGGGACTTGAATGCAAGTCTGTGTAACTACAAAGCCCACACTCTGCTCTCTGCCAGGAGCCCCACTCCTGCCCCGATCCCTGGGCCGATGAGTTATATCGAGGCCTATAGCCAAAATGAAGGCTCAAAGATTCCCCAGCAGGGGAAGAAAGTGGCTGGGTGGGAGGGCTAATTCTCAATTCCTGTAGTTCATTCAGATCCTGGAGCCTGGGGGAATATGGGAAAACCAAGGCAGACACAACGTGGAGAAAGCAAAGGTCAGTATTTCTCTACCCTGGCTGCACAGTGCCATCATCAGGTGAGCTGTGAAAATTCCTGGTGCCCAGGCCATCCCCCACCAATTAGCTCAGAATCTCTAGGGTGGGGCTTGGGCATCAGAATGTTTTCAAGCTCTCCAGGTGATGCCAAGCTCTCCAGGTGCAGCCAGGTTGAGAACCATGGGCATATCAGCCCCTCTCCTGAGACCTACTCTATCTCAGTCTAGACTTATCTTGGAAGGGCCTCCCATAACTGTATTTGGGGCCACACTGCCCAGGATCCCAGCCTAATCTGAGTTTAGGTCCTAATTAAGATCTTTAGAGACCCAAGACACTGCAAAATTATTGTGCAGAGCTCCTCTCTTTCTTTTCTTTCTTTCTTTCTTTCATTCATTCGTTCTTTCTTTCTTCTTTCATTTTCTTTCTTTCTTTGCCTTTCTTTCTTCCTTTTCCTTTTTTTTTTTTTTTTTTTTTTTGAGACAGTTTCTCTCTGTCATCAGGCTGGAGTGCAAAGATGCGATCACAGCTCACTGCAGCGTCAACTTACCAGACTCAGATGAATCTCCCACCTCAGTCTCCTGCACAGCTGGGACCATAGGCACATACCACCACATCTGGCTAATTTTTGTATTTTTTGTAGAGATGGGGTTTCACCAAGTTGCCCAGGATGATCTTAAACTCTTGGGCTCAAGCAATCCTCTGCCTCAGCCTCCCAAAGTGCTGGGATTACAGGCATAAGCCACCACACTCAGCTCCCCTTTTTCTTAAGTAATTCTAAATAAAAACAAGACTAAATTATAAAATAAAATTTGACATGGGCATTTTTGGAGAAATGACACAAAACTTCCATGATAGCTGAAATTAAAATATTTATTTTTGGATTTTCTATTTGTGTGTGCACACAGGTACACACTTGTCCTTGGTTGGTGCCCTATGTGTGTACTTGCTCTATGTAGTAGGTTAATCTGCACAGAGTCTGAAGGCACAATTTTCAGTAAACGAAAGCTCTACATAGCACAATTTCCAAGCAGTTGAGACTGAAGCAGCAGTCTCCTTCTGGGTTTAATTTGAATTAACTCATTATGTCAGAGGTTGCAAATGTTTTTCTGTGAAAAATCAGACCTTGGCGATGACACTGAGCAGTAGGATATAAATAACTCCACAAGCTTAGCGTTCCAGTAATGGAACGCTAAGCATAAATGTGTAAACTGCCAGGATGTACTTGTGCAGGAAACTGACAATTTTCAGCAAGAAATCTTCAGATGAGGCTTGTCACTCTCCAGTGTAACTCTAGGGCCTGCTTGGCAGGGGGACCAGCTTTGGCTGGAGGCTGGGTCAAAACGGCGGCCCTGGGATGGCACCTTCCCATCCCATGGAGGGAGCTCTGTTGGGAACATGAGACAGACCAAGAAGACTCATCCATTAGGAAAGCGGCCCTTGGCCTGTCCGGTTTTAATGGAGGAGGGTGCTTGGTGCAATGACCACTTCTGATGGGGAAACTAGTTGAAGACATGGGCATTGTCTTTCCCATGTGTGCCCCACTGGGAGCCTAAACTTGATGGGTGAAAAGTTCCAAGAGATGAATCAAGAGCACTATATATATCTCGGCCGTCCAGGCTGGGCTCCTCCCACCACCCCTCAGTCCTGCCCTCTGGAACCCTTAGCAGGCTGGCAGAAGCCCTTTTTGGGGTCCAGACTTATGACCAGGATGCCTATGGCTTCCTAACCCCCAGGTAGGGCAGCCTAGTGTAAAGATCCTGAAAGCAGGAGAACAGCAATTGATCAAGTGAACCCAAGATAGGACTAAAACTGTCTCTGATGGCAAAACCTTTGATGACGAAGAGTCTGGCCCATAGAAAGATGGCCCTGAGCATGGCACCTCTGACCAAATCCCTCACTCTGACCTACTGAGCGTATGAGCCCAGCCTTGCTCACAGTCGGGGCTGGAGGGAGACCTCATGGAGGCCACTCGATACCTGCACTTCCTGTGTGCCTGTCACTGCTGATTCCACCCACACCGTCCTCTGCCCCAGCCAGCTCAGCCCTGCCATACCCTGCCATTACAGTCCGGGCTCTTTGGATGTGAGTGACAGAAAATTCACTGGCTTAGGCAAGAAGGGAAGCTCATTGGTCAGTAAGTTAGCCATGGGCAGGACAGGGAACAGCTGGGCCTCAGGAATACCTGGACTCAGAATCACCAGCGCTGTTAGGATTTGCAGGCTCCTTCCCTTGTCTCTGTCTCCACCTCAGTCTGCAGATCAGTTTTGTGCTCTCAGAGCAACTCTCCCCACGAGGTTAGAGTCAGGCTGTTGGCAGCATGAGGCTTCTGTCTTACTGGCTTTGCCCCCGAGGAAAGGATGGGGCTCCCCTCTATTAGTTCCTATTCAGAAAATTCCAGAAGAAAGTTTCTGCTTGGTCTGGTCTGGGTTGGCTGAGTAGCTGGGACTCTAAAACTGCCGACCCCTCTAGTGTCATGTGGTTGAAGTAGGGCAGGGAGATGTATTAGTCAATTCAGTGTACCATGCCAAAATACCACAGACTGGGTGGCTTAAACCACAGACATTTATTTCTCACAGTTCTGGAGGCTGGGAAATCCAAGATCAAAGTGCCAGCAAGGTAGGTTTCATTCTGAGGCCTCTTCTCTTGGCCCATAGGTGGCTGCCATATTGTGTGCTCATGTGACCTCTTCTTTGTATTTGTGCAGAGAGACAGTGAGTGCACTCTCTGGTGTCTCGTCTTATAAGGACACTAATCCTACTGAATCAGGGCCCCACCCTTAGGACCTCATTTAACCTTAATGATTTCCTGAGAGGCCTCATCTCCAAATGCAGCCATACAGAGGGTTAGGGCTTCAACATATGAATTTGGAGGAGACAGAGACACTCAGTCCATGAAGAGAAGAAAAACTATTCACGAAGAAAGGGGTGCAGTGGCCAAAAAAGGGGGCAGACAAAACTACAGATGCTCTCCCCATTTCCTCCAATACACAACACACACACACACACACACACACACACACACACACAGCCCTGCCTTTGCCCCTTCCCCACAAGGCCACTCCCCACCCCATGATTATTTACTTCCCTCCTATCCTGCACTCTGGAGCTGCCCCTTCCCCTAAGTTGTCCTGTGGCTCACTGATCGCTGCATACAGGTAGGTGCATGTCAATGTAGCTGGGGCTGGGGGCCTCCTGGACCATGTGTGTCCTGAGCCCCACCATGGGACTGGGCAGGAAGTGGGTCTCACCCATGTCTCCTGTCCTCAGGCAGAGCCTAGCCCTGGGACATGAGCTCAGTGGGTGCTGCAGCTTTGTTGGATTCACCTCAGGCCCCCTTTCCCCACATCCACTTATAAGGTTCCCAGGGCCTTGATACCTCCGTCCTTGGAAGAAAAGAATGTGATTAACCAGCTCACACGAACCTGCTGGTGGCTTCCCACAATAGAAGGAAATAATTTTCTAGTTCAAAAGAGTCTACCAGGTGACTAGCACAGTGAATGAAGAAAGACCTACAGCAAGGCACAGCATTGGGAAATTCCAGAAAACTAAGGATAGAGAGAAAACCCTAAAATCTTCCAGAGAGAAAAGACAGGTCACATGTAAAGAGCCAAGACTCCGCATGACACGGACTTATTCCCAACAACACTGGGAACTAGAAAATAATAGAGCAATATTTCCCAATGTGAGGAGAAGTTACATTTAAATTAGAGCATTACATCCAGCCAAACTAGTAATCAGGAGTTGGGGTAGAACAATGACATTCTAAAATGTGTGAGGGTCAGAAAGCTTGGCTTCCATTCACTCTTTCTCAGGAAGCCACTGGAAAATGTGCTGCAACACAGTGAGAGAGTAAACCAGGAAAAAAGAAGATCTGGGGCCAAGGAACAGGAGATGCAACAGAAGAGGCAGGAGGAAATTCACACGATGGTGCAGAGACATGCCAGGATGCCAGATGTGCCATGGGCTGAGAGCTGAGTCCAGATTGGAGCAGAAGGATGGAGGGCAAGGGAGAAAGGGAAGCCTCCAGGAAAATAACAGGTCTGATACAGTATCTGGTGTTTCTTAGTTTTTGGATCATTATCACTAGGCATTTGATAAATCAGTTGGAGCATCTGAAAATAAAATAGTAGGTGGGCCAGAAGCGGTGACTCACACTTGTAATCCCAGCACTTTGGGAGGCTGAGGTGGGCAGATCAAGAGGTCAGGAGTTTGAGACCAGCCTGGCCAATATGGTGAAACTCCGTCTCTACTAAAAAATACAAAAGTTAGCCAGGCGTGGTGGTATGCGCCTGTAGTCCCAGCTACTTAGGAAGCTGAGGCAGGAGAATTGCTTGCATCCAGGACTTGGAGGTTGCAGTGAGCTGAGATTGTGCCACTGTACTCCAGCCTGGATGACAGAGTGAGACTCTGTCTCAAAAAAAAAAAAAAGGTAGGTAATAGGTACAAAAACATATAAGCAAATGAAGGAAAAAAATACAAAGCAATTATTAACTCTGAGGGAAAAAAAGGAAAGAAATTAGACAATTTCAGTGCAGGAGTTGGGTTAGGGAACAATATTTAGATACCTACAATAATGGAAATGCTTTGGATTTCATAAGACTATGATCCAATCAGACTGGTAGATTGGAAGCAAGGAAATTGTTAAGACCTCATAAGGGAGGTAAGCCCTATACTGAGCTATGCCAGGAGGTAGACAGATACTGAAGAAAACAAATCAAGAAATAGCAACATAAACATTATTTAGAAATATGATGATAAATACCAGAGGAAATAGCAAAATGAGTTTAAAGTGATGGCCTCTGGGATTTAGGACTCAATGCAAGAAAGGAAAGGGCAGAGGAAATGCTTTTTGATATAAGCCTTTTATTACCATTTTGTTCTTTTTTTCTTCTTTTTTTGTTTTACCGAGGATTTCTTGCTCCAGATACCATTTTGTTCTTAACTCTATGTATGTAGTACTTTGAATGGAATTAAATAGAATCTTATAAATTCTGGAGATCTGTTGTACAGCATGATGACTATAGTTAATAATAATGTATACTTTAAAATTGCTGAGAGAGTAGATTTTTTGCTTTTATTATTATTTTTATTTGATACATAATAATTGTACTTGTTTATGGGGTACAGTATAATATTTTTATATATGTATGTAATGTATAATGATCAAATCAGGGTATTAGCGTCTCCACCACCTCAAATATTTATCATTTCTTTGTTCTGGGACCATTCAAAATCCACTCTTCTAGCTATTTGAAAATATATAATAAATTGTCATAAATTATAGTCACCCTATAGTGCTAAAGAAACTAGAACTATTCCTCCTATCTAGCTGTATTCTTTTTTTTTTTTTCGGACAGGGTCTCACTCTGTCCCCTAGGCTGGAGTGCAGTGGTGCAATCACAGCTCACTGCAGCCTTGACCTCTGTAGCCCTCCGGAGTAGCTAAAAGTGCATGGCGAATTTTTAAATTTTTTGCAGAGATGGGAATCTCCCTATGTTCCCCAGGCTGCTCTCAAACTCCTGGGTTCAAGTGATCCTCCCACCTCAGCCTCCCAAAGTGCTGGGATGATAGGCATGAGCCACCAAACTCAGCCATGTACTTTTTTTTTTTTTTGACAGAGTCTCACTCTATCTCCCAGGGTGGTGGAGTGAAGTGGCATGATCTTGGCTCACTGCAACCTCTGCCTCCTGTTTTCATGCCTCAGCCTCTCAAGTACCTGGGATTACAGGCATGAGCCACCATGCCCAGCTAATTTTTGTATTTTTCATAGAGACGGGGTTTCACCGTGTTGGCCAGGCTGGTCTCGAACTCCTGCCCTCAGGTGGTCCGCCTTGGCCTCCCAAAGTGCTGGGATTACAGGCATGAGCCACCGCGCCCGGCCCAGCCATGTACTCTTGTATCTGTTAACCTGTTAGCCAGCCTTTGGCTACTCTCTCCCGCTTAACTTTCCTCACTGCTAGTAAACACTATTCTAAGCAAATACATCTTAAATGTTCTTACCACAATAATAATAATAATAATAAGTTGTGAGGTGATGGAAATGTTAATTAACTTGATTTAATAATTTTATAATGTATGCATATATCAAAACACCACATTGAATACTGTAACTATATACAATTTTTATTTATCAATTATACCTTAATAATGCTGGAGGAAGAATTGAGTATAATGTTAAAACAAAAAACAATTGCAAAACCTAAAGAAAATCATTAGGCTGGGCACAGTGGCTCACACCTGTAATCCCAGCACTTTGGGAGGCTGATGCAGGTGGATCACCTGAGGTCAGGAGTTCAAGACCAGCCTGACTAATATGGTGAAACCACATCTCTACTAAAAATACAAAAATTAGCCGGGTGTGGTGGCAGGCACCTGTAGTTCCAGCTACTTGGGAGGGTGAGACAGGAGAATCTCTTGAACCTGGGAGGCAGAGGTTGCCGTGAGCCGAGATTGTACCACTGCACTCCACTCCAGCCTGGGCGACAGAGCAAGTCTCCATCTCAAAAATAATAATAATAATAAAATAAATAAGAAAATCATTAATCTAGTCCAGACCAGTCTTTTACAGATGAGGTCACTGAAGTGTAGAGAGGTGAACTGACTTGTCTCCTCTTACACAGCAAGTCACTGGCAGAGCTTGACCTGAAACCCAAAGCCAAGCGTTTGCTATTACCTCCAGGTCCTTCAGTCCAGCCCTCCTGGGGCTCTGCCTTGGGAACTGGTATTAGTGACAAAGGGAGTAGAGAGGAACATGCATAGAGCTCTCCATTTAGATGGACATATTCACACTGTGCCAGGGCACCGGCAAGAAACAGTGCAAGCTCCAAGTGCTTGCCCCAACCCTTTTCCCCCTCCCCATCCTCTCTCATAACCAACTTCAGCTAAAAGGTCTGAAAAGATAAGGGAATCTTAGATGACTCTCACTAGGGTGTAAATGACTCCCACCATGATTTTTATTTTATCGAGACATAACTCTAAAAACAGTTTGATGGATAGTGTGCCAGGCAGTAGGATGAAGACAGATGGGGAAACTGCCTGGGGTCATGGAGAGAGTGGAGGCACTGAGGCCCTGAGTGATTTCATAAGGAACACCTTAGCAAATGTCCAGCACCATGATTTCTCATCTTCACTACCCAGGACACACAAGGCCCCACGTTCTGACAGATTTTATCAGACAAATTGCACTTGGTCATGCTTCATTCATTTTCCTCGGAGAGTTTCCAGGTTACATAGAATTGAGGTAATCTCCCCCCTCCCCATCACTCCCACGAAGACACTCTATGTTTCTGTTTGCAATACAGTCTTATATGGATTGATATTAGATTTTCATGGTGCTCTTTGTATTTTACAACTATTACTCAAGCTGGAGACCCAAAAAGAGCACTAGCTTTAGAATCAAAGACCCCTGGGTTCCAGTTTCAGCTGAGAGACTGTGAGCACATCGCTAGCCCACTCTGATCCTGTCTCCTAGTTGTATAATCACCTATTTCCCATCAATTGCGAGGCTGGAGATAAAAGTGCCCACTCTGGCCAGTACACAGTAGGAACTTAGTAAGCTTAAGCTCCCCACTACCCTAAAGTGTTAGCGGAAAGACAGAGATGTGGGGAATGGCACCTGGGAGGCTCCCGCTGTATGCTTCACAATCCTACCAATGAAAAATCTGAATTAGGCTTCAGTTTCCTGTCTACAAAATGAGAAAGACCAGGAGTGGGTAGGAAGTAGAGGAGCTTGGCTTTGTTGGCTTAAGCCGGGACCGTCTGATTCTGTAACGCGGGCTTCACTGCAGGGTCCAGCCCACTCCCCAGCCAGGGCTTCGCGTGCTCTTAATGTCTTTTGGCCAAGTCCAAGGCTGTCCAAGGTGGCGGTGGGGATGTGGGGTGGTGGGTAGTGGGGTGGAGAGAAGCAGTTCCCCCATATAACCTGCAGGTGGCACCAGAGCAGCGCGGGTTCCGCTCCAACCTTCCTGGAGACCCAGGCAGGGCGGGGTAGGGCGACGCAGAGGTGGTGCACGCTGCTCAGCTGGGCAGCGGCAAGAGCGCGACTGCGGATCAGTCCACACCGTTTAAAATCGACACAAAGGTCTTCTGGCTAATTTCCTCTCTTTAATAGGGTGATCATATGCTTTATCATCCAAATCAAGACACTTCGGAGAGTGAAAGGGGGCACTATAATAATTGTACCAGGACAGCAGACATAACATTAGCTGTACCTTGCAAACCAGAACGTATGGTCACCCTACACTCCGGTCACTTTTTCCTCCTTGTTTCCATTCTTTCTTTTAATTTTTTTTCTTTTTAAACACACAGTATTCTTTTTCCCTGAGCACCGCTGTCTTTGAAAATGCCCTTGCACTCGGGATGTTTTCGACCATGCAACATCTGTTTTCGCATCTTGAGTCTGAACAGGCTCTCTGAACCCACCCCAAAGGCTGGTTTTAGCTTCCAGTCGGAAGACTCTGTTCTCTGGTTTACCATCCCCATGACTCAAGAATTAAAGATGTCAGACCTGGAACAGTGGCCCTTATCTCAACTTTGGTTCCTCTTTGCTAAATCTATTCCTGTAATTTTGTGCTGAGTGCTCATGTCCTTTATCTCCTTGAATTTACGTATATTAGTTTATCGAATTGCAAGTAGACAAGCCCCATTAAGCAGGATTCTTATATTTCCAAGGTCATCTCATTACTCCATTCAACCTCAAATTAGTATGCCATTTATCCCCTTATTTCCGAACCCCCTTCACTTAATAGTCTCATAAGCATCCATCCATCGCAAAAAGGACTCGAACTTTTCTCACTTCCATTTTTAGTTGATTCATTGCTATCCAAGTAATGATTTGTCTGGGGGAGTGATTAGTAGAGAATTGTGCCCTTAAATTTAGTTTTATAGTTGGATTCTGCTAGTTACTATCTCTCTGTCATTCTCACATTGCAACAAATGACTGGGTTTCTGTCTCAACCTAAAATGTAGGTTAGAAATTTGATCTTATCTGAATAAGATATTAATAGATAATGTGAGACTTTTTAAAATTTACTGAAATGTTTCTCAGCCAAGAATGACACTCATGGTCACAAATATGTATGTAAGCAAGCAGAAAATTGAGCTTTAAATATATAAACTCTTAAAATATCATATTTAGAGACTATGTTTTTTTCTTTCTTAGTAAAGTATATTTGCTATGGTTGGAATGATTGTGTCTCCTCCAAAATTCATGTTGGAACTTAAACCCCAATGTGATAGTATTAAGAGGTGGAGTCTTTAGGAGATGACTAAGCTGTAAGGAGGAGCCCCCTCGTGAATGGGATTAGTGACCTTATGAAAGGGCTTGAGGGAGCTACCCAGCTCGGTTTTCTTCTTTTGCTTTTCTGTTCTTTCCACCATGCTGGGACACAGCATTCCTCACCTCTGGAGGTCTCAGCATTTAAGGTGCCATCTTGGAAGCAGAGAGCAGCCCTCACTAGACTACAAACCTGCTGGCGCTTTGATCTTGGACTTCCCACCCACCAGAACTGTGAGAAATACATTTTTGTTCTTTACACATTACCCAGTCTCAAATATTTTGTTACAGCAGCACACATGGACTAAGACAGTATCTTACATTCAGCGAGGTGCCTATACCTTAAGCTACAACTCCTTACTATTTACATATGTGCACACTTATGTGACCGCCACTCAGTTCAAGATACAGAATGTTCCCATCAGCACAGAGGGCTCCCTCTTGCCCCTTCTCAGTTGCTGTCCCCTCAAAGTTAACCAGGATCCTGACCTCTGCAACCATGGATTAGTTTCGCCTGTTCTTTAGCTTCATATAAATGGGACCATTCAGTATGTGCACGTTTGTGGCTGGCTTCTTTCATTCAATATAATCCTGTGAGATTTAACCACGTTTTGGGTACTGGTAGCTGTTTATTTTTCTGGTTGTGTAGTTTTCCATATTTCATTTATTACCCTGCTATTTTTGTCTCTAACTCAGTGTCTTGTGGGGTCTATTGTTCCTTTTTAGCTGGATTGATACTAAGTGTCTTCTTATCAATGGAGCTTAGGACATTTTAGAAGATGAAAGCCTAATAACCCCAAGCCCCCCAATCTTAAGCCAAGTTTCCTCCTCACGCCTGCTTCAGTTGCTCTTCTTCATGTGGTATTTTTTCCCTCACAAAACTGATGGAAATTAAGAAACCCAAAAGCTCTTCATCATGTTATCAGCTTAGGGACGCTTGTCATCTGAATAACAGGGTAGATATTTATCATCTGAAATGTTAAAATAACTAGAGCAAACACTTACATAGCACTAACTGCTGTTCACAGTGCTTTACATATATTATTTTCCTCAAAACTGCTCTGTGAAATAGACACTATTATTGTCATCCCCACATTTTAGATGGGGAAATGGAGGCACAGAGAGACCATGTAACTTTCCCAAGGTGGTAAGGCCAGGACTTGAACCTGTGTTTTCTGGTTTTAGAGCCTGCACCCTTCACCACCACACCATATTGTGTAGCATGATACTTCCTCTGGTTAAAGTGTTTTCTTCTATTTACGTGGGAGCATTTTCTGAATAATTTGAATCTTATAAATTAGCTTCAAATAATACAAGTAAATTGAAATGGAAGATCTAATATAGAATGTGTGGCATTCATGAATAAATTATAGGACTCCCTGGTTTTAAGTAATAATTATTTGCTTATCTTGTGACTTTTGTCAGCAGGGCTGTAATGTGCTCACCTCATTTTCCTTCTCTTCAATAGAAGGAGATGGACTCAGAGACAGGCACAATTTATCATAAAATCTCATCACACTTTCCCTCACCATCTGGAAGCTGGAGATAGGTTAGTGAAATCTTGGTTGAGAAAGAGTTGAATGCTGCTTGTAGCATAGTGAGTTTCAGAAAGATGGTTTTATTTGCTAGTTCTATTGCATAGGGTCCTGCAAGTTTTGGCAATTAACATATATGACCAACAGTTTTCTCACAAAGATTATCAGGATTCTAGAAGAAATTATATTCCAGTTTTATCCTGCTGCTAAAGTCCTATATTTCTTTATATAAGAACTAATTAATTCTTTGTCACTTTTCATTAGACATTTCTCTGCCTCTTTATGCTGTGCTTTATGTCTCTTTGTGCTCAGCCCCAGGTTTTTCCTTCTAACTGCAAGATTATTGAAATTTTCTCTCTCTCTCTCAAACTCCCGGGCTCAAGTGATCCTCCTCCGTCCACCTCCTGTGTAGCTGGCATTACAGATGTGCATCACTGCACACTGCTGACTCTCTCTCTCTCCTTTTTGAGATGGAATCTCACTCTGTTGCCCAGGCTGGAGTACAGTGGTGCGATCTCGTCTCACTGCAACCTTCACCTCCCTGGTTCAAGCAATCCTGAGTAGCTGGGTTTACAGGTGCATGCCACCACGTCCAGATAATTTTTTTGCATTTTTAGTAGAGATGGAGTTTCACCATGTTGGCCAGAATGGTCTCGAACTCCTGACTTCAGGCAATCTGCTCGCCTTAGCCTTCCAAAGTGCTGGGATTACAGGCATGAGCCACCGCACCGGGCCAATTTTCTCTTTAACCTTCCCCATGAGCATGTGTACACACACACAAACATGCATATAGACACCCAGACATCCACATGTATACACAAACACAAATACAGAGACATACACATATCTATACACACTTATTAGATATACATTTACACACACCAACACAGACGTGCACACACACGCACACACCTTCCTTTCACCTTCTTCACAGGACTCAGTGTTCTCAGAGAGTGGAAAGAGTATTGCACCATGAGTCAAAGATAGACTGTGCAACTTTGCCCAAGTGTCTTTTCTTTCGAGATCTCGTTTATAATAATAAACATCCTTACCCACCAATTAGGGTTATTTTGAAGATAAAATAGAAAGATTGAATAATAGAATGATGGCATGTCGTATAGTTTTAAAAAATAAGGAAAAAAAATTAACCTTGACCAAAAAGAGATCTGGCCTTTGTCCTAGACTCCTGGGAGGTAACTGTCAACATGTAATACCTGATAGGAATATCTTTGCCTGGGGATCTTGGCTCATGATGGACAGCCTAATAATAAGATTTAGGGTAGGGACTAGCCAGGGCAAAAAAGCAACTATGTGATTTAGAGTCTGGGCTTTAGGTCACTCCTGGAAGTACTGGAGACTGGAAACTGAGCGCAGCCACATGGACAATCAAGCATGCCTCTGTGATGAAGTTCCAGTAAAAACCCAGAACACTGAGGCTTGAGGGAGCCTCATTGGCTGGGAATACTTCATGTGTATTGGCACATAGCAAAGCCGGGAGGGTAATGCACTCTGATTGCATGGGGAAGGGATAATGGACACTCCATGCCTGGTGCCCTCCTGGACTCAGCCCTATACCTTTCTTCCCTGATTTTAATCTGTATCCTTTCCATGTAATCAAGCTGTAACTATGAGTATAACAGCCTTCTGTGAGTTCTAGCCAATTCTTAGAGGTAAGCAAGCAGAGCTCATCTACTGCCTGCTTGAAAAAACTATTTAAAAATCCCTAAACCGAAGAAGGCCAGAGCTCTCATGAATCTGACCCAACAGATTCTGAAGCCAAAGCTGAGGGCATTGGAAGCCAAAGCCAGGCCAGACAGAGATGAGGCTCCTGGGGGGGAACAGGTGCAGTCCTGCTCAGGCTGCGGTGTCCCTGGGCTACAGCTGGACAAGGGCTCCCTCTGGGTCACAGCTTCTAGGGACAGAGTTTGGGGTAGTTTGACTGTCTGATTTGTAGGACTCTGGTGATGAGCTCAGCTGGGAAACTGTGTGGTAATGGGAAGAGAATGCTTTTGCTTTTCCAAATCATCTCCCCCTGCATGCTTGGATCCACATGGGAACTCAGTGTGGAAACTGCCTTTGAACAGCCTAACTCTGGGCCTGAACTCTGGGCCATGTGTCCAGTTTCCTGGCCTCCAGATTTGTTCACTCCTCACCCCTACCCATCACTGATGCCAGATCCATCCTCCCAAATGTCCTTTCATCATGTTACCCTACCCATCACCTCATGGTACCTTCTACACAACAGGAAATGCCTCCCATCTCAGCCTGGCATTCAAGGTTCTTTCTGATGTGGCCACCTCTCACCACCGCACCATATCTCCCTGTGGGCCCTGCCTAATTGGATCAATTTTTCCTATCCATGAGCTGAACTTCCCCACCTCCATACTGTTGCTTACACTGTGACTTTCCTGTGCGTGTTCTTTTCCTCCCTCTTCCCAAGTCCAAATGCTATAGACTGAATTGTGTCTCCTCAAAATTCATACACTGGAGCCCTAACCCACTATATGATTGTATTTAAAAATAGGGCTATTAGGAGGTAATTAAAGTGAAGTGAGGGAGGAGGGGCAGAGCAAGATGGCTGAATAATAGTCTCTACCAATCATTCCCCCTGCAGGAAAATCAAATTTAACGACTGTCTTCACCAGAAAACCATCATCATAAGAACCAAAAATCAGGCGAGGACTCACAGTACCTGGGTTTAACTTCATGTTGCTGAAAGAGGCATTGAAGAGGGTGGGAGAGACAGCCTTGAAACACCAATATCACCCCTCCCCCTCCCCCAGCAGTGGTCACTGTGGTGCTGAGAATCTGTGCACCTGGGGGAGGGAGAATACAGCAACTGTGGGACTTTGCCTTGAACTCATTGCTGTCCTGTCACAGCAGAAAGCAAAACCAGGTGGAACTCACGTGACACCTGCCCATGGAGGAAGCATTTAGACCAGCCCTACCCAGAGGGGTTCACCCATCCCAGTAGTTAGAAGGCTTGAGGCTTGGGTTTTGACAAGCCTTGGCATGGCAGGCTGTTATGCCCTGGGGCCCTAAATAAACTTGAAAGGCAGTCTAGTCCATCAGGACTTCAACTCCTAGGCACATCCTAATGCCATGCTGGGCTCAGAGCCAGTGGACTCAGGGGGCACACGACCTAGAGAGACACCAGCCAGGACAGCCAAGGGAGTGTTTGCACCACCGCTCCCCCAACCCCAGGCAACGCAGCTTGCAACAACTAAAGTGACTTCTTCCTTTTGCTCGAGGAGAGAAGGGGGAAAAGCAAAGAGGACTTTGTCTTACATCTTGGATAGCAACTCAGCCACAGTAGGACAGAGCACCAGTCAGAATTGAGAGGCCCCCATTCCAGGACCTAGCTCCTGAATTACCTTTCTAGATACACCCTGGGCTAGAAGGGAATCTTCTGCCCTAAAGGAAACAACCCAATCCTGGCAGGATTCATCACCTGCTGACTCAAGAACCTTGGGCCCTGAATAGCCAACAACAGTGATACCCAGGCAGTGTGCTATGGGCCTGGAGTAAGGCTCTGCGACGTGCTGGCTTCAGGTGAGACCCAGCACATTCCCAGCTATGGTGGCTGTGGTGAGAGACTTCTTCTGCTTGAGAAAAGCAGAGGGAAAGGTAAAAGGGACTTTGTTTTGCAGCTTACGTACCTGCCTGGCCACAATGGGGTAGAGCACCAAATGGGCTCTTGTGGTCACTGATTTTAGGCCTTGGCTATTAGACAGCATTTCTGGGCCCGTCCTAGGCCAGAGGGGAGCCCACTGCCCTGAAGGGTGAGTCCCAGGCCTGGAAGCATTCACCACAAGTGCCTTCAGAGCCCTTGGGCCCTAAGAGAACATCGACAGTAGCCTGGCAGCACTCCGTGTGCGCCTGTGGTGGTGGCCACAGGGTGAGGCTCCTCTGCCTGTGGAAGGGGAAAGACAGAGTGGGAAGGACTTTGTCTCATGGTTTCGGTGTCTGCTCAGCCGCCTTAGAATAAAGCACCAGGTAAATTTCTAAGGTTTTTGGCTGCAGTCCCTGGCTCCCAGACAGCATCTCTGGACATGCTAGGGCCTAAGGGAACTTGTTGCCCTGAAGGGAAAGACACAAGCCTGGCTGGCTTTGACACCTGCTGACAGTAGAGCCCCAGGGCCTCGAGTGAACATAGGCAATAGCCAGGTAGTGTTGACAGTGGGCCCTGAGTGAGACCCAGTGCTTTGCTGGCTTTAGGTCTGACCCAGTGCAGTCCCAGTGGTGGTGGCCATAGGGATTTTGTGTCAGCTCACCCCCAGCTCCAAGTGGCTCAGCAGAGAGAGAGAGAGAAAGAGAGAGAGAGATGGGGGGGGGCCGCAGAGAGAGAGACAGAGACAGAGAGACAGAGTCAGAGACTGTTTTTTAGAAAGAAATTACAGGTAGAGAATAAGAGTCTCTAATGCCTGGTAGCTCAGAAAATTCTTCCAGATCTTATCCGGGACCACCAAGGTAGTTCCTCTATGAGTCTGCAAGAACCATAGCATAACTGGGCTTGGAGTGTCCCCTAATAAAGATACAGTTTAGATCACAACACCCGCATCCTTTCAAATACCTGGAAAGCCTTCTCAAGGGTGGGACAAACAAGCCCAGGCTGAGAAGATGGTGGCAGCTTGAAATCAGCCATGGAATATTTGCACCACCGAAAATGGCAAACACTACAGAACAGACTTCTGTTCCCTCCCCGACAGAGAGCCCCTTGTGTAACAACAGCACTCCACTGCCCCATCCCTGAGAAGAGTGCTGTTGCAGCAGAGTGAGGGTGGGTGTCTTCTCCCTTGGGCTACAGAATACACATTTTTTTCCTCAGCACATGGATCATTCTCAAGGATAGACCATATCTTAAATCACACAATACGTCTTAAAATATTAGGAAAAAAATGAAATAATATCAAACATCTTCTCTGATCACAATGGAATAAAACTGGAAGTTAGTAACAAGAGAAATGTTGGAAACTACACAAACACATGGAGATTAAATAATATGCTCTGGAATGACCAGTGGGTCAATGAAGAAATTAAGAAGGAAATTGAAACATTTCTTAAATGATAATGGAAACACAACATGCCAAAACCTATGAGATTCGACAAAAGCAATACTAAGAGGGAACTTTATGGCTATAAACACCTACTTTTAAAAAGCAGAAAAGCATCAAATAAACAACCTAACAATACATCTTAAAGAAATAGAAAAGCAAGAGCAAACCAAACCCAAAATTAGTAGAAGAAAAGAAATAATAAAGATCAGAGCAGAAATAAATGGAATTAAAATGAAGAAAACAATAAAAAGCATCAATGAAATAAAAAGTTGGTTTTTGGAAAAGATAAACAACATTGACAAACTTTAAGCCTAAGACTAAGAAAAAAAGAAGACTCAAGTGAATAAAATCAAAGATGAAAAAGGAAAACATTACAACTGATAACGCAAAAATTCACAGGATCACTAGTGGCTATTAAAAAGCAACTGCATGCAAGGCCGGGTGTGGTGGCTCACGCCTGTAATCCCAGCACTTTGGGAGGCTGAGGTAGGTGAATCACGAGGTCAGGAGTTTGAGACCAGCCTGACCAACATGGTGAAACCCGTCTCTACTAAAAATACAAAAAAATTAGCTGGGTGTGGTTGCACAACCTGTAATCCCAGCTACTTGGGAGGCTGAGGCAGAAGAATCGCTTGAACCCAGGAGGCGGAGGTTGCAGTGAGCTGAGATCATGGCACCACATGCCAGCCGAGATAGAGCAAGACTCTATCTCAAAAATAATAATAATAATAATAATAATAATAATAATAATAATAAACAACTGTATGCAAAGAAATAGGAAAACTTACTAAAAATGGATAAATTTGTAGACACATCCAGCCTGCCAAGATTGAACCGTGATGAAATCCAAAACCTGAACAGACCAATAAGAAATAATGAGATCAAAGCAGTAATAAAAAGTCTCCCAGTAAAGAAAAGCCTGGGACTTGGTGCTTCATTGCTGAATTCTACCAAACATTTAAAGAACTCATGCCAACCTTACCCAAGCTATTCAAAAAATAGAGACCTTACCCAACTATTTCAGACTCATTCCACAAGGCTAGTATTACCCTGAAACCAAAACCAAAGATACATCCAAAACAGAGAACTACAGGCCAATATCACTAATGAATATTGATGCAAAAATCCTCCACAAAATATTAGCAAATTGAATTCATCAACACGTTAAATTTGGGGTGCAGTGTCCCAGCTTCACTCAACCCTTCCCCTTTTCCTGTGTGTGTCTACTTTGGCTGTGCTCCCAGGTGGCAGCGGTGGTGGCAATGTTGGTGTGTGGGCCTCCCAGGACAAGGGGAAAGTGAGTATGCCCTTCTCTCCTCCTGCCAGGCATCTGTAGCCTGGCACCAGCTCTGGCCATGTCTTCAAGCGAGGGACCTGGAGATGTTCTTTTCCAATTTCTGGATTGGGAAATGGAGGCAAATTCTGGGTACTAGAGTCAGAACTAAGATGAGGCTTGATCAGGGGCATCTGGGGTCCTGAGAGGCAGAGACCTGAAACCCTCTAGAGCATGTGGGGATCTGGGTGTGTGTTCTGGCCAGTTGCTTCTCCCTGTGCCTCAATGTTCCAGGTACCCTTGGAAGGGCTGAGATCCTGGAGCCTGGCTGCATGTCCTGGCCACCGTGATGCCTTTGTGTTCTCCATGGCAGGCCAGCAAGGCCGAGGAGAATGGCTCCGACAGCTTCATGCACTCCATGGACCCACAGCTGGTGTGGCAAATGGAGACCACTCAGAGCCTGGTGGACTCCTATGTGGCCATTGTCAACAAGACCGTGTGGGACCTCATGGTTGGTCTCACGCCCAAGACCACCATGCACCTCATGATCAACAACATGCATGCACCACCTCATGGGGGCAGGGGCTCCTGTAGCACTGGGGACACAGGTGGCTGTGTTGGCCTGGCAGAGATGACAACCAGCCCTGTGGGACCAGGTGCAGGGAGAGGGTCACGGTCCAGACCAGAGCTGTCCCATAGAACTATAACGTGGGACTGGGCACAGTGGCCCATGCCTATAATCCCAGCACTTTGGGAGGCCAAGGCGGAAGGATCGCTTGAGCCCAGGAGTTTGAGACCAGCCTGGGCAACATAGTGAGACCTGGTCTCTACAAAAAAAATTTTAAAATAGCTGGGCCTGGTGGTGGCACGTGCCTGTAGTCCTAGCTACTCAACAGGCTAGCCTTGGAGGATGACTTTGAGCCCAAGAGGTTGAGGCTGCCGTGAGCAGTGATCTTGCCCACTGTACTCCAGCCTAGCGACAGAGAGAGATCCTATCTCCAAAAATTAAAAACTGAGTAGACAGGTGTCCTGGTGGCATGATAGGTCCTGGGTCCCCTCCCAGATCTGTGACCCTGGACTGGTGACTTGACTTTTCCTCTGGACCTCAGTGTCCCCATCTGAGTGAAAAAAAGGCGGTGGATAGGTGGGTCTTTGAGTCTAAGTGGTGTAGAAGCCACGTCTGAAAAGCCATGCTTGGGGCTCCAAGTCCATTCCACAGTCCCAGCAGGGCCTGGTGGGGTGGCCAGGGTGACACAGGCATCAGGTCCCAACCTCCTTCCTTCTTTGCCCATTCTCAGACCAAGGAGTTCATCTTCTCAGAGCTGCTGGCCAAACTGTACTCATGTGGAGACGAGAACATGCTGATGGAGGATTCCACGGAGCAGGCAAAATGGTGCAACGAGACGCTGTGCATGCACCATGTGCTGAGGGAGGCGCCCAACATCATCGGCGACATCAAAACAACCATGGTCAGCATGCCCACGGGGGCCCATGGATGACTCCTGGCTGTAAGTGCAGAGCGTCCCAGCCCGACGCAGGTACCAGGGCTGGCCCCCATGGCCCCAAAGCGCCCCAGCCTCCATGGCTGAGCCTGTGGGATCTTGGAACAGGCTCCATGCCCAAGGTGGCAGACGTGGGTGCTCTCTGGAGCTGTCAGAGAGGGCAGAGAGCTCGTGGTTCATGGTGTAGGGGCTGGAACTTGGAGGGCATTGTGTGTGGGGCTGGAATCTGAGTCTGCCAGAGGCCTAGGAACGTCATCCTGGGCACGCCGTATCTGTCGTGCAGTCTGAGTCATGCTGCCAGGTCAGGGTATCCAGCTCCCAGTCTGGGAGTGCCGAGAGCCAAATCCACTGCAGAGCAGGGGTGATAGTCAGGGTCCCACCTCCTCTATCTGTTGGCAATCCAGTAGTGATCTAGGATAAAATCTTGACAGTCCCATACACATGGTCATCCCACAACACACCTCACAGGCCAGGCAGGAGTCACATCACCAAGGCAGCCAGGACCCCATCCCCGCCTCCTTCCTCTGTCCTATGCTATCAATAAGTAAGTTTCCCAGCCCCAAATAATGATTAGAACCTCCTCCCCATATGCCAGCTCCAACCTCCGCTAGGTATGATACAGGGGGTGACCCTACCCCCAAGCATATACAAAATGTTACACAGACATTATATGTACACTGCGGAAGGGGGTCCACCCCAGCAGCCTGAGCCCTTGCCTGCTCTACAGTTAGCCCCACTGTCCCGCCTCAGCTGCCTCTCTGAATAAGAAGATGGGAGCCGCCCTGAGGGAAAAGTTGCTTTGGTGAGAGTAGGGAGATCATCAGGCCTCCTCCAAACAAACCAACTCCACCAGCCTCTAGCTCTTAAGTAACAAACGTTGCCATCCAGAAATGTAAGGACTCAGCCCTGGTCAGGTGGCAAAGGGTCTGTTTGTCTGCCCCCCATTAGACAGGGGTGTTGTCTTGCTACCCTAATGGTAAATGGGTGACTGGGAAGGGGTGGTAGGGACATGGTGGGGGCAGAGACTCCAGCCCCACTTCTCCAGGCTTATGCTGACAAGGGCCCGCTTTTATTTTTATCCCATGACTTATTTTTTAATCCTATAACTTCTTTTTCATAATACTTTTTTAAAACTTTTCATAAAACTTTATTCTACCTTTTTGCACAACTTTTTTTTGCCACAAATTTTCCACAACATTTTTTGTCCCGTAACTTTTTCATTCCACAACATTTTTTATCCCATAACTTTGGTTTGTGTTCTTTAAATAAACACACTTGCATAGTTACAATTTTGTAAAAATAAAAACCGATTATCTCATGCCAAGCGTGCCCAGCATTTGCACAGTTTCAATACTTTTAACACCATAGTTTTCAAGACACACAAAATTTTAAGGCAAAAACAGCACTTTGCAACAATTTAATAATTTATTACATTACAGTAGCATCACAGTAGCAGTCAATTATGCCACTTTAGGCAACAGTGTTTCAGTATTTCCATTATACATTCTGTTTACAAGAATTCATAAATTGGTAAAAGTCATTCTAAGAAAACTTGGCAAATAAAGCTTTGCATTGGAATTGGAATTTCTTTCTCTACTTTTCCTTCCCCCGGTTTCTTTTAAACTACAGTATTCATATTTTAAAATGTTTTAACTTATTTCAAAACATTAAGATAGCAGTTACATTTTTAAATAGTTATATTCTTTTAAAACGACTCTTTAAGATAAAGTTTTAGAGAAACTATATTATGGATAGGGCTGATTTACATTTTCAGATTTTCTAAATATCAGCTTTGGTTTTAGAACTGATTTTTTTTCATTTCTGGAAAAACCTATCAGGTTTAATCAAATACTTTAAAAATTATTATATATTGCAATATTTAAATAGGTATTTTAATTCTTCACTTCTACAGAAATTCTAATTTATTCAGTTGAACTCACACTTTAAAATTCTATGTTTCTGATAAACTCTAACCTTCCAATATTGCCTTCTAAGCAAATTGAAAGCTGCCTTATACTGAATGAGGAAGAGAACAAATACTTGGCTGAATGAGGTATTGCAAAGGAACGCATGCACTTTGAAGAAAGACTTAGGTTATTGTCATACGATTTACATGCTATTTAATTTTTCTTAAATATATGACAGAATACCTACACAAAGAGTGGTATTTCAGTTAATATAGTACATTCATTTTCCAGACTGACATTCAGCTTAAATATGCCAGTGTGTGATTTAATCCATAGGTACCTGATGAACACATTATTGTCAGATTGGTTACAGGTGCTAAAGGCTATCTGAAGGTCATTCCTAGTCATTTATATTTATCAGGGTAAAAGTGAAGTGATCTGAACTATAAAAATACCTTTGAAATAATTTATAAATGTATTAGGTAAACCCAGTTTCAGAATTATAAAGAAAAACTGTTAGACCAAATAAGTTGGCTAATTAACAGTAGTATGATTTCTAGCCCGAGGGTTTAAAATGGACTTAAAGTAACTGTCTTTCAAGTGAACTCAAATAATGCAAAAGCGGCAAGTTCACAAAATAGGAGGCAAGAACAGGACCTTAAGTCCATTTTAAACCCTCAGGCTAGAAATTGTACCACTGTTAATTAGCCACATTATTTGGTCTAACAGTTTTTCCTTATCATTCTGAAACTGGGTTTATCTAATACATTGATAAATTCAAACAATTTGGAAGAGTCAGTTGAAGTCACAATAACCCAATATTTGCACTCTTTCAGTGACTGCAGGCAAATCTGTTATTTCATCTGTAAAATCTTATTATTGCTCTCCTATTAATGTCGTATGTATAAAAGTATCAATGAAGATGCCAAATGCTAAAAATGGAGATGGTCTAATCACTAGAAATGCCCACCCCAGGGAGCACACATGCATCTCTCCCTGCATCCTAATAATGTGACGTATTTTGGAACACAGACTTTAGAACTTCATGAAATTTTAGCTGTTGATTCTTTCCCAAGCATCTTAAA
The DNA here is from genome assembly GCF_000001405.40 of Homo sapiens. Taxonomy (NCBI): domain Eukaryota; kingdom Metazoa; phylum Chordata; class Mammalia; order Primates; family Hominidae; genus Homo; species Homo sapiens. Next base: position 75,788,562 of record NC_000015.10, on the reverse strand, counting down.
GTTATGATTTAGGCAATGTATGACTGAAATAATTCATTCATCATGTATAGGCACATTAACATAAATATGGCACAAAATATGCCTCTAACTGAAACCGAGAGGTATAAAAACATATTTCACTCTTTGTAAAGAACCCTGTGAGGAAATATAACTCTATAATTGTATAGACACTTTTCCTCATAATACTTGGACATTCACAAACATTAGATTGCACGGCAGCTTGTAAACATTTTAAGTTGCATAAACTTCACGTTGATTTTCATGTGTAGTATAATACTGTCTACTAAAACTCCTTTTTGTTTCAACTAAGTACTCTCACATATATTGGTTTATAATAATGGTTTTTATTATTTTTAAAGTGTTTTCCAGTCAAGGGAAAGAAGTAAATTCCTATGTCAGAGAAACCAACGTGGCTGAAGAATAGGTATTAGCCAGAGAGGTCTAGATGATAAAATCAATCTTCTAGCCTCAAAGAAGCTCCATGAACATAGAGGAAGGCCAAGTGTCACACAGCTTTCCTTCACTCGAATTCATTCTTGACTAGAGCCCGTATGCCTGTTCCAGGGACATTTAAACTCTTAAAGGATTTCTTATGATCCTCACTAAATACATTAAGAAGAATGCCAAGCAGTGCCTTTTGGTGTACTGGGACATATACTCATGTGATTAAAACAGGTAACATGAACTCTGACTTTAAAATGTATTGTAGATATAAATGCTCTAAGCTAGAAAAGGTTTTCCACATCCACAGTCAATGATGGGAGCCTTTCATTCCTCAGAAATAATCCCTTTTTAGGTTATCGAGAAAGGGTACAACTGCTGCAGCTCATGATACAATATCTTCATGAGCCCAGAGCACACACAAATCCTAAGGAAGCCACCACAGTACAGCGCTCATTCTTGGCACCAGAACAAATGAAACACACTGTATCCTGCACACACCTGCCAGAGCAGGCCACTTTCCTCTTCTGTGAGATTTTAAAAGCTCCCCAAAATGTTATTACTCTCATCCCCAATACACAGAAAATAGGGGAAATGCTGTTTCCAGTTCTCGGCCTTTAAACAACTCTAAATGTCAGTACTCACAGTGGCATATTACAAAGTAATAAACGGTGCGCACTTGAGGGCAAACCACATATTGAGCTAATGAAGAGCTCACTGTGGTTAGGATTCGATCAAACATAATAGCAGAACATAAGCACATTTTATCTGAATTCTGTAATGAATATACGTGCTGCAATAACATTAAAAAAGCATGGCAGCCTGTTCCAAACCAGCAAGAATAGTTTTGCGCAAATAGTAGGTCTTTGTGTGTTTGAACTCCCACCACATAAGGGCAAACTCGATATGCGTGCTAATGACCTACAATTATCAAATTAAAAACAAAAATGCTAAAGGATGCCAGAGTGAACATCAGGGAAAGACCCACTCTCCCTTAACTTTTTACAAATAAATTTAAACTGTAAATTAGAAACACAAATAAACATGAGTGGCTCTAACATTCAAATGGAGTAAATGAATTGTGTAGGAGATGAACCCCATAACTTTTTGTTTTTTTTTTTTTTAATTTCTTGACCAGCTCTTAGATGATGATGTTTATCTCCCTGTTCTCGGCTGCCTGGTAAAAGAATGACACACAGGGGTTGCCGGGCAAGCCTGGGTGCTCCTGGGTGTCCTGCATTACAGGAGGCAGCTGCACGATCTGCTGTGCAGTGGGGTTGTCATGGGGAGAACCCTCCCCGGCCGCTCCCGGTGCAGGCTCCTCGCTATCGTCCAGGCTCACTTCATAAAAATCTTCAGAGAGAGGGAGGCGGGGGTCTGAGGGCAGCGCCAGCCTCCCCTGCTCCTGCCTGCCCACCCCGCCTGAGGGCTCTACTCACCACCCTGCTCATCGGCAGCCCCAAGTTCCTGGGGGGCTGGGGCCCCTGGAGCGGGCTCATCGGCAGGGTTCTGGGCAGCGGTGAGGAATTTGCCATGCCCCTCGTGGTCGCCCACAAGGGGCAACACCAGCTCCTGCAGCTCCAGCAGCTTCACCTGAAGGGAGGGGTGCTCAGCCGCCACACCGGAGCCGGCTCCAGTGCCCACGCCCACCCCTACCCCTGCAGAGATGTTGCACGCCCTACCTTCATCTCCTCCTCCTTCTGGGCCAGCCTGATGATGTCTTCCTTCTCCTGGTGCCGCGTGTTTGGCACTGCCCCCTGGCTCTCATATTCAGTGATGTACTCTCCTGTGAGAGGACACGGCTCAGACGCTGGGGTCCCTCCGACAGCCCTGCAGCTCCCCCTGCCGTGCCCTGGCCTCCCGCTCACTCATGCCGTCTGTCGCTCCAGAGAGCTGGATGAATCCAAGCTCTAGTTTTTCCACCTGCTCCTTCCTGCCCACCTTCTCCTTCGGGAGGTCCATAAAGCCGCTCTGGAGCCAAAATAATGGGGTCACATCTCGGGAGTGACCTGTCCTGCCCTGCCCCTACTTTTCTTGGCCCTTGCCAGGACTCACTCACCTTCACCTTCTCCATAGCCTCCTTGAGGGCCTGGTAGCTCTCCCCACACACAAAGTCACCCCCAGTCCCTGGGGCTGGGGCCTCTGCCTCTGGCTCCTTCCAGGCCAAGGCCACCAGATGAGCCAGGTGCAGGTGGCACAGCCTTCGCACCTTCCACTGCCCACATAGCCGTGCCTGCTCCTCCTGGGAACTGGCTCCAGCAGAGTTGAAAAATGCCACTTGAAGGCAAGAGGTGAGTATTCTTGTAGGGGCATACACAGAACAAATGAGGCAGGGAGGTGGAGCACAGCCCCTTCCCTTGGGGCCTCAGAGAGCGCACCTGTTGGTCACAGGTGAAATGGTGTCTGATCACTGGCTCCCGGAAGGGGTGAGGGGCCAGAGAAATCAGAAGGTGGGAAACCAAGAGCATAAGGGGGTCTGGGAGGGACCACAGAGGAAGGTGGCAAAGCGGGGCAGGGAAAGTCAGGCTCACCGTGGCCTCCCGGCTCTCCAGGTCCTCTGGGATGTTTGGCGTGGGCCGAGGCGCCTCCTCCTCCTCACTGTCCAGATGTTGTCCTCCATCTCCTGTGGGGAGGTGGCCAGAGGGATCCTCAGACAACCCAACAAGGGAGGTACTCTGGGCCTACCTCTGTCCCCACCCTCAATGTGTAACCCTGAGCCAGCCTCTCCCCAGAGGGGAATGAGCTGCTGTCCTTTATTTTTCCTTTTAAGAACAAGATCTTGCTATATTGCCCAGGCACAGTCCCATTACTGGTCAGTGCAGGAGTTCTGACCTGCTCCCTTTCTGATCTGGCCAGTTCACTCATCCTTAGGCAACCTGATGGCCCCCTGCTCCTAGGAGGTCACCATATTGATGCTGAACTTAGTGCGGACACCCGGTTGGCATAACGACCAGCTGTTCTAAAGATCTCTTCCAACCCCTCAATCCTATGCTGCTAACAGTCCCCCCTTCCTCCTGGGGCTCTCTCCTCTTCCTCTGAGTGGTCTCCTGTACCTTCTCCAGGGAGAGCCACGAGGCTTAGCTGGGTCTCTAGCTGTTGGTTCTGGTGGCTGGCAGCTGGTTCCTAAGGGGATGGAAAACAGAGTGAGAAGGCACAGAGGTTGCCAGGTCATCCCCCTCGGGGCCCTGTCCTCAGCAACACCCTCCCCTAGGTCTCCTGCAACTTTTGGTGGGCCATCTCAGCCACCGCTTTGCCCCAAGCTTCCTGCTGCTACAGCTGGTCCATGAGCTGGGTCTGCAGCAGTAACTGCCTGTGCAGCGCCTCCTTCTCAGAGGTCAGCTGCTGATAGGTGGTTACGTACTGCTGCAGGTGTCCCAGGTACTAGTCTCGCTGCTGCTGCAGACTCTGAGACTCTTGGCTCTTCAGCTTCACCTGCAGGAAGGCCCTGGGCATGAGGGCACGTGGTGGCTGGCTTCCAGATTCTGGGCCCATTAATAGGGTAGAGAGGGCCTGTGGGGCTCTGTCACCTGCCCAGGCCCCTGGCCCCTTGCTCCAGGCTTAAGAGACTTCCTCCCTTGCCTAGAACCCCATACCTCCTTCCCTAGCCTCAAATCTCATGTCCTTTTCCCCCCCATTTAAACTGTAGGCCACAGACTGGTGGAAAAGCAGAGGGAGCCAACCACCATCTGCTAAGTGTGCTACATGCCTAATGCTTTCCATGTATTCTCTCATTCAATCCTCAGCACCTCTGCAAGGAAAATGCTAACTTCCTTTTGAAGTTAAAGAAACAGAGACCTAGAGATGAAAAGTAGTTGAATGGTCACCAGTGGAACCGAGGCCAGAATCCAGTTTGAATCCAAGGAGGCTTTTTTGTTTTGTTTTGTTTTGAGACAGAGTGTCACTCTGTGGCCCAGGCTGGAGTGCAGTGGTGCAATCTCAGCTCACTGCAACCGCCACCTCCCAGGCTCAAGTGATTCTCATATCTGGGATTACAGGCATACATCACCATTTTTCATTGTTGTTGTAATTTTAGTAGAAATGAGGTTTCACCATGTTGGCCAGGCTGGTCTCAAACTCCTGACCTCAAGTGATTCTCCTGCCTCAGCCTCCCAAAGTGCTGGGATTACAGGCATGAGCCACCATGCCTGGCATAAGGAGCCTCTTATACCACTGTCTCTTCCCCTATGACTGGGGGAATCCATGCCTCTAGCTGGGATGATGATTTTGAGACCTGGGAGGAGCCCAGGGCTACCCACCTCTAAAAGTCAGAGGGCAGGAAGCAAGAAACAGTCATAGGGCTGCCCTGGAGGGTGCTGGGGTCAGCTGCCCCCCAGCTGGAGCTGCCTTTGGCCTGGCACCTCCCCTCCCCAGAGGCTGGTGCCCACCTCCCAGCCCTTCTTGGATGGGGCAGAGGTTACTGTCTCCTTCTCGCCCAGCCTCTCCTGCAGCTCCTTTACTTGCTGCTCCAACTGCAGTGCGCTCTTGTTCTCGTTATTCTGGACAGAGAGAAGCAATCAGTGGCCATCCACTGCAGCTGGAGACACCAGAACTTGGTGTCTGCCTCCCATGTCACCAGGAAGGGTGGAGGCAGGTTAGAAAAATCATCCCTTCTCCCCCACAGCCATCAGAGCAAGGCCTGATGAGCTCTGGCTCACAGGTGCCTTTAGAAGTACCATTTCATGTGAGAGCTACACTGCCCCATTTTACAGGTGGGGAAACAAAGGCCTGGATAGATAGGGATGAGGGCAGGCTCCCCAGGTGGGGCAACCCACCAGATCCTCGAAGCTGCACTGTGGCTCGGCCAGCTGCTTGTCGAGCTTGTGGTTCTGGGAGAGCATGAGCCTCTCCTCCTGCTTTTGTAGCCTCTCCTCCTTCTCCCACAGCCTCTCCTCCTGGTCCCACAGCCTCTCCTCCTGGTCCCACAGCCTCTTTTCCTGCTTTCGCAGCCTCTCCTCCTCCTTTCGCAGCCTCTCCTCCTGCTTGCATAGCCTCTGCTCCTGCTTTCGCAGCCTCTCACCCTGCTCCCGTAGCGTCTTCTGCTGCTCCCGAAGCCTCTCATTTTGCTCACACAGTCTCTCCTGCTCCCGCACCCTCCACTCCTCCTGCTCTCGGAGCCTCTCGTCCTGCTCCTGGAGCCTCTACTTTTGTTCCTTGCTCAGGAGACTCAAGGCCTGGTTGTTTTCCACCTTGGATTGGAGCTTTCCCTCCAAACTCTCCACCTCCTTCCTCAGGTGTTTGGCCTCATCTTGTAGCTGCTCCACCACAGAGGTCACTGCTGGGGGTGCCGGGGATGGGGGCTCAGCTGAGAAACAAAGCAGACAATAAGGGCCTCTGGATTCCCCACCCCCCCTCCAAAAAAAACCCTCCTCTTGATGCACAGCTCCTCTCAGGCTTCCCAAACTTGGCCTCACTGCTAACGATTCCTCCCACCCGACGGTAGCCAATTTCCAAGCCACTTTCACATAGAGAGTTTGGACAAGCTCCTCTCCAGCTCCTGTATCTGATGTATGACACGCTTCTTCTCCTTCTTCAATGTGCGAGCCTGCCCAAAGCACATGGGAAAGGGCCCTGGAGAGAGGGGCTGGTGGCTGGACAGGCTACCATCTCCCTCTGTGTCCCCACCTCCACAAAGCCGAGACCCATGACCACCTCTGGCTGTACTATTCCCATTTTACAGATGCCCAGAAAGATCCAGTGACCTATCTAAAGTGGGGGCTGAAGGGTCAGACCTCACCCCCACCGACATTTTCCACATCCTCTCCTGCCACCGGGCCCTCTCTTCTTTTATATGTTGAGCATATTCATCTCTCTCTAGCTGGACTTGTTTAAGTGACTCTGTCACCTGCAAGAATGGGCACACAAGTTAGGAAGGGCTGTCACTGGTCCTCACCTGCTCCTGGCCACCTGGGGTCATCTTCCTTCCACATCCCTCCCTCTGCAAAGCATCACCTGTGTCACGTGTGCGTTCAGCAGTGCCTGCTCCTTTATGGTCTGCTGTAACCGCCACTGGAGGACCGCTTCTCTGCAGCTCGAGGACTGGAGGGTGAAGAGTGAGAAGTTTTGATCTGGGGATCCCGGGCAGTGCCCCTTAAAAGGGCTAGGGCTAGGCTCAATATACAACTCGGTTAGTAAAGATCAAGGCATTTCCAAGCCCATGGCCCAATTTTTAAAAGAACTCAGTAAAGTTGGAAGGGACAGGGAAAGAGATCGAATTTACAGCTGGCTAACAGAGGCCCAGAGAGATCAGATAATATTGCTATTGTTATTACTGTTATTACTACCACTGTTTGAACCGTTATGGAGTGCTTCACCAGGTTCCATGCTAGCAATCCCATTTAATCCTCACAACCACCATATGACACAGTTACTAGGATTACCTCTATTGTGTAGATGAAAAACATCGAGTGTTCAAGGTTAAGTGCTTGCCTAAGATCACTTAGACAGAGCTGGGATTTGAACACCCAGGTCTATCCTATTCTCTAAGCCCATTTTTCTTGCTGGGGGTGGGGACACAGATAGGAGGGGGAAATTAATCTTTTGTTCACTTTTTGAAAGGATGATACATTCGCATAGTCCAAAACTCAGAAGATACAGAAGGGAAGAGTCTCCCAGCCACCCTGTTACTCTCTCCTGAGTTTTTTATGAACCCTTGCAGACATGTTTTTGTATATCATCATAGTACACGCACACACACACACACACACACACACCCCTTTCTTCTCTCTACAGAAATGGTAACATACTAAAGGTACTCTTCTGTACCTTCACAGTATAAGTACCCAATACCCCACCTAGGACTTGGCCAAGGCCACAGCCAGGAAAGGGCAGGGCAAGCACTTGGCCTCTGAGCTCTGCATCCAGTGCTCACTCTCCACAGTGCCCCCCAACTCACCCACAGCAGCTGCCTCTAACAGCCATACACAAAAGTAGCGAGAAATGACCATGCTGCCTTCTGGGCAGGACACTCCGTCCTGCAGAAGGGACCTTTAGGCTCACTCCTCAATCTGGGAAGCCAGGCTGCCAGGGGATGGGGCTGCTGGTTGGACTCACCCTGTCCTCTTCCTGCTGCTGTGTAGACACAGCAGAGAGAGCCCGCTCCAATTCTTGAATACGCTGTAAGGAGTATTGCAGGCGGCCAGCCAGATCCTTGGACTCTTCTGTAATGAGAGAGGTTGAGATGGGGCCCAAAGGACTCCCCCTAAAGACCTGTCAAAGTGACAGGTTGAAGGATGATGGGGTGCCCAGGTTCCCACCTTCGAAGTGTCGGGCAGCACGTTTAGTATGGTAAAGGGTGGTCTTCAAGTCTGCCTTTTCCAATGTGAGGATGTCGATTGCCTGGAATTGAATGTTTGGGAGAAAAGCCAAGCAAATGCTGAAAGAGAAGGAAAGAAATATTCTCCAGAGGACAGGAGAAAGCTCCCCACCCTCCACTCACCTCTAACTGCTCCATCTGTGCTTTGTGTATTTCACTGTTGGTTTTCTTTTCCTATAGGAAGAGGAAGACAGAGCTCTTACTAGGGGGAGGCCGAGATGGCACAGCAAGAGACATGCTCCCAGAATGCCACCAATGCCCCAGGACAGGCCCACCCATGGGACCAGGTTATCAGGGACCCTGTGGGGATGGGGTGGAATCTGAGGGGTGAGCCTTCTTCCCCAGGCTGGGAGAGGGCAAGATGAGACTGGCGCCTCTGCATCTGAGTGCCCCCCAAACCCAGCAGTCACGTTGTGAGCAAACAAAAAATCACGTTACTTCTTCCAGCTGATGTTCCACTTGTTTCTTCTGTTGTTTCTGTGGGGAGAGTCAAATTCAGGTGACTGAGAGTGGCCCCCTCAACTCTATTTCCCAGACCAGGAAGCGGTAGGCAGGGGCCAGCAATGGATTTTAAAGGCAACATTCTCAGACCCAGTGGCAACACGAACTGGTCAACTCTCCTCAAGCTCCCAAGGACAGAGGATGTGGGTCTTTGTTGGTTTTCACCCACAGCCACAGAACTCAAAGTCTGAATCTGGATTCTCTTGAAAGGACAGTAACATAAACCTCTAGAGATGGAGTCTGAGAAATGCCCACTCTTCTGCCAGTTTGTGATTTAGAAAGGTGCCTTCATTCAACAAACATTTACTGAGCACGTATGGGCCAGGTATGCTTCTTCACAGCAGATATAGGATGGAAAAGGACAGACAGGAGCCATTGACCCTGAGGTTTCCATTCTGGAGGCCTTTAAATCTCAGATTCTCAGAGCTAATAGAGACCTTTGATGCTCTACCTTCTCCGGAAACACGAGCCCAAGGAGGACAGGTGGCTTGTCCAAACTCAAAGAGCAAATTAGGGACTGACTCAGGGTAGAAACGCAGGTTCCCTGACAACCAGTCAGGCTAGTACTTCCCTGAGAGACGACAACCCCAGGGCGAGTGTGGCAAGGACTGGAGCAGGGATATCTAGAGAAGAGAGAGTTGGCAAAGAGGGCAGCAACAGAAGAGCCATGCTGCATGCTCCTTGCTCTGGGGTCCCTCCAGGTGAGGCCTGGGTGCTCCAGCTCCCCATTTGCCCTTGGCACCAGGGCCCCCCAGCCCCTTTCTTCAGGACCCCAAGGGGAAACTAAAGCCCAGGAATAGAAGCATGGACTCAGGGGACCCTACTGGACTCTTACCAATGATTCTATGTTTTCATTGAGTTGATTGATTATTGCGGAGCTTGAGTCCAGGGCTAATTCCAGTTCTTGGTACCGACTCTGAGGCGCATGCAGAGAGGAGGAGTTGGAGGAGGATTGTGGGGAGAGGTGGAGAGAACAATCATTAGGGCTGGGGTGTGTGTGGGCTGTCTCAGCTGGCAGAGGGGCACCTAGCCCCTGCTGTGAAAGGAGGTTGGAGGGCTGGCCTGCAGGGTCACTGCACCTTGGCCCAGGGCCTCTTACCTCCAGATCCTTCAGGGTAACAGATGATGCAGAAGTAATAAAAATGAGAAATTCAAAAAAACAAAAACTTACATGGGAAACAGTTATGGATATAGAGAAAGTATAAAAACAGCAATGAGCCAGGCATGGTGGCTCATGCACGTAATCCCAGCACTTTGGGAGGCTGAGGTGGGTGGATCACTTGAGGTCAGAAGTTCAAGACCAGCCTGGCCAACATGGTGAAACCCCATCTCTACTAAAAATACAAAGATTAGCCAGGCGTGGTGGCAAGTGCCTGTAATCCCAGCTACTCAGGAGGCTAAGGCAAGAGAATTGCTTGAATCCAGGAGTCAGAGGTTGTAGTGAGCCGAGATTGCACCACTGCACTCCAGTCTGGGTGAGAGAGTGAGACCCTGTCTCAAAAAAAAAAAAAAAAAAAAAAAAGGCTCCAAAGCCCATATGCCTGCTCTGTACATTATTCCCAAATTACTTTTAAACTTTAAGGTATATCTCACCATTTCTAAGATGATAAAAGATGCAGGGAAGGAAAAAACCCAATCAATCAAGCAGGTGAAGAAGCAGACATAAACAGGCTGAAGGTCAATGGCAGCAACATAAAACAAGGCAGAGGAAAGGTATCCCCCAAACCACAGAAGCCTCAGGGCCATGCATAGCCGGAGACAGCAAGCCAGAGAAGGGTCTTGGCACTGCCTCACCTTCCACTTATCCAATGGGGGAGTGCTACCCCATTGGAATGGTTAAGATTGGACACCAGCACCTTCAGAATGTCCTGAATCTACAGGAGGTGAAAAGGAAAAAACAAGGGCAGGGGGAGAAAGACAGAAGTGTCTTAGAGAGAAGCAAGAAAGTCAGGGTAGGAGGAGGATGTGGGTTCAGGAAAATGAAATGCTGAAGAAGAGCAGAGGAGATTAAAACCTTGGCCTGTCCCACTCTTTGAAATGGCCACCTGCTGCCTTGCCAGGGCAGGAACAAATAGATGGAAAAGTCTCCTGAACAATGCAGTCACAGAGTGGAGTCACCTGACCAATGCAGCTCTTCATATGCTCACTGAACCCCTCTCCTCAGGCCCAGGACGTGGGTGATGAATCTGGTAGAGCTCCAGACCTCCACCTCCATTAAAAAAACCAGACTTCTGAGTAAGGGTTCACTGGAACTAAGGGGGCTCCAGCTAAAAAACAAGTTTGAAAGGCACTGATCTTATCCAGTATCATCTTACAGAGGAGGAAACTGAGGCCCAGGGGAAGAAGCAATTTTTCTGTGGTCACCCAGCAAGCTGGTGGCAACTTAGATCTTCTCTTACTCCTAGTACCCGGGACTCTCCTCACCACACCAGGCCCCTTCAGTGACTCCTATAGGGGACAGCCTGATGGCAAGTGGCTGTACTCATTGGCCCAGCTTCCCCTTGAGAATGGGGATCAGGAAAATCAAAGAGCAATGACCATTTCCTGGGTATCCTTGGTCTTTACAGCAGACCATGTACTAGGGATTAACATAAAAACAGCAATAAGGAATCTCATTTAAACTTTACAAATGGAAGTCAAACAATACTACCCCTATTGTACAGATGTGAAAAGACAGGCCCAAAGAGCTCAAGCAATTTGCTGTAAATCAGATCCCTAGAAGATGGAGAAGCAGGATTCAAACCCAGAATTCTTAACCAGTACCCAGCAATCTCAACAATTACCCTCTACTGCCCCTTGGGCCCCCTGTCCCCAGGAGCCTGGCCAGCCAAGACTCACAGCCCCAGGTGAGTGGCAACCACCAAAAGTGGCTGTCTCAGGGCTACTGCCAGTGTTTTTCTTTTTCATCTTCACTCCTGCTGGAACACCAGGGCTGTTCCTCTGCTGATATTCTTTTAGCTGTGGGAAAGAAGAACAGTAATACACATGAGAACTACCAGTCCCTACAGCCACAGCCTCCTTTACAGTTTTTGCAAAATACTCTTATACACCATCTGATTTAATGCCACTAACAACTGTACAATGTGTTGTCACAATCACTTAGTGACTGAGAGAGATTGATATTATGGCTAAAAAAGGAGGGGGCAATAATGGAACTTAAACTCAGTCTTCTGACTCCAAGCTCTGGGGTTTTGCCATGAATCAGCAGCTGCCAGGGACCAAAACCAGAGGCAGAAGTAGAAAAGTAAACATTAAGTAGGCAGGAACTGCACACTCTGTGGTTTAGAGTCATACATCCTCACATGTCTGTTAGTGTGAAGAAGTGCACCAGTACCTCTCAAACTTTTATATCTATGTGTCCTCATGGCAGAAGGCAGCTTTTTTGTTAAATCTGGGAATTTATCAGAAAGAGTACAACCCATCTCATTTCAGAG